>NC_000012.12:56210128-57460128 GCF_000001405.40 Homo sapiens | reverse complement strand
GGGGGGCGGAGAGGGCCACGGCAGCGCAGCCTCGATGCCACCCCCACCCCCCCAACCTGGCCCCCAGCCCTCCCGCCGGCCCAGCCCGCCGGGCCGCAAGCCCGGACCACCCGCGAGAAGCGCAAACTTTTTTTTTCCCTTTTGCAAAAACTTTTTCTCTCTCCAGCCGCTGGCGCGCCGCCGCTCTTCCCGCTCGCCCCTCACCTCCCTTCTATTTCCCTCCCTCTTGCCGTTCTGGAGGATGAGGCGGGGTAGCTGGAAGCAAGAGAAGGGGTGCCGGGCTTATTGCACCCCCAGGACCCCCAGGATCCTCCCCCTCCCTTGAGGGACCCTATACTGCTTACGCCCCCCCCCCCGCCCCGGCTGAACACGCTGCTGTTGGTGAGTACTAAATCCCGGCTTGGATTTCTGGATCGGCTGGCCCCAAAGAGGCCCCGACAACCAGATTGAGGAAAATATTGCGGGGCAGGGGGAGAAGTTCAACCGAGAACGATAATAGTGGAGGTAGGGTAGTCGCCTTTGGTTGGTGCTAACTGAGCATTCTGCCATCCTGTGGTTTATCTGCAGGCCTCACCCTTTGGATGGAACTTGCAGCGGCCGGGACAGAGTTGCGGTTTGGGGCAAATCAAGTTGGGTTGGGGGCTCTGGAAGAAGGTGAGGAGTCTATGGAGCATAAAAGCAAGGAGCAGCGGCTGAGGCTCTGGGTGCAGGGTGTGGTTCACGAGGTCACCAAGGAGCCCTGGGACTGAAGCCCCTTTCCCTAGAACCCCGGCTCTACGTCTCGAAGTTCTGGAGGGTGCCGCCCCTCCGCACCACGTCACTGCAGGCTCTAGCTGCTCTTCCAGGCTTTCTGCTCCCTCTGCTGGCCGTTCTCACACATGACACCCGCTCGGAGTCGAAGCAGAAGAGCTGGGGAACTGAAGGAGGAGCCCAGTTGAAGGAGGAGCCCCTCACTAAAGCCCACTTAAAAGCCCAGGAGGTGGATATGTGAGCTCTGAGAAACGGAGAGGCAGAGGTTGCTATGCCCAGCGGTACTGCCTGACAGGGAAGTGCCCTGCCTCTTTAGATTTGCATTGCCATCGTGACCGGATATAAGGGAGGGGCAGCATTTCAGTCTCTGATTTTTATGAGAAAGAGGAGGAAGCATGACAAGGAAAAAGGGCACCCTCTCCCCTTTTTTTCAACCCCACAGGCAGACCTCCCACATCCTAGCTCTGCTTCCAAGAACCACCCCCTTGGGTGTGGAAGGTCAGTGGGTTAACTGTTCAGTCTGAGGGTCAAGGGGGAAAAGAAAAGGTGAAGGTAGGGGGAGATCTGGGACTTTGACCCAGGCTAGTTATCCCCAGAGGGTCAGAGACCCAGCTCAGTCAGACCAGACTAATGGGCACTGAAAAAAAGGCACCCCACACATGCTCCTGTCCCAGCCTCGAGCCCCTTCTTCCAGAGGAGCTATTTATGTATTTATGTATTTATTTATTTTTATTTGGGACGGGGCCTCACTATTTGCCCAGGCTGGAGTGCAGAGGCTATTCACAAGTGTGATCATAGCCTCGAACTCCTGGGTTTAAGCGGTCTTCCGGCCTTAGCCTCCTAAGTAGCTGGGACCACCGGTGCCCAGCAAGAAGAGCTCTCTTAGAACACCTTACTTTCTTCTCCCCACCCAGTTCTATAGACCAGTGAGTCTCAAACTTTTTGGTTTCCTCTATACTCTTAAAAGTCATTAGGTTAGGCACAGTGGCTCAGACCTGTAATCCCAGCACTTTGGGAGGCCAAGGCAGGCGGATCACCTCAAGTCAGGAGTCCGAGACCAGCCTGGCCAACATGGTGAAACCCCATCTCTACTAAAAATACAAAAAATAGCTGGGCATGGTGGCGCAGGCCTGTAGTCCCAGCTACTCAGGAGGCTGAGGCAGGAGAATCGCTTGAACCTGGGAGGTGGAGGTTGCAGTGAGCCGAGATTGTGCCACTGCACTCCAGCCTGGGCGACAGAGCGAGACTCCGTCTCAAAAAAAAAAAAATCATTGAGCTTTTGTTCATATGATTTACATCTATCAATTCACCACATTAGAAATTAAAACTGAAAAAGACTGTAACACAAGACCATACAAGCACACATTCCATTAACAATGATGTCAGAAAGATGATGTAATCACATGTCACACGGCCTCTGGAAAACTCCACAATACAATTTTAAGATAATGAGAATTCAAAAGGCAAATAACATGTTAGTATTATTATGAAAATAGCTTTGACTTTGTGGACACCCCTGAAAAGGGACCTCCCAGAAGCCTACAGAGTACACTTGAAGAACTGTTGCTCTGGACCATCACCCTAACCCTTCTTTATGACTCACATTTGTTGATTTTCTTTCTCCTTTTTATTAAGAAAGTATAAGCCAGGCGCGGTGGCTCACGCCTATAATCTCATCACTTCGGGAGGCCAAGTCGGGTGGATCAAGAGGTCAAGAGATTGAGACCATCCTGGCCAACATGTTGAAACCTCGTTTCTACTAAGAATACAAAAATTAGTGGGCGCCTGTAATCCCAGCTGCTCGGGAGGCTGAGGCAGAAGAATCACTTGAACCCAGGAGACGGAGGTTGCAGTGAGCCAAGATCGTGTCACTGCACTCCAGCCTGGTGACAGAGCGAGACTCGATCTCAAAAAAATAAAAAAGAAGAAAGAAAGTATAAATGCTTGTCTCCCAGTGGGTCCTGTCCCCTGGGAAAAACCAGGGAACTTCTTAGGCTTAGTGCCTCATTTTCCTGACTCCTGTTTCTGGGGGTCCCCTAAGCATCCTCCCTCAGCGCCTTGCCCATCTCCCTCTTGACCTTCCCTTAAGGTACCTCAACAGCCCTTACCCTGGGCCAGCCTGCTTACCCTGCTTCAAGCCTGCTGGACCATCTATCTGCTTCCTCCTCCCCTCACTTGAGGACTTTCTCATCTTGGGAGAGGCTAAGTAATTTTTCTCTGCCTTCCCTCCCTCCCTCCCTAGTCCCTGACATCTTCTCACAGGACTTAGGGCAGGAAATCATGCTTTCTGGGTAGACCCCTTTAGAAGAAACGCTTTACCCATCTCCCAACACATCAGCCAACCTGGAATAAGCCAGAGTCTCAGACAAGAAAGTGCCCATTTGGGTCCCATAGGGGTCAAGTGAGTCATATTGCCAGGTGGTTGTTGGGTTGGGGTGTGGATCAGGAATCTGATGCCTCCAGTCACAGATGCCCTGTGCCTGGGAAACTTCATCTTGGTCTCTTCACTCCAAAGCCCCAGGTCCTCTTGCTAGCTGCAGCCACAGGCCTCCACCACCATATCTGGCACATCCGTCTTGACCACATTGCCATTATGATCCAGGTAGAGGAGAGAGAGGGGCCTTCGGGCAGTAGGGACACAACAGGAGGTACTGGCAGGCCAAGGATTGTTGGCTTTGAGGAGGCTGAAGACGGCAGAATGGAAAGAGGCAGCAATGCCTGGGCTGCCAGCCAGGTGGGGAGGGCACTGCCCACTGCAGTAATTCAGCTGGTACCCCTCGGGCTGCAGTATCCAGTCCCGCCATCCCAGTTCCTGGAAGTCTACGTAATGGTCTCGCCTGCAACATAAGGGGGTCGCAGGCTCACAGGTGGGGGTCCTCCTCCTGGCCCGGCCTGCTCCAGGCTCATTGGCTCGGATCTTAAGCTCTAGGAAGGGCTGCTGGTGTCCTGCTGTGTCCAAGAGCCGCCTCGGTTGTCCAGTAACTGTGCTGTTGCCTTCTAGGGGTCTGCAGTCTAGTTGCAGTTTCAGGACACCAGACTTCTCACCCCTCAAGCCACTAGAGGGCAGAGTTAAGGTATGCCAGCCCAGGTTGGTGATGTGGTGCTCAGCCAGGAGAGTGCGGGACCCTTGGCGCCTCCTCCTTGGTCCCCATCGGAAGATCCTCAAGCAAAGAGTGCCAGGAAGGGTGGGGAGCACGTGCAGCCACAGGCGGGCATGGTACAGGTGGTGGGACCGAGGAGTGGACAGGTGAAAAGTGAGCAGGGAGCTGTAGGCTGAAGTGGAGTCTGCCCGAAAGACAGAAAAGGGAAAGAAAATGTGAGTAGAGATGAAGCTCTCCTCTGAGACTCCCCAAGCCCTGCCCACTGCTCTCCCTCGAACCTACCTCTAGAAAAGTAGAGACTGCTTTGTGTCCTCTGCAACCAGTCCCTGCCCCAGCTCCTCCTTCTCCTGCCACACCCCACTCCCTCTGCTGCTCCTGCCAGGCTCCCCTTCTGCCTCCCTTTCCCTGTCTGCTCTTTGCCTGTTGCTCTCTCCCTCACCCACCTGTGACAGTAGCAAAGCTGATGACCTCCTCCCCATTCCCTGGAGCCACACTCCCTGGCTGTAGTCTCCGGAGGGCTCTGGTCAGCGCTGCCTGGGGTGGAGGATGAGTTATTCTGGGACGACTGGTCAGGTGCAACCCATCCAGGATTTGCTGCTTGGCTAGCTCCAGCACCAGAGCTCGTTCTGCTTGGGGTGCCAGTTTGGAGCCCCCACAGGAGGGACACACAGACCCTGTCCCCTGTGCTCGCACCAGTGCCCACAGCAGCACCAGCCAGAGCTGGACATCAGGGAGCCGCATGCTCCTGGTGAATGGCCCTGGTTCAGGAGCCTCGGATGGCAGTTGCTCCGTCTGTTGAGTCTGATTGCTGGGGGCCAATGAGGGCACAGTGACAGCAGACACCACTGCCACACCTACCCTTGGCCAAGGGTACAGCCACCTGTCTTCTATTGTCTGGGACTCAGGAAGGCTGAAAGTAGATCATCTGATGGATAGCTGTGCTTGACCCTCACAGCTCATGTCTGGCTACTGACCTGGGGCCTCTTTAGAGCCAGCTGCCTGGGTCTTCCAAACCTAGTGGTCAGCCAGCCGACCTACCCTCTGAGTCCCAGGATTGGCCAGCTGTGCTGCCCATCAGGCCCCTGCAGGGGGTGGAGGTCCTCCTCCCCATCAGCTCAGGTTTCACCATCTGGCCATGGTGACTGGGCCTGAAGTAGGGGTATGGGGGTGGGGGGGTGCAATGTGGACACGCATGATGCAAGAAAGAGGATGATTTCACATGCTCAGTCCCCAAGGTCTGGGACTTGGGGGAGGGAACGCCTTATGAGCCAGGTGGGGAAGGGCAATTTTCCCTCATACCTCTAGTCTTTCTAGCTTCACCACTGCTGCAGCAGTTTCCATGAGGCAGCTGTGAGTTCCAGTGGGTATTCCTCTGGGGCCCTTAGGCCAGAAGGAAAATTCTGGTCTCTTTATTTCTAGCACTGGGGCTAGGACAGGGATGAGGGTTTGGGCGGGTAGGAGAATGGAGCCCTCTTGCTCAGGCCCAGGTGGCAGTGCCACGAGGCACAGAAGTCACCCCCTGACCCTGCCTGTGCTGGCCGCCCAGAGTCCAGTTGGCCTGGAGCATGATGTGGAGCATGATGTGGAGGAGGGCCAGAGCCGGCGGGGGTTGGGGCGGGGAACGTGTTCCTGTGATGTCTGGGGAAGCCCAGAGAGGTGGTGGTGGTGGTGATGCAATCTTACACAGGGCAGAGTCCATCAGGACTGTCAGGGGGCATGACACTTGGGAGGGCCTATACCCAGCTGCCACTTCTCTTTCAAGGGACTGTGAGAGTTGCCTAAATTTGGGGCATCCTAGAAGTAGTGCCAGGCCTCCTTTTTTTCTTACATTTTTAAAATTTAAATTTTATTTTATTTTACTGAGGTAAGGTCTCAATCTGTTGTTCAGGCTGGAGTGTAGTGGCACAATCATAGCTCACTGCAGCCTTGAATTCCTGGGCTCAGACAATCCTTCTGCCTCAGCCTCCTTAGTAGTTGGGACTACAGGTGCGCACCACCACACCTGGCTAATTTTTAAATTTCCCACAGAGACAGGGTCTCGCTATGTTGCCCAGGCTGGTCTTGAACTCCTGGGCTCAAGCAATCCACTTGCCTCAGCCTCCTAAAGTGCTGAGGTTACAGGCGTGAGCCACCGCACCACCCTTCAGGCCTGTTAATGGGGGTAGAAAATGGGAGCTCTAAGAGCTTTTGACAACAAAGCAAGGCAAATACAGCAGTCTTGGTTCCCAGTCTCAGCCCTCCTGACCACATTTTCTCACTGTCTTTATTTTATTTTATTTTATTTTATTTTTTGAGGCTGAGTCTCGCTCTGTCGCCCAGGCTGGAGTGCAGTGGCACAATCTCGGCTCACTGCAAGCTCCACCTCCCGGGTTCACACCATTCTTCTGCCTCAGCCTCCCGAGTCGCTGGGACTACAGGTGCCAGCCACCACGCCCGGCTAGTTTTTTGCATTTTTAGTAGAGACGGGGTTTCACTGTGTTAGCCAGGATGGTCTCCATCTCCCGACCTCATGATCTGCCCGCCTCGGCCTCCCAAAGTGCTGGGATTACAGGCATGAGCCACCGCACCTGACCTATTTTTTATTTTATTTTTTATGTTTTTGAGACAGGGTCTTACTCTGTCATCCAGGCTGGAGTGTGGTGGCCTGATCACAGCTCACTGCAGCCTTGACCTCCTGGGTTAAGTGATTCTTCCACCTCAGCTTCCAGAGTAGCTAAGTCTACAGGTGCGTGCCACCACACCAACCACACCACACCACACCACACAGGCTAATTTATTTTTTATTCTTTTGTAGAGACAGGGTCTTGCTGTGTTGCCCAGGGTGGTCTCAAGCTCCTGGGCTCAAGCGATCCTCTCACCTCAGCGTCCCAAGGCGCTAGGATTATAGACATGAGCCACCACACCCAGTCCTCACTGGCTTTAAATGGGGGGGGACCCAGACCCCTCCACATTGAATTCATGAAGGTGGGCCTCATGCTAGCTTTTCTCCTTATGCCCCAATTTCTCCAAGAAGCTTGATGGGGAGAAAGCTGTGGGGGAAGTGGGTGTGATTTGGAAATGTGTCTTTACTCCACTTTGCTCATCTCCCCTCTGTTTAGATGATGGGGGCTGTCAAGAGAGACTATTAGATCTAGGCGACAGGGTTCCTAATTGGAAGGCTGGACCTCAGTACCACCAGTGTCCACCATGTGGCAGTGCCGTGCCTCTGGACAGCAGCTGGCTTGTAGCTGGCTGGAGCTTCCCAGGGACAGGGAAGGGGCAGCTCTGGGGAATGGAGTGATGAGGAGTGCCCCTCGACCTCTCACTCTGGGGACGCTGCCTCCCCCACAAGAGACAGGGACAAGCTGGTTCCTTTGTTCTTTCCCCATCACACTGCCAGAGAAGAGAGACTGTCTTCAGGATCCACATCACTGCTACCTTTGGTTTTGGACCTCATCACACAAACACGTGGCAATGGAGCTTGGTGATGTACCAGGCTCTTCCTAGAACCTCAGGGCACTCTTTGGTGGGGGTGGAGTGGGGTGGGGGCGCACTGAGACGATTAGACCCTCCTGTCCACCCTGCATTTCTCCCCAAGCTCTGAAACACATTCAAGAGCTCTGTCCAGTGTTCTCCCCAGCTCCCAGCAACCATTCTGTTGGTTGGGCTGGGAAATGACAGCCCTCTACCCCCTCGGGTCTGGAACATTGGTCAGCAAAGTGGAGGTATCTATCCATGGTGGTGCCTCAGACGGCTTACCTGTTGGTATCAGTAGGCAGTCAGGGGAAGTGACAAGAAGTGGCTGCAGGAGTCACTGACCCCACCTCTCCCCACCCTCACTGTCAGATGCCCCCAGTTTCCAGCTCTTCCCACCCGCTTGCTGCTGTGCCTGGCCTGGCCCTACCTCCCCACTGACACTTACGTCAGAGCTCAGCTATAAATACGCTCTTAGCATCTTAGTCACTTTTCCCAAGAAGTGCTCCTGGGTTATAAATACCCCAGCCATCTGCCTCACTGCCTGCCCTACCACCAACCTGGTTGGGGGCTGGGGGATAGCGACAGGCTTGGGGGTGGGTAAGGAAGTAGAAGAAGTGGGAGTGGTTATCTTGCTCAAATGAGAAAAGCCTGAAGGGGTCCAGAGGTAGGAGCTAGGAAGCTCTAGAAGAAAATGTTTAGAAGAAGACAGACCCACTCTCTCCCCTTATTACAAAAGACAGAGCCAAAAAAGAAAGGGAATAATGCTGATCCTGTTTTTATTTAAAAGTAGGCTATTTTGTTCATCATGGATTTTTTGCATTAATTTTGACTTTAAAATAATATTGCATTAAAGTCCTATCTTGATTAATAAATTGTTCACCACCCCCTTAAAATTTAGCCCCCCCAGGTGAATGACTCACTTTGCTTTACCCCAGTCCTAGCCCTGGAGACTAAGCTGTAATTGGGAAGGAGGTTAGATCTGGGGGTCGGGGATGTGTGGGGGAGACACCAGAAGGCCTCCTTAGATTCTCCTTAGATGAAGGTCTCCTCAAGTCAAAGGTGGGATAACTTCCATGGGTTGCTCAGGAAGCCCTCAAGCTCAGATTTACAGTCCCCCAGGCAGTCCTTTTCAGACTTTCTCCTCTAGGGTTCCTATTTCAGGGACCTCTTACCCTCATAGGAGGGGGTCATAAACTGAGCAAACACAGACATCACGTTTACCAAAGAACACATGGGTTTTGCGCAAACTCGGCCTTGGGCTGCAGACATTATCGACCTCATGGTTCAGGACTGTCCAGCCAAAGGGAGGAGATGTGGGGGAGGACGGGCAAAGGTCTAAAAAGGACCCAGTCTCAGAGCAAATGCCACCCTCTCCTCATCCAGGCCTTCCTCTTCTCCCTGTCCCACTCCAGCAGCCCTTGCCCATTCCAGCTTCCAGGCAGGACTCCTGGGTGGAGCACTGGGGGTGGGTGAAAGGAAGGCAAGTCAGAGGTCCTGGCAGCCAGCTCTGAGCATGCCTCTGCCTCCCACACTTGCGTGCCCACAGCTGGTCAGTTTACTGGATGACCAAGCATAGATCTGTCTCATCTTTTGGAGGGATTACAGAGGGAACAGGTAAAGCCTAGGTTTTTATTAGCCATGAGACCTCAAAGATGGTTCTGGAAGGATGGAGGGACGGGGTGCCTAAGAAAGAAGAGGCATAAAGTGTGAGATGGATACAATAGTTCAGTTCTGAGGAGACCATGTGAAGAGACAGCAGAGTAGGCAGACTACAGCATAAGCAGGCAGGCTCTGTGTCATCTGGGGTGCCAGTTAGGGCCCTTGTAGGAGATAGAGGACTTTTCAGCTGTCTGTTTTTGCTTCATCAAGAGAACTTAGTGAAGGAATTATTTACAGAGGTATAGGCAGAGTTAAGGGAACCAGTATGAGATGTTGAGGCCCCAGGGACTAGCAAGATAGAAAGCCTTTAGGACCCCCTAGTGTTGAAGCAGTTATATCAGAATGTAGGCAGAGCTGGGGCCATGGAAGGGGGTAGCCAGGTAGTGTAGGGACACAGAATAGCCACAGTTACACAGAACCATGACACCTAGACAGAGAGGGAACAGGGATAAGAAATGCCCTGACCTCAGCAGGAAGCCAGAGGGCAGGGGAGCTCAGGTGATAGAGCTCAGGCAAGTCAGCCCTTAAGGGCATAGAGAAAGGCAGAGAAGGACAAAAAATGGATGAAGGTATGCAAAGAGAGCTTTAGTAGTTCACCTGGACAACTAAGAAGGACAGGGGCTCACAACAAAGAGGGGGGTAGGTAAGCCTCTATTTTGGGCAGCAGTGATCTAAACTTTGGTGAATCCAAAGAAGGGCCTCTCTGGAGATCCACAAAAATTGGGGGAAGGGGTTGTGTCAACTCATCTTGGAGTGGGGACCATTGAGTAGAAAGGACAGGAAGGCATAGTGGGTTATGGGGTCTATTAAAGGTGAGCTAAGGGTGTCTTTGCCTGGGAACCAGATGGCATTGCTCATGGTTGGAGATGGGTCTGAGTCCCTGGAGTGGGGCTAGCGGGATGGACTAGCGGGATGGACTATGCCCTAGGAAAGAGGGTAGTGGTCAGGAAGATGGCACAGTGACTTGCTTTAGATGAAGGTTTCTTCAAGTCAAAGGTGGGGTAATTTCCATAAGATGCTCAGGAAGAGGGAGTCCACATTCTGGACAGAGAATGAGGTCATTCCCTCCTCTCAAGGAAGTGCACTTCTGTAGGGGCGTGTTTTCCCATGCAACCTTGGGCTGCCCATACCACACATAGACTAACTGCACCCACAGGCCTCTACTACCATGTCAGGTATGTCAGTCTTGACAATGTTGCTGTCCCTGTCATAATAGAGCAGAGACAGGGGGCGCCGGGCCGTGGGTACACAGCATGAGCCCCCTCCAGTGGTGCCTGCAGCTGTGTTGGCCTTGAGAAGATTGAGCACTGCAGTGTGAAAGGAGGCAGCAATACCAGGCATGCCTGCTATGTGTAGTGGGCACTGCCCTATGCAGAAGTTCATGGCGTAGCCCTCAGGCTGGATGATCCAGTCGTGCCAGCCAATCTCACGGAAGTCCACAAAAAACTCTTGTCGACAGCACATCCTGGACCCTCCTTGGCAGTCGATGCCTCGTCGGTGAATCTGGTGTTTGCCCCCAACTCTCACCCGGGCTGCCACAAAAGGCCTATGGGCAGCTCCACCCAGGATGACTGAGCTCTGGGCTACCTGGCCTTCAAGTACCAGCTCCAGGGTCAGGTGCCCCTGGCTGCAGGCAGCTTGAGCTTCAGGCCCTAGGGGGAGTTGATGCCAGCCACTGGCATCCACCTCCAGCAGGTACTGAGTAGCCAAGGTGAGGTTGGTATTATGTGGACCCAGCACAAGGACTCTCACTTTCAAGGTCCAAGTGGTATTGGAAGGGAGCTGCACAAAGAACATGAGACTGGCCTGCTGGACCTCCCTGTCACCAGCAGTTCTATCAGAGGAGAAGTGAAAATCAAGACGAGTCTGGTTGATGGTGGAGAGGCCTGTGGACATAAGAAGCCCCAGTCATTGCGGCCTTCTGACTGTCAGTTCTACCAACTATTTCTCTGTACTCAGCATTCTTGAGTTGTCTATAGCACTTGGCATTTGCTACAGTTTAAACATGTCCTCCAAAGTTCATGTGCTGGAAATTGGACCTCCAATGCAGTGGTGTTGGGAAGTGGGGCCTAATGGGAGGTGTTTGGGTCATGGGAATACCACCTTCATGAATGGATTAATGCCCTTATCTTGGGAATGGGTACCTTATAAAAGGATAAGTTTAATTATCAGCCCCACCCTCTCTTTGCCCTTCTGCCATGGAATAACACAGCAAGAAGCAAGAAGGCCCTCGCCAGATGCCAGCCCCTTGATCTTGGACTTCCCAGCCACCAGAACCATGAGTTAATATATTTCTGCTCATTATAAATGACCTAGTCTGTGGTATTCTGTTACACCAGCACAAAACGGACTAAGACAGCACTGCTGACAATTCTTTCCTTCCTGAAAATCTTTTCTCTCTTGGCTTCCATGACACAACTCTGTTATAATTCTTCCTGGTTTTCTTTGCTGGCTTTTCTTTCTCTGACCATCCCTTTAATATCAGAGTTTTCCAAGGTCTGTCTTGGACTTTCATTTCCTTCTAGTCTACATTAAGGGAGCTCTTAATTAGACTCATGGTCAAGCAACATAATTTTTTTTTTTTTTTTTTTTTTTAGACGGAGTCTCATTCTGTCACCTAGGCTGGAGTGCAGTGGCGTGAGGTTGGCTCACTGCAACCTCTGCCTCCTGGGTTCAAGTGATTCTTCTGCCTCAGCCTCCTGAATAGCTGGGATTACAGGTGCCTGCCACCACTCCCAGTTAATTTTTGTATTTTTAGTAGAGATGGGGTTTCACCATGTTGGCCAGGCTGGTCTTGAACTCCTGACCTTGTGATCCACTCACCTCAGTCTCCCAAAGTGCTGGGATTACAGGCGTGAGCCACCACGCCCAGCCAAGCAACACAATTTTTATGTTGGTGATTCCCAAATCTGTATGCCCAGACCAGAGCATTTTGCATATTTGGACCGGACATATAGATTTGGAAATCACCAAGCTTCAGGCCTAGATTTCTAACTACTTACTTTTGTCACATGAATGTCCTGGCAGCACATTAAAATCAATTTGTCCCAGAGCTGGGTGGAGTAGTGCATGCCTGTAATCCCAGCTACTTGGGAGACTGAGGCAACATGCCCAAGACCAGCCCAGGCAACATGGCAAGACCCCATCTTATAAATACATATGTGTGTATGCATGTGTGTATATATATGTATATATGTATGCATACATATATACAAACACAAGCACACACACATATATTTTATATATATATATATATATATATATATATATTTTTTTTTTTTTTTTTTTTTTTTTTTTTTTGAGACGGAGTTTTGTTCCTGTTGCCCAGGCTGGAGTGCAATGGCGCAATCTCAGCTCACTGCAACCGCTGCCTCTCGGGTTCAAGCAATTCTCCTGCCTCAGCCTCCCAAGTAGCTGCACCCAGCTAATTTTGTATTTTTAGTAGAGACAGGGTTTCTCCATGTTGGTCAGGCTGGTCTTGAACTCCTCACCTCAAGTGATTCGCCCTGCTTAGCCTCCCAAAGCGCTGGGATTACAGGCGTAAGCCACCGCGCCTGGCCTATATATTTTTTTTAATCAATTTTTTCAACCTGAAAAATAATTACTTTCCTTCCTATATACCCCCTCTTCATTCTTGGTGGTGCCACTACCCTCATCACCTGTAAAAACTCTATGATCAGCTAGGCGTGGTGGCTCACGTCTGTAATCCCAGCACTTTGGGAGGCTGAGGCAGGTGGATCACCTTAGGTCAGGAGTTTGAGACAAGCCTGGCCAACATGGTGAAACCCCATCTCTACTAAAAATACAAAAATCAGCCAGGCGTGGCAGTGGGCGCCTGTAATCCCAGCTACTTGGGAGGCTGAGGCAGGAGAATCGCTTGAACTTGGGAGGCAGAGGTTGCAATGAGCCAAGACCACACCATTGCACTCCATCCTGAGAGACAGAGCGAGGCTCCGCCTCAAAAAAAGAAAAAAAAAACAAACTATGATTACTTTCTTCATTCCCCCTATACCTTGTCTCACCAGAATGGTTCTAATGTCTGTGCATTTCTTTGTATCCCTATTACTACTGCCCAATTTCCTCTTATCATCCCTCACCTTCCTTACTGAACATCTTAGTTGGGTTTCTATTCCCTCCACTCTACTGAAATTGCACACGTCAAGATCACCAACACCTTCCACAAAGCAAATCTAACCATTTGTATTCATCTTACTTGACCTTTAAGCAGTGTTTGACACAGTTAACCACTCCCTCCTTCTTCCATATTTTCTTCTCTTGGCTTTTATAACAGTGGCCACTCTATCTTTTTCTCCTCTATCGACAGCTCCTCTTTGTCGGCCCAACCTTTAAATGTTGGAAGTCAGGCCAGGCGTGGTGGCTCACACTTGTCCCAGAACTTTGGGAGACTGAGGTGGATGCATGGCTTGAGTCCAGGAGTTTGAGATCAGTGAGATCAGCCTGGACAACTTGGCAAAACCCTGTCTCTACAAAAATTACAAAATTACCCAGGCGTACTAGTGTACACCTGTAGTCCCAGCTACTACGGAGGGCTAAGGTGGAAGGATTGCTTGACCCTGGGAGATCAAGGCTATAGTGAGACATCAACGCACCACTGCACTCCAGGCTGGGCAACAAAATGAGACCCTGTCTCAAATAAATAAATAAATAAATAAATAAATAAATAAATAAATAAATAAATAAATAAAGTCCTAAGCTCCCTTCTCTTCACTATCTATACCCTCTCCCAGAATGATCATCCATTCCATGGCTTTCAATTCCATCTATATGCTGATGACTTCCAAATATATATATCTGGTCCTGACCTCTCCCTGAGCCCCAGCCTTGTATGTCCAAGTGGCTATCTGATATTTGACTTGGACATCCAATGATATTTCAATCTCTTTTTTTAATTAAAAAAAAATTTTTAGGCCGGGTGTGGTGGCTCACGCCTGTAATCCCAGCACTTTGGGAGGCAGAGGCAGGTGGATCAGTTGAGGTCAGGAGTTCGAGACCAACCTGGCCAACATGGTGAAACCCTGTCTCTACTAAAATTACAAAAAATCAGCCAGGCATGTTGGCACATGCCTGTAATCCCAGCTACTCGGGAGGCTGAGGCAGGAGAATTGCTTGAACCCAGGAGACAGAGGTTGCAGTGAGCTGACATCGCGCCACTGCACTCCACCCTGGGCAACACAGCGAGACTCTGTCTCAAAAAAACGAACAAACAAACAAACAAAAAAACCACCAAAAATTAGCCAGGCATGCTGCGGGCACCTGTAATCCCAGCTACTTGGGAGGCTGAGGCAGGAGAATCACTTGAACCTGCGAGGCAGAGGTTGCAGTGAGCCGAGATCATGCCATTGCATTGCACTCTAGCCTGGATGACAGAGCGAGATTCTGTCTCCAAAAAAAAAAAAAAAAAAAAATTTACATGGAGATGGGCGGGGGGTCTCACTATGTTACCCAGACTGGTCTTGAACTCCTGGCCTTAAGTGATCCTCTCACCTTGGCCTCCCAAAGTGCTGAGATCACAGGCATAAGTCAATGTGCCCAGCCTCAATCCTGTACAAGGAAGTCTAAATGTATCCCCCCAGTCCAAACCTGTTCCTTCTCCAAACTTCTCCCCATAAACGCATTGCTTAAGGCAAAATCTTGATTGTGTTTATCCTCTACTTTGAAATTATCTGAAAGTTTTATCAACTCTACTTCTAATTCATAATATAATTTCACTTCTCCCCACTTCCTCTACTACTCATTAGTCCAACTCACAACCATCTTTTTCTTTAACTGTAGCTTTCGTTCACTCAAGTGATTCACTCTTGCTCTCCAAACCATTCTCCAAATATCAGCCAGTGATCTTTTTATAAATCTGATTAGTTTTATCTTCTCAGCTTAAAACACTTCAAAGTCTTCCCCTTGCTCTTTGGATAAAATCTAAACTCCTTGAAATAGGAAACTTGTTTGACACTTAACTACTACACCCTGCCTATACTGGCCTTTTTCTGTTCCTCAAATTCACCAAACATAAAGCTATCTCATAGCCTTTACACTTGCTAGTCTCTTTCCCTGGAATGTCTTTCCAAGATCTTTGAATGACTGAGTTCTTTTTGGCATTCGGCTCAGATGTCTCCTCCTCAGAGAGGCTTCAGGCTTCCTTCCTAATCTATCTAAAGCAGGCTTCAGCCAGGCGTGGTGGCACATGCCTGTAATCGCAGCACTATGGGAGGTCAAGGTGGCAGGATTGCTTGAGGCCAGGAGTTTGAGACCGACTGGGCAACATAGTGAGACCCTGTCTCTACAATAACTAAAAAATATATAAATAAATAAAAAATAGCTGGGCATGGAGGAACACATCTGTAATCCCAGCTACTCGGGAGAATCACTTGAGCCCAGGAGGTCAAAGCTGCAATGAGCCAAGATCATGCCACTGCACTCTAGCCTGGGCAACAGAGCAAGGCTGTCTCAAAAATGAAATAAAATAGAATAAAACGTAATAAAATAAAATAAAATAAAAATAGCCTTCAATTCTGCCTCCATCTCTCTAATACATCATCCTGCTTAACTGTTTGTATAGCCATTATCATGCTCTGTAATCAGTGTGGTTCTTTTTTTTTTTTTTTCTGAGACAGAGTCTTGCTCTGTCACCCAGGCTAGATTGCAGTGGTACGATCTTGGCTCACTGCAACCTCCACCTACCCGGTTCAAGCAATTCTCCTGCCTCAGCCTCCTGAGTAGCTGGGATTACAGGCATGCACCACCATGCCCTGCTAATTTTTGTATTTTTAGTAGAGACGGAGTTTTGCCATGTTGGCCAGGCCGCTCCGGAACTCCTGACCTTGTGATCCTCCTACCTCGGCCTCCCAAAGTGCTGGGATTACAGGCATGAGCCACCAAGTCCGGTCCAGTGTGGTTCTTCGTTCATTTGTTTACTACGTATTTCTCCTACCCCTCTTTCTTCCCTGCAGCTAGAATGTAAGCTCCATGAAAACAGCGGTTGTGCCTGTATGGCTCACCATTGTATCCCTAGTACTTGGTATTTAGTAAGCACTCAATAAACACTTGTTGAGACCAGGTGTGGTGGCTCACACCTGTAATCCCTGCACTTTGGGAGGCTGAGATGGGAGGATCACCTGAGGTCATGAGGTCATGAATTCGAGATCAGCCTGGCCAACAGGGTGAAACCCCATTTCTACTAAACATACAAAAATTAGCCGAGTGTGGTGGCATGCACCTGTAGTCCCAGCTACTCAGGAGGCTGAGGCAGGAGAATTGCTTGAACTCAGGAGGCAAAGGTTGCAGTGAGCAGAGATCACGCCACTGCACTCCAGCCTGGGTGACAGAGCCAGACTCTGTCTCAAAAACAAACAAACAAACAAACAAAATACTTGTTGAATGGTCTTTCATTTCTATAATTATTTTAACATCAGGATTCTTTTCCCAAAACATGGATGGATCATAAAATTCATGGTCTCAAAAACCTTATTAGTTAATAAAGTCCTAACTCTTTTAGGAAACAGTTAAATACCCATTGTAATTTGGCCTTAGCCATTTTTTTTTTTAAGTGAAAAATGTTTTATGAGGCCCGGCGCAGTGGCTCATGCCTGTAATCCCAGCACTTTGGGAGGCCAAGGTGGGTGGATCACCTGAGGTCAGGAGTTCGAGACAAGCCTGACCAACATGGAGAAACCCCATCTCTACTAAAAATACAAAATTAGCCGGGCGTGGTGGCGCATGCCTGTAATCCCAGCTACTCGGGAGGCTGAGGCAGGAGAATTGCTTGAACCTGGGAGTCGGAGGTTGCGGTGAGCTGAGATCATGCCATTGCACTCCAGCCTGGGCAACAAGAGTGAAACTCTGTCTTAAAAAAAGAAAAAAAAATTAGCTGGGCATGGTGGCACGCCCCTGTAGTCCCAGCTACTCAGGAGGCTGAGGCAGGAGAATCACTTGAACCCAGGAGGCAGAGGTTGCAGTGAGCCGAGGTCGCACCACTGCACTCCAGCATGGCAACAGAGCAAGACTCCGTCTCAAAAAAAAAAAAAAAAAAAAAAAGAGTGCTTTATTATGGGAATGGAACTGATACTCTCATGGGCTCAAAAAGGCGGGGTATGAAGTTCAACTAGGCTTCATGTAAATTGGAAAGTCAGGAATAAGGTTCTTTTTTTTTTTTTTTTGAGACGGAGTCTCACTCTTGTCGCCTGGGCTGGAGCGCAGTGGCGCAATCTCGGCTCACTGCAACCTCAGCCTCCTGGATTCAAGCAATTCTCCTGCCTCTGCCTCCCGAGTAGCTGGGATTAGAGGCACCTGCCACCATGCCCAGCTAATTTTTGTATTTTTAGTAGAGACAGGGTTTCCCCCATGTTGGCCAGGCTGGTCTTGAACTCCTGACCTTAGGTGACCCGCCCACCTCAACCTCCCAAAGTGCTGGGATTACAGGTGTGAGCCAACGTGCCCAACAGGAACAAGGCTGCTCTTGACAGCTCTCAGAGCCAATAAGATCTCTTTCATCTCTCTCTCTAGATAAGTCAGTTCCACTCTTCTCTCTCTGTGGATCTACTACTTCTGCCTCCTTGTTAGCTTCCTCAGGTCCCAAAATTGTGGCCCAGGTCCCAAGTCTATAGGACCTTTTGCTCAGCTCCTCCTAAGTGAGCAGATCTTCCAGTGTCCCAATTCCAAAATCCTAAAAGAGTCTGACTGGCCCAACTAATCTTTTCCTTGCTAGGTCACAAAGCACCCTATAGTTAGTACCTTTTAAGTCACTCCAGTTATGGCAGGCAAACACAAGACCAACAGGGGCTGTAGTAGACTATTACACTGTTGGCCCCAAAGGCCAACACCTCCCAGTATTCATGACTTTGTGCTGTCCCTTTCCATATTAATTCTGGGCTTAGCCATGTGACTTGATTTGGGCAGTGAGACATTAGCAAGCATGGTGTTTATTGAGTACTTACATATTGAGGCATTCCACTCTTGGAAGCCAGCCGCAGTGCTTTAAAGGAAGTTGAGCTAGACTACTAAATTAGGAGAAGTCATGTGGAGAGAGACTTTGGAGGATTAGAGACCATCTTATATGTTCCAGTCCCATCTGAGTCCCCAAATGAAGTTGCATGGGAGACCTCAGCTACACCACATGGAGCAGAAGAACTGTCCAGATAAGCACAGTCAAGCCACAAAACCATGAGAGTGGCTGGGGGCAATGGCTCATGCTTGTAATCCCAGCACTTTGGGAGGCTGAGGTGGGTGGATCACTTGAAGTCAGGAGTTCAAGACCAGCCTGTCCAACATGGTGAAACCCTGTCTCTACTAAAAATACAAAAAAAGCCAGGCATGGTGGCGGGCACCTATAATCCCAACTACTCAGGAGGCTGAGGGAAGAGAATCTCTTGAACCCTGGAGATGGAGGTTGCAGTGACCCAAGACTGTGCCACTGCACTCCAGCCTGGGCAACAGAGTGAGACTCCATCTAAAAAAAAAAAAAAAGAATCATGAGAAATAATGAATGTGTTGTTTTAAGCCTCTATGTTTTGGGCTGGTTTGTTATATTGATAAGTAACTGAAACAAAAATTAGTATCAGAAGTGGGGTGCTACCATCACAAAAACCTAAAATATGTTGCATTGACTTTTTTTTTTTTTTTTTTTGAGACGGAGTTTTGATCTTATTGCCCAGGCTGAAGTGCAATGACGTGATCTTGGCTCACTGCAACCTCTGCCTCCTGGGTTCAAGCAATTCTCCTGCCTCAGCCTCCCCAGTAGCTGGGATTACAGGCATGTACCACCACACCTGGCTTTTTTTTTTTTTTTTTTTTTTTTGAGATGGAATTTCACTCTTGTTGCCCAGGCTGGAGTGCAATGGCACGAACTCGGCTCACTGCAACCTCCACCCCCTGGGTTCAAGCAATTCTCTTGCCTCAGCCTCCCGGGTAGCTGGGATTACAGACATGCACCACCACACCTGGCTAATTTTTTGTATTTTTGGTAGAGATGGGTTTCTCCATGTTGGTCAGGCTGATCTCGAACTCCTGACCTCAGGTGATCCACCCGTTTTGGCCTCCCAAAGTGCTGGGATTACAGGCGTGAGCCACAGCACCCGGCTTTTTGTTTTGTTTGTTTGTTTGTTTGTTTTAAAGAAACATCTTGCTATATTGACCAGGGTGGTCTCAAACTCCTGGCCTCAAGTGATCCTCCCACCCTGGCCTCCCAAAGTGTTGGGATTACAAGCATGAGCCACTGTGCTTGGTCAGTTGCACCGGCTTCGGGAATGAGTGGCAGGCAGAAGTTAGAAGGGTAGGGAAGAAACTGTTAGTAAAGGAAGGAAGAACAGTGAGGAAATTGCTATTGGAAGCTGAAGAAAGGGGAACTTGTATTGTGTATTGGCTATCACCTGTGGTAACTTAGAAGCCAGGAAAGATATCTAACAAAGTTGTGAATTTAGCTAATGATATTTCCAGGCAGAATGCTGAAAATGCCAGTTGGTATATTTTAGTTGCCTACGATAAGGCATTTCGGGAGAGAGATGAACTAAAAAAGGAACTGTGGCTGGGTGCGGTGGCTAACACCTGTAATCCCAGCACTTTGGGAGGCTGAGGCGGGCAGATCACAAGGTCAAGAAATCAAGACCATCCGAGCTAACATGCTGAAAACCCATCTCTACTAAAAATACGAAAATTAGCTGGGTGTGGTGGTGTGCACCTGTAGTCCCAGCTACTCAGGAGGCTGAGGCAAAAGAATCGCTTGAACCCGGGAGGCAGAGGTTGCAGTGAGCCAAAATTGCACCACTGCACTCCAGCCTGGCGACATAGCAAGACTCCGTCTCAAAAAAAAAAAAAAAAAAAGGCACTGTTCAATTTTCAAACAGAATTTAGAGAAAATATTTCTAAAAGGACTTGCTAAATTAAAAAATAGAACCGCTTACTCTATGTTGCTAATTTTTCAGAAAACAAAACAAAACAAAACCTTTTACTTCATGTTGTACATGTAGAGGAAAGAAAAGAAAAATAATGACAAAAATTCTTTTTCATTCTTTCTCTCTGACAAAAGGTTCTTAAAGTAAGAAATTACCTCAGGGCAAAAATCAAATCCAGGGCATTTCCAGTAATACAGGGACTCAGAGTGAAGATCAAAACAAATAAAGGGTCAGCTATAAAACCTTTTGTTAGCTGGTCATGGGAACACATGCCTATAGCCCCAGCTACTCAGGACGCTGAAGCAGGAGGATCCCTTGAGGCCAGGAGTTTGAGGCTATAAGGCAATATTATTGAGGCTGCAAATAGCCACTATACTCCAGCCTGGGCAACATAGCAAGACCAACTCTAAAACACAAACCAAAAAAACGCTTTGCTTGTTAAGATCTAACATTTTTTTTTGAGATCTAAAATTTAAGACGATGTTCTGTCAACCCTCACAACTAGACAAATGCACTTCTAAACATCTTAAAGGTGTCATCCCATGACACAGACTTGTAGCCTAAAGAAGTGTCTGTCTTGATAGAATGTGGTGCCTTCTGTGTAACTGAGTAGACTACAATTTATTATTTACAGGGTCCACAGAGTTTTAAAGAGAAGTTTAATACTGAAAGCAGCACCAGTTTGGACTAAAAGGGACAATTCAAAATAAAAAGGGGTCTCTGGGCCCCCAACTCTGGGCAGAAAGTAGGCTGAGAAAACTACTCAGCCACAAACACAGATTATTTCCTATTTAAAAGGAAAGACACCTCAGCAGGTAGAGGCCAAGGGCTGAGAGGGTGGATTTGGAAGTCCAGGAGAGCAGTGGTGAGCAATGGGAAATACCAGGGAGCAGAACCAGGCCCTAACTAACCAAGGGAATTCTGGGTTTGGAGTGGACCTAGATATTTGCCTGGCTGAATATAAGAAGTTTTATGGATCAGTGACTGCTCTGTGTCTCCTATTCTCCCATACCCCATTTTGAACAGGAATATCTATTATGTTTATCCTGTCCCTGTCTCAGCATTGTATGTTAAGTGCGTGGGAGGTAGAGAACTTGTATTTTTAGGACGCAGACAGTGGTATGCTGGTAAATGTTTAATAACTGGTCTCCAGGGAAAAAAATCAAAAGCCCTGATTTGTAGTCTTTGTCAATTTCTATAAGACTACAAATTCGCCCACCATGGCTGATTTCTAGCTGCTAATGTGACATCACTGAATGCTGAGTTGGGAGAAGATGTTCACAATCAGCTTTCATAAGTCTGAATAAGCCAGCGCTAGGACATCACTGAAGGCCCCTGCACCTGAAGAAATGTACCAGAGGAGCCTCACCTATATTTGCACCTAATTCAGGTGATGAGATGCTGAACTTTAGCCCGATCCTGATGCCATAAAGGGATGAAATTTTGATGTGGGTAGCTGGGAGAGGATGATTGTATTTTGCTTGTGGGAGAGATATAAATTGTTAGGGGTCAGAGGGCAGACTTTAGTAGGCTGCTAGATTGGTAGTCCCCAGTAAACACTACCTCATGGCTTTCATGCCTTCGTCTAGTTCCATCTCACAGTGATAGATTCTAGGCTTGGCTACAATGACTTGCTTTGTCAATGGGACATTAGCAAGCAGGGTGTATGTAGAAGTTTGAGAATAATTTACACATTGAAATTATCCTCTTGGAATCTGGCCACCATTCTCTAAAGAAACTTGGGATAGACTATTGAATGATAAGAGGCTTCATGGAGAGAGGCTGTTACATTCCCTCAAAATTCATATGTTGAAATCATAACCCCCATGTGATGGTATTAGGAAGTGGAGCCTTTGGGAGGTGATTAAGTAATGAGGGTGGAGCCCTCATTAATAGAATTAGTGCCTTTATAAAAAGTTTCCAGAGATTTGCCTTGTCCCTTTCCTCCATGGGCAGGCACTAAGTCTACTCTCTAGTTCCTGCTCCCTTCCACTTTAACATTCAAAGTACTTTACCTGTATTAGCCCATTTAATTATCTCAACTATCCTCTTATTATCCCCATTTAACACATGAGAAAACTATTAACCACTAGGTCAAACAGCTAATAAATGGCTGAGCAAGAATCTGAGCCCAGGCTATCTAGCTCCAGTTCAAGCAGGGTCTTGAAACAGGTAGGGGTGGGTGCAGTGGCTCACGCCTGTAATCCTGGCACTTTGGGAGGCTGAGGCGAGCAGATCACTTGGGGTCAGGAGTTCGAGACCAGCCTGGCCAACATGGTGAAACCCCGTCTCTACTAAAAATACAAAAATTAGCCAGGTTTAGTGGTGTTCGCCTGTAGTTCCAGATACTCGGGAGGCTGAGGCAGGAGAATGGCTTGAACCCGGGAGGCGGGGGTTGCAGTGAGCTGAGATTGTGCCACTGCACTCCAGCCTGGGCAACAGAATGAGACTCCATCTCAAACAAACAAACAAACAAACAAACACAAAAACGAGGGAATGAGGGGCCAGAAATGGGAAGGGTCTTCCAGACCTAAGAAAAAGCTTGCAAAGGGCTCAATTGGCATTTTCTTTCTTTCTTTTTTTTTTTTTTTGAGACGGAGTGTCACTCTGTCCCCCAGGCTGGAGTGCAGTGGCGCAATCTCGGCTCACTGCTAGCTCCACCTCCTGGGTCCATGCCATTCTCCTGCCTCAGCCTCCAGAGTAGCTGGGACTACAGGCGCCTGCCACCATGCCCAGCTAATTTTTTTTGTATTTTTAGTAGAGACGGGGTTTCACCATGTTAGCCAGGATGGTCTCGATCTCCTGACCTTGTGATCTGCGCGACTTGGCCTCCCAAAGTGCTAGGATTACAGGCGTGAGCCACCGCGCCCGGCCTTCAATTTGCATTTTCTAGAGTCCTGGCTTAGAATTCCTGATCTGCTCACTATATACTCCAACTATTCCCCTGTCTATGGAAGTAACTATCTCTCTTCCTTGTCCTCTTTTATCTATCTTTCTTTAATTAATTAATTTTAGAGATGGGGGTCTCACTCTGTTGCCCAGGCTGGAGGGCAGTGGTGCAAACAGCTCAGTGCAGTCTCAAACTCCTGGGCTCAATGATCCGCCATCTCAGGCTCCCAAATAGCTGGGACTGCAGGTGCACTCCACCGCACCCAGCTATTTTTAGCCCGGGGATGGTGGCTCATGTCTGTAATCTTAGCATTTTGCAAGGCCGAGGCGAGTGGATTGCTTGAGCCCAAAAGTTCAAGACCAATCTGGGCAACATGATGAAATCTTGTCTCTGTAAAAAAATATATGCTGGGCGCGGTGGCTCACACCTGTAATCCCAGCACTTTGGGAGGGCGAGGCAGGAGGATCACGAGGTCAGGAGATCGAGATCATCCTGGCTAACACGGTGAAACCCTGTCTCTGCTAAAAATACATAAAAAGTAGCCAGGCATGGTGGTAGGCGCCTGTAGCCCCAGCTACTCGGGAGGCTGAGGCAGGAGAATGGCGTGAACCCAGGAGGTGGAGCTTGCAGTGAGCCAAGATCGCGCCACTGCACTCCAGCCTGGGTGACAAAGCGAGACTCCATTTCAAAAAATAAAATAAAATAAAATAAAAAATAAAAAAAATTAGCCAGGCATGATGGCGCATACCTGTAGTCCCAGCTACTTGGGAGGCTGAGGTGGGAGGATCACCTGAGCTTGAGCCTGGGAGGTTGAGGCTGCAATGAGCTGTGATCATACCACTGCATTCCAGCCTGGGTGACAGATGAAGACTCTGTCTCAAAAAAAAAAAAAAAAAAAGAAAAAGAAAAGGCCAGGCACAGTGGCTCACACTTGTAATCCCAGCACTTTGGGAGGCCGAGGCAGGCGGATCACGAGGTCAGGAGTTCGAGACCAGCGTGGCCAACATAGTGAAATCCCATCTCTACTAAAAATACAAAAATTAGCCGGGTATGGTGACACACGCCTGTAGTCCCAGCTACTCGGGAGGCTGAGGTGGGAGAACTGCTTGAACCCAGGAGGCAGAGGTTGCAGTGACCTGAGACCATGCCATTGCACTCCAGCCTGGGTGACAGAGTGAGACTCTTTCAAAAAAAAAAAAAAAAAGTTTTTTAAAAAAGAGACAGGGTTGCCGGGCGCGGTGGCTCACGCCTGTAATCCCAGCACTTTGGGAGGCTGAGGTGGGAGGATCACGAGGTCAGGAGTTTGAGATCGGCTTGGCCAACACGGTGAAACCCAGTCTCTACTAAAAATACAAAAATTAGCTGGGTGTGGTGGCGGGCACCTGTAATCCTGGCTACTCAAGAGGCTGGGGCAGGAGAATTCCTTGAACTCAGGAGGTGGAGGTTGCAGTGAGCCGAGATCACGCCACTGCACTCCAGCCTGGGTGACAGAGCAAGACTCCGTCTCAGGAAAAAAAAAAAAAAGGGTCTTGCTATGTTGCTCAGGCTGGTCTCGAACTCCTGGCTTCAAGTGATCCTCCTGCCTTCTGAGTAGCTGGGATTACAGGCAGGAGCCACTGTGCCCAGCCCCTTTATCCATCTTTCTGAGTCCCATTTTGACCCTGTTCTCTGTGATATGGGGACCTGAGGTATATATGGGAACATGACATATGGTGAGGTATTGCAGTCCTGGTGTTTTATTTTTTCTTCTTTTACTCAAATGAGGCATCTGGAGGAGAGGGGAAGGGAGGGGCTAGATCCTGGGGCCAGAGAAAGGAGAGACTCCCACCTCCCAGTCGCTGTGTACAGGCCCAGGAAGTGGATGGGCTCACACCACAGCCTGTGGGTTTGTGGGGCCTGCAGAGAGAGGAGCCGGAGGAGATGACGGCAGCCAATCTCAAAAGAAGTGAAATTTACCAGCTTTCCAGCTGCCTATTGGTCAGGTCTGAGCTACCAGAGTGACCCCAGAGGGATGTGGGGGTTGTCGGGACACCTGGGTAAGGAGATTATAGCCTGTGGGAAGCAGGGGTTGGATGGTTTTTGGGGAAGGAGTCAGAGGTAAGTCTGGCGAGGAAACTTTTCCTTTCCTTGAGGGGTCAAGTTCTGGGGAAGAGCTACAGATCAGGAACCCACCTGTCTCAGCAAAGCTGATGATTTCACATTCCTGTTCCCTGTTGTCCTCTAGAAGTGCCCCCTGTGGGACCCCGTGGAGGTGCTGCAGTGCAGTCCTCAAAGCAGCTCTGGACACAGGGCGGTTCAGTGTTGGGCGCTGGGTGAGGTGCAGCTTGTCCAAGATGCTTCTCTTGGCCAGATCAAGAAGCAGCTCCCGCTGGCTCTCCAGTTCCAAGGTGGGCCCCCCACATGCTGGACACTGACCGCCAGCTCTGGGAGTGGCCACTGTGGTTGGAGCCAGGAGGAGAAAGGCCAGAAGCAATGAGGAGGTCATTGCTGGGGAAGGCCCTTCTTGAGCAATACAGACTCAGGGCTCAGGGTCTCAACAGCTGTGGTCTCAACTCTGTCCTGGCTGCCAGAGGCCCTGGAAGAAGTGTGTGTCCAGCTGGCATGGCTCCTTGTTGCAGGGGACAGAGCAGCAGCCAAACGTCTGACTTGAAAATGAAGCCAGTTACAGGTAGAACTTGGCAGAATCTGCCAACGCATAGTCAGTGAAAGTACAGAGTGGGGGATGTGAGGAGAGGTTGGTTTGTTTAGGGAAAGACACGTCCCTGGGCCAATGTTGGGAGACAGTTGTTATCCATGTGAGCTGCCAGGCCTGGGGTTCAAAGGTGAGAGATTAAATTCCTCCTCAGATCTCTACCCTTGCTGGGAATCCTGGGGATGGTGGAAAGGGACAGATCACAGGTTTTGGGAAAGAATGTTAAAGGGAGACTCTCAAACAAGAAGGGGTCATTGGCAAGGCACTTTAGCTCACTGTCACGCATGAACAATTGAGAGTTGCATTCTTTTTTGCCTGGTGTTTCTCAAAGCCCATCCCCATCCCTCCATCCTCCCTCCTGGGGTTCTCAATCCAGCCTTATTTGTTAGCCCTGGTTGAGTTTTGCCCAAGAGGTCTCAAAACTATGAAGTCTGAAGGTTAAGGGAAGGGAGGCACAGTGTTCTAGCCATGTCTTTGATGCTCTCAGAGGGAACTCCTAAGGTGGGGAAAGGGCTTGAGTTCCAGATTTGCTCACCCTTTGGGGTTTTTTTCTGTCTTGGAAAAGAAGTTTTGAGATTCCCTTTTTTTTTTTTTCTTTTGAGATGGCGTCTCACTCTGTCGCCCAGGCTGGAGTGCAGTGGCATAATTTCAGCTCACTGCAACCTCTGCCTCCCGGGTTCTAGCAGTTCTCCTGCCTCAGCCTCCTAAGTAGCTGGGATTACAGGTGCGTGCCACCATGCCTGGTTAATTTTTGTATTTTTAGTAGAGACGGGGTTTCACCATGTTGTTCAGGCTGGTCTTGAACTCCTGACCTTGTGATCCACCCGCCTCGGCCTCCCAACATGCTGGGATTACAGGCGTGAGCCACCGTGCCTGGCCAGGAGTATAGGTTTTAAATCCAGGTATTCTTGGTTGTTGTTCTTCAGTTCTTGCACTTGTCTCAGAAACATTTCAGGCTTTCATTCTGTGTCATGGCACTGAGAAAATAAAACAATTTTAATCTGGGAAATGCAAGTCTTTGAAGATTATCAGGCTCAGAGAGACATTAAAATGAGACAGCAGACCAGGCATGGCGGCTCAAGCCTATAATCCCAGCACTTTAGGAGGCCAAAGCGGGCAAATCATTTGAACTCACGAGTTCAAGACCAGACTGGGCAACATAGCCAGACCCTATCCATACTAAAATAAAAAATAAATAAATAAAATAAAATTTAAAAAAAGCTGGGAGTGGTGGTGTGTTCCTGTAGTCCCAGCTACTCAGGAGGCTGAGACTGGAGGATCATTTGAGCCCAGGAGGTTGAAGGTGCAGTGAGCTGTAATTGTACTGCTGCACACCTGCCTGGGAAATAGAGTGAGAGCCTGTCTCAAAAAAATAAATAAAAAATAAATAAATAAAATGAGAGGGCAATCATGTCCTACTTCCTGCTTTTGAGCTATGTATTCATCTCTTGAAATTGCTTGCTATTGCCACAAGTAACTATAAATTAACATAATAATGCTGCACTGGACACTATAACCTAGATCCTATAGCTTAACAATCTATAGCCAATCACTAATCAATGTTATTTCTGTAAACCAACAAGAATACCCGACAACTTTGTATCAGTCTACTCCCTGTCTCCTTCTTTTTTGCCCTTAAAAATGTGCTTGTAGGCTGGGCGTGATGGCTCACGTCTGTAATTCCAGCACTTTGGGAGGCTGAAGTGGGCAGTTCACTTGAGGTCAGGAGTTCGAGACGAGCCTGGCCAGCATGGTGATACCCCATCTGTACTAAAAATACCAAAGAAAAATAAAAAAATAAATAAAATAAAAATAAGCCGGGCGTGGTGGCACATGCCTGTAGTCCCAGCTACCTGAGAGGCTGAGGCAGGAGAATCACTTGAACCCGGGAGGTGGAGGTTGCAGTGAGCTGAGATCATGCCACTGCACTCCAGCCTGGGCGACAGAGCAAGACTCCGTCTCAAAAAAAATAAAAAAAAATCTGGAACTTTGGTTTCATTATTGTGCCTCAGGTTTCCTCATCTATAAAACAGGTATAATAATAGTACCTATTGTATTGAGGATTTGATACTAACAATAGATGTAGAATGCTACACATTTTATATTGTACTTACATACACATAATACAAATATTAGCTATTATTTCCTACTGGTCATCACTGCCTGGTCTGGAACTCCTGAGCTCAAATGATCCACCTGCCTTGGCCTCCCAAAGTGCTAGGTGTGAGCCACTGCGCCCGGCCAAGACAAAAAGTTTAAATCGTGGTGAAAAGTGGCAGGTTAGATCAGTTCAGTTCAGTTGTATTTTTCTTCCCCCGTTGTTGTTCTCTAGAGGGTTGAGAGAATTTGGGGGCAGGAGGCAGTGATGACCAGGAGAGAGGGCTGGGCAAGGTGGCTCACACCTGTAATCCCAGAACTTTGGAAGGCCGAGGCGGGTGGATCACCTGAGGCCAGGAGTTCGAGATTAGCCTGGCCAACATGGCAAAACCCCGTCTCTACTAAAAATACAAAAAATAGCCGGGTGTGATGGTGCGTGCCTGTAGTCCCAGCTACTCCGGACGCTGAGGCAGGAGAATCACTTGAACCTGAGAGGTGAAGGTTGTAGTGAACCGACATTGCACCACTGCAATCTAGTTGCCTGGGTGACAAAGCGAGACCCCATCTCAAAATAAATAAAACAAACAAACAAACAAACAAAAAACGCCAACCAACCTGGAACTTGCTCATCCTTGAAGGAAAGATGAACTTCATGCCTCTATGACTTTGCTGGAATCTCCATTCTTACCTCTCTAGTGAACTATTTATAGTCTCAAGATTAGCTGGAGTTTCACCTGTAGTTTCTCTGTAACTTACTCAATCTCTTTTACCGCTAAGAACGAATTGCTGTTCCTTGTGTTTCCATAGCACATTTAAACCTTTCTATTATAGCACTTAAATTGTACTATAATTATTTGACTTTTTTTGCCTACCGCAGTTTCTGTCACAAGGTAAATATTTAATGGTCGAATTCTACAAAAGACTACATTGCTTCTTTGAGGGAGTTTGGTCAGTAAATTATCCACACACACATAATCAATAACTAAATTGATTCTGCCTAGAATGGACAAAACGGGGGAGGCTGGACATTTAAGACGATTTTTGAGAACTGTATCTTAGAGAGGGGATGATGGTAAGAATGTGATCTTAATAGGACAGACTGAGTTCCTCCTAGGTCGGTTTTTTTCATCTTTACGTAAAATGGACATTTACCTGCTCAACTATAGTTATCCACGTATGCAACAAATACCGAGTGTACGTTCTTTTGGTACAGGAGTTACTGCCCTAAGTGAAAGTGCTCTGTAAATGGAAATTACTTTAGAATGATCACTATTAGTATTATATTGAAATCCAGGGTATTCTATCTGACAGACTTGAAGGGTTTAAGGAGGACCGAGGCTCCCAGTGACTCCGGATTGGTGTCCTGACACAGGTAACGCGGAAGGAGGAGAGGGCGAGCGAGCGAGTGCGAGTGCGCGCGCGCCGGCGGGAGTGCGTGCGGCAGGCGGTAGGCCCCGCAGGGCTGCTGAGGGGCACGCGGGAAGCCAGGAAGCAGGGACGGCCGGAACGCAGGACGAGGTGACGACAACGCCGGACGTAGTGACGTAGCGCGCAGCCGCAGCGGGGGGCGGACTCTGGGCTTTTCTTCCCCTTCTGATTTTCCCCTCCCCCCTTTTCTCCCTTTCCGGGTTTGGTTCCCCCCTTTTCTTCCCCTCTCCCCCCTCCTTCCCAAGCCCCTTTCCCCTCCCCCGTCCCAGTCCCCCCTGCTTCCCAGCCCTCGGCCCCGGGGAAGCCCCGGCCGAGAAAAGCCCGCCCCCAGAAGCGCGCCGCCGCCGGCCGTCGGGGCCGAGCCGCAGCCGAGCGGCCGTGGGCCCGGGCGGCGGGCGGAGACGTGGGCGCCCTCCCCGCCAAGGCCCGTGCGAGGTGAGGCCACCTCCCGGCCGAGGGGGCGGGCGGCCCGGACGGCCTGTGGGGAGGGGGCGTGGCGGCCGCACGGGCGGGCGCGAGGAGGCCCCGCGGCCTGGGTTCCTCGCGCCCGGCAGCCGGTCCCGGGGACGATGGGTCAGGGTCGGATGGCCGCGGGAAGGACTGCTCCAAGTGTGCGCTGCTGGAGAGAAGCTGGGGGCGCGGGGCGGAGGGCGGCGGTGCGGGGGCAGGGGGGTGGCGCCACCTGTGGCCTTTGCGGGGTGACCTAAAAACTATTGCGCCCTTCCAGTGCTTCGGGGTGGCTAGCTCCGTGTGTTTCTTGGGTGGCGGTTTTCCTTCGAGCGTGGAGCATGGAAAAATAGGACGGAGAGGTGTAGAAGTGTTTAAAATCATGCTGGTGTCCAGGTTTCTTACAGGGACGGGGATTTGAGTTGGCACATACAGGGAGATGTTTCTATAGCTTAAAACTTGGGCCTACACTAAGCTCATAACTACTCGAGCCCCTGAAAACGCTTCGATTCGTTTTCCCGTAGAGCTAACATTTTTCAACATTTGTGGCCATTAAGTCTCGGAACTACCAGGAATACTGACTTAGAGTGAATTGTCATTGGATAATGATGAGAAATGACCGAATAACAATCCCAGAACTGCGTTAAAACGGAAGAAAGAAAAGTGGAAAAGTTTGAATTCAGATCCCAGTTGGATGAATATCCTTGTACATAATGTTGTTCAAATAGATAACTAAGATTGAGAAGCCTGAGTCCTGTCTGATATGCGTAAGCCACGTGGAGACTCAAGGAAGGAGGAAAGTGACAGGTTTCACTTCAGGAATATCACAAATTCCTAGCATTTTCTTGTATTTTTAGATAGATTTGCAGTTGAATTATTTGTGGCTCTTCTTCCTAATGCTTTTTTTTGTTGTTGTTCCACCAATATTCCCCCCCCACCCCCGCCCCCCTTTTTGTTGCTGGGGTATCAAGACAAAAGGTTGTATTTTGTTTTTTGAGACAGGGTCTCAGTCTGTCACCCAGAATGGAGTGTAGTGGTTCCTTTTCGGCTCAATGCAACCTCTGCCTCCTGGCCTCAAGCCGTCCTCCTACCTCAGTCCCCCAAGTAGCTGGGAGTACAGGCATGAGCCACCACTCCTGGCTGATTTTTGTAGAGACGGGTTTCACCTTGCTGCCCAGGCTGGTCTGGAACTCCTGGGCTCAAGTGATCCACCTGCCTTGGCCTCCCAAAGTGGTAGGCTTGAGCCACCGCGCCGGGAAAGACAAAAAGTTTAAATAGTGGTGAAAAGTGGCCGGTTAGATTAATTCAGTTCAGTTTTTAGTTGTATTTTTCTTACCCTGTTGCTGTTCTCCAGAGAGTTGAGAGAAAAGATAACTTTTTTCTTGAAGGCCTGATGAACTCCTAACAAGTTAAATTTCAGAGTTGAAGTTCCATTTGTCTTTGTGTCCATTATATGATTAGTAGAGCTTCACAATTTTTTTTTCGTAGGGATGGGATCTTGCTATGTTGCCCAGGCTGGTTTTGAACTCCTGGCCTCAAGTGATCCTCTGGCCTCAGACTCCCAAAAGCACTGGGATTACAGGCGTGAGCCATTGCTCTTGGCAGAGCTTCACAATGTAAAGTTTTAAAAAAATTTGACAAATAAAAATAGCATGCCTGACTGGCCGGGCACGGTGGCTCATGCTGTAATCGCAGCACTTTGGGAGGCGAAGGCAGGTGGATCACCTGAGGTCAGGAGTTTGAGACCAGCCTGGCCAACATGGTGGAACCCCGTCTCTACTAAAAATACAAAAAGTAGCCAGGCGTGGTGGCAGGCACCTGTAATCTCAGCTTCTTGGCAGGCTGAGGTGGGAGAATCATTTGAACCCAGGAGGCGGATTTTGCAGTAAGCCAAGATCGTGCCACTGTACTCCAGCCTAGGCAACAGAGCGAGAGACTGTCTCAAAAAAAAAAAAAAAATAATAGCATGCCTAATATTTTTTAATGGAAAATTAAGACAGGAGATGGCTTCCTTTCTCTTTCAAAATAAAAACCAATGTTACTTTTTGTTGTTGTTGTTCTTTCTCGCTATGTCACCCAGGGTGGAGCGCAGTGGTGCAATCTCGGCTCACTGCAAGCTCTGTCTCCTGGGTAAATGCCATTCTCCTGCCTCAGCCTCCTGGGTAGCTGGGACTACAGGTGCCCCCCCACCACGCCCCCCACCACACCCCCCACCATACCCGGCTAATGTTTTGTATTTTTAGTAGAGACGGGTTTCACTGTGTTAGCCAGGATGGTCTCGATCTCCTGACCTCGTGATCTGCCCACCTCGGCCTCCCAAAGTGCTGGGATTACAGGCATGAGCCACCGCGCCCAGCCAAACCAATCTTAGCTTTAAAGCTCTAGATCTGTGGCACCCTTTTCCCCTAACATGCACACTGGCCTCTGGCTGTTCCTTGAGCACACTAGGCACACTTCTGCCTCAGGGTCTATGCTCTTGTTTCCTCTTCCTGAGTTACTTTTCTCTTACAAAGCTGTGTAAGAGCATAGCCTGTCTGTCCCCTCATCTCCTTCAGGTCTTTACTCAAATTTCACTCTTTTTTTTTTTTGAGATGGAGTCTCGCTCTGTCACCCAGGCTGGAGTGCAGTGGCATGATCTCGGCTCACTGCAACCTCTACCTCCTGGGTTCAAGCGATTCTCCTGCCTCAGCCCCCTGAGTAGCTGGGATTACAGGTGCCTGCCACCATGCCTGGCTAATTTTTTTGTATTTTTAGTACACACAGGGTTTCACTATATGTTGGCCAGGCTGGTCTTCAACTCCTGACCCTAAGTGATCCACCCACCTCCACCTCCCAAAGTGTAATCCCAAAGTGTAGGGATTACAGGTGTGAGCCACTGCGCCTGGCCCAAATGTCACTCTTAACACTGATATTCCCTTGGCTATCTGGATGGCAAAGCCCCTCCTGCATACACATTTACATAACTCTCTATCCCCCTTTTCTGCTTTATTTTCTGCCTTAACCCTTATCAACCTATAACGTATTATATATTTTAATCTCCCCTAGTAGAAAGCTTCAGGGCCAGGCGCAGTGGCTCACACCTATAGTCCCAGCACTTTGGGAGGCCAAGGACGGGGCATCACCAGAGGTTAGAAGTTCGAGACCAGCCTGGCCAACATGGTGAAACCCCATCTCTACTAAAAATACAAAAATTAGCTGGGTGTGGTGGTACACGCCTGTAGTCCCAGCTACTTGGGAGGCTGAGGCAGGAGAGTGGCTTGAACCTGGGAGGCTGAGGTTGCAGTGAGCTGAGATCGTGCCACTGCACTCCAGCCTGGGCAACAGACTGAGACTTTGTCTCAAAAAAAAAAAAGCTTCAGGAGAGCAGGCATTTTTGTTTTATTTATTTTATTTTATTATTATTTATTTATTTTTTTTGAGACAGAACCTCTGTCTGTCGCCCAGGCTGGAGTGCAGTGGCACGATGTCAGCTCACTGCAACCTCCACCTCCCGGGTTCAAGTGATTGTCCTGCCTCAGCCTCCTGAGTAGCTAGGATTACAGGCACGCGCCACCACGTCCAACTAATTTTTGTATTTTTAGTAGAGATGGTGTTTCACCGTGTTGGTCAGGCTGGTCTTGAACTCCTGACCTGGTGATCCTCCTGCCTCGGCCTCCCAAAGTGCTGGGATTGTAGGCGTGAGCCTCTGTGCCCAGCCACATTTTTGTTTTATTAATTTCCGTATCCTCAGCACTTAGCACAGCACTTGATGTTCAGTAAAGTGCACAACAGATTTATTGACTGAGTAGGTAAGGAGGAGTTTTTTCCTTGAACTCTTTCCATGAATTTTTCATCGTGATTAGTTGTCCTTGGAAGGGTGGGATGGGTTTTCACTAGGAAAACCTGGTTTTCTAAGGTACTCATTGAGAGATGTTGAGATGTTTTTTCTGGGGATGTTTCTCTTTGGACAAACATCTCGTGCTTTGGGGCCATTGAATGAAAATACTCTGAGGGCAGAGAAGAGGATGGAGTGTGGAAGTCTTTGGTATTGGTAGTCTTATCTCAGATTTATTGTGGCTAGAATTTTTACCTACTTCATGCTCTTCCCTTGAGGTTTGTTCATGTCCCTTCCAAGACAAATATCACTCGTTACTTCTCTGACCCTACCTAGCTGAGCAGGCTGGTTCCACTTTGAGTTTTCAGTAGCCTGAAGATGTTAATATTTATAGTTCTGTCTTTATGGGCTAGTTCCTACCCTCAACCCCACCAATTCATGTAGAGACAGTTGAGCTTAAAAACTTTAAGAATAGGTTTCTCTAACAATGGTAGAATGTTCAGTTCTAGAGAACACTTGATCCTTTTTTCACAGATTGATTTTGGGGGGCATTTTTAGCAACTAAATCTATGCTAAGTTTGAGGATAAAAAGGAGCAGGCACCCTAAATTCTGTGGGTTATCCCTCATTTTATCTTTCCTTAATTAATTAATTAATTTATTTTTTTGAGATGGAGTCTCGCTCTGTCGCCCAAGCTGGAGTGCAATGGTGTGATCTTGGCTCACTGCAACCTCTGCCTCCTGGATTCAAGGGATTCTCCTACCTCAGCCTCCCAAGTAGCTGGGATTACAGGCATCGGCTACCACGCCTGGATAATTTTTGTATTTTTAGTAGATACAGGGTTCTGTCATGTTGGCCAGGCCACTCTCGAACTCCTAACCTCAGGTGATCTGCCCGCCTCGGCCTCCCGAAGTGCTGGGATTACAGGCATGAGCCACCGCGCCTGACCTATCTTTCCTTAGTTTCTTGGTTGGTACATTAGTTACCTCCATTGATCTTCCGGCTAGAGTAACCTGGATGAGATTTCTCTTTGGGGCGGTTTGGCTACTCTTCTTTAGCTCAGGAAGGCAAAGGGAGTGAAGTGTGCGTTTTTCGTTTTGAGAGAGTCTTGCTGTGTCTCCCAGGCTGGAGTGCAGTGTCCTGATTTCAGCTCACTACCACCTCCGCCTCCCAGGTTCAAGCGATTCTTCTGCCTCAACCTCCCAACTAGCTGGATTATAGCCACCCGCCATCATGCCCGGCTAATTTTTGTTTTTTTGTAGAGACAGGGTTTCACCATGTTGGCCAGGCTGGTCTTGGACTCCTGACCTCAGGTGATTCGCCTGCCTCGGCCTCCCAAAGTGCTGGGATTACAGTTGTGAGCTGCTACGCCCGGCCTGAAGTGTGCTTTTAACACTTTGTAGGAATGCTAGTGGCAAAGCTAAGGCTTTTGCTTAAACCTTTGCGAGGACATTGAAAGCTGCCAGGCCTAGGAGAGAACAGTTAATGGGAGGTGCAAGAATTGGGGATCTGCTATGCATTTGTCTGGACATAGTTCTGATATTATTAGTATAAAGAAATAACTGCATCTTCTAGAATTATATTAGTAGTTCTCATTTTGTGAATAATTTTTTTTTTTTTTTGAGACGGAGTTTCGCTCTTGTTGCCCAGGTTGGAGTGCAATGGCACGATCTCGGCTCACCGCAACTTCCACCTCCTGGGTTCAAGTGATTCTCCTGCCTCAGCCTCCCCAGTAGCTGGGATTACAGGCATGCGCCACCACACCTGGCTAATTTTGTATTTTTAGTAGAGGCAGGGTTTCTCCATGTTGGTCAGGCTGGTCTCGAACTCCCGAGCTCAGGTGATCCACCCACCTCAGCCTCCTGAAGTGCTGGGATTATAGGCGTGAGCCACCGCACCTGACTGAATAATTTCTTTTTATTTATTTATTTTTTTGAGACGGAGTCTCACTTTGTTGCCCAGGCTCATGTGACAAATTACAGTCAAAACTTTGTTTTACGTGCACCGTTATTAAAAATATTGTATAGGCTTGGCTTGGTGGTTCATACCTGTAGTGCAGCACTTTGGGAATCTGAGGCGGGAGGATTGCTTGAGCCCAGAAGTTTGCAGCTGCAGTGAGCTATGATTGTGCCACCATACTCTGGCCTGGGTGACAGAATGAGAGCCTGTCTCTTAAAAACCCCAAAAAGGCTAGGTTTTCAAAAAATACAGTTCATATTTTTGTTGGGCCTGTGTCTTTGTTGCGTATGACAATTGTAAGAATTTATGGTTTTTGTTTATGAGGAACAGTATGGGCATCAAGAAATCCTTGGTGTCTTGGAAAAGGGTGGGTCAGACTTGTGAAAGCTTACAGGATTAATAACAGAAGACTAGGAGGAAAGTAATTAAGGCAGTGACAATCCAAATTTAATGGTAGGTACATTTGAAATATATGGTCAGGTGTGGTGGCTCACGCCTGTAATTCCAGCACTTTGGGAGGCTGAGGCGGGTGGGTCACTTGAGGTCAGGAGTTCAAGACCAGCCTGGCTAACATAATGAAACCCCATCTCTGCTAAAAATACAAGACCTTAGCTGGGTGTTATGGTATCACATGCCTGTAATCCCAGCTACTCGGGAGGCTGAGGCACGAGAATTGCTTGAACCTGGAAGGCGGAAGTTGCAGTGATTGAGATCACGCCACTGTACTCCAGCCTGTAGCACTGTAGCAGGTGAATGTATACCCATGAGAAGTGTTCACTTACAGTTTCTTTGTTCCTTTTTTTTTTTTTTTTTTTTTTTTTGAGACAGAGTTTTGCTCTTGTTGCCCAGGCTGGAGTGCAATGGCGCGATCTTGGCTCACCGCAACCTCCGACTCCTGGGTCCAAGCGATTCTCCTGCCTCAGCCTCCCAAGTAGCTGGGATTACAGGCATGTGCCACCACACCTGGCTAATTTTGTATTTTTAGTAGAGATGGGTTTTCTCCATGTTGGTCAGGCTGGCCTCGAACTCCTGACCTCAGGTGATCTTCCCGCCTCAGCCTCCCAAAGGGCTGGGATTACAGGTGTAAGCCACTGCACCTGGCCTTTTTTTTTTTTTTTTTTTTTTTTAATTGAGACAGTCTTGCTCTGTTGCCCAGGCTGGAGTGCAGTGGTATGATATCGGCTTACTGCAACCTCCGTCTCCTGGGTTCAAGCAATCGCCTCAGCCTCCCGAGTAGCTGGGATTACAGGTGCCCGCCACCACGTCTGGCTAATTTTTGTATTTTTAGTAGAGATGGGGTTTCACCATGTTGGCCAGGGTGGTCTCAAACTCCCGGGCTCAGACAGTCCACCCGCCTCGGCCTCCCAAAGTGCTGGGCATGAGGCACCACGCCTGGCCCACTTAAAGTTTCTAATGCTGTTGGTAGAGACAGCTCCCAGCAACCATCAAAATCAATGGGAAGAATATGGGAGACCTTGTAAAATTTAACAGATCTCTTTTCTTTCTTTTTTTGAGACAGGGTCTTGCTCTGTTGCCCAGGCTGGAGTGCAGTGGCATGATGTCGACTCACTGCACCCTCCGCCTCCTGGGTTCAAGCAAGTCTCCCACTTTAGTCTTACAAGTAGCTGGGATTACAGGGGTGCGCCACCGTGCCTGGCTAATTTTTGCATTTTTAGTAGAGATGGGGGGTTTCACCATGTTTGCCAGCCTGGTCTTGAACTCCTGACCTTAGGTGATCCACCTGCCTTGGCCTCCCAAAGTGCTGGGATTACAGGCATGAGCCACCGCGCCCGGCCACAGATCTCTTTTCATCCTTTTCTTACTCTGTTGTTTTTGCAGCATTCATTACTGTTGACCCCTCTCCTTCTTCAAATATTTGGTGACGCTATACTTTTTTACTTGCTTTCCTGGCTCTTTTTCTCCTGCCCATTCTTCATTTATATATTTTTTTATTTTTATTTTTTATTTTGACACAGGGTCTTGCTCTGTTGTCCAGGCTGGAGTAAACTGGCATGATCATGACTCACTGCTGTCTCCACCTCCTGGGCTCAAGGCTCCCAAGTAGCTGGGACTACAGGTACACACCATCACATCCAGCTAATTTTATTTTTTAATTTTGTAGAGATGAGTTCTTCCTGTGTTGCCCAGGCTGGTCTTGAACGCTTGGGCTCAAGCAGTCGTCCTGTCCTGCCTTGGCCTCCCAAAGTGCTGGGATTGTAGATGTGAATTACTGCACCTGGCCCCTGTCCTTTAAATGTTCATTTTCCTGAAAGTTTCTGTTGTATTCTCCCTATCTCTCGTTCTTAAACCTAGTGGCATATGTATCTCTTGAAGGACTTATTAAGATTATGGCCTACAAAAACTCTTTATGATCTGGCCCCTGTCAGCCTTTCTGGCTTTTCCTTAACTACCTGGGAGTTAGCTAGGTGAAGTATGGGGAAGAAAGTTCTGGGGAGGCACTGCCTACGTAAATCATGGAGGTATAGAGCAAGGTAACAGAGTCTTTGCCAAACTGCACGGAATGGGATGAGGCTACATATGGGATTCTTGTGGGAATTACAGAAAAGACTAGAGAGGTACCTAGGTGCCTGATATTGAAGTCCTTATTTGATAGGCTAAAAAGTTCGAGTTTTGTCTTAAACTATGAAAGCTACTGAAGGATTTACTTTTTAAAAATATCTCTTATAGCAATTTGGAGACTGGATTGGAAAATAGACTGGAATTAGGGAGTCCAGTTTAGGGAGGATCACAATAATCTAGATAAGAAATAGGGTCTAAAGTAGTCATGCAAGTGCAGAGGGATAGATGGACTCAAAATTTTTTTTTTTTTTTTTTTTTTTTTGCTAGGCGGAGTCTCCCTCTGTCTCCCAGGCTGGAGTGCAGTGGCACATTTCGGCTCACTGCAACCTCTGCCTCCCGGGTTCAAGCGATTCTCCTGCCTCATCCTGAGTAGCTGGGATTACAGGTGCACGCCACCACACCCGGCTAATTTTTGTATTTTTAGTAGAGATGGGTTTCACCATGTTGGTCAGGTTGGTCGTGAACTCCTGATCTTAGGTGATCCGCCCCCCTTGGCCTCCCAGAGTGCTGGGATTACAGGCATGAGCCACCATGAGATATTTAATAGATAGGCTGGGTGTAGTGTCTCACACCTATAATCCAGCACTTTGGGAGGCTGAGGTGGGAGGATCTCTTGAGCCCAGTTCGAGACTAGCCTGGGGCAACTTAGTGAGAACCTGCCTCTAAAGAAATATAAGAAAAATTAGCTGGGCCTGGTGGCACACACCTATAGTCCCAGCTATTTGGGAGGCTGAGGTGGGAGGATTACCTAAACCTGGGAATCAAGGCTGCAGTAAGCCACAATCCCACCACATTGCACTCCAGCCTGAGCAATAGAGTGAGACCCTGTCTTTTACTACCCTTGATCTTAGCCAAAAGGCAGAGAAGTGATGACCCTGTCTTTAAAAAAAAAAAAAAAAAAAAAAGAGCTGGGTGTGGTCGCTTACGCCTGTAATCCCAGCACTTTGGGAGGCTGAGGTGGGCGGATCACCTGAGGTCGGGAGTTGGAGACCAGCTTGACCAACATGGAGAAACCCATCTCTACTAAAAATACAAAATTAGCCGGGAGTGGTTGTGCATGCCTGTAATCCCAGCTACTCGGGAGGCTGAGGCAGGAGAATTGCTTGAATCTAGTAGGCGGAGGTTGCTGTGAGCCGAGACACCAGCCTGGGCAACAAGAGCAAAACTCTGTCTCAGAAAAAAAAAAAAAAAAAAGAATCTGTTAGACATGGAGATGTGTACATGCGTGATTGACAAAGCTACAGAGCAAGAGAGAGGATAATAGTGGTAATGAGAAGGATGAGCTCTTGGATGACTTCTAGTTTTCTGGGTTCCATGCTAAGGTGGATAGTGACTTCCATTTATAAATTAGGGAATATAGGAAGATGCACGTTTGGGAACAAAAGATGAGATGTTTGGTTTTTGAATGGTTGAATTTGAGGTACCTGTGGAACCATATGGAAATGCCTGCTAGGTAGTTGGATATACCAGTCCAGAGTCAGAGAAGTTGGGACTGGAGAGAGATTTGGGAGTCAGCAGTATAGTAGTATATACGTTGTAGTTGAAGTGATGGTTTGGGTCAGCTAAGAGGCATGTTGAGACTGAAGAGCTGCAGGCTGAGGAGAGGACTTAGAGAACACTGGTAGTTAAAGGTGTGACTGGTGGAAGTGGAGCCCCAGAAGAAATCTGAGGAGGCCTAAAGATAGATGGAAAACTAGTAAAGCCTGGGCGCAGTGGCTCACGCCCGTAATCCCAATACTATGGGCCTAGGCGAGAGGATTACTTGAGGCCAGGAATTTGAGACCAGCCTGGGCAATATAATGAGACCTCATCTCTATTAAAAAAAAAAAAAAAAAAGAAAACCAGTAAAGTGTGTGTAATGAGAAGTAGGAGGAGTTTCAAGGAGGAGGAAGGCAGTAGTATCACAGGTGGTAGAAAGACCAAGTAGGATAAGGACAGAAAATAACTCACTGGATTTGACAGTCAGGTCATTGGTGTCTTCAGTGAGAGCAGGGTCATTAGAATGATGATAACATTTTGAGGAATAAATGGGAGGAGAGAAAAAACAAACTTTGTCTTTCAAGATGACTGCAAAGAGATGGAGAGAGAGGACAGTAATTAGAGGGAATGTGCAAGGAAGAGTTTTTTAAGATGACAAACTCGAGCATATTTATATATACAGGAGAATGAACAAGACAATACAGAGCCATGATAACAGAATGAAGTTCTTGAGCCTGCAGAGAAGATGCAATCTAAAGTAGGGGTAGAATTATTATCCCCTTCATTAAGAGAAGGAAAAGGTCAGGAAAGGGGTGGGGAGAAATGTTTGGTATCTAAACAAAGGAATTTGAGAGAGTTTCTGCCTTATGACCTTTATATTACTTGTGATGTAGGAGACTTATTTTTTTGGGTCAGGGAGCTGATGTCTTAGCGTAAGGCAGGTTGGTTGAATAGGGGCCTTGAGAAGAGAGGCAAGTTCGAATAGCTGTTGAGAGAGTGGGAGAGATAGCTGCTGAGGGTACTTGTATGGCTAGGCAGGCAAAGATATCATGGGGTAGTGTAAAGGTGGGGGAGCATTTCAAGCAGATACAATAGCCTGGGCAAAGACCTAGAGGTATTAAAGAATATGGTATGAGGCTGGGCACGGTGGCTTACACCTGTAATCCTAGTGCCTTGGGAGGTCAAGGCGGGAGAATTACATCATGTCAGGAGTTTGAAAGCAATCTGGGCAACATTGTGAGACACCCACCTCTACCAGAAGTTAAAGCAATTAGCTGGATGTGGTGGCATGCACCTTTTATCCCAGCTACTTGAGAGATAGGTGGGAGGATCACTTGAGCCCAGGAGTTTGAGGTTGCAGTGAGCTATGATTGCACCACTGTACCCCAGGCTGGTCAACAGAGTGAGACCCTGTCTCTAAAAAAAAAAAAAGATGGCCAGATACAGTGGCTCATGCCTGTAATCTCAGCACTTTGGGAGGCTGAGGCGGGCAGATCATGAGATCAGGAGTTCAAGACCAGCCTGGCCAACCTGATAAAACCCTGTCTCAACTAAAAATACAAAAAATTAGCCAGGCATGGTGGCACTTGCCTGTAATCGTAGGTGCTGGGGAGGCTGAGGCACAAGAATCTCTTGAACCCTGGAGGCGGAGGTTGCAGTGAGCCGAGATCACTCCACTGTACTCCAGCTTGGGTGACAGAGCAAGAATCCGTATCAAAAAAAAAAAAAAAAAGGAAAGGAGAATATGGATGGTATATATGGGGCAGTATTTTGAATGACTGAAGAGAAAGATATATTTAGGGCCTGATTTTATGGTGGGCTTTACAAGCTATATTAAGAAATTTGGCATATGAGACAAAGGTGAACTGAAGATTTTTAATCAGAGAAATGAAATGATTATTTTGTATTTTACAAAGGAAACTGGCAGCAATTTGAAGAAATACTTATACTGGATTTAGAGTAGAGGGAGTGACACTGGTTAGGAGGCTATTGTAGTCTATATAAGAGATACTGAGGCCGAGTGCAGTGACTCATGCCTGTTATCCCAGGACTTTGGGAGGTTAAGGCGGGCAGATCACCTGAAGTCAGAGTTTGAGATCACTATGGCCAATATGGTGAAACCCCATCTCTACCAAAAATACACACAAAAAATTAGCTGGGCGTGGTGGTGGGTGCCTGTAATCCCAGCTACTGGGGAGGCTGAGGCAGGAGAATCACTTGAACCGGGGAGACAGAGGTTGCGGTGAGCTGAGATCGCACCACTGTACTCCAGCCTGGACGACAGAGACTCCATTTACAAAAAAAAAAAAAAAGAAGATATCAAAGTCAGGGTAGCCTAGAGTATGCTGGGTAAAAAACAGTCTCCATATCTCAGTAGCTTGAAACAATTAGTTTCCTTTCCACTGTCACTACATGTCCATCAAAGATAGGCTAAAGACTTTTAGTTGTACAAGGACAAAGACCAACGGCAGCCTGCGCAACCACCGTTGGGAATATTGCCAGTTGCTCTGCTGAAGGCAAAAGAAAGCTCTGGAGGCCTTGCCCCGTTAACTAAATGTTCTGCGCAGAAGTAATGAGAATAGAGGAGAGGAATCAGAGCTGAAAAGAGCAGATGAATGTGAGATGGTTCCAGAATTTGGAGATTGTTTAAATGTGGGAAGAGGGGAGGAATTGTGGATGGATGACGCTCAGGTTTGTGTCTTGGGCAAACTGGGTGGTGTTGCTTACTGAGATAAGAAAAGGGTAGGTTTGGGATTAGAGGAAATGTTGGTAGAGAGTTCACTTTTGGAAATGTCTAGCAGCTAGTTGTCTAAATGGATCTGGAGTGCTAGAGAGAGGCAGGGGTATTTAGATTTGGAAGTAGTCTCCACAAGAAGGTTTAATCTGTGATAGGGAACAGGGTTACTCAGGGCAAACTTAAGAAAGTGATAGGAGAGTTGACATCGAGCCCCAGGAAATACCAGAATTTTAGGAACACTCCTGGCCTGATAGCATTGGATTTTAATGTTAAGATTGACATTTTTGGGACCAAGGTAGCCTATGCCCATTCCTGACAGATAACCCAGTAATATTTTGAGGAAGGAGCAAACATAAGCTGGTAAGCTACATTTCCCATCACGTGCTATATTCTTTAGAGAATGTTAGTTCTCACTTACTTGTGCCAGTGGAGGACTGTTATTGGTCCTTGGATGGAATGCATTATAATTCTTTGATTTTGGATATATTTGGCAAAAATTTTGACAGTGACCTGTAAGTTGCCAAGACATACAAAAAAAGAACAAATAATGTGATAATGTCATGGGAGTATAGTAACAAATTATACATATTAGATCATTTAATCCTCAGAATAATAATCCTCATGGAATAGTATTGTATTATTCCCATTTCACAGTGAGGCTTAGGGAAGTTAGGTTAGATTATATGACCATCATCATGTGGCCAGGATATAAACCCAGTTTCATGTGGAAGTCTCTCTCTTTTTTTTTTTTTTTTGAAATGGAATTTTGCCCCGTAGCCCAGGCTGGAGTGCAGTGGCGGGATTTCTACTCACTGCAACATCCGGTTCCTGGGCTCAATCGATTCTCCTGCCTCAGCCTCCCAAGTAGCTGGGATTACAGGCCTAATTTTGTATTTTTAGTAGAGATGGGGATTTACCATGTTGGTCAGGCTGGTCTCAAACTCTTGACCTAAGGTGATCCACCCACCTTGGCCTCCCAAAGTGCTGGGATTACCTAGGCTTTTTTTGTTTTTGTTGTTGTTGAGACAGAGTCTCATTCTGTCGCCCAGGCTGGAGTGCAGTGGTGGGATCTCGGCTCACTGCAACCTCCGCCTCCTGGGTTCAAGCAATTCTCTTGTCTCAGCCTGCCTCAGCTTCCTGAGTAGCTGGGACTACAGGTGCCCGCCACCACGCCTGGCTAATTTGTATTTTTAGTAGAGATGGGGTTTCACCATGTTGGCCAGGCTGGTCTTGATCTCCTGACCTCATGACCTGCCCTCCTTGGCCTCCCAAAGTGCTGGGATTACAAGTGTGAGTCACCATGCCCAGCTGGCTTTTTTTTGTGGGGCGGGGGGGACAGAGTCTCACTCTGTTGCCCAGGCTGGAGTGCAGTGGCGCAGTCTCAGCTCACTGCAACCTCCGCCTCTCAGATTCAAGTGATTTTCCTGCCTCATCCTCTCGAGTAGCTGGGACTACAGGCATGTGCCACCACTGCCGGCTAATTTTTTGTATTTTTAGTAGAGACAGGGTTTCACCTTGTTGCCCAGGCTGGTCTTGAACTCCTGGGGCTGAATCAGCCCTTCTCATCCTCCCAGTGTTAGGATTGCAGGTGTGAGTCATTGTGCCTGGCCTGAAGTCTGTGCTTTTAACCCTCATCTCAAATTGCCTTTTAGGACAGGGCAAGTTTCTATTGGGCAGCCAAGTATTTTGGTTAATGTTGCTTCTTGTTCTTTTTGGCTCCAACATTTTATTTAGAAGAATTTCAAACCTATAGGAAAGGTAGAGGAATGATACAGTGGACACTGGTATGACATTTACCTGTATTTACCAATTGATAATATTTTGCCACATTTGTATGTTTGTTCTCTCCCTTCCTCTTTTTCTCTTCCTCTCTCCCTCTCACTTTTTCCCTCTCCTCTCTTTGCTCCCTCCCTACATACATAGTACACACACAGTTTTTTGTGTTACTGTATATTAGGAATTTTTATTCACGTATTAGGAAATAAATTACAGACATCAGGATACCTCACTCCATAATTTCTTAAGCATGTATCACCTGAGAACAGTGGTGTTTTCCACAATACCATTATTAAGTTCACTATCACATTCAAAATATTTTACAGTGATATAATAATATTATAAACAGTCCATATTTAAATTTCTTCAGTTATCTCAACATGCTTTACAACTTACCCCCACAATCCTGGATTCCTTCAAGGAACATGTGTTGCATTTAATTGTTGTATGTTTGTAGTCTCTTTTAACCTAGAGCAGTTCTCTTCTGTTTTTTTTGTTTTTCATGTCATTAATATTTTTGAAGTGTCCAGGCCGATTGTTTTGAAGAATGTTGTACAATTTGAATTTGTCATGATTAGATTCAAGTCAAATATACTTGGCAAGAATACTACCCAGGTGATGTTGTGTGCACATAATGTGACTTTATCTCATTATTGATAATGTTAACTTTGATCACTTGGTTAAATTGATGTCTGCTTGGTTAAATTGAAGTCTGCTTGGTTAAATTGATATCTGCTAGATTTCTTCATTGTAAAGGAATCTTTCTGCTTTTTTTTTTTTTTTCCACCCCTGGCCTTGTGATGTTGGATCCTTTTCCTTTGGTAAAAATTAAGAAACAGCTGTGGGATGATACTTTTAAGATTTTGGGTCTCTTTTCCTCCACAACCTTTTACCCAGTGACATTAGCATCCATTGATGATCCTTGTCTGAAGCTGTTGTACTAGTGGTTTCTTTTTTCCTTTTTTAATAGAATGCTTCATTAATTTGCATGTTATCCTTGGTCAGGGGCCATGCTAAATCTTCTCTGTATCAGTCCAATTTTAGTATATGTGCTGTGGAAGCGAGCACCACTGGTGCTTTGAATATGTTGATTTTCACATTCTCTCATTCCCTCTGCATTTACGGCTGGTATTGTTCTAAAGAGAAGAGCTTTTCTCCTCCCTTATGTTTTTGAGGATAACTATAGATTTGATAGTTCAAAAAAATTCAACAAGTTACAATCCATTACTGTTAGTATTAAAAGTACCAATAATATTCATTATTAGAAATATAAAAATTGTCTTAAATTTGATTCGAAGGGGCTTGAGGGAGCTCCTTCAAGCTGGCTGCTTTGTCCTTTTGACATCCCTGTCATGTTTTGAGCACTTCCTTACACTCTGGCACAACAAGGGGTTCTGCGCTCACTTTGTATTTTACTTGCCCCAGACCTAGAATCAATTGTTTCTTTAAGGAATCCTGATTCCTTGAATGGGGAATGGTTCCTATAAAGAGAAATTGCTTCTCATTCTTTTCTTTTGTATTTTTTTTTTTTTGACAAAGTTTTGCTCTTGTCACCCAGGCTGGAGTGCAGTGGTGTGATGTTGGCTCACTGCAACCTCCTCCTACTGGGTACAAGTGATTCTCCTGCCTCAGACTCCCGAGTAGCTGGGATTCAAGGCACTTGCCATGCCCAGCTAATTTTTGTATTTTTAGTAGAGATGGGGTTTTGCCATGTTGGCCAGGCTGGTCTCGAACTCCTGACCTCAGCTGAGCTGATCTCTCTGCCTCGGCCTCCCAAAGTGCTGGGATTATAGGCGTGAGACACCGCACCCGGCCTGCTTCTCATTCTTAATTCTCTGTTTTTGGTTTTTTCGTTTTTTTTTTTTTTTTTTTTTTTTAATGGAGTCTTTCTCTTTGCCCAGGCTGGAGTGCAGTGATGTGATCTCAGCTTACTGCAACTTTGCCTCCCAGGTTCAAGCAGTTCTCATGCCTCAGCCTTCCCAGTAGCTAGGATGACAGGTGCGCATCACCATGCCCAGCTAGACTAATTATTGTATTTTTAGTAGAGATGGGGTTTCACCATGTTGGCCAGGCTGGTCTCGAAGTTCTGACCTCAAGTGATCAGCCCGCCTCAGCCTCCCAGAGTGCTGGGATTACAGGCATGAGCCCCTGTGTCTGGCCTATTCTTTGTTATTTTTATGAGATTAGTTATTTGTAGTAAAAAAAAGATAGAGTGGGCTGGGCAAGGTGGCTCACGCCTGTGATCCCAGCACTCTGGGAGGCTGAGGTGGGTGGATCATTTGAGGTCAGGAGTTCAAGACCAGCCTGACCAACATGATGAAACCCGCTCTCTACTAAAAATACAAAAAAATTTAGCTGGGTATGGTGGTGTGTGCCTGTAATCTCAGCTACTCAGGAGGCTGAGGCGGGAGAATCACTTGAACTTGGGAGGCGGAGGTTGCAGTGAGCTGAGACCGTGCCACGTACTCCAGCCTAGGTGACAGCGTGAGACTCCATCTCAAAAAAAAAAAAAAAAAGGGGGGGGATTACAGATCTAAGACTCTCTGTGTCTTCCCAGATGTGCTTGAGCAATAAAGTGTCTAACCTGAGTTTGTTTTTTTTGTTGTTGTTGTTGTTGTTTTTTCCTTGAGAATGGAGTCTTGCTCTGTCACCCAGGCTGGAGTACAGTGGTGCGATCTCGGCTCATTGCAGCCTCCACCTCCTGAGTTCAAGTGATTCTCCTGCTTCAGCCTCCTGAGTAGCTGGGATTACAGGTGCCCGCCACCATGCCTGGCTAATTTTTGTATTTTTAGTACAGAAGGGGTTTCACCATGTTGGTCAGGCTGGTCTTGATCTCCTGACTTCAAGCGATCTGCCCGCCTCCGCCTCCCAAAGTGCTGGGATTACAGGCATGAGCCACTGTGCCCAGCCTGCTTTTTTTTTTTTTTTTTTTTTTAAATAGAAGGTTGCACTATATTGGCCCGGCTGGTCTTGAACTCATGGGCTCAAGCGATTCTCCCACCTCAGCATCCCAAAGTGTTGGGAGTACAGACATGAGCTACCATGCCTAGCCTTAACCTGAATTATTTCACATAATGAAGTGATTTATGAGTAGTTATGGTGACTTGCCATGGGAGATGGGATATTGCACAGAAGATTGGCATTGTATTGCTTTTTTTTCACCTAATTTGGTGGTGACATAAGTTTTCTTTTTCTTTTTCTTCTTTTTTTTGAGACAGAGTCTCACTCTGTTGTCCAGGCTGGAGTGTAGTGGCATGATCTTAGCTCACTGCAACCTCTGCCTTCTGGGTTCAGGCAATTCTCCTGCCTCAGCCTCCTAAGTAGCTGGACTACAGGCACATGCCACCACGCCTGGCTAATTTTTTTTTGTATTTTTAGTAGAGGCGGGGTTTCACTGTGTTAGCCAGGATGGTCTCGATCTCCTGACCTCGTGATCCGCCCACCTCGGCCTCCCAAAGTACTGGGATTACAGGCGTGAGCCACTGCACCCGGCCCGTGCCTGGCTAATTTTTTGTGTGTTTTTAGTAGAGAGGGGTTTCACCATGTTGGCCAGGCTGGTCTCGAACTCCTGACCTTGTGATCTGCCCGCCTCGGCCTCCCAAAGTGCTGGGATTACAGATGTGAGCCACTGCGCCTGGCCAAAAATACATTTTCATATCCCTCTTATGCTCAGGTAATCCAGGCTGTAGTCACTTAAGAGTTGTTTCCCTCTTTATATCTTCTGCTCTCTGAATTAAAATATTCTTAGGTAGGGAATCTTCTCAACCCAGACCTTTAATACTTTGTGGGTTTTGTGTGTTTGTTTGTTTTAATTTTTTCTTTGAGACAGAATCTCACTCTGTTGCCCAGGCTGGAGTGCAGTAGTGTGATCTTGGCTCGTTGCAGCCTCCGCCTCAGGTTCAAGTGATTCTCCCACCTCAGCCTCCCAAGTAGCTGGGATTACAGGCGTGTGCCACCATGCTTGGCTAATTTTTTTGTATTTTTAGTAGGGACAAGGTTTCACAATGTTGGTCAGGCTAGTCTTGAACTCCTGATCTCAAGTGATTCGCCCCCCTTGGCCTCCCAAAGTGCTGGGATTACAGGCATGAGCCACCGCGCCCGGCCAATACTTTGTGTTTTGAACCTGCTTCTTGCATTCATCTGCATATATATTTTACATATTGATCTGTGAATACAATCTAGAACTCATATGAAGTTAGGATGTGTATTTGTCTGTTCTCACACTGTTATAAAGAAATGCTGGAGACTGGGTAATTTATAAAGAAAAGAGGTTTAATTGACTCACAGTTTCGAATGGCCAGGTAGGCCTCAGGAAACTTAAAATTATGGTGGAAGAAAAAGCAGGCATGTCTTACATGGCAGCAGGTGAGAGAGCATGTGAAGGAAGCAAAGGGGGAAGAGCCCCTTACAAAACCATCAGCTCTTGTGAGAACTCGCTGACTATCACAATAACAGCATGGGGGAAACCACCCCTATGATCCAGTCACCTCCCACCAGGTCTCTCCGTCAACACCCAGGTATTACAATTCAGGGTGATATTTGGGTGGGGATACAAAGCCTAACCATATCGGGGTGTTCAATGTATTGAATGTTTCTGTTGGAGCATAGTTTTATGGTTCTTGATGAGGTCTCATGTTTTAGAAAGTCCAAAATAGTATTAGTCTTGGAATTGGGATCTGGTATATCAAAATCACTTCTTATTCAACAGCTTGAGAATGTACTGCTCTGGGACTCTACATGAAACCAGACATGTCAGTCTTGTCCACAAAAATATTTTGCACTGAAGGTGAAACCCATTAAATGTATCTGCATATTCCTTTGATGTGGAAACATATAAATAAGCTGCACAGAAGGTGATGATGTGTTAGTAACATGTTCCTTTGAAATAGTTACAATTCTGCATATTAGGCCATGGCTCATGCCTGTAATCCCAACACTTTAGGAGGCTGAGGCAGGTGGATCACTTGAGGTCAGGAGTTTGAGACCAGCCTGGTGAACATGGTCTCTACTGAGAATACAGAAATTAGCTGAGTGTGATGGTGGACACTTGTAATCCCAGCTACTCAGGAGGCTGAGGTTGCAGACAGCCAAGATCACACCACTGCACTCCATCTAGCCTGGGCAACAGAGTGAGATGCTGTCTCAAAAAAACAAACAAAAATCCTGCATATTATTGCTATTGAGGAAGTATAAAATATTGTTTTGATGGGGGAAGTTGGTCATTTTCAGACATTTTAGCTGGTATTTTAATTAACTTACTAACTTATTAGTTGTGTGCCTTATATATTCTTTTGTTTTATGTGGATGACTGCTCTAAGATTACTTAATAAATGAGCTGCCTGGTAACATAAATTGCAGATATTAAGATGAATTGTATGCTTTCCCATTATTTCTGTTACTTGGCCAAATTAGAACCATGTAGAGCTCTCCTGTAGAATTGAAATCCACTATTTTTTCCCTACTGTCTCTCCAAATTATACTTTATAAATAGAATTTCTTTTTATTTATTTAGAGACAGAGTCTTGCTCTGTCACTCAGGCTGTAATACAGTGGTGCCATCATGGCTCACCATAGCTTCAACCTCTGTGGCTCAAGCGATCCTTCTGCCTCATCCTCCCACATAGCTGAGACTACAGGCACACACACCATGACTGGCTAATTTTTTAATTTTTCTGCAGAGACAGGGTCTTGCCATGTAGCCCAGGCTGGTCTCAAACTCCTGGCCTCAGGCGATCTTCCTGCCTCAGCCTCTCAAAGTGTCGGAATTATAGGCGTGAACCATTGTGCCTGGCCACTAAACATACTTCTTAATAAATATACTTCTTAACACTTCACCTGGATGGATGAGGCAATACATTTGAGCTTGAGATCAGGTGAGCCTTACACTTGGGTGCTTGTGGGAGAATTTTATGATGCTGGAATTGTTTTGCATGTATTGAATTCAGACTAGAGTTTATGTAGGATACTTTGAGGAGAACCTTAGTAATTCCATGTATGTTTAGCTGTTCATGAAATGTGAAGTTTTTTTTTTTTTTTTTTTTTTTTAAGGTTATACTACCTCCCTGGTAATGTGAAGATCTATTGATGTATTAATAGTTGGTAGAGCCTCAACACAAGAAATGGCAGATAAAAGGAATGGTTATGTTGAGTAATTCATTTAAATGAAAAATAAGTTAAAATAGAGTAAGATTACACATACAAAGTGAATATGATATGTTTACCACCTGATTTGGTATTTGGAAAAGTAGGATCTTGTTGCTACTATAGCAAGAAATTTTAGGGACAGTAGAAAAAAATGCTAAACATTTATTAACCAACAAAAATAATTCATAAAAATGGAATGTGTGGTTATTCTGACCCTAGATTTATACAGATGGTAAATGTAAAAGAAAATTGAAAAACAAATCTACATATTCTCTCATTGATTTAAGCCCATGTGCTTTTTTTCTTTTCTTTCCTTCCTTCTGGCTCTTCCTACATCAGTTTTAGAAGGGAGGGACATGTTTTCTTTGGAAAAACGAGCTGTCTTCAAAGAACTTACTGAGACAAAAAAGTTATGAAGGGGGTTATGGGGTAAATTTTTGTTTTCCTTTAGCTTATTTCTATTCATAAAGAATATTTATTTTTATAATTAGAGGAATAAACCAATTATCTTAACACTTTTTACAAAAGGGATAAAGGGGCTATATGTCATCTCTGAAGCTTGTAGGTACTCCAGTAGACCAGGTGGTCTTAATTGGTCTTCAATTAGGTAGTGATTTCTTTTTTTCCTGGGTTTTGTGACTTTTCCTTTGGGTAGGCTCTCTGTGTATTGCAGCCAATTTTTTTTTTCTTTTTCTTTTTTTTTTTTTGCCCCACCTCTCAGCTCTAGTTTTTATTAAATAACTTCACTCTACTTTATCAGTTAGTTAACAGAACTTCTATTTAAATCTAGTAGTATATAATTCTCTTTCTGTGACAGAGTATAAATATGCTCATTTGAACTCTGGGAGAAGGAAAGCTGGTGCGTATTAGCTTGCCTTAAGTGGCTAGAGACTGTTTTGGTGTGATCTGTGTAAAATTTGAAGAAGATAATATTGTATGTTTTACTAGAGTAAAAACTTAATTTTAGTGCAGAGTGGCTATTGGGGTGATAAGGAAGAATATTGTATTTTTCCATAGGTCCCAAGGTTTTTTGAGACAACTTGAGTGTCAGATAAGGTACTTGGGATCATTAGGAGGCTTAATAATCATTTTAGGGTTTGTGTGTGTTAAAGAACCTTACTGACTGGCTAGCTATAGAGATAAAAAATGAACAATTAATGAGCAGGATATAATGGATTAGATCCTGTGATGGAAACAATATGCAGTATAATTTAATTAAGTCAATTGCTGAGTACAAACAGATACAAAATAAGAGAGAAGTCAATATAGAAAGGCATCGTGGAAGAAGTAGAAATTGAACTAGGCTTTAAAGATTAGTATACAAAATTCATTTCAGTAATCATCTTTTTTTTTTCAAGCCAAACTCATCCTTTTAATCAGTAATCCACTCCTGAGTTAACTAACCCACTCCCTCAATAATAGCATTAATCCCCTCATGAGGGTGGAACTCTCATGGATCATCATATTTCAAATATATATATATTTTTTGAGATTTGCTCTTTTATGAAACATTTTACTATGGAAAATTTCGTATGTATTCAGAAGCAACAAGAGTGGTATAAGGAATGTCCATATGCAATTATCTGCTCATGATTAATTTTGTTTCATCTATATTCCTAGTACCTCCCTTATTGTTTTGTTTTTGTTTTTAAATAGAGACAGGGTTTAACCATGTTGCCCAGGCTGGTCTCGAACTCCTGAGCTTAAGCAATCCGCCTGTCTTGGCCTCTCAAAGTGCTGGGATTACAGGCAGGAACCACCAAGCCCGGCCCCTTATTGATTATTTTGAAGCAAATCCTTGATATATTATTTTGCCTATAAATATATCAGCATGTATCTAAAAAAATAAGGAATTGCAGGTGCGGTGGCTCATGCCTATAATCCTGGCACTTTGGGAGTCCGAAGTGGGAGGATCACTTGAGGTCAGGAGTTCAAGACCAGCCTGAGCAATACAGTGAGAACCCATCTCTACAAAGACTTTAAAAATTAGGCCAGGCATGGTGGCTTGCACCTGAAATGCCAGCACTTTGGGAGGCCGAGGTGGGAGGATCATTTGAGGTTAGGAGTTCGAGATCAGCCTGACCAACATGGTGAAACCTTGTTTCTTCCTAAAATAATAAAAACTAGCTGGGCGTGGTGGCAAACGCCTGTAATTTCAGCTACTCAGGAGGCTGAGGCAGGAGAATGGCTTGAACCTGGGAGGTGGAGGTTGCAGTTAGCTGAGTTTGCGCCACTGCACTCCAGCCTGGGCAACAGAGTGAGACTCCACCATCAGAAAAACAAAAAATTAGCTGGATGTGGTGGCACGCACCTGTAGTCCCCAGCTATGTGGGAGGCTGAGCTGAGAGGATTGTTTGAGCCCAGGAGTTTCAGGCTGCAGTGAGCCGTGATTTTACAACTGCACTCTAGCCTGGGTAACAGAGCGAGACCCTTTTCTCTACAAAAGAAAACAAAAAAACACGCACAAAAATAAGGACTTTAAAAAACCAATTGCCCGTTTAAAATAATAATTCCAGGCTGGGTGTGGTGGCTCATGCCTGTAATCCCAGCACTTTGGGAGGCCGAGGCGGGTGGATCACGAGGTCAGGAGTTCAAGACCAGCCTGGCCAAGACGGTGAAACCCCATCTCTACTAAAAACACAAAAAATTAGCTGGGCACGGTGGCAGACGCCTGTAATTCCAGCTACTCGGGAGGCTGAGGCAGGAGAATTGCTTGAACCCAGAGGGTGGAGGTTGCAGTGAGCTGAGATTGTGCCACTGCACTCCAGCCTGGGCAACAGAGTGAGACTCTGTCTCAAAAAAGAAAAAAAGAAAAAAAAATTCCTTAATATTAAATATCTGGTGTTCATATTTCACTGATTGTATCATGATTTTTTTAGTAGCTTATATGTTTAAAATAGGATCCAAATAAAGTCTGTTATAGTTGGTCAGTGCATGTTTAACATCTTTTAATTTTTTTTTTTTTCTCTTGAGAAGGAGTCTTGCTCTGTTGCCCAGGCTGGAGTGCAGTGGTGAGATCTTGGCTCACTGCAACCTCCACCTCCCCGGTTCAAGAGATTTTCCTGCCTCAGCTTCCCAGGTAGCTGGGATTACACGTGCCCATCACCATGCCCAGCTAATTTTTTGTGTTTTTAGTAGAGATGGGGTTTCACCATGTTGGCCAGGCTGGTCTCGAAATTCTGACCGCAAGCAATCCGCCCGCCTTGGCCTCTCAAAGTGCTGGGATTACAGGCCACCATGCCCACCCTAAAATCTCTTTTTCTAAAAGACTTTCCCTCACTTATTTTCCTTCGTAGTTTATATATTAAAGAAATTGGGTCATCTGTCCAGTAGAATTTCCCACAGTTAACTGGATTAATTGATTGACATTATTGTGGTGTCATTTAACATGTTCTCTGTCTCCCATATTTTCTTCAAATTGGTAGTTATATCTAGATGATCAGGTTCAGATTCAATATTTTTGGTTAGCATGCTTTATGCAGTGTTGTATACTTCCATCAAGGGCATGTGATGTCTATTAATCTCCCTTTTATGATGTCAGCAGCTGTTGATAATCATTGCCTAGATCCCTTACTTCATTGAACTTCATTAGAGATTATAAATGGTGATACTCAAATTCTATCATTTCTTAATTTTTTTTTAGCTGCAGTACTTTTTATAAAAGATACTCCCCTCATCGCTTATTTGGTTACTCTGAGGTACAATTTGTATAGGACAGAAAAGACAAATGCTTAAGTCTTTTAATTAACAGTTATGACCATTTTCAAAATAATTAGTTTGTTTATTAACATTTTCTAAAGTTGACTGATGAGTTTTTAAAAAATAGTCATTATGGACTCTTCAATTTAAATATATTTAATGTGTTTAAGCCAATTTCAGTTTTTTTTTTTTTTTTTTTGAGACGGAGTTTCGCTCTTGTTGCCCAGGCTGGAGTGCAGTGGTGCGATCTCGGCTCACTGCAACCTCTGCCTCCTGGATTCAAGCGATTCTCCTGCCTCAGCCTCCCGAGTAGCTGGGATTACAGGCGCCTGCCACCACACCTGGCTAATTTTGTATTTTTAGTAGAAATGGGGTTTCACCATGTCGGTCAGGCTGGTTTTGAACTCCCGACCTCAGGTGATCTGCCTGTGTTGGCCTCCCAAAATGCTGGGATTACAGGCATGAGCCACTGCGCCTGGCCACTTTCAGTTTTATCCTTATTAATGTCTCATTGTCTCATCTTTGGCAAATGGGAACCTCTTCAAGTTGGCTCCTATGTCCTTTGGATGTGATCCTGTTAGTCTTTGATAGCTTCCTTGCTTTCTGGTCTGACAAGATGACCGAAGATCATCTTTTACATTTTCATTTCTGAACATGGATCAGACATTGCCCCCCAAATCCTGGTTCCTTTTATGGAGAAATGATGTTTAGAGATCACAATCTGGGTGCAAAAGGTATTCATTTGCTTAGTGTGTTGGTCATTGTTTCTTGGAGTTTTCTATAGGAAATAAGGTATTTTTTGTTTGTTTTTAAATAAAGTATATCCTAAGTTCATGTCAGTATTTCCAATTCAACATTTGGACTGTAGGTTGGTCTGTCTTCTTTTTTTGAGACAGTCTCACTCTGTCACCGAGGCTGTAGTGCAGTGGTGTGATCATAGCTCACTGCAGTCTTGATCTTCCAGGCTTAAGCCATCTTCCCACCTCAGCCTCCCCAGTAGCTGAGACTACAGCACACACCACCATGCCCAGCTAATTTTTGTTATTTTTAGTAGAGACAAGGTCTCACTATGTTGCCCAGGCTGGTCTCGAACTCCTGATCTCAAGCTCCAGTCTTGGCCTTCTAAAGTTCTGAGATTACAGGCATGAGCCACTGCACCCAGCCAGTAGGTTTTCCTTTAACATCTTCAATCATATAGAAATTTGCATTTTTCAAATTACAAAAGTAATATGTACTCATTATGAGAAATTTAAATGATTTTAAAGTATAAAAGCCAGCCTAGTCAACACAGTGAGACCCGCATTTCTACAAAAAATTTTTTAAATTACTTGAGTGTGCTGTGACACATACCTGTAGTCCTAGCTGCTTGGGAGGCTGAGGTGGGAAGATTACTCGAGCCCAGGAGGTTGAGGTTACAGTGAGCTATGATCATGTCACTGTACTCTAGCTGGGGCGACAGAGTGAGACCCTGTCTTGAAAAAAGAGAAAGAAAGGAAAAAAGTATATAATGTAAAAGATGAAAATTCTGACCCTACCCCAGAATCATTAGTTAACCTACTTAAAGATTCAAAGGTTTCATAGTGGGTGGGTATCTTTGTCTCATATTAATTATAGATATCTTGTTTTTTTTTAAGTTTTATTTTTTTGTAAAATCTGTATTTTACAAATACAGATGGGGTCTCATTATGTTTTTCAAGCTGGTATTGAACTCCTGCGTTCAAGTGATCCTCCTGCCTCAGCCTCAAAGTATGGGGATTACAGGTGTGAGCCAACATGGCTGACCTAGATACCTTGTTTTCTTTTGTTTGTTTGTTTTTGTTTTGAGACAGAGTCTCGCTCTGGTGCCGGGCTGGAGTGCAGTGGCACAATCTCGGCTCACTGCAACCTCCACCTCCTGGGTTCAAGTGATTCTGTTTCAGCCTGTTGAGTAGCTGGGACTACAGGCGCACGCCACCATGCCCATTTAATTTTTTTAAATTTTATTTTTAATAGAGACGAGGTTTCACCATGTTGGCCAGGATGGTCTCGATCTCTTGACCTCGTGATCTGCCCTCCTCGGCCTCCCAAAGTGCTGGGATTACAGGTGTGAGCCACTGTGCCTGGCTAGATACCTTGTTTAGGTAGCGCTGAACCTATAGTTAAAAATTAGGAATGGATGGCCAGGCGCGGTGGCTCACGCCTGTAATCCTAGCACTTTGGGAGGCTGAGGCGGGTGGATCACCTGAGGTTGGGAGTTCGAGACCAGCCTGACCAACATGGAGAAACCCCATCTCTACTAAAAATACAAAATTAGCTGGGCGTTGTGGCGCATGCCTGTAATCGCAGCTACTCGGGAGGATGAGGCAGGAGAATCGCTTGAACCCGGGAGGCAGAGGTTGTGGTGAGCCAAGATCGTGCCATTGCACTCCAGCCTGGGCAACAAGAGCAAAACTCCATCTCAAAAAAAAAAAAAAAAATTAGGAGTGGACTTTTTTTATTTTATTTTTATTATTTTTTTTTAGTATATGTGCTGCCAAAGTAAGCACATGGGATGGATATTTTTTGAGACTAGAGAAAATATGAGAAGTTGTTCCTTATGTAAAATGAGAATTCTTATACATTTTTGGATTTACTGTTTGAATTGGTATTACATTTATATGGTTCAAAGTTTTAAGGATAGAAAAAAGTATGAAATGGAGTTTCCATCCTGCCTTTTTTTTTTTGAGACAGAGTCTCACTCTGTCGCCCAGGCTGGAGTGTAGTGGCATCATCTTGGCTCACTGCAGCCTCCACCTCCTGGGCTCAGGCGATCCTCCCTCCTCCCACCTCAGCCTCACAAGTTGAGCTGGGACTACAGGTGTGAGCCACCACACTCAGCTAATTTTTGGTATTTTTAGAAGAGACGGGTTTTTGCCATGTTGCCCAGGCTGGTCTCGAATTCCTGAGCTCAAGCAATACACCCGCCCCTGTCTCCCAAAGTGCTGGAGTAACAGGTGTGAGCCACCATGCCAGGCCCCATCTTGCTCTTTTTTATTTTTTATTTTTTTTTGAGACTGAGTTTCGCTCTTGTCACCCAGGCTGGAGTGCAATGGTGTGATCTCGGCTCACTACAACCTCCGCCTCCCAGGTTCAAGCCATTTGCCTGCCTCAGCCTCCCAAGTAGCTGGGATTACAGGCGTGCGCCATCACGCCCAGCTAATTTTTGTATTTTTAGTAGATACGGGATTTCACAGTGTTGGCCAGGATGGTCTCGATATCTTGACTTCGTGATCCACCTACCTCGGCCTCCCAAAGTGCTAGGATTACAGGTGTGAGCCACCAGCACCCGGCAAATTGTTTCGTATTTTTAGTAGAGACGAGGTTTCACCATGTTGGTCAGACTGGTCTCGAACTCCTAACCTCAGGTGATCCACCCGCCTCAGCCTCCTAAAGTGCTGGGATTACAGGTATGAGCCACCGTGCCTGGCCCCATCTTGCTCTTATACCCCCAAACCAGTCACTTCCTACGCCTCTCTCCAGAGGCAACTGTTATTACCAGTTTTTGTGCTTTATATGCATTGATAAGCATAAAAAAGGCAAGTATGTATATGTATATTTTCCCCCATTTTACAAAAATGGTTCTGCATCTTTTTTCACTTAGCAATATAGCTTTTAAGTATTATACATCAAGAATTTCCTTATTTTTGGCTGGCTGCAGTAGCTTATGTCTGTAATCCCAGCATTTTGGGAGGCCAAGGCAGGTGGATCACTTGAGGCCAGGAGTTTTTTTTTGGAGACAGAGTCCTGCTTTGTTGCCCAGACTGGAGGACAGTGCTGTGATCTCAGCTCACTGCAGCCTCTGCCTCCCGGGTTGAAGTGATTCTCCCGCCTCAGCCTCCCGAGTAGCTGAGATTTACAAGCGCCTGCCACCACGCCTGGCTAATTTTTGTATTTTTAGTAGAGATGGGGTTTCGCCATTTTGGTCAGGCTGGGAGGCCAGGAGTTTGAGACCAGCCTGGCCAACATGGTGAAACTCCAACTCTACTAAAAATATAAAAATTAGCTGGACATGGTGGTGCATGGCTATTTGGGAGGCTGAGGTATGAGAATTTCTTGAACCCAGGAGGTGGAGGTTGCAATGAGCTGAAATGGCGTCACTGCACTCCAGCCTGAGCGACAGAGTGAGACTCTTATCTCCAAAAACATTTCCTTATTTTTGTTTATGCATGCAGAGTATTGTGGGATATGTATGCACTTTTTTTTTTTTTGAGATGGAGTCTTGCTCTCTTGCCCAGGCTGGAGTGCAGTGGTGGGACTTCAGCTCACTGCAACCTCTGCCTCTCGGATTCAGGAGATTCTCCTGCCTCAGTCTCCTGAGTAGCTGGGATTACAGGCGCCTGTCACCATGTCTGGCTAATTTTTGTATTTTTAGTAGAGATGGGGTTTCACCATGTTGGCCAGGATGGTCTCTAACTCCTGACTTCAGAAGATCTACCTGCCACGGCCTCCCAAAGCGCTGGGATAACAGGTGTAAGCCACTGTGTCTGGCTTGTGCATGCACTTTTTCTTTTATTTTTTTGACACAGAGTCTTGCTTTGTTGCCCAGGCTGGAATGCAGCAGCTCGATCTTGGCTCACTGCAACCTCCACCTCCCGGGTCTAAGTGATCTCCTGCCTCAGCCTCCCGAGTAGCTGGGACTACAGGTGCCTGCCACCACACCCAGCTAATTTTTGTATTTTTAGTAGAGGCAGGGGTTTCACCATGTTGGCCAGGCTGGTCTCGAACTCCTGACCCCAAATGATCCACCTACCTTGGCCTCCCAAAATTCTGGGATTACAGGCATGAGCCACTGTGCCTGGCAGAATAGTCTTTAAGTATTGAGAAACTGTCAAGCTCATCATAGTGATTACATGATTTTCAAAATTCTGATTTTCACTTGAGAGCTCGATTTTTATCATTCGTAATAAATCTATTTTGTTCAATGGTCAGCTGCATTCTTTGTTTATGATTTAAGTGGGCTGGCAATTTGAGCAAGACTCTGTCACAGTTTGCCTCTATTCCACATGGTTTTGGCTGGGCTCACTCATTTGTGTTCAGTTGGCACGTTAGCTAGGGGCTGGTTGGACCTGGATAGCCTCATTCACATGTCTAGCATTGGGCTAGAGCTGTCCTCTAGGTTGGTATGGCCTCTTGCAGGCTGGCTTGGCTTCTTTGCATGATGGTTAGGTTCCAAGAGGTTTTGAGTGGAAACTGAACGGCCTCTTGAGGCCTGGGCTCGGTGGTCGCAGTGTCATTCATGCTGCACTCTGATGGTTGAAGCAAGTCACAAGGCCAGCTCATATTCAAGGGGTGGGGAAATGAACTACACTCTTTTTTTTTTTTGAGACGAACTGCACTTCTTTATGGGAATTGTTACACATAACTGTGGCCATGTTAAACATGGGCATAGTTCTTTATTATTCCTCTTTTTCTCCTTCCCTTTCTCTCTTTCATTCTTTTTAAATGAAATGGATGTTTTCTGCTTGTTTTTATTGCCCTGACTTGTCTTTCTTTTTGAAGTTCATGTTAGAACAAAGCTTACTTACTTAAATATTTCTGTGATTATTTGGTGTGGCTGGGGACTGATATTTTCAGGTCCCAGCTTAGCAACTATTTTTCAGATTACCGTAATAATACCAAACATCTGTTAATGCTGAAAAGCTATTGTTTCTTCCCCAGGTGATTTTGATCTCTTTGAAAAATTGGCAATTTCTGAGGGTTAACACTCTGGTCCTTTTATGGGCTCTGTTTCCAGCCCTTTATGGCTTGTTAGTTATAGAGAGTTACTAATATTGACCTGAAATATACATATGTATTTTGTTGTTGCTAGTTGCTCCATGAAGTCAGAGAGGGAAGGGCTCTGCTGCAGGAGCAGAAGGTGTCTGGATGGTAGTTGTCTTGAGTAGACAGTGTTTATTGTTTTTTTTTAATATATATTTTTATTATACTTTAAGTTCTAGGGTACATGTGCACAACGTGCGGGTTTGTTATATATGTATACATGTGCCATGATGGTGTGCTGCACCCATTAACTCGTCATTTACGTTAGGTATATCTCCTAATGCTATCCCTCCCCCTTCCCCCCACCCCACAACAGGCCCCGGTGTGTGATGTTCCCCTTCCTGTGTCCAAGTGTTCTCATTGTTCAATTCCCACCTATGAGTGAGAACATGCGGTGTTTGGTGTTTTGTCCTTGCGATAGTTTGCTGAGAATGATGGTTTCCAGCTTCATCGATGTCCTTACAAAGGACATGAACTCATCATTTTTTTATGGCTGCATAGTATTCCATGGTGTATATGTGCCACATTTTCTTAATCCAGTCTATCATTGTTGGACATTTGGGTTGGTTCCAAGTCTTTGCTATTGTGAATGGTGCCACAATAAACATACATGTCCATGTGTCTTTATAGCAGCATGATTTATAATCCTTTGGGTATATACCCAGTAATGGGATGGCTGGGTCAAATGGTATTTCTAGTTCTAGATCCCTGAGGAATCGCCACACTGGAGTAGACAGTGTTTTTATATGTGAAATAAACAAGATTCTTTGGCAAGTCAGTGACTTGTCAGTCCATCAGGATGAATCAGCGGAAGTCCTAGGTGAGGTGAGAATGTCAGCACAGTGAGCCCCTTGCCCTGAGTTTATCGGGCATCCCATTAAGGTAGCTGTCATAGCTCCTATTTTAGAGAAGAGTAGGAGTCATTGTTCAAGATTTAGCTTACTTTAAAAACTTTCAGGGGGGAAGGTCACTTTTAGTATAATGACACCATTAGAAGTGGCATGTGGCTGTTTTTCAGATTACAGCCATTTTGGTGTGCCCAAGTGTTACCAGTTGTTAGGATCTTTAAAACTTGTCTTCAGGTGACTAGAGGCTATGCTGCTTCTCCAAGTAAGTTTTATTAATTGTCTTGGGTCCTAGACAAGTTAACTGTAGTTTCTGACTTATCTATTGCCTAAACCTGTGATAATTTGATAGAAATAGGAACTAAGAGGTGGCATTTTATTGCAAAAGATGGATGTTGGCTGCTAAATACAGCTGATTAGAAGGCTAGGACAAAGTGTCTGTTTTTCTGGTGACGGGGTCATTATTAAAGCTTTATTTTATTTTATTTTATTTTTTGAGACAGAGTCTCACTCTGTTGCCCAGGCTGAAGTGCAGTGGCATGATCTCAGCTCACTGCAACCTCCACCTCTCGGGTTCAAGCAATTCTGCTGCCTCAGTCTCCCGAGAAGCTGAGATTACAGGTGCACGCCACCATGCCCCGCTAATTTTTGTATTTTTAGTAGAGACGGTGTTTCACCACGCCAGCCAGGCTGGTCTCAAACTCCTGACCTCCTGATCCACCCACCTCGGCCTCCCAAAGTGCTGGGATTACAAGTGTGAGCCACCGTGCCTGGCCTAAAGGTTTATAGAACGCTTCAGTAGTCAGATGGCTGAGTTCAGCTCCTTTCCACTCCTGTGAAGTTATCTTTAAGACATTTGGAATCCTTCATAGAAGTCTTATCAGCAGTGATTCTCTTATAGGTGTTTGCTACTTGGGTCAATTTAGCCTAAATGGTTCTAAGCTGTGAAGCACTCTTCAATGCTATGCTGGTAGCCAGATCTTTGACAATTGCTGCTGCCTCAGAAGATTGGATTTGGGCCCCACAGAGGCAGAGAACAGTTAACTGCCAGATATGACTGCCATCTTATTTTCCAAGTGTAAATTTTACCTTCTGAGAAAGGAAGAGAGGGCTGGGTGCGGTGGCTCACGCCTCTAATCCCAGCACTTTGGGAGGCTGAGGTGGGCGGATCACTTGAGGTCAGGAGTTTGAGACCAGCCTGACTAACATGGTGAAACTTTGTCGGTACTAAAAATACAAAAATTAGCCGGGCATGGTGGCGGGCACCTGTAATCCCACCTACTTGGGAGGTTGAGGCAGGAGAATGGCTTGAACCCAGGAGGTGGAGGTTGCAGTGAGCCGAGATCACGCCACTGCACTCCAGCCTGTGTGACGGAGTAAGACTCCATCTCAAAAAAAAAAAAGAGAGAGAAAGGAAGAGAGATTTCTGAGGATACAAGGCAGATTGTTAGAATGAAGAAAAGAACAAGGTTTTGACAGTTTGGCCATTTTATTGGCTATACAAATAAGTTTTAAACACCTTAAGAAACCCAAGTTTACCTCAGAGGAAGTAACTTCTTAGCTTTGTAAATGCACCAAACAATTAGAAAACTGTTTCAGTGCTTATCATGTGTCAGACACTGTTTAGAATTGCAGGTACAGATACGAACAAGGTAATAAAATATTTCTTTTTCTTTTTCTTTTTTTTTTTTTGAGGCAGAGTCTCGCTCTTTTGCCTAGGCTGCTGGAGTGAAGTGGCATGATTTCGGCTCATTACAACCTCTGCCCCTCTCCCCTGCCCACCCCCACCACCAGTTTCAAGCGATTTCCTGCTTCAGCCTCCTGAGTAGCTGGAATTACAGGTGCCCACCACCATGCCCAGCTAATTTTTGTATTTTTAGTAGAGACGGGGTTTCACTGTGTTGGCCAGGCTGGTCTCGAACTCCTGAGCTCGTGATTCGCCCGCCTTAGCCTCCCAAAGTGCTGGGATTATAGGCGTGAGCCACTGTGCCCGGCCCACAGTATTTCACTTTTAATTATGATATGATTACAATTAGGGCAAGAAAGTCAAAATTATGTTGCTCTTGATTCTCTTAATCAGAATTAGAGAGTGAACTCTTGGTGTGACAAAGCTCTTAGTGTGAACCCACTGTGCCCACTTAAAAATTAGATGTATCTGGGAATGGCTTGAGTGCCAATGGGGAAAGGAAACTAGTAAATATTTTGCATAGGGGGGAACAAGGTATTACATGGGAAAAAGTTTACCACAGGAGGAGTGTTTTAGGACCAGCACTAGTGGTGAAAAGGGGAAAGGCAATATCCTCTGGCCATTCCTTCGCAACTTTAGCCAACTACTCCACATTCCTAATGTCAAAACCGTGATGTGCAGGGGCTATAAAAAAAAACTAGAACTTTTTCATAGAAACCTTTGTTAAGATATCAAGAGGGCAGACTTTCATGATGTGGTATTTGTGGAACAGGGTTATATAAAACAAAATGGTGAGTTAGGGATATTCTCACTTTAGCATAGAACACAGTAGGGCTTGGGTGTTTTGAAGGCTTCCAAGAATACAGACTGACTTGGGCATATTAAGGGTTCCAATGGTGGCCTCCTGAAATAGATTAAACAGCCAGCCCTCAGGGTCTTGTAATAATAATAACTACTGCTTTTAGGGTGAAGAGATACTAAATTATGTACTTGTAATGCCTACTTATATTCACAGAATAAAATTCTGCCTCTGGCCTCTTTTTGCTTCTACTTCTCATCTATTAAGAGAGATCCTAGTTTTGTTTGCTCAGTTCTAGACAATTTTTTTTTTTTCTTTGAGATGGAGTTTTGCTCTTGCTGCCCAGGCTGGAGTGCAATGGTGTGATCTTGGCTCACTGCAATTTCTGTCTCCTGGGTTCAAGCCATTCTCCTCCCTCAGCCTCCCAAGTAGCTGAGATTACAGGTACATGCCACCTTGCCCAGCTAATTTTTTGTATTTTTAGTAGAGATGGTGTTTCACCATATTGGCCAGGCTGATCTCGAACTTTTAACAGTAGGTGATCCACCTGCTTTGGCCTCCCAAAGTAAAGTGCTGGGGTTACAGGTGTGAGCCACCATGCGCAGCCTAGACTACTCTTTTTTTTTTTTTTTTTGAGACAGAGTCTCACTCTGTCACCCAGCCTGGAGTGCAGTGGCATGATCTCAGCTCACTGCACCCTCTGCCTCCTGGGTTCAAGCAATTCTCTGGCTCAGCCTTCTGAGTAGCTGCGATTACAGGCGCCCGCCAACACACTTGGCTAATTTTTGTGTTTTTTCAGTAGAGACGGGGTTTCACCATCTTTGCCAGGCTGGTCTTGAACTCCTGACCTCGTGATCCACCTGCCTGGGCCTCCCAAAGTGCTGGGATTACAGGCGTGCGCCACTGTGCCCAGCCTAGACTACTCTTTTTTATTTTTTTATTTTTTATTTTATTTATTTATTTATTTTTTTGAGACGGAGTCTCACTCTGTCCCCCAGGCTGGAGTGCAGTGGTGCGATCTCGGCTCACTGCAACCTCCGTCTCCCGGGTTCAAGTGATTCTCCTGCCTCAGCCTCCCCAGCAGCTAGGATTACAGGCACATGCCACCGTGCCTGGCTAATTTTTTGTATTTTTAGTAGAGACAAGGCTTCACCATGTTGACCAGACTGGTCTTGAACTCCTGACCTCAAGTGATCCACCGGCCTCGGCCACCCAAAGTGCTGGGATTACAGGCGTGAGCCACCGCGCCCGGCCTAGACTACTCTTTTTAATGAGTAAAAAAGAGCTGAAGAATTTCAGGGAATAGACTGGGTGATTAATTTATGTTAGAAAGTGGTAGGCCAAGAACTGCTCATACAAAGAGGGAGTTAATGTAGAGAGGAACAAAATGCAGGGTTTTTTTAATTGTAAATTGACAGTGGGAATGGATATAGAGGGTTCAGGGCAGGGGCAGTGTTAGGGGAAACATTGTGAGCTGAAGAAATTGGGAAAGATGATATTAACAGGTGCTGCTGTGGATTTTGAATTGGATCTAATATATTAAGGTTTAAAATTGCTTTTAACTTGTTTTTTTTTTTCCCCCTCCTCCCCCAGAGGTTAGACTTGTTTCTTATATGTGATGCCATTCCAGCACTGGACTCATGGAGGCTGAGCATTTATTCAGGTAATAATAGATAACATTTATGGAGCACTTTCTGTGTTCCAGGCAACAAATTGTTATACATCTGTTCTCATTTAATCCTCACACAACTCCATGGTGTTGGAAGTGTTATTGTACCCATTTAGTAGATGAAGAAATTGAGATGCAGAGAGTGCATCAAGAGTGAGTTCAGTGCCAGGCGAGGTGGCTCACACCTGTAATCCCAGCACTTTGGGAGGCTGAGGTGGGCAGATCACCTTTTTTTTTTTGAGATGAAGTTTTGCTCTTTTTGCCAAGGCTGGAGTGCAGTGGCGCCATCTCAACTCACCGCAACCTCCGCTCCCGGGTTCAAGCGATTCTCCCGCCTCAGCTTCCCGAGTTGCTGGGATTACAGGCATGCACCACCACGCCCGGCTAGTTTTGTATTTTTAATAGAGGCAGCGTTTCTCCGTGTTGGTCAGGCTGGTCTGGAACTCCCGACCTTAGGTGACCTGGCCGCCTCAGCCTTAAAGTGCTGGGATTACAGGCGTGAGCCACCGTGCCCGGCTCTAATTTTTTTTAATTTTTTTTGAAACGGAGTCTTGCCCTGTGGCCCAGGCTGGAGTGCAATGGCGTGATCTCAGCAACCTGTGCCTCCTGAGTTCAAATGATTCTCCTGCCTCAGCCTCCCTAGATGCTGGGATTACAGGCGCCCACCACCATGCCCAGCTAATTTTTTTTGTATTTTTAGTAGAGACGGGTTTCACCATGTTGGCCAGGCTGGTCTTGAACTCCTGACCTTGTGATCCACCCGCCTTGGCCTCCCAAAGTGCTGGGTTTACAGGCGTGAGCCACCGCGCCCAGCCTTATAATTTTTTATAAAGTAGATAAAATGTTTTGAAATAGTTAAAATGTATTTGCATGAATATCCATATAAGTTAAATATGTATAACTAGGGAATTCTTTCTTAAGAGGTGATTAATATAGATAACAGAAATCTCATGATTTCTTCCCGCTTGAGATACTGTTCACAGGTATTTTCACCTTTAAGAAGCCTTATTAGAGTTGCTTATAGGACCCTTCTTGGTGCATTTAAATGCTTATATACAGATTACATTAATTGCAGTACTATCATATCAGTTATTGAGTGGCCAGCATTAATACATTTGTCCTATTTTTCTTTCTCTGTCTTTTTAAAAAAAGACCTTTATTGAAGTGTAGTTGACATACAGTAAACTGCACATATTAAAGGTATACATGCGCCATCTCAGTTCACTCACTGCAACCTCCGCCTCCCGGGTTCAAGTGATTCTCCTGCCTTGGCCTCCCGAGTAGCTGGAACTACAAGTACAAGACGGGGTTTCGCCATGTTGGCCAGGCTGGTCTAGAACTCCTGACCTCAAATGATCTGCCCACCTCAGCCACCCAAAGTGCTGGGATTACAGGCATGAGCCACCACCGTGCCCGCTGTGCCATTTCTTTTCTTTTTTTTTTTTTGAGACAGGCTCTTGCTCTGTCACCCAGGCTGGAGTGCAGTGGCGCGATCTCGGCTCACTTTAACCTCTGCCTCCCAGATTCAAGCGATTCTTACACAACAGCCTCTCGAGTGGCTGGGATTACAGGTGTATGCCACCACACCTGGCTAATTTTTTGTATTTTTAGTAGAGATGGGATTTTTCCATGTTGGCCAGGCTAGTCTCAAACTCCTGACCTCAGGAGCCCACCTCGGCCTCCCAAAGTGTTGGGATTACAGATATGAGCCACCACACCCAGCCTAGAGTAGAGCCATTTCTTGTAGAGTAGGTCTGCTAGTGATGAATTATGTCTTTCTGTTTATCTGGGAATATCTTTTTCTCCTTTGTTTTTGAAGGATAGTTTTGCTGGATTTTGGGAATGTTTGGTTTACATTATTTTAGCTTCCATGGTTTCTGATGAAAAATATGTGTTATCTCAAGGATCTCTTGTGTGATAAGACACTTGTGCCGCTTTCAAGATTCTCTTTGTCTTTGTTTTTTAAGAGTTTGATTGTATGCCTAGGTGTAGATCTCTGAGTTTTTCCTGGTTGGAATTTATTGAGCTTCCTGGATGTATAGATGAGTGATTTTCATCAAATTTGAGCTTTTGGCCATTATTTTACTAAATATTATTCTTGCCTCTTTTTCTCCTCTCATAGGACTCCTAGTATGTATTTGTTAGTATGCTTGATGGTGTCCCACAGGTCTCTCAGACTTTGTTCATTTTTCTTCATTCTTTTTTCTTTTTGTTCCCCAAACTGGATAATCTTTATGTTATTTTGTTTTATTTTATTTTGTTAGAGATGAGGTCTTGCTGTGTTGCCCAGGCTGGAGTATAGTGGCTATTCACAGGCACTACGAGTTCAAGTGTACTATAGGCTGGGTGTCCTGGCTTATGCCTGTAATCCCAGCACTTGGGAGGCCAAGGCAGGTGGATTACCTGAGGTCAGGAGTTCTAGACCAGTCTGGCCAATATGATGAAACCCCGTTTCTACTAAAAATTCCAAAATTAGCCGGGCATATTGGTGGGTGCCTGTAGTCCGAGCTACTGGGGAGGCTGAGGCAGGAGAATTGCTTGAAACTGGGAGGTGGAGGTTGCAGTGAGCCAAGATCGCACCATTGCACTCCAGCCTGGGCGACAGAGCGAGACTCCTTCTGAAGAAAAAAAAAAAAAAATGCCTGGCGCAGTGGCTGACGCCTGTAATCCCAGCACTCTGGGAGGCCAAGGCGGGTGGATCACGAGGTCAGGAGATTGAGACCATACTGGCTAACATGGTGAAACCCTGTCTCTACTAAAAATACAAAAAATTAGCTGGGCGTGGTGGCAGGTGCCTGTAGTCCCAGCTACTCCGGAGACTGAGGCAGGAGAATGGCGTGAACCCAGGAGGTGGAGCTTGCGGTGAGCCAAAATCGTGCCACTGCACTCCAGCCTGGGCGACAGAGCGAGACTCTAGCAAAAAAAAAAAAAAAAAAAAGTGTACTATAGAATTGAACTGCTGGGCTCCCAAAGTGCTGGGATTGTAGACATGAGCCACCACACTTGGCTTTAGTTTTTAAAGATACTTCATTGTCTTTGGGCTTGAATAGCTTCCAATGAGGCGGAGGTTGTGGTGAGCCGAGATCGCGCCATTGCACTCTAGCCTGGGCAACAAGAGTGAAACTCCATCTCAAAAATAAAAAAGAGAGAGAATTCTGTTGTCATCTTTATCTTTGTTCTTCTATATGTCAGGGTTCCCCAGTCCCTGGGCCATGGACCAGTGCTGGTCCAAGAGGTAAGCGGCAGGCGAGTGAACATTACCCCCTGAACTCAGCCTCCTGTCAGATCAGCAGTGGCATTAGATTCTCATAGGAGTGTGAACTCTATTGTGAACTGTGCATGTGAGTGATCTAGGTTGTATAGTCCTTAGGCAAATCTAATGCCTGATGATCTGAGGTGGAACAGTTTCATCCTGAAACCATCGCCTTACTGTCCATGGAAAATTTGTCTTCAACAAAACTGGTCCTTGGTGCCAAAAAGGTTGGAAACCGCTGTTATTTGTGTCCTTTTGCTCTGGCTGCTTTTAAGATTTTCCCTTAGCTGGGTGTGGTGGTTCATGAAGCCTGTAGTCTCAGCTACTTGGGAGGCCTGAGGTAGGAGGATCACTTGAGCATAGGAGTTGCACGATCTCGGCTCACTGCAACCTCCACCTCCCAGGTTGAAGTGATTCTCCTGCCTTGGCCTCCCAAATTGCTGGGATTACAGGTGCCCACCACCACACCTGGCTAATTTTTTGTATTTTTAGTAGAGACAGGATTTTGCCATGTTGGCCAGGCTGGTCTCCAACTCCTGACCTCAGGTAATCCACCCGCCTCAGCCTCCCACAGTGCTGGGATTACAGGCTTGAGCCACTGGGCCCAGCCGCTCACTTTTTACTATAGCTCTTTGCACATGTGGAATATAGTGGTAATAACTTTTCAAGTGTCTTTACAGATTCTATAATTTGTATCATTTATCAGTTATTTATTTTAACTTTTCATTGTGAAACAAGTATAGATTTATAGGAAGTTGCAAAAAGAGTATAGGAATATCCTATGATGTCCTTTTACTCAGTGTCTTCCATTGGTAACATCACATAACTATAGTACAATATTAAAGTTAGGAAGTAGCCATTGGTAAAATTTACAGAGTTTATTCAGCTTTGTCCAGTTTTACATGTACTTGTATTTGTGTATGTCGGTGTTTGAATTTCATAATGTGTGAATTTGTGTATCTACCATCACTGTGAAGATGCAAAACAGTTCCATCCCCACAAGGATCTTTCTTGTTGCCCTTTTATAACTACACCTGCCTCCCTCCATCCCATTCCCTGGAAACCACTAATATAATATTGTTATTTCAAAAACATTACACAGATGGAATCCTATAGTATATACAGTTGGCTTTTTTTCTTTTTGAGATTGGCTTACCCCAACCCCTGCCCCACTTAGCTTAATTATCTGGAGATTCATCAAAGTTGTTAGATGTATCAATAATTTGTTCCTTTTGATTGCTGAGTAGCGTTCCATGGTGTAGCTGTACGCATTTGCTTAATCATTCACCTGTTGAAGGACTTCTGTGTTGGTTCCAATTTTCATCTATTGCATATAAATCTACTATGAATATTCATGTCCAGATTTTTGTATAATTATTAGTTTTTATTTGTCTGTGATAAATGCTTAAGAGTCTAATTGCTGGGGGTATGGTAATTAGATATTTCTTTTCTTTCTTTCTTTTTTTTTTTTTTATTTGAGACGGAGTTTTGTTGTTGTTGCCCAGGCTGGAGTGCAGTGGCATGATCTCGGCTCACTGCAACCTCTGCTTCCCGGGTTCAAGTGATTCTTCTGTCTCAGGCTCCTGAAAAGCTGGGATCACAGGCAACCACCACCACACCTGGCTAATTTCCTGTATTTTTAGTAGAGACAGGGTTTCACCATGTTGGCCAGGCTGGTCTCAGACTCCTGACCTCAGGTAATCCACCCGCCTCACCTCCCAAAGTGCTGGGATTGCAGGCGTGAGCCACCTCACCCAGCCTGGTAATTACATATTTCTTTCTTCCTTTTTTTTTGAGACGGATTTCACTCTGTCATCAAGGCTGGAGGGCAGCAGTGTGATCATGGCTCACTGCAGCCTCGAACTCCTGGGCTCAAGTGATCCTCTTGCCTCAGCCTCCCAAAGTGCTGGGACCACTGGTACATTCCGCCTTGCTTGGCTAATTATTTTATTTTTGGTAAAGATGGGGTCTCACTATGTTGCCAAGCTGGTCTTGAACTCCTGAGCTCCAGTGATCTTCCTGTCTCAGCCTCCCAAAGTGCTGGGATTTCAGATGTGAGCCACTGCATTTGGCCTCAGTCCTATTTTCTTCACTCAGGGAGCATGCTGGACTCTGCCCTTGTTCCCCTTAGACTCTCCTTCCCTGTTACATTTCTTGGAAACACTGTTTAGGGATTAAGCCTGGATAATCACAGGACTCACCTCACTTGTTTCCCATCTCCCAAGGAATCACTATCGTTCACTGCCTGATGCCCAGTAACTTAAAAACTATTGTTTCATATATTTTTTCTTTTTTTCTTTCTTTCTTTTTTTTTTTTAGTTATTTCTCCTAGAAGGTATTCTGATTCTTGTTACTCTGTTAGCCAGAAGTGGAATCCCCTCCCCCAACCTGTAAAGTTTTCATTAGCATTATTACACCTATTGTTACTGACTACTATCCAATAATTCCTTTGTTTCTCGAATTCTTGAAAAGGGAACGGCAGCCAAATAGAGCTCAGACAAAAAAGATACTTCTGATGTTGTTCAGTGTCTCTTGAAGCCCACATAATTCCAGAAAATTGCAAATCAATCAGATACAGGCTTAGAGCTAGAAGTAGGTCAGCTACCATAGCACAAGATGATGGTGTGAAAATATTTTAGTGACAGCTTGTGCATGATAATATATCCTTTCTTGTTCAGGGTTCTTTTTGGATATAATGCTGAATTCTGGGTGTTATCATATGCTTTTTTTCTATTCTAATCTTTTTATTCTTTGTTAAAAAATATGGTCATGTTTATAAAATCACAACTTCTACATTTAAAGGGTAGGTTGACCAATTAAAGCAGCCTTTCCAACCTAAGTGCATCTGGCTAGGTAATTCTCTCTGAGCTTTATTATTTGTTTTAGAGCTTAGATCAGAGTTTGACAATGTAGTGTATATACTAAGATTTCTTAAAGATTTATCTGTGTATTCCAAGGTGTGCTTATCTGTGTAAAAAACTCAGCAAGACATGGCATTGCCACAGGCTATCAAACATTTGAAATATTCCTTTGGAGTTATTTTCTGGAATTAGGCCACTTTTCAATAATTAGATGACTTTGAGCTCTTGGAGTCATCTCCTAGAACCACCTTTGGAATAGAGCTGCCTCTGTGCTCGTCTTACCAGTAGAGTTTTATTTGTATTTCCAGCCTGTTGCTTCTGCTGATGAACCTGGGTATAGCTTTGTATATTAGTCAGCTATTTTCAACATTGCCTATCATGGTGCTTTGCAAGTGGTTACTCAGTAGTTATTTGCTGCATGAACGAATGTCTCTTCATTGAGTCACTGCATCAGTCACTTCCCTCCTAACGTTTCAGGGGATCTTTCCTTTTCCTCCCATCTCTATCCTTTTGGTTATTTTCCTTCTTGTTTGCATTTCCTCTGGAGGGTAGACCAAGAAGGCAAAGGAGATGAGTCCAAAACCATTCTGTTGTTTATTAGTAACCCTGATAAGAAAAAAAGTATTATATGAGAAAGGATTGAAATATTTGGTGAAAATCAGATTTTGGAGTTAATGCTGGATTTCATTTTTTCATTCTGTATCTCCCACTACTAGTTATGGATTCGGTTTTTGCTGTTTTTTCTTTTCTTCAAAGCCCTGACCATCTTTTTTTTCTTTAATTTATAGCTAGTGATGTCCTCTTACATTTTATTTTATTTCTCATTTTTATAACTTTTTCCCCCTCCATATGGAAGCCTCTTCCATGTGGAGTCCTAATTCGGGAAAAGGAGTCAGGCTGGCGGGACCAAGGGAATGCAAAAAGAGAAAGCAGATAAGCTGTAACTGCCTTCGTGGTCCAGGACACATAGCCCTCCTGCGCAAATAACTCATAATCTTCCTGCACCCAGCTATCACCAGACCCTCAGCTGATAGAAAAATGCAAGTTAGCTCACTGCAACCTTGACATTGTCAGTACTGCACAAGGTGTTATCATTAACCCTCTTCAGCACACAGCACAAGCACCATCTTATAGAATCCCCAGCAAGCAAGCCTTTGTGTCTCCTGGCAGCCAGTTCTTCTCTTGCTGACTTGTCGTTTGCTTTCTTACAACATATTTTCCTACTTTCGCTAATAAATAAATATGCCTTTCTTTACCTACAACTGTCTTGGTAAATTCTTTTTACTGCCTGCATGACACTGGCCCCAGATAGTTGCCACTCAAAATACTCCTCTTCTTTATCCCTTTAAATATTGGTGTGTCTTGGCCAGGTGTGGTGGCTCACGCCTGTAATCCCAGCACTTTGGGAGGCTGAGGCGGGCAGATCACCTGAGGTCATGAGTTCCAGGTCAGCCTGGCCAACATGGTGAAACCCCATCTCTACTAAAAATACAAAAATTAGCCAGGCATGGTGGCAGGCGCCTGTAATCCCAGCTAGTTGGGAGGCTGAGGCAAGAGAATCGCTTGAACCTGGGAGGCGGAGTTTGCAGTGAGCTGATATCCCGCCATTGCACTCCCACCTGGGGGACAAGAGCAAGACTTTGTCTTTTTAAAAAAAAAAAATTTTTTTTGTCTGTCTTGAGGCCCCTGCTTCTCTTCTAGCCTTTTCTTTGGTTACTCTGCCACTGTTTTCATTGTGTTTTCTCCCTCTGTGACCCTGTTTAAAATCCAAGGTTTCAACTACTCTCAGTTTGGTGTTCTAGATTTCCAGTTCCACTGGTGTAACTATCCATTGGACACTTTTTGTCCGCCCATGGGCATAACATATTTATTATGTATGAAACAGAACTTTTTCTTTCCAAACTGGTTTCTTCTTCAGTATTCATATTTCAGTGAGTAGAAATATTATTCACTCAGTGGTTCTCAAACTTTCTGGTATCAGAACCCCTTAACACTCTTAAAAATGATTGAAATCTCCAGAGAGCTTTTGTCTTTGTGAGTTATAACATTAAATATTAATGATTAGAAGTTAAAACTGAGAAAATTTAAAATACCTATTTTTAAAAAGTATAAATTTACTAAAAGTGACAGTAAACCTTTGTCCAGAATTGGTGGGTTCTTGGTCTCACTGACTTCAAGAATGAAGCCACGGACCCTTGCGGTGAGTGTCACAGTTCTTAAAGGCGGTGTGTCTGGAGTTTGTTCCTTCTGATGCTCGGATGTGTTCGGAGTTTCTTCCTTCTGGTGGGTTCGTGGTCTCGCTGGCTTCAGGAGTGAAGCTACAGACCTTTGCGGTGAGTGTTACAGCTCATAAAGGCAGTGTGGACCCAAAGAGTGAGCAGCAGCAAGATTTATTGCAAAGAGCGAAAGAACAAAGCTTCCACAGTGTGGAAGGGGACCCCAGCCGGTTGCCACTGGTGGCTCGGGCAGCCTGCTTTTATTCTCTTATCTGACCCCACCCATATCCTGCTGATTGGTCCATTTTACAGAGAGCTGATTGGTGCATTTACAGTCCCTGAGCTAGACACAAAAGTTCTCCACGTCCCCACTAGATTAGCTATATGCAGCCCACTAGATTAGCTAGATACAGAGTGTTGATTGGTGTATTTACAAACCTTGAGCTAGATACAGAGTGCCAAAGGTGCATTCACAACTCCTTAGCTAGACATAAAGGTTCTCCAAGTCCCCACCAGATTAACTAGATACCAAGTGCCAATTGGTGCATTCACAAACCCTGAGCTAGACACAGGGTGCTGATTGGTGAGTTTACAAACCTTGAGCTAGATACAGAGTGCTGATTGGTGTATTTACAATCCCTTAGCTAGACATAAAGATTCTCCAAGTCCCCACCAGACTTAGGAGCCCAGCTGGCTTCACCCAGTGGATCCTGCACTGGGGCTGCAGGTGGAGCTGCCTGCGAGTCCTGCACAGTGGGCCTGCACTGCTCAGCCCTTAGGCTGTCCGTGGGACTGGGCGCGGTGGAGCAGGGGGCGGCGCTCGTCAGGGAGGCTCAGGCTGCGCAGGAGCCCACAGAAGCGGGGGGAGGCTCAGGCATGGCGGGCTGCAGGTCCCAAGCCCTGCCCCGAGGGGAGGCAGCTAAGGCCCGGCAAGAAGTCGAGCACAGCAGCTGCTTGCCCAGGTGCTAAGCCCCTCACTGCCCTGGTGGGCGGGGCCGGCTGGCCTCTCCGAGTGCGGAGCCTGCCGAGCCCACTCCCACCCGGAACTCGTGCTGGCCCGCAAGCGCCATGGGCAGCCTCGGTTCCCGCCCGTGCCTCTCCGTCCACACCTCCCCGCAAGCTGAGGGAGCCGGCTCCCGCCTCGGCGAGCCCAGGAAGGAGCTCCCACAGTGCAGCGGTGGGCTGAAGGGCTCCTCAAGTGCCGCCAAAGTGGGAGCCCAGGCAGAGGAGGCCCCCAGAGCGAGGGAGGGCTGCGAGCGCTGCCAGCACGCTGTCACCTCTCAAACCTATTGCATGTTAACATAAATTTGTATGAAAAATAACTTTTTACAAAACAGCAGCAACAAAATGTGGTGAGAAATGTGGCATTTTTTTTATTTTTGTAATTATTTTTAATGATGGTACTAATAGAAGACAGCTGGATTCTCATAACTGCATTTTCATTCAAATTAGTTACAATATTCCATTTCATATATCTTCTGGAAAATGCTACCATACACCCATGAGAGCATGACAGTGAAAAAGACAAACAGGGTTTTACTACTACTCTGAAAATGGTTTTGACCATGTAGTTTCCATGAAAGTCTTGGGGATTCCCAGGGGTTCCAGGCCACACTTTGAGAGCTGCTCTTCTGTCTAGTCCCCCAGGTGTCTTCTTAGATGTCTTCTCTCCCAGTCATTACACACATCTCATATGTTACTAAGTCTTTTTTTTTTTTTGAAGACGGGGTCCTGCTGTGTTGCCCAGGCTGGAGTGCAGGGCTCACTGCAGCCTCGACCTCTCAGGATCAAGTGATCTTCCCATCTCAGCCTCCCGACTAGCTGGGACCACAGGTGTGTGCCACCACCCCCAGATAAAAGTCTTAAAGTTAGGCCAGGCATGGTGGCTCATGCCTGTAATCCCAGCACTTTGGGAGGCTGAGGTGGGCGGATCGCGAGGTCAGGAGATCGAGACCATTCTGGCTAACACGGTGAAACCCCCTCTCTACTAAAAATACAAAAAATTAGCTGGGCGTGGTGGCAGGCGCCTGTAAGTCCCAGCTACTTGGGAGGCTGAGACAGGAGAATGGCGTGAACCCAGGAGGTAGAGCTTGCAGTGAGCCAGATTGCGCCATTGCACTCCAGCCTGGGCGACAGAGTGAGACTCCGTCTCAAAAAAAAAAAAAAAGTCTTTAAGTTTTTATCTCCTCAATGTATCTTAAGTCAGAGTCCCCTCATTCTACAGCCAGAGTACTTTTCTTCTTATTTGTTTGTTTGTTTGAGATGGAGTCTCACTCTGTTGCCCAGGCTGGAGTGCAGTGGCTCGATCTTGTGATATCTGCTCACTGCAACCTCCACCTCCTGGGTTCAAGCAGTTCTCTGCCTCAGCCTCCTGAGTAGCTGGGATTACAGGCACCTGCCACAACGTCCAGCTAATTTTAGTATTTTTAGTAGAGATGGGGTTTCACCGTTTTGGCCAGGCTGGTCTTGAACTCCTGACCTCGTGATCCACCCGCCTCGGCCTCCCAAAGTGCTGGCATTACACGTGTGAGCGACCACGCCTGGCCTGGGCCAGAGTACTTTTCACATTTTTTTCTATCTAGTGTTTTTGCCTCTATTCTTTTTTTTCTAAGCCATTCACATTGTAGAAAAAGTAATCTTTCTAAAATAGAAATCTGATGATGTAACTCCTTTCCAAAAGTCCTTTATGAGTTTCTTACAGCTTTATTAGTATGTAAGACTTTTTATAATCCTGTTTCTACTAACCTCTCTAGATTCTTCTCAAGCCATTCATTTCTCCATGGATACCTTTATGTTATAGCTTTCTTTATGCAATACTTGCAGCTCTGAGAAAAAATCATGGTGACCTGTACATCTGTATTAACAGTGTTGAGTTTGCACTTTTCTATGTACTTTACATATGTTATTTTTTTTATACAGCCTTCCAAAAGAAGTACTCTTATTATTCTGTTTTATAGATGAGGAAACTGAGAGAGATGATTGATCTCTTGTTAAACCTCTAAAATAATCTCAAGGAACATAGGCTTGTTTCCCTACTTTTCTTTTCTTTTTTTTTTTTTGAGACAGAGTCTTGCTCTGTCACCCAGGCTGGAGTGCAGTGGCGTGATCTCGGCTCACTGCAAGCTCTGCCTCCCGGGTTCACGCCATTCTCCTGCCTCAGCCTCCCGAGTAGCTGGGACTACAGGCGCCCACCACCGTGCCCGGCTAATTTTTTTGTTGTTGTATTTTTAGTAGAGACGGTTTCACCGTGGTCTTGATCTCCTGACCTCGTGATCCACCCGCCTCGACCTCCCGAAGTGCTGGGATTACAGGCTTGAGCCACTGCGCCCGGCCTGTTTCCATACTTTTCTATTTGGCTAAATATTACTTATCCTAGAGGATCAGGCTTAAGTATTCCCTCCTTCTGAAGCCTTTCCAATGGTCTGATCTAGATACCTGCTCCCTGCATGGCTTACCTTGTGAGCAGCTTGAGCTAGCCCTTAACATAATACAGTTTTTACTTGTTTGTCAGGGAATTTTATTTTTTTGGAACAGGAATATTAGATTGTATCTAATATTTACTCCCAGAACAAATGTGCATATTGAGGTCCTTAAAATCTGATATCCCTCTGGACCTTCTTATTCTGTTCATTCTAAGCAAGCAGGACCCTCAGTTTAGGAGGAGCTGTATAACAGATATTATTATTATTATTATTTTGTTTGTTTGTTTTTGAGACGGAGTCTCGCTCTGTTACCCAGGCTGGAGTGCATGATCTCGGCTCACCGCAACCTCCACCTCCTGGGTTCAAGCGTTTCTCCTGCCTCAGCCTCCCGAGCAGCTGGGATTACAGGCACCCACCATCATGTCCAGCTAATTTTTTTTTTTGTATTTTTGTAGAGATGGGGTTTCACCATGTTGGCCAGGCTGGTCTTGAACTCCTGACCTCAGGTGATCCACCCACCTCGGCCTTCCAAAGTGCTGGGATTACAGGCATTAGCCACAGCGCCCTGCCGATCACATTATTATTAATTCTTCCAGATTTTACAAATTGTGATCCCAATGTATTAAAGAAGACTTAATAATAACACAAAATAATAGCTAACCTTTATTTATTTATTTAGAGACAGGGTCTCACTCCAGGTTGGAGTGCAACGGCGTGACCACAGCTCACTGCAGCCTTGACCTCCTTGGCTCAAGCGATCCTCTCACCTCAGCCTCCCAAGTAGCTGGGACTACAGGCATGCACCACCACATTCGGCTAATAAAAAAATTTTTTTTGGCTGGGCGCTGTGGCTCACGCCTATAATCCCAGAACTTTGGGAGGCCAAGGCCGGTGGATCACCTGAGGTCAGGAGTTCAAGACTTTACTAAAAATACAAAAATTAGCCGGGCCTGGTGGTGCATGCCTGTAAACCCAGCTATTCAGGAGGCTGAGGCATGAGAATTGCTTGAACCCGGGAGGCAGAGGTTGCAGTGAGAGGTTGCAGTCAGGCGAGATTGCGCCATTGCACTCCAGACTGGGCAACAAGAGCGAGACTCCGTCTCAATAAATAAATAAATAAAAATTATTTTATTTTTTATTTAGTTATTTATTTTTGAGATGGAGTCTCTCTCTGTCGCCCAGGCTGGAGTGCAGTGGCATGATCTCAGCTCACTGCAAGCTCCGCCTCCTGGGTTCAAGCCATTCTCCTGCCTCAGCCTCCCAAGTAGCTGGGACTGCAGGTGCCTGCCACCACGCCTGGCTAATTTTTTGTATTTTTAGTAGAGACAGGGTTTCACTGTGTTAGCCAGGATGGTCTCTATCTCCTGACCTGGTGATCGGCCCTCCTCGGCCTCCCAAAGTGCTGGGATTACAGGTGTGAGCCAGCCCTTTTTTTTTTTTTTTTTTTTTGTAGGCTGGGCTCACGCCTTTCATCCCAGCACTTTGAGAGGCTGAGGCAGGCAGATTACTTGAGGTCAGGAGTTTCAGACCAGCCTGGCCAACATGGTGAAACCCTGTCTATACTAAAAATACAAAAATTAGCTGGGCATGTTGGTGCATGCCTATAATTCCAGGTGCTCAGGAGGCTGAGGCAGGAGAATTGCTTGAGGCCAGGAGTCTGAGACCAGCCTGGACAACATAGTGAAACTTTACAAAAAAAAAAAACCAAATTAGCCAGATGTGTTGGTGTGTGCTTATAGTCCCAGGTATTTGGGAGACTGAGGTAGGAGGATCTCTTGAGCCTAGGAGGTTGAGGATGCAGTGAGCCACGATTGTGTCATTGCACTCTAGCCTGAACAATAGAGACCCTGCCTCCAAAAAGAAAAAAAAAGTCTGGGTGCAGTGGCTCATACCTGTAGTCCCAGCACTTTGGGAGGTTGAGTTGGGAGGATCACTTGAATCCAGGAGTTAGAGACCAGCCTGGGCAACATAGGGAGACCCCCATCTCTACAAAAGTGAAAAAAAAAAATTAGCCAGGCATGGTGGTGCATGTGTATAGTTTCAGCTACTCAGGAGGCTGATAGGAGGATTGCTTGAGTCTGAGAGGTTGAGGCTGCAGTGAGTCATGATTATACCACTACACTCCAGCCTGGGCCTCAGAGCGAGACCCTGTGTGTTTATGTCTCTGTCTCTCTCTCTCTCTATCTCTATCCCCTCTCTCTATATGTATGTATATATAAAATTGCAATTCTCAGCCTGCCCACCTAATTCTCACTTTCCTGTGAATAACATCAATAAACATGTCACATTTTAGTTGTGATTTATGAAGTCGATACCATTTTCCTTCTCTCAGTAAGTTATATTGTTTAATTCTAGAATCCTATTTTCTTTTCTTTATTAGAGATACATCTGAATTTTATCTTTTTGATGGGATTCATTTGCCCATTCTTTTTTTTTTTTTTTTTTTGAGATGGAGTCTTGTTCTGTCGCCCAGGCTGGAGTGCAGTGGTACGATCTCGGCTCACTGCAACTTCCGCCTCCTGGATTCAAGAGATTCTCCTGCCTCAACCTCCCGAGTAGCTGGGATTACACTACAGATGCCCAGCTAATTTCTGTATTTTTTGTAGAAACAGGGTTTCGCCATGTTGGCCAGGCTGGTCTTAAACTCCTGACCTTGTGATCCACCCACTTTGGCCTCCCAAAGTGCTGGCATTACAGGCGTGAGCCACCGTGCCCGGCCTCATTTGCCCATTCATTCTTATTTTTATGTTAATTTTTTTGAGACGGAGTTTCGCTTTTGTTGCCCAAGTTGGAGTGCAATGGCGTGATATCAGCTCACTGCAACCTCTGCCTCCCGGGTTCAAGTGATTCTCCTGTCTCCGCCTCCCAAGTAGCAGGGATTACAGGTGTGCACCACCACGCTCGACTATTGTTTTGCATTTTTAGTAGAAACGGGGTTTCACCATGTTAGCCAGGCTGGTCTCGAATGCCTGACCTCAGGTGATCCTTCCGTCTCTGCCTCCGAAAGTGCTGGGATTACAGGTGTGGGCCACCGTGCCCGGCCTGCCCATTCTTTCTTTCTGCCCACCTCTCCAATTCCTTGAGCATTGCAGTGGATGTTTAATTTTGAGAATACTAATTAGCTTCAGTAATTACACACCTTGAGGCATTTCAGGATATTTATAGCATTGTAGTTTCGGTCTTGATATGTTGTAGCTTTTTGGCTTTTGTGTCTTTTTTTTTAAGAAAGCTTTGAATTTTGTTCAGAGAAGATTTGTGTTAATCCATCTAAGTGGAATTCAGGGGTATTAGAAGTTTGTTTTGTCAGTGCCCAAGAATATCATATTTGTATTTTGTTCATAGCATTTTGAGGTCACCAAGAGTTTTAAGATGATGTCTTTTGTTGTAGACAAGTTTCGGAATCAGACCAGTATGGAGGATGCAATCTTATTGTGTCTTTGAATAAGTACCCAGGCTAGTATGGGGACTTGTGTAACACAGAAAGAACATCTGCAACCTTCCCCTTGTTGCCACACTTTAATTTGCAGTTAGGCTTTGCAGGATGTGTTGCTGTATTCTCTTTTCCCAGCCATCATTCTGTCTACCTGCAAGGGTCTTTTGTGTAATATTAGTGTCATTTAAATCTGTTTCAGAATAGATTTGATTCTGAATCACTTACTTCTATAATATTTTAACCTTTAGTTGGGAAATGAACTTTCATCAGAAAGATAAAAATGGATTGATTAAGGAAATTTGAAAAACAATATGTTTTTGAGAGTGTCATGGTGTATAGGATATAGTTCATAGACTTGGCTTTGAGTTTTTAGGAGTTAATAGGATTGAATTATTCAAGACTCAAGAGAAACAGGAAGAAAGGTTTCGTTTTCCTACCTGCTTTTTTGGACTTCTTTCTGTTACATCCTATTACATTTGGAGCTTAAAACTAGAGCTTCAGTACAACTTAGTTAATTGAATTATGCTAGTAATTCTCTCTGGTGAGATTATGTATGGAGTTACTGAGTATTTTTAGTATGCCTATGTAGACAGGTAAGGAAGATAAGTTGAAGAGATCAGAAATACCTTTATATTAAATATATATTCTAATATTCATTAATTTCATTTTTAAGGAAACTGTCCTGAAGTTAGAGGAAGCACTAAGTGAAGTAGCCATATATATATAATTTATTTTCTGGTCAGGCCAAGCTGGCTTACATATTATATTGTATATATTACATATATAGGCTTATATTTTGATGTTGGAATATTAGATAACCACTTCATATTTGCTTTTTGTGGCCAATAGCTTATTTAACAAATACTTAATCATTGTGTCAGAGCTATCTGAGAGTAAGGGATATAGCAGTGAAGAAACAGAAAAAAATCCCTTCCCTTATTGAGCTTATCGTTTTTTTCATTTTCTATTTTTTTTTTGAGACGGATTTTCGCTCTTGTTGCCCAGGCTGGAGTGCAATGGTGCAATCTCAGCTCACCACAACCTCCTCCTCCCAGGTTCAAGCTGTTCTCCTGCCTCAGCCTCCCGAGTAGCTGGGATTACAGGCATGCGTCACCACGCCAGGCTTATTTTGTATTTTTAGTAGAGACAGGGTTTCTCCATGTTGGTCAGACTGGTCTCAAACTTCTGAACTCAGGTGATCTGCCTGCCTCGGCCTCCCAAAGTGCTGGGATTACAGGCATGAGCTACCGCATCTGGCCTCATTTTCCAATTTTTTATTGTGTTAAAATCCACATAACAGAATTTGCCATCTTAACCATAACATAAAATTTACCATTTTAACAGAATTAACCCTCTTAACAGTTCAGTGGTATTAAATACATTTATGATGTCATGCAGCCATCACCACCAATCCTTCTCCATAATTATTTTCATTTTGTAAAACTGAGAAATTTTGTACTCATAAAACAATAATTCCCCATTCTCCTCTCCCCCTTTCCCCCAGCCCTGGCAAGTACCATTCTACTTTCCGTCTTCTATGATTTTGAATATTCTAACTACCTCATATAAGTGGAATTATACAGAATTTGTCGTTTTGTGACTGGCTTTAGCGTGTCGTCAAGGTTATCCATGTTGCAGCATATGTCAGAATTTCCTTTTTAAGGCTGAATATTATTCTGTTGCATGTATATACCACATTTGGAACAAATCCATTCATTTGTTGATAAACACTTGCTTCTACCATGTAGCTATTATGAATAGTGCTGCTATGAACATGGATGTACAAATATCTGTTTGAGACCCTATTTTCAATTCTTTTGAATATATACCCAGAAGTAGAATTGCTGAATCAGAACTTAGACTTTAGTGAGAAGAATGAAAAATAGGCTGGGTGCAGTGACCTGTAATTGCAGCACTTTGGGAGGCCAAAGCAGAAGGATGTCTTGAGTCCAGGAGTTTGAGACCAGCCTGGGCAACATGGCAAAACGCTGTCTCTACAAAATACACAAAAAATTAGCCAGTCGTGGTGGCATATGCCTGTAGTCTCAGCTACTAGGGAGGCTGAGGTGGGAGGATCACTTGAGCCTGGGGTTAAGGCTGCAGTGAATCTTGAGTGCACCACTGCACACCAGCCTGGACAACAGAGCAAGACCCTGTTTCAAAAAAAAGAAAAATAATACCACCAGACAGACCAAGATGGAATCCATGAAAGCAAATCCTTAAAATGAGACCCACAAACAGCTCTCTTGATTATAGTTTATCTGAAATTGGCTCTACTTTTTTGCCCTTTCATGTCCCCTTTTTGCCCATGATAGGAAACAGAGTGATGACATAGCATGTAATAATAGTTTCATTTTGTTACAGATTTGCTGTGGGCCAGACACCCTGCAAAATTACTTTGAAAATTATATAATCACAGTATCCTATGAAAGGTGTTTTTTGTTTGTTTGTTTTTTGTTGAGACAGTGTCTTGCTCTGTTACCCAGGCTGGAGTGCAGTGGCATGATCTCAGCTCACTTTAACCTCCGCCTCCTGGGTTCAAGAGATTCTCTTGCTTCAGCCTCCCTTCAGCCTCCCGCGTAGCTGGGATTACAGGCATGCACCACCACACCTGGCTAATTTTTGTATTTTTAGTAGAGATGGGGTTTTACCACGTTGGTCAGGCTGGTCTCAAACTCCTGACCTCAAGCAATCCGCCCACCTCGGCCTCCCAAACTTCTGAGATTACAGGTGTGAGCCACTGCCCCTGGCCGAAAGGTTTCAACTTGCTTATTTTACATTGAGATAAAGAGAGGCTTAGAGAGGTGATTACTTATCTAGGATCACAAAGCCTGGTATGTGATAGGGCTAGGTAGGCATGGTCCTAATGTTATCAAGCAAAAGGGGCTTGCTGCCCAATGCACTACAAGCCAATACTATGACACTGAGTTTTTGAGAAAAGAAAAGCTTATATTGCCAGTTGACTCACAGGAGTCAAGCTCAAATCTGTCTCCTGGTGCAGTAATTTTATTAGAACAGGTTTAGCGGGTAGATTCTGGGATTACTAGGTGATTGGTGGAAGGAAAGGGGAGGTCTAGAAAGTCCTTGGCAGTACCCAGTTATCTCTTCATGACTCCTCATGGGTCCCATGTTCAAATTTGGGAGGAGTTAATATGAAGCATGTGGTGGCAATTCAGGCTGTGATGACGCTCCTTCAGAGTGAACTCTAGTTGGCTATATTGGTTGCAACTGATTTCAGCCAGTTTTGTTATCTTACAAGCAGAAGGAGTTTCAGTGTTTCAGAAAGTTGTTTCTTATCTGCTATCTTGCAAACTCAAGACTTTCTGTTAGTTACTGGTTTAAGTTTTTGGGGCATGGTTTTACTAACAACTTCAGTCCCTGGGCAACAGCATGAATGGAAGCCCACATTCCATATTTTTAATTTTTTTTTTTTTTCTGAGACCAAGTCTCTTTTATTTATTTATTTATTTATTTATTTAGCGTGGACCCAAGGAGTGAGCAGCAGCAAGATTTATTGCAAAGAGCGAAAAAACAAAGCTTCCACAGCATGGAAGGGGACCCAAGTGGGTTGCCCCTTTTTTAAAATTTTTTTTTATTTTTTATTTTTTTTACTGAGTCTCATTCTTTTGCCCAGGCTAGAGTGCAGTGGTGTCATCTCGGCTCATTGCAACCGCCGCCTCCTGAGTTCAAGTGATTCTTCTGTCTCAGCCTCCCAAGTAGCTGGGATTACAGGCACTTGCCACCACACCTGGCTAATTTTTGTATTTTTTAGTAGAGATGGGACTTCGTCATGTTGGCCAGGCTGGTGTCAAACTCCTGACCTCAGGTGATCCGCCTGCCTCAGCCTCCCAAAGTGTTGGGAGTATAGGTGTGAGCCACTGCCCCCGTCCCCATATTTCTAAATATTTAGTAGTTATAAATCAAGATTTTTAAAAAAGGAACTTAATAATTTTATTTCACTACAGCCTTGAACTTCTGGCTTCAAGTGAACCTCCTGCCTCATCTTCCTGAGTAGCTGGGACCACAGGCATGTGCCACCTCACCCAGTAAATCAAAATTAAAAAACTGTTAGAACTTTGAGGGGAAATTATTTTTTGAGACAGAATAGGATGGTTCAGGGATATCCTACAAGCCTAGTCTCCATCTGTACCCTTCCCGTTGTTTGTCCCTTGCCCACCATTCAGGCAATGGAACGTGTATAACAGAAGGTTATTGTCCATGGAAGGACAAAGTTTGAGATGAGAAGAAATCCACTGAAGGCCCTGATTGGGGTTTGGGGCTGCTTAGGCAGGAAAACCTGGGATCTGGAGCATAGCTGAGAGTAGTCGAGTAAGGCTCTTCAGGTAGGTATGTCCTCTGGTCCCATGGACATCTTGCCCTGAGGGCATGGGCAAGTCAGAGGAGGGTCATAGTGGTTCTATCTTCAATGAAGGACCCAGAATAGGTCCAAGACCAAGAGTGCCAGAACTCAAAACTGGGCCCCTTTGACCATGCTGTCTGTTGTTAATAGTAAGAAAGCCTGGGTTTACAGAATGAGATGATGGCTTACTCTGGTTGATGGAGAGGGGTTAGAAAGCAGCTGATCTGGCTGGGCATGGTGGCTCACGCCTGTAATCCCAGCACTTTGGGAGGCCGAGGTGGGTGGATCACGAGGTCAGGAGATCGAGACCATCCTGGCTAACATAGTGAAACCCTGTCTCTACTAAAAATACAAAATATTAGCTGCACATGGTGGTGTGGGCCTGTAATCCCAGCTACTCGGGAGGCTGAGGCGGGAGAATTGCTTGAACCAGGGAGTCAGAGGTTGTAGTGAGCCGAGATTGCACCGCTGCACTCCAGCCTGGCGACAGAGCAAGACTCCGTCTCAAAAAAAAAAAAAAAAGCAGCTGATCTGACCTGGATAAGTACTTTAAATGGACCATATTTTGAAAGAACCAGCCTGTTTCTCCTTTGAAAATACAGTTTAGTATTTACTCATAGAGTCTAGAGAATTTAAGAATTGAAAAAACGCTGCTTCTTCCAAGTGCATTCTGTTCTGGTCTTTGCACAGTGTAAGTTGAATGGCACAGTTATGAAGAGATATAGCCATTTTTTTCCTCTAAAAATAGGTGAGGCAGGAGCATATTCATCTGATATTCATCTGATTATATGTTGGTTTGCAGTTTATACTGAACAAGAATTTTTTTCGATACCATTTGTTTGCTTACTTAGGATAAAGTAATGTATAAAAGGATCAGATTATGGTTTTATATTCTATATTATACTTTTATAGGGAGATTAGACATAAAAATTGTCTTATATTGTCCTAAAATTTCCAGTTGTCTGAAATTAATCTCAGACTTATGAAGAGAGGTGTATATTTTTATTTATTTTTAATTTTTGAGAGGTGTATATTTTGATGGCTGCAGAGAAATGCAGTTTTGGATGCAGAATATTATTTCTTCGTCACATAAATTGTTGAGTTTGTGGAATATGTCTGGTCTGGTCATTTTTTTTTTTAAATGGTTAATTTTATGTGAATGTCACTTCAATTTTATTTATTTATTTATTTATTTTTTTTTTGAGATGGAGTCTTGCTCTGTCACCCAGGCTGGAGTGCAGTGGCATGATCTCGGCTCACTGCAAGCTCCGCCTCCCGGGTTCACGCCATTCTCCTGCCTCAGCCTCCAGAGTAGCTGGGACTACAGGCGCCCGCCACCACGCCCGACTATTTTTTTTTTGTATTTTTAGTAGAGACGGGGTTTCACCGTGTTAGCCAGGATGATCTTGATCTCCTGACCTCGTGATCTGCCTGCCTCAGCCTCTCAAAGTGCTAGTATTACAGGCGTGAGCCACCGCGCCCGGCCTTTTTTTTTTTTTTTTTTTTTTTTTTTTAAGATAGAATTTCTCTCTTTTTGCCCAGGCTGGGGTGCAATGGCGTGATCTTGGCTCACTGCAACCTCCGCCTCCTGGGTTCAAGTAATTCTCCTGCCTCAGCCTCCCAAGTAGCTGGGATTACAGATACCTGCCACCATGCCTGGCTAATTTTTTGTATTTTTAGTAGAGACAGGGTTTTACCATGTTGGCCAGGCTGGTCTCGAACTCCTGACCTCAGGCTGCCTTGACCTCCCAAAGTGCTGGGATTACAGACGTGAGCCACCACGCCCGGCCTGGTCTGGTCATTCTTGTCATTCTCAAGATAACAGTTTTATGATTGACTGTCCAGCCACACACTATTCATCAGACTTCATACTTTTTTTTGAGATGGTCTCACTCCCATTGCCCAGGCTGGAGTACAGTGGCACGATCACGGGTCCCTGTAATCTCGACCTCCCCAGCCTCAGGTGATTCTCCCACCTCAGCCTTCTGAGTAGCTGGGACTGCAGCTCATTATTACATCGTATTTTCATTGTTAAGAGTGGGCAGGGACCATATTTTTTTGTTTTGTTTTGAGACAGAGTCTTGCTCTGGCACCCAGGCTGGAGTGCAGTGGTGCGATCTCATCTCACTGCAACCTCTGTCTCCTGGGTTCAAGCAATTCTCCTACCTTAGCCTCCCGAGTAGCTGGGATTACAGGTGCCCGTCACCACCCCCAGCTGATTTTTGTGTTTTTAGTAGAGGCGGGGTTTCACCATGTTGGCCAGGCTGGTCCTGAAGTCCTGACCTCAGATGATCTGCCCACCTCGGCCTCCCAAAGTGCTAGGATTGCAGGCATGAGCCACCACGCCCTTATTATTATTATTATTTATTTATTTATTTATTTTTGAGAAGGAGTTTTGCTCTTGTTGCCCAGACTGGAGTGCAATGGTGCGATCTCAGCTCACCCCAACCTCTGCCTCCTGGGTTCAAGTGATTCTTTTGCCTTAGCCTTCCAAGTAGCTGGGATTACAAATAGGCATGCGCCACCACCCCCCGCTAAGTTTGTATTTTTAGTAGAGACAGGATGTCTCCATGTTGTTCAGGCTGGTCTCAAACTCCCGACCTCAGGTGATCTGCCCACCTCGGCCTCCCAAAGTGCTGGGATTACAGGTGTGAGCCACTGTGCCCAGCCTCTATTATTATTATTACATTTTTTTTTGTGAGACGGAGTCTTGCTCTGTCACCCAGGCTGGAGTGCAGTGGCGCGATCTTGGCTCACTGCAAGCTCCGCCTCTGGGGTCATGCCATTCTCCTGCCTCAGCCTCCTTAGTAGCTGGTACTACAGGCGCCCGCCACCACGCCCGGCTAATTTTTTGTATTTTTAGTAGAGACGGGGTTTCACCATGCTAGCCAGGAAGATCTCAATCTCCTGACCTCGTGATCCACCTGCATTGGCCTCCCAAAGTGCTGAGATTACAGGCGTGAGCCACCGCGCCCGGCTTGTTATTACTGTTTTTAGAGACAGAGTCTTGCTTTGTCATCCAGGTTGAAGTGCAGCAGCACAGTCATAGCTTACTGCAGCCTCAAACTCCTTGGCTCAAGTGATTCTCTCACCTCATCCTCCCAAGTAGCTAGGACTACAGGCACGTGCCACCATGTCCAGCTAATTTTTTGTAGAGATGGGGGTCTCACTACATTGCCCAGGCTAGTATCAATCTCCTGGCCTCAAGCGATCCTCCCACTTTGGCCTCCTGCCAAAGGGCTGGGATTACAGGCACAAGCCCCCATGCTTGGCCAGAGTTGGAGTTTAATTTAAATCTGGGAAGACCATAATCATGGATTTTGTTCAGTTTTCAAGCTACCCTTTTTATTGATTGGTGTGACTCTTGTGTTTGCATGTGTTGACTTGTAGGATCTATTAGAGGTGGAAAAAGGAATAGCAAAATATTGAGTGCTATCTCAGTACTAGAGGCATAATTAGTAGAAGTCTAAATTGATGTTAGACCTAGAATTTGGTGGTGTGGAAAATCGAGTTTTAATCCCTTATTTTTTAAAAAACATATCTTCCTATGTCATTTAGATTTGCTTTCTCTATCATAACTGCTCTTTCCAAATAGTACCATTGTTTATTAGCTCTCTTGTTATCAGATTTGCCAAATTCCTGAAAAATATTTGATTTTTGAGGAAGTACATTAGAGTTTGGCATTTGGTTTGCGTGCCAATTTCAGCAGCACCCTTTATTGCAAAGAGCTTGGGAATTTGTTGACAGAAATCCATTTTCTCTGTGACTCCTGATTCCCCCCACACCCCCGCCCCAAGGCTTTCTAGCCTGTGGTCTATTTTTAAATCCTGCTGCTGTGCTCTGTATTGCGGCAGTTCTTTTCCTGAATTATTTATCATTGTTGGGAGCTGAATGGAGCACTATGTTTTTTCACCACTGCTCATTAGGACCCACGTGTCTGTCTTCAACTTGGATGACATACCTGGTTCATGTTAAATCCCACTGGTCCATCCTGGGAAGGCTTTGAGATAATATAAGAACAGGCCACAGTTGGCTGGGTGCAGTGGCTCACACCTGTAATCCCAGCACTTTGAGAGTCCAAGGTGGGTGGATCACCTGAGGTCAGGAGTTCAAGACCAGCCTGACCAATGTGGAGAAACCTCATCTCTACTAAAAATAAAAAATTAGCCCGGTGTGTTGGTGCATGCCTGCAATCCCACCTACTTGGGAGGCTGAGGCAGGAGAATCGCTTGAACCCGGGAGGCGGAGGTTATAGTGAGCCGAGACCGCACCATTGCACTCCAGCCTGGGCAACAAGAGCGAAACTCCGTCTCAAAATTAAACAACAACAACAAAAAAGGACAATCTATGATATGTTGTAAAATCATTCGGACTTTTGGATTACTGTTATTTTGTTTCAGCAGCAGTGGGACAGAGAGAAGCTATGCCATATCCTTCCCTTAGACTATGCTCAAAGATATTATGTTATACTGGCTTTTCTGATGATATTTACTTTTTGTTTTTATAGTTGTTGCATTGATGTTACTCATTTAGGAAAGGTGAAAGAGAAATCCCTATGAGAAGCACAATGTTAAATCAAGATTCATTTTAGTTATAAATATGACCTGGATATTTGGAGATATCTTGAAATTCTCTGTTTTGGGGGTTTGGGTTGTGGGGGATTGGCTTGTTTTGTTTGGGAGTATTTCTTCTCATTGCCTGTCTTCTTATCTTACTACAGACTATAGGCTTGGAAGAAGAATGACAAAACCTAAGCACAAGGCAGTTATCTTGAATGATATTTCTTACCTTTTCTGTTTTGCAGGACATCAGAACTGATGTTTCTTTTTTGTTTTCGTTCTATTTTTTTCTGCATCCTGTCTTTCATGAAAATATTTTTCTCTCCCTTGATATCACTGCTTTTTTCTTTTTGATATATGAATACACAGCTACTCCTGTGTTCTTTACTTCTTTAAACAGTTAACCCTTTTATGTTACTGTAGGCAGAAAAAGGGTAGCTGTTAATCATTTAGGCACTGAAGAGGGTAAAACTTTGTTTGCCTGCCCTAGTTTGTTGGGTGTCTCTGAGTTTGTGTGTGTATCTTAAAAAAAAAAAAAAAAAAAAAAAAAAAAAAGTAATGGTATATATTTGGTTCCCATTCTTGGAGTAATGATGAAATATTTTTATATTTTGAACCAGAACAAATTTTGGTCTTCTGTTGCTGCTTCTAATCAGTTCTACTGGCCCAGAAACTGGCATATCACTGCTCAGTGATTTCTTTTATTATCATTCCATTCATTCCCCTGTAACAGTGGCTCTCGGTTGCATAAATCCCATATTTCTCAGCAGCTTATATCATCTTTGCTCACTGACTGCTGTCCTGACATTAGCTTGTTTCTTTGGACTGTGTCAACTAAGTCAAACTAGACTAAATTTACTATTTTTCCCTTGTGCTTTTTCTCCCTTCTTAGTTATCTTGCCCTCTGTATTAGTCCATTTTCACACTGCTATAAACATACTACCTGAGACTGGGTAATTTATCAAAGAAAGAGGTTTATTTTATTTTATTTTTCTTTTGAGATGGAGTTTCGCTCTTGTTGCCCAGGCTGGAGTGCAATGGCGCGATCTTGGCTCACCGCAACCTCCACCTCCCGGGTTCAAGCAATTCTCCTGCCTCAGCCTCCCGAGTAGCTGGGATTACAGGCATGCACCACCATGCCTGGCTAATTTTGTATTTTTAGTAGAGATGGGGTTTTTCCATGTTGGTCAGGCTGGTCTTGAACTCCCGACCTCAGGTGATCCACCCCGCCCCCCCCCCCCGGGCCTCCCAAAGTGCTGTGATTAGAGGCATGAGCCACTGTGCCCAGTAAGGTTTAATTGGCTCACAGGAAGTTCCGCGTGCCTGGGGAGGCCTCAGGAAACTTACTGTCATGGTGGAAAGGGAAGCAGGCATGTATGTCTTCGCGAGTGCAAGCAGGGGAAATTCCAGACGCTTATGTATTAAAACCATCAGATCTTGTGAGAACTCACTCACTAGCATGAGAACAGCGGGGGGAACCGCCCCCGTGATCCAATAAGCCTCCCTCCCTCACACATGTGGGGATTATAATTCAAGATGAGATTTGGGTGGGGACACAGAGCCAAACCATAGCACCCTCTCTTTGCTATTACTCCTTGAAAAAGCCAGTTGAAAATTAACATTTTTTAGGAAACTTTCTATGATTTAGGCTATCAAATTCTTATTAATTTATATGTGCTATTTTGTATTTATTTAACCTTCTGTTTTGAAGGTGCTTATAATTTAAAGCATAGTCCCTGCACTCAAAGAGTTATCTTAGGAGAAACTAAGAAATGAATTGACTTCTTTTTCTTTTATTACTTTGAATTTCTGTTGCTTTTAAATTTCATATATATATTTTTAAATTCCAGATTTCAATAGTAAGGGCAACAGCAAGGATCTTGTTTCCCGTGAAATCTTACGAACTGTTCCTACTGCCCTCATCCATCTTACCATGGGGCAGACTTGTTGGATGATAGGGTAATAGTGTAGGAAAGAGGGATCTTAGGTGTTGGGGATTTTCTGTTTTGTGCCTTTTCGAATGGTAAAAATTCTAAGTATTTATAGTCTTACTTGAAATTACATTTTGGAGACTAAAATGACACAAACTACAAATTGAATGTACAAAAAAAGACATGCTAGATTTCTGAAATAGCCATCCAAGTTTTCGCTGCATAACAAAGTTAGTGCTTATTTATTACTGGCATGCTAGAACGGTGGCTTACTTGAGCTAAAGTCTGTCCCTGATGGCCTGATGATGTAGTTTTACACCCTTAATAAAATTGAGTTCGCATCAGTTTACAATGAAAGTCTTTTAGGTGACTTTCAGAACCAGAATCACATATCATCTGCAGAGCTGTTAACCTCATTTTCCAAATTCCTATGACACTTTTCACAAGAGTTATGTTTGCCCCAGAGATCTTAATTCAGAACTAGGGTCCTTCACCTTTTAAGAGGTGGAGCTACATGTGATTTTCCTGACACTTGAGATCATTTGATGGTGTTAAGATGCTGGGGTAGGGGTTGGAAGTGGGAAATGGGAGAGTGGGGGTAGGTGACAAGAAAGTTCTTGAGTAAAGGCTAGGAGGAAAACTATCTGAGGTTACTTATTTGCCTAATCCTTCTATATTAGAATTAGGAGATGTAAATTAGTCTCCAGATCACTTGTGTTGCCTTCTTAGTCCCACCGTAGCCATGACAGACAAATTCTCAGCCCTCGCCCTGCTGACTGTGTGCAAAGTTAGAGAACAGCCCCCAAATCCACCCCCCACTTTTGGAACTGCAGAGTTTGGGGGGGTCCGCAAGATCACCCTCGGGTTCAATAGTTTACTAGAACGACTCACAGAACTCACTAAAGCTATTATACTTACAGTGAAGGGAGACAGACTAAAATCACCCAAGAGAAGAGATATATGGGCAAAGTCCAGGAGGGTTTCAGATGCTGAGCTTCCAGTTTTCCTTTCCCAGTGGAGTCATGGATAGTGTAACTCCTCCTGTCAGTGGTGTGTGGTAATACACATGGAGTATTGCCAACCAAGGAGGCTACGTAAGCCTTGATGTCGTGAATTTTTACTGGGGCTCCATCACATAGATATAATTGGCCAAGTGGCTGACCTCAGTCTCCAGCCCTTCCTGAGGTTGAGTTGATAGTATGTAACCTAAAGTCCCTACCATAAATCATATTGGTAGACTTATCTGTCATGGCTTAAGTCCCCTAGTAAATCATTATCAAGAGGATATTCAAAGAGTTTAACATTACTTCCTAAGAGCTAAGGGCAAATGCCAGACCTCTCTTTGGGCAAGGTTAAATTCTTTACTACATACCGTGCTAGTTGAAGTGTTAGGCCTAACTAAGAGGAAGGGGAAGGGGACTAGTTTGGAGTTTTTTGAACTAAGAAAATGTATTTTCTGCTTAAAAAGTTAAATATATATATATACACATTGAATTTTTTTTAAAAAGTAGATCCAAGTTGATAGAGCTTCCAGGCACCTGAGAGATGCAAACTCAGATCATCCCTGGTGGAATATACCTCAACCCTGGCTTCAAAGAATTCTTAAAGATAGATTACCAACATATGTGAGCTTATAATAGTAACCAAAAAACCAAAAAAAAAATCACAAAAGAAACACGGTTCTGTGAACCAGCATCAACAGAAACAACTGAATCAGACCCAGAGAAACTTTAGGTATTGGAATTATTGAATATAGAACATAAAATAAATATATTTAATGAAATAGAAAAGTAAATAAAGACCAAGAATAAGAAATGAGAGAATAAAGCAAGACTGGTTGGTTTGTAAAATAAGCAATTAAATTATTTTAGAAATAAAAAAATAATGATTGAAAGAAACTCAGTGGAGGGGAACTTACAGTTCTGGTGATAGCTGCGTAACAGGAAGCTGATTTATGCTGCTGTCTTAAGTGAATAATTGGACAAAGTATATGAAAAAATGTTTTCAGATATTGGACAAAGAGTAGCATAGAACAGTGATTCCTGAGAGAAAAGAAAGAAGTTTGAGCACTATGATTGTCCACCTTTCAGCCTGAAGAAAGTTTCTGGGTTGAAACTAGGGTTGGGAGGGATACACATACAGAGCTGGCAATCTTGAATTGAGGAGACAGAGGTAGGAATCGAGAAGCCAAGGCAGCTGGAATTGTGTGGCAGAATATTTAAGAGGAGAGAGCTTCTTAAGAAAAAGAGAGCTCTGGAAATTTGCAGAGGGTTCCCCTAAACCTACACTGTGTAATACAGTAGCCACTAGCTACATGTGGATATTTACATAAAAATTGAGTTCCTCAGTTACACTAACTACAATTCAAATACTTAGTAGCCCCAGTTTCATCATCACAGAAAGTTCTATTGAACTTTCCTGTCATGGATGCTTTAGCTTTAGTTCACTGGTATGAGGAAACTACTCAAGGCCAGAGAAAGACTTCTGGAAAGGATTAGTTGAGGAATAAAGGGCCATGAGTATTTTTTGTTTCTACTAACCAGAGTAGAAACACTTAACACCTGGGACATTGAGTAGAGTCCTTAGAAGGATATTGCCTCAGTAGTGATACCAAATTAGCTCCAGTGTAAAGGCTGTCAAAGACTAGCCTAATAAAGCATAAAAGCAAGCTTCAGAAGGATCAAACTATTTCTAAGTCACTAAGTCTCAAAACAAAGCCCAGACTGGGCGTGGTGGCTCACACCTGTAATCCCAGCACTTTGGGAGGCAAAGGCGGGCGGATCATGAGGTCAGATCGAGACCATCCTGGGTAACACAGTGAAACCCTGTCTCTACTAAAAATACAAAAAAATTACCTGGGCGTGGTGGCGGGCGCCCGTAGTCCCAGCTACTCAGGAGGCTGAGGCAGCAGAATGGCGTGAACCTGGGAGGCAGAGCTTGCAGTGAGCCAAGATCGCGCCACTGCACTCCAGCCTGGGCAACAGAGCGAGACTCTGTCTCAAAAAAAACAAAACAACAACAGCAAAAAAGCCCAAAATTAGTTAAAGGAATATTTTAAAACTAGAAACCAACAGTGTAAAATTTACATTTGGCATCTGGTCACAAATTATCAGGTATACAAAGCATCAGAGAACACAGTCCGTAATGAGGACAAAAACAGTCAATAGAAATAGACCCAGGAATGATTCAGAGAATGCATGTTAAGTAGAGACATGGAAAATATAAAAATGACCAAAATCTAACTTTTAAAAACGAAAACTGCAGTGTCTGAGATGAGAAATATAGTGCCCAGGATTTACAGCAGATCGGCACAGCAGAAGAAAAATTAGTGAACTTGAAGACATAGCAAATGAAACTTAATGCAAAATGTAATATAGAAAAAAAGGCTGGGTGTACTGGCTCATACCAACACATAATCCCAGCACTTTGGGAAACCAGGATGGGAGGATCACTTGAGCCCAGGAATTCAAGGCTGCAGTGAACCAACGTCACACCACAGCACTCCAGCCTGGGCAACAGAGAGAGAGCCTGTCTCTAAATGAAAACATAGATAGACAAAAAAATAAGTGAAGAGTGTCAGTGAGCAGTGGAACAACATCAAGCAGTCTAAAAATATGTGTAATTGGAGTCTCAGAAAAGTGGGAAGGGAGACAAATATTTGAATAAATAATGGCTTAAGTTTTTTAATTTTAGTGAAAACTGTAATCCCACAGATCTGGAAAACTCACTGAAGATTTTCTCTTCATCACTGATATATTTTGTTTTTTTTTTTGAGATGGAGTCTTGCTCTGTCGCCCAGTCTGGAGTGCAGTGTTGCAGTCTCCACTCACTGCCATCTCCACTTCCCAGGTTCAAGCAGTTCTCCTGCCTCAGCCTCCTGAGTAGCTGGGATTACAGGCACCTACCACCACGCCCAGCTAATTTTTGTATTTTTAATAGAGACGGGGTTTCACCATGTTGGCCAGGCTGGTCTCGAGCCCCTGACTTTAGGTGATCCATCTGCCTCAGCTTCCCAAAGTGCTGGGATTACAGGCATAAGCCACCGTTTCCAGCTTTATCACTGATCTTAAGCAATTTGATTATGATATTCTTTGGTAGTTCTCTTTGAGATTTTCTGTTTTGAGTTCTTTGAGCCATTTGGATCTGTGTGATCCCAACAGAAAAATCATGAAGAAAGTTATACCAAGGTGCATTTTAATCAAATTGCTTAAAACTAGTGATAAAGTCTTAAAAGCAGACAGAAAATAAAACATGTTAAATATAGAGGAACCAAGATGGGCTGAATTGAGCCCTCCTAAAATTCATATGTTAAAGCCCTAACCCTAGTACCTCAGAATATGACAGTATTTGGACAGAAGGCCATTAAAGAGGTGAATAAAATAAAATAGGAGGAGGGCCCTAATCCAATCTGACTGGTGTCCTTTTTTTTTTTTCTTTTTTTTTGGAGACAGAGTCTCACTCTGTCACCCAGGCTGGAGTGCAGTGGCATGATCTCGGCTCACTGCAACCTCCACTTCATGGGTTCAAGCGATTCTCCTGTCTCAGCCTCCCTAGTAGCTGGGATTACAGGCATGCGCCACCTTGACCAGCTAGTTTTTTTTATTTTTACTAGAGACGGGGTTTTACCATGTTGGCCGGGCTGATCTTGAACTCCTGACCTCAGGTGATCCACCTGCCTCAGCCTCCCGAAGTGCTGGGATTACAGGCATGAGCAACTGCACCTGGCCTGGTGTCCTTTTTTTTTTTTTTTTTTTTGAGATGGAGTCTCACTCTGTCACCCAGGCTGGAGTGCAGTGGTGTGATCTCGGCTCGCTGCAACCTCTGCCTCCTGGGTTCAAGTGATTCTCCTGCCTCAGCCTCCCAAATAGCTGCAACTACAGGCGCCTGCCACCACGCCCGGCTAATTTTTGTATTTTAAGTAGAGACAGGGTTTCACTATGTTGGCCAGGATGGTCTCGAACTCCTGACCTCATGATCCGCCCGCCTCGGCCTCCCAAAGTGCTGGGATTACAGGCGTGAGCCACTGCGCCCCGCCTGGTGTCCTTTTAAGAAGAGGAAATTTAGACACACAGAGGGATAGTGGGGCATGGGCATACGTGTACCAAGCAAAGATCATATGAGGACACAGTGAGATGGCCATCTGGAAGTCAAGGAGAGAGCCCTTGGGAGAAACCAAATCTGTGAACACCTTGATCTTGGACTCTTAGCATCTAGAACTGTGAGAAAATAAATTTTCTTTTTAAGACACCCAGCCTGTAGGCTAGGCGTGGTGGCTCACACCTATAATCCCAGCACTTTGGGAGGCTGAGGTTGGCAGATCACCTCAGGTCAGGAGTTTGACACCAGCCTGGCCAATGTGGTGAAACCCTGTCTCTACTAAAAATGCAAAAAAATTAGCCAGGCATGGTGATGTGCGTCTGTAATCCCAGCTACTCTGGAGGCCGACACAGGATAATTGCTTGAGCCCGGGAGGTGAAGGTTGCAGTTGACTGAGATCGCACCACTGCACTCCAACCTGGGTGACAGAGTGATACTCCATCTGAAAAAAAAAAAAAAAAAAAAAAGACACCGAGTCTGTGCTATTTTCATATGACAGCCCTAGCAAACTATTACATAAGGTAAGAATTACAGCAAACTTTTTATTAGAATCATTGCAAGCTAATGATTCTGATAACATTAAAATGCTAGATGAAAAAACCTATCAACCTAAAATTTTATATGCAGCGAAAATACCTTTCAAAATTGAAGAGGAAACTGTCCAGGATGGGCAAAACATTAGTGGCTTAGGGCTGGGAATTGGGAGAAAATAGGAAGTTCATTCTTTTGCCTTTTTTTTTTTTAAGAGATGGAGTCTTGGTTGCCCAGGCTGGAGCACAGTGGTGTGATCCTAGCTCACTACGGTCTTGAACTCAGGCTCTGACAGTCCTCCAACCTCAGCCTCCTAAGTAGCTGGGAATATAGGCACATGCCTCTACACTCAGCCTTTTTAAAAAATTGACATAATATAATAATTGTATATATTTATGGGTTACATAGTGATGATGTTTTGATACTCTAATGTGTAATGATCAGATGAGGGTAATTAGCATATCCATCTCAAATTTTATTATTTTGTTGCATTGGGACCATTTAGTATCCTCTTAGTTACTGGAAACTAAAAATTATTGTTAATTATAGTTGTGCTGCAGTGGTATAGAACATTAGAACTTATTCCTCCTATCTAGCTATAGTTTTGTATCCTTTAACAAATCTCTCCCTATACCCCATTCCTCCTACACTTAATCAGAAGTTGTTTCTAATGAGTATAAGGTTTCTTTTGGGGGTGATAAAGTGTTCTAAAATTGATTTTGATTATGGTAGTATAACTCTGAATATGCTAAAAGCCATAGAATTGTGCACTTTAAATGGGTGAATTGTATGGTATATGAATTATGTCACAATAAAAAGTGTAGATGAAATAAGGCCTTTTAAAAACATAACAAAAGCTGATAGAATTCACCACCATCAGACCACCGCTACAGAAAGTGTTATAAGACAGGAGAAAACTACACCAAATCAAAATTTAGGTAGAAATAAAATAATGCAGGCTGGGCGCAGTGGCTTATGCCTGTAATTCCAGCACTTTGGGAGGCCAAGGTGGGCGGATCACTTGAGGCCAGGAGTTTGAGACCAGCCTGGCCAACATGGTGAAACCCCATCTCTAATAAAAATACAAAAAAACTAGCTGGGCATGGTGGCATGCGCCTGTAGTCCCAGCTACTCAGGAGGCTGAGGCAGGAGAACTGCTTGAACCAGGAGGCAGAGGTTGCAGTTAGCTGACGTAGTGCCACTGCACCCCAGCCTGGCAACAGCGCAAGACTCTGTCTCAAAAAATAAAATAAAATAAAATAAAAATAAAATAATGCAGATCATCAGAAATCTGTGGAGAAAATATTATTTTATTTGGAAAAAAAATTTAAAAGATAATTGTTCAAAACAAAAATAATAAAACTTCTGTGGGGTTTATAACGTGCAGAAATAAAGTGAGTGACAGCAGTTGCCCAAAAGATTGGGAGAGGTGAAATAGTAGTACAAGGTCAAATTGGCTCTTGAACAATGTGGGGGTTAGGGGTACTGACTGCCCATGCAGTCAAAAATCCACATATAACTTTTGACTCCAGAGAAACTTAACTATTAATCGTCTACTGTTGACTAGAAGCCTTACCAGTAACATAAACAGTTCATTAACAATTCAACAGTTGATTAATAGCCTTAACAATAACCATAAACAGTTGATTAAAACATATTTTGTATATGTATTGTATACCATATTCTTGAAATGCAGTAAGTTAGAAAAAAGAAAATGTTAAGAAAATCATAAGGAAGAGAAAATACATTTACTATTAAGTGAAAGTGGATCATCGTAAAAGTCTTCATTCTTGTCTTCACATTAAGTAGGCTGAAGAGGAAGAAGAGGGGTTGGTCTTGCTGTCTCAGGGATGGAAGACGGGAGGAGGGGAAAGGAGAGGCAGGCACACTTGTTGTAACTTTACAGAAATAGTCACAATTTATGTTTGACTGTTTTGACTTTTTTTTTGAGAAAGGGTCTTATTCTGTCTCCCAGGATGGAGTGCAGTGGCACGATCTTGGCTCATTGCAACTTCTGCCTCCCAGGCTCAAGCAATCCTCCCACCTCAGCCTCCGAGTAGCTGGGACTGCAGGCCTGCTCCACCGCGCATGGCTAATTTTTGTATTTTTTGTAGATACGGGGTTTTGCCATGTTGCCCAGGCTCTTAGTGATTTTCTTAATGGTGTCTGGAAACTCATCTGTTGCTTCTTGGTTGGCAAAAGCTGCTGTTTCTGTTACCTTGACATTTTTAAAACCCAATTTCTTTCTAAAATTATGAAACCATCTTTTGCTGGCATTAAATTCTCTAGCTTTAGATCCTTCACCTTCCTTTTGCTTTAGTTGTCATATGATGACCTCTTTTTCTTGAATCATATTAGAGTCTATAGGTATGCCTTTCTTAGGTTTTTTTTTGGAGACAGTCTCACTTTGTCACCCAGGCTGGAGTGTATAATGGCACAGTCATGACACACCGCCGCAGCCTTGAACTCCTGGGCTCAAGTGGTTCTCCTGCCTCAGCCTCCTGAAAACTTGGGACCACAGGTGCATGACACCATACCCAGCTAGTTTTTAATTTTTGTAGTGACAGTGACTCGCATTGTTGGCCAGGCTAGTCTTGAACTCCCAGCCTCAAATGATCCTCCTGCCTCAGTTTCCCAAAGTGTAGGGATTACAGCCATGAGCCAGTGTGCTTGCTTTATGCCTTTTTTTTTTTTTTTTTTTTTTGAGACAGAGTTTCGTTCTTGATGCCCAGGCTGGAGTGCAATGGCGCGATCTCGACTCACTGCAACCTCCTCCTCACAGGTTCCAGCGATTCTCCTGCCTCAGCCTCCCAAGTAGCTGGGATTACAGGCATGTGCCACCATGCTCGGCTCATTTTGTATTTTTAGTAGAGATGGGGTTTCTCCGTGTTGGTCAAGCTGGTCTCAAACTCGCGACCTCAGGTGATCTGCCCACTTCGGCCTCCCAAAGTTCTGGGATTACAGGTGTGAGCCACTGTAAGAAAAGCCTATGCTTTGCTTTGCTTTGCTTTTTTTTTTTTTTTTTTTTTTTGAGACGTGTCTTGCTCTGTTGCCCAGGCTGGAGGCAGTGGTGCATCTCCGCTCACCGCAAGCTCTGCCTCCTGGGTTCAAGCCATTCTCCTGCCTCAGCCTCCCAAGTAGCTGGGACCATAGGCACCCCCCACCACGGCTGGTTAATTTTTTGTATTTTTAGTAGAGACAGGGTTTCACCGTGTTAGCCAGGATGATCTCGATCTGACCTCATGACCCGCCCGCCTCAGCCTCCCAAAATGCTGGGATTACAGGCGTGAGCCACTGCGCCCAGCGCTATGCCTTTCTTAAAGCAATCCTGCATCCATATAAAAGCCACATTTTCTTTTATTTTTTTTCTTCCTTTCCTTTCCTTTTTCCTTTCGCCTTTCCTTTTTCCTTCCCTTTCCTCTTTCCTTTCCCCTTCCCTTCCTTTTTCCTTATTCCTTTCCTTTCCTACAGTCTCTGTTGCTCAGGCTGGAGTACAGTGGCATAATGAGGGCTCACTATAGCCTCGAACTTATAGGCTGAAGCAATCTTCCCACCTTAGCTCCCTGCTTCTTGGTTTCCATGCCTGACTAATTAAAAAAAAATTTTTTTTAGAGATGGGGGTCTCACTATGTTGATCAGGCTGGCATACCTTTTTCTTAATTTTTAAAAATATTTCTGTGGTACGCAGTTTGTCTGCAAGTTTTTTTCAAATTGTTGCAAATCTCCAAAAAAATTCCCAATGTATTTACTGAGACCAGGCACAGTGGCTCATGCCTGTAATCCCAGCACTTTCAGAGGCCGAGGTGGGTCGCTCACCTGAGGTCCGGAGTTCGAGACCAGCCTAGCCAACATGGTGAAACCCTGTCTCTACTAAAAATTCAAAATTAGCCAGGCATGGTGGCGCATGCCTGTAATCCCAGCTACTAGGGAGGCTGAGGCAGGAGAATTGTTTGAGCCCAGAAGGCGGAGGTTGCAGTGATCTGAGATCACGCCACTACACTCCAGCCTGAGCGACCAAAAAAAAAAAAAAAATATATATATATATATATATGTGTGTATATATATATATATATTTATTTATTTATTTACTGAAAACAATTCACATATAAGTGGACCTGTGCAGTTCAAGCCTGTATTGTTCAAGAATCAACTGTATACTGTTTCACGATTCTTATATATGAAGTGATATATTACTTTAATATAGATTATGATAAAAGTATACACTAAATAAACCACTTCTTAAAAAAAGCAAAGAGGTGTAGCTAGTAAGCCAATAAAGGAGATAAAATTGAATCATAAGAATGCTTAATTAATCTAAAAGATGAGAGAAAAAGGAAAATGAACATATTGGACAAGTGTGGTCGATTTAAATCCAACCATATCAATAATCCCATTAAATACAAACAATCTAATCACCACTACCAATAGGTGAAAATTATCAGATTGCATCTAAAAGCACGACCCAGCCGCATGCTGTCTGCAACAAACTTTTAAATATATTTCAATACACAGACTAAAAGTAGAAGGATGAAAGACGATATACCATGCAAACACCAATTAGAAGAAATCAAGATTTTACTGTATTAATATCAAAGTAGATTTCGGAACAAAGAATATTACCATGAATATAAGCAGCTTATTTAATGATGAAAGAGGAGTTAGTTCTTCAAGAGGACTTAATGATCATAAATGTTTATACATATAGTAATAGTTCCAAATATGTGAAGCAGGTGTGGTGCATACCTATACCTAGCATTTTGGGAGGAAAAGACAGGTGGATCACTTGGGTTCAGGAGTTCAAGACCAGCTTGGGCAGCATGGCGAAACACCATCTCTACAAAAAAATAGAAAAATTAGCCAGGGGACTGGGCGCGGTGGTTCACGCCTGTAATCCCGGCACTTTGGGAGGCCGAGGTGGTTGGATCATTTGAGGTCAGGAGTTCAAGACCAGCCTGGCCAACATGTGAAACCTCGCCTCTACTAAAAATACAAAAATTAGATGGGCGTGGTGATGGGCGCCTGTAGTCCCAGCTACTCGGGAGGCTGAGGCAGGAGAATTACTTGAACCCAGGAGGTGGAGGTTGCAGTGAGCCGAGATTGCACCACTGCATTCCAGTCTGGGTGACAGAGCGAGACTCCCTCAAAAAAAAAAAAGAAAAAAATTTAGCCAGGCATGGTGGCATGTGCCTGTAGTCTCAGCTACTCGGGGTGCTGAGGTGGGAGGATAGCATAGTTGGAGATTTCAACACCACTCTCTAAATAATTGGTAGAATAAGTAAAACACAAATCAGTAATTAACCCAGTTAACACTTAACCACTCCAACAACAGCATGATACACATTCTTTACTGGTATTCATAGAATGTTTACTAAAATAGACCATATCTTGGGCCATAAAATAAGTTTCAATAAATTTAGAATTTTTTTTTTTTTTTTTGAGATGGAGTCTCATTCTGTCACCCAGGCTGGAGTGCAATGGTGCCATCTTGGCTCACTGCACTCTCCACCTTCTGGGTTCAACTGATTCTCCTGCCTAAGCCTCTGAAGTAGTTGGTACAGGTGCACAGTACCATGCCCAGCTAATTTTTTTATTTTTTTGTATTTTTGGTGGACACAGGGTTTTGCCATATTGGCCAGCCTGGTGTCAAACTCCTGGCCTCAAGTGATCCACCCAACTTGACCTCCCGAAGTACTAGGATTACAGGCGTACACTTCTCCACTTGGCCTCTATTACTAATTTCTAACTAAATCCCTTTATGACAAAACATACTTTGTGTATTTAAATCCTAAATTTGGCTGGGCGCGGTGGCTCACGCCTGTAACCCCAGCACTTTGGGAGGCCTAGGCGGGCGGATCACTTGAGATTGGGAGTTAAAGACCAGCGTGGCCAGCATGGCAAAACCCCATATCTACTAAAAATAGAAAAAAAAAAAAATTAGCTGGGCGTAGCGTCACGCGCCTGTAGTCCCAGCTACTTGGGAAGCTGAGGCAGGAGAATTGCTTGAATCTGGGAGGCAGGGGTTGAAATGATCCGAGATCGTGCCACTACACTCCAGCCTGGGTGACAGAGAGAAACTCTGTCTAAAAAAAAAAAAAGAAAAAAAGAAATGAGTAACATAACAATATCTGGAAAATCCCCAAATATTTGGAAACCTAACCACTCTGAAACTCTGTCAACAAAGAATTAATAAGGGAAATTAGAAAATGTTAACAGAATGAAAATGGGAACATGATATGGAAAAATTTGTGGGATGCAATTAATGAAGTGCTTAATGGAAGTTTATAGCATTAAATAGTTAGGAAGCAGAAAAATCTAAAATCATTGACCTTAAGAAATTAGAAAAGAAGAGCAAACTAAAAGTAAGCAAAGGAGAGGAAATTGTAAAGACCAGAGCAAAAATTAATGAACTAAAAAGCCAAAAAAAAAAAAAAAAAATCAGCAAAACTACAAGCTAGTTCTTTAAGATTGACAAAATTGAACTTTTAGCCAGACTTACTAAGAAAGGAAAAGAGAAGACACACACACCTTACCAGTATTAGGTATGTATGAGAGAGACAACATCACTGATGATTTTCCAGGCATTGAATATCATGAACCATTCCTTTTTTTTTTTTTCTTGAGATGGAATCTTGCTCTGTCGCCCAGGCTGGAGTGCAATGGCGCGATCTTGGCTCACTTCAACCACTGCCTCCTAGGTTCAAGCGATTCTCCTGCCTCAGCCTTCCAAGTAGCTGGGACTACAGGCATGTGCCACCACGCCCAGCTAAGTTTTGTATTTTTAGTAAAGATGGGGTTTTGCTATGTTGGCCAGGCTGGTCTCAAATTCCTGACCTCAGGTGATTCACCCACCTGCCTCGGCCTCCCAAAGTGCTGGGATTACAGGGGAGAGCCACCGTGCCTGGCCTATCATGAGCCATTTTATGTCAATAAATTTTACTATTTATTTATTTATTTATTTATTTATTCATTTATTTTTTGAGACAGAGTCTCGCTGTGTCGCCCAGGCTGGAGTGCAGTGACGCGATCTCGGCTCACTGCAAGCTCCGCCTCCCGGGTTCACGCCATTCTCCTGCCTCAGCCTCCCGAGTAGCTGGTACTATAGCCCGCCACCACGCCTGTCTAATTTTTGTGTTTTTAGTAGAGGTGGGGTTTCACCGTGTTACCCAGGATGGTCTCGATTTCCTGACCTCGCGATTCGCCCGCCTCGGCCTCCCAAAGCCGGATTACAGGCGTGAGCTACCACGCCCGGCCAAATTTTACTGTTTATATTAAATGGACACATTTCATGAAAGACACAAACTGCTAAAGCTCATTCAAAAAGAAACATAACCTGAATAGGTTTATGTCTACTAGAGAAATTATAGTTTAAAAACTCACCCACAGGGTCAAATGGCTTTACTGCTGAAGTCTTATCAAGAATTTAAGACATACCATTTCTACATAAACTTTTGAAGAACATAGAGGAACACTTCCCAACTCATATTATGAGCCCAACCTTACTCTGATTCCAAAACCAGATAAAGATATAAGAAAACTACAGACCAAATTTTCTTGTGTACGTGGATACAAAAATCTTTAACAAAGTTTTAGTAAATTAAAGCCAACGATATGTGAAAAGGACAATACATCATAATCAAGTAGGGTTTATCACAGAAATTCAAGGTTCATTACATTCAGAATTCAACCAATGTAATTCTCTATTAACAGACTGAAAAAATAACCTATGATCATCTTAATAGAAGCAGAAAAGCATTTGACAAAATTCAGCTTCCTTAAGAACCACTGGGTTTAAAAAAAAAAATTCAGGCTTCATTCATGTTAAAAACTCTGAATAAATGAGAAGGAAATGTCTTCAATTGGATAGAGGGCATTTATGAAAAACCCACAGCTAATATAATACTTAGTGGTAATACTGAATTCTCTGCCCCTAAGAATAAGAAAAAGGCATGGGTATTTGCTCTTACTGATTCTTTTCAACATAGTACTGATGGTTCTGGTCAGTGTACTAAGTAAGGGGGTGGGGGAAACAGTAAAAGGCATAAGATTGAAAAGGGAAAAACAGTTTTCCCACTGCAGAGGATAGCATCATGTATGTAGAGTATCATAAAATGTATAAAACTAGAAAAATTTAGGAAGGATTCAGGTTACAAAGTCAATATATAAAAGCCCATTATATGTTTATATGCTAGCAGGAGCAATCTGAAATTGACAAAACATACCATGTACAAATAGCATAAAAATATGAAATACTCAGGGCTAAATTTGACAAGACACATGCAGTACCATTGCTTATGGATCAAAACATTGCTTATGGATCAGAAGACTTGATATTTTTAAATTCTTCCCATGTCCATAGATTCAATACAATTCCAGTTGACAAAATTTGTCTGGAAGCACAGAGTCTAGAATAGACAAAACAAGTTTGAAAATGAAGATTAAAGTTGGAAGACTTAAACTACCTGATTTCAAGACTTATTATAAAAAGTTCATTAATTAAAATGGTATGTGAAATAAACATGTCAGTTGATTTTTGACAGAGTTGCCAAGTCATTTCAATGGGAAAGAGATGACTTTTTAAAAAGTGTTTCTTTCTTTTTTTTTTCTTTCTTTTTTTTTTTTTTTTGAGACAGTCTCGCTCTGTTGCCCAGGCTGGAGTGCAGTGGCCCGATCTCAGCGCACTGCAAGCTCTGCCTCTCGGGTTCACGCCATTCTCCTGCCTCAGCCTCCCGAGTAGTTGGGACTATAGGCGCCTGCCACTACGCCCGGCTAATTTTTTTTGTATTTTTAGTAGAGACGGGGTTTCACCGTGTTAGCCAGGATGGTCTCGATCTCCTGACCTCGTGATCCGCCCGCCTCGGCCTCCCAAAGTGCTGGGATTACAGGCATGAGCCACCGCGCCCGGCCAAGAAGTGTTTCTTAAACAATTGGATAAACCGTATACTAAAAACAAACCTTCAAACTTACATCAAAAAATTAACTCAAAATGGATCATAGATCCGGGTGTGGTGTCTTATGCCTGTAATCCCAGCACTGTGGGAGGTGGAGGCGGACTCTACTAAGGAAAAGCAAACAAACAAACAAAACAAAACTAGCCTGGCATGGTGGCACATGCCTGTAATCCCAGCTACTCAGGAGGCTGAGGTGGGAGAATCGCTTGAGTCTGAGAGGTCGAGGCTGCAGTGAGCTGTGATCATCCCACTGCATTCCAACCTGGGAAATAGAGCAAGACCCTGTCTCGAAAATAAAATTCTTTTTTAAAGACACTGTTGAGAAAATGAAAATGCAAGTTTCATACTGGCAGAAAATGTAAGTTTTAGAAAATACTCATATGTAGAATATATGAAGAACTCTTAGAATTCATCAATAAGAAGACAACCCAATTAAAAAATGGACAAGAGATGTGAACAAACACTCGGCCAGGGAAGATACAGGGTTGAAAAATCAGCACATGAAAAGATGTTCAGTATTACTCATTAAAAAAATGCAGGCAGGGTGCAGTGGCTCACTCCTGTAATCCCAGCACTTTGGGAGGCTGAGGCAGGCGAATCACTTGAGGCCAGGAGTTCGAGATCAGCCTGGCCAACATGGTGAAACCCCATCTCTACTAAAAATACAAAAAATTAGCTGGGTATGGTGGCCCACATCTGTGGTTCCAGCTACTCTGGAGGCTGAGACATGAGAATCGCTTGAACCTGGGAGCCAGAGGTTACATGAACTGAGATTGCACCACCGCACTCGAGCCTGCGTGACAGAGTCAGACTCTGTCTCAAAAACAACAAGAAAAAAAACCCATCAAACAAAAAGTCTGGCCATACCAAATGTTGATGAGACTGTGGAGCAGTTAGAATTCTCATGTTACTGATAAGAAAGATGGTACAACCACTTTGAAACAGACTTAAAAAAAAAAATTAGACCAGGCGTGGTGGCTCACGCCTGTAATCCCAGCACTTTGGGAGGCCAAGGTGGGCAGACACCTGAGGTCAGGAGTTCAAGAGGTCAGGAGTTCAAGACCAGCCTGGCCAACATGGTGAAACCCTGTCTCTACTAAAAATACAAAAATTAGCTGGGTGTGGTGGCGTGCACTTGTAATCCTAGCTACTCAGAAGGCTGAATCAGAAAATTGCTTGAACCCAGAGGTGGAGGTTACAGTAAGCCGAGATTGCACCACTGCACTCCAGCCTGGGTGACAGAGCGAGACTCTTTCTCAAAAAAATAAAAAAATAAAAAAAACATATTTTTACCACAAGAGACACCCATTCTTCCCTCTATGTCTTTATGCAAGAGAAATGAATCCATATGTTCATGTCAAGATTTATATATGATTTTTTATACCTGCTCTATTTGTAATAGTTAAAAATTGGAAATAGCTGGGTATGGTGGCACACACCTATAGTTCCTAGCTATTCGGGAGGGTGAGGTGGGAGGATCCTGGAGTCCAAGAGTTTGAGGCCAGCTTGAGCAACATAACAAGACCCCATATCTAAAAAAAATAAAAATAAATAATAAATGGGAAACAACCCAGATATTCCTCAACACATAAATGAATAAATTATGCTTTATCTATTCAATGGTGTATAACTCAACAATAAAATTAACAATTTATTGATATATCAGTACATGGAAATTGTAAGACATTTTTTAAAGTTTTTGGTGGTCTGTTGGGTGTGGCATGAAATTTTTGGTTTTAATTTGTATTTTCCTAATTCCTAGGAGAAGATGAATTTATCTTTATTATTAGTCATTTGAGTTTCTAATTTTTAGTCTTTGGCAAGTTTTCTAATTACTTACTTGTCATTTTCTTTTTGGTTTGTAATTCTTTGTATATACTAAGTACCAGTTATTTGTCCTATATGTATGTTTCACAAAAAAACTTGCAGTCTGTAGCTTATTTTTTAACTGTTTATGAATTTTTAAAATTGTATAGAAGTTTTCAATTTTGAAGTCATCAAAAGTTTCAATGTTTTTTCTGATTTGTGCTAATTCTTATTCAAGAAATCCTTCTTTATGCTGAGGTCATTAAGAATCTTGTATATCTGTTTTTGAACATTTTAAGGATTTACTTTTCATGTGTAGGTCTTTAATCTACCAGAAATTTATATTTGTGTGTGGTGTGAATATGGCTCTGATTTTTTTTCTATGTGGATAACTAATTGCCCCAACACATCTGGTACCGTATTTAATTATGCTTCTAATATAATCAAGTTTTGGGTCATGTACAGGATCTCTATTCTTTTCCCATTGATCTGCTCAATTCCCAGGTCTTAATTACTATATAAGAAGCTTATGCCTTGGATGCCATGGTTCACGCCTGTAATCCCAGCACTTTAGGAGGCTGAGGTGGGTGGATCATTTGAGGTTAGGAGTTTGAGACCAGCCTGGCCAACATGGTGAAACCCCATGTCTACAAAAAAGTACAAAAATTAGCTGGGTGTGGTGGCGCGCACCTGTAGTCCCAGCTACTCACGAGGCTGAGACAGGAGAATTGCCTGAGTGCAGGAGGCAGAGGTTGCAGTGAGCCGAGATCATGCCACTGCACTCCAACCTGGGTGACAGAGTGATGATCCATCTAAAAAAAAAAAAAAAAAAAGCGTTTGCCTAGTGTGGCAGATTTTCCTTCCTTGTTCATCTTATTTAAACTCCATTGACATTTTTGTTGGAATTGAATTGAATTTAAAGATCGACATGGGGGAACTGACTTTGCAATATTGAGTCATTCTAGCCAGAGATATGATCTATGACTCCATTTGTTTGGGTTATTTATACCCTTCAATAACATTTCATAAGTTTTTCATTAAAGATCTCTTTTCCCTAGATTTGTTTTTTTTTTTTTTTTTTTTTGAGATGGAGTCTTGCTGTGTTGCCCAGGCTGGAGTGCAGTGGCACCATCTTGGCTCACTGCAACCTCCACCTCTTGGGTTCAAGTGATTCTCCTGCCTCAGCCTCCCATACCCTAAGTAGTTTTGTTAATTATTGTATTTCCTTTCTCTACTGTTAGAATATAGATACACTGTTAATTTTAGTACATTGATCTTCATTTCAGCTGAATTCTTTTAAATGCTAAATGTTTGGTACTTAGATTTTCTTGGGTACTAGACAGCCACATTGGTTAAATTTAGGAAAGTTTTGTTTCTTTTTAATTACACCTTCTTTGTTTTTTATGTCTTACTGCTTTTGTCTAAGCCTTCCCATTCAATAATGAATAGAGATGGTGATGGTGAGCATCCGTATATCATTCCTGACTCTAATGATGACTTTTTTTCATATAAACTCAGTAATAACAATATTGACTCCAATTTATTAAGTTCCTACTCTGTGCCATGTACAAATCACACAGTGTGTTAGTGATTTGTTTCTAATTTTTGTAATATCTTGCAAGACAGATAGAGTTACCCCATTTTATATATGACATTCAAACAGGTAGAGTAGTAGTTTGCCTGTTACATAATTAGTGAGTAGAAAATCTGGGAATTAGTTATTGTTAGTTTTTGTGCTTTACCTAGAGAAAATCTCTCAGTGGGGAGAAGTAGAAAGACTTGCTAAAATGAAATGCTGACATTTTCTTTATGAATTCTCCATCTGCTACATGCTATAGAAATGGCACATACTCCCTCAGTACTCACCATCCACAGGCCTTACTTATTGCTTCCTTTTATATCCTGTTGATGTGAATGAACACTATTGTTTTTTTAGTCTTAATTATTGCTTAATTCAGATTATGTCTTATTCATCACATAAGCAGATTTTGCCTTCTACAGCAGCAGCTCTTCGTTCTACATCTCTTTTTTCATTCTTTAGACAGTTTTTTATTTTAATCAGACAGGATCTTGCTCTGTCGCCTAGGCTAGAGTACAGTGGTGCCATCACGGCTTGCTCCAGCCTCAACCTCTTGGGCTCAAGCAGTCCTTCCACGTCAGCCTTCTGAGTAGCTGGGACCACAGGTGAGCACCTAGCTAATTTTGTATTTTATTTTTATTTTTTGAGACAGAGTCTCACTCTGTCGCCCAGGCTAGAGTACAGTGGCACCCATGGTCTTGGCACACTGCAACCTCCACCTCCAAGGTTCAAGCAATTCTTTGCCTCAGCCTCCTGAGTAGCTGGGATTACAGGCACCCGCCACCATGCCCAGCTAATTTTTGTATTTTTAATAGAGATGGGGTTTCACCATCTTGGCCAGGCTGGTCTTGAACTCCTGACTTTGTGATTCACCCTCCTTGGCCTCCCAAAGTGCTGGGATTACAGGCGTGAACCACTGCACCTGGCCAACGCCTAGCTAATTTTTAAATTTTATGTAGAGACAGGGTCTTCCTATGTTGCCCAGGCTGGTCTTGAACTCCTGAGCTCAAGCGATCCTCCTGCTTTGGCCTCCCAAAGTGTCGAGATTACAGGCATGAGTTCTCATTCTTTAGACATTTGATGTAGTTGTTTGTTTTTGGTTTTAGTTATTTTTTGAGTGAGGTCTTGCTCTGTTGCCCCATCTGGAGTGCAGTGGTACAATCATAGCTCTCTGCAGTTTGAACTCCTGGGCTCAAGGTATCCTCCCGTCTCAGCCTCCCAAGTAGCTGGGATTAGAGGGTAACCATCACGCCTGACCATTTGATGTAGTTTTATTTGCCATCCAGATATGGGAGAAGTTTTGGAAGTTTATCTCAGGCTTCATCTCTCTTCACTCATGTAAGCTTTTTTTTCTTTTCAAAAATTTTCTTATGGGAATTTAAACATAAATAACAATAGAGAATAGTTTAACTTCCATGAATCCAACACCTAGTTTCAACACAGTCTCCTCCCATTTTTTATTGTTGTTATTAAAGTTGGATTATTTTATTTATTAGTTTAATGTATTTTATTTTATTTTTATTTTATTAATTTGTTTGAGACAGAGTCTTGCTCTGTCGCCCAGTCTGGTGTGCAGTGGCGCGATCTCGGCTTACTGCAATCTCTGCCTCCCGGGTTCAAGCGATTCTCCTGCCTCAACTTCCCAAGTAGCTGAGACTGTAGGCATGTGCCACTATGCCTGGCTGATTTTTGTATTTTTAGTAGAGATGGGATTTCACCATGGCCAGGCTGGTCTCAAACTCCTGACCTCAGATTATCTGCCCACCTCGGCCTCCCAAAGTGCTGGGATTACAGGCGTGAGCCATTGTGCCCGGTTGAGTTTAATGTATTTTAATAACAAACTTACAGGAACAGCACAGAAGACAGACAACATTAAAACCATGTACTGGCCAGGCGCTGTGGCTCACGCCTGTAATCCCAGCACTTCGACGGGCTGAGGCAGGTGGATCACGAGGACAGGAGATGGAGACCATCCTGGCTAACATGGTGAAACCCCGTCTCTACTAAAAATACAGAAAATTAGCCGGGCGTGGTGGCACATGCTTGTAGTCCCAGCTACTCGGGAGGCTGAGGCAGGAGAATGGCTTGAACCCGGGAGGCGGAGGTTATAGTGAGCTGAGATCGTGCCACTGCACTCCAGCCTGGGCGACAGAGCGAGACTCTGTCTCAAAAAAAAAAAACAACCAAAAAACAAAAAGCAAACCATGTACTTAGATGTAGGACAACTGAATTAGAAAAATATGGTGAATGGATGGAATTAACTGCATGATAAAAATGCTGCAAACACTATTTAGTTGCCAACAGTAAGAAATTTACTTGATTTTCTTGATTTTCTTTTCTTTTTTTTTTTTTTTTTTTTTTTTTTTTGGAGACGGAGTCTCGCTCTGTCGGCAGGTTAGAGAGCAGTGGCGAGATCTCGGCTCACTGCAAGCTCTGCCTCCCGGGTTCACGCCATTCTCCTGCCTCAGCCTCCCGAGTAGCTGGGACTACAGGCACCTGCCACCACGCCCGGCTAATTTTTTGTATTTTTAGTAGAGTCGGGGTTTCACCGTGTTAGCCAGGATGGTCTCAATCTCCTGACCTCGTGATCTGCCCGCCTCAGCCTCCCAAAGTGGTGGGACTACAGGCGTGAGCCACCATGCCCGGCCTTGATTTTCAAGTAATCCAAATTCTGGCATTATCCAGAAAAATTCAACAGGTTTATTTATAATTAGAATTGAACTCCTGAAACTTGTTCACTGAAACATATTGACTTGCATTAATGCTTTATGTACCCAAATTTATATGAAAAATTCACACATAAATGAAAATGGAAAAACAGCCAATACTACTTGATTTCCGCTTCTTTTTTTGTTTAGAAACAGTGCCTCCCTCTGTTGCTCAGGTTGGAGTGCAGTGGTGCGATCACGGCTCACTGCAGCCTGCAGCCTCAACCTCCTGGGCTCAAGTGATCTTCCTGCCCTAGCTTCCTGAGTAGCTGGGACTACAGGTGTGTGCCACCATGCCTGGCTAATTTTTCTCTCTCTTTTTTTTTTTTTTTTTTTTTTTTTTTTGAGACGGAGTCTCGCTCTGTCGCCCAGGCTAGAGTATAGTGGCACAATCTTGGCTCACTGCAACCTCTGCCTCCCGGGTTCAAGCAATTCTCCTGCCTCAACCTCCTGAGTAGCTGGGATTACAGGCGTGTGCCACCACACCTGGCAAATTTTTGTATTTTTAGTAGAGACGGGGTTTTGCCATGTTGGCCAGACTGGTCTTGAGCTCCTGACCTCAGGTGATTCACCTGCCTTGGCCTCCCAAAGTGCTGGGTTTACAGGCGTGAGTCACCGTGCCCAGCCCTATTTTTCGTAGAGATGAGGTTTCACTAGTTGCCCAGGCTGCTCTTGAACTCTCAAGCTCAAGTGCTTCTCCTGCCTTGGCCTCCCAAAGTGTTGGGATTACAGGTGTGAGCCACCACACCTGGCCTTTTTTTATTTCTTAATAGAGACAAGGGAGACGAGGTCTCGCCATGTTGCCCAGGCTGATCTTGAACTCCTGGGCTCAATCGATCCTTAGGCTTCAGCCTCCCACAGTGTTGAGATTATAGGCATGAGCCACTGTGCCAAGCTGATTTCTGTTTCTCACTTTTCCACTTACAGTGATATATTTTGATACCTTTTGACCTCACAGAAAAAAATACAGAACGATCAGAACTATCAATAACAGGAAAAAGATTTTTCTTCCTTAGGATGAAACATCTGTCATGAGAGTGGATTTTTTTTTCTTTTTTTGAGACAGGGTCTTGCTCTGTCACCTAGGCAAGACCTCATCTGAGTCTGCTAGAGATTCATCAATTTTATTTATCCTTTGAAGGAACTAGTTTTTTGTTTCATATTTTTTCCTGTTTTCAATTTCATTGAGTTTTGCTTTTTATTATTACCTTCATTGTGATTCCTTTGAATGTATTTTGTTCTCCTCTTTTTAGTTTCTTAAGATGGAAAGTTAGATTATTGATATAAGATGTTTCTACTTGTATTAAGTCAGCTTCAGCTGCTGTTGCAAAATACCACAGACTAGGTGGCTTAAACAGCAGAAATTTTTCTTTTCTTTTCCTTGTAGACAGCATGTAATTGGGTCATTTTTAAAAATGTATTTGGACAATCTCTGTCTTTTAACTGGCATTTTTAGACAATTTACACTTAATATAATTGTTACTATGTTAGATTTTGTCTACCATCTTATTTTGTGTTTTTTCTTTGTTCCTCTTATTTTTTAATCACTTGTTGATTCTGTTGTTTTGCCTTTGAGTGATTTGAACCTTTGTAGTATTGGATTTTAATCTTTGTAATTTATCTACCTGGTTCTGACTATATCTTTTTGTATAGGTTTTTTATTGGTTACTGTAGAGATCTCTCTAGATCTCTATGTATGTATGCACACATATACACACATATATACACACACAGATATGTGGTACATGTACACATGTGTGCATGTAGATATACACACCTAACTTTTTTTTTTTAAGATGGGGTCTCACTCTGTCATCCAGGCTGGAGTGCGGTGGCACAGATACAGCTCATTGCAGCTTCAAACTCCTGGACTCAAGTGATCCTCCCTCCTCAGCCTCCTGAGTAGCTGAGACTGTAGGCCTATGCCACCAAGCCCAGCTAATTTTTTAATTTTTTTGTACAGATAGGGTCTCGCTATGTTGACCAGGCTTGTCTTGAACTCCTGGCCTCAGGTGACCCTCCTGCCTCAGCCTCCTTACATGCTGGGATTACAGGTGTGAGCCACGATGCCCAGCTACATGTAACTTTTAATATTTAGAATTGATATTTTACCATTTCAGGTGGAGTCTTGAAACCTTACCACCATATAGGTTTCTTTCGTATCCCTCTTTATGTTGTAGTTGCCTTATCTGTTACATCTACATACATTAAAAACCCCATCAACTTAAAACTTTCGCTCTCAAACATCAAACATTTTAAGGAACTCAATAGGAGAATAGTCTATTATATGTAATCAAATATTTACCATTTATGTTTTTCTTCCTTCTGGTCTTCCATATTTTGTTGTATTATCATTTTCTTTTTGTAAAATGTCCTTTGACCATTCTTTTAGTGCAGATCTGCTACTGTGAATTCTCTTAGTTTTCCTTCATCTGAGAATGTCTTTATTTCATCTTCATTACTGAAGGATATTTTCTCTAGATATAGAATACTGTATTTATAGTTCTTTCATTTAGCACTTTAAAAAAAATGTTGTCCCACTTCCTTCTAGTTCTCATGGTTTCTTTTTTTTTTGTTTTTGAGATGGAGTTTCACTCTTGTTGCCCAGGCTGGAGTGCAATGGCACGGTCTTGGCTCACTGCAACCTCTGCCTCCTGGGTTCAAGTGATTCTCCTGCCTCAGCCTCCCAAGTAGCTGGGATTACAGGCGCCCGCCACCATGCCTGGCTAATTTTTTGTACTTTTAGTAGAGACGAGGTTTCACCACGTTGGCCAGGCTGGTCTCGAACTCCTAGCCTCAGGTGATCCACTCGCTTCGGCCTCCCAAAGTGCTGGGATTATAGGTGTAAGCCACTGCTCCAGGCCTTTTTTTTTTTTTTTTTGAGACGGAGTTTTGCTCTTGTTGCCCAGGCTGGAGTGCAATGGCACGATCTTGGCTCACTGCAACCTCTACCTCTCGGGTTCAAGCAATTCTGCCTCAGCCTCCTGAGTAGCTGGGATTACAGGCACCCACCACCACGCCCGGCTAATTTTTGTATTTTTGGTAGAGGTTGGGTTTCACCGTGTTGGCCAGCCTGGTCTGGAACTCCTGATCTCAGGTGATCTGCCTGCCTTGGCCTACCAAAGTGCTGGGATTACAGGCGTGAGCCACCGCACCCAGCCCTCATTCTCCTGGTTTTTGATAAGAAATATGAAGCTGCCAGGCATGGTGGCTGGTGCCTGTAATCTCAGTTACTTGGGAGGCTGAAGTGGGAGGATTGCTTGAGGCCAGGAGTTGAGAAGCCTGGGCAACATAGCAAGAACTCTTCTCTAAAAAAATAAAATAAATATAGATTAGGGGGCATGGGGGCACATGCCTGTAGTCCCAGCTACCTGAGAGCCAGAACCAGGAGGCAGGAGGATTGCTTGAGCCCAGAAGTTCAACGCTGCAGTGAGCTGCAATCCTGCCACTGCACTCCAGCCTGATGCTAAAGCAAGACCTGTCTCTTAATATATGTGTGTGTGTGTGTGTGTGTGTGTGTGTGTGTGTGTGTGTGTGTATAAAAGAAATATGAAGCCATTTGAATCATTATTGCCTTAATAACGAATGCATCATTTCATTTTGGTTGCCTTCAAGATTTTTTCTCTTTTTGTGTTTAGCTGTTAGGTTATGATGAATCCAGGAGTTTATCATGGATTTGTTTGTGTTTATCCTGTTTGGGGCAATTACTGAGCTTCTTGAATCTGTTGGTTTATGTCTTTTGTCAAACTTGTGAAGTTTGCTTCCATTATTTCTTTCAGTATTTCAGTACACTCTTTCTCCTCACCTTCTGGGACTCTAATGTCCTGAATATTAGACATTTTGGTATTGTTCCTCAGGTCCTTGATGATCTGGTTTTTTTTTCCCCCAATAAGGAAATTTTTTTAGGCCAGTTGCAGTGGCTCATGCCTGTAATCCCAGCATTTTGGGAGCCCGAGGCAGGCAGATCACCCGAGGTCGGGAGTTTGATACCAGCCTGACCAACATGGAGAAACCCAGTATCTACTAAAAATACAAAATTAGCCGGACATGGTGGTGCATGCCTGTAATCCCAGCTACTCTGGAGGCTGAGGCAGGAGAATCGCTTGAACCAGGAAGGTGGAAAGGTGGAGGTTGCGGTGAGCTGAGATTGCACCATTGCACTCCAACCTGGGCAACAAGAGCAAAACTCCATCTCAAAAAAAAAACAAAAAACAAAAAAACAGGAGAAGTTTTTTTCCTTTAGTGTTGAAATTCAGTGTTCACATTTGATACCTCTGTTGATCTGACTTCAAATTCATTGACTCTTTCCCCTGTCATTTCTGTTCTGCTGTTGAACTCATCAAGTGAGTTTTTATGTTCTGGTTGTTATATTTTCCAGTTCTAAAATTTTCATTTGATTCTTCTTTATATCCTCTGTTTCTTTGCTGAGACATTCTGTCTTTTCATTAGTTTCAAGAATGTTTGTCCTACCTTGTTGGAATATTTTTGTCATGTGAGGTTGTTAATTTCAACATTTGCATCATCTTCTTGTTTTGACTGTTCATCTCTTTTCTTATACAAATTCAAATTATCTTGATTCTTCATATGCTGGGAAATTTTAGATTGTATCCTGGAAAATTTGAATATTATGTCATGAATGTCAGGGTCTTCTTTAAATCCTGTGGTGAATATTGACTTTAATTTTAGCAGACATTCAACCTGGTTGTGTTCAACTTCAAGTTCCGTGCAGCTTTTCGTGAGTGATGATTCCAAAGTCTGTTCAGTTTTTGAAGGCTTTGCATTGCTATTTAGATCTGCCTTGCATGTATATCACCTACCCACTCATCTGAGATTTGGCTGATGGCTATTCTTATAGTTCAGAATGACCTTAACGTTAGGAGATACGTACTGAATTGTTTTAGGTGTGAAGAGTCATCATGAAAGCATGTCAAATAGACCTGAAAAAAATTTATATGCACATATATGCATGCACATATGTGTATACGTAAGTTTGTATATGTATCTAGGTGATTGTTGTGCTGGTTTTGCAAATTCTTTTTATGTTAGAAATTTCTCAAGTAAAAATTTCAGGGCAACAAAGAAATAAATAAAGGTCAAAAACATGTCATTCATCTGCTTAAAAACCACAAATGGCCTGTCATCTCATGAAGTGTAAAAGTTAGATTGCTTTCAGTGGTCGATTTGGCCCTGCGGGATCAGCCTTCCAACCCCCTAAGGCTTCTCATCTCACTCAGAGTAAAAGCCAGAACCTGTTTTTTTTTTTTTTTTTTTTTTAACCTTTTGTAAGACCCTTCATGAGTCTATCTCTTATTCCTAGAGCTTATCTTAGTTCCTGTCCATAGTAATAACCCAACCAGACAAGTATTTGTCTGAATGAATAAATAGATGTGTTTTTGTGACAGGTTTTATTGTTTTCATCAGGATGCCTTGACCATAGCTATACATTATTTTTTGCTGTTGCAGATCATGCACTGCCTGTAATGTTCATTACTTCCTGAGCAATAGAGATTATTACTATCCTTCCTTGGGCTCTTAAAAATTAAGATCCGAGGCTAGGCTCGGTGGCTCACGTCTGTAATCCCAGCATTTTGGGAGGCCAAGGCAGGCAGATCACCTGAGGTCGGGAGTTCGAGACCAGCCTGACCAGCCTGGAGAAACCCTGTCTCTACTAAAAATACAAAATTAGCTGGGCCTGGTGGCGCATGTCTGTAATCCTAGCTACTCGGGAGGCTGATGCAGGAGAACCGCTTGAACCGGGAGGCGGAGGTTGTGGTGAGCCAAGATCGCGCCATTGGACTCTAGCTTGGGCAACAAGAGTGAAACTCCGTCTCAAAAAAAAAAAAAAAAAAAAATTAAGACCCGAGGGTCATATCTAAGCTTGCCGTTCCAGAGCCATGTATACTTTCTCAAATAATTACTTTTCTTTCCTGGTCTCCTTTGTACCAATTTCTTTATTTTAATCTACTTATTGTCATCCCTGTACTTACACTCTCCATTACCATCCTTTTTCATCAGTTCTGTCAGTAAGATGCCTTCATGGTTTCCTTATTCCCTCATTTTATAGCCAAAGTATTTTTCCCTTCCTTTGGGGGCAAATAATAGGAAGAGGAATAGATAGCTACTGGTATCCTGTGCTGTCTGCCTTCTGCCCCAAAATGAAAAACAATTTTACTAAATATAGCTCGCTGGCAAGAAAATTCTCTATAACAAGGTTTGGTCTTAATTTTACATTTCTAAAGTCCAGCCCAGTAGCTTTTAGGCAAAGATCATATCCCTGACCTCAGTTATTTTGCAGGTGAGAAAAAGGTAAGGTAAATTTAAAGGTGAGCTTTTAATTCAATACATATTTCCAACTTGTTATTCACTAAAGAGACTATTTTGGTATTTCGACATATGTAGCAGAAAGGAGCTGCTGCTGTGTCTTTAAAAGCTATCCTCAGAGCAGTGTGGAGGCAGGCGTGCCACTGAAGTACTTGAATGAGAGCGAGAAGAGGAGGTGGGAGGGGGTGCTCTTACAGCCTCTGTGTGTGTGTGTGTGTGTGTCTGTGTGTGCCTGTGTCTGTGTCTGTGAGTGTATGTGCCAGTGTGACTGTTGGCAGAGCTCTGGATGATATCTCTCTGAACAGCTGGGCCATGGTCGGCTTCAGAGCTGCTTGTCAGAGCAGTTAGTTAGCTGGAGCTCCAGCAGCAAGGATCAGTATCATTTCATTCAAGGGTGAAGGGGGCGGGAGAGGGCTGTGGGTGGGGGAAGAGGCACAGGTTTCCCAGAAGGAATTTCTTCCGGCAAAATTCCGGCAGAACAGATCTTTACAATGAAGTCTCCATTAATAATGTGAGCTCGCTGTTGGTGTAAGTACAGATCCATCTGGGGTGAGTTTTGGATAATTTTCTTTTTTTATATAAAAGTCCTTGAACTCCACAGACTGGGTAGAAAGAAGCTATAAAGATATTTTTCTATCTTGGCTGATTTAACTGTATAGTACACACTAGGGAAATTAGAGAATTTTGAAGTGCTAAGTTTTGTGAAGGTGTTTTAGGCATTTTCATTTGCTGTTTTTTATCTTTAAAATATTATAAAAATTAGGTTTGCTAGAACTTTTACACTATTCAGATTTTACCTCTTCCATGACTATTTCAAGCAATGCTTCATTCAGATGCAGCTTATGAGAACAGTGGTGATTTCTGTTCTCTTTGGTGATGCTGTTGACGCACATTGCAGGAAGCAGGGATTCCCCTATAAATATCCTTCACTGTGTCATTACCCAGCTATCCGCACCTGGCTGGTGAATGTGCCTGTCTGTCCTATATCTTTACGTAACTATCCCCTAGTCTTTAAATGTGATAAGCCTTTGCTATGTCTGGGGAGATTTTTTGATTATGAACATCCTAGGAGGCATTTGTTAAAACCTTTTTACTAAAAAATGCCTTTTGATGTGTTGAGATTGTCACATGGATTTCTTCTGGGTTTATTTATTCTTATTTTGTATTACTTTTTCTTATAATTGGCTTGTTTTTATTTGCTGGCCTTGGCTTCTAAAGAGTGCAGAGATGGGATTCCCTCTACCTCCAGTGACGTAGTGATTTTGTTTGCAGTCTTTTTCTTCTGAGAGGGAGGGGACGGAGAGAAGGAAGAAGAAAAATCCATCTGAAGCGGTGCGTTCTTCCTTCTGTGACTTGATGTTGGTAACTGGGTGCCATTGAATAGAGCTGAAGCCAAAGTGGGATGTTTTAAAGGTGCTATAATTTTGTTTGTTTCCTTTTAAAATAGGGTCAGACCGAAGTCAGAATTGCTGAAGCAGGGTGCCTGAATTAACCCTATATGTCCTGCTGTTAATTTTACCTAATTACGTTTTCTAAATAAGGAAAGATAAAGAACTCATGAGCAGGTTTCTGGAACCAGGATCCATGAATAATTTTGGTTGAGTTTTGGATTTGGAATTTTTCTGCCTTATTTGCACAGACAGTTTGTACACTGTTTCTCAGACCTAAAAAATAGGTAGTTATGTAAAATTCCTTGACATTGTAGTTTAGAACAAAATTCTAATTTTGATGTATGTAGCTAAAGCGAAGCTTTAGGAAGAAATTGTTATATATACTCTTAGGTGTGAGCATAACAGCCCAACCCATTTTTTTTTTTTTTGGATTGAGTATCTGGGCTTCCAGTCGCTTTTCATGCAATTCCATTTTAATACCGCTGATTTCTAGAGGGCTGCAGAGGTCAGTTTGAAAAACTCAGTAAACTAGAGCCTAGGAAAATTAAGGGTTTACCTATCTGTCAATGTGTGTTTAGGTAACATATGTGGAAAAGTACCTTTAAAAATATGCTGGTTTATTTTCTGTCTTTATTTTCTCTTCTGTTCTGTGCTTTCATTTACTCTGAATTCTTTGTGTGAAGTGAAAAGAGTAATAATGTCTGCTTCTCAGCTTACATTAGGTATTCTTATTTTTCTATGATAGTTCAATTATATTAATATTTATTACAGCCATAAATGTTTCAGACCAACACAATCTATTTTTGGGGGGTGGGGTGTGGTAGGAGGAGAAAAAGGAAGATAATCCTAGGGCAAATGGAGAGAATTCTAGAAGAATAACCTATTTAGATGTTTGCCAGAGACAGGAGCTATAAGGGTTAAGGGAAATTCCACCACATCCTTGCATCTTGATATTGCAGCAAATTTGTGGATAATTTCTTGCTAGCTTTTCAGGAAACCCCTGTGGTGGACAACCCTCATTAATCGTTGCTGGGAGACTGCTCTGACGTCACTGGGAGCAGTTCCCTGTCTGCAACTAGGACAGGAATAGCCTTTGAGGGGGAAGAAAACTGCTGTGAAATTAAAAGATGACGGTTTTGTTTACTTGGTTTTCCTTTCATTTGAGGGTAGATAAGATAGACCTAAAGTCTTTCTTAAATGTTTGTCATTACCAAGGGAAAAATTGCCAAAAGTTCTTTTTATTTCAACTGGGAGTGCCTTCTTTTGAAATCTTTTATTTTCTAACCATCAAGGTTTTGGAAGAGGTCAAGGAAAAAGAAAAGCTATTGAAAGATGTTAGAGAAGTAAGATTTCTGTTTCTTTTTATCCCCTTTTCTCCCTACTTTTTTTGTTTTTTGTTTTTGGAAGAAGGAAAGATCAAGAACAACTTTTATAAATGGTTGTTTTTAGCATCACCCCGTTTGGGATAATTAAAAATGTGATATATATGTTGGAAGGACACTACTGTGCCTAAAAGTTACTATACCTACTTAATTCTCTTCTCTCTGATATCTTCCTCTCCTAGCCCACTCCCTTAACAGCTCTCACTGTTAACAGCTTCTCCTTCTCTCTCTCTCTTTTTTTTTTTTTTAGATGGAGTCTTTCTCTGTCACCCAGGCTGGACTGCAGTGGCATGATCTTGGCTCACTGCAACTTCCACCTCCCGGGTTCAAGCAGTTCTCCTGCCTCAGCCTCCCAAGTAGCTGGCATTACAGGTGCATGCCACCACATCCAGCTAATTTTTGTATTTTTAGTACAGATGGGGTTTCACCATGTTGGCCAGGTTGGTCTTGAACTTCTGACCTCGTGATCCACCCACCGGCCTCCCAAAGTGCTGGAATTACAGTCATGAGCCACCACATCTGCCAAGAGCTTCTCTTTAGAAAAAACTTACTGGTTGAATGCTTGCCCCCTGGAATTCAAATCCCAGCTTTGCCAATTGCTGCTCTGTGACCTTGGCCAAATTATTTAACGTCTCCATTTGTAAAATGGGTCAGACGTAGTGGCTTACACCTGTAATCCCAGCACCTTGGGAGGCTGAGGCGGATGGATCACTTGAGGTCAGGAGTTTGAGACCAGCCTGGCCAACATGGTGAAACCCAGTCTCTACTAAAACTACAAAAAAATTTAGCCGGGTATGGTGGCGAACACCTGTAATCCCAGCTACTGGGCAGAGGTTGCAGTGAACCGAGATCACACCTCTGCACTCCAGCCTGGGCAACGGAGCAAGACTCTGCCTTTTAAAAAGACACACACATGCACACACATTTGTAAAACGAAGACAATAATTAGTACCCACTTCCTAGGGTTGTTTTGAGGATTAAAAGAGTTAATATATACATAATAAATCTTTTAAGACAGTTCCTGGTCATTTAAAGACTTAGCATTAGCCATTATTATTAATATTTAGAAATAGAGTCCAGCCCAGGTGGCAGAATGAGACCCTATCTCTCTCTCTCTCTCTCCCTTTGAAAAAAAAAAAATGGCAGGGGGATGTACTATTTGTGTCTTCAGATCACATGTAATTTTTGAGGAAGCCATAAGAGATTTTCAAGCCATGTACGAGATTGAGTTTTTAAAATGAACATCAGGACCAGGCATTGTGGCTCACACTTGTAAGCCCAGCATGTTACTTTGGGAGGCCAGGGTGGGTGGATCACTTGAGGTCTGGGGTTCGAGACCAGCCTGGGCTATATGGTGAAACCTCGTCTCTACCAAAAATGCAAATAAATTAGCTGGGCGTGGTGGCTCACGCCTGTAGTCCCAGTTACTCGGGAGGCTGAGGCAGGAGGATCACTTGAACATATCCAACCAATATGGATACAAATTCTGTACTAATATGGAAACAAAGTTTAGAAAGAGATATCTCAAAACATCATGTTGTTAATAGCAGTTATCTCTGAGTTGTTGATCATGGGTATTTTTGTTTGTTTGTTTTCTTCTCTATAATTGTGCGTGTTGTTTTTGTTTTTGTTTTTGTTTTTGAGATGGAGCTTTGCTCTTGTTGCCCAGACTGGAGTGCAATGGTGCGATCTTGGCTCACCGCAACCTCTGCCTCCCGGGTTCAAGCAATTCTCCTGCCTCAGCCTTCTGAGTAGCTGGGAGTACAGGCATGCGCCACCATGCCCGGATAATTTTGTATTTTTAGTAGAGACAGGGTTTCTCCATGTTGGTCAGGCTGGTCTTGAACTCCTGACCTCAGGTGATCCGCCCATCTCAGCCTCACAAAGAGCTGAGATTACAGGCGTGAGCCACTGCACCCGGCCATGCGTGTTTTTTCTAAGTATAAAGAAACCTGCAGTACTTTTCTAATCATAAAAATTAAAAAATATAAAAATTTCTAGTGTTCATATCTGACAGATGAAAATTTTTAGCATTTGTTAAATTCAAATAATTGTGATGACCTGTATAACCTGGACATAGTGTTTGGAATACAGTAAATGATAGCTGCTGCTATTATTAGTTGAGAAAGATAGCTTCCTATGATTCGAGTCTGGGGCTTTCATATTGGGAGGTAACATCTCTGAGAAGATACCCTCTTCATGCACCTTCTTGTCCTTCTGAGATTAATAAATATGCTCTCTTTCTATATCTGCTAACCCAAGATCTTTACACACATACACAAGGTTATAGAACTAGAGTGCAATGTTTCGGGTTTTTTTGTTTGTTTTTTGTTTTTGCTGATGGTATAGAGGAAATTTAACGTGCAGATAGGCCTACTAGTGACTTTCTTTGCAGTGACTTAAAAAAATGCTTTAATACAATTTATGACTCCCACTGAAAGTTGCTTCTACCCCATTTTCTGAGTTGTTGCCTTAAGAATTCTTGGGAAATTTGGGCTGGGCACGGTGGCTCATACCTGCAATCCCAGCACTTTGGGAGGCCAAGATAGGCAGATCCCTTGAGCCCGAGTTCGAAACCAGCCTAGGCAAGATAGGGAGATCCAGACTCTACAAAAGAACAAAAAAAATTCAGCCAAGTGTATGGCCCTGTAGGCTCAGCTAATTGGAAGGCTGAGGCAGGAGGTCACTTGAGCCCATGAGATTGGGGCCACAGTGAGCTGAGATAGCACCACTATACTCCATCCAACCTGGGCAACAGAGCGAGACCCTGTCTCAAAACAACAACAACAACAACAACAACAACAAAAAGAGAGAAAGAGAATTCTTGGGAAATTTGAAATAGCATTCCAGAAAAGATTTTCTCAGGTTTAGGAATTTCTGAAATTCTGTCTATTGCTTCTCACGTTAGTCTGCTGTGTGGGTCCCTTGGAACTCAAGTGCTAACACATGAGATCTAGACTTTTTTACAAATAATTTTCAAAAATTTATTTGAAAAATTACTTTTCAACTTCAAGAATCTACTTATAAGTAAAGCATGGAAGACAATTTTGTAATGTAAACATTAGCATTGCCTAGCTCTAGAAACCTTTGTTCTATTCCATAGCCTCTTTTTTTTTTTTTTTAAACTTTTATTTTAGGTTTGGGGGTATATATGATGGTTTGTTACACAGGTAAACATGTATCACAGGGGTTTGTTATACATATTATTTTGCCACCAGTGTTAAGCCCAGTACCCAATAGTTATCTTTTCTGGTCCTCTCCCTCCTGTCACCCTCCCCGCTCATGTAGACCCCAGTGTGTATTGTTTTCTTCTTTGTGTCCACAAGTTCTTATCATTTAGCTCCCACTTATAAGTGATAACATGCGGTATTTGGTTTTCTGTTCCTGCCTTAGTTTGCTAAGGATAATAGCCTTGAGCTTCATCCCTGTTCCTGCAAAAGACATTATCTCATTCTTTTTTATGGCTGCATAGTATTCCATGGTGTATGTACCACATTTTCTTTATCCAGTCTGTCATTGATGGGCATTTAGGTTGATTAAACCTAAATCGACCACGTCTTTGCTATTCTGAATAGTGTTGCAGTGAACATTCATGTGAATGTGTCTTTATGTTGGTAGAATGATTTATATTCCTCTAGGTATAAACTCAGTAATGGGATTGCTGGGTTGAATGGTAGTTCTGCTTTTAGCTCTTTGAGGAACCATCATACTGCTTTCCATAATGATTGAACAATTTACACTCCCATCAATAGTGTATAAGTGTTTCCTTTTCACTGTAACCTCACCAGCATCTGTTATTTTTTGACTTTTTAATAATAGCCATTCTGACTGGTGTGAGGTATGAAATTAAAAAAAAAAAACCCACAATGAGATACCATTAGATACTATGGTATGGTATCTCATTGTGGGTGTTTTTGATTGGCATTTCTCTAATTATCAGTGAGATTGAGCTTTTTTTCCATATGCTTGTTGTCTGCATGTATGTCTTCTTTTGAGAAGTGTCTGTTCATATCCTTTTCCCACTTTTTAATGGGGTTGTTTGTTTTTCTCTTGTACATTTAAGTTCCTTATGGATGATGGAACTCATAGGCTCAAGCCATCCTCCTGCTTCAGCTTCCCAAATTGCTGGGTTTGCAACGGTGAGCCACCATGCCTGGCTAACACCTATAATCTCAACACTTTGGGAGGCCGACATGGGAAGATCTTGTGAGGCCAGGAGTTCAAGGCCAGCCTGGGCAACCTAATAAGAACCTGTCCCTACCAAAAAAAAAAAAAAAAAGTTAGCTGGGTATGGTGGCACCTGCCTGTAGTCCCAGCTATTTGGGAGGCTGAGGCAGGAGGATTGGTTGAGCCCAGGAGTTCAAAGTTGCAGCAAGCTGTGACTAGGCCACTGCACTCCAGCATGGGCAACATAGCAAGATGCTGTCACTTAAAAAAAAAAAAAAAAAAAAAGGTGGCCGGGCGTGATGGCTCACGCCTGTAATCCCAGCACTTTGGGAGGCTGAGGTCAGGAGTTTGAGGCCAGCCTGGCCAACATGGTGAAACCCCGTGTCTACTAAAAATACAAAAATTAGCCAGGTGTGGTGGCAGGCGTCTGTAGTCCCAGCTACTTGGGAGGCTAAGGCAGGAGAATCACTTGAACCCAGGAGGCAGAGGTTGCAGTGAGTTGAGATTATGCCATTGCACTCCAGCCTGGGTGACAGAGCAAGACTCTGTGTCAAAAAAATAAAAAGTATGGGAGATTGACACAGATCAGCAGTACTAAATTATATATATGAAAAAATATATGTTATATATTTTGTAGTGACCGAGTCTTGCTCTGTTGCCCAGGCTGGAGTGCAATGGCCCAATCATAGCTCACTATAGCCTCAACCTCCTGGGCTCAAGGGATCCTCCTGCTATAGCCTCTCAAGTAGCTGGGACTACACAGAGGTACCACTACACCCAGCTAACTTTTTTTTTTTTTTTTGGTAGAGGTGGGGTCTCACTATGTTGCCCAGGCTGCTCTCAAACTGCTAGCCTCAGGTGACACTCCTGCTTTGGCCTCTCAAAGTGCTGGGATTACAGACATGAGCCACGACACCTGGCCAGCAGTCCTAAACTAAAGTCTTTAGCTCTCCGTATATTGAGGCATGGGAAGTTTAAATATTGTGATTTAGCTGAACACTGATTCCTCACTGATTCCTCAATATATCCCTACACTGATTCCTCAATATATCCTGGTGTTGGTTTTCCAGCAGTTTAAAGATTCTTGAATTTCTTTACTGAAATTCAACAAGGAAAAATCTCCAGGGTTTTTGGGATCCCTTGTTATTTGCATAGATTGATTGTCTTTGCTATTCACTCCTTGCCCCATTCATTTTTAGTATAACAGAATGGCAGCATTTCTTATTTGTCTGTATAGACTATTCTCTGACAGTTTTTGCAGCAGTTTCTATGGAAAATGCTTTATTTCAAAAAAAAAAAGGCAAGGGAAATCTCATCTTGAGGCTCTTAGTGATAGAGCCTGTTGCCATGGAGTCTTGGATCAGATTGGCTGACCCAGGGGCCAATGAACAGATAGAACATAAACACATTATCATTTAACTTTGCAGAATTTATTATTCGATAATAGGTGACATTAACACCCTAACTGTATATAGAAACTGTGAAATAAAATGTTTCAAAAATGGTGTAAGGTGTTTTTTAAATTTGCTGTTAAATATAAATTTGATAATTGCATATTCTTAATGTGATTTGATTGGGGGAGGATATGGTGGGAAATACCTACCACCTATCTGTGAATTGAGCTGCTACTGCAGCCAGTTGGGCTTGTGCTAAGTCTAAGTCTAACTATGACCTTCTGGACTAGAGGAGGTTTTTTTTATATATGTGAAGCTGCCTTTCTTTCTTTTTCTTTTTTTTTTTTGAGACGGAGTCTCGCTCTGTCCCAGGCTGGAGTGCAGTGGCGCAGTCTCGGCTCGTTGCAGCCTCTGCCTCCTGGGTTCAAGCTCTTCTGCCTCAGCCTCCCAAGTAGTTGGGATTACAGGCACGTGCCACCACGCCCGGCTAATTTTTTGTATTTTTAGTAGAGATGGGGTTTCGCCACGTTAGCCAGGCTGGTCTCGAACTCCTAACCTCGTCATCCACCCGCCTCAGCCTCCAAAAGTGCTGGGATTACAGGCATGAGCCACCACATCCAGTGCCCTTCCTTTCTTCCTTCCTTCCTCCCTCCTTCCCTCTAGAAATATTTATTTATGTATTTATTTATTTATTTTGAGATGGAGTTTCGCTCTTGTCACCCAGGCTGCAGTGGCGCAATCTCAGCCCACTGCAACCTCTGCCTCCCAGATTCAAGCAATTCTCCTGCCTCAGCCTTCAAAGTAGCTGGGATTACAGGCGCCTGCCACCATGCCTGGCTAATTTTTTTGTATTTTTAGTAGAGACGGGGTTTCACCATGTTGGCCAGGCTGGTCTCAAACTCCTGACATTAGGTGATCCACCCACTTTGTCCTCCCAAAGTGTTGGGATTACAGGCATGAGCCACTGTGCCTGGCCTGAAGCTGCCTTTCTTATTTTGATAGCTTTTAAATCTGCATCGGAAATTATTAGCTTTTTTCTTCCATGTTTTTCTTTTTTTTCTACTCCAATCTGACATGGTAGATCCCTGTCAACATTATATAGTTGTCTCTCTCTTTGGTCTGGAGATAGAGGAATAGCTGGGGGTAGCTTCCATGTTTTCCATCTTTACTTCTCTAGCTTGTTTGTATATATTGACTTAGGTCTGGGATATTTCACTGAGCTCAGTGTTGGTTCCTTGTCATAGCAGATCATGGCATGTTCCTTTTCCTATTTTAATGCCCAAGAGAATAAGAATGATTCATTCATAGAAATTTCCCTCTCTAGATCTTGTAAATGAAAGAAGTCAAGAGTTTTGCGTTTCCCTTCTTACACTTTATGTCAAGGGATACTTGAGAAATTATGGTGGGTCTTATTCTTTGCTCTCCCAGTGTTCTCATACTTAGGTATTTACAGAGCTAAAGGATTGAAAGCGATATCCAAAGGCCCATGAGTTTATTCCTTTCTTTTGAGCTACTCAGCTCTCTGTAAGATATGAATCATTATATCATCACCTCCATCTCAGGAAAAACCAATTTTAGATTCTCTATTAAGCAAAGAGGGACAAAAAGTGTGTTCAGTATCTGACTGGATAACTCACCTTAGGGTAAGAATAAGGAATGTGGTTTGGTTCATTGGATAAGCACAAAGCAGGAGGAAAAAAGTATCACGTTAGATTCACAGGTTATAAGCTTGAATCTCAGTTCACACAGTTTTTTAGATCTTGCAGATCTTTTCTTGCTAAGCTTTATTTTGAATGAGAAACACTGATCTCTTAGGTGAAAATTTGGGAAAGCCATCCTGATCTGAATTTGGGAAAGCAGCAGACCGTTTTGAGAAAACAGTGTGATATCAAAGAAAGAACATGAATTTGGAGGCATTCTTGAGTTGAATTCTAGCTTTGCCACCTACTTTTTTTTTTTTTTTTTTTTTTTTTGAGACAGGGTCTCACTCCAGGCTGGAGTGCTGGAGTGATGCAGTCACAGCTCACTGTAGCCTTGACCTCCCAGGCTCAAGCGATCCTCTTACCTCAGCCTCCCAAGTAGCTGGGACTACAGGTGTGTGTCACCACACCTGGTTTATTTTTTTATTTTTATTTTTGTAGAGACAGGGTTCCACTATGTTGCTCAGGCTGGTCTCAAAATCCTAGGCTCAAGCAATCCTCCCACCTCAGCCTTCCAAAGTTCTGGGATTACAGGCATGGATCATCATACCTGGCCACTGTTTACATTCTATTAATATGGCAAATTACTTTTTTCTTTTCAAGACAGGGTCTTGCTCTGTGGTCCAGGCTGGAATCCAATGGTACAATCACAGCTCACCATAGCCTCCTGGGCTCAAATGATCCTGCTACCTCACCCTTTCAAGTATCTGGGACTACAGGTACATGCCACCATGCCTAGCTAATTAAAAAAAAAAATTTTTTTTTTTTTTTAGACAGAGTCTTGCTCTGTCACCCACACTGTAGTACAGTGGCGTGATCTTGGCTCACTGCAAGCTCCGCGTCCCGGGTTCATGTCATTCTCCTGCCTCAGCCTCCCAAGTAGCTGGTACTACAGGCGCCTGCCACCACGCCCGGCTAATTTTTTGTATTTTTAGCGGAGACGGGGTTTCACCGTGTTAGCCAGGATGGTCTTGATCTCCTGACCTCATGACCCACCCACCTCGGCCTCCCAAAGTGCTGGGATTACAGGCGTGAGCCATAAAAAAATTTTACAGAGACAGAGTTTCCCTATATTGCCCAGCCTGCAAATTACTTTAATTCACTTATTTAAAATATACTTATTATATGCCAGGCACTATTCTAGACCCTGTTTATAAGCAGCGAGCAAAGCAAAATCAAAATCCCTGCCCTCTTTGAGTGTACCTTGGGGACAGAGAGATAATAAACAAGATAAATAGTAAAATAAATTGATAGTTTGACAATGATAAACGACGAGAAAAATAAAGTCAAGGAAATGGTATAGGAGGTATTTGGGGTTTTGTAAGAGATAGGGTCAAAGAACAAACACTGGTGGTCAGGTCATTTAAGGTCTTGTAGATCATTTTAGGGACATCTGCTCTGAGTGAGATGGAGACCCATTGGGGGATTTTGAGCAAAGATGTAAAATGACCTAACAACGTTTTTACACAATCATTGTGGCTGCTGTTTACAAAATACTATGGTAGGGGTGAAAGTGGAAGTAAAGAGACCAATTAGAGGGATGTTGCAGTCATTCCGCCAAGAGAGGATGGTGGAATGACAAGGCAAGAAAAAGAAAGAAAAGGCATCAAAATTAGAAGGGAAAAAGTAAAATTATCTCTATTTGCAGACGATGGGATCTTAGATATAGAAAACCCTAAAGATTCCGGCCGGGCACGGTGGCTCACGCCTGTAATCCCAGCACTTTGGGAGGCCGAGGCGGGCAGATCACAAGGTCAGGAGATCGAGACCATCTGGCTAACATGGTGAAACCCCTTCTCTACTAAAAATACAAAAAAATTAGCAGGGCGTGGTGGCGGGTGCCTGTAGTCCCAGCTACTTGGGAGGCTGAGGCAGGAGAATGGCGTGAACCCGGGAGGCGGAGCTTGCAGTGAGCTGAGATTGCGCCACTGCACTCCAGCCTGGGCAACAGAACGAGACTCCGTCTCAAAAAAAAAAAAAAAAAAAAAAGAAAAGCCCTAAAGATGCCACAAAAAATCACTTTAGAATTAATAAATGCCAGCCAGGCACGGTGGCTCACACTTGTAATCCCAGCACTTTGGGAGGCCAAGGCGGGTGGATCACCTGAGGTCAGGAGTTCAAGACCAGCCTGACCAACATGGTGAAACCCCGTCTCTACTAAAAATACAAAAAATTAGCTGGGCGTGGTGGTGCGTGCCTGTAATTTCAGCTACTCAGGAGGCTGAGGCAGGAGAATCGCTTGAACCCAGGAGGCGGAGGTTGCTGTGAGCTGAGGTTGTGTCATTGAACTCCAGCCGGGGCAACGAGAGCAAAACCCCATTTCAAAAAAAAAAAGAATAAATGCATTCAGCAAAATAGAAGGATACAAAGTTATCACAAAAATCAGTTGCATTTCTGTACATTAATAATGAATAATCTGGCCAGGCACGGTGGTTCACACCTGTAATCCCAGCACTTTGGGAAGCTGAGCCAGGTGGATCACCTGAGGTCAGGAGTTCAAGACCAGCCTGACCAACATGGAGAAACCCTGTCTCTACTAAAAATACAAAACTAGCCAGGCATGTCAGTGCATGCCTGTAATCCCAGCTACTCGGGAGGCTGAAACAGGAGAATCACTTAAACCCGGGAGGCGGAGGTTGCGGTGAGCCGAGATCGCACCTCCAGCCTGGGCAATAAGAGCAAAACTCCATCTCATAAAAACAACAACAACAACAAAAATCTGAGAAGGAAATTATGAAAACAATTCCATTTACAATAGCATCAAAAACAATAAAATACTTAGGAATTAACCAAGGACGTGAGAGACTTATACAATAAAAACTATAAAACATTGCTGAGAGAAAAGAAATTAAAGAAAATATAAATGGAAACACATCCCATGTTCATGGATTGGAAGACTTAATATTGTTGTTCTTTTTTTTTCTTTTTCTTTTTTTTTGAGACGGAGTCTTTTTCTGTCGGCCCACTACAACTTCTGCCTCCTGGTTCAAGCGATTCTCCTGCTTCAGCCTCCCTAGTAGAGGCTATTTATATGATGTCAATTTGACGTGGGAATATGTTACTCATAAGAGAAAAACAGTACCAGTAAGCAGCAAGGAAAAGAGACGTCTCAATTATTTTTCTCTCCCTTCTTACTATAAAATGATTAGGGGGAACTAGTATTCACTTAGCAACTACTGTGCAGGCACCTTGCAATTGTTATCTTGTGATTTTTAGTGGCTCTGTGAGATATGTATCATGCCTATCCTACAGATAAGGAGGCTGAGGCTCAGTGACATAATTAGTAAGTTGTAGAAACAGTAGTCACACAGCCAAATTCTTGTGGATCTACGAAGTCCACAATCTTATCTACTGTTCTTATGTACTATAACATGATTGTTGTCTCCTACATTGTAGAGATTAATATTCTTTATTTTGATAGGTTTTACCCCTCATTCACCATAATGACGCTCGTCTTTCTCCTTGCAGCAGAGATAGTGTTAGGTACAAGGGTGGTATACCCTTATATCCTCCATAAAAGTGGCAACTCTCCCTTATTTTACCTCTTTCCTCCCAATCAGCTCCAGGATGTTGAGATAGTATTCTTTGCTTATATAAATTGTTTATTATTTTTTCATTATTATACTTAGTGTGTGTTTTTTATATATATGAGATACCATGTAGAGAGTATATTAGGATTGGGATCTTCTACAATTAACAGCAAAACCCAAATACAGGCATACCTTGGAGACACTGTGAGTTTCGTTCCAGACCACTGCAATTGAATATCACAATAAAGCAAGTCATACAAATATTTTGTGTCTCAGTGCATATAAAAGTTATGTTTACACTATACTGTCATCCATTAATACATTAATAATGAATAATCTGGCCAGGCACGGTGGTTCACGCCTGTAATCCCAGCACTTTGGGAAGCTGAGCCAGGTGCAATAGCATTGTCTAAAAAAAGTACATACCTTAATTTCAAAGTACTTTATTGCTGCCAGGTGCAGTGACACATACCTGGAGTCCCAGCTGCTCAGGAGGCTGAGATGGGAGGATAACTTAAGGCCCAGGAATTCAAGGCTGTGGGACACTATGATTGCACCCATGAATAGACATTGCACTCCAGCCTGGGCAACCTACTGAGAGACCCTGTCTCAAAACAAAGAAATGAAAAAAGTTTATTGCTAAAATATTCTAATAATCATCTGAGCCTTCAGCAAGTCATATATTTTGGCTGGTGAAGAGTCTGGTCTCAAGGTTGATGATTGCTGACTGATCAATGGTGGTGGTTGCTAAAGGTTGGGGTAGCTGTGGCAATTTCTTAAGATAAGACAACTGGCCAGGCATGGTGGCTCACACCAGTAATCCTAGCACTTTGAGAGGCAGAGGCAGGCAGATCACTTAAGCTCAGTAGTTCGAGAGCAGCCTGGGCAACACAGCGAAACCCTGTCTCTACAGAAAATACAAAAATTAACCAGGCTTGCCTGTAGTCCCAGCTCCTTGGGAGGTTGAGGCGGGAGGATCGCCTGAGCCTGGGAGTTTGAGGCTGCAGTGAGCTGTGATCGCGCCACTGCACTCCAGCCTGGGTGACAGAACGAGACCCTGTCTCAAAAAAAAAAAAAAAGATAACGTGAATTTACCGAATCGACTGACTGTTCCTTTCATGAAAGATGTCTCTAGAGCATACGGTACAGTTTGATAGCATGTTATCCACAGTTGAACTTGCAAAATTGGAGTCAGTCCTCTCAAACCCTGCCACTGCTTTATCAACTTAGTTTATGTAATATTCTAAATCCTTTATTGTCATTTCAGCAGTGTCCACAGCATCTTCACCAAGAGTAAATTCCATCTCAAGAACCTACTTTTTTGCTCATCCGTAAGAAACAACCCTCATCCATTGAAGTTTTACCATGAGATTGCAGCAATTCAGTCACATCTTCAGGCTCTACTTCTAATTCTAGTTCTCTGGCTATTTCCACCCCATCTTCAGATACTTCCACTAAAGTCTTGAACCCCTCAAAGTCTTCTGCAAGGGTTGCAATCCACTTCTTCCAAACTCCTGTTCGTGTTGATATTTTGACCTCCTCTCATAAATCACAAATGTTTTTAATGGCACCTAGAATAGTGAATCCTTTCCAGGTTTTCAATTTACTTTGCCTAGATCCATCAGAGGAATCAGTATCTATGGCAGCTATAGCCTTACAAAATGTATTTCTTTTTTTTTTTTTTTTTGAGACGGAGTCTTGCTCTGTCGCCCAGGCTGGAGTGCAATGGCGCGATCTCGGCTCACTGCAACCTCCGCCTCCAGGGTTCAAGTGATCCTCCTGCCTCAGCCTCCCGAGAAGCTGGGATTACAGGCCCCCACCACCATGCCTGGCTAATTTTTATATTTTTAGTAGAGATGGGGTTTCACCATGTTGGTCAGGCTGGTTTTGAACTCCTAACCTCAGGTGATCTGCCTGCCTTGGCCTCCCAAAGTGCTGGGATTACAGATGTGAACCACCATGTCTGGCCCTACAAAATGTATTTCTTAAATAATAAGACTTGAAAGTCTAAATGACTCCTTGATCCATGGGCTGCAGAATAATACATGTTATGTTAGCAGGCCTGAAAATAACATTAATCTCCTTGTACATATGAATCTTAGCTCTTGGGTGATTAGGTGCAATGTCAATGAGCAGTAATATTTTAAAAGGAATATTTTTTTTTTTGAGCAACATATCTCAACAGTGGGCTTAAAATACTGAGTAAATTATGCTGTAAACAGATGCGCTGTCATCCAGGTTTCTTTGTTCTATTTTTAGAGCACAGGCAGAGTTGATTTGGCATAATTCTTAAGGCCATAGGATTTTCAGAATGGTAAATTAATATTGGCTTCAACTTAAAGTCACCAGCTGCATTAGACCCTAACAAGAGAATCAGCCTGTCCTTTGAAGCACTGGAGCCAGGTTTTGACTTCTCCTCTCTAGCTATGAAAGATGACATCTCCTTCCAATAAAAGGCTCTTTTGTCTACACTGAAATTATTGTTTAATGTAGCCACCTTTATCAATTTTCTTAACTAGATCTTCTATATAATTTGCTACAGCTTCTACAACAGCACTTGCTGCTTCACCTTGCACCTTTAGGTTATGAAGACAATTTCTTTCCTTAAACTCATGAACCAACCTCTGCTAGCAGCAAACTTTTCTTCTGCAGCTTCCTCACCTTTCTCAGCCTTCATAGAATTGAAGAGAATTAGGGACTTGGCTGTTTCACTTTCTTACCATTTGTGTGTTCCCTGTAGTAGCACGTTTAATTTCAAGAACTTTTCCTTTGCATTCACCAGATGGGTAACTGCTTGGCACAAGAGGCCTAGCTTTTGACCTGTCTTGGCTTTCAACATGCCTTCCTCACGAAGCATAATTTCCAGCTTTTGATTTAAAGTGAGAGATGTGTGACTCTTCCTTTCACTTGAATGCTTACTTAGAGGCCACTGTAGAGTTATTAATTGGCCTAATTTCAATATTGTTACATCTCAGTGAATAGGGAGACCAAGGAGAGGGAGAGAGATCGGGGAACAGTTGGGTGGTAGAAGAGTCAGAACATTTACATTTATTGATTAAGTTCACTGTCTTACATGGGCACAGTTCCTGGTGCCCCCAAACAGTTACAACAGCGACATCAAAGATCACTGATGCCAGATCACAATAACACATATAATAATAAGGAAAAAGTTTGAAATACTACAAGAATTACCAAAATGTGACACAGAACATGAAGTGAACACATGCTGTTGGAAAAATGGTGCCGATAGACTTGCCTGACACAGGGTTGCCACAAACCTTCAATTTGTTTAAAAAAAAAAGAAAAGAAAAAACCAGGCACAGTGGCTCACACCTGTAATCTGGCACTTTGGGAGGCTGAGGTGGCAGGATTGCTTGAGGAATTCAAGACCAGCCCAGGCAATATAGGGAGACCCCCATCTCTACCAAAAAAAAAAAAAAAATTAGCTAAGGATAGTAGTGCATGCCTGTGGTTCCAGCAATTTGGGAGGCTGAGGTGGGAGGATAGCTTGGGCCTAAGGTCAAGGCTTCAGTGAGCTATGATCACACCACTGCACTCCAGAAGGAGTGACACAGCAAGAACCTGTATCTTGGAAAAAAATAAAATCAGAGGTAGTCAGTCCAGGACTGGTCTAATCAGGGGCCTAGGTTTCTATGTCTATGGTTTTCCACTCTGGTATCATCTCAGGGTCCAAATGGCTGCTGGAGTGCTAGCCTTTACTTTCACATTCAAGCCAGAAGGAATTAGGGATGAGTGAAGAGGTACTGCCCACTTCCTTTAAAGATACTTCATGGCCAGCCTAGCCAATGTGGTGAAACCTTGTCTCTATTAAAACTACAAAAATTAGCCAAGCATGGTGGTATGTGCCTGTAATCCCAGCTACTTGGGGAGGCTGAGGCAGGATAATCTCTTGAACCCGGGAGGTGGAGGTTGTAGTGAGCCGAGATCGTGCCACTGCACTCTAGCCTGGGCGACAGAGTGAGACTGCTAGGGCTGCCATAACAAAAGAGCACATGCTGGGTGGCTTAAACAATATACATGTATTTTCTTATAGTTTTGTAGGCTAGAAGCCCAAGATCAAGGTGTTGGCAGGTTTGGTTTCTCTTGAAGCCTCTGTGGCTTCCAGATGGTCACCTTCTCTCTGTCTTCACATGATATTTCCTTTGTGGGCACCATGCCTCTGGTGTACTTCTGTGTCCAAATTTCCTCTTCTTATAATGACACTAGTCAGATTGGATTAGGACCCACCCTAACAGCTTCATTTAACTTAATCGCCTCTTTAAAGGCCCTGTCTCCAAATACAGTCACATTCTGAGGTACTGAGGGTAAGGACTTTAACACGGGAACTGGGTGGGGGACATCATGTGTTCAGCCCATAACACTACTTCTTATATCTCATGGACTATAACTTAGTCATGTACTCATTTAGCTACAATGGAGATTAGGATGTGTGTAGCTTTTCCCCAGGAAGCTGTGTGCCCCAACTTAAAATCAGCAGCTCTGTTACAAAAGAGATGATTGGATATCGGGGAATAAATAGCAGTTTCTCCTTTGCAGCAGAGGCTTGAGGACTAATGATTATTACAGATTTCCATTTTTTCTTTGAAATCAGGTTGTTGTCTAATTTCTCTGGCCAATCTCACATTTGATGTTAGATTTTGAAAGATTGTCAGCCAGGCGCAGTGGCTTACGCCTGTAATCCCAGCACTTTGGGAGGCTGAGGCAGATGGATCACCTGAGGTCAGGAGTTCGAGACCAGCCTGCCCAACATGGTGAAACCCCGTCTCTACTAAAAATACAAAATTAGCCAGGTGTGGTGGTGCACACCTGTAATCCCAGCTACTGGGGAGGCTGAGGCAGGAGAATTGCTTGAACCCAGGAGATGGAGATTGCAGTGAGCCGAGATCACGCCATTGCACTCTAGCCTGGGCAACAAGAGTGAAACTCCATCTCAAAAGAAAGAAAGATTGTTTTAATACTGAATTGTTGTCTGATGTGTCCTTTCTAAGGTCATCGGTTATGGCAGGATAGATGTAGTTGCCTGGCATTTAAGTTAGTAATGGAAGGCATCCTGAGAGTGCCATGAATGTAGATAAATTGTGATTTTTTTTTTCCTTTTCCAGATATCTTCTCTGGGTTGAGTTGGAAACAGTTTCGCAAAGGGGTGGGAAAAGACAGTGTGAACTTTCAGGGTCTCTTTCATCCCTCAGATTCTGCGATGCTTTCTGCATAGTGGCATTACTTTCATAAAGCTAGAGGAAATGGAAGCATTAGAGGGAAAGGACCCTCTGCTCCTCTTTGTTTGAAAGAGGAGGCTATTCGGTTTGTTCTGTTCCACTTTAGGACGTAAAAAGGGCATTTTTAACCAAGAATGTAGAGAGGCTGACAAAAACTGTTAACGGGGCCCAACCAACACTTCAGTCCATTGATCAAAGCACCTACAGTTCTCATTTTAAGGCAAGTACAGCCATAACAGATACTGAGCAAATAAAGAGGGTATACACGTCCAGAACATTTTAATCTTGTTTCTCTCTTTACTTTGCCTAAGGAATTGCTCTGGATACCAGCCAGTTCCTATGGGTTTCCTTACACACCAGTGAATCCTTTTGCAGTTACAGAACAGAATGATTTTCATGCTTCCCTGATTTGGAATATTGGCACAACTATTGTTTTATTATTGTTATTGGCCCAGTACTAATGAAGCCTATGACAGTTTCTACAGTCCTTAAAGGGCTTGGTGACTGTCATATACCTATAGCTTTATGTGTTTCATAAGTACTTTACACTCTATTCCCATATATTCATTCTCTCTTTGAAGAAAATGAAGATTTGGACCTATATCTCTTACTCATAACTCAGTAGGACCTTCCTTCCTGTCCTTCTCCAAACGGCTGTTAGGCATTTACCTCTTCAGGCACGCAGTTATACTGTTTTTGTTTTTGTCCTTTGTTTTGACACTGTAATGGAAAGAACATGGAATTTTGGAACCAAGTAGACCTGGATTTGAATTCTAGCTCCTTGCCTGTAGTGTATGGCCCTGAACAAGTCACTTAGTATTTCTGAGTGTTGATATCTTTATTTTTTTTGGTATCTTTTTTATAAAGTGGAGATAACACTTTATACCTTGAGAATATTGAGTAAGATGATCTCAATAAACTGTAAAAAAATTCAAAGTCATAGGGATGGACCCAGGTTGAGGGGAAAGATGAGAGTTTACAAGTCTAATTTTTTATTTCAAAAATATGTTCCCCCACTGGTACTCAGAGGCCTCAGATCTAGGCACCCTTCCCATCCGACACTCCACACCCCAGAATGCTTCTGAATGAGCAGCCACCCTGGAACACCTAGGACTTTAACTTTTGGATCAGACACAGCTAGGTTGGAATTCTACCATTGCCTCTCTTGTATTGACTTGGGAAAGTTATTAGATTTATCTGAGCTTTGGTTTCTTCAACTGGAAAATACCCTAACAAAGAGTTGTGTTAGGATTCAACAATAAGTAAAAAGAAAAAAATAATTAAAAAAAAGTCGAGAAAGAATGCAGACTTTGGAATCAGACAACATGGAGGTTCTGGTCTGTTTCTGCCACTTAGTGACGGAACCTTGATCAGGTTGCTTAGCTGCACTTGGTGGATATGAGTTGAAGTACATAAAGCACCAGGCTCATAATCATGCTCAGTAAACCTCAGTAAATCATGTACCTTTTCATTTTCTCCTAATTCCCAATGTCAAAGAATGGAAGAAAAGGCTTGTGACACAGGAGCACCTAGACTGTTTTGTTTTTAAGCTACCACTTAACCCCTGTGGATGTTTGTTCCTACTGTTTGATTCCTAAAGGAATTTTTGGGTTTGTTTGTTTTGGTGTAGTTAAATAATGTATAATAAAATGCACAGATCTTAACCATTTTGTTAATGAGGTTTGTTTGTTTGTTTGTTTTGAGATGGAGTCTCACTCTGTTGCCCAGGCTGGAGTGCAGTGGCGCGATCTTGGCTCACTGCAACCTCCGCCTCCAGGATTCAAGCAGTTCTGCTGCCTCAGCCTCCCGAACAGGCGAGCGCCACCACACTCGGCTAATTTTTGTATTTTTTAGTAGATATGGGGTTCACCATATTGGCCAGGCTGGTCTCGAACTCCTGGCCTCGTGATCCGCCCACCTTGGCCTCCCAGAGTGCTGGGATTACAGGTGTGAGTCACCACGCCTGGCCTAGTTAATGAGTTTTGACAATTGTATTCACCCATGTAACCACTGCATCAAATAAAATTGAATATTTCAATCAGTCCTGGAGGGTCCCTTCTTTCTCTTTCCAGTCAAGTCCTGAGCAATCATTTTCTGATTGTGATCACTGTAGGTTAGTTTTGCTTGTTCTTGAGCTTCACATAAATAGACTATTATAGTATGTGTTCTGGTGGCAGGGGGTGGGGAGGAGAGTCTACTTTCTTTAATTTATCATAGTAGTTTTGAGATCCATCCATGCTTTTGTTTTGTTTTGTTTTATTTTCCAAGACGGAGTTTCGCTCTTGTTGCCCAGCCTGGAGTGCAATGGCCCGTTCTTGGCTCACTGCAACCTCTGCCTCCCGGTTCAGGCAATTTTTCTGCCTCAGCTTCCCGAGTAGCTGGGATTACAGGCATGCCACCACCACACCCGGCTAATTTTTGCATTTTTAGTAGAGACGGGGTTTCACCATGTTGGTCAGGCTGGTCTCGAACTCCTGACGTCAGGTGATCCACCCAACCTGGCCTCCCAAAGTGCTAGGATTACAGGCATGAGCCACTGTGCCCGGCCCTATCCATGTTTTTGTGTGTCTCAGTATGTACAGTAAGGTTGAGCAACCTTTACCCAAAATGCTTGGGACTGTCTGTATTTCAGATTTAAGATTTTTTGGATTTTGGAAATTTTTTTAAATTTTGGAATATTATGGTTGACCATCCATAATCCAAAACCCAAAATTGGAAATGTTCCTATGTACATCCCTTGAGCATCATATTGGTGCTCAAAAAGCTTTGGATTTTGTACTCTTTCAGATTTCAGATTTTCTCATTAGGGATGCTCAGCCTATAGTTCAGTCTTTTTTATTATTAAATAATATTACATTTGTTTATTCTCCTGAGCCCCTAGATTTTAAACATTTTTTAAAATGTATCAATTGAGAGTAACTTATGATTGATAAACAAATTAGTACAGGACCGGAAAGCTTCCAAGGAATTTGCCACAGGGTAGACCAGAATTTTTAGCACCTAGATATCGTTGTCTTGCTTGCATTCTCTCTACTTGGCCATAGATTAAAAGTGAGAAAATGAAATTATTCTTCTGTCTCTGAATATCCCCTATCTAACATATTCCTTTTGGCTCAATGCCTAGAAAGTTGTTTATAAATTGATGGAAGGATATATAATCTCACTCTATTATGGAAGGTACTTACCCTAGCAGTAAAAAAAATTATAGGGAATATGCAGTATTCTCCCTGAAAAAAATAGGTGAATCTTGGCTTCCAATAATCTTCCCCTGTATTATCCTATTTCTTCACTGCCCCACCTGTTCCCCCGACATCTCACAGTCCCCTCTGTGCAGCTTTGAGCTACTGAGTATCCTCAGGAGACATCTTGCCTTTGAAATTGTACTATTTGGCTGGATGAAATGTACACTGTACACAAATAGGTTGTAGGGAAGCACACATCTAGGCCCTCCTGGGAGCCTAATGTCTGCTTTGTTCTAGTCACCATTACATATGAAGTAGTTCCTTTCTTCTCCCATCAAAAACCTCCCAAACCCTTAATTTCTTCTCTATACCAAATAAACTATTAAGAATGGAATTACTTCTCTGCCTTTTAAGCTACTACTGGCTTTATTTTAGCTGTTTAAGGCTTTTTTTTTTTTTTTTTTTTTTTTTTTGAGATAGAGTTGCACTCTTGTTGCCCAAGCTGGAGTGCAGTGGAGCAGTCTTGGCTCACTGCAACCTCCACCTCCCGGGTTCAAGCGATTCTCCTGCTTCAGCCTCCTGAGTAGCTGGGATTAGCAGGCACGCACCACCACCCCCAGCTAATTTTTTGTATTTTTAGTAGAAACGGGGTTTCACCGTGTTGGCCAGGCTCATCTCAAACTCCTGACCTCAGTGATCCGCCCGCCTCCCAAAGTGGTGGGATTGCAGGCGTGAGCCACTACGCCCAGCCTAAGGCTTTTTTTAGTTGGTTGCTTTCTTTTGCTTTTGTTTTGGCCCAGAAAAAATTGTTTCCAGGAATCTTTATGCCCCAAGAGTAACGAGAGCCTTCTGCATTGGCTGAAAGGACTGGAAATGACCTTAATTAAAGGTTATTTTGGAAAGCAAAAGAGAGCCTCAGCCTAAGAAATACAGTTTTATGCTTAGTTTATCTTCCAGTGGATCTTAACTCTGTATTAGTAACAGTCTGACCCCTCATTACTCGCCTCTGCCTACTTTCAGGGCAGTTTCTTTTATCCTAGAAGAAAATGGTAAGGAGACTTAAAGCCATGTGATTTGAAAGCTTGACTTAAAGAAGCTGGGAATGTTTAGAGAAGGAAATAAGGTAAAGTTTTCTTTTACAAAGAGCTGATAGGGAAGCAAGATTAAGCTTGTTCTTTATGACTCGCACAGAAGGCTAAACAGGGGCCGGTGGGAGGAACTACCAAAGAGGTAAATTTTGCCTCTTTAAAAGGAAAGTGTTCCAAAAAGAAATGGTTTCTTTCTGGAGGTGAAGACTTTCCCTTCACTAAGAGGTATACAAGCAGGGACATTTTTCACAGTTACTAATGAGTTAAGAACCTAATTATGGAAGACTACGGTTGTAGAAAAATGGAGCTAAGGCTGGGCGTAGTGGCTCACGCCTGTAATCCTAGCACTTTGGGAGGCTGAGGCGGGCAGATTACTTGAGGTCAGGAGTTCGAGACCAGCCTGGCCAACATGGTGAAACCCCTTCTCTACTAAAAGTACAAAAATTAGCCGGAAATTGCTTGAACCCGAGAGGCGGAGGTTGCCGAGATCATGCCGCTTGCACTCCAGCCTGGGCAATAGAGCGAAACTCCATCTCAAAAAAAAGAAAAAGAAAAATGGAGAATGAGAAAGCTTCTAAATACCCTTACAGTTATGAGATTCCATGATTCCCTTGTGTCTTTGGTAGACTTTCCTTTCTGGTTTTTGACTATTTCTCCCCTTAGTTAGAGGCAGTATTGTATAAAGTTTAAGAAAGCAAGTAACAAAGCCAGATTTTCTGGATTTGAGTCCTGGCTCTGCCATATGCCAGTTGTGTGCCCTTTTAAGCAAAGTGTTTAACTTCTCTGTGCCTCAGTTTACTTGTCTGTAAAATGGTGATAATAGTAAGAATAAATATGTAATAGGATCATTGTAAGATTAAATGAGATACATAAAATATTTTAGGATAGTGCCTGGCACAATGTAAGCACTCAAAAGTTTTAGCTGATTATTATTATTATTGCCTGTCTCCCTGTCAGTTATTTCTTTCTTTCTTTTTTCTTTTCTTTCTTTTTTTTTTTGAGATGGAGTCTCGCTTGTTTGCCCAGGCTGGAGTGCGGTGGCACGATCTCAGCTCACCACAACCTCCGCCTCCCAGGTTCAAGCGATTCTTCTGCCTCAGGCTCCTGAGAAGCTGTGACTAAGGCACACACCACCATGCCTGGCTAATTTCTGTACTATTAGTAGAGATGGGGTTTCACTATGTTGACCAGGCTGGTCTCGAACTCCTGACCTTGTGATCTGCCCACCTCGGCCCCCCAAAGTGCTAGGATTACAGGAGTGAGCCACTGCACCACCCAGCCTGTCAGTTATTTCTACTTAAAGAGCTGGACTTCTCTGCCTGGTCCAGGTAGTTCCTCTCTTTTTTCTTTTCTTTGAGACAGAGTCTTGCCTTTTTGCCCAGGTTGGAGTGCAGTAGTATGATCTCGGTTGCCCGCAACCTCCTCTTCCTGGGTTCAAGCTATTCTCCTGCCTCAGCCCCCCAAGTAGCTGGAATTACAGGCAGACACCCCACCATGCCCGGCTAATTTTTGTATTTTTAGTAGAGATGGGGTTTGACCATATTGGCCAGGCTGGTCTCGAACCCCTGACCTCAAGTAATCCACCCGCTTCAGCCTCTCAAAGTGCTGGAATTACAGGCATGAGCCACCTCGCCCAGCCATTCCTTTTTTTTTTTTTTGGGGGGGCGGGGACGGAGTCTCGCTCTGTTGCCCAGGCTGGAGTGCAATGGTGCAGTCTTGGCTCACTGCAACCTCTGCCTCCCAGGTTCAAGTGATTTTCCTGCCTCAGCCTCCTGAGTAGCTGGGATTACAGGCACCCCCCACCACACCCGGCTAGTAATTTTTTTGTATTTTTAGTAGAGACGGGGTTTCACTATGCTGGCCAGGCTGGACTCGAACTCCTGACCTCATGATTCGCCTGTCTCGGCCTTTACAGGCGCGAGCCACCCGGCCTGGCCCGTTCCTCTGTTAATATACCCTTTTTTTTTTTTTTTTTTTTAACTATCTTCTTAATATACCCTTTTTTTTTTTTTTAACTATCTCCCAGGATTCTGACATAATAAACTCAACTCAGAGTATCTTAAATGGTAAGAGGATTTATAACTTCACATATCAGGAAGTCCAGAGATAGGGAGGGTCGAGATTGACTATTGTCTAATCACAGCATCAAGGATGCAGGCTCCAGCCAGTCATGGTGGCTCACATCTGTAATCCTAGCACTTTGTGAGGCCAAGGCGGGTGGATTGCTTAAGCCCAGGAGTTCAAGACCAGCTTGGGTGACATGGCAAAACCCCATCTCTATTACAAATACAAAAATTAGCCATTCGTGGTGATGGGCGCCTGTAATCCCAGCTACTCAGGAGGCTGAGCCCCAGAGGTTGAGGCTGCAGTGAGCTGTGATCATGCCACTACACTCCAGCCTAGGTGACAGACTGAGACCCTGTCTCAAAAAAAAAACAAAAAAACAAACAAAAAAAAACACAAAAAGCCTGGGCAAGGTGGTCACACCTTTATTCCAATCGCTTTGAGAGGCTGAGGTGGGCAGATCACCTGAGGTCAAGAGATTGAGACCAGGCTGGCCAACATGGCAAAACCCCATCTCTACAAAAATACAAAAATTAGGCCAGGTGCGATGTCTCACGCCTGTAATCCCTGCACTTTGGGAGGCCAAGGTGGGTGGATTACCTGAGGTCAGGAGTTCAAGAGCAGCCTGGCCAACATGGAGAAACCCCATCTCTACCAAAAATACAGAAATTAGCTGAACGTGGTGGCACGTGCCTGTAATCCCGGCTACTCAGGAGGCTGAGGTAGAATCGCTTGAACCCAGGAGGCAGAGGTTGCAGTGAGTCAAGATCACACCACTGCACTCCAGCCTGGGTGACAGAGTGAGACTCCATGTAAAAAAAAAAAAAAAAATAGCTGGGCGTGGTGGTGCATGCCTGTAATCCCAGCTACTAGGGAGGCTGAGGCAGGAGAATCACTTGAACCTGGGAGGTGGAGGTTGCAGTAAGCCAAGATCTCACCACCGTACTCTAACCTGGGTGATATAGTGAGACTCCATCTCAAAAAAAAAAAAAAAAAAAAAGGATGGATGCAGGCTTATTTTCTCTGCTTCCCCATCCTCCATGTGTTGGCAGGGTGCTGCCACAGTCTAGGTATCATCTGCATCCAAGATCACCTTTGGTAGAAGATACCTGTTTCTTCCAGAGGCTTAAAAAAATTTTAAATAAAATAGGAAACCTTTTCCATTCAACAAAGTCCCTTTGTGTCTCACTTGTCCCTTCTAAAACCAGTCACAAAAAGGAAACAGAATTACCACAATTGGTTTAACTAATTTATATCCATCTCCCAGGGATTGGGGATAAGGTCTCCTTCCCTGATCATGTATTCTCAGGGGAAGGCAAGCGCCAAAAGAAATCTGGGTTAGATCAATGAATGTGGAAGAACAGGGAAGTCTGGGGAGGTGCCCTTTCCTCTGCTGCTTCATTTTTCTCAGTGTAAGAATTATTTTGTTTTATACAGCTCTTCAAGAGGCTGGTGGTCTCAGTAGAATGACTGACTAAATTTTTTTTGAGACAGGTTTCACTCTGTTGCGCAGGCTGGAGTACAGTGGAGTGATCTCAGCTCACTGCAACCTCTGCCTCCCAGGCTCAACTAAGTAGCTAGGACCACAGGCGTGTGCCACCACGCCCGGCTAATTTTTGTATTTTTGGTAGAGATGGGGTTTGCCATGTTGCCCAGGCTGGTCTTGTACTCCTAAGCTTGAGCAATTCACCTGCCTTGGCCTCCCAAAGTGCTCTGACTGTAGGCGTGAGCCAACACGCCCAGCCAACTGATTAAATTCTTAAAAGTGGGTAGTTAAATGAGTCTGTTTTATGGGTATCTGTGAGAAGCTAAAGTTCAAGTCTTCCTGTTTCTCCAATGAATGAAGGAAGCCATGTGTCTCCGTAAAACTTGAGGTTGAATATGTGACCATATTCTACAGATGAAAGATCATTTTTTATTTGTTTGTGTTCAGTGTTTTGGCTGAGAAACAGTGGTTGGACACTGATATTATTCCAGGTATCCAGATAGTTGGTCTTTTCCTGACCCACATGTGAAGGAGAGCTGCAAAGTTGTCATTTTGATTTGACGAAATATACCCATTTGGTAATTAAGGCCCATCCTTGAAAAAGAAACAAACCACTGCTGTGCCTTGAACGGTGGCTGAGGCCTGTAATCCTAGCACTTTGGAAGGCCAAGGCAGGTGGATCACTTGAGCTCAGGAGTTTGAGACCAGCCTGGGCAACATGGCAAAACCCTATCTCTAAAAGTAATAGAAAAATTAGGCTGGGTGCAGTGGCTCACACCTATAATCCCAGCACTTTGGGAGGCCGAAGTGGTGGGTGGATCACCTGAGGTCAGGAGTTGGAGACCAGCCTGGCCAACATGGTGAAACCCCGTCTCTGCTAAAAATATAAAAATTAGCCAGGTATGGAAGCGAGCGCATGTAATGCCAGCTACTTGGGAGGGTGAGGCAGAAGAATCACTTGAACCTGGGAAGCAGAAGTTGCAGTGAGTGAGATTGCCACTGCATTCCAACCTGAGTGACAGAGCGAGACTCTGTCTCAACAAGAGAAAAAAAAAAAAAGAAATAGAAAAATTAGCCAGGCGTGGTGGCACATACCTGTAGTCCCAGCTACTTGGGAGGCTGAGATAGGAGGATCACCTGAGCCCGGGGAGGTTGAGGCTGAAGTGGGCCACGATCATGCCACTGCAGCCTGGGTGACAGAGTGAAACCCTGTCTCAAAAACAAAACCAAAAAACGAAAACTGCTTTATAATTTTTTATATCACCTTTTCTTTCTGACAAATAAATTTGAGGCTATTTAAGCTTGGAAAAGAGAAAAATACTGAAGGCCTATCATGTGATAAAAGATGTAAACTTAATTTTTTGTGACTCTAAGACTGATTTAGGATCAAGATTGAAGCAGTTCATAATTTATAATAGGGAGCAACTATGTAACAATTAAGACTATTTCATAACTAGTGAAATGATCCTGTTCCAGTTTTCCCAGAGGTTAGCAGGCCTTTCAGAAAATTACAAAAATGAGTTCTTCTTTGGGGAATAGGGGAAGATTGTGGGAGGTCAAATCTAAGAACTCTTCCAGTTTTGACTATTATTTAATTTTTATTTATTTTTTATTTTTGAGACAGAGTTTTACTTTTGTTGCCTAGGCTGGAGTGTAATGGCACAATCTCGGCTCACCGCAACCTCTGCCTCCCAGGTTCAAGTGATTTTCCTGCCTCAGCCTTCCTGTTAGCCGGGATTGCAGGCATGCACCACCACGCCCAGCTAATTTTGTATTTTTAGTAGAGATGGGGTTTCTCCATGTTGGTCAGGCTGGTCTCTAACTCCTGACCTCAGGTTATCCAACCGCCTCGGCCTCCCAAAGTGCTGGGATTACAGGCGTGAGCTACCGTGCCTGATTTTTTTTTTTGAGATGGATTTTTGCTCTTGTTGCCCAGGCGGGACTGCAATGGCACAATCTCAGCTCACCGCAACCTCCACCTTGCTGGTTCAAGTGATTCTCCTGTCTCAGCCTCCCGAGTAGCTGGGATTATAGGCATGCACCACCACACCTGGCTAATTTTGTATTTTTAGTAGAGACGGGGTTTCTCCATGTTGGTCAGTCTGGTCTCAAACTCCCAACATCAGGTGATCCGCCCACCTCAGCCTCCCAAAGTGCTGGGATTGCAGGTATGAGCCACTGCGCCTGATCTTTTTTTTTTTTTTTTTTTTTTTTCAGAGACAGGATCTTGCTTTGTCACCCAGGCTGGAGTGTAGTGGTGTGGTTGTAGCCCACTGCAGCCTTGAACTTCTGGGCTCAAGTGATCCTCCCACCTCAGCCTCCCGAGTAGCTGGGACGACAGGCACACTCCACCACATCCAGCTAATTTTGTTCTTTTTTTATAGAGAGGAGGTCTCACTATGTCACCCAGGCCAGTCTCAAACTCTTGGCCTCAAGCGACCCTCCTACCTCAGCCTTCTGAAGTGCTAAGATTACAGGCATGAGCCACTGCACCCAGCATAATTTATTTATTATTATTATTTTTTTTTTTTTTGAGACAAGGTCTTACTCTGTTGCCTAGGCTGTAGTGCAGTGGCAGAGTCATGGCTCAATGCATCCTTGACCTCCTGGGCTCAAGTGATCCTCCCGCCTCAGCCTCTTGAGTAGCTGAGACTACAAGTGTGCACCACCATGTCTGGCTAATTTTTTAAAAAAAATTTTGTAGAGACAGGGTCTCACTGTGTTGTCTAGGCTAGTCTAGAACTCCTGGGCTCAAGCGATCCTGCTGGCTCAGCCTCCCAAAGTGTTGGGGTTACAGGCATAAGCCAACACACACAGCTCCCAGTTTTGATCTTTATTAATGTTTCCTAGCCAAGAGATACGGAGAATGCATGTGCTGAGTTTTACTAGTACTTCAGACTGAAGAGAACTGAGGCTTGATTTACCCATTGTGGGGGTGGGTAATACATACATACATACTACATACATAAACAAAGTCCCATGTATAGCAAATGATCCATGAAGGTCTATAGGTTATAACTGTTTTTATAGTAGCCTTTAGTTACTGAATCAGATAATTTTAAAATGGAAGTTTGTAGTCAGTTTCTTTCAATATTTGTAGCTAGTTTCTTCTAATATTTCTCATCTTTAAATTCAACTATATGACTTTTTTTTTTTTTTTTTTTTTTTGAGCCAGAGTCTTGCTCTGTCACCCAGGCTGGAGTGCAGTGGTGCGACCTTGGCTCACCGCAACTTCTGCCTCCGAGGTTCAAGTGATTCTCCTGCCTCAGTCTCCCAAGCAGCTGGGAGGCAATTGAGCGCAATTGAGCCAGCTTGCTTAAGATAAAGGAAAGAATTTAAGGCTGGATGCAATGGCTTACCACCACGTCAGGCTAATTTTTGTATTTTTAGTAGAGACATTGTTTCACCATATTGGTCAGGCTGGTCTCGAACTCCTGACCTCAAGTGATCTGCCCACCTCGGCTTCCCAAAGTGTTGGGATTGCAGGTATGAGCCACTGTGCCTGGCCGTCAACTATATGACTTTGCAATTGTGTGAATGACTCTCTGGCCCTCTAAAGATAATTTATCTAGCCCTAAGTAAACCAAGTCTCCAGGCAGCTGCTGAAGAGCCACCACAAGGTGAACAAAACAGTACTCTAACCACAGCCTTCTGAGTAGCTAGAACTACAGGCACATGCCACCACTCCCTGAACGCAGGAGTTTGAGGCTGCAGTGAGCTATGATCGCATCACTGCACTCCAGCCTGGGTGACAGAGTGAGATCCTGTCTCAAAAAAAAAAAAAAAAAAAATCACAAAGCAGTAGCCTGGCAGACCATCTAACTTATGTCAGGATGAGGCTAACTTTGCTTCTTGAAAGACTTCTGGGTCTTACCCTTCTTACCCTTTAAACTGATTTGAAGGAGAGGAAAATATCTGTTGTGACAATTTTCTTGAAGCATTGCTATCCATTTGTCTGTTTATTTAATTCCATTTCTAGGGCTACACTGGGAATAGATGTGACATCTGGGAGAGTTTCCAGTAAAGGAGGGAAAGAAGTCTTCAGGGTTGAAGTACAGTCAGTAACCTGTATAAGGAGAAACCTCTGCAAACTATTGTTGTAGCTAAACATGTTTGACTTCGGCAATTGAGGACATGAATCTGTGTGTAGAGTATCAACTTCTGATTCTTAGTTTGTGGTTGGAGAACTGTGTAGGCTTCATTACAGGATTTCCCAGGTAGTGATAGTAAGTGATAAAGAAGCAGCCATCCCTGCAGTATAGATACTCCATCACTGGGAGACAGTAGATTGACTGAACCCAAATAGTGTATAGCAAAGTAAAGATTCCTCCTCCAGGGAGGGACCCAATCTTTCTGAAGGACAGATGTCTACAAAGTTCTCTTCTTGTTTTTTCAGCTTGCTTAAGATAAAGGAAAGAATTTAAGGCTGGGTGCGATGGCTCACACCTCTAATCCCAACACTTTGGGAGGCTGAGGTGGGAGGATCACTTAAGTCCAGGAGTTCAAGACCAGTTTGGGCAATATACCAAGACTCCATCTCTACAAAAAAAATCTTAAAAATTAGCCGGGCAGGCTGGGCGTGGTGGCTCACGACTGTAATCCCAGCACTTTGGGAGGCTGAGGCGGGCGGATCACGAGATCAGGAGATCAAGACCATCCTGGCTAACACAGTGAAACCCTGTCTGTACTAAAAAATAGAAAAAATTAGCTGAGCGTGGTGGCGGGCACCTGTAGTCCCAGCTACTCAGGAGGCTGAGGCAGGAGAATGATGTGAACCCAGGAGGCAGAGCTTACAGTGAGCCGAGATCATGTCACTGCACTCCAGCCTGGGTGACAGAGCGAGACTCCATCTCAAAATATATATATATATATAAGATTTTATAGATTCTATAACCATTTAAGCTTTGTCTGATTTTACTTCTTTTTGAAGGGAGAGTAGCTTGAAGTTGGTTAACAGTGTTGTGGGTTTGTGGTAGCTGTGAAAGTTCTTCCTTGGGAAAGGAGCATACTCCTTTCTAGTAGTCAATGGAGCTTTATAATTTTCTTCTTTCTGGAGAGGATCTAATGGGTGAAGTGATTGAGCCAGAAATGTGCGCAAATTTCTGTAGGGAACAAGGGGAGAAAATAAAGTGTCAAGAGGGCTCATGCTACTTTAGAACTGAATCCTGGTGAATCTCAAAATAATTATGCTGAGTAAAAGAGTCCAGACAGTGTATGATTGATTCCATTTATATAAAATTCTAGAAAATACAGACTAATCTGTAGTGACAGAACAGATCAGTAGTTGGCTGGGGTTAGTGTGAAGGGAGGAAGAGATTACAAAGGGACATGAGGAACCTTTGGGGCATGGTGAATGCGCTCACTGTTTTGATTGGGGTGATGGTTTCACAGGTGAATGCATGTGTCATAATATAAAATTATACATTTTAAATACATGCAGTTTATGTCAATTTTACCTCAATAAAGTTTTTTTTTTTTAAAGAAATGAACCCAGGGACAGCATTTATTAAATAACTCTTTTCTGGGTTAAAGGAAGGCTGCTGGAAAAAATGTACCCGTGTGAAATACGAGTCTTGTGTATTTGTTAAGTATGGATACATACCTCCTGCTTAATGCATTTGATGTTTCTTTAGGAGTCCATAGAGGCCACTGTATTCTATTGAAGAACATGTCTAACAGTAACACTACTCAAGAGACCCTGGAAATAATGAAAGAATCAGAAAAAAAACTGGTGGAAGAATCTGTAAACAAAAACAAGTTTATATCTAAGACTCCAAGTAAGGAAGAAATTGAGAAAGAATGTGAAGATACCAGTTTGCGTCAGGAGACACAGGTAACGATTGGAAATGCATTGTATGCACACTTTTTTTTTTTCCTTTAGAGACAGGGTTACCCAGCTCTGTCTGTTACCCAACCTGGAGTGCAGTGGCACAATTAGGGCCCACTGCACCCTCAAACTCCTGCATCAAGAGATCCTCCCACGTCAGCCTCCCAAGTAGCTGGGACTACAGGCATGTGCAACCACATCCAGCTAATATAAAAAAATTTTTTTGTAGAGACAGGGTCTATGTTGCCCAGGCTGGTCTCAAACTCCTGGCCTCAAATGATTCTCCTGTCTTTGCCTCTCAAAATGCTGGGATTATAGGTGTGAGCCACTGTGCCCGGCCAACATTCTTTATACCTGAATAAAAGTGGAGATGTGTAAGAATCAGTCACTTTTAGAAACACTTGATTCTCTTTAAAAACTCCAGCTTCAACTCTCAAAAGAAATCTTCCCTTTTTGTCATATAGTCCACAATGAAGTCTAAAAAGGACAGAGTAAAATCCCTAATCTATTTGGGCCTGAGTTCACTGGTTCTTGCTGCATTTTGACTTTTTTTATTACCAAAAAATAAACTGTACACAAACGCATATTTAATAAGTCATAAAATGACTCATATAATAAACTCTTAAAACTTGAGCTTCCTGGCTTTACACACAGTGTTAAATTCATATCCTGGTTGTGTTAAAGCAGTCAGCATTTTTCTGGGTCAGAAATAGCCTCTGAACTTGCCACTTGGTAAATGTGAGTAAAAGGAATTTCACTCTTTGTTTGCCATGTTTTTCATCCAAATTCGTACTGTAGTACAGAAATGATGGTAGTAGATAGTTAGCCAAACTTCCTTGTGGGGTTCTTCTTTGGTTTCTGCCTGGCCAGCCCAAACTCTGAGCCTCCTCTCATCTACCTGTTAGAGCCCTTATTCTGTGGTCACTGCTGGTTTCTTCTGTTACCCAAGCCCAACAAATCCTTTCCTTCATGCCCAGGGGTGAAAACTGGTTTTATTATAAGTCAAGAGACAGACAATTAACACTAGCAAGAAGTTAGATTAAAACACCGGAACAACAACATTTTAGAGGGTCTGGAAACTTGAAGCATAATTTTTCTAGACAATTCAATTCACATAAGGTTTGTCTTCTTTAAAGATTAAAACAGCAATAATATAAAGGAATGAATTAAAATTAGACAGCTCTCTGAGATATTTTGTTCTCTAGCTGCCTGCTTTTCTACTGTTTTTCGTCTTACAATTCACCAGTCTCTGCCCTGGCTGTTTTTCTTTCCATTATTACATGTTAGTTGTCATTCCCTGCCCATTCTTCCAGAGCTTGTGGAGACAATCTGCCACTGTTCCAGCTGTACTTCCAGCCTCCACTGATACAAATAATGAATTTTAAATATTCAGGACAGATAAGTGATGAATGTTTCATTATGTGCTGTCATGTTACATGAAAGATAATAATTAAATGACCTTTTGGGTCTAAGTTATTCTATTCTTAGGAGATAATTATAAATGGTGTTCTGAATTCCTGTTTTGTGTACTTCTTGAAGCTAGGCAGAAAAGAAGGGACATCTATAGTTTTTTTTTATTTTTTGAGGCTGAGTTTCACTCTTGTTGCACAAGCTGGAGTGCGATGGCACAATCTTGGCCCACTGCAACCTCCGCCTCCCGGGTTCAAGCGATTCTCCTGCCTCAGCCTCCCGAGTAGTTGGGATTACAGGCGCCCGCCACGACACCCGGCTAATTTTTTGTATTTTTAGTAGAGGCGGGGTTTCACCATGTTGGCCAGGCTGGTCTTGAACTCCTGACCTCAGGTGATCTGCCCGCCTTGGCCTCCCTAAGTGTTGGGATTGCAGGCAGCACCTGGCCCCATCTATAGGTTTTATATGCTTTATGGACACTTGCTTAGTTTAAAAATGTCTTCAGGCCGGGCGCAGTGGCTCATGCCTATAATCCCAGCACTTTGGGAGGCCAAGGTGAGCAGATCACTTGAGGTCGGGAGTTCAAGATCGGCCTGGCCAACATGGTGAAACCCTGGCTCCACTAAAAATACAAAAAATTAGCTGGGCATGGTGGCATGTGCCTGTAGTCCCAGCTACTTGGGAGGCTGAGGCAGGAGAATTGCTTGAACCCAGGAGGCAGAGGTTGCAGTGAGCCAAGATCACCCCACTGCACTCCAGCCTGGGTGACAGAGCGAGACTCCAAGACTCCAACTCAAAAAAAAAAAAAAAAATTCACCTGGAAATACAAATACAATGTCTCGGGGTTTGGAAGGGGACCTGCCTCCTCTCTGACTTGACTCCTTTTGCTGCTGGTAGAGCAGGTGGAGCTGCTGCTGCCATCTACTGGAGCTCTTGTTCCTTTTGCAAAGTATTCAGTCTTGTCAGCCTCCCTGGATCCTATGGAGCAGTACCTTAAGAAGCACTCTACTCTCTATGCATTTCCCAACATACCATTTACCCCTTCATCAGCACTAAAAATTCTGCTTCTGAGCTGGGCATGTGGCGTGTCCCTGTAATCCCAGCTACTTGGGAGGCTAAAGCAGGAGAATGCTTGAACCCGGGAGGCAGAGGTTGCAGTGAGTCAAGATTGTACCACTGCACTCCAGCCTGGGTGACAGAGTGAGACCCTGTCTCAAAAAAAAAAAAAAAAAAGAGCATGGCTGGGTGCAGTGGCTCATGCCTATAATCCCAGCACTTTGGGAGGCCCAGGCGGGTGGATCACTTGAGGTCAGGAGTTCGAGACCAGCCTGGCCAACATGGCGAAACCCCATCTCTACTAAAAATACAAAAATTAGCTGGGCCTGGTGGCGCATGCTTGTAATCCCAGCTACTCGGGAAGCTGAGGCAGGAGAATCACTTGAACCCCTGGGAGGCAGAGGTTGCAGTGGCCCAAAATCGCACCACTGCACTCCAGCCTGGGTGACAGAGTGAGACCCCGTCTCAAAAAACAAAACAAAACAACAACAAAAAAACCCAGCATTTCTGCTTCTCCAGCCTTCCCTGGTTTTATACCCTAGAAGTCTCCCCAAGAATCTAAGTGGTCCTTTCAAAAAAGTCCCTGTTATGAATTGGAGCTGAAAAGTTTGGGGAAAAGGGACGTTCATTACATATAATGTGTGAGATATGTCCTTGGGATCAGCAAGTGAAACTCAGAACATCTTTTGCATGGAAACAATGCTAGAAAATGCAGGTTCTGAGATTCTGTTTAGAATGGGCAAGTCCTCAACACATACTGAATTTAGGTGTGTCCTTTTTTTTTGTTTTGAAATGGAGTCTCGCTCTGTCACCCAGGCTGGAGCGCAGTGGCGCAATCTTGGCTCACTGCAACCTCTGCCTGCCAGGTTCAAGTGATTCTCCTGCCTCAGCCTCCCAAGTAGCTGGGACTACAGATGCGTGCCACCATGCCTGGCTAATTTTTGTATTTTTAGTAGAGGCAGGGTTTCACCATGTTGGCCAGGCTAGTCTCAATATCCTGACCTCAGGTGATCCATCTGCCTCAGCCTCCCAAAGTGCTGGGATTACAGGCGTGAGCCGCCCCGCCCAGCCAAGAATGTCCTTTAGCCAACTTGGAGGCCAGGCGCGGTGGCTCACGCCTGTAATCTCAGCACTTTGGGAGGCCAAGGTGAGTGGTCATGAGATCAAGAGATTGAGCCCATCCTGGCCAACATGGTGAAATCCCATCTCTACTAAAAATACAAAAAAATTAGCTGGGTGTGGTGACGCATGCCTGTAGTCCCAGCTACCCAGGAGGCTGAGGCAGGAGAATCGCTTGAACCCAGGAGGCGGAGGTTGCAGTGAGCCGAGATCACACCACTGCACTCCAGCCTGGCAACAGAGCGAGACTCCATCTCAAAAAAAAAAAAATAGCCAACTTGGTAAGACCTCTTAGTTGGGCTTTCTGCCTTTAAACTTGTAATCCTTTTTGATAAATGTACCATATTGTTTTAGAAAGGTGGTTGTGAAATAAAGAACTGCCTGTGTTAACTCTCTTCAAACATTCTGTGTGTCTTACTGCTTTAAGCCAAGTCCAATATTTCTCAGCATGTTATATTGTGACCTAGTCTCTTGCCTGTCAGCCATCACCTCTGACATCCAATGCATCAGCATTATCTGATTCCTTGGTCCCTGTTATAAATAGGAGCTGAAAATTTGGGGAAAGCATGCTTTTGTACATGCTTTCTCTGCCTGGAATGCCCACCTTAATATTCTTATCCTGACCTCCTCCAACTCCTACCCCTACCAACATCTGTCTAAAGCCTATTTATCCTTCAAAACTCAATCCAGATGATGTCTTTCTCTAGGAAGCCTTTGAAAACCTTATTCACCTATTTGCAGGTCTATATAGTATAATTCTTTGATCAATGTCTGTCATCCTTACAGAACTATAAGTACTACGAGGTCCAGGATTAGGTCAATTTTGGCTCACCATTTTATCTCTAAGGCCAACACAGTGCCTTGCACATAGCAGGCACTCAATATCTGTAAATGTATGAATCTATGGGTTGCTAGGTCTGAGTCAGACGCTTCTGCTGTGTGCTCCTGTAGCACTCCATGAGTACCTCTCTAGTACACTTAATGTACTGTATTGTAATTGTCTGTCTGTCTTCTCCAACAGGATTATGAGTTCCTTTTTGACAAGGTTTGTGCCTTTTATCTCCATATCCTCCAGTAGCTAGCATGATAACATGGTGTATATTAGGCTTTTAATATATGTTTGGCTGTTAAAACTATCCATTCTGGGAAATAAGCAGATTCATTCATATATTGTTGGTAAGAGTCTAAATTGGTACAACCACTTTGAGGGGCAATTTAGGAATACTTTATAAAAAACTTTTAAATGGACTACAGATATACTATATTTATATATATTCAATGATATGGTCATTATTTATACTAACAAAAGGTCAGAAACATCCTAAATGGTGAAACATTAGAGACTCGTAAAATAAGTTATGGTATAGCTACACAGTGGAATACTATGTAGCCATTAAAAATGGGGTAGATCTTCTATAGAATGATACTCATGAAAAAAAGTTTAAAAACAAGGTTCACAGTAGTATGTATAATATGTTTATTTTTATTTTTATTTTTTTTGAAACGGAGCCTTGCTCTGTTGCTCAGGCTGGAGTGCAGTGGCGCAATCTCAGCTCACTGCAACCTCCACCTCCCAAGTTCAAGCAATTCTCCTGCCTCAGCCTCCCTAGTAGCTGGGATTACAGGTGCCCACCACCACGCCTGGCTAATTTTGGTATTTTTTAGTAGAGACAGGGTTTTGCCATGTTGGCCAGGCTGGCCTTGAACTCCTGACTTCAGGTGATTGCCCACCTTGGCCTCCCAAAGTGCTGGGATTACAGGCATGAGCCACCGCCCCCAGCCAATATATTTGGTTTTTTAAAAAAACCTTTGTATACACATACACTAAGCTTATATATGCCTAAAAGATACCTGGATATATCCAAAAGAACTTTAATACTGGTTGACCATTTAGGAGAGAACCAAGTATCTGGGGGACAATTATGAAAGGAGACTTACTGTTCTATATATATCCCCATTATGCCTTTTGAATCTTTGTGCCATGTTGTATGTATTGCCTGTTTGAAAAAGTAGTGACAAATACTGCTTCATATTTCTGGACTATGAATCTTCCCTTACTGCAACAGATCTTACCACTGAGCAGATCCACCATCATTTCTTATTCTTTCCATCCACCTTCCCAGTTCTCCATTTTGCATTGTGGCCGTGTTATTTGCTAACTAGTGAAGAAGACCAAGAAAAGAGAAATCCTCACCTACCCAAGGCCATGCTGGTACTCTGTCTCTGACTTGTTTCCCCTCCCCTATCCTCCTGCCTCAGTTCCCTCTACGCCCCATTGGAGTTCCATTCCAAACATCTCAGAACTCCTAAGTGCCTCATCCCCATATATAACCCTACCCAACCTCTTCCCAGAAGCCCCCATTTTGACTTCTCAGATGTTTACAAATCTTATTAATTGGCTGTTCTTTCCGTCATCCCACCTTACGCCTTCATTCTTTATCTTCCTCGGTTTCTATCCTGACCCTTATCCACTCTCTTCCCCTTGCTCTGGAGGTCTTATCCCTATATTTTATGCTCCTTTCTTTGTATCCTGATAACTCAGGGAGGGAGGCATTTGGGAAGAAGACTCTTCATTCCATTTCTGCAGCTATAGGAACAGATATTTTGGGTATCTCAAGTTGGAACTATGAATGTGTGTATTGTCCTATAAAGATATTATAAGTGATGGTTAGGGGCCATATTTCATATCCATTATTGATTAAATAGGCTTCTGTGAACAGGATTGGGGGAAAAAAACACTCTTTCATGCTGTGGTAGTGACATTTGCAGAAGCATCCTAAATAAGACAGGATACCATGGTTTGTCCAAAAGTAACTTTTATCAGTCTGTGAAATAGGCCAACAAAATCAGTGTCTTCCAACTCTTTTTTTTTCTTTTTAATGGTTTTTGTTGTTTGGTTTTTGAAACAGGGTCTGGCTCTTATCACCCAGGCTGGAGTGCAGTAGCGTGATCTCGGCTCACTGCAACCTCCTCTTCCCAGGCTCAAGCCATCCTCCCACCTCAGCCTCCCAGATACCTGAGACTACAGGTGCATGCCACCACACATGGCTAATTTTTTTTTTCTTTTTCTTTTTCTTTGTCTTTTTGGTTTTGTTTTTTTTTTTGTAGAGATGGGATTTCGCCTTGTTGCCCAGGCTGGTCTCAAACTCCTGAGCTCAAGGGATCCGCCTGCCTCGGCCTCCCAAAGTGCTGGGATTACAGGCATGAGCCACCACATCTGACCATCTTCTGATTCTCTAACTTAATGGTGAATGGTGATTTGACTGTATTGGCCTGTAGTCCCTTTCCTGTCACAGTTGTTAGAGTTGTAGGTTGTAGGGAGAAACCCACATCAAGTGGTCCTCATCATAGTTTGGCTGTTGTAATGGTTTTTACAGTTAGTGCTTTTTCTTTATAAACATGTATTGTTTTTAACTTACATGTCGATTTTCTTCCACCTTTAATATTTTCCAATTCCCTTCTAACAGAGGCGGACATCTAACCATGGTCATGCCAGGAAAAGAGCCAAGGTGAGAGCCCTTCCTCTAGCTTCTTTTCTAATGTTATTAGTAATACATTTCACAAGTAGACTTGTCATGAATATCTAGTTTGTTCAAATTATGTAGGCAGAGTTTTCTTGCCTGTACTCTGTACCCCAATTGTGAACCTGCGTAAGTGTGCATACACACATGTACACATACACATACATACCTCTAATGGAAACTGTGTAGGCGTACATAGGTGTATACACATTTGATGCCTGAAAGGCTACCCAGCTGGAGCCTTCCACAGAGCCTGAAAGAACTGGATACTAGTTGTGCTGAAATACCAGTTTCTCTGCTCACTCCTAGCTTCTCTAGGAGAATGGCTGCTTATATGAGTCTTTTTATTCCCCCTTCTTTTTTTTTTTTTTTCCTTGTGAGTTTTCTTTATGATAAATCCTGCCCCACTAAGAAAAATGACTCAACATTTCTGGATATCCTAAAAATACAGGCTTTTTTTTCCCCCTAATGTTTTACTTTTTTTTTTTTTTTTTTTGAGACGGAATTTTTTGCTCTCTTGCCCAGGCTTTAGTGCGATGGTGCAATCCTGGCTCGCTGCAACCTCCGTCTTCTGGATTCAAGCATTTCTCCTGCCTCAGCCTCCCAAGTAGCTGGGATTACAGGCGCCCGCCACCATGCCTGGCTAATTTTTGTAATTTTAGGAGAGATGAGGTTTCACCATGTTGGTCAGGCTGGTCTCGAACTCCTGACCTCAAGTGATCTGCCCACCTCGGTCTCCCAAAGTACTGGCATTACAGGCATGAGCCACCGTGCCCGGCTTCGAACTCTTGACCTTAGGTGATCCACCCGTCTCAGCCCCACAAAGTGCTAGGATTACAGGCATGAGCCACCATGCCTGGCCATTTTTCTTTTCTTTTCTTTTCTTTTTGAGATGGAGTCTTACTCTGTAGCCGGAGTGCAGTGGTGTGATCTCGGCTCACTGCAACCTCTGCCTTCCGTGTTCAAGTGATTCTCATGCCTTAGCCTCCCAAGCAGCTGGGCTTACAGGCACACACCACTAGGCCAGGCTAATTTTTGTGTTTTTAGTAGAGGTGGGATTTTGCCATGTCACGCAGGCTGTTCTCGAACTCCTGGGCTCAAGCGATCCACCTGTCTTGGCCTCCCAAAGTGCCGGGTTTACAGGCATGAGCCACCGCACTCAGCTAACCTAATGCTTTACTTTTTAGGGGGCAGGAAGAGGATTTTGCTTTTAATCATTATATGATAAACTTAGCACATCACAGATTATTTTAAGCAGAGTTATCAGGGAAGACTACATGTGTTAGTGTGTGATAGGTTTTTAATTTAGCTGGGAAGCAGTAAAGTATTAAATTTTTCTTGCATTGGGAAGAATTGCCACCAAAAGTAATAATTAAGGTTGGCCACCCTGTTCCTCCAAAAAAATAATGATAGAATTTGGAGAGTGGCTCAGCCACTATGTGGCTTGAGTTTGAAGAAGGCCAAGAACTATGATAAATTGGCTCTGTGGCTTGCCTTACATGGCCTGATCCATAGTGACGGGCTTGATGTTAAAGTTCAAAACAAAGGTTACTTACTGCTACTTTAGTTCCTCTCAAATTTTTTGGGATAAGTAAGACAGCTATTATCTCCATCTTACAGATGAGGAAACTTAGGCTATAGGGATTGAGTGGCTTAACAAATCAGTAGCAGTAGCTTAACATTCAGTAGCAAGTGACAGAATTAGGCATGATGTTAATTCTTCAGGCTCGCAAGTTCTTTCTGCTATACTGCACTACTTAGAGCATACCTGTCATGTTTTGTACTTTGGTATTTACTGTAATCCTTGGTTTTATTGTATTGAGTCTCAGTAAATGTTTATAGGTAGATTTCTAATGAGTCACCCTATAGTTTTTAGCTTTGGGTGGGTCCCTAGGAGGGAAATGATTTGCATAGTGGATTTCTGATATTTTTGGGATTCACCAGCTAGCAGAAGTAAAGCGGGCAGATTAGGTTTTATTGCATTAAATCCCAAGTGTTAATAAAGTTTTATCTGTCTCTCTTTTTTTTATTTTTTTTTATTTTTTGTTTTTTGGTTTTTTGAGATAGGGTCTCACTCTGTTGCCCAGGTTGGAGTACAGTGGCATGATCACAGCTCACTGCAGCCTCAACCTCCCAGGCTCAAGCAATTCTCCCGCCTCAGCCTCCCAAGTAGCTGGGACCACAGTCATGTGCTACCATGGCCAGCTAATTTTTAAAAAATTTTTTTGCAGAGATAGGGTCTCACTATGTTGCCCAGACTGTGACCTCCTGGCCTCAAGTGATCTTCCTACCTCAGCTTCCCAAAATGCCAGGTTTACAGGTGTGAGCCACCATGCTTGGCCTTTCTCTTACTCTTTTCTTAGACACTTCTTTCCAAACCCTTGGCATCTCAGGTTTGGAGTCATTTAGCATTTATTGTCTACTGTATGCTAAGCACTATTTAATGATATGTATATTTACATACTGTATATTATCTAATTCTCACAACAGGTTTTTAGGTAATTTTAGGTATTTATCGCCATTTTCCTGAGGAAAAACAGAGACCTGGAGAGGTCAGGTAATTTGCTCAGGGTCTCATAGCTTGTAAGTACAAAACCAGGAGTTGAAGCTAGGACTTTTGGCTCTCAGCCCCATTGTCTTTCTACTATGCTATGTTGCTGTGTGTTTGCATAAAGTTCTGAGACTGAAATTAGAGTATGGGGTTGAAGAGAGAAGAGGGCTGAGTGAAATGGTTTCCTATCATCTGTCCATGTAGCCAGTTTGTACATGTCTACTGTTGTAAGCAAGAGAAGTATCTTTCAAGTGAATCAGGAACTGGTGAGTAGGACCCGTTTGAAAAAAACCCCTGTTTAATGGAAACAGCAACTAACAGAGCCAAAGAGGACACTTTTCATTCAGCCAAAAGCTTTCTGAATGTTCACCGAGGGAAGAAATATATAAGATACATTAAAAAAATTGAAAATTGTTTTTTGTTTTTTTCAGTCTAATTCCAAGCTAAAGTTGGTGCGTAGCCTGGCAGTGTGTGAGGAGTCCTCCACCCCATTTGCTGATGGGCCATTAGAAACCCAGGTAGGTCATTTGCAGGAGTAAGTGTAGCTTTTGCGCTTGGCAGTTGTTTGGTAAGATGTAGTATGGCAGTCACAGCAACATCAGACTTGAAAATCAGGGTAGAAGGTACTTCAGAACAAAAGCTGTTGTAGTAAAACAGGGCATGGTCTCTCCTCCCAGCTGTGGGTTCCAGTGGCAGTGGCAGTGCTGACAGACCTGCACCAGGGAGGAGGGGGACCCTAAAAAAGAAAAAAACCCCAGCATAGTGAGAGCATGAAGTATAGGTCTTCATATCTTGACCACCTAGGATGATGCAGACAAGAAGATCCCAGGGCTAGATCTTATTTTCTTATGTGTACCCTCCCCCTCTGGTGGTTAGAACCATTCCCATTCAATACCTGTGCCAAGAACGGCCTGTGTAATTTGAGCTCTCCATAAAGTAGGTTGTGCTTGCTGGCAGAAAAAGCTGTGCCTCTACCCTCTTGATAGAAGAAAACTAAAACAGTTTAATTAGCAAAATAACACTAATCTATAAGAGAGAGCTGCCACCCCAAGATTTACCTTCTTTGAGATTCCAAGGGAGCTGCAAGAAAGTTAAAATCTTTTTCCCCCTTTGATTATCCTTTTTCCCCTTAAGGATATAATTCAATTGCACATCAGTTGCCCTTCTGACAAGGAGGAAGAAAAGTCCACAAAAGATGTCTCTGAAAAGGAAGACAAGGACAAAAACAAAGAAAAGATCCCAAGGAAGATGCTGTCCAGAGGTAAGGAGTTTTTCCCATCTCTCATCTGTTCTAGGGCAGTGCCCTTTACTTTTATCCTGAAGCCTGGCACCTGCCAGCCTTACTGGCCCATCAATTTGTAGTGTTCTGCTAACTTGGTTGCTTGAGGAGATGCCTAACGAGGTTACTTTCTTTGCTTCTTTAACTGAACCTGCCTTAGGAGCTCACATGCCACAGACAGCTACTCCATCTGCATTGGCATTATCCATAGGAGGACAATGTAGTCAATTCTGATTTTACTTGTGCTCTGGAATAATGGTAACATTGATAATCATTGGGTAGCAAATCCTCCAGATGCCATTTATATTTTGGTTTGGGGATGGCTAGGGTGATATTTATTTATTTATTTTTATTTTTATTTTTATTTTTTTGAGACAGAGTCTCCCTCTGTCGCCCAGGCTGGAGTGCAGTGGCACGATCTTGGCTCACTGCAACCTTCGCCTCCCGAGTTCAAGCGATTTTCTTGCCTCAGCCACCTGAGTAGCTGGGACTACAGGCACATGCCACCACACCTGGCTAATTTTTGTATTTTTGTAGAGGTGTTTAGTTTTACTATGTTGGCCAGGCTGGTCTTGAACTTCTAACCTCAGGTGATCTACCCACCTCAACCTCCCAAAGTGCTGGGATTACAGATGTGAGCCACTGCGCCTGGCCTGGTTTTTTTTTTTTTTAATAATGCAGATTTGCCTCTAATTATTAGACTATCTTTGCCTTTAAACTCTTGTACTGGTAGCAAAAAGACATAGTCCATAAAAATGATAATTGATAAGAAAAGGCAAACAGGATTAAAAAATAATATTTGGGCATATTTACTGAGATTCTGGAAAATTCAGCCCTGACTGCCCTTACCTGGAATTTATTTTCCTTAATAAAACCTGCTATATTTTGATCAGGACATTCAGTAAATACCTATTGATGATAGATGGCTTTTCAGTGTAATATTGATGTAATACTATGGCCCAGATTCTTTCTTCTGTCATTCTGATGAGGAATTTTGGGATCTAGCACATCAAGGTCATTCTGGATTTTATGTTAAAACCCTGGAAGTTTGATTTTGCTTTCCTATTCTTTTTTCTCCTGGTTAGGTTGTGGACTTCTGCTTAGGATTAGATAGCATGCAAAGCAGTTTCATGTATTTTAATTTCTTTTGTTGTGGTGGTTCTAGACTCCAGCCAGGAATATACGGACTCCACTGGAATAGACCTACATGAATTTCTTGTAAATACACTGAAAAAGAACCCAAGGTAATAACATGATGGGTATAAGAGGAAAAGGGGTTAGGGGATAGCAAGATTCCAAGAGGCCAAACGGCTTCCCAGAATTTTTCCATTCTTAGAATCTAGGATGCTCATCTTCCTGTCCCCCTAGTATTTGTCAGGTATAGTTTTATATTCTGTGAGGGATTCAAAATACTCTCACATTGAGGTTTCTGTTTTCAGAAGAATTGGGAAAACTTCTGTGAAAGAAGAATGCAGAAACAAAGAAATATGAAGTCTTGGGAGTATACTGATTAAAAAGCACACATTGGGAGTGATAGTAAGAAGAGCTAAAATAAAAAGCACAGAAGGAAAAAATAATTGATTTGTACATAAGCTAAATTATAATTCCTTTAAAATTGTTTATAACAAGATGGAATACAGAATGACGATTAGATTTATAACGTGTGTTTATATGAATATGTTGTTAACAGTGAGATTTCTGATATGGTATAACAAAGTATATGATTGGAGGACCTGCAAAATGTATACTCGGGTTGTTTTTCTTTTTAAAAATATTGTAAAACAGGCAAGTGAGGCTTAGCAGCATTATGGTTCATTACTGGGTTTGGATATATACCTTTTTCAGCTTCTGTAATGAGCAAGTTGTGTTTTCAATCCCCACTTTCAATGTCTATGGGAGGGCTGCTTTTTGTTTTGTTTTGTTTTGTTTTAATCTTTTTTAAACAGGGACAGAATGATGCTGCTAAAATTAGAACAGGAGATTCTGGAATTTATTAATGACAACAAGTAAGTTACTTGCATGAAATATATAATTAGAGGTGGGAGGGGGCACTGGAAATAAATTTAGGTACAATTTTAGGAGATGTTCCCCTTGAAGTGTGATTTTTGAAAACATACTGAAGTTTTTAAGTTATTATGTAGATTTGAGTTGAAAAATAATTTATATCTTTTCAGCAGCTTGCACTTGTCCCAGATTTTACTGTTCTTAAATGTCTTCCTTTTTCTTTGTCAAACATCATCCAGGTGGGTGGGACCTAGGGCTTAATAAGTAGTCTTTTTTTTGAGACAGTCTTTCTTTGTCGCCTAGGCTGGAGCGCCGTGGTACAGTCTTGACTCACTGCAATTCTGCCTCCTGGGTTCAAGTGATTCTTGTGCCTCAGCCATTGAGTAGCTGGGATGACAGGCACATGCCTAGCTAATTTTTGTATTTTTTGTAGAGACGGGGTTTCACCATGTTGACCAGGCTGGTCTTGAACTCCTGAACTCAATTGATCCGCCTGCCTTGGCCTCCCAAAGTGCTGGGATTACGGGCATGAGCCACTGCACCCAGCAATGAGTAGTCTTAATGAGGAAAGTAGGTCATAGTAATCTGCAGAATACTGTAGATAAAGAAACTGAGAAAAACCTATTTGGTTCCCATTTAGTAAATATCTATATTCCTTATAATATGTCTATTTCTCCTAAGAAACTTTCCACTTTAGACACTTGTAAGAAAAATTAAAATTGGTTGTTATTGCAGTTGTTTGTCTTATTTCACTTTTTTTCCCCGGGTTTCCCTTCAGTAATCAGTTCAAGAAGTTCCCTCAGATGACCTCATATCACCGGATGCTATTACACCGGGTAGCTGCCTATTTTGGGATGGACCACAATGTTGATCAAACTGGGAAAGCTGTCATCATCAACAAAACTAGTAACACAAGAATGTAAGGGAGGAAACCATGGTTTGGGAAGACTTCCCTGGGATAACCTGCTGGGTTGGAAGAGGAAGGTGTAGGATCAGGATGTCTCTTGCAGATGGCCAGGCGTGGTGGCTCACACCTGTAATCCCAGCACTTTGGGAGGCCAAGATGGGAAGACTGCTTGAAGCCAGGAGTTCGAGACCAGCCTGGTCAACACAGCAAGATCCCATCTCTATTACTTTAAAAAAAAAAAAAAAGTTTAAAAATGGCCGGGCGCAGTGGCTGACGCCTGTAATCCCAGCACTTTGGGAGGCCGAGGCGGGTGGATCATAAGGTCAGGAGTTCAAGACCCGCTTGGCCAAGATGGTGAAACCCCGTCTCTACTAAAAATACAAAAATTAGCCGGGCGCGGTGGCAGGCGCCTGTAATCCCAGCTACTCGGGAGGCTGAGGCAGGAGAATCACTTGAACCCCAGTGGCAGAGGTTGGAGTGAGCCAAGATCACGCCATGCACTCCAGCTTGGGCAATACAGTGAGACTCCATCTCAAAAAACAAACAAAAAAAATTTTTTTAAGTATTTTGCAGGGAAGGGGATTGGGGTTGGGGTTGGTTATATAATTAATTCCTACTCTTTCTGAGCCTTGGAGATAGATTCTAGAGAGACTGATGTTTCATGAAGTCTGGCCCTAGCCTCTCTTCACTTCACTGATAGGACAGATATAACTATGGAGGAAGAGAAGTTATAGATGTATAAAGTACAGACCCTGAAGATTTCATTAAAACCTGCATGTGACTTTTTGGATTCCTTACTCCAGAAATTCCCTGAGTGTGAGTTGTGTAATTTAGGAGAGCTGTACCTAATAGGTCTGCTTCCTAACAAAACGGTCTTTGTCCTCCTTTCCTTTCACATTTCTCTCCAAATCTCAGCCCTGAACAGAGGTTCTCAGAACATATAAAGGATGAGAAGAATACAGAATTTCAACAGAGGTTCATTCTCAAGAGAGATGATGCCAGTATGGACCGAGATGATAACCAGGTGAAGAATGGAAAGGGGTGGGCCTATATAGAGAGTTTGCAGTAAGAGAAACTGGGAAGGGAGAAGAATTTTTGTGGGATGGAGAAAACTCAAAATATCTTAGTACGGAGAAATGTATTGAGCTATACGGAGTTGGCTTTGGCTTAATGTTGAGAACTGTTTATTTGTTGAACTGGATGCCACCCTCTTAGCCCTAGAGAGACATGGTGCTGAGGTTTGCTAGGTGATCTCATTTGGCCTGGAACTCCTTGGGTCTGCCACTGACTTCTAACACCACATCATTTGGAATAAAGCAAGGTTGATCCCTGCCTCAGCCTTGATCCAACTGTTGGTTTCATTCTTTTTTTTCCTTTAATAGTTAGGGATTTCTTTGGGAACCACAAAAAGCTACTTTGTCCCACTTCAACTCTTATCCTAGCTTAGGGCTAGCCTTGAACTGGCAAAGTTGTGATCTAATTTACCCAATTATAAAGGTGTTTCTGATCCCTTTCTGCAAACTCCTTAATCTTTTTCCAACTCCTTCCACCAAGGTGAGTGAGTTAATTTGACATTTGATGCTGGGAACCTCAGATAGATCCCCTTTGTGATCCACTGCTGTGGGAATAAGAAGGGAACAGCCTATCCCATCCCTTTAAATGGGCCTGGCTATTGCTTTGACCTGAAGCCTACCCTTTAGATAGTAAGTGATTATTTGCGGGTTAGCTAAGAAGAAGATTTAGATCCAGCCTGCCTCTGCTTGGCCTCCAAAAGGGATTCGATTTGAAGAGCGTGGTTGAGTAGAGCCTACATTAATCTTGCTAATTAATAACTATAATAATATCTTACCTCTAGTGTCAAAATTAGTTTTCTTGGGATATTGTATGGTCTTGAGACCAGGACCTTTCCTGCTTGCTGCTTGAGTATTTGAGGGAGTCCTTTTGAGAAAAGTGCCATTATCTATTGTGGACAAACACACTGGGACTGATTGAAAACAAAGAAACATACAAAAAGACAAAATTTAAAAAACGAGAAAGAGCCTTTCCATCCTGATGCCCTTCTCCATTTTCCCAAACCCTTTTTCTGTGGATCAGGAATTATTCAGGCCTAGAGGCACATTGGGGCAAAGTGGAGTCTGTCCCTATTGTGAACTTTTCATCTCTCAGCTTCAGGCTTGATCCAATAGGGTTGTTTCTGTGTACTTTCTGTCTGTGACGTTAATAACAAGCATAATAATTGCTATCTTATTGAGTGTTTTCCCTGAACTAGGCTGTGTTCTAAACACATTTGTATGCATTATTTCCTTTAATCCTCTTCACAACCCAATGAGGATGGGGGTTATTATCCCCACTTTACATATAAGAAAACTGAGGCTAAGAAATGTTAAGTTACTTGTCTAAAGTTATATTACTGGGAGGTGGCAGAGCTGAGATTCTGCCTGACCTCAAAGCCCATTATGTTCTTTCTACTTTGCCATTGATTTACCTAGGGGCTGAGGACAATATAGCTCCTTGAGGCCCTGTGTCTTCTTGGAATGGAATTTATAAGAGGACATTTGGTAGGATTTAGGTTCTTGAAGCTAATGAGAACTAAATCTAGGCAAGGTTGATATTCTTGAAGTTATGGTTACCTTTGGAGATTGGTAAAGATCAGGAAGACCAGCCTAGAGCAGCAATCTCCTTAGTTGCTTCATGTGAAGCTTTCAAAGCCTCTGGGTTGGAAGTCAGAATCTTTTATAATCTGGTGATATTCATTTGATGAGTTTTCTCCCTTAGAACTCCTTGCCTTCAAGAGCAGGATGGATAAGGACACTCTATTACACCCTACCCTGGACAGTGTTCACCAATTACAGGCCAGGAGAGGAAAGATCATGATGAGGATTTAGATGGTAGGCTACTCAGAGGTGGTGATCTCCCCAGCCATCCCGTCTGGTTACCTCACTACATTTTCTAGAGAATGTAAGGTTCTTCTCTATCCTCTATTTTCTTATTTTCCTTGTCTATCTCTCTGTCTCTCCCCTTCCTCCACTGTACCTTACTTCTCTTCCTTTCTCTGCCCCTCTTTCTATCTGTTCTCCTTTTCTTTCTCTTTGTATTGCTCTGTTCTCTTTCTTCTTTATTTCTGTAATTTGTCTCTCCCCTTCCCCACCTCCAGTTAATATAGTTAAGTTCAGGAAAAAAATGCTTAGGCTTTGAGTTTAGCTTCGCCCTTGGGATTTCATTTCCAAGGCCCTCTTTGCTGAGCTGTGTGTGATTTGGGTCTTCAGGCCATGGCATTAGTGACTAAATAAGGAATAATGCCAGGTGCTAGTTCTATAAACCTCCTCCTCTACTGTTCAGCTCTGCTAAACACCTGTTTCTTCTCCCGTTCCAGCTTCCCTCTGTCCTTTGCTTTCCCTCTAAAGCAGTGTTGTTCCTTTTCCCAGGGCTATTTTCTCGATCCTTACTGACTGGAGGCTACCTGATTACTAGAGGGAAGCAACCCAGTCCTTATAAATAGTTGTTATTCTTGATACTGCGGGGGTGGGAGGGGTGGGGATTTGGAGAGTCCCCAGCCATCCAGAAAACCTGATCTCCCAAACTGCATGGTCAGATGTACCCAGTGAAACTTCTCCAGGACTGGAAATTTTATTCTTTTTTTTTTCCATTTTTTTGATGGCAACTATAAACTTTCCCGGTTTCTCTTCCTTGCTGGTGTGCAGTGAGCTTGCAGTACGAGGAGAACTTAACTAGCTTAATTCTGCTCATCGATCTAGATCAGAGTTCCATTGCAGGATGGAAGGAGGAGCAAGTCAATAGAAGAGAGAGAGGAGGAATATCAAAGGGTCCGAGAGAGAATATTTGCCCGAGAGGTAAGTGTAGCATCTGAGAGTTGTCAGCCCATAGCTTTTAGCTCTTAATCATTGGAACTGTGAATGGAATGAACCCTCCACAAATGTTTTTGGGTTTGTTTGTTTGTTTTATTTTAACCAACATCAGCCAACCCTAGATTTGATCTCTAAAACTAAATGTGGCTTATTGGGAAGCTGCAGATTTTCACTTATATTGTTTTCAATACATTCTGCCATATGGTATTCAAAGAGAACTATAACTTGGAGTGGCTGAATTTGGTAAATTTGCCTAGACTGAAAATAGAAATGGTTTTGGCAGGGTCTGAATCTTGCCTCTAAAACCCTCCTTCTGCTTACCCTCTTTCACTCCCTCTATCCATTTTAGGCATCTTTGCTTCTAAGTGGAAGACATAGTGTTCACACAGGCTGTACATTCATCTTGTTTGACCAGCCTCATTTTTAGGATATGTTGGTGATTGTTAGAGCACAGGTCTGGCATCCATCCTCTATGAGCTCCACATTCTACATGCACAGAGAGTACCACTGTTCTCTCCAGTCTCTACCTGAAAAGGAAGTCTCTTTCTTCCTATATTTCTTACCTTGCTTCCTACAACAGGACTAGCTCCTAGGGCTAAAAGCCAACATGAATCAGTTTAGGCAATGTTACTCTTAAATGTGTGGACTATATCAAATATACTTGGTACCCCTGTATCTGGTTGCCTTTGCCTACCAGATTGAAGAGAAGAATAGCAGAAATTCAGGAAAGGTTGTGGGTGTACAAGAGGGAAACAAATCTCCAGAAAATGTAGTATCCAGATATGAGCACCATCTCACAATCACATGAGTAACAAAAGAGGGAAAGCCAGTCTCCCTTCATTGTCAAAAGATGGTCAGGGTTTTCTTTGTTTTTTATTTTGTTTTTTTTTGTTTTTTTTTTTTTAGATAGGGTTTCGCTTTGTCACCCAGGCTGCAGTGCAATGGCACAGTCACAGCTCACTGCAGCTTCAACTTCCTGGGCTCAAACGATCCTCTTGCCTCAGCCTCCCGAGTAGCTGGGATTACAGGCACGCATTACCACGCCTGGCTAACTTTTTTATTTTTTGTAGAGATGGGGTCTCACTATGTTGCCCAGACTGGTCTCAAACTCCTGTGCTCAAGTGATCCTTCCGCCACAGCCTCCTAAAGTGCTGGGATCATAGGCATGACCCACTGTGCCTGGCAAAAGATGGTCAGTTTTAATCAATATACTTAGATGAACACTACTTTCCTCCCATTCCCCCATTCTCCCCTTTCTCACCAAGGGGGGAGAATATATATATATATATTTTTTCATCATCATCATTAGTTTAGAAAAATACTGTCTCCAACTAAAAAACTGAACAACTGTATGTACTTGCGCCATTGTCTCAGAGATCCTCACTGGGAACTGATATACAGCAAACTTTCTGGCCCAAAGTCCAAGAAGGAATCTTCTTACCTCCTATTATGTAGACTTCCATTCTGAGTCAGAAAAGTCCATCTTCCAAATTATTCAACCATAGCCCAAAGAGGGTTTTCTACCTTTACCTACAAACCAGTTGGATGGAATGAGAGGAGAGATGTCATTTGTACATGGCTGTGGCCAGTGATAACCCCCTAAGTTGTGTACGGAACAGGTTGGTGGTTAATAGCAGCAAGTACTGGTTGGGCACTGTGGGTCACGACTGTAATCCCAGCACTCTGGGAGGCCGAGGCAGGTGGATCACCTGAGCTCGGGAGTTCGAGACCAACCTGACCATCATGGAGAAACCCCGTCTCTACTAAAAATACAAAATTAGCCAGGCATGGTGGCACATGCCTGTAATCCCAGCTACTCAGGGGGCTGAGGCAGGAAATCACTTGAACCCAGGAGGCAGAGGTTGTGGTGAGCCAAGATCGTGCCATTGCACTCCAGCCTGGGCAACAAGAGGAAAACTCCATCTCAAAAAATAAAAAAATAAAAAAAAGTAGCAAGCACTTATATAGCACTTACTATCTTTTAGGCATTGTTCTTAGTACTTGATATAGATGAACTCAGTCCTCATACTAGGCCTATGAAGTAGTTTATATTATTTTCCCCATTTTATAAAAGAGGAACTAAGGCTCATAAAGATTAAACAGCCACCTAAGTTCACACTGCTAGTTAGCAAAAGAGCTAAGTATTTGAATTCAGCCTGGCTCCAGAGTCTATGCTCTTAACCCCCTAATGTAAACCACCTCCCAATAGCTTGCTCTGCTCTGGGCTCTTTAGATTAAGAAGTACCAGTGACATCGTAACCTAGCTGACTATCTGTGATGTGTTCCTCTGCTTCACTTACACCTGGAAAATGACTGCCCCACTATGATAGCCATTAGCAAAGCTACAGATGTTCTGAAAGCACAGACAATTTATAATAGGGTATTAGAGCTAATTATGTACAACAGTGGACTGTATCTACCTACAACCATAACAAAGGCAAAGTTAGCTCTTCTCTTTTTTTTTCTCCTGATTTCTAGTCTTCAAGCCTCTACTAATGTATGTATTCTTTGTTAGATCCTTGTAGATTTATCACTTTGATTTCAGCACTTCTAACTCTTGTTGTGGTAGAGGCATCAGGAATCTCAGAAAGTCTAGACAAGGAACTATGGCCAAAGCCCATCATACTCCAAAGATTCCATGTGGAGAGGAGCCTGGCTAAAGGGAGCTGATTAGGGGTGGAGTTGTGGGGTTGGGTGTGGGAGCAGGAGGCAGGCCAAAAAGAAAGGAAGTGGCAAGAAGGGTGTTTGGATGGAAATGCTGCTGCTGCAGCCTTCTCTGGAGCCTGAGCTGTATATTGGAAAAGCTGCCCAGCATAGGCTCTGCTCTGCATGGAGCTCACTCTGCTCAGCAGCTGGACACTCTTGGTACCTTTTCCTAAAGCTTGGGAATCCACCACAATGCTCACTTCACTCAGCTCAGTGGCTTTGTCAGGAAATGATCCCCAAAGGGAATGTTTCAGGCTTTTAATTTTCTCATTTTTTCTAGGCCCTGAAAAGTAACTGCTTCCCCAATATCCCACCCTCCTTGGGTCTCAGGTCAGAATGTCTTTCATTTTGGCCAATGTAGGAGACAGAAATGGAAAAGCCATTGAGGATGATTTCCAAAAACAAAGTTTCTTTCTCTTGTCTCCCTTTTCCCTTCCTTTGAACACACTCTTTAGGACCAAGGACATCAGTTATTATTCCCAAGTTACCAATAAATTCAGAGCTAAAAAGGAAATAATAATTAGGTTAATACTTTCCTCTTCCTCCTTTTCACACTCCTGCCTTTGTCAGCCTCTTTTTTTTAAACACCTATCCAAAGGCTAAAACCACCAGATGTTCTTTCTCATTAAAGGTGAGAAGTCAGATTGGGTATGCGGGTATGGGTCATCCTGTCCCTGGCCCCTCTCTCCCTGTTGGTGGGGTGAGCTTTGGTTTGAGGACCTTGGGTATTCATAGCATCATGGACATCCTTTTCGGTCATGCCATGCTGTTTTCTTATAAGTTATTTTCCGTTTTCTCCCCCTCACCTAGACTGGCCAGAACGGATATCTAAATGACATCAGGTTAGTACCACTTAGCATGTTCCCTGCTTCTCATTGAGCTTTGCCAGTGAGGTTAATATAATCCTGTAATGATGCTTTTCTTTGATGTTAACCAACAGACTCTCCAAAGAAGCCTTTTCTTCTAGCTCTCACAAGAGAAGGCAGATTTTTAGGTACCTCTGTGTGATCTATATCTCTCCTTTTTATTTTTAATTTTATTTTGTTTTGCTGTAATCTTTTCAGCAGAGTGGGTTTGCTCCATGCATGGCTGCTTGTGGAATAATTAAATTTGTGGTTTTTGCAACATTGGATATTTTTCCCCATTTAAAAAAATGGCTCCTGGTCAATGACTTTATTTTTATTGTTGCTGATTTCATTTCGAGTCCTAAACAGGTGGTGAAGGGGACCAAATAGGTGTGTCTGGGATAGGTACAGCTTCCTCCCAGAAATTAGCTGGAATTGGGCATTTTTGAAAGATTCAAACATATTTATGATAAGGTAAAAGAATGGGTGTCTTCTGGCTAACCTTTTCTGAATCTATGGAAAAGATGTGTAGACATTATTCCTGACCCAGCATAGGAATATTTTTTCTTAAAGATATCTTTAAGAAAAAATAATACATATATATATATAGAGAGAGAGAGAGAGAGACATATACGGACACCTTTATGTATGTAGTTTTCTCTTGAGGCAATGTAATGTGTAAGATGACCTCAGAAAGGACCTGGCCAGGCGCGGTGACTCACGCCTGTAATCCCAGCACATTGGGAGGCCGAGGTGGGTGGATCACGAGGTCAGGAGTTCAAGACCAGCCTGGCCAAGATGGTGAAACCTTGTCTCTACTAAAAATACAAAAATTAGCCAGGCGTGGTGGTGGGTGCCTCTCGGGAGGCTGAGGCAGAGAATTGCTTGAACCCAGGAGGCGGAGGTTGCAGTGAGCTGAGATCACGCCACTGCACTCCATCCGGCCTGAGCAACAGAGCAAGACTCTGTCTCAAAAAAAAAAAAAAAAAAGACCTAAGGGACCTCTCTGCCTTAGAATGGACTTAAAGTGTGTCCTTCATACGATTGTTCATTACTTACTCTGAATGCTGGTGCAACCTGTTGTATTAACTTCCCCAGTTCCCAGTGTCCTCCATTTCCCCACAAAGCAGGTATAAGACCCTCCCTTTCATTTCAGTCTCTCAATCCTACCCCAGAGGATAATACAAGGCAGTGGTAAGAGAATAGTGTCTATTCTGTTACCAACTCATTTTAAGTATATTCTTCCCAATTTACCAATAGAAAAACTAGAAAATACTGAGAACCTGAGTATTTAACACTAGAATTCAGCTCTAACCCCCTTTCCAAAGGGTTTCTCTCTTATTGACTACTACACTTGATAAGGACTGTCTGACTAACTTGGATTTGAGATCTCACTCCTACTACTGTAGTTGTCCTTTCCCTGTTGTCCTTTCTAAAGCTAGCCAAACCTTGTGGAAATTGGGGTAGTGAGATTTCCCATTCTTGGGGTAGAGGATTTTCCATCTCTCTCAAGTCTTTTTTTCTTAGGCTGTCCTGCCCTGTGGTTCATCTGAAAACCCCAGGCAGAGAGGACCTTGCATTGTTGGTGGTAGTAGAGATAGATAGAGTCCCCTGCATTAAAAACAAAAAACAAAAAATCAGGATTCCTGTTCCACAGTCTACACTTCGGGGTCATAGATCATCCCAGGATAACTGTAAGAAATAGGAGTTTTAAACCAACTCCTATGTGTGAATTAATGCACAGTGCTTTACAGTCACCAGAGTATACTTTATCTGATTCAGTTCTCTCAACATCCTAATTTGGTCAGCTGGATTACATGTAAGAAAACAAAAGCAGAGAGATTTAAGTGGCTAGCCCAAGTTTACATGGCTAATAGAAGCAAAAATGGAGCTGATTCTTAGTTTAGTGTCCTCTTCGCTACACCACACCAGCTCTCTACAGATGTCACCCCTTCCTCTCTTAGTAGTGTTACATTTGGAGCCCTAATCCAGATTCACTGGTTAGAATGATGCTCTTATTAGGGCTATGGACCATCAGACTACATCAAACTGTGCAGATAATAGCTTGAAGGATCTACTGAGTAGGTGCAGCCCTTTCCTCTCCAGACCTTTTTTTTTTATTTCCCTGAGATGGAGTTTCGCTCTTGTTGCCCAGGCTGGAGTGCAATGGCATGATCTCGGCTCACCGCAACCTCCGCCTCCCAGGTTCAAGCAATTCTCCTGCCTCAGCCTCCCGAGTAGCTGGGATTACAGGCATGCACCACCACACCTGGCTAATTTTGTGTTTTTAGTAGAGACGGGGTTTCTCCATGTTGAGGCTGGTCTCAAACTCCTGACCTCAGGTGATCCACCCACCTCAGCCTCCCAAAGTCCTCATATTACAGGCGTGAGCCACCGCGCCTGGCCCTCACCAGACCTTTTAAGCTACTGGTTTTCCAACTGAGCTTTGATTGAAGATGTAGGTCATCTAAAATGCAGCATCGTGGGCACTTAAGGGAATAACTTCTTCCTCTACTTGGATACTAGTCCAAAACGCTAATGATTAGAAGCTGATCTTCTCTAATTGCCTTACACCTTTCTGGCCCAGTTTATGTTTGTGAAACAAATACCTGTAAACCAAACTCCATCATCCACATTGACAATAACTATGGCAGCTCCCCAGTTCTTTGGAAGAGTCTGCTCCATTGACAAATAAGCCACAGTGAGGCCTTACTGATGTTTATTGCCACCTCTTCCACAGGCATCTCTACCCATTCCCCAGACCCAACAAGCTGGACTTTTCACCAGCACTAAATCTGCTTGTAAAAACTAATCAGCTCTGATTTTACATGAATATGAGGTGTGACTGCTCTTTGTCCTTTACCTCCATCTCTCCAACATACACACAACCCGATCCAGTGCTCAAAATTGAATCTGGGTAGCATTCCCTAATTATTTTTATTTGTAGAGAGGGAAAATTGATCTTTTTCCTGCCAAGACTCAACTTAGATTCTCCAAGTCTTAGGGGAGTAGTGTACTAACCCAGGTTAGTCAGATCATCAGGCAGTCTACATTTTGAGTGTTTGGTCATCACTGTCTTGGGGAAACTGGATTAGTATAGAAGTGCTGCCATTTTGGCCCTAGCTTTTCAAGGTATTTGGTTTAAAGTTGCCTTGTTCACTGTCTACCTCTAGTAGCAAGAGAAAATAAATGGCAGGATTTCCTTTTCAGTGGAAAAGGCCTTTAGGACTTGTCTTGCAAAATTCAAGCTCTAATGTCTAATGAGCAGCCTCATCTATTGCCACTGCTGTATCCCCTTACCCCACAAACACACTCATTTTTATTGACTCCTCTTAGTGTACTTGCCTTTGTCCATTGAGATGTAGCTGTTGTCTCTCACTTCAGGTCTGGTTCTGTTCCTGGAGAGTACCTAACTTATACTTCTTTCTTGTTTCCCATTCTACTTTTGGCATTCCAAAGGAAAGGGGTAAAGCTTTGGAGAAACAGGAATATTTTTTAATTCACTAACTACATAGAAGCATTTAAGTGCTTACACACACACACACACACACACACACACTCTCTCTCTCTCTCAGTCTTGGGGTTGCAGAGAAGAATTAGCATGTTCCTAACCAGTTGTGCCAGTGTATTCTTAGCTCATCGTGATTGGCTTGACTAAAACCTAAAAGAAGGACCCTAGCATGTATTTTGCCCATTTTTCCTACAGTGCCTTTGGAGTAGGTATTCTAATAAAGAAAGGTGTTTTCTTTAATATTAATGCCCTTAAGAAAAATGCCTTTCTCTATTAAAATAACTCTGAGCCTAGTGCCTTTGGAACCAGTGGGATTGGAATGGGGTTTCCTATTTGCTTTTGATGGGATGGTGGTAAAAAGAAGGGAGCCCAAACTACAATGATTTTTTGCTTAATTATTCCTCGGTATACCTACCAAAATCTTTGTAATTGTTGTCATTTGGTTTCCTTAGGTCATTAGTTGTTGGGGATGTGGGGTATGAAAGAAAAATTGCTGGTTCTTGGTTGCTTAATGATTAAGAAGCAGTGAGAGCTCAACAAGACAGGGTTTTCAGGCCAACCTGGCTATCTTGAGGCATACAGCTGTTAATAATCATAGACAGTGATTATAACATCAAGATAACCCTGCTGTTTACAGAGCCAAATAAGAGAGGGAGAACCCCTTTCCTTAATAGTTTTGCTTAGGGAGATAGGATTATGAATATGAAGGCAACTAGGCACAGTCAACCCCCCTGCTCTTCGCCATCCTGAGTCCCAAGAGCATATTTGCTGAAGACTTTAGCCCTTAGAGATCCTGAAACCAATTGTTCGCAGACAGTAACATGGAATTTCCACAAAACAGGTTGGATCAATCCTAGACTATCAAACTGAGTTTTCCATAGTTAGTGCCCCTTTAGTTCACTATACTCTTCTTGCAACTCCTGGAAGGGTGGCCATAAGCAGCACCTCTGCTGGCTTAGACATGTGTTATGTGGAAGACCCATTGTGGGTTTTATCCATGTCATTGGCTCCTGCCTTTTAGCAATAGCAACTTCTAGGAGTCCTTTTATTTTAAGAACTTTCAGAAGGAACTGGTACCCCTCTGTTCCCCATTATTGCTTGCATGTGTGGGATTACCCTCAGAGGGTGGGGAAGAGACCACAGCCAATCTCAGCATCATGTATATGGTTTCCCATCCACCTCTGGTCTGATGTATTAAATTAGTTGCCAGTGCACTGTCTTCCAGATTTGCCTCTGTGTTCTTTGTTACTGTACTGGATCTTGTTCTGTCTGCTCCCATCAACTCTTAGTTGGCCAGCCAACTAACAATAAGTCAGTGTCCATCCTCCCTTTAATTCTTACCCATTCTTTGTTATTGAGAGAATAGAAATGAATTATCTCCTAGCCCTTCTGCTAAAGTGGTGGGTGGGAGGTGCTCTGACCACTATGGTCTCTGCAGGGGGAACCGTGAAGGACTGAGCCGCACCTCAAGCAGCCGCCAGAGCAGCACAGACAGCGAACTCAAATCCCTGGAGCCACGCCCTTGGAGCAGCACAGACTCTGATGGCTCTGTCCGGAGCATGCGACCCCCTGTCACCAAAGCTAGCAGCTTCAGTGGAATCTCTATCCTTACCCGAGGTGACAGCATCGGCAGCAGTAAAGGCGGCAGTGCGGGAAGGATCTCCAGGCCAGGTATTACAGCTTCTTTTCTTCCATGTCATACCCATCCCTTCTTGCTTGTCTCCTGTGAAACATCACTGATATTTACTTTTTTTTTTGAGACAGAGTCTCCTCTGTTGCCCAGGCTGGAATGCAGTGGTGTGATCTCAGCTCACTGCAACCTCTGTCTCCCGGGTTCAAGTGATTCTCCTGCCTCAGCCGCTTGAATAGCTGGGATTACAGGCATGCGCCACCACACCTGACTAATTTTTGTATTTTTAGTAGAGGTGAGGTCTCACCATGTTGGTCAGGCTGGTCTCAAACTCCTGACCTGAGGTGATCTGCCTGCCTCAGCCTCCTAAAGTGCTGGGATTACAGGCGTGAGTCACCACGCCCAGCCCATATTTACTTTCAATAAAACATTTGTCCCAGTATAGTTTCCTGGAAACCTAATACAGCCAGGGGAAGGGACATTTGAATTTTGGATCCATTGTCCTTGCTTGGATTTAGTCCTCCTCATTTTCTTTCAAACCTTCTGCCTGATTGGAAAAAAAAAAAGAATTGATTGTGATTAGATTATTTTCTCTGATTTTCATGTAAGGTGGAACATCCATATCAGCCCAGGTCTCAAGTTATATACTAAGATGAAAATGATAGCCACTTTCATTCTATGACTCTTGAGATTGTAGAGGCTTTGTAGAGCAGAGGGAATCCTTAGAGTTTAGTAGTTTGTAATTAATTGATACCAGCTAATAGGCTAGAATTTAGAGGGATGCTGCTATGGCTGCTTCTCTGGAGCTCAGTCACTGGAAAGGAGCAGACACTCCTATGTTCCACATGAAAGCTCTGTAACCACCCATCAGCTCTCCTGCTACAAAACCTTCTCTATCTATTTCTGCTGCTCTCTTAGCAGAAGGGCATTTAGACCTCTATTTCATCGTCCTCCTCCCTTTGAAGAGTTGCTTGAATCTCATCCCAGAAGTTCTGTAGTTATCCTCAGAAGACATCAGTAGTGCTGAAGATTTTGCCTCTGACCCCTAGGTCTCTGCTGCCCTTCTCTGTTACCTCCTTTCTAATCCCACTGCCTCAGCCTTTATCCACACTTTTATTTTCTTTTATGTAATTATGACACTGGCGCCCAAACTGATATCTCTACTCCATTCTCAGCTCTTTTTATGATTTTTTTTTTGCTTTTTCAAGAGTCGGGGTCTTGCTGTTATCCAGGCTGGATTGCAGTTGCACCATCACAGCTTACTGCAGCCTTGAACTCCTGGGCCCAGATGATCCTCCCACCTCAGACTCCCAAGTAGCTGGGATTACAGACATGAGCCATTGCATCTGGTTGCTTAGCCCTTTTTAGAGCCAGTTTGCCAATCTAAAACAGATCTAAACTCATCAGTAGTCTTTTAAAAATGTTCGTTTCTGCATCCTCACCTGAATAGTAAAATCCAAATTACTTAATATAGCATAACTTCCTGACTCCAGTTTGCCATTGCTGTCTAATTTCCAGATCTTTCCTTCTTTCCAACCATTTCTTTCTTTCCTTTTTTTTTTTTTGAGATGGAGTCTTGCTCTTGTTACGCAATGGCACGACCTCGGCTCACTGCAACCTCCGCCTCCCGGGTTCAAGCGATTCTCCTGCCTCAGCCTTTCGAGTAGCTGTGATCACAGGCACCCGCCACCACGGCCGGCTAATTTTTTGTATTTTTAGTAGAGATGGGGTTTCACCACGTTGGCCAGGCTGGTCTCAAACTCCTGATGTCAGGTGATCCACCCACCTAAGCCTCCCAAAGTGCTGGGATTACAGGCATGAGCCACCACACCCAACCAACCATTTCTTGAATATGGCATTAGCTTTGTTTCCTCTTGGTCTTATAAGCATCTGTCATTCTTCAACCCCAGCTTTCCTGCTGACCCCTCTTTAAATCCTTTCCTGACCCTCCCAGGAGTTTTTGCTTCCTCATCTTTGCTTTCATGCAACTTTGTCGATATCACTGATGTATTCCTTATCCTTATCAGATTATAATTGTCATGTGGATGTCTATCTCCCATCAGAAGTTCCTGTGCTGTTGGCTGGGCATGGTGGCTCACACCTGTAATTCTAGCACTCTGGGAGGCAGAGGCAGGCAGATCACTTGAGGCCAGGAGTTCGAAACCAGCCTGGCCAACAAGGCAAAACCCCATCTCTACCAAAGACATCAAAATTAGTTGGGCGTGGTGGTGGGTGCCTGTAATCCCAGCTACTTGGGAGGCTGAGGCAGAAGAATCGCTTGAACCTGGGAGGTGGAGGTTGCAGTGAGCCAAGATCGTGCCACTGCATTCCAGCCTGGGCGACAGAGTGAGACCCTGTCTCAAAAAAAGAAAAAAGTTCCTGTGCTGTTAAGGGCAAGGACTGTGTTTCACTCATCTTTATGTCTTTAGTTCATTATACAGTGCTTGGCACATAGTAAAGTATGTTGTGTTGAATGAGTTCATGCCTTGGAGAGCCTAGAAATGGGGAAATGAGTTGGATAAAGGTTATGTGTATGCTTGAAGTTTTCTCAGCAACATTTTTTTTTTTTTTTTTTTTGAGACCGAGTCTCGCTCTTGTCGCCCAGGCTGGAGTGTCATGGCGCGATCTCAGCTCACTGCAACCTCTGCCTCCTGGGTTCAAGCGATTCTCCTGTCTCAGCCTCCCAGGTAGCTGGGATTACAGGCGCCCACCCTCAAGCTCGGATAATTTTTATATTTTCAGTAGAGACGGAGTTTCACTATGTTGGTTGGCCAGGCTGGTCTCAAACTCCTGACCTCAGGTGATCCACCCGCCTCAGCCTCGCAAAGTGCTGGGATTACAGGCATGAGCCACTGCGCCCGGCCCTCAGCAACTTTTATAAGAGATGTTGCAAATTGAGAAGAAAGCAAAGAGAAGACAGATCTCTCTCTCTCTAGCAAAAGGACGGATCTCTTAAGAGACCAAAAATCTGTGCCTTCCCAGGAAGTAAGCATTTATATTTTCAGCTATCTAAGTTTGATGGACAGATTCCAGACACTTCAGGGGAGGTGCTTCAGCAGCCTCACATTTTGTTCAATTTCATAACCAAACTTGACAGTCAAGGTGGTTCCTGTCCCTAGGGAGCAGAAGCCTGCAAAGAGGAGGACTGGCATCAGCAAGGCAGCTGAAATGCATCTGTGCTCATCTGTGAATCTTCAAAAGACAGTGGGGGAGGGGACAAAAGGGAATAAAGAGGAAAGGCAAAGAAAAAGTAGAGCCCTCTGACTAAGCTTCCAGGGATAATGTGTTCGTGGCTTATGCTTACAACTTTTTGTGGGTTTCTTCTTTGCCTTAGGTATGGCACTAGGTGCCCCAGAAGTGTGCAACCAGGTCACCTCATCCCAGTCTGTCCGGGGGCTTCTCCCTTGTACTGCCCAGCAGCAACAGCAGCAGCAGCAGCAGCAACTTCCTGCTCTCCCACCCACGCCTCAGCAACAGCCACCCTTGAATAATCACATGATCTCACAGGTGAGTCACCACTCAGTGTCAGAGTCCTCTCCACTCTGATTCAAGCAAACTTTAGATGTACCGTCATGTCTCTTGTGCTGTGGGTGGCAGGAAGGATCAGTTTTTGGAGACATGCCACTCTCTCCCCCATTTCTCATTTGTTAGTTGTAGGGAAAGAAGAACCTTGAGCAAAGGTTTTGCCAAATAACTACTGAGTCAGCTTGGGGGTTTTTTGCTTTATATTTCTTCCTCTGCTTCCTGAACATTGTCAGTAGAATCTTTTATTTCATACCACATTTCTACTGTACCCCATCTCCCTCTATGTCCATGTGTAATTAACAAGGCATTTTTTTCCATTACATCTATATATTGGAACTTGAAAAGATTATAACTTCCACCATCATCTGACCAACTATGTGGACCCATAAACACCTATTTATGTGTTGGGGTTTGCGGAAAAAAGAAATAACACTCAAGACCCCTTCCATACATATGCCACGAAACACAAAGACTCCAAATGTGTCTTTGTTTTCCATGACTCAAAAGGGCTGTATCCTTCTCCTTCTGTTGCTGGACTGGTAAATGTTGGTACCAACTAGAGTTTAAGTGAAGTTTTGCATCTGTGGAGACCAGGAAGGTCATTAGCCTAAGAATCAGTCCTGTTCTAAACCAGAACTTCAGTATTCTGTTTTATTTCTTTCTTTTAATTTTTAAAAAATGTATTGTTATTATTATTATTTTGAGATAGGGTCTTGCTTATGTTGCCTAGGCTGGTCTCAAACTTGTGGGCTCAAGTGATCCTCCCTCCTTGGCCTCCTAAAGTGCTGAGATTACAGGCATGAGCCACCATGCCTGGCCATTGTCATTAAGGTGACTATGTTTAAAAGTCACCTTAAGGCCAGGCATGGTTGCTCAAGCCTGTAATCCCAGCACTTTGGGAGGCTGAGGCGGGTGAATCACCTGAGGTCAGGAGTTCAAGACCAGCCTGCCCAACATGGTGAAACCCGGTCCCTACTAAAAATACAAAAATTAGCCACGTATGGTGGCGGGTGCCTGTAATCCCAGCTACTAGGGAGGCTGAGGCAGGAGAATCGCTTGAACCCATGAGGCGGAGGTTGCGGCGAGCCGAGATCGCGCCACTGCTCTCTAGCCTGGGCGACAGAGTAAGACCCTGTCTCAAAAAAAAAAAAAAAAAAAAAAGTCACCTTAATACTCCGAGCAGAGCTGTGCTGAGATCTTCACTTACTCCCTTCTCACACGAATAGAGCTCTTTTTGAGGAGAGCCCCATACTTTATCCTGAAGTATTCTCTGGTAGCTGGAAAGCCCATGTGTCTGCAGTCTTTTCTGCTGTAGTTTACATTCTCATGTTACCTCCCAGGCTCCCTCATCCCTCTGCTTATTAGTCCAGCTTGGCCTTAGATATATTTCTTCCCTAGGTGTAAGAAGCAAGTCCCAAACACTAATACCCCATGAACTAGAAACTAGAGTGCAAAGACCCCAGAATGGCCCAGTATTGCCCTATCTCAAATATTGTGAAATGAAGCTGAAACAAAGAACAGTGAAGATCTAGGAAATCCTACTTTGTGTCTAAATGTAATTTGCATGCAAGTCATTGCAGTCCTCTATCTTAGTCTAAGTCAGTTCTTTCTATAGTCCTAACTTTCTTGTTCTACCACCATCTACCCCAGTAAGTCTCGTTCACTTCAGTTTACCTTGCTCCCTACTGAAGCATAGTGTCCTTGTATGTGTACTTTTCTCTGTCTGTGTCTTAATTCAAACCTGTAAGTGGGTAAACTATGCTTCTCCTTCTGTCATCTGCTACCGTGTTTTTTATGTGTATGACTTGCTTTTCCAAGGTCCTAATATTTTCTAGGTTTTTTTTTCCCTAAAATGTGTATTTTAATAGTCTTGCTCCCTTTTCTCCCTCTTAGTCTCCCATCTGCCTGCATCTTCCACCTATAATCTCATACCTAGAAACAGACGAGACGGCAAGAGTGGGAGAGGAATAAAGAGATAAAAGAACCATTTGGGACTGAAATTTATACAGAATGTCCAAGTGACTGGCCCTAAACCCCAATCTTCTACTCAGGTTCTGTCCCTGCTACTGGATTGTGAGGGTCAATTGGTCGATCGTTGGCATTGGCTTATCTCCTATGGGGAGTGTGGTGCCAGGTTAGGTGCTATAGCTCGGGGGTAAAGGAACACTACTTGGTGCAGCAATTCCTGTTCTCTTAGAAATTCATTCTTGAGATTAATTGTGATCACTAACTCCAAATGAAAGAATTTATCCAGGTTTTGATGCCCTGGAAGCATTTATGGAAGCTGCTAAAAATTATCCCACCATCTCACTGTATGTATCTCCTTTTTTCTCCCTCTCCACTTTTTCACCCTTCCTCTTTATTTTTTTATTCCTCTTCCTACTGCCATTTTCTTTCTTTCTTTTGCTTTCTTTTTCCCTGATTGGCCTTCAGCACTGGGGGCTCCCTAGACCAAAGTTGCTGAGCCTGAGAATAATTATTGTTCAGTTTCTAATGGTACATAACAGTGCTAGGATTAAAGAAGTGATCATGTGCACACACAAACACCACTGTGCTTACTCTAAAGCTTTTCCTGTAGAAGAAAAACTTTGAGACTGGGTGCGGTAGCTCACGCCTGTAATCCCAGCACTTTGGGAGGCCGAGGAGGGCAGATTACTTGAAGCCAGAAGTTTGAGACCAGCCTGGCCAACCTGGTGAAACAACGTCTCTACTAAAAATACAGAAATTAGCTGGGTGTGGTGGTGCACATCTGTAATCCCAGCTTCTTGGGAGTCATCAGCCTCCTAAGCATGAGAATTGCTTGAACCTGGGAGGTGGAGGTTGCAGTGAGCTGAGATTGCACCACTGCACTCCAGCCTGGGCAACACAGCAAGACTCTGTCTAAAAAAAAAAAAAAAATCTTTGAGGAAGGGTTGTTACCTTTAACTCTGTCACACAAGGCACTTGCCCCAGGTCTGGGAACAGTACTGACTAAACTATGATCTTTCCCTTCCTGGCAGGGCTCCTCTGTCCAAGCAGGCCTTCAAATTGTGTGTCGGTGAAGCTCGTGAAACCAGGGGTGAGGCTGAGGATTAAAGGGCCAGGATCTCCCTTTTGCCCAATTTACTTAAAATGAAGTAGACTTCTTGAAAAGGAGTTCTCGGGGCCCCCTTTTGTCATCAAGAGCCAGTGAACAAGCCCAGAATTTGCCAGTAGGTGGCAGCCACATCCCTCAGGGCAGTCTTTTTTTTTTTTTTTTTTGTTCATTATTTATTTTTCCATAAGTTATTGGAGTACAGGCAGTACTTGGTTACATGAGTGAGCTCTTTAGAGGTGATTTGTGAGATTGTGGTGCACCCATCTCCCGAGCAGTATACACTGCACCATATTTGTAGTCTTTTATCCCTTGCCCCCTTCCCACTCTTCCCCTCAAGTCTCCAAAGTCCATTTTATCATTCTTTTTTTTTTTCTTTTGAGATGGAGTCTCGCTCTGTCACCCAGGTTGGAGTGCAGTGATGCACTCTCGGCTCACTGCAACTTCCACCTCCTGGGTTCAAGCGGTTCTCCTGCCTCAGCCTCCTGAGTAGCTGGGATTACAGGCACGCACCACCACGCCCAGCTAATTTTTGTATTTTTAGTAGAAATGGGGGTTTCACCATGTAGGTCAGGCTGGTCTCAAACTCCTGACCTCATGATCCGCCCACCTTGGCCTCCCAAAGTGCTGGGATTACAGGCGTGAGCCGCTGTGCCCGGCCCATTTTATCATTCTTATGCCTTTGCGTCCTCATAGCTTAGCTCCCACATATCAGTGAGAACATGCGATGTTTGGTTTTCCATTCCTGAGTTACTTCACTTAGAATAATAGTCTCCAATCTCATCCAGGTCACTGCAAATGCTGTTAATTCATTCCTTTTTATGGCTGCATAGTATTCCATTGTGTGTATATACCACAGTTTCTTTACCCACTCATTGATTGATGGGCATTTGGGTTGGTTCCATGATTTTGCAATTGTGAATCGTGCTGCTATAAACATGCACATGCAAGTATCTTTTTTGTATAATGACTTTTTTTCCTCTGGGTAGATACCCAGTTGTGGGATTCCTGAATCAAATGGTAGTTCTACTTTTAGTTCTTTTTTTTTTTTTTTTTTTAGATGGAGTCTCACTCTGTCGCCCAGGCTGGAGTGCAGTGGCACGATCTTGACTCACTGCAAGCTCCGGGTTCATGCCATTCTCGTGCCTCAGCCTCCCGAGTAGCTAGGACTACAGGCAACCGCCACCACGCCCAGCTAATTTTTTGTATTTTTAGTAGAGACGGGGTTTCACCATGTTAGCCAGGATGGTCTCGATCTTCTGACCTCATGATCCGCCCGCCTTGGCCTCCCAAAGTGCTGGGATTACAGGCATGAGCCACTGCGCCCGGCCCTACTTTTAGTTCTTTAAGGAATCTCCACATTGTTTTCCATAGTGGCTGTACTACTTTACATTCCCACCAGCAGTGTAGAAGTGTTCCCTGACACTGCATCCATGCCAACATCTGCTGTTTTTTGATTTTTTGATTATGACCATTCTTGCAGGAGTAAGGTGGTATCACATTGTGGTTTTGATATGGATTTCCCTGATCATTAGTGATGTTGAGCATTTTTTCATATATTTGTTGGCCATTTGTATATCTTCTTTTGAGAATTGTCTATTCATGTCCTTAGCCCACTTTTTGATGGGATTGTTTTTTTCTTACTGATTTATTTGAGTTCGTCGTAGATTCTGGATATTAGTCTTTTGTCAGATGTACAGATTGTGAAGATTTTCTCCCACTTTGTGGTTTGTCTGTTTCCTCTGCTGTTTTTTTTTTTTTTTTTCCATGCAAACGTTTTTTAGTTTAATTAAGTCCCAACTATTTATCTTTGTTTTTATTGCATTTGGTTTTGGGTTCTTGGTCATGAAATCGTTGCCTAAGCCAACATCTAGAAGGGTTTTTCCAATATATTATCTTCTAGAATTTTTAATTTCAGGTCTTAGATTTAAGTCCTTAATCCATCTTGAGTTGATTTTTGTATAAGGTGAGAGATGAAGATCCAGTTTCATTCTCCTACATGTGGCTAGCCAATTATCCCAGCACCATTTGTTGAAAAGGGTGTCCTTTCCCCACTTTATGTTTTTGTTTGCTTTGTCAAAGATCAGTTGGCTGTAAGTATTTGGGTTTATTTCTGGGTTCTGTATTCTGTTCCATTGGTCTATGTGCCTATTTTTATACCAGTACCATGCTGTGTTGGTCACTATAACCTTATAGTATACTTTGAAATCAGGTAGTATGTTGCCTCCAGATTTGTTCTTTTTGCTTAGTCTTGCTTTGGCTATGGGGGCTCTTTTTTTGTTCCATATGAATTTTAGAATTTTTTTTTTGTAATTCTGCGAAGAATGATGGTGGTATTTTGATGGGGATTGCATTGAATTTGTAGATTGCTTTTGGCAGTATGGTCATTTTTACAATATTGATTCTACCCATCCATGAGCATGAGATGTGTTTCCATCTGTTTGTATCATCTATGATTTCTTTCAGCAGTGTTTTGTAGTTTTCCATGTAGAGGTCTTTCAACTCCTTGGTTAGGTATATTCCTAAGTTTTGTTTAAATAAATTTCCTCATGGTTTTTCAGAGCTTCCCTGGCTTTGTAGTTTTACACCCTTCAAGAAGAGAACTATGGCTGAGGATAGCTGTGGAGTAACTAAAAAAATAGCACTGCTATCCCTGCCCGTATCACTGCCCTTCCCCAGTTAGGGGAGGCCTAAGAGGAGCATCACTTCTTCTCACTTTACTCTTTAGTCAGAACTTACAAGTGTGGGGAAAACAGGCACAGTTTTGTTTTGTTTTGTTTTGTTTTGTTTGAGACGGAGTCTTGCTCTGTTGCCCAGGCTGGAGTGCAGTGGTGGTGCGATCTCGGCTCACTGCAACCTCTGCCTCCCAGGTTCAAGCGATTCTCCTGCCTCAGCCTCCTGAGTAGCTGGGACTACAGGCATGTGCCACCATGCGCAGCTAATTTTTGTATTTTTAGTAGAAATGGGGTTTCACCGTGTTGGGCAGGCTGGTCTCGACTCAGGTGGTCTGCCCACCTCAGCCTCCCAAAGTGTTGGGATTACAGGTGTGAGCCACTGCAGGCAGCCATTTTTTTTTAACCACTTTACTGTCCTTTTTTCCCCAGAATATATATGCCTGAACCAAGATAGACTCTCCTCCAAAAGAATGAAGAGAATTGGGATAATAGAAAATGTGTATGAAAGCCACCAGTATAAGCAGCTAATACTGAACATCTTGTCCATCAGTTATATTTGGAATGCCATTGTCTGACAGAAAATAGGTGTGCCAGTAGAGCTAAGAGTTTATTTTCAAGGCTACAGCAGCAACTCTTCCAGGTCACACAGTGGATTCTCAATAATTTTACCTAATTATTGAGACCTCCAGAGTATTCTCCTCTTTGGAGAGTCTTCTAATTCCTGTACTCTGCCTCCTGAACTGTTAGTCCCTTCTGTGAAAGAAACTCTGGAGATGTGTGGCAGGAGAGGATATTGATACCATGGCCCCACACATCTTAATGCTCTAAATGTGGAGGGAGGAGCCTGTGGCAGGTGCTTGGATAATTCTCCTTGACTTCTTCCTTCACCTCCTCTCCACTACTAGAGTGGGGTGGAGAGAACCTATGCCAGGCAGAACTGGATTTCAACCTCAGCTCTGCCATATTAACTGTGTAAGCCTAGATGAGTGATTTAATTTATCTGAGCCTTTTTTATTTGCAAATACAAGTTATATCTCCCTATAGGATTCTTGTGTGAGGCTGTAATGAGACAATGTATGTAATAAGATAATATATACCAATGTTATTTTCCCCCCTTCCTTGCCTCTCTCCTTCTCTCATCTCTCCTACCACCAGGGACTATGACTGGAGAACTGATGAGGTGATCAAAATGCCTGGAGGGGAAGAAGGGAAGGAAAAAATAATAACTACCCACTAGTTGATTTAGAACACTCTATGTTCCTAGTAAACAAATCCTCCTGCTTGAGGCTAGTGAAGGGGGACTGAAGGGACAAAAACTAAAGCTAAGCTATTTATATTTTATTCCTAAATCCTTCCTGTTTGCTTGGGGGGTGGAGGTGGATTTTTCATATTGCTGTCACAGCCTGGAGGAGCAATCATGGAGTGGAAGGAAGTAGCCAGAAGCAGGCATGATCTTGGGTGTTTTTTCCTTCTCTGCCCTTGGGAGGGAGATGATCCTTGTGAATGAGTATTTCCTCTAGGAGAGCTGTGGTGTGAAATCAGGAGCAGCTGAGCCAGACCTTGGATGACCCTTCCTGCAGAAGCAGTGCAGCAGTGCAGACAGGAATCTCTTCTCAAGTGGGCAGTCAAGGAGGGTTATGATCATGCTCCCCAGGAATTGTGTGTTCAGAAAAACTGCTTTGGGAAAAGCTGTATTTGGAATCAGACAGCAGACCCTGACCCTGAGAGTCCTCAGATTGCTCACAACAGCTGCAGAGTTCTGAATGGCTAATGGGGAAGGGAGTGCAGCAGGTCTCCCCTGATAAGAGAGATTGCCTGTTTGTCAAAGAGATGTTAAATCTTCAAGCTGTCCCGGGCTTGGTCACCTACCTGCTCAGCAGTCGTGCTACTCATGTGAAATTTCTTCTATGATTATTAACCTTATTGTTCCTTCCCTTTCCCTCCCCATCTCTGCCCGCACCCCCCCCCCACCCCACCCCCCGCTTCCCACCTCTCTTTTCTCTTCCCTTTTCCACATGCCTCTCTGCTGGCCCACAGCCAGTCCCGGCTCTGCAGCCCTCTCCGCAGCCTGTTCAGTTCTCTCCAAGCTCCTGTCCCCAAGTCCTTCTGCCAGTCTCTCCGCCCCAGCAGTACAACATGGTATAAACTCCATTCCCCCTTTTTGTCTTGTTCATGTGTGGCCTGTATCTGTAGGTATGTCTGGGTCAGTCTGTGATGGCCTTGTAAGCATGTTGTGCTTTTGGAGGGCATATTGAAAGCTATTTCTTCTTGAGGGACCAGCACAGGCTGAACTATACTCCATGCTAATGGCCTCATCACAGCACATCAAAAGATGCTTAAATGTAAGACAGAGGAACACTGTGTTCCCCCAAGTTTCAGGACAGAGAATGAAATTGGATGTTGGTATAACCTAGGCTCCTCATCTCTACGATGTACATCCTAAATCTAATTTGCTCCCTAGGCATGTCTGAGGAACCTAGTTTCTTCTATACAGAATGGTTCTCTATAATTTCCTTTAAAAATAAAAACACAGGCCGGGCGTGGTGGCACACACCTGTAGTCCTAGCTACTTGAGAGGCTGAGGCAGGAGAATCGCTTGAACCTGAGAGGCTGAGGTTGCAGTGAGCCGAGATCGCACCACCACTGCACTCCAGCCTGGACAACAGAGCAAGACTCCGTCTCAAAAAAAAAAAAAAATGCAGTTGCAGACTTCTCTGGTATCACTGGCAAAAACTTAAACTGTTCCCCTGTTTTACCATGTCAGTTTATATTTTAAAAATCCTCATCCATTGCGTAGCACATGCTGTTTAAATCGTTTGTACTCTACAAATCCTTTGAAGATCTGATTTGCCTCATAGTTGATAACTTCCATCATAGTTGTAGGAGCCCTGAATTGTTTTGCTCTGTCTTAACATCTACTTTTTCTCTAGAATCCTCTCCCTCCTCCTACCTCTTATTTCCATGTTGATTGTCCTGGAATATCGAGTTCAAAATAATCTGCAGTCCAGTTCACTTGTCATCTATTCCTGCCCAATAAGTAGCAAAACAGCTAACTTGAAGATCAGATCCTTGAAAATGGAATGAAACTACAGAAAAGCATTGTCTTTTGGTTTCTGCTAGTTGTGTGTGCGTGTGTGTGTGTGTGTGTGTGTGTATTACTGTCCAGGGAGCAGAAGGGAAAAGGAAGCTAACAAACTCTAACCTATCACCATATGAGTGAGAGATGGAACACCATCACCCTTGCTGCTTAGGAAAGAGAGCTGAGAGAGAAGGCAATTACAGCCTGGCCAGTCAGTCTTATCCTCCAGCTTAGCCACTCACTCTGCCCTCCTTTTGGAGGTGAGAATTGGAAGTAGTTTCTGAAGGGCAGGAGAATTCTAGGCTAGTGTCAGAGAACAAAGGTGGAAATGACCTCCAGAGGGAGTAAGGAGATAAGCAGCAGGAGTGGGAGCCCCCAGTCTTGCTGCTGCATAGGCAGAGCTGTGAAGGCACATGAACCTAGCTACCCATGATCCACTCAAGGTGTTATCTGGGTCCTTTATTATAAAAACAGGATTTGTGGCAATGTAGGGGCCTTTTTATGGTTGGGGGCATAAGGAAAACAGGAAATGGAAAGACTCTTTAATCTTTTTCGTTAAGCCGCTAGTTTGTCCTGTTTTTTCTATATACAGTAATTGTGTCATAGCTCCCATCTCCCAAGGACTAACCCTAACAACAATCATAGGCCAGGCGCGGTGGCTCACACCTGTAATCCCAGCACTTTGGGAGGCTGAGGCGGGCTGATCACTTGAGTTCAGGAGTTCAAGACCAGCCTGGCCAACATGGTGAAATCCCGTCTCTACTAAAAATACAAGAATAAGGCTGGTGCGGTGGCTCACGCCTGTAATCCAAACACTTTGGGAGGCTGAGGCAGGTGGATCCACCTGAGGTCAGGAGTTTGAGACCAGCCTGGCCAACATGGTGAAACCCCGACTCTACTAAAAATACAAAAAAAATTAGCTGGGCTTGGTGGCACATGCCTGTAATCCCAGCTACTCGGGAGGCTGAGGCAGGAGAATTGCTTGAACCTGGGTGGCAGAGGTTGCAGTGAGCCGAGACTGCACCATTGCACTACAGCCTGGGCAACAAGAACCAAAACTCCATCTCAAAAAAAACAAAAAACAAAACAAAACAAAACAAAACAAAACAAAACAAAATAAGAATTAGCCGGGTTTGGTGGCAGGAGCCTGTAATCCCAGCTACTCAGGAGGCTGAGGCACGAGAATTGCTTAAACCTGGGAGGCGGAGGTTGCAGTGAGCTGGGATTGAGCCACTGCACTCCAGGCTGGGCAACAAAATGAGACTGTGTCTCAAAAAAACAAAAAAACACACAATTATAATCAGGGTCACCATTGTTACCTCATATGTGATAGAGAGACTGGCTCTGGAGTTGGACTTCAACAGCTATTCAATTCATAGCACAGCACAGAGGTAGGACTATCCCCCATTGTTTTAAAGAAGGTTGTAAAAAGCATTGCTATTTCTCTCTGTCTATGTTGAAGCCAAAGACATGAGGTTTGATACAGCCCCAATCCTGTGTCTTATACTCTCTCAACAGGCAGATGACCTCAGCAACCCCTTTGGACAAATGAGCCTTAGTCGCCAAGGTTCTACTGAAGCAGCTGACCCATCTGCAGCTCTATTCCAGACCCCACTTATCTCCCAGCACCCTCAGCAGACTAGCTTCATCATGGCTTCCACGGGTCAGCCCCTCCCCACTTCCAACTATTCCACCTCTAGCCATGCACCACCTACTCAGCAAGTTCTGCCACCCCAGGGGTACATGCAGCCCCCTCAACAGGTGAGCAGCTCCAGTTCCCAGCTTAAATCACTTAATTCAGTTTGTCTAGTATTATACTTTCTTTATTCCTCCAGTTTAGACAGACCAGAGGGAATACCTCTCCCTACCTTGCACTTGAGAGTTGTTCTAGCCAGAAAGTCTTCTTTCTATATAACATAAATCCTTGTTTTACTGCAATTGCAGGTCCAAAATATCTCCGTTTACATATTTCTGGCCATCAATCTTGAGGCATTTATAGTAGTATGCTGATGTTGCGGCTGAATTTTAGGGACTTCTCACACATCTGTCTCCTCTCACCATAGATCCAGGTTTCTTACTATCCCCCTGGACAATATCCTAACTCCAACCAGCAATATCGACCTCTCTCTCACCCGGTGGCCTATAGCCCCCAACGTGGTCAGCAGCTGCCTCAGCCATCCCAGCAGCCTGGTAAGAGAAACCACTGGTTTAAGAAGGCAGTGAATAAGGGAAGGGCACACCAGGAAAGAAAGAAGTACCTTCTCCATTAAAATGAAGGTGGGTCTAGGGGCAGGAATGATTAGGGTCCTAAGAACAGACCTATGCTCTCCAGAAAAAGAAAGATAAAATAGAATGGAGAAGGAAATTACAGATAGAGTGTGACCTCCTAAACATTCATACTAATGTATTTTCTGCCTTGCCCATCTCTAGGTTTACAGCCCATGATGCCTAACCAGCAGCAGGCGGCTTACCAAGGCATGATTGGGGTCCAGCAGCCACAGAACCAGGGCCTGCTCAGCAGCCAGAGGAGCAGCATGGGGGGCCAGATGCAAGGCCTGGTGGTTCAGTACACTCCACTGCCTTCTTACCAAGTGGGTGCATTCTGCATTGGGAAGGATCACCCCAGTCCTTGGCATGAGGAAAAGGAGAGCCTCCCAGGGTCATCCATACTAAAAACTCCAATACTAAAATAGTGTCTACTTTCCCCTAGAATTTTTAGGTTTTTTTCCTATAACGGAAAGCCCATGGAGTTTTAGAAGAATCTTTAAATTGTTTGGTCTTTATACAGCCATGGAATGAGTATATGCCCAGGAAAGTAGTGGCTAAAGGAAATCAGGCTCCTTTCTTTATGTCAGATGCCCAAGGGTGGTATTTGAAGAAGGCAGAAATAGAGACAGCTCTGGAAACATTTTCTTTAGGCAGATGGGGAAAACAGGAGGAGGATCTAAGGTAGGGAAGGAAGTTGTAATGCCCTGATCTCGTGATGACTAGGCTGTTTCTGCATGAGCTCAATGTGAATGCGAATGTGATTCTTTCTCTTCTCTTTCTCACCCAGGTTCCAGTGGGTAGTGACTCGCAAAATGTGGTCCAGCCGCCTTTCCAGCAACCCATGCTGGTCCCTGTGAGCCAGTCTGTGCAAGGAGGCCTCCCAGCAGCGGGGGTACCAGTGTACTATAGCATGATCCCACCTGCTCAGCAGAACGGTACGAGGTGAGGACTCCCAGAGAGCCAGGACAGGACATCTCCCATAGACCTTCAGCAACAGTTGCATCATGGTTTTGTTTCCACTGGCCTAAGAAAGGCAGGGGTAAAGATCCCAGTAGTTCCCTAAAGCAGGTAGAATATGAGGGAGTTCATTCTCCTTTTCACTTATTGATTTGACATGTGCCTAAGAGGTTATCAGCAGAAAAAAATTCCTGCTTCAGAGACTTATAATTTATGATTTCCTCCATTTTTATTTTTCAAAAGAATGGGACTCAGAACTAGAGGATAGAGACTGCTCATCATTAAGAGAAGAAATTTTTTTGGACTGTGATGTGTAAATTTTTCCGTGTACCTCTGTTTATCAATGAAACTGATGGTGTGTCTATTTCTGTATCTATTTATATATAACTGAATATAGGTCATAGTGAATAGAATTTTTAGTGGTAGAAGGCACCTTAGAAATCATCTAGTCCACTCCCCTTGTTTTATTTTTCTCTCATTTTTAAATGAGGAAATTCCAGCTAGGGCTGTTAAAAAATTTACCTAAATTAACATAGCTAGTTAGAGGCAGAGGTGGAACAAGAACTGGAGTCTGGGCAACTCCACGTGTTTCTGTATGCCTGTCTCCCAGTATATGTGCATTTACCTTTGTCTTTTTCTATATATGTCTCCAGGTTGTTTTGAGTTTTGTGGCGTTATTTTTTTCTATTTGTCTTTATGTGACTATATTTGTTTTTGACTTTTCTTTTCTTTTTGAGATGGAGTCTTGCTCTTGTTACCCAGGCTGGAGTACAATGACAATCTCAGCTCACTGCAACCTCTACCTCCTGGGTTCAAGCAATTCTCCTGTCTCAGCCTCCTGAGTAGCTGGGACTACAGGTGTGCGCCACCATGCCCAGCTAATTTTTGTATTTTTAGTAGAGACGGGGTTTCGCCATGTTGGCCAGGTTGGTCTCGAACTCCTGACCTCATGATCCACCTGCCTTGGCCTCCCAAAGTGCTGGGATTACAGGCGTAAGCCACTGCACCCAACTGACTTTTTTTTTAGGCCAAAAATAATTAGCAATCCTTAGTTTTTGTGTTTTTTTTTTTTACCCATCTCTTTCTAGCACTCTGTGTCTGTGTCTGTGACACTCTCTTTGTCTGTGTTTCTGTTGTGTTTCTTGGAATCTGTGTGTGTGCATATGTGCATGTATGTGTGTCTGGTGTTTCCAGTGTTGGGAAGAGCATGTGTCACTAACATTCCATCTGTAGCACTGATTAGCAGCTTCCTAATTGAAAGATGATCAAGTACAAATACATATAATTAACTTTGAACTGATGAGTGATTTTAGAAATTGCATGGCAAATTGGTCTGGGAATGGCTTGAAGTTGCCTCTCCTTCCCATAGGGGAGGACCAGGAAGCAGCAGCTGTTTGCCAGGAGCTGTGTTCATCCCTCTACTGCTTCACCACTCCTCTCTTCTCTGTCTTCCCAGCCCTTCTGTAGGGTTTCTGCAACCCCCTGGCTCTGAGCAGTACCAGATGCCTCAGTCTCCCTCTCCCTGCAGTCCACCACAGATGCCACAGCAGTACTCAGGTAAGAGGATAAGGAACTGTGGGTCTTGGGCACTGACAAGAGCAAACATTGCTGAAGGGCCTGTGCTCTAGAGCTGGGAAGGGCAAAAAGAGTTCAGGTATTGGGTCTGTCCCCACTGTGACTCCATCACAAAGAAAAAACAGTCTTAGCTGGTGTTTTCCAAGGGTACTGAAGCTGACCTCTCAAGATGACACTGGGGCCAGGCACACTGGCTCACACCTGTAATCCCAACACTTTGGGAGGCCAAGGCAGGAGGATCACTTGAGCTGAGGAGTTTGAGACCAGCCTGGGCAACATAGCAAGACTTTGACTCTACTAAAAAAACTTTTTTAAAAGGCCAGGCATGGTGGCTCATGCCTGTAATCCCAGCACTTTGGGAGGCCAAGGCGGGTGGATCGCTTGAGCCCAGGAGTTTGAGACCAGCCTGGCCAACATGGTAAAACCCCATCTCTACTAAAAATACAAAAATTAGCCAGGCATGGTGGTGCACACTTGTCATCCGGCTACTTAGGAGGCTGAGGCACGAGAATCACTTGAACCTGGGAGGCAGAGGTTGCAGCTCATGCCACTGCACTCCAGCCTGGGCAACAGAGCAAGACTCCGTCTCAAAAAAAAAAAAAAAAAGAAAAATTATGGCCAGGTGCGGAGGCTCACGCCTGTAATCCCAACACTTTGGGAGGCCAAGACGGGCAGATCACCTGAGGTCAGGAGTTCAAGACCAGCCTGGCAAACATGGTGAAACCCCACTTCTATTAAAAATACAAAAATTAGCTGGGCATGGTGGCGTGCATCTGTAATCCCAGCTACTTGGGAGGCTGAGGCACAAGAAATGCTTGAACCCGGGAGACGGAGCTTGCAGTGAGCCGAGATCGCGCCACTGCACTCCAGCCTGGGCGACAAAGCGAGACTCCATCTCAAAAAAAAAAAAAAACAAGCCAAGAGTGGTGACGCACCCAGTAGTAACAGCTGCTCAGGAGTCTGAGGGGAACAATCGCTTGAGCCTGGGAGGCTGAGGCTGTAAGGAGCTGGCATCGTGCCATTGCACTCCAGCCTGGATGGACCCAGATAGGGAGTGGGACCCTGTCTCTAGGGGGAAAAAAAAAGAAATGACATTGGTTGCCTCAGCCCTGAAAAGCTATGTCTCTGCATTCTTAGTTTTCTTTGTTTTTCTTTTTTCTTTTTCTTTTCTTTTCTTTTCTTTTTTTCTTTTTTTTGTTTTCTGAATCTAGCACTATACTCACATGCCTTTGGGTCATGAAATGAAGACACAGAAGACCTGTGTCTTCTGTACTTATCCTTCATATAGACAGCATTTCTTTTCTCTTGGGAGGGTGAGGGAAGTTGATAAAACGCTTTTTAACTTAGAGCTTAGATTTGTTTAGCAGCTTTTGTTGTGTGCTCACATACATTGTAACATTTTAATTCTCACCATAACTTTGTGAGGAGGAAATTTAAAACTCAAAGAAATTAAATGACTTGCCTAAAGTCACAATCCTCTAACTTGAATTTGGGTCTTTTGACTTTCCGCATCCCATACTGAGTCTTCAACACATTTTCAACACTTTTTTTTACTCAATTTCTTTCTCTCCAGTGGAAAATAAATGGACATCATGTTACACAGCTAAGGGCCCTCTTTGGAGAGGCCAGCCATTCCAAGTTAATAAGTTTATGCCATGCAGCCTTTCACTGCCTTTGCCAAGAATTCCCCTAACACGCAAGTACAGCTGCCCTTGTTTGTATCCCTTTCACCCTACCCTCAAATAGCAATACACTGCAGTTAAAGAAACTTTAGGGGACTGTGTGCAGTGGTACACACCTGTAATCCCAGCACTTTGGGAGGCCAAGGCAGGAGAATTTCTTGAAGCCAGGAGTTCGAGACAAGCATGGGCAACAAAGCAAGACCCTATCTCTACAAAAAATTTAAAAATTAGTTGGGCATGGTGGCATGTGCTTTTAGTTCGTCCCAGCTACTTGAGAGGCTGAGGCAGGAGGATCACTTGAGCCCAGGTGTTTGAGGCTGCAGTGATCTATGATGGTGCCACTGCATCATGGTGATGTCACCCTGTCATCATGGAGAGCAAGACCCTGTCTCAAAAAAAAAAAAAAAAAATCTGGAAGGAAGTCTTTTGTTTTTTCTTTTCTTTTCTTTTCTTTTTTTTGAGACAGAGTCTTGCTCTGTCACCCAGGATGGAGTGCAGTGGTGCAATCTCGGCTCACTGCAACCTCCACCTCCCAGGTTCAAGCAGTTCTCCTCCCTCAGCCTCCTGAGTAGCTGGGACTACAGGCGCCTGCCACCATGCCTGGCTAATTTTTGTATTTTTTTTTTTTTTTTTTTTTAGTAGAGGCAGGGTTTCATCATGTTGGCCAGGCTGTTCTTGAACTCCTGACCTCAGGTGATCCGCCCGCCTCGGCCTCCCAAAGTGCTAGGATTACAGGTGTTGAGCCAGCTTCCCAGCCCAGCTGGGAAGGAAGTCTTTTTTTTTTTTTTTGAGACAGAGTCTCTCTCTGTCGCCCAGGCTGGAGTGCAGTGGCGTGATCTCGGCTCACTGCAGCCTCTGCCTCCCAGGTTCAAGCAATTCTCCTGCCTCAGCCTCCCAAGTAGCTGGGATTACAGGCACATGCCGCCACAGCTGGCTAATTTTTAAATTTTTAGTAGAGACGGCGTTCACCATGTTGGCCAGGATGGGCCTGATCTCCTGACCTCATGATCTGCCCACCTCGGCAGGAAGTCTTAATTTAGCCTCCAACCATCTCCTTTCCACTCTATCGTGGGAATGTCAGAGTGCCCTCTTCTGGTGAGAGGGAGATATTTTGTCAATTTTCCCTATTTAGAAATGGAATATTTTCACTTGAAGATTTTTTGTACGTCACTATGTTGGATGCTGTGGAGTAGATTCCAGAATTAATCTTACTCATTAGACATGATCAGTTCTTACCTTTAAGGAGCAATGACTTCCAGGCCAGGCATGGTGTCTCATGCCTGTAATCCCATCACTTTGGAAGGCCAAGGAGGGTGGATCACTTGAGGCCAGGAGTTCGAGACCAGCCAGCCTGGCCAACATGGCAAAACCCCATCTCTACTAAAAATACAAAAATTAGCTGGGCATGGGGGTGCACATCTGTAATCCCAGCTACTTGGAAGGCTGAGGCATGAGAATTGCTTGAACCCAGGAGGCAGAGGTTGCAGTGAGCCGAGATTGCGCCACTGCACTCCAGCCTGGGCAACATAGCGAGACTGTCTCAAAACAAAAAAAAAGGAGCAATGACTTCCGCCTTCATACAGGCTGAGGTTTTTAATTCAAAAGTCCTTAACTTTTATTATGTTATTGGTCTCTCTGGCTGTTTCTCCTAGTGTCTGCCAGGGGCACTTGGCCTTAAAATTTCCAGTGGGGTATAGATATTGCAGAAACCAGCTCCAAGAAGCACTGTAGCCTATGGTGGTGCTGGGTACTGCGGGGCATTTTTTCTCCTGCATGTACATGTAGGTATACTTGTATGTGCATTTTTGTGTGTATCCTTTGTGGCATGTCCTTATATCTATTGGGTCACTGTGGTTACATCTATTCATCTTCAAATGCAAGATCTTTGAACCATAAACAAATCAAGTGAAAAGAATTTTTCATTACCTACTCTGTCATACTAGGTTAATTTAAGTAAACTAAAACAACAGTTCTGGAAGTTGGCAACACTAGAAATCTGGACCAGGGTTAGAAGAAAGAGATAATTAATGTAGGCTTCCCACGTCAAAAGAAATGGAGAATCCCTCTTTATCGTCTGTTTTCCTTGCTTCTTTGGAATTTTCTCAGTTTTATCTCCTTTGTTCTTAGTTACCCTGGTTGATCCTAGGCTTCTGACTGACCCCTTGTACTTTTCCTAGATAGTGGTATCTTGTGTTCTACCCATATCATGTAAAATACTGTATTCACCATATCGATCTTATAGGTCTTTAATCCCTGTTTGTGGAAATCTAAGAGGAGGTGGAAAAAGGGAAACAAGTGCTTCTTGTGCCTCGTTTACCCTATACTGAAAAGATAGACAGCAGGCATAACCCACAAGGGCCCCTCTGTCACCTTCAGAGGACAGTTGCCTGCCCTTCTCTCATGTAGCAACATGGTCACTTTTCCAAAAATAAAGGCAGGGATTAGGATTAGCTGTTCCTGGAACAACTGTTCTGGTTTATTAATACATTTTTGTAGTTGCCCTGTTTACCCCCAGGCCTGAACTTTAATTCCTTCACTATAGTATGAGACATAACTCTAACCCCAGGAAAGACTTCTCCCATTAAAATGATGGTTGCAGGTCCCTTGAGGTTTCTACAGGGGTGCTTGTCTGGGGAAGATGCACACAGACATGAAATGGCAGTGATACCTATACAGAGACTCCCAACTCACAGTGACACAGCAGCATGGACAGAGTGAAATGCATACAGAAATAGCCTCTCACATATTTACTGGCTCATTGTTTAGCTGAGGGGTTTCCAAAGCTGAGACTGCTCTTTCGTCTTCCATTTAGTGAAGATATCCTACTCCCCCACCAAAAAAAGGAAAAATACCAAGATATTATTGGATTCTATCTTTTAATTTGGGAAAGATGCCTGTGGATTTTATTTCTCCAAACAATTCCTTTCCATAGATGTGATTTCTGGTGGTAAGAAGCCTATCAGTCTTCTACCTCAGTGATTTAAAAAAACAAAAAAACAAAAATGAAAAACAATTCTGCCAGACATAAATGTCATCTGTTTGTATTTATGCGGTTTGCTGTGCCCAATCGACCTTTCTGCCCAGGTTTAATGATGCCACTTAAAAAGCCATTCACACGTCCCCTCTCCTTTCAGAGCTTTCAAGCTGAAATTGATTTCCTTATTCAACCCCCCCTCCCACTTCCCACTGGCTGCCAACCCATGCTCCTTCCCCCAACCTGATTATATGGAAGTGCTGTCACTGGGCAGAGGGTTTTTTTTTTTTTTTTTTTTTGCCACGTCTATTAAGAAGTAGTGACAGTTCAGCTGCTAACAGATGCCACCTGCTTTGGGCTCGAGGAAGAGAAGCATAAAAATCAGCTCATCAGTGGAGTAGTGCTCTGTGTTCTCAGCTAAGTGAAGGAACAATGCTTCAGGCCAGCAGGGGAGGACTCAGTGTGGGGAGGAGCTCAGGACAGAGGCTGCAACTAAAAACCCTGGCTTTGTTTTTGTTGGGAGCAGAGATAATAATATGAGGACTTTGTTTTCTTTCCCTCTCCCTGTGACCTCCCTAATAGCTCCTTATGACTACCTGCTGGTATTAGAGCTTCCACTGCCTTGCTTATGCTTATTTCTACACACTCACCCCCTTCTCCACCTTTCCTGGCCCAGGGCATTAGGCTCAGATTATGAGCTGCTTTCTAGAAAAACAATAGATTTAATTATTCTTACATTGGACCCTCAGGTAGCAATGAGGTATTTGAATACCTTCTAGAAAAACAATAGATTTAATTATTTTTACATTAGACTCTCAAGTAGCAATGAGGTATTTGAATAAGGTCAATTGCAATTTTGTTGGTAGAGGATGTTGAAGCAGGTGAGCGATTCTTAGGATGGGGAAATAAAATACCCAGCAAAACTACAGTAAGGGGAGAGTTGTTAAATGCATGACACTCCACAACTGTGCAGTTTTCCTATGGCCCTACTACAACCTATGCCCATGAATACTCTGTCCACCTTGGCAGGAGATGGGGATATCTGAGCCTGTTGCACTGAGTATTTGTGCTCTCTGACTGGATGAACCCTAGAGGGTCAGGGGTACAAATGGTCTGGGGAATATGATATGACAGATGCTGTCTCCTGAGCTTCTCTTAGACCTCCCACCATTTCTTTTCCTTTCTTTTGACTGATACTACCTGAGAAAAACAATCACGCTCACTTCCCAGCATGACTGGTGCCCAGGGCAGAGGCTGCAACATTTCCCGTCATAGGAAGCAATTTGATGACAGCAGCAGTGGCAGCCCTGGAGCATCGAGCCATGAAAACAGCAGCATTGCAGCAGGTTTTCAAGCTAGTAACCCCAAATTTCCCATTTCTCCACCACCACCCACGTGTGAACTCAGCCTCAACAGGAATATAGCCTGGGAGGTCAGGAATAAACCCTCACTCTAGACAATCCCTTGCGGGGAAGCAGAGCTCCAGCCCATCCCTCCCAGCAGGGACTGTCCATCAAACTGCTTGACCCTGACTCTTTACCTTGCTTTTCACCATGAAGATTTAGGTCTTAATGTTCCTCCTTATTAAGGCTTTCCCTTCTCCCACCCTGTGGGAGGATGAGTCTATCCATGGTTGCCAGTGCCAAAACCTCAAAGTCGCATTCAGTCAGTCACCTGAACCTGTCAGTGTAACCTTCAGAGGGTCTGACTTTCACTCCATTCCTGCTGGCATTGCCCTAATTTCAAATCTCTTCATTCTGTTTCAGCAGGCTTTTTTTTTTTTTTTTTTTTTTGAGGCAGGGTCTCATTCTGTCACCCAGTCTGGAGTGCAATGGCATAATCACGGCTCACTGCAGCCTCGACCTCCCAGGCTCAAGTGATCCTCTCACCTCAGCCTCCTGAGCTGCTGAGACTACAGGTGCTTGCCACCATGCCCAGCTCATTTTTGTATTTTCTGTAGAGATGGGGTTTCACCATGTTTCCCAGGCTACTCTTGAACTCCTGGGCTCAATCAGTCCACCTGCCTCGGCTTCCCAAAGTGCCGGGATTACAGCCATGAGCCACTGTGCCCGACCTTCAGTAGCTTCCTGACTGGTCTTTCTTGCTGCTGGTCTCTCTCCCTAGCTATCCTACATTTGGCCGTTTGAGTTAGCTCTCCAAAGCATAGGTCTCCCAACACCTACAGGATAAAGTCCAAACATCTTACCAGAATATGCTTCAAACTCTGACACCAACTATTTGTTTAATGTCTGACTCTTTAATAGACTGTCCATTCTATCAGGGCAGGGACAGCCTTGTTTTTTGTACACTCAGTGCCCAACATAGGAACTAGCACATAGCAAATGTTCAATAAGAGTTTGTTAAATAAACGTGTCTCATCTCCTACTGCTTCCCCTATATGGCCCCTGTGTCTTAGCACCTTGAATCATTTGTCAGTTCCTGAATATGACATACATCTCCATGCTTAAATGCTTAAAATGCTTCCCAGCTTACCCCATTCTTGGCCAAGATGTACTTTCTGGGTCTGGCATAGTGAAACTATGTGGATTTATCTTCTCCAGAACAACCAGAGGTCACTGCCTTATCTATAGCCATTACCAGAAAAGCCTGCACGTGTCTGCAGCCCTGGCCTGTGGCCCAGACCTGGACCCGTACCATGCCTAGACATTTGAGCAATCTGACCTGGGCATTTGGTTATAGCCAGCGTTGACAGAATGGAGTAGTTTTCTGCCAAGCATACCAAAGTACCCCTCACCAGGTGAAGGCCAGGGGAGCACTGGCATCTGGGGCTCATATCCCTTCCACTCAAACTTCTACTGGTTTGAGAAGATGGAGTCAGAAGCCACATCAGCAGCCATCTCAGGTTCCTGGCAAGACGTAGCTTGAGTGACCCTGAGGCAATGGGTGGATTTATTTGCTGCTTTCCCACTCAGGGCTAGTTGGAAGGCAAAAATACAGTTGGAATTTGTAACCAACTGCTTTCTTCCTGCCCTTCAGGAGTGTCACCTTCTGGACCAGGTGTAGTGGTCATGCAGCTGAATGTCCCTAATGGACCCCAGCCCCCTCAGAACCCATCCATGGTCCAGTGGAGTCATTGTAAATACTACAGCATGGACCAGCGGGGGCAGAAGCCTGGAGACCTGTACAGTCCTGACAGCAGCCCCCAGGTGAGTGCAGCACTCAGCCTTGTCTTGGCAAGGAGATGACCGTATTCTTCCCGGGGCGCAATGTTTGCTATTGACTGAGCAGCCTCTTTTACATGTCTTTTCCTGGGTACTTTCTGGGGAGAAACACAGGAAGTAGACAGCATCCTCTTTTAAGGAACCTAATATATAAGGTGGCAGGTGGGATACACACTTGAAAATGCTCAGAGAATACTTAAATCAATATGCCAGAAATGGATATTAAAATAACATAAATGGGCCAGGCATGGTGGCGCACACCGGTAATCCCAGCACTTTGGGAGGACAAGGCGGGAGGATCACTTGAGGTCAGGAGTTTGAGACCAACGTGGTGATACCCCGTCTCTACTGAAAATAAAAAAATTAGCCAGGCGTGATGGTGGGCACCTGTAATCCCAGCTACTCAGAAGGCTGAGGCAGGAGAATTGCTTGAACCCAGGAGGTGTAGGTTGCAGTGAGCCAAGATTGCACCACTGCACTCCAGCCTGTCTGGGTGATAGAGCAAGACTCCATCTCAAAATAAATAAATAAATAAATAAATAAATAAATAAATAAATAAATAAAATAGCATAAATGAATTAAGGACTGAGGTTGCAGTTTGAAGGAAGAGTCTGACTTTGGCAGAGTTCAGCAAGAGAAACTTATTTCCTGAGAGAGGTGAATTTTAAGCCAAGCCATAGGAATATCCAGAGGGTAATGTTTGATGTTTATGTGACGTGTGCTCCTCTTTTCCACAGGCCAACACACAAATGAGCAGCAGCCCTGTCACATCTCCTACCCAGTCTCCAGCACCCTCTCCTGTCACCAGCCTCAGCAGTGTCTGCACAGGACTCAGTCCCCTGCCTGTCCTCACACAGTTCCCCCGGCCTGGGGGTCCAGCACAGGGTAGGGGGTTAGATTAGTGCTGGCTGCTATGGAATTCACCTTTCACATCCCATTCCCAATTGCAGAGATTGAAAGAGTAACAACAGGCAGAGGACCAGTGTAGATGATCCAATTCTGGGAGTTAACTCTTCCTTTAACATCCCTGTATAGGCCTTGGACACTTGCCCCTCTCTAGTGCTGTCCATGCTTAACTTTCTTTAGCCTTCTTTACATACTTAGTACTTACAACCAAGTAGGTAAAAAGAGCTGGAGAAAATAAGTTCACTGAACTTTCTAATGACCAAAGAGTTTAACCTAATATCAGTACCAAGTCTGAGGGCTGGGAATGTGGGATTTTGTAAGAAACGGTATGGTCTTAGAAAAGGAACCACTAGATTTGGTTTCAGAAGTTCCAGTCTCACCACTAACTAGCTTTGTGATGTTCAACAAGTTACTTAAACTCAGAAGTAGACCTCACTTCCTAGTCTGTAAAATGGGGTTAATCACACATAAGATGGGAATTTTATCTGCTTTCTGCCTTAGCTGTCACAAGCAGTATAAAAATGAGAATGTAGTTTAAAAACTTTAAAGTGCTCTGAAATGTAATATTTATCAATAATAGGTAACACTTAATGGTACTTAATATGTACCAGGCATTGCTATAAATGCTTTACATGTCTTATATTTGTTTAACCTTTCCAGCAACATTAATGAGGGAAAAAAATACCCAACGTTAGATCATATTTCCAGTAACAGAGCCACTATTTTAACCCAGGCAGTCTGGCTCCACGACTATGCTCTTGTCTACTGTGCTTATACTGCCTCTCACATGAGTCAGAAACTTGAACCCTGGGTTTAGGGGTTGGGAGAATCTATATAAGAGATAAAAGACAGCCGGGCGCAGTGGCTAACGCTTGTAATCCCAGCACTTTGGGAGCCCGGGGCAGGCGGATCACCTGAGGTCAGGAGTTCAAGACTGCCTGGCCAACGTGGTGAAACCCCATCTCTACTAAAAATACAAAAAAAAATTAGCCAGGCGTGGTGGCACATGCTTGTAATCCCAGCTACTCGGGAGGCTGAAGCAGGAGAATCGCTTCCCAGGAGGCAGAGGTTGCAGTGAGCCGAGATCATGCCATTGCACTCCAGCCTGGGTGGCGAGTGAAACTCTGTCTCAAAAAAAAAAAAAAAGAGAGATAAAAGACATTCATAAGGGTCTGTAAGTTTCTTCCCTGGTCATTTTCATAGGACTGTTGTCTACAGTGGATAGAGCCTTTCTTCAAGGATGATGGGACCTAGTAGTCCCATTTATCTGTGAGACACAGTTGAGAGCCAAAGGATTTAGGAAGAGAAACAACTCTTATACCAGTCGCATGGGCATTTCCATCATAGAAAATTAGGAATAGTATGCATTGTTGCTGTCTCCAAAGCCCCTTGAAGTCTTATAAAAGTCATACTATGAAGCTTAAGCTCCCAGAAAACCAATTGCTCTTACTCCCTAGGTGATGGGCGCTACTCCCTTTTGGGCCAGCCATTACAGTACAATCTGTCCATCTGCCCTCCCTTGCTCCATGGCCAGTCAACTTACACGGTGCACCAGGTAAGGGTGTCCACCAGCAACTGTAGGGCCATCAGACCCCTCTTCTTATTTGGGTGCCTGTGTCTGAGCTTCAACCAGCTGGGTATACAAGGGAAATAACACAGAATGAACAAAGCAGGAGCCTTGCCCTACCTCCTATACTCATGTCTCCCACCCGACCCCCATGCCAAGAGGGAGGGGCTCTTTGTTTCTCAGTCGCTGCTCCATGGCCAACCTGACTGCCTAGTGGGGTGGGGTCCTCTGGGTTGGTGCTACTCCACAATCTCTCAGGCAGACATTCTGATGCAAGGCAGTCAATGTTGTTTACATGGGATGAGAGTCGTCTTTCAAATGTTGAAGGGACAGAGTGGACTGAAGCATGGAAACCGGGGCAAGAGACAAGCACTCAAATCTGCCTCCACTGACCTGGGGACAGCAGATGTTGGTGAGTCACGGGATGCTGAATCCCCAAGAGAAGGTGCCCACCCTTCCAGCGCTTAATTACCAGTCCAGCATGGGTGGGAAAAGCCAGCTTAGGATGGGGAGTGGAAGTGGGACCCTTTGTGCTCAAAAGCAAGCAGAAACTGGAGAAGTGAAGTATCTCAGTCCTCCCTACCAAGCCATCTCAGATTCTGAGGAAGATCATGGTAAAAAGTGGGAATAACACAATTATGGGAGTTGCCTCTTATTAACAAAGAGTTTTCTAATTAGTGTCCTGTCCCTAATCTACGACATCTACCTTTGGTAGTCCTAGACCCAGTTTAGGAGAAGATTGGTAGAGAATATGGGGGAGAAACTCTCGTCCTACAAGCCTCCCACTAGGTGAACAAGATCTGTCTTGGGATTTGGAGCAATTTCCTAAACAAGGAAAGGAAGGGAAACTTGACTTCCTGAGATGATAAGAAGGAAGAATCTATTTGAGCCAGCCTCTGAGTGGGAAGGGAACTATGGAACATATTTCAGATTGATACATTATTGTTAAAGAACATTAGCAAAAGCCACATTTTCTTCATAGCAGTAGCACCTTGTGAGAGAACTGAGGTATAGGTTCTTAGCTCAGAAACCCAGGATTCTGATTCCCTGTCCCTTCTTTCCTGTATCTCTGGGCTAGGAGAATAGAAAGGTTCATTTGTTTTTCTCCTAGTTGCCCTGATCAGAGCTGGGATGGTGGGGAGGGGAAGAAAGGGCTAAGAGAGAAAGGCCAGGCTTTTGAAGACATTGTATACAGACTTAGTCAGCTGGACACTTCTCTGCTGGGCTGCTGTCAAGTCCTTCCTGTCCTATTCCTCTCACAACCATGTCCTCTCTCCTCCCCTTCCAGTCCTGGGGCGGGTGCTGGAGGTGACAGATCTCCCTGAGGGCATCACCCGTACTGAGGCGGACAAACTCTTCACGCAGCTCGCCATGTCTGGCGCCAAGATCCAGTGGCTCAAGGATGCTCAGGGGCTGCCTGGAGGGGGTGGGGGGGACAACAGTGGGACTGCTGAGAATGGCCGCCACTCGGACCTCGCTGCCTTGTACACCATTGTGGCTGTGTTCCCCAGCCCCCTGGCTGCCCAAAATGCCTCCCTTCGTCTCAACAACTCCGTGAGTCGCTTCAAACTTCGAATGGCCAAAAAGAACTATGACCTGAGGATCCTGGAGCGAGCCAGCTCCCAATAAATGGAGGAGGGGAAAGGGACTGTCACAGAAGGAGCAAGGGCAGGGTGGAGGGGGTTGAAGGATCCTGACAGACCATGGACAGAGGCAGGAAGTAAGGAAACTGATGTTAAACTGGAACCTAAGACAGTGATGAAGATGGAAACACAGATACCTACACTGGCATTGGACTCCTTCTTGCTCCCCTGCCATGGGTCCTCTCTTTTTCCCTGGTTGACCCCCCTTGCATCACTCTTCTTCCCATCCTCTTCTTTTTTTTTTTTTTTTTTTTTTTGAGACGGAGTTTCGCTCTTGTCACCCCAGCTGGAGTGCAGTAGCACGATCTTGGCTAACTGCAACCTCCAGCTCCTGGGTTCAGGTGATTCTCCTGCCTCAGCCTCCCAAGTAGCTGGCACTACAGACACGCGCCACCATGCCCGGCTAATTTTTGTATTTTTAGTAGAGACGGAGTTTCACCATGTTGGCCAGGCTGGCCTCAAACTCCTGACCTCAGGTGATCCACCTGCCTTGGCCTTCCAGAGTGCTGGGATTACAGGCGTGAGCCACTGTGCCTGGCTTCCATCCTCTTCTATCATTTTTTTAAATCTCTTCTCCTATCATAAAATTAATTTCTCATTTTTTGGTCAGGTAGAATTGGGAAAGTCCCACACTGTCCTCCTATTACCTTAACATCCCAAGCTTCCTTTCCTTTTTTGGTCTTTATGAATATATTTATATGGACAGAATTAAGATAAACAAAATTGATTGCCCCATTCTCTCACTTCCCCATCTTGTCTTCCTAGACCCCACAGAGTTAAAACTTGGGATTCCCCTGGCCCCCCCAGAACACTTGTATATTGTTTGTTTGAGGTTCGTGCCGCAGTAACAGACACAGTATTTAATTGCACATACAGATGTTTGCTGGGTATATTCACTGTAAATTTTATTTAATCTGTTTTTTTGTTTGTTTGGGGGTTATTTGGGGGGAGGTTGGTTTTGTTTTTAAATATAAAAAAAAAAATCTGTCACTGGACATCAGTCACTGTTTCTCTGTTGCCGCCCTGGTATGGGTAAAGGGTTGGAGGCCCTGGGTAGGTATAGCCCTACAGCTGTTGGAGGTGTTTGTCGTGGGTTGGGATGGCTTTCTCTAGCATACGCACACTATTTTAACACCATTCCCTCTGTCTCATCCTCTTCCCTGTACACGGTTCTGATAGATGGCTAGATCTCTAATGGGACCATGGCTTTGGGCTCTCCCGGTTCTGCCACTGTGGTTCATCGAGCATATCACTTCTCAACTCTGGATCTGTGTCCAGATCAGTAAAATAAGAGACTTGGACTTAGTAGGTGACCTCTAGGTTTCCTTCCAGACTATTAATTCTGTGGTACTGTGTACTCATTTAGGGCCCTTGTAGTTGAGTTTTGAGATAGGGTCTTGCTCTGTCACCCAGGCTGGAGTGCAGTGGCAGATCTCAGCTGACTGCAGCCGCCTCCCGTGTTCAAGCGATTCTTGTGCCTCAGTCTCCCGAGTAGCTGGGATTACAGGCGCGATCTAGCATGCCTGGCTAATCTTTTTTTTTTTTTTTTTTGCTATTTTTGGCAGAGACAGGGTTTTACCATGTTGCCCAGGCTGGTCTTGAACTCCTGGGCTCAAGTGATCTCCCGCCTTGGCCTCCTAAAGTGCTGGGATTACAGGCATGAGCCACCACTCCCAGCCCAGCTCGTCTTCTGAAAACCCTTTAGGGATGGAGAACTTGGGCCTTTCTTTTTTTTTTTTTTTTGAGATGGAGTCTCGCCCTGTTGCCCAGGCTGGAGTGCAGTGGCGCGATATCTCGGCTCACTGCAACCTCCACCTCCCGAGTTCAAGCAGTTCTCCTGCCTCAGCCTCCTGAGTAGCTGTGCCCCATCGTGCCCAGCTAATTTTTGTATTTTTAGTTGACATGGGGTTTCACCATGTTGGCCAGGCTGGTCTCGAACTCCTGACCTTGTGATCCACCCGCCTCGGCCTTCCAAAGTGCTGTGATTACAGGCGTGAGCCACCGTGCCTGGCTGCCTTTCTTTAATCCTAAAGCTGGAGGATTGGGTTTTACCTGTCAGGGACAGAAGCAGATTTTTATTACAATGAAAGCTACAGCAACTGAACTCGCAGTGCCAAGATGCTGTATTATCCAAACATGCTCAGCAGTCCCTGTCCTATGTGGCTGAAAAAAGACGAAGAGCAGAAGTCATCTTGCCTGCAAGATGGAGCTTTTCCTTTAGAGCATCTCAAAGCAAGCCCTGTTGTTCTGCAGCCTGTCAGAGCAGGGCCATTAAAGAACCTGCAGAGTCAGAACCATCCTGCACCCCCTTTTCAAACTCCCCCCTTAAATAGAAAAAAGTAGTGGGTGAGAATGACAAAGCACGTTGCCCTGGAAATCTCTTGGGTCCAAGTAGCTGTATCCCTAACGACGATCCTACAGGAGCTTGCCTGACCCAGTCTCCAACACAGTCCTTTATTTCTTACAGATACAAGGAATAGAGCAGCACTGCATTGCCACCTCTAAATTGCTCTCCCCTGAGATGGGAGTATCTCCTCTTTCATCCATGTCACAGCCCAAAGAGTAGAAGGGTGCACCCCTGTGAGATGAGAATGGCATCTGTCTCTTTGATCCATCAGTTATATACTGAGGCATCAAAGGTGGGAGATGGAATCAGGGAATCAAAAGGGTTTAGGAAGTGTGAGGGTTGGCCATCCTACCTTTAAGAGTTTGCAGTTCTCATGAGGAAGGGGACATTACTTAGAAATGATTTAAAAAATTCCTTATGTGGCAGCTATATGCTTCTGTCCAGTGTTAACTGGCCCTTTTTAATAGCCCTGGTAATTCCCTTCAGTCTGAGGACAAAATTTTACAAGAAGGAGGGTGGGGAGATGTCTCTGGGAGCTGCTGGAGGGAATGAAGCAATACTACATATTCTTCACTTTCTTACAGGATAGCAAAGTACTCCTCCAACCACCTACAGATAAAAAGCAATCTAGCCATGCACGGTGGCTCACACCTGTAATCCTAGCACTTTGGGAGGCCAAGGCAGGCGGATCACCTGAGGTCAGGGGTTCGAGACCAGCCTGGCCAACATGGTGAAACCCCATCTGTACTAAAAATACAAAAATTACCTTGGCGTGGTGGTGGGCGCCTGTAATCCCAGCTACTTAGGAGGCTGAGGCAGGAGAATCGCTTGAACCTGGGAGGTTGCAGTGAGCCCGGATCGCTTCATTGCACTCCAGCCTGGGCAACAAGAGCAAGACTCTGTCTCAAAAAAAAAAAAAAAAAAGCCATCTAGTATGGCTGATAGGAGAGCTCTATGAGTTCAAATTAGTCTTTTTTTACCCTGTCTCAAAAAATAAATGAAAAATAAAAATAAACTCCCCTTAAATGTTAAATGAGCATGAACAGAAACTGTCCCTTCCTGAATTCAGCCATTATTCACCTGTTCGCCTTAGATGAAGAATCAAGGAACAGCAGCTCTAGGGGGTTGGGAGGAGTTAGGGTCCGGCCCTGCCCCAGACCTCTCAGTGTCCAATTTCTCTGTGTCAGCTGTGTTTCTCAGCTGTCCACTTTCCTCCAGCCCTGTCATTTCAGCCCTGACACCAAGGCAGGAGGCTAGGAGGTCTACAAATAGCGACTGGGTAGCTGGTGTGAACACAGGGGGTACTGGGGGGGCTTAGCCCCCAAGGAAGAGGACCAGTTTTTCCCCAGCACCACCATCAAGGCCTCGAGGCTCCCAGCTCCCTCTACAGCCTGTGGACTGACTTAGGGAATCCCGAACGTAAGTTACCTCTTCATCCTCTTGATTTCCACGACTGCTCACCCCAGCTGCCCTGATCTATAATCTACTCAGCTTCTTCATTTCTCTCCTTGTCTGTGAGTCTTTTGGGTTTTAGGCGTAAAATTATTATTCTACTCTAGGATGAGTTTGGATTGAAGCGGGGGGTGGGGGTGGGGGTGGGGTGAAGGGAATGAAGTAGTAAGGGAAGGAAAGGCTCATATTACCCTGAAAACTTAAAATAGCTGAGCCCTGAGGCAGGCTGGGACAGAACTAGGCACAGGGCCCCCAGGGCTCAAGAAAAAAGTAGGGGAGGACAAATGTCTCCAGTCCATCCTTCCTTGTGTGCACACGAGGACACACATTAAACCTCTTGAAGAGAGGAGATCTGGGAAGGTATGCATCACATCTCTGTTGCCCACAGATTTCCAGGAGAAACAAAGTACCTATAGGAAAATGACGTAAACCACGCAGCTTTGAACACTGTGTAAGGGCTGTAAACTATGGGGTCGCCCCTCAGGATGGAAGGATGAGTATCAGTTTGAGGAACTAATTGGGAAGCTCTTTAGTCTGTTGGGCTTTTTTTTTTTTTTTTTTTTTTTTTTTGAGACGAAGTCTTGCTCTGTCACCCAGGCTGGAGGGCAGTGGCACAATCCCGGCTCACTGCAACCTCCGCCTCCCGGGTTCAAGCGATTATCCTTCCTCAGCTTCCTGAGTGGATGGGATTACAGGCGTCCGCCACCACACCCGGCTAATTTTTATATATTTAGTAGAGATGGGGTTTCACCATGTTGGCCAGGCTAGTCTTGAACTCCTGATCTCTAGTGATCCGCCTGCCTCAGCCTCCCAAAGTGCTGGGATTACAGGCATGCACCACCACACCCGGCCATGTTAAGCTTTTTTCTAGACCTCCATGAAATCTGTTAATAAAACCTGCCAAAGGATCTGTATTTGGCCCAGTGCAGTGGCTCACGCCTGTCTCAACAATTTGGGAGGTTGAAACAGGAAGATTGCTTGAGCTAGTTCGGGACCAGCCTAGGCAACAAAGCAAGACCATGTCTCTACAAAAAATAAAAAAGTAGCCAGGTAGTGTGCACCTTGTGTTCCAGCTACTCAGGAAGCTGAGGTAGGGGGATCGCTTCAGGCTGGGAGGTCGAGGCTGCAGTGAGCCATGATCACGCCACTGCACTCCAGCCTGGGTGACAGAGTGAGACCCCATCTCAACAGTAACAACAGCAAAATCTCTCATCACATTTCTCCGAAAGCCTCCCCTTTGAGGACCACCCTACTGCAAGGGACAGAAAGGGAGAGAAGAATGAAAGGGATTAGATTTCATAGTGGGGTCCAACCTCTTGCAGGATGACAGAAAAGGAGGTGCTGGAGTCCCCTAAGCCCTCCTTCCCAGCAGAGACTCGGCAAAGTGGGGTGAGTCTGGGCCTCTGACCACTGGGTGTGGGGGGCTGGGAAGCCATTACAGCTGAAGAAGAGTGCTTAAATTGATCTCATTTGTGTGTGACTCATTTTTTGCTGGCCAGCACCTGCAGTCCCCAATACCAATACCCCCCTAATCCTGGGGTACATTCCTTGCCTGAAACTAGAAAACTGTCTAGTTTGCTCTAGCGCCCCCCTACTCTAGAGAGGGTGACAAGTCCTTTTAACATTGGGTTTTCTTCACTCCCTCCCTCAGCTACAGCGGCTAAAGCAGTTACTCAGGAAGGGTTCTACAGGGACAAAGGAGATGGAACTTCCCCCAGAGCCCCAGGCCAATGGGGAGGCAGTGGGAGCTGGGGGTGGGCCCATCTACTACATCTATGAGGAAGAGGAAGAGGAAGAAGAGGAGGAGGAGGAGCCACCCCCAGAACCTCCTAAGCTGGTCAACGATAAGCCCCACAAATTCAAAGATCACTTCTTCAAGAAGCCAAAGTTCTGTGATGTCTGTGCCCGGATGATTGTTCGTGAGTCATGAAGGGAAGTGAAGAGAGTATGATATTGAAGGCAGAGGTTTGGGGAGAGGGCATAGGAGAGGAGTATTTGTAGCAGATGGGCTGTGGCTAGAGTTGGTGTAAGGCAATGCTATTAGAGATTGAGCAAGTAGGGTCCCAGACAGAAAAGGAAACCTAAGAGTAGCAGCAGTGGTACAAAGGGAAAGGGCAATCTGGAACCTTATCTGAATTTTCTCCCCCTTTCCCAAGTCAACAACAAGTTTGGGCTTCGCTGTAAGAACTGCAAAACCAACATCCATGAACACTGTCAGTCCTATGTGGAAATGCAGAGATGCTTCGGCAAGATCGTGAGTAGGCTGTGGAGAGCAAGGAGGGGACATGGCCACGCGTGGTGGCTCACGCCTGTAATCCCAGCACTTTGGGAGGCTGAGGTGGGCGGATCACGAGGTCAGGAGATCGAGACCATCCTGGCTAACACAGTGAAACCCCGTCTCTAAATACAAAAAATTAGCCGGGCGTGGTGACAGGTGCCTGTAGTCCCAGCTACTCAGGAGGCTGAGGCAGGAGAATGGCGTAAACTCGGGAGGCGGAGCTTGCAGTGAGCCGAGATTGTGCCACTGCACTCCAGCCTGGGTGACAGAGCGAGACTCCGTCTCAAAAAAAAAAAAAAAAAAAGAGGGGACATGTCACCAGCCAGCTACCCCTTGCTGGTCTCTCCTCCATCCCATTCATTTCTCTGCTTTTTCTTTCTCAGCCCATCTCTTTTTCTGAGAAAGGGTGAGCACTCCTGGGAGAGATAGGCTTCTGGACCTTACTTTGCTACCTCTAATGCTTCCTCTCATCCCATCCTACAGCCACCTGGTTTCCATCGGGCCTATAGTTCCCCACTCTACAGCAACCAGCAGTACGCTTGTGTCAAAGATCTCTGTAAGTGCCCTTTATGGAACATGAGGGAATGGGCAAGCCTAGAGATGGTTTCATGCCATCTCTAGCTTTGGGAGCCAAATTCTGAAACAGAAACTTTCTGTTTCCCATAATTCTCCCTCAACCTCACATTTTTATATCCATTTGGATGCAGAGGCAATATCCCCATTTTACAGCAGAGGGAGATACGATTTAGTTGCAACTACATACAGTTAGCAAGAGGTAGAGCCAAGACTGGAATCTTCAGTTGCTAGCTTCAGAATCTGTGCTCTTTGTGTGCAAAATCATTTCTAAGCAAGAACAAGGATTCTAGATTGTCCTCATCCTTACTACAGAGTCATATCAGACTCGGGGCAAGACCCAAAGGCTGCAGGCACCCTGGGCAGGTTCATAATTTGGCAACCCAGGCCGGGCGCGGTGGCTCACGTTTGTAATCCCAGCACTTTGGGAGGCCGAGGCGGGTGGATCACGAGGTCAGGAGATCGAGACCACGGTGAAACCCCGTCTCTACTAAAAACACACAAAAATTAGCCGGGCGTGGTGGCAGGCGCCTGTAGTCCCAGCTACTCGGAGAGGCTGAGGCAGGAGAATGGCATGAACCCGGGAGGCGGAGCTTGCAGTGAGCCGAGATTGTGCCACTGTACTCCAGCCTGGGTGACAGAGCGAGACTCCGTCTCAAAAAAAAAAAAAAAAAAAAAAATAATAATAATAATAATAATAATAATTTGGCAACCCTTAAAAACATATTCATTGACAAATTTGCTCAACATTTATTTGGAGGAGAGGCTGAACTCTGTGAAGAGCATGGGTGAAAAAGAAGAACCTATTGGTGGCAGCACCTCAGCTTACACATGCCATTTAGCAGAACAAAAGCCAGCAGTTAAGGGCCCATTCTCCTTAGAAGGAGAATAGTGATTCTGCGCATGTCTCAGCTCCCAAGCAAGCAAAGTTGTGTTTCAAACATCATATAATGCTCTGCCTGGAAGGAGTTCTAATAAATACTTTCCTCCCTCACTTTACATCACCAGTGATGTTTTTAAAGTCCTTTATAGATTGGTGTCCTGGGTATTGCCTAGCTGACCCTTCCCTAATCTTCCCCGCGGCGCCCCCACCGCCACCCAACACACACATGGGTATCCATCTACTCAATCCCACCTCTCCCTTCCTTTCCTCCAAGCCTTTCTCTGCCTTCCCAATAATGTCTTCTTTCTCCTCCCATTCGATTAGCTGCTGCCAATCGCAATGATCCTGTGTTTGAAACCCTGCGCACTGGGGTGATCATGGCAAACAAGGAACGGAAGAAGGGACAGGCAGATAAGAAAAATGTGAGCACTGTACCTCCCCACGAGGTCCCTCCCAGAGATCCCATGGAGCAGGTCATTTTCCCATTTGGAAAGCTGACAGAAGTAATGGATTGTCTTCCCCTAAAATTGCACAAAACTCGGCCAGGCATGGTGGCTCACGCCTGTAATCCCAGCACTTTGGGAGGCCGAGGTGGGCAGATTACCTGAGGTCAGGAGTTCGAAACCTGCCTGGCCAACGTGGTGAAACCCTGTCTCTACTAAAAATACAAAAATAAAAATAAAAAATCCGGGTGTGGTGGTGCTCGCTTGTAATCCCAGCTACTTGGGAGGCTGAGGCAGGAGAATCGCTTGAACCCGGGAGGCAGAGGTTGCAGTAAGCCACTGCACTCCAGCCTGGGGGAGAAAGTGAGACCCTGTCAAGAAAAAAAAAAAAGGAAGGAAGGAAGGAAAGGAAGGAAGGAAGGGAAAAGAAAAGATAAATGTACATATCTGATCAAAAAAATCAACTGCAAAAAACAACTAGAAATCTGGCCTCAAACTTGTTGATATGGAGGTTGGACACAGATAAGGGATTTCTATGGAGTGAATTAATGACTTGTAAGGCACTAGCAATGTGATATGGCTGCTTCCAGAAGGGCTAACATACTCTTGGGTTATATTCTTTTAAGGGAATTATAAAAATTGTGCTGCTCTTTTTTTTTTTTTTTTTTTTTTTGAGATAGAGTTTCGCTCTTGTTGCCCAGGCTGGAGTGCAATGGCACGATCTCGGCTCACCGCAAACTCTGCCTCCCGGGTCCAAGCGATTATCCTGCCTCAGCCTCCCGAGTAGCTGGGATTACAGGCATGTGCCACCATGCCTGGCTAATTTTGTATTTTTAGTAGAGAGGAGATTTCTCCATGTTGGTCAGGCTGGTCTCGAACTCCCGACCTCAGGTGATCCGCCCACCTCGGCCTCCCAAAGTGCTGGGATTACAAGCATAAGCCACCGCGCCTGACCATGCTGCTCACTTTTTACTTACACACTGGAGTATTTTTAAAGGCTGACAGCATAGTCAAGGACCTGGAATCTGGTAGTGAATTCCCTGTTATTTAGCTACATTCAAGCAGAATGTGGGTGACCCACCTGATAGGATGTTTTAGGGAAAGTCCCTGCATGGCCGGGCACAGTGGGTCACGCCTGTAATCCCAGCACTTTGGGAGGCCGAGGCTGGTGGATCACGAGGTCAGGAGATTGAGATCATCCTGGCTAACACGGTGAAACCCCGTCTCTACTAAAAATACAAAAAATTAGCCGGGCGTGGTGGCAGGCGCCTGTAGTCCCAGCTACTCAGGAGGCTGTGGCAGGAGAATGGCGTGAACCTGGAGGCGGAGCTGGCACTGAGCCAAGATTGCGCCACTGCACTCCAGCCTGGGTGACGGAGGGAGACCCGTCTCAAAAAAAAAAAAAAAGTTCCTGCATTAGGCAGATGGCTGAACTAGATATTTCCTCCAAGGCCTCTTCCAACTCTGAGATCTCTGAGATCCCATTATTCTATAGTTCTCTGACCTGATTATAGACAGCCAGGGCATGTGTTCCCAAGACAGCGTCTCCCTAACTCTGGTGCCCCCTCCAGCCTGTAGCAGCCATGATGGAGGAGGAGCCAGAGTCGGCCAGACCAGAGGAAGGCAAACCCCAGGATGGTGAGTGTTACCCACCTCCATCCAGAGATGGAGTAGGATCAGAGGCTCAGCTGTGGAACAGAGGGTGGAGGAGCAAAGGGCAGGCCAGCTTTGGATAGACGAGGCCCTTCCACAAAAGGGTAAGAGAATAAGAATTGCCCTCCAGGAGACAGACAATTTGTTGGTGTTTCCTATCCCAGGAAACCCTGAAGGGGATAAGAAGGCTGAGAAGAAGACACCTGATGACAAGGTAAGAATCCTTCCTCCCTGCAAGGAACCCAGTTCTCTCCCCAACCCAGCTCTGACACCACTACTCATGGCCCTGGCAGAAGCTCACTCTTTAACTCCTAGGCTTCCCATCACTTCTGACCCACACTCTCCATCAACTTGCACACCCACCCACGACCAAAACACTTCTCTCAGTTCAGGGACCTAGAAGAGAGTTGGAGTGTAGAGTGTGTGGTGAATGTCCCTGCCTTGGAATCCTGCCCCTCAGTGTGGGGTAGAGGAGCCCTAAGACTCATCATTCCCTTGCACCCCCAGCACAAGCAGCCTGGCTTCCAGCAGTCTCATTACTTTGTGGCTCTCTATCGGTTCAAAGCCCTGGAGAAGGACGATCTGGATTTCCCGTGAGAGGCCTTGGGGCAGGGGGCTGGTACTGCGGAGTGAAGAGGAAAGAGCTGGGTTCCCCCAAGGGAAAGGAAAAGGGGGGACTCAGGGCTTGGAGCCTATTGATGCTGGACCCGGGGCACAGCAGGGGACCTGCTATGTGAGTGAGGCCCCTCCCTTCCCCTCCCAGGCCAGGAGAGAAGATCACAGTCATTGATGACTCCAATGAAGAATGGTGGCGGGTGAGAGAAATGGCTAGGGCTAGGGTGGAGTGTGGGTTGAGTCCAGAACCCGACATTGAGAGATGGACTCTCCCTACTATCTTCCCTAGGGGAAAATCGGGGAGAAGGTCGGATTTTTCCCTCCAAACTTCATCATTCGGGTCCGGGCTGGAGAACGTGTGCACCGCGTGACGAGATCCTTCGTGGGGAACCGCGAGATAGGGCAGATCACTCTCAAGAAGGACCAGGTAGGCTGTTGCCCCAACCCAATCCCAGGCCTGAATGCTCCCTAGCCCACCACACTCCTTGGAGAGCTTAACCATTAATAAGACTAGGGTGAGCCCCTGTAAACCCCGGCTCCCCTGCTGTCCTCTCCTACCTTTTCCTTTGATTCCTCTCCTACTTCTGATCCTTTAATCTTCTAGATCGTGGTGCAGAAAGGAGACGAAGCGGGCGGCTACGTCAAGGTCTACACCGGCCGCAAGGTGGGGCTGTTTCCCACCGACTTTCTAGAGGAAATTTAGGCGTGCGGGCGCCTGCAAGCGGGAGACACCCACACCCCATTCTGGGCGGGCCCAGTGGAGTTTGGGGAGGGGGGCGAAAGCAACGGGACTGCTGGGAGAGGAGGGGTAGGAAGGCCCGCCTGAGCGCGACGGGGCTTCCGGGAAGGGACTGGTTCTCGCCCCCTTCCCCAGCCTGGGGCCTCGGATACCTGCTGCCCAGAGCAGCCCGGACCCGAAACCTTTCAGGCCCCGCTTGCAAGAGCTGGAAAAAAACGCGTATCTACTAGGAGGAGCCAGGGACTGGGGCGGGGGGCGGGGGCGAGGGAGGGCGAACTGTCGAATGTTGCGAATTTATTAAACTTTTGACAAAACTTAGAAAAGTTGTTATTTAACTGGGGTTGAGGAGAGGGCCTGCGGAGGGGTGGAGAATCCTCCCTAGCTGTCCCGCCTCGTTACCATCGGGTAACCTGAGACCCATCTGGGCTGAGGTTGGCGGGAGGTGGGAAGTGCGCCCGCCAGGTGAGGCCTCTGTAGTCAGTAAAGAAAGGGGAGCGCAGGGCTGGAGTCGCCGCCCCCGCGCCCCAGCGGTTGGGAGCAGGATCTTGTAGTAGGGTAAGTCCCCCCTTGCTCTTGGCGATTTAGCCGCAGGCAGCCCCTTGCATTTCGGAATCTGGCTTGGCGCCGAGCTAGGCCGCCAGGGGGCGATGCAAGATCTCGGTTGGAGAGCGAGGGATGGGGAGGGGGTGGAGGGTGGGTAAGGGGAGACAACCAGAGACACCAAGCCCGAGACCCTGGGCCTGGGAGGGGGTGGGGTGCGTGCCGTCTCCATGGCAACACTTCCTCAAGTCCTCCGAGAACCGAGCTAGCTAGGCCGGGGGCCTAACCCCACCCGCGCGGCCCCTGCCCTAACCCTTTCCGACAGGTACCGAGTGAGAACGGAGGGCAGACAGCTAACCGGCTCTCGCGGAGACACCCCTGCGGAGCACCGTATGCAAATGTTATTATTTGCATATGCAAATATGCAAATACGCCGGCCCTGGTCAGGGCGGCAGGTGGCGAGGAGCAGGAAGGTGTGGGGAAGGGAGCAGAAGGAGACGAGGAGTTTGGGGACCTGAGAGCGGACCCAGTGAGAGGCAGGCTGGGGTGGTCGCTGGAGTGGGGCAGGCGTGTGTGGGGGGGGTCTTGAGCTCGATGCCGGGTGGGGGAGGGTCGGCTTGGCCAGCCAGGAGCTCCTCTTCTCGTCTGCCCGTTGTCTGCCAGGACCGAGGTTGGCACCGCCTAGCAAGGTTGGCAGCGGGAGCCCGGGCACCATCTGCTGCTGGCGGGGGGAGGGCAGAGGCTCAGCTGGGCTGGGGAAGAGGAGGCCTGGGACGGGCGCGCCCCCCTTCCAGAAGGCTGAGGTGTGATGGGGGTAGGGAAGCACACAAGAAGACTCTGCAGAACCGGGTTCAGTTTTCTGTTCCCTTTGCCCTTGACGGTCCCGGATGCCTGAGGGGGTGGGGGCGGAGTCATTAAAGAAGACCCCCCCCTTTAATCGCGATTGAGCTGGAATAGGAACAGATCACAGGCAAACACACACACCAACCACACGCAAATCAAGCATTCTGTCCTTATCCTTCCTTGAAATCCACCTACCAGGAATGTATGAGGGGAGGGACCGCGAGGGCTCGGGTCGTCTCTATTCATCAAGGTCTGAGGGACTCAAAATCAGAGCCCCCCGAGATCCTCGAGAGACCCCCGCCAATGCTAAGGCAAAACCAATTTACTGGCTCATTGGGCGGCAATGCTGGTGTGCGGATGCCGAGAAGCAGGGAGAGCGGCTGTTCTCCCCCAACACTCGGGGGGCGCCCCCCTCCCTAGCCTCACTGAGCCGGCAGCTGTCCCTAATTAGAGCGGCGGTTTAATTGGATTTATCAGCAGTTAATAGGAAATTAAGCAAAGGGCCCGAGAGAAGGGGGGCGGGAAAAGCGGGGAAACAGGCTGTGCTGAACTAGAAGGAGGGGTGCTAGGGTACCAGGGGTGGGGACATGTGACCCAGTGTCCCGATCGAGCCCCACGGTCACACCCTCCCGTCATTACTCACCAAGACTCTTAAGCCCTGGCCCGCGGGCCGGAGAGCAGGTCCCCAGAGAGGGCGGCAGGCGTGACAGCGACCCTATGTGAGCTCCCAGCGCCCTCCATCCCCCTAAACGGCGCCTGGGTGATGGATGATACTGCCGCATGCTGCAAAGGTCATAAGTCTGGGCCAAGGAGCAGACTGAATTGAAAACAGATCCGAGGAAGGGCCGGTACTGGGGTACAAGACAACCGGCACCCCAACCTCCTCCACTGCCCACTCTACTCAGCGCGCGCGCGCGCGCACACACACACACACGTGCCCCTTGAAGTTGGAAGACTGGGCAGCACGGGGGGAAAAGGCAGAGTACAGAGTGACCCTTTCTATAAACCCCACCAGCAGCAGTGTTGGGGATCCTGAGAATCTCTCGGTGCAGCTCCAGTGTTCCCTTTAGGCTCTCCCTCCACGAAACTGCCCGATTTGGGTCAGTGGGGTCCGCCCGGTCTGCTGCTCAGGGGCAGCCCAACGTCGGCGCTACCCGCCCTAGGGGCCAGTCAAGGAAGCTTGCAGACAGCTAAGCCCTGGTGCACGGGCCTCCTAGTCCACAGCCCCAGGCGCCTCCTGTCACCAAGACCTCATCATACTGCTAGGCTAACAAGGCCTGCTCCGGAGACCCTGACGACCTCCCTGCCACATTCCACCCCGCAGGGCACAGATGGCAACTCCTGCATATGCTAAGGTGTGCTAGCCTCTGAGTGGGTGTGGGTGGGCTCTCCGTGCCCCTGGCAATTATGGACGTCTGTATCTCCGGCGTGTGGTTAGTGTGTGTCCGTTTGTTCCCTGGGTATGTGAGGTGTGTCTACCTGAGCCCCAGGTGTGTCCGACTCTGTGCCCGGGTGTGTGTCTGTGCCCCTGAGTGTGTCTATATCTGTCGGGTTTGTCCACTTCCCCGTCCCCAGCTCCCATCTGGGTGATTTTGCCCGGGTGTGCCTCCGCGTGGGGGCGTTTCCGTGCGTCTCCGCCTGCAGGTCTGTGTATGTGTGAAAATCAGGAAGAGCCAGCGGGGAGTGTGTGTTGCCATCGCGTCTCCGCCTGCAGGTATGTGTGTCTCAGTGACAGTGCGTAGGCGTGTGCCTGGGTGTGAGCCGCGCGGCGGCGTGTATCCGAATGACAGTGTGACGCACGTGCGCGCGCGAGTGTGTGTGTGCGCGCGCCGGGGTGAGTCTCCCGCCCCCACTCCTTCCTTTCCCCATTTCTATTCCTCTCTCCTCTCCCGGCCAGCTCGGCTTCGCCATCCGCATCATCTCCATCCATTATTGAAGAAACAGCCGCGTCCGCTCCAATCACATCAACACCCCCGCCCCCTTTCCGTTCCGCTCGCCCAGCGGCCCTCTGGGTGCTGAGGAGAGGGGAAGCCAAGGCGCGGTGGGGGCGCCGGGTGGGAATGGGCTTATGACCCTTGCCCCAAGCCCGGCCAGGAGCCGGGACGCCGGGGTCCCCGGCGGAGAGCGCTTTGCATAAACAGATGGCGCGGGCGGCTTTGTCTCACTCGTTCGCTCACCGCGCAGCTCCCGGCTCCGCTTCTGTCTGGCTGATGCAATCATGATCATCTCGGTGCCTCGGGACCAGGCGCCCTTAATAATGGCAGAGGGGGGTCAGGGGCCCCGGGGCTCCCGAGCAGATGCTGGGCCCTGTGTCTTCCTTTCCGGGCGCCCCTCCACGTCCCACAGCCGCAGCGGGAAGATCAACGCTGCGCGGAGTTGACGGGCATGTGGAGGTGACCAGGATGAGGACCCCGGGCAGTGCCCCGAGGCGTCTCCGGGCTGCCCTGTTGGGCTGCTTCAGTCCCCAGAGGCAGCAACCCAGAGAATAGGAATAGAGCTGGGGAGTGGGGTTGGGGAGAGACAGAGATAAAGACAGAGACAAAGAGAGGCATTAGTAAAGAGAGACACAGTGAGATGGAGAGATGTGGAGGGAGGGAGCGAGACACAAAGAGACACAGAAAAACCGATGCAGAGGGACAAAGCCAGGTAGGGAAGGCAGCAAGAGGGAGAGCAGACAGACACAGCCAGAATAGGGAAGAGAGAGATGGACATACCCAGAGACAGGAAGCAGACAGAAGGCAGAAAGAACAAGAGGCAGAAAGAAGGGCAGCCAGAGGCTAGGACAGGCCGGGTCAGAGGGCTTAGGGCAATCTCGAATCTGCAGCCCAGAAGCAGAGATGAAGCCCCCGCCTCCCCGGCCCCCAGGCATCTGAGGATGCCCAACCCCAGAAGAGGAACCCGCCTGAACCCTGGGTGCCGATTGTGGCTGGAGAGATAGGAGCTTCCGCGTCCCCTCTCCGCCCTCCGGTCCCATCTCACACCAGAAGAGTGGAGGCTGCAGGACCCACTGTCTTGGAGGCGGGAGTGGCGGAGTGACGGGCTGGGCGTGGACGGACACTCCAGGCACCAACTTAGCGGCCCGAACGCCGGGAGTGCAGGGTCGACACTGCCCGACAGGGGGTGCCCAAGGCCTCTTCCCCGAGCTTGGGGGCCGCTCGGCCTCCAGGGGGCGCCCGAGCCCACGGCCCCTGCAACACGCTCGATCCGCTGAGTCCCGCTGCCTTTGACCCTCTGTGCAGCCAGCGCGCGGATTGGGATCCTGGTGCGGGTTAGCGCTTGGAGTCCAGTCCCAGCGGGATCCCGGGCCGTGCCTAATCTGCGGCTAATGACTCCTGCGGTCCCTCACCCCGCTGGGCCAGCGTGGCCTGAGTCCTCGTGGTGGGAAAGTGTGGGGAGCGAGGAGAGATGGGATCCGGAACCCAAGGAGTCCTGTATTCCAGATCGGCCCCATGGGCCACGAGCCAGAGACGGGAACCAAAGATGGAAGGGGGCTTAGAAATAAATTCACAGAGACAGGGACCAGAAGCAGGAGAAGGGTCAGAGAGTGGCGGAGAGGCGGAGCGGAGGCAATAATGTAACGTTGCATCTCGGTGAGCGGGGCGGAGGCCCAAGGCCGGAGGGACAGCGGCGGCTCTGGAAAAGGAGCGCGACGGAGAATTTGGGACCTGGCCGGGGTCACCGGAACTCAGAACAAAGGGCACAAGGAAGCAGGCGAGGGCCTGTGAGCAAAGGCGCAAGGACCAGGCGCCCCTTCCGGCGTCCTGGCTCCCCAGCTGTGCCACAGAGAACCAGATGTGCAGCCCAGTTGTGCGGCCGCTCGAGTTTGAGCTCTGGGATTGTTTTTTGGTCCCAGAGACTGGAGGGCTGGGGTGCGCGGGTGACAGGACACGCCCTCCCTTCCTGGGCCCTGGAGGCGCGGGCTCTCGGGAGGGCTGGGCTGCTGGAGGCTCTAACAGCCCGTCAGCCCCGCTCCCCCGCCCCCCCCACACACATCGCAGCGAGTCTCTGTCTCTTTGTTCTCGCCGTGTCTCTGACACTTTATCTCATTATCCGCCGGAGTGAGGCGGAGAGCCCGGGACCCCGCAGCCTAATTACAGCCGCGCTTGTCAGAGTAGGGGGCGGCGGAAGTATCAGCGAGAAGGAAAGGGAGGCGGACCCTAGAAAGCGCCCTCTCCCTCCCTGTACCCCGACGATCCCAGAGACGGGTGCATAGCTCGCTCCCGCCCGCGCCCTCCACAGGGCGGGCTCTGGAGGGGGAGGTGCTCTGCAGGATCGGCTGCGAGGAGGGAGGGGGTGGTGGAGGTTATCGTGGGAGTGGGGAGAGATATTAGGACTCGGTTCCTACGTCCCTAAGACCCAAATTCCCCAGAGACGGGGGCTGTGAGCCTCCCCACCCCAGCAGCACAGCACACACCTGAGATGGTTGAGGACAGGAGGGAATCGCTTGCATTTCTGTGTCTGTGTCTTGTTCTCTTTCAGCATCTGTCCGATCTTTCCTGTTTCCCCCACTCCATTCCCTTCCTATCCATCCCACAGCCAGAGGAAGTGGATGGCCTCCTTGGGCGGCCCCACCTTTACCCTACCCCAGGTAGGCAGAGCAAGCAAGTCTCTCAAGCCTCACTGCCATGACTGTGGTAGAATAAATAAACTGGCGTATTCTATCCTGAGCCATGATTAACATACACCTGGTTCTTCCAGCCTCCAACCGCAATTCCAGTCCAACCACAACCTGAAGAAACCACTCAGAACAAGAGGGGCTGGGGGAGCTTTACGGTGTGGGCCTGTCTTCCTCCTTCCCCCACTACACTGTGGAGGGGACAGAACCAGGGTTCTCAGGACCCGCTCCTGGACAGCTCTAAGGGTGTCAGGGAAGTGCTGCACATGCCCTCACTGGCCTTAGCCCCTCCTGGTCCCACCTGTGAACATTCCACACATGCATTTTGCTAAGTGCCTGTCCCATGGCCATGCCTCCTCCCACATCTTATGGGGTCCTATGCCACTGAGGTCCTTCCCTCAGATGCCAGAAGCCCCAAGAATGATGGTGTCCCTTGGTCCAGGTGCAGACATCTGGAGGAGAGAGTCGGAGAGCAGAAACCACTTGGCTCCCAGACAATTCCCCTACAGGCTTTGGGCCTGGAATTGAGGAGAAAGTGAGCTAAGTTGGGGTGGGGTGAGTCCAAAGAAGCACGGGCTGGGCCAAGCTAAGCTGCTCTGGGCTGGGCTGATCCCTCCCCACTCAGGGGCGGGACCCCAGGAGGAGGGAGAGGACAGAGCCACTGCAGAGGACCAGACTGGGAAAACAACGATATGGCAGGAGCCAGTCTTGGGGCCCGCTTCTACCGGCAGATCAAAAGACATCCGGGGGTGAGTCCTCAGAACCTCAGAACCTCTAACTCCTAACTCTCCTGCTGCCCCACCCTCCAAATCCCCCAATGCCTTGCCTTGTGCCCAGGTCCCTCAGCGCTCCTATTCTTCCCCTAAGGTTGCCCCAGTCTCTCTCCGAAACGTCCCTGTGTCCCACAAATCTACTACCTTGGACACGATCGCTGTAGGGTGAGGGAGACCATGCCAGGAAATATGGTTGTAGGAGATTCCAGGGAGGGAGCACCAGACCCGGGGTGGGGTTGGGGTGGGCAGAAAAGCTTGTAAAGGGTGACTGGGAACTGCGGGGAGAGGGCTGACCCCAAAAGTGCTCTCCCTCTTCCCCGCAGATCATCCCGATGATCGGCTTAATCTGCCTGGGCATGGGCAGCGCTGCGCTTTACTTGCTGCGACTCGCCCTTCGCAGCCCCGACGTCTGGTAAAGGCACGGCTTGGGATGCTCACGGGGGCCTGGGTGAGGCAAGATGGGGTGGAAATAGGCGGCCCTAGTGGGGATCCCGTGCCCTGCTGCATGCACCTTCGACTGTACCGACCGGCATCTCAGGGCTGGAGCCCACTGCTGACCTGGGAGACCCCCGTATCCCCTCCAGCCCACCTGGCCGCTCACTCCTCAGCTTGGCCCGCCCTGAAATGCGGAACCCGCGCCTCTCCCGGCCGGGTTGCCATGACGACGCCGCTCAGCCAGCGGTGGGCTTGGGCTTTTGGGTACCTCTAAGTCCTCACCAGAGCACTGGGGTTGTGGCCGGGTGAGCTGCTGGGGGTGGCATTGGGGACCAGTGTGGGGCGGAGATTTCACACCCGGCCGCGGAGAGGGTCCGGAAGTGAAAGGCGCACCCATGGCTTTATAATTCCCGGCACATCACCAGAAACCCAGCCCCTTGGGATCTGTGTCTGATTCCCACGACTCTGCTCTTAGGGTTAACCTAGGGTGGCAGGCAGCAAGTGGGAGTCCCTGGGCCCCGTTGTCAGTTTGTCACGCAGCCCCATGCTGACAATGGTGACAGGCTTCTTGTCTCACTTGTCAGCACCTGCTAATATGACCGTTCCTTTGTCAGTATCTGGGAAATGGGACCCCCAGGGCAGGAGGCAGGGGTACTGGGGTGGGGCCAGAGCCTCCGGGTGGAGCTTGGGGGTCAAATTGGGTTACAGAGTTCTGGGTCCCAGGGAGGAGACCCTAACCCTCCCCCCTCCTGCTCCACAGCTGGGACAGAAAGAACAACCCGGAGCCCTGGAACCGCCTGAGCCCCAATGACCAATACAAGGTACCTCTCGATGGCTCTAGGGTTGCCCCCCATCCTCTTATCTCCTGGTCCTGGCACCCACAACTCCCGTACTAGAAGCAAAGGGAGGCTTGGGGTACTCAGCGCAACCCCCTTTCCCTCTCCTCTTAGTTCCTTGCAGTTTCCACTGACTATAAGAAGCTGAAGAAGGACCGGCCAGACTTCTAAGCCAGGCTGGGCTGCCAGTGCCATGCAAGCCACAGCCAGCCAGCCCATCCACTTCTTCCACTCCTCCCCGCAGGCCCCAAGGCATCACTCCGGCCACCCTGTCCCGCTACTGCTTACACAGGCCGGGTTCCCACGCAGAGGGGAGGCTGCTCCACCCCTACTCTCCTCCCTTGCTCCCAGCAGCGGAAGCGCCTCTGACCCTTGGCTTGAGTCCCACGTGGGGGAGGAGGAGGCAGGCAGCACCAGCAGGGGTCCACCAAGAGCCCAGACCAGCCCCTCTGCCCTCCTACCCGGGCCTCGAAGGGTGTGGCACAGGCTACGTGTTGAGCGTGGCCTACGTGAGCCAACAAGAAGCAGGGGCCTCTGAGTGCCAAGCGACGTGGCGGGCTCCACGTTAGCCCAGGCTCTGAGAGCCAGCCCAGGGGCGGCGCTGCTCAGCTTGGGCTGGTCCAGGGCCTGCCCAGGCTGGGGCACCTTTGCCTCCTGAGGCGCAGCGCACTCCTCCCCTGCCCAAGCCTACTGCCTCCCGCTGCCGCCAGTACCCCCTCCAGCCCCACACCTGGGCCTCCCCCTGCCACTCCCCTCCCTTGCTCCCCTCTGTCCCCAGGGATCAAACAGAAGCAGCCGTGGGCAAAATACAATTTCATTTAACAAATTGAATTTGCTGCGCCTGCTAATCACGTCTGGTGTCGGCTCTGATCAGAGACAGAAAGAGGAGGCTGCAGCCCCGGGGGTCCTTGTGGTAGCGGTGGTGGGAGCGGAGCGGTGTACACATTGAGGGAGACAAATCACTGTTTGGCCCAGGGGAACCCCACCCACAGTAATGGAAACTCAGGGCAGGTTAGCATTTTATTAGATAAAAACAGGAAGGAGGGTGCCTACCCACCCCTGCCTGCTACTGGCTCTGAAGGGCACTCCTCAACTTCCCCAAGAAAGAGGACGCGTCTCTGACACTGTGATCATGACAGGGGTTCAAACAGAAAGTGCCTGGGCCCTCCTTCTAAGTCTTGTTACCAAAAAAAGGAAAAAGAAAAGATCTTCTCAGTTACAAATTCTGGGAAGGGAGACTATACCTGGCTCTTGCCCTAAGTGAGAGGTCTTCCCTCCCGCACCAAAAAATAGAAAGGCTTTCTATTTCACTGGCCCAGGTAGGGGGAAGGAGAGTAACTTTGAGTCTGTGGGCCTCATTTCCCAGGTGCCTTCAATGCTCATCAAAACCAGGCATGGGGAAGGCCCTGGCAAACTGCTCCACCCGTTGCCTGAGGTTGGCCAGACGCTGACTTGTTTCTGAGTCCTTAAGCAGGAAGGATTTGAAATCCTGGAGCTTGGCTAGAGAGAGAGGGTGAGGAAACAAGTGGTCAGAGCTCTAGGGAAGGCAGTGAGATCAGCTGGGGGAGGGAGCAGACAGTGAGTGGGAACTGGCTGGCCCGGGGCTCCTTCTTGCTCACTCACCAGTCTTGCTCTTCACCTCTAAGCCAATGTTGACCCCTTCATCTATAAAGTCCACAACTCTCCGGAAGTCATCCTCACGGAACTGTCGAGAAGTTAAGGCTGGGGCCCCTGGAACGAGGCACAAGGGGAGGGATGAGCATAGCCCAAGGTCACCTGGCAGTCATCCAGCATGGGAGCCCCTTCCCTCCTCAAACCCCAGGTCTCACCAAGCCGCAGGCCGCCCGGTGTGATGGCACTTCGGTCTCCAGGACAGGTGTTCTTGTTGGCAGTGATGGATACAAGCTCTAGCACCCGCTCAGCCCGAGCTCCATCCAGGCCCTTGGGCCGCAGGTCCACCAGCACCAGGTGGTTGTCAGTACCACCTAAGGTGGGTAAGAAATGGGGAGTGGTGAGTCCTGGGCCTCTGCCTGAAGCTACAGAGGCCCTCACCCATCACCTGCTGGCTTACCTGATACCAGTGAGTAGCCTCGCTCTAGCAGGGCATCTGCCATGGCCCGAGCATTCTTCAGAACCTGCAGGGAGTACTCCCGGAACATGGGGGTGCAGGCCTGGAGATGAGACAGTAGCAGCTGTCACCCTAGGCCTGGACCCAAGCCCTGCACTACCCTCTGGCCCTGCACCCTCAGCATAGCTCTGTGACCCCAGCCTTGACTCCTTCCATCCTGGCATTTCCCTTCCATCAGCCCCAGCATCAGTTAGCAAGGTGCAGGGTCTAAGCCTCCAGGCCATTGCCCCCCCACACCCTACAAAGACAGGATCCCCAACCTGCTTTAGGGCCACAGCTACTGCAGCAATGGCATGATTGTGGGGGCCCCCCTGCAGGGATGGGAACACGGCAAAGTTGATTCGGTCCTCAAATGTGTAAGGGATCTCCCGGCCAGTCTTGGGGTCCACAGCCTTCACCCCTTTCCGGTAGAAGATGAGCCCTGACCTGTGTGAGAGGTGGATGGTCAGAGTCTAAGCTGAAAAGAAGGACAAGGGACAGAGAAGGCAGAGGAAGCTGGCGGACCTGGGCCCCAAGGGCACAGCTCACGTGGGCTTGGTACACTGGATTCCAGTGGTAGAGGGAATCAGCCCCTCAATCCCATCCACAAATCCCCTGCCAGGGCATGGCCACCATGGGCAAGAGAAGGAGAACTCTCACAGACTGGGCAGGAGTCTTAAGGGCTGCAGGTGGGAATGAATTCCTCTCAGGTCCAGGCCAACAGTGCCCCAGGAATAGGCCTGAAGGCAGGGAAAGGCAAGGCCCGACCTCAGGGAGCCTGACCTGGCCCCTCGAAGAGTCTTGTGAGTAGTGGTGGTGACGATGTCCGCGTGCTTGAAAGGCGAGGGAATCACCTTGGCAGCCACCAGGCCACTGATGTGGGCCATGTCTGCCAGCAGGTGTGCTTTGACTTCATCACACACCTGGGCAGGTACAGAGGCAAGGCCTCAGCCTGGGGAGGGCCCGGAGAGGCCTGCCCAAGGCTGCCCTCCTCCCACACCTCCTCACCACCCCCTGGGGAGGTGCCCAGTCTCCAGCCCCCCCCACCAACCTCTCTCATGCGGGCGTAGTCAATGAGGCGAGCATAGGCGCTGGTGCCAGCTATGATGAGCCGTGGCCGGAAAAGTCGAGCAGTCAGTGCCAGCTGGTTGTAGTCAATGAGGCCAGTTTTGGGCTGGACAGACACACAAACAGCTAAAGCCCTGAGAAGGAAGCAGGGCAGCTCACTCTCCTCCTTAACCCTAAGGACGGCCCGGCGCTCCAGGCCCTCAGCTTCTCCAGGGGAGGACCACCACCAGGGCCAAGAGCCCCTCCCCACACCCTAGAGCACTCACGTTGAGCTTATAGGGCATAGACTCGAAGAAGATGGACGTGGCTGATATCCGCTTGACGTCAGACATGTAGCCGTGGGTGAGACTGCGAAGTGAGAGGAAGTAAGAAGGCCTGGGTGGAAGGACCCCCGGACTTAACCACTCCCTTCAACTCCACAGTTCTCTGTCCCCAGAACACCAGTCCTAGGACACACCGCCTCACTGCTCTGTCCACTCTGTGGTAGGCACTATAACTGGGATCTTATCTTCCTCATCCACTGTGACATGCAGGACAGGGCAAGGCCTGTTCCATCTGTATGGTCCACAGTAGGTATTCAATAAATAACTCCTTTCCCACACCAATCCTGCCGCCAAGACCATCAGCCAGCCCATCCATACTCACTGGCCCCCATCGGGCAGGTCCAGCCCCATGATCCGGTCGTGAGGTTGCAGAAGGGCTGTGTAGACGGCCAGGTTGGCTGGGGACCCGGAGTAGGGCTGGACATTGACTCCCCACTGTGCAGGATCCAGGTCAAAGGCTTCCAAGGCCCGGCGCTGGCACAGCAGCTCAATTTCATCCACCACCTCTGCTCCCCCATAGTATCTGCCGTGGGAGAGGGGTAATGAGGGCACAGAGAAAGGACTCTCAACCATCAGCAAAGGACTGGGAAGTTCACTCCTCAATGAACACTGGGAAGGTACAGGTGGGTTCCCCCACTGGGAGCACCATCCCTGACACTGCCCTCCAGCCCTCACCTCTTGCCAGGATAACCCTCCGAGTACTTGTTGTTCAGACAGGACCCCAGGGCCTCCAGCGCAGCTCGGCTGCAGAAGTTCTGGGGTGGTGGGGGGCAATGTCAGAAGGTATTGAGCCCCTTCCCCTGGACTCCCACAGTCCCTCCCTGCCAGAGCCAGAGCTGAAAGCGGGAGTACTCCCTGCAGAAAGCTCCATTCACTCAGCACCAGGCCTGGGGCAAAGCCAGAGGCAGCATTCTCAGAAACCCATCTGCCATGAGCAGTGGCCCCTCAATGCCACCTACCCACTCAAACTTGTGCTTCTAGGCTCCTCCTTCCTCATAGGAGGAAGGAAGGAAGGGATCAGATGAAACTGTAGGGACCCTGGAGGCTCCCTAAATGTCCCAACCCCATAAACTGGACTTGCACTGCCTTTGCTTGAGGGAGATAAGAAAGGAAGATAAAGCCCAAAGAAAGGTCCTGAGTGTGAAAGGGGGTTTTGGAGAAATATCAGTTAAGATAACTTTGTTACTTCCTGTACCCATGGTGGCCCAACCCCTGCCCATCTCCCCAGGTCCCACCTCTGAGGCAATGAGCTCCAGGCCACGACACTGCCTGTCCTTCTCCCTCTGCAGCAACTCCCACATCTCAGGATCACTGTCCGACAGGCTCTCCTGGCCTGTCCAGCCCCTGTTTGCTTCCCCAGTCTGAGTCTGGGCTGCGTTGCTGTGCTGAGCCCGAATGGCCATCCTGACCAGCTGCCCACATCTCTGCAGAGGCTGAAGGCAGGAAAAGTCAGGGTGAAATCACAACAGTCCAGACAAATCGTCTCCCGGCCACCCTCACTCATGCTTCTAAGGCCACACCAAGCTGCCAGTTGTCCAGCCAGCCTGTTTCAGTTCTCACTACCCCCACCTCCACCTTCAAAAGCCAGTTCTGGAGCCAAGCTTGAGATCAACGTCCAAGGGGTGGTTCTGATTTGCTCCATTCACCGCACCGCACCTCAGAAATCTCCCACCACCTCACTCCATGAACCACTCTGCAAAGCTTGTCCTCCAAAAGCCTATGTCTCCCCAACTCCAGAGAGGGCAACTGAGATTCCAGAACCTTCCCACCCACAGGAACAAGAGGGTCTTCCTGCAGGGCACCATAAACTGATACCCCAGTCAGCGGGGGAAGAGGCAGAGTTGGCAAGGGCTGAGGCCACAGATTGTAGAGCAATGCAGGTGGGAGGGGAGACCTTTAGCAGTCCGTGAGGAAGAGCTGTGTGGGAGTGGTGGGGGTGGGGATCTGCCCGAGAGTAAGCCAATACCCTTTCCCCTTACTTAGCCCCCTACCCGTTCCACCTCCTTCCAGCCCTCACTGCCGCCGGGACCCCTGCCTGATGCAAGCAGTGAAGCTCGGTTGCATCATCTGCAGGGCTCAGAGCTGGCCGGAAAGGCTCAGCTTGTGAGACCAGGCCGAAAACTCCGCTCATTTGCCAGCACCGGGTCCGCGGGGCATCCGGGGCTGTCCTCTCCCCTAATGCCACGTGAAATGGGCGGTCACGAGGCCCTGGGGCGTCTGATCGCCAGAATGAGGACAGGCTCGCAGTTAACTCCACGCGCGCCCAGGGGTCTTGGGGATTCCCCAGTTACACGTCCGCTCCCTGAGGCCCCAATCCACGTGCATGGAAAAGCCAAGAGAACCCCAGAGTTTGTGACTAGGAACTAAGGTAGGAGAAGAGCTTCCTTTCCACTGATTACCCAGCGTTTGGAGCCCCATTCTTACCCGAGCCGCCCAAAACAAAGAGAAGTACAGCATCGCAACTCGGAAGTCGCAGGAGGTCCAGCCACCAACTCTGGTCTAGGGCAGCAAGCTGTCGGAAGAAGACCGTTCGGAGAACGCATGCGCGAGAAGAGCTCGCTGAGGCGCCAAAGCTAACGGGAGGGATCTACGCATGCGTAGTGGTGGCCCCTTTGTGGCCTTTTGGGAATTGTAGTTCGCCCACTCACCGCTTTTTTCTTTATGATTCCCGTCTGTAGCCCCAGGGTTAGAGGCCCTTGCCTGGGGGGAAAAAAACAAAAAACAAAAACAGAGGTCCAGTGCCGCCCCCTCTCCTTACTATCTTGAAGCTTTTCAGGGTTTTCTCTCTGCTTGTTGTCAAGACAAACGTTTATAGGGTGCCTACTGAATATCTAGCTAGCATTATTAGACTCCAGGAGATCTAGACCCCCACACAAGATAAAGAGCTATGGAACACTGGAAAGCACCGTGGTTTAGAAGGGTCGGAAGACCTGAATTCAAGTTCCGGCTCTGGGACTAGTGCATTAGCTTGTGTGGGCTTCAGTTTCCTCCCTGGTAAAGCCACAAGAAAATACTGTGTGGTGAGGATTCAATGAGGCTTTTCCTGTGAACATGCGCTGTGACAGATTGTCCTCCCCTCTTCCTCTGACCCACAGACCTGCCTCCTACATGGCATCTCCTCTTTCTCCTCAGACATCTGGGAGCAGAGGAAGGCACCCCTCCTGTTGTTCACTTGTCCCATTTTGTTACCTGTCCACCTCTTGATGTCCCAGGAGTCGGTGGGCTCTCCTTTTTTCCCCAGGGCTATAGATCTTTGAGACTGGAAGGGATCTTCCTTTTAGCCTGACTTCATCCGGAAGAAACCCTTGGGAATGGGATTCATCAACCCCTCCAGGAGTAGGTTCCCAAACCTCAGCATCAGAATGGGTTAGAAAATATGATATAAATATGAGTGTGGGGTCTGTCTTCAGAGGTTCTAATTCAATGGATCTCAAAGAGTAGACATTTGCCCACTTATGCTGTCACACAACTAAACCTCTCCTCAGTGATTCTGATAAGCCAAGTTTTTTTTTTTAATTAAAAAAAAATTTTTGGCTGGGCATGGTGGCTCATGCCTGTAATCCCAGCACTTTGGGAGGCCAAGGCAGGAGAATCTCTTGAGGCCAGGAGTTCTAAACCAGCCTGGTCAACATAGTGAGACCCTATCTCTACAAAAGGAAAAATTTTAAATTACCTAGGCATGGTGGTATGTGCATGCAGTCCCAGCTACTGGGAAGGTTGAGGCAGGAGGGTCACTTGAGCCCGGGAGTTCAAGGTGAGCCATGATCAAGCCACTGCACTCCAGCCTGAGCAAGAGAGCAAGACTGTCTTCAAAAAAAATTTTTTTTGTTTTTTGTTTTTGAGACGGAGTCTCATTCTGTCACCCAGGCTGGAGTGCAGTGGCATGATCTTCACTCACTGCAACCTCTGCCTCTGGGTTCAAACAATTCTCCCTGCCTCAGCCTCCTGAGTAGCTGGGATTACAGGCGCCCACCACCACGTCCAGCTAATTTTTATATTTTTTAGTAGAGACGGGGTTTCACCATGTTGGTCAGGCTGATCTTGAACTCCTGACCTCAGGTGATCCGCCTGCCTTGGCCTCCCAAAGTTCTGGGATTACAGGTGTGAACCACCACGCCAGGCCAAAAAAATTGTTTTTTAAAGGCCAGTCAAGTGAAGCAGTGGGAGTGAAGAAGAAACAAAGAAACCTGTAACTGATTATGATCAATTATCATAATGTAACTGATTATGATCAAGTAAACATCACTGCACTTGGACCAGCCTGTTAAGCAGTGGTTTTGCGAATCATTGCCTTATGTAGCAATGTTACTCTATGCCAGGCATTCCATAGCCCTGGAGATACATGAAGAGCTCACTGGCTGCTAGGATACCAAGAGGTGAACAGGTAACAAAGTGTGACAAGTGCAATGACAGGAAGACACACCTAACTCTGCTCTCAGATGTCCAGCTGTATGAGGAAGAAGAGGAGGAGGCAGAGGAAGAGGGGAGGACTATCCAGCACAGCAGCATGTTCACAGGAAAAGCCTCATAGAATCCCCACCACACACTATTTTACTGTAGCTTTACAAGTGGGGAAACTAAGGCCCAGATGGGCGAATTTGTTAATTCCAGCCGTTCCCACCTGGTTCTCATACCAGCCCTTAGAAATCTCCCCTTAGCCGGAAGCTCCTTCCCTGCCATTCTAGGCTCAGCTCTTCTCAGGTGTTTCCAGCAATAAGCCTGGTGTTAGGAGACTTCCGGGTTCTTCTGCTTTTGGCCAATCTCGGATCCAGAACCATTCCTGATCTCCCTCCTCTTTTCAGTTGACCCGGTTATTCAGCCAGCCAGCCAGCAGATATTTATTTTCTGCTTACTGACTTTTCACTCCCAGATATGTCTGGGTCAGACCCCGTGTCTGACTCAGTTTCAGGCTGGAGCCAGTGGGCAAGCCCCTGGGGAACACTGCCCTCCCAGTGGGCACCCTGACCCCGGACTCAAGGCGAAGATGAGGAGTTTCTCGGTGCCTCAGCTTGTCCGCACCGCCCCCCCTCCCTCCTCCAGCCAGGGGCCCCAAGGGGAGGGGGCGGCTGAGCGGAGAACCGCTAATGAAGCCGCAGCCAATTAACGCCCAGGCCAGGGTCGGGGGCGGATAAAATTAGCAGCCTCGGCTGCAGGAGGGAGCCGGAGGCAGGGGTTGGGGGAGGGTGGGCAGCTGGCTAAAGGGGGCTGTGTTTGCTAGTGGCAAGTAGCGGCCACGGGCCCCGCCCTCCAAACCCGCGCTGGTCCCTTCCCCCACCCCCTCATCCCAAAGCTCCCTCCCCACCTCCTCCGTCTGCAAACTCAGCGCCCACGAAATTAGGAAGGAAAAGGAAGATCGATGACTCCAGATGCCGCGAACACCGTTCCCCCTCCCTCCCAACCTGCCACCTCCCGCCGGCCCCGTGGAGCTTAGCAGGTTGTCAGCGCTCTGCCTACACTGTCCCTGTCCATCCCATTCAAGGTCTTACACCTCCTTCCCCAAATCGTCCGCTGGTGATCCCCACTCAGGTCTCATTTCCATCCCACTTGCTGCAGCTTCCCTTCGCCCACCTCAGGGAGGAGAATCCCAACCTCAGGCGGGGCTCCTACCCCGAGGGTAACCCTCAGCTCTCTTTGATCTGGTCTTTGGTGACTTCCAAGGTGCTAGCTCTGTCAGTCTTTGTCTTGGTTTCCCCAAGAGCCGCTGAGGGAGAAGGCCTTGGCCAGGTCTCTACCACATAGAAGCCCCACGCCACCTCCCCATTCCCTACAAAGGTCTCACACAGGCGTGTATTGGATTTCACTTTATTTTGTTCCCTTTCCCGTCTGTTTTGGCGTAGAAAAAATATCACCGAGAGGAAGCAGCAGGAGAGGGCAGGTGGAGCTCGACTGCCTGGACTGGAGGGGGGCGGGCAGGGGCAGGGGCCGGGGGCAGGGCCAGGGCCTCAGCCCAGGGGTTCTGCTTCCGGTACCCTAATAGGGTTTGGAGGAAAAGGGGACAGGCATATGGCAGGCAGAATGGTGGGAGGACAGGCCGAGGTTTTTAGGCCTTTACAGTCTTAGGCGGGGTAGGGTGAAGCAGGACAAGCGCTGGGGGATGGGAAAGTCAGGGTGGGGTGAGGGTGCCAGGCCAGGAGTTATTAAAGCTGCGGGGAAAGGGAGTGCGCAGCCTAGCGCCAAGGGTGAAAAGGGGACCCACTGTGGACCCAGGGGACATTGGGACCGCCTCCAAGCCCCGCCTATTCTGGGGCTGCACTCTTATCCCTTTCACTTTGGGGTGTACTGGAGGGGGCTACCCCAGCCTTGCGGGCACTCCGCATAAGGAAAAGGGCACCCACGCTAGCTGAGGGTCCCGAGAAGCCATTCCCCTCCGCCCCCAGAGTGGAAGGAGTGGGCGACATGGCCACAGGAGCGGCAGAACACTGGGAAGGGGGTCCCACCTAGTGAGGCTGGGATTTGGCGGGAGGCTCAGGACTGGCTGGGGAGGGGCGCTATCCGAAGTAGGGGTGCTCACTCTGGAAGTTATAGTCTGGGCACACCTTCTGCACCAGTTTGTAGTCAAAGCTGAGGAAAGAGACGAAGATACAGATGACTTTGAAGGGCTTGGCACAGAGCCAGGCGGCCTGGCTCTGCGTGTGCTCGGTGAAGCACACCTGCGACGGGTCGTACAGGCACGGTCGGTGCTTGCGCGCGCGGTTTGTCTTCTCATACTCCACGTGGCAATTGAAAGCGCGTGACTCTTTGGCCCCAGGCACTCCCAACGCGCCCCCAAGCGGCCCCGCCAGTGCGCCCCCGAGGGAGCCCCCAAGCCCGGGCCCCGCCGCTGCTGCTGCCATCCCCAGCGGGGGCCCCAGCCCAGGAAGCACCCCCTCCAGGGCGAGCGTAGACTGCAGAGGGTGGGGGACAGGCCCGGGCAGCCAGACTCCTCCGAACTCGACACGCTTGGAGGGCGGCACGATGCTGACACTGAGGTTGCCCAGGCTGGACGAGTTGTGGCGGAAATACACACTGAAGGTACCGTTCACATGGTCCACGATCTTGCCGGTCACCAGCAGCGAAAACTTGAGGGTATGCACCCGAAAGTAGAAGTCCCCCCAGCCGAAGATCTTTTTGGCGCGCGCCGCCTTGATGGACGGCTTCCTCTTGGTGCGCTGCGCGGGCAACGCCCCGGCTGCCCCTGCCCGGGCCAGCGCCCCCGTGTGGTTGGTCGGCCAGGCCCAGCTCCAGGCGCGGCCCACGCCTAGGCCGTCCGAAGACCTTGGCTCTGGGAGCTGCTGGCCGGGGGCACCCGCTCCGGCCGCGGCGGGGCGCAGCCCCAGGTACTGCGGCCTTCCGGACTCTGGTATCTGGGCACTGACGGCCTGTGCACGAAGAAAGAGGAGAGAGAGACGCTGGGGTTGTCCCCCGCCATCCTGCCAGAGCCCTATCGACGCCAGTCCCTTTCCACAGCCGCTAGGAGACCAAATGGAATCACGCAGTCCCGCAGCGGGCAGGGAGCGTGCCTTGGAGGAGAACTGCAGCCCTTTCAAGCTATGTAGTCTTGGCCCAGTCACTTCATGGATCTGGGCCTCAGTTTGTACATCTGTGAAATGACGTCAAGAATCCTGATGTGGCCCACAGAGCTCCAATGAGGGCCAAAAACCCAAAGCCAGTGTGAAGGTGAGTAGGGAGTGGAGCTCTGGATCCTGGCTCATCTTTCCTGGCCCGGCACCTGGTTGGTTCCAGTAATGAGCCAGGGAGGGACTGGACTCTGAGCAAACTGAGCCAGGGAGGCTGTGACCACATTAACATCCAGCATCAAGAAAGAGGCTCCCGCCCGGCACACGCGGTGACTCACGCCTGTAATCCCAGCACTTTGGGGGGCTGAGGTGGGCAGATTGCCTGAGGTCAGGAGTTCAGTTCGAGACCAGCCTGGCCAACATGGAGAAACCTAATCTCTACTAAAATTAGGCGGGCGTTCTGGGGTGCGCCTGTAGTCCCAGCTATTGGGGAGGCTGAGGTGGAAGAATCACTTGAACCTGGTAGGTGGAGGTTGCAGTAAGCCTAGATCGCACCATTGCACTCCAGCCTGGGCGACAGAGCGAGACTCCCTCTCAGAAAAAAAAGAAAAGAAAAGAAAAAAGGAAAGGAAAAGAAAAAGAAAAAGAAAGAGGCTCCAGGACCTCAGAGACCAGAGCCCCCACCTGGGCCTCAGCCCCAACTGGCCTGCAAGGAGTGAGTGCTGGGAACCAGTTGAGCAGAGGAGGAAAGCCTGGGTATCCCTCCCAGTCGCCAGTGCTCCACTCTGGTGGAGGCCGCCTGGCCGTTCTTTTCCTGGGCTCCAAGGGGGCTAAGGAGCCCCCTCCTGCTCCCACCCGTTCTATGTGTCTCAGGTGGCCACCGATCTTGGAGACAGCATGGGCTCGAGGACAAGATGGATCGAGAGGCAGGAGCGGCCGGGCCAGGCCCGGGCCATCAATTATCTGGGGTAGGGGTGAGTGGGGGTGGCCAGGAGTGAAGGAGACAGGAAGCAAGAGGAAGAAATATGGAGATGCCGCTCCAGCGAGGGGAGCAGGCAAGAGAGGAGCTGCATGTCAGAGTGTGTCAGTCAGCCTGAGCTAGCCACCACCGCCGCGTGCTGTGGCCCTGACTGTGCACAGGTCCCATGGGGGGAGGCAGTACCATGTGTGTCAGCCTGGGGTTCTGGTGTCTCTGTTAGCCCCAAATGGTTGTGTGTGTGTGGCCGGTACATGTGTGTGTGGCTGTGGTGGCTGTGTGGGTGTGTATCTGGATGCCCATGGTTATGAGTCTGAGGAGCCTGTGTGTGTGTGGCTGCTTGTCGTGGCTGCATGTCTGTTGTGTAAATCGGTGACTGTGTGTATGTGCCTGGATTGGCTGGGTGTGTGTGTCAATTTGTGGAGTGGTGTCTGTGTGACTGGTGTGGTTACGTGTCTGGGTTGGCTATATGGCTGTGTATAGCGGTCTGAGGGTAGCTATATGTGGTTGTCTGGAGGTGTCACCTTTCCTGTGTGAGCCCCTGTCATCCTCTGCCCAAGTGTCAAGCTCTTTCTAAAGGGGGTGTATCCGTAGTCATAGAACAAGTGTGGTCTTGCTGTGTTCCGATGGGGGTGACATACATGCATGTCAATTGTATCTGAGTGGTCTCTGGGGAGGTGTCCTACACTGGCCCACAGGCTGTGCTGTGGGTAGGTAAGGAGGCCAGGAAGCATGGGTGCCCCCCTCTGTTTGCCCACACCCATGTGTACACACACAGTGTCACTGGGGACAGGAACAGCAGAGCCAAGCTGCTGGGCTAGAATCTCCACCGCCTGGTCCCCGTCCCCGCCACGCTGCGATCCCGGGTTATTAATGCTGCCACCACCCGCTCGTCATACATATTTATCGCCCCCCTCATTCCCCCTCCCATCCATCCCTCCTCTCAGCCCAGGTGAGGGGGCGGGGGCAGCAAGAATGATTGACTCCCACAGACAGGCTTAAGCCAGCAGCTAACACCTGGAGGGTGGGCCTGAGAGAGGGTGGAGGGAGGGGTCCCAGGGTACAGTGGGAGGGAGAAGAGGCCCCAGAAGTGGGCTTGGAGAGGGCAGGGCCTGAATCTGAGAGAGGGCATTGGGGGAGGGAGGTTAGGTTTCCTGGGAAAGCTGAAGGGTGGGCCATTTGAACTCTGGTCCCTAATCTCACCCAACCGCTGTTCTTTCCAGAAGCCCAGTCATCCAGGTCCCCCCTATCCCCATGCCATCAGATGTTATGACCCCAAATGCCTCCAAGCCATCTCCTCCCAGCAGACCAGAGCACCCCTATGTCTTGTACCCAGTCAGAACCTGGCTGGGGTGATTCAGGCCAGTGACTTCTACCAGACAGGGGCAGGGGGTAGAAGTAAGGGGCAGGGGGAGGGGAGGAGGTTCAGCAGGGTAAGGAGAGGTTCCAGGGTGTCACCCCCATCTCTGATCTCAGACAAAGTGCCGTCTGTGCTTCTCTGATCCTGGCGAATCCCCTGGCTTTGGGCAGTCCCGCCCCCACCCACTACTGTAGACAGCCAAGATAAAAAGGAAGAGTTGGGGGGGCACGGCTGAAGCGACCTTGTAGGGGAGTTCAGACAGGGAGGGGTGAGAGTCTGTGAGGAAACGAGAGCCGAGAAATGGGAACATGGAATAAAATAAAATAAGATCCTCCCTCTGGCTCCCTTGATTGCTCGTGCTCTCTCTCCCTCTCTTGTGCTGTTTTTCCATCTCTCCCTCCCCATTCTCTCAGTCTCTTTTGTCTCTCAGTCTCTTTTCTCACTGTCTCTGTCTCAAATTTCCTCCTCCCATGATTCTGATTTTCTCCCTCTGTCTGTGGTTCTCTCCTGCTGTCCTTCAGGTTGTCTGTCTCCAGCAACATGGGGGGAGGTGGGGGAGTTGGGAAGGCAGGTGGTAAGGAGCTCCTCTGCCCAGAGCTCTTGTCGCCCACCTCCATGGCTGAGGGTGGGAGCAGGATGTTGTCCGAGGAGGGGTCCCCCTTGCTCCAGAGCTGGCTTAATTAAGCTAATTGGGCGCGGTGACATTTGCGGAGGGGAGAGGCTAGCGCTGCTGTCGGCGCGGGGGCGGGGCGGAGGTGCGCGGCAGCTGGGGGGTTCAGCAGGCTCCTTCAGGCCCATTCGGGGAGCGGGGAGAGCTGCACCAGGAGGGCTTTACCCCCGAGGCAGCGGGCCCACGCACCTGCAGGGAGTTGAGGTGGCCTCCTGCTGCTGGGGGCAACAAACTCCACTTCGGGGAGTGGCTCTTTGGGGATGACACTGCTGGGATTGGGGGAGGATCAGGCTGTCAGCCCCCCAGCCGCATTGCAGGGTGCACCTCCCCTGGGCCTCCAGGCTGGCCCGTTGCTTTTCCCCTACCACCTGGGTCAGGCAGGGTGCTCCCAGGATCTGGCCGGAGGAAGGGACAGTCCAGGCCTGGGCTGGGGAAGGGGAGAAAAGAGCATCCTGAGCCCCTGCACCTAGAAAGAGGCAGGGGTGCTGCAATAGGGGCCGGTGGAGTCTGGCTGGGAACGAGGGATAGAGATGTGGGTGAGGAGAGAGGTGGGGTGGACAGGACAGCCTGGGGTGAGGACTGAGACAGAGAGGGAGGGGGACTGGGATTGGGGACTGGCAGGCACAGATATAGAGTACAGGGATGAGGATACAATGAGGATAGGCCTGGGGACAGGGATGAGAAGCAGAATAGAAATGGTGGCCAGGCGTGGGGCAGAGACAGAGATGTGGATGGGGTAAGGACCAGAGAAATGAAGATGGGCTACAGAACAGTCCAGGAAGCAGCATGGGGACAGGAATGGTGGATGAGGGATAAGCACAGGGGACAGGCAGGGATGGGGTCAGGGTGGGGCAAAACAGAGATGGGGGATGGGGATGGTTACTGGGCAGAAACAGTGATGGATGCAGAGACCCAGGAGATGGGGATGGAAGACTCAAAGGGAGACTGGAATGGGAAATGGGGGACAAGGGAAGACACAGGAGACGGGGACAGAGACAGGGGCTGAGGACAGGTATGGGAGAGGAGCCAGAGGGCAAGGCAAAGACCAGGCAGGATCAGGCTGTGGGAGGGGGCCAGGCAGGTTGAAGCGAAGACACCTCTTTCCAGACCCTACCACTGCATGAGGGGGCGGGGACCGCTGGTGGGGTGGGGTAGGCTCTGCCCTTGGGCTGGACGCCCCCTCCCTCTACCCCTGCCTGCCTGACTTCTCTTGGCCTGCCGCGCAAGGCTCACCGTTATCTGAATTTTTATTTTATTTTATTTTATTTTATTTTATTTCCCTGCTTCCTGGAGCCAGCGCGGTCCCCGCGGGAACGACTGCCCCCCCGCCCCCCGCCCCGCGCCTCACTTTATTATTGCAATAAATGTGCCTATAAAGGCGCCGGCTCCGGGGCGCGGTGGGGGTTGGGGGGAGCCGCGGAGCGGGGATGTAATTTCCCGAAGCCGGAGCCGGAGGGGGAGTGGGCGGGGTGGAGGTGGAGGAGGGGCAGGCGGGGGAGAGGGGGAGCCGCGCCAATTTCCAGCGCTCAAGGCAGCGCTCCCTGCTCCCCATCCCCACTGGGCAGCTGCTTCCCACCCCACGCCCTGCGACTCCTCCTGCGCCTGAGCCCTGGGACCCTCTCCTATGACCCTGCCCCCTCTCTGTTGCCCTGTCCCTCACGGATCCCACACATCTTGAGTTGCAGGGCTAGGTCCAAAGTTCCCCATCTCCTTGCCAATTACTCCATCTCTGACCCCTGTGAGGTCCCCCCACTTACCTGTTTTCTTTAGACGTTTGTGTTGTCTCTCTCCAATTACCTCGTCCCTGACCCCTCTTTGCCTTGCTTCTGTCCTTATTACCTCACCTCTTCGCCAGTCACCCCGCTCCTGGGTCTCCAGCTCCTCTACCCATCCCAACCCTGACACTCTAAATTCTCCTTTCTGACGCATGCCCCTCCTATTAGGAATGTGAGGCTTCCACTGCAGGCTCTGGCCCAAGGGAGCTGTCACAGCAGGCCCTCCCCTGTCCCCCTGGCCCAGCTGCGGCCCCTGATTACCCCCAAATCCCCGGCAGCAGCTCTGGGCCCTAGCCCAGGCTGTGCGTGCCTAAGTGGCCCAGGCAGAGATTAGCTGGGGGGCTAGAGGAGGGTGTGGAGGCAGGAGGGGGTAGCTGGCTGAGGGGCTTCGGCCAGCCAGCTCTAAGAGAATCAGACCTAATCCTTTCCTGAGGCGGGATAGAGCTGGCAGGTCCCACAGGGCCCCGCCCCTGCCCTCCCCCAGCTAATTAGTAATTAGTGATTAGTGATTAGTGACTATTGATCGCCTGCTGCTTCTCCCAGTAGGCAGCTGCTTTGGCAAGGGGTCGGGGAGACAGAGAGAGAGGGAAAGGAGTCAGAGACTGTATGAGAAAGATCCTCAAGAATCCCTGGCTGAGAGGCCAGAACCCCAGAGGCAGTGGAAGCCAGGAGTCCCAGGCTCTGAGAAATGGGAAGCCTGGAGTGAGGAGGAAGGGAGAGAAACCTGGAGGAGGGTGAGCAAGCAGGACGGGAGAGGCAGAGGTGTCAGCCGTTCATGGTTAGGGTTGCCAAAAAGTTGCCCTGTAAACTGTCCCCTAGCCACCTCTTACCCAGGATCAGCCTCACCTTTTGCCCACTCCCAGTGCTGGCACCAAGACACCCTTGAGCACCCACACACATAAGCCACACTCAGATACATAAACACATCCTGAGGCTCACAATCTCATAGCACACTCAAATGCACTCACAATCACAAGCACACAGAAACACACTCACAAACCCCAGAGACTCATACAGACAACACATGGGCCCCAGCACACAGATGCACCAGAAACCCCGGGGTATACATGTGCATACGCCACACTCACAAGTGCACAGAAGCACACACAGGTATTTGGACACACAAACACTCATATACCCACACCTCCCCGTGCAGTTATACATATTCACACACCCGCAGTGTGTACACATGTAAACACATTCTCACATGCACATAAGCTGGGCTAACCAGCAGATCCACTCTCCCTGTTGACTCCAACACGGAGGCCCCACAGCTGCAGCTCACACACACACACTCAGATAGATCCCATTGCTCATATCCTCACGCTCACTCTCACTCAAGTCTCCACCAGATGTTTCATTCCCCCTCAGGGGGCAAAGGAAATTAAACCAGATCTGTCCACAGGGGAGTTTATTTGCCTGGGAGAGTGGAGATGAGGTGGGAGGAAGTGGAAAGGAGGGGCAAGAGAATGCCATACCTACCACCTCTTGACCCCAGGCCTTCACACATGGGTGGGTGGGTGGTAGGGCACAGACCCCCCCCACTCCTCCAGTTCACTAAGGACAGAGTTGGGCAGCAAGTCCCTAAGAAGCTCCTGCTAGTGGAAGCAGTTTTCATGGAGGGGCTCCTCTGCCTACCGTGCAGCCCCTCAAGGTCACCAGGTGGGGCTGGGAGGGCCAGGGAGCTCTAATGCTAGCTTCACTGGGGCAGCCCCTGCCCTGCTGGGGTTTGCCAAATGTGATTTGGCTGAGCAGGCAGAGGTCCAAGTGTTGGGGGAAGAAATACACCCCTTCTAGACTCTACAGGGGCTGAGGGTACAGAGAATGAGGGTTTGGGGAATGACCTGCCTGCCCCCAAACTAGGTAGGTCACAGTTGGGGGTCAGAAAACAGGGAAGCCATAGGCAGGGGAGGCTGGTAGAAGGAAAATGGGGGACTGGGGCCTGGGCCCCCATTGCGGGCACACACCAGGGGCATAGGCAGATGGCTGCACTGTGAGGCAGGCACTGACACTCACTCATGCAAAGCCAACACCACACACCACACCAGTATACACATGTACCCTCGGCCCCAGTACTGGACCAAGCCTGGCTTCCCTGGACACATGCACACAGGTGCACACGGTGACCCACGCCCTCCACCCAGCACATATGAGCACAGCATGTTCGCAGGTTGAAGCCTCCAAGTCAGGAAGGAGGCAGATCAAGTCTGAGCTCCCTTAGCCTCTGGCTCTTCGCCCGAGAGCCTCAGGGAAAGAGGCCTTGGAGTGGGGTTGGAGGCAGGGAGGGCATGGGAGGAGAGACTCCCCTTCCAGACAGCCTCCCCCTTCAGTGGGGCACGAGAGGGGGGTGTGTCTGTGAGGTCGTGCAGGGGAGATGGTGTCTCCGTGGGAAATGTGATGGGAGGCTGGCTGTAGCCAAGTTCAGCCGTGTCTGCCTGAGTCCGTGTGTGCGTGTGTGCTCGGGCCATGGATGCTCCCGACACAGAGCCCACCTGGCATGGTGACAAGTGCAGAGAAGAGAAATGGGAAGGCGGGGGTGGAGGGGTGGAAGGACAGACAGACAGTGAGGCAGGCGAGCGAGACTGGCGCGGAAAGACGGCAAGGCTGACACCCTGCTGGCTTGTCTGTCTGTCTCGCACTCCCGCTCTGTCTGGCGCACTCGCGGGTCGGGCTTCGTCCCCTCCCCCGCCGCGCCTGAAGTCGGCTGCAAGGGGGACCTCCGCCCGGCACCCTCTCCAAGCCTCAGCCAACTTGCGCTAGGAGAGTGCCCGTCCTGAATCGGGCAGTCTGTCTGTCCGCTTCCCCCGCGCCGCGCAAAGTTGGGACGCTCGGAGCTGGGGGCGGGGCGGGCGCACGGAGCCCCTCGCACACTGGGACCTTCGCGTCCCGGAACCCCGCGCCCGCGCTAGCGCCCCAGCCCTGCCACTCTTACCTTCCTAAGGAGCCACGGGCCAAAGAGCAAGAGGAACCATTCCGGGAGCAGCCGCATCTTCTCTGGCGGCTGAGCGGGGCAGGCTGGGCGGGTCTCGGGCAGGCGGGAGCCAGGCCTAGGGACGCGGGGCTCCGGGCGGGCGGCGGGGCGGCTGCGGGAGCGGCGGGAGCGGCGGGAGCGGCGGGAGCGGCGGCGCGGCCCGCGGACTGGGCGCGAGGCGCGGAGCCGGCGCTGGGGGCGGGGCGCGGGCGGGGGAGAAAGTTGGGTCTGACTCCGCGGGCGGGGGGCGGGGCTCCGCGGCGCTCCAATCCCGGCCGCGCCCCGCGCGCCCCCTCCCGCCCAGCTGGGGGCACCGAAGGTGACTTTCACACCGGCACGCCCCGGACACGCCCCTGGCCCAGGTGCGAAGCGGAGGGGGTCGAGGGGCTCAGGCACTGGTCCCCCGAGAGGCCGCGTCTGTGCGCCCAGGAGGAACGGGGCAGGGCGTGGGGCTCTGGGCTCCGGGCCCGTGCACCTGGAGTGGGGGCGCCGCGGAGCCCAGCCGGACGACGCTCTCCAAGCCCCGGGCCTCTGCCCTGTTCAGGGCCAAGGTGTGTCGGGGCAGGCGCAGGGCAGGGGCCGAGGTGGGGACGGGCGGGGCCTCGGGCGGCTGCCGCCGCGCGATGCTGACGGGGATGGATGGGCGCCCCGCGGCTCATTCGGCCCGGAGATGAGAATCATTGATCACGGACGGAAACCCCATCACGTCTGTCAATAGGGCTGACAAACGGCGCCCTCCGCCCCGTCCCCGCCTCACCGCACCTCTGCGGTCTCAGGACCCCTCGGCTAGACCGGCTGTTCACCTTTGCCCCTGGCCCCCACCACTGACCCCCACGAGGCCCAGTGCGCCTCTGCATGGGGGCTGGGCAGGAAATCCCTCTCAGCGCCGCCTGCCTGGCCTCTTGGTGCAGTCTCTGTTCCTCCCCTCCCGCCGTCCCATCTTTCACCACCAGCTCTTCTAGATCCTTGTCCCCATTCCCTATCTCTGTCCTTGTCTCTGTCCCCAGCCCCAGCTCTCTGCCCCCATCCTCTTCTCTGTTTCTTCCTCGGTTCCCTCCTCCCCACTGCCTCTCTCTCTCCTGCCCGGGTGGTTTCAGCTGTCAGCTGTTGCTATGCACTGAGGCTGTGGCTGAGGTTGTGGTATGACCAACACCTAGACAGAGATAGGGACAAGCAAAGAGACTGAGAGACAGACACATCCCTTGAGAGCCCACCCCAGGGATGCACGCAGATGCCTTCACGGGGACAGGGCACACAGAGCGAAATACAGAGACAGGCGCACACCTAGCGGCACCCCAACACACAGAGGAGCACAGCAACAGAGGTGAGCACACCTGCACCCAGACGAGCACACCCAGACAGTTGCTCAGTGCGCTCACCCTCTCTTTGTCTTGGCAGAGAGCAAACACCCACAGAGGTGGACACACACACTGAGACATACACAGGTGTATGCTGTCACTGGCAGCCCAGAAGACAAGTGGGGGCACATACAAAGAAATGGACAGATAGATATGGGACGTGACAGCCACACACACGAGTCAGGAAAAGGACCGGTGCTGAGAGGACGAGGCAGATTCAGAGACACCCAGGGAGACAGGCAGAAGCCAGGAGGCAGGAACCTGGGTGCCGGGGTGGGGGTGGAGAGGAGAGAGGCAGGAAGGGGCAGAAATGTTCAGGCTCAAGGCCAAAAGGCCTTGAGCCAGAACCCTGAGCCCACGTTCCAGGCACGGGGGCTGCTTCAGTAGTAGGTGGGAACAGTGGGCACACCTAGGCGTAGGCTGTCCAGGACAGAAGCCCATTACCAGGGTCCTGGTCTTCTGGGGGCCGAACCCACTGCATCTCTCCTCCTTTAGCTACAGTCTCAGGCCACCTGTTCTCTCTCCAGTTACACACACACATGTGTGCGCGCTCGCACAAACACAAGTGCAAACACACACATGCACACTACTCGCCCTGTCTCTGGGTCTTTGCCTCTGTCCCCCTGTCTCTCCGCCTCTGGGTTTCTGCCTCTCATTCGGTATCAGCTTCTGTCCCTGGTTCTCAGCCTCTGTCCCTGGTTCTTCCCATCTCTCAGGCCAAGGTGAGGGCTTCCCACCTGCCTCCCGGGTGGGTAGTTTGAGAAACTGCCTCCTGGTGGACCTTCTCCTAGCAGGTCCTGACAGGCGGAGTGGGGGATGCTGACTGGAGGGGTATGCCTTCCAAGCTGCAGCGGGGGTCCCTTGTCGCTCTGCCCAGGATCTTGAGGTGACAGGCAGAGATCAGTGGCTCCCGGGGGGCACCAGATGCACCGATGGCAGAGGGGCAGGGTTGGGGCTGGTGGTGGTGGGAGCAGGCAGGCGCTGGGGCAGGGAGGGGAGCTGGCTGGCAGAGGGTGGAGGGGTGTGGCAAAATAGCCGGAGAGAAGGAAGCGAGAGACTGGGCTGGGGTCCCCCGCAGGTGCATAATGAGTGCTGAGGCGGGGGCTGTGTGGGGCTTCAGGATAGGCGGTGCTCCAGGCGTACAGACACCACCTGGTGGCCAGATTGGGACACAGACCTCCTACTCGGCAACCACGGATTCTGTTTCCCCGCAGTTGCCCATCCAGGGCCCTTTTGAAGGCAGGGGAGGATCTCAGAGTTGGCTTGGAGGATGAGGTTGGAGAGAGCTTCTGAAGGCTAAGAAGGGAAGGGGAGGGCTCCTCTTTCCACAGGTGCCTAGACTTGTAGCTTCCCCAAGGCAGAAGGAAGCCTGGGAGGAATCTCCTGGAGTTGAACCAGTGAGGGAGGAGGAATGAAAGGCAGCACTTCCTGGTTGGGAGTTGGGTAAGGGATCTTCAGACATTTGCAGCCACCCTTCCTGAGCTCATATTTGCTGTACTGGGACTCAAACCCTCTCTAGTCCTGGGCAGTGTAAACTGTGCAACTTTCTGCAAGAAGTTTCCCCCTCTAGGCAGGGGTTGAAATGGACCTGGACACTTTTGATTGACAGTTTTTTCCTGTTACCCCCTGGAATGACTGAAATGATTGGTGAGCTGGAGCTGCTGGGGGCCTAGAGGGCCTGGCAAACTGGTCTTCCCAGCTCTCCTTTACCGCAGGAGACACCTGGCTCTGGAATGCAGCATTTTACTTCGCATTTGATTCATTAGTCTCCACAAAGTGAGACGTCAGTGCTTCAAGAGCAGACTCAGGCAGAGAGAACCGCATGGGAGGACCCTGAAGGATGAGAAAACCTTTGCAGCCTCAGTGTATTCACTTCTTATAGTGGGGCTTCTCACTGTGGGTGATCATTTTGGGTAGGGGGGTGGTGTCTGGTAGAAGTGAATGCAGAGAAACAGATCTGAGTTAGTGTCCTAGACCCAGAGGGAACACAAAATCTGGAGACTCGAAGTCATGGCTGAAGGTCACACAGCCAGGAGAAGCAGATCTTCCATGTCAAGTCCAGTGCCACCCGCTTCCCGGGCACAGTAAGATGGAGAGGGGGAGGGCCCTGGGAGAAGGGCACTAAAAACCACGCGCCAGCCTGCCTCCAGCACGGGGCAGGTCTCCCTCTGGTGGCCGAAGCAGGAAAGCGCAGCCCCAGCTCCCAGCGTCTCTCACACACAGGCAGACACCAGCGGCTTTTTTTCTTTCTTTTTTTTTTTTTTGGCCTTTTTTTTTTTTTTTTTTTTTACAATTTTATTTATAACAATATCTGTGTTATTTAGTTGTAAAGGAATTCAGCAAAAATTATTAAAACGTTCACGTCCCCAAAACGGGGCTGCCCGCTTTCCCTTCCTGGGTGTGGCCCACCTCCTTGGCGTCCCCAGGGGAGGGGAGGCTGGAGGAATGTTTACCAGAGGAAGTCTCCAGCCCTGGGAACCTCGGTGGGGGCCCTGGAGACAGGGAGGGCCTGTCTGGGAGGGGGGTTGAGCATGGCCATCTCATAGGTGCCCCTGGAGTTGGGGCTGGGGTTTGGGGTGGCCTCCCCCAAGAACTAAAACACTCCATCCTTTCCCGCCTACCTCACCCAGAGCCACGTCTTCCAGACAGGGGCAGCAAAGAACTCTCCCTTCCCAGAATTAGCCCTCAGGAAGCTGTGGGAGCGGGCAAGCAGGGATGGGGCGAGAGGGGAGAGCCTTGGCAAAGTGTCTTATACAGGGAGGGGAAGGCTGCACCACCAGCTCTCCCAGTGGGGTGCGTTCTGGTGGGAGGGTAGGAGGTGCAGCCCCAAGCCCTCCCTGCCTGTCTCCCTGAAGGCAGCATGGGGGTGCCAAGGAGCAGGCAGGGAGGGGATGGAGAAATAATACTGTGCTCGCTTGCCGGCTTGCTCGCTCACATATAAAATGTAATTCCTTCATTTTTACATTTATACATCCGGCGGGGCCAGGGAAGGGCTGGCTGGGGAGGGGCTCACTGAAGGACTTCACTGGCAGGGGGCAGGAGGCTTTCTGGGGGCAGTCCGACGGGGCAGGGCCCTATGCCAAGGGGTCCCCTATCTCGTCCTCAGGGCCCCGGCCCAGGAGTTCTCGCTTCTCGTCCGTGCTGGCCAGGGAGTGGCGACTGCCATGGCCCCCCATGTAGAGTGTGGCATACACGGGGTTGGTGAAGTTGGTGGGCTGCAGGGTGACAGAGGGTTCAGGTAGGGCTCAGGAGCTGGGCCTGTAGCCCAGGTTACCCCACCCCCACCTCCGTCCCTCACCTAACCCAACACCTTTGGTTAGGCCACCCACGGCCTCTTGGCACTCGACCCTGCCCGCCTCCCAGCCCACCTTGTCAGGGTCCAGGGCAAAGTCAGCGTCCAGTAGGCCTCCCACATCATCAGGCTCTCCGCCTTCGTACATCTTGTAGGTGGGGTTTCCAATCTCCACGTTCATGGCCCCGTTGGTCATCCGTTGGTGCTGGAAGCCCTTAGCCCTGGGGAAAGGCAGGAGTATAAGGAGACAGAGATTATTGGGGGGGAAGGCTAGGATGGCAAAATAATGACCAGAATGTTCCAGAATCCCTGTGACTCACCCTTGGACTCGCCGCTTATACCAGAATACCACTCCGGCCACCAGAACCAGCAGCAGCAGCAACAGCAGAGGGATTAGGATGGAGGCTATATCTGGAGGGAAGAGGTGGGACACTGAGTCACCAAGGCTCAGGGAAGCAGGAGGCACACGGTCCCCCTGCTCTAGGTCCCGGTGGCCCTGCCTGCCCCAACCCCTGCCACCTACGTCCTGGCTGCTGCTGGCTGAAGACGTGCTCCTCACACCGGGGCCCTGTCATGTGGGGTGGGCACCTGCAGAAAGGAGGGACACGGCTGAGTAGGTATAACCTCCATAGCCACTGCTGCCAGGAAAACAGGGCGGGGGGTGGGCACTGAGGCCTGACGGTCCTCCTGCTCAAATCTGGGGAAGGGAGCGATGATCTATGCCTGGGTGAAGCCCGGGCCCAACTCACTGGCACTCAGGCATCATTTTGCTGTTCATGGTACAGGAGCCGCCATTGCTGCAGTGGCCGACGCAGGTCAGACAGCTGGGGGCCACCCGGCCATCCGTGCAGCTGCAGGAAGGAATCAGAGGCTGGGGCTGGGGCTGGCAGAGGCGTGCCTGGGATGCTGAGGAAGGGAGGGGCAGGGCAGGGCTAGGACAGGGCAGGGGCCCAGCTGGGTGGAACTGTGGAGGAGGGCCCCACTCACTTGCAGGTGACATCCCCACTCTGCTTGTTGACCACACAGGCCCCTTCGAGACAGCGGCTGCACTTGTTCACCTCACACCTCGATCCCTCAAAGTAGGCAGTGCAGCGGCATTGTCGGGAGCCATCAGCAGCCATCTGGCATGTGCCAAAGTTCTCACAGTAGCCAGAGCACTGCCCTGTGGTTGGGGAGGGAGAGAAGTGCCTCAAGCCCCACCCTCATGAGGGCTCTCCATAGGTTGAACAGAGCTTTTCTGTTTGCATAATCTTGGTGCAGGGGGTGCACTGCCTCAGGGGAAGTGTGCCAGCACCTTTGTGGGGAAGCGCCAGCAGCTTGGGCCTGGCTCAGCTGCATAAGGCCTTCTTTCCTGAACTTGCCCCTGTGGGTCCCAGGCACAGGTTGAACATCACCCCATGCTCTGGGGTCCCCCGTCACCCTCCCGCATGCCCTGGGGCCCAGGGATGGCTCACTCACGGTACTGGCAGCGGTCGCCCAGGAAGCCGGGTAGGCATCGGCACTGGGGCTGGTTGCCCTGGTTGACAGTGCAGGTGCTGTTGTTGGCACAGTAGCCCGCACACACCTGCTGGGTGCATTTGGGGCCCGTGAAGCCCGTGGGGCACCGGCACGTGGGCATGCCTGGTGGGAGAGGATGTGTGAGCGCGACTGTGGCCCTCGAGACCACCTGGCCCTATAGCAGAGGAATGGGCTGGGGGGACCTGGGCGAGAAGCAGAGACTGGAGTGACTGGATGCTGGGTTGTGGAAAGGAGGCTGGAGGCGAGGCAGGGGCTGGGCATTTGCCTGAGGTGGGGTGGTGGGTGGCGGGGCTGGGGCCCAGGGGCAAGGAGCAGGCGTGGCGGGATGAGGGGGCATACCAGAGGGGGAGGCAGCACAGGTGCCCCCATTGCGACAGTGCTCCCAGCACTGGTCCAGTTCACACTTGTCACCCGTGTAGCGGGGTTGGCAGCGGCACTTGGGCTGCCTCCGTGCATTGAGGAAACAGCTGCCACCGTTGAAGCACTGCAGGTTACAGGTTCCAGGCCGGGGAGCTGCAGGAAGGGCCCGTCAAGGGGCAGAGCCAGGGGAATAGGAGGAGAGGGACAGGCAACAAGGTCAGGGGAAGTCAGGAGCCACAGGAAGGAGATGGTCCTGAGGCATGGCTGGGACTGGGAGGGCATAAGCATACCATCTGGGGGGGGCGTTGGAGAGGGCACAGGCACGCATGTGCCGTTGTCCAGCCGCTTCCCATTGGGACAGGTGCAGACAGGCCCACTGGGGCTCAGCAGGCAGAGCCACTCGCATTTCTTGCGGTCACATGGGTTGGTCACTGCAGGTATGGGTGGGGTGGGGAGGATGCTGAGCAGGACCCTTCTCTGAGCCCTGTGAGCCCAGGGTGACCCCCTCTCCACCAGGTCCCAGGGCCACAGCTTGGAGACTCAATGCCCACAGGCCTCCCTTCCCCAGCCCAGGCTCCCCTCTGCCCCCACCTTCGGGCTGCTTGTGCTGATGGTAAAGGACCACGTCAGAGGCGTGGCTCAGGCCCCCTGTCAGGTTGACCAAGGGGCTGTGGCCAAACTTATGGATCTTGAAGACACGATTATTGATGTAGGTGACACCATAGATGTAATCCTCAAAGACGTCGATGCTGAAGGGGTGACTTAGGCCTGGGGGAGGAGGTGGAGTCAGAGGGGACCTGAGGGGCACTCAGGCCCTGGCCATGCTGTCCACGACACTGGCACCTGTGGTTCCCAGACACCTCAAACTCAACACATCCAGACCAAATTCTCTCTCCCCACACCGGTTCCTCCTCCTGTGGCCACTACTGGCAAAAGGTCCCATCACCCCCAGACTTCTGGGGTCAGTCATGACTGACTTCTATTCCTTCTCCCCCAATTTGCTACGTTCCTAATGTACCTATGCTGCCTCCGTGCAACCCAACCAATGAATGGACAAGTAGGCCAGAGGGTCAGGGTGGGTCTCAGGCCTGCAGGGCTGGTTCAGGGGGAGGCCAGCTGGAGAGGCCTGGAAGGCGCTGCAGCATTGCTGGGGGTCAGTGACAAAGGATGGGAGGCATTGAAGTGAGGCCTTTGGCTCAGTAGGGAGGATGGCAAGGCTGGGGACAGGGCTGGGGACTGCGACTTATGCCGGGCTCTGACCTCGTTTGCTGTCAGCAGCCACAATGGGGTCCGTGCCATTGAGCCGGATGCTGCCGATGACTGAAAGCTTGGCGTCTGCCCAGTACAGCCGCTCATTGTGATAATCCACGGCCAGGCCTGGGGAGAGAGAGAGCACTGTGAGAGCTTGGCCTCCCCAACCCAGGCTCGGGGTGGAAAGAACTGCCTCCATGCCCGGGACAGCTCCACCCTGTTCATACGCCACTCACAGTCACCTCTTTCGGGAAAAGCCTCCACGGCCAATCTGCCCTGCCCCAGTCCAAGCCCCATCCCATCCCTTGCTTTTGTGTGACTTCAGCAGCAGCTGGGCTCTGCGAGCCGGGCCCCCTCCATGCCCGTCCCTCCTGCACCCTGCCCCACAAACCTGTGGGCCACTGAATGTTGTCCTGCACCAGTGTCTCCCGAAGCGTCCCATCCATCGCTGCCGTCTCAATCTTGGGGTGGTTGCCCCAGTCTGACCAGTACATGGTCCTGGGGAGGGAGAAGGGGTGAGTGTGGGCAGGCCGGAGGGCCAGAGGAGGCAGGCCCAGGCAGGACACCAGCTTCTTGGTCTGGGGACAGGGACTGCTGGGGACTGGGAGGAGGGCATTCTGTCCTTCTACAGAGAAGCAGGCGGGAGTCTGCTTCTGAGCAGGTTGAGGGGCTTTTCCTCTAAAACCACAGTGTGCTCATTCAGAGCCACCGACGCTGGCAGAGCTGTTCCCCAGGGCAGAGTGTGGCTGTGCATGACAGCCGGCCAAGCAGAGGTCAGATCCCTGCCCAAGCAGGCCCAGCTGGGGGCCCTGGGCAGAGGCAGCATGGGGAGGGCCAGGCAGGGGTGGCCGAGAAGACCCAAGGGACTGAAAAGGACTCTGTCCTCAGGCTGGCCTGGGAGGGAAGGGCACGCATGTGGGTGCAGCCCCCAACCCTGTCCCGGGGGCTTCCTACCACCAGCCCAGAGGCCTCCCCCCAGGGCCCTTGCCCACCCCCTCAGTGGGTCCACCACAATGGCGTGGGGCTCGTCAATCATGCCCGAGATGAGCGTCTTGCGGTTCTCGCCCTTCATCTGCGCCACCTCAATCACATCTCGGCCCGAGTCGGTCCAGTACACGTTTCCGGCCACCCAGTCGATGGCGATGCCTCTGGGCATCTTCAGCCCTGAAATCTGAATGGAAGCCACAGGTTCAGGGGCCACTGCTTTGTCTTCCTGCCATTATCCCCCCGCCACCACTCTGCCAGCCTGCTGGAACGTCACCCCAGGCTCACAGCCAGGACCCTGGCTTTAAAGAGATTCAACCGGCATGGAGCTTATGCGCCAGACTCGCAGCTCTCACACGTGGCTGGTGAGCCCTCCCTGAAGCCTGTGCAATGGCGATGATCACCTAATTTTATTGATAAACAAAGTGAAACCCAAAGAGGTTAAATGAGGTAGCTAAGACGTACACAGTGGGAAGTGGCAAGGATGGGGGATTGGTGCCGGAGGGCTGTCTGCCTGCCCATCATGCCCTGTGCCCTGGGCTGCCTGCAGCACAGCCAGCTGCTGACCATTCCCACTGCTCTGTCTTCCCGCTGGCCATGCCTCAGAACACAATCCTAAGACTGCCCCCTGCCCCACTCTCAACCTTTGCCCCTCGCACTGCCCTTTTGTTTTCTTTTTCTTTTTTTTTTTTTTGAGACGGAGTCTCGCTCTATCATCCAGGCTGGAGTGCAGTGCTATTCTGCAACCTTGGTGCCACTGCAACCGAGTGGCACTCGGCTCACTGCAACTTCCACCTTCTGGGTTCAAAGGATTCTCCTGCTTCAGCCTCCTGAGTAGCTGGGATTACAGGCGCCCGCCACCACGCCTGGCTAATCTTTGTATTTTTATTTTATTTTATTTTATTTATTTATTTATTTATTTATTTAGAGACCGAGTCTCTATTTATTTATTTATTTATTTATTTATTTATTTATTTATTTAGAGACCGAGTCTCACTCTCTCGCCCAGGCTGGAGTGCAGTGGCGCGATCTCGGCTCACTGCAAGCTCCGCCTCCCGGGTTCATGCCATTCTCCTGCCCCAGCTTCCCAAGTAGCTGGGACTACAGGCGCCCGCCACCATGCCCGGCTAATTTTTTTGTATTTTTTAATAGAGACGGGGTTTCACTGTGTTAGCCAGGTTGGTCTGGATCTCCTGACCTCGTGATCCACCCACCTCTGCCTCCCAAAGTGCTGGGATTACAGGCATGAGCCACCGCGCTCAGCCAAATTTTTGTATTTTTAGTAGAGACAGGGTTTCACCATGTTGCCACGCTGGTCTCAAACTCCTGATCTCAGGTGATCTGCCCGCCTTGGCCTCCCAAAGTGCTGGGATTATAGGCGTGAGCCACTGCGCCTAGCCAGCACTGCCCTTTTCAAATCCTGCTCTGAACCGCCTGCTCTATGGAGCTCTTCCACTCCATCCACGCCAGGTTGGGCACTCACGTTGAGGTGGGTGACACCCCGGTCAATCTGTCGCCGGTGGCGGTTGGAAGTGGTAGGAGGCGCAGCAGGTGGCAGGCTGCGGTAGGAGATGGTGCCCGTGTGCCAGTTGGTCCAATAGACACGGCCAGCCTTGACATGGACATCCATAGCATCAATGCGGACACTCTCGTCACCCTGGAATGCCTGCTCGTAAGCCGAATGGGGGTGGCCGGGGAACAGGCTGCGGATCTCATTGTCATCAGCGATGTACAGGACCTGGTACTCAGAGCCTGGAGAAGCAAGAGGCCAGGGCTGGGGCTGTGGGATGCAGGTGTGCACCCCACCCAGCTCAGCTCCTTTCACATGAACACTGTCCCATCTCCTGGTAGGACCATCTGCTCCGGCCAGAAGCTGCTGCTTACCCTCCCTGCTCAGGGTTGCAGGCTCCAACCTCAGCCTCTGGACCTCCTCCTCTCCTCCCCTGAGCTGATCCACTGTGACCCGCTCCTTTCAGTCAGAAAGCTGTCCCTGCCCCTCCAGACCCAGAGACTTCCACCTCCTCACGGCTGCTGGATGGCATCACCACGCTCTCTGCTACAAACTGCCTGGCACATGCTCGGGGGTGCATAGGCACATGGGGTGTGTGTGCTTGGCATGGAGCACGAGGGTGTGCATGGGAGTGCATGGTGGGGGTGTGTGTGCCAGGGGTGTGTGTGAATGTCTGTGTACAGGCATGTGGAAGGCAAGGTGGGCATCAAAGCATGTGGGGAATGTGCAGGTGAGGCCCCCATGACTGTGAGTGTGCAATGCGTGTCTGAGTGTACTCTCGTCCTGGCAGTGGTGGGTGAGGAGGTGTGTGTGCAATTCAGAGCACTGCCACACCCCAGACTCCTTCAGTCAGCCAGCCCCAGGACCTGCCCCCACTGCTGGGCCAGCACTGTGCTCAGGCAGCTGCAACTATGAGTCTGGGGCTTCTTGTCTGGGCAAGATGTCCGCAGGAAGACATTCCATTCCAAGTCGGCCCCGTTTGATATCCTGGTCGCCCTGCCCCACCCAGCCTTTCTGCCCTCTGGTGGCTCCGGCACCTTCGGCCTTGCAGGTGTTGTGCGTCTTCATGAAGTTCCGAGCGCAGCTGCAGAGGTGGCCGCCCTTGGTGTTGTTGCAGAGCTGGGAGCAGGTGCCGAAGCGCAGGCACTCGTTGATGTCTAAGGGTTACAGGGAGGGTCATGAGAGTCCACAGTTGGGGTGTCCACCCCTGCTCTGCCCCGCTTTCCTACCTTGGCATCCGGGCTGGCCGGGCACGGTGTGGAAGCCCGAGCGGCAGGCACAGTAGGCCGCTTTCTCGGTGCGCACGCAGCGTGCCTCGTCCCCACAGATGCTGGCATTGGTGGCGCAGCTGGTCAGCTTGGGGTCTGTGGGGGACAGAGAGTGGATGCCCTCCCTTGAGCCACCCCAGGCCAGGGCTTGGCTCTCCCCACTCCCCACCAGCGTCCGGTCCGCTGCCGGGCCTCACCGATGCTGCAGTCCTCCTCGTCAGAGCCGTCCCCGCAGTCATCGAACATGTTGCAGCGCAGGGAGGAGGAGAGGCAGCGCTGGTTCCGGCACAGAAACTCCTTCTTGTCTTTGCAGTGGGTGGTGTGGGCTGTGGGGGGCTCTGAGGAGGGCAGAGGCTTTAGGCCCTGGGTATTCTCCCCTGCCTCCTCCTCCCACGGCAACCCCATAGATAACAGTGGCTCCCAATTCCTAAGTGACAAGGCTTGCAGGGGGAGCAGGTCAAACATTTGGGTTCCCAGCCCCACCTCCAAGACCTAAGGCATCAGGCAGCCCCCAGAGCCTTCCCCAGGGGCTTCTCTTTCCTAACGAAAAGCCCCCAGGCTCCTAGCAATGGATCCTCCCCTTCCTGGGCGAGTCCTCCTGGTTAACCCTAACCCCAGTGCAGCTCCCACGAGGACCAGACTCACCCCACTGTGCACTACCCGTCCCCTGCAGGCCTCTCGTCGGCCCCCTGCTCACCACAGTCCTCTTCATCAGTCCCATCCCCACAGTTGTCCGTGCCATCGCATTGGCGCCCGATCCACAGACAGACGCGGTCATTCTTGCAACGGAAGGGCCGGTTGGGAGGGCACACGAACCGGGCTGCAGCAGCCAGGGGGACACAGAGCCAGAATTAGTCTTGGGAGTGGGGGTGGTTGCTGGCCACTGGGAAGCCTGGGAGCCCCGCCCCAAATCTCACCACACTCCTCGGGGTTCTCATCTGAGTTGTCCCCACAGTCATCCTCGCCATCGCACTTCCAGGCCAGCGGCTTGCACAAGGTGTTGTTGCACTGGAACTCGTCCAGGGGGCAGGTCCGCACTGGTGCCAGGGGGAGCCAAGAGATAGAATGAGCCATGAGCCCACCCAGACCCCTGTCTCCACAGGTGGGGGTTCCAGGCTCAGAGGGGTCACCAGGCAAGCAGTGGCACAGCCAAATTGGAACCAGGTCTCTTAAATTTCTACTTGGTGGGGCCAAACTGCCCCCTCTGGTATTTAGGGGAGAAGAGGCCATTTTTCAGGGGTGTCTGGAGGAGTTCAGAGGGCACTCCTTCTCTGGTATGTGGCAGGGCACTGTGCTGTGTAGTTCCACAGCGGGGACGTGGGAACAGCACTGGGCTGTGTAGTTCCACAGCGGGGACGCGGGAACAGCACTGGGCTGGGAATGGAAGACCGGGTTCCCATCCCTGTGCCTGGCCTACCAAGGCAGAGCCAAGACATCTGCCCGCACAGTTGGGATTTCCGCTCCAAGGCCCAGTCTTTTCTCATCCCGGGCTTCACCTGCCCCCTCTGTACTGCAGAGCCCAGGCAGGTCAGCGAGGGACAGGCACTGTCTCACTGCCCCCAGGAAGGGAAAATAGGCAGGGCTTTTCTTCTTGTGGCAGCAGACTGTCTCGGAGGGACTTGTGGGGTGGGGCCTAGATGGGCACAGCCCTCAGGGTTTGCTGGATTTCAGCTCAACTGGTCCCCTAGACTAGGGGGCATTGAGCTGGGCACAACCCGCACAAAAATGTGTATTCAGGGGCCCTGTGTCTTGTTTACTACTACGTCCCTAACACCTATGGCAGTGCCTGGTACATGGTAAATGCTTAATAAATATTTGTTGCATGAAGAATGAATACAGAAGAGAAAGAATGAGTGAATGACTGGGCCATGTGGCGGGGTGGGCAGCAGAGGGAGGACCCAGGGAGACCAAGCCAAGGGGCGCACCGCCAGTGCCGCAGGCCTCCTCGTCGCTGCCGTCCATGCAGTCGGCGTCTGCGTCACAGCGCCAGCGCAGGGGGATGCAGTGGCCGCTCTTGCACTGGAACTGGTCCATGTCACAGCGGGGGGTGCAGTCTTTCTGTGGGCATGGGCACAGGCAGCCGGTCACCTCTCGGCACTCCCCAAGCCCTGCCTGAACTCCTCTGAGGCCATCTGCTTCCTTCTCATCTCCCTGCCCACCTCGTCCGAGCCGTCCGCGCAGTCGTGGTCTCCATCGCATTTCCAGCGCCCCGCGATGCAGCGGCCGTTGGCACAGGAGAACTCACTCTCGGAGCAGGGCCGAGGGGCTGGGAAGGACAGGGGGAGACAGGCCCAGGAGGGTGGGCACAAGGACTCCAGGCCTCAGTAGTGCCACAGTCCCGAGCCCAAGGCCCATCCCCGTGTCTCTGAAGGCCACAGCTGACTGACCCAGAGGCCGAGCCAGTCCTGGCAGAGCCCACTGGCTGCTCCTATGGAACAGCTGGGCACAGGCGGGCTCGCACTTACCCCATGGGACAGACACCAGAGAGGACACAGGTCCCTGGCCTTGCCCTCAGAACAGACTGTGTTTGGGGAGGGGAGCGGGGGCAAGACCACTGAGACAAGCACCAGGGTTTGGGGAGAGGTCAATCAAGGATGATGGGTAGAGGCACAGCACAGGGATGGGGGGCTCTGGGACAGAGGTGGGGGTATGGTGGGAGCACGGGCACATCAGAGACACCTACCTCTGCAACCCCGAGAGGACAGTGTGAAAATGGAGAGAAACATGAGATGAGGTGAAATGGCACAAACTCAAATACACGACATGGAGTGGGATGGGTGAGGAGGGCGGCTCCTGCCCCCACCCTGGGAGGTGGCCACCAGCTCTGGCGCGGCCTGTGGCAGGAGGGCCGCGAGACAAGGGCCAGGCCTGGGAGGGGCTCATGCGGGGCTGGGTGGGTGGGGACGTACTGCAGCTCTCTTCATCGGAGTTGTCACCGCAATCGTTGTCGTAGTCGCACTGCCAGCGGCCGGGCACGCAGCGGTTGTTCTTGCAGCGGAACTGGTATGGCTCACAGGTGCGTTCATCTGGAGGAGGCAAGTGTCAGGGCAGTCAGGGAAAGGGCTGGGGCAGACATTAGGGTCCAAGCAGGCATGGTCAGGCTGGCCTGGCAGGGAGGGTGGGCATCCCAGCTTGGGAAGGGTCAGCCGCGGGGAGCCCAGGCGGTGTTTTGAGACGTGGGGTCTATAAGGAGGTTTGGGGACAGGAGACATGGTTGGGGGTGTGTGTGTGGGCAGCTGCCTTGGGAAGGAGATGAACAGATCCCATAGGGTGGGCAGGGAAAACTCCACACAGGTATGTGTGGATGAGGCGTGGGCAGGGGCAGGGATAGGGAAACTGGGAGACATGGGGCACGGGTGGATGTGGGGAAGTGAGCTCCAGCCAGGCCTCCTTCCCCAGCCCCACAGCAGGCCCAGGAAGCCCAGCAGCAGGGCCACGCTGAGACCGGTAAGCAGGCGGCCCCCAGCCCTCCACCTGCCAGGGGTGCCATGCCTCCCACCCAGGTAGACTGTCTTCCTCCTGGAGTGGGGTCTCGGCTCACCACACTCTTCCTTGGGCTCATCCGAGCCATCCCCACAGTCATCCTCTCCGTCACACTTCCAACGCGCTGGGATGCAGCGGCCCGAATCCTTGCAGCGGAACTCGTCCACACCACAGGTCATCTGGGCTGCAAGCGGGTGGGCATGGGGTGAGGATGAGACTCCTTCCAGGAGTGTGCCGGGAGGGTGGGGAGAGTGAGGGAGCAGCCACTGAGGGGGTCACACGTCGGGGTGGTGTGAGCAGCAGACACTGGGGAGGGAAGCTGGGCTCCAGGCCAGGCAACTCACTGCAGTTGGCGGGCTCATCACTGCCATCCACACAGTCATTGTCCCGGTCGCAGACCCAGACCCGGGGGATGCACCGTTTGGTAATGGAGCACTGGAACTGGTTGGGGGCGCAGGTCACCTCGGCTGTGGGGTGGGCAAGAGAATGAGGGCCCTCCCTTACACCTGCCACTCCAGTTCACCATCACTGTCTTCTCTCTCTTCCAAGCCCTGGCCTTGGTCCTGCCAGCAACTTCTTCGGAGGAAGGAACAGTTTATCCCCAGTTTTGGTGCTTTTTGTTTTCTGGATCTCTATGTCTCTATATCATGCATGATGATTTTTATGAGCAAAGCAAGTTACACCCAATATAATTTGTGTTGCCCATCTACTAAAGTTATTTGAGAGCCTCTCAAAGCTGTGGGGAGATTCTGCCTGCCCTGCTTCCGTGTCATCTCCCACCACCGGCCCACCACCACCTCTGACACTCACGGCAGTCCCTCTCATCCTCCCCATCTCCGCAGTTGTCCTGCCCATTGCAGCGGAAGATGCCGGGAATACAGCGGTTGGTGTTGGTGCATTTGAACTGACTGGGCAAGCAGACGTGGATGTCTGTGGAGGGAGGAGGAGGTGATTCGTGGCGAAGGGAGGACTCAGGGGCAGGGAGAGGGTGCCCATCCCTCAGCAGGGAGGACACAGGCTTGAGCCATAGGAATCCAGCCTGGAGAGCAAGCTGCCGTGGGCTGCAACTTCCCTGCACTTGAAAGCCCCAAATCCTGGGGCAGGGAAGATGCTGGGGAAGGAGGGAGGGTGGGCGGGCAGCGCCTTACCACAGTTGGCCTCGTCACTGTTGTCCTGGCAGTCATTGTCGCCATCGCAGATGAAGGCAGGGTTTGTGCAGATACCTGTGGAGCACTGGAACTGTCCGGGCCGGCACTTGAACTCAGCTGCCAGAGAGGGAGGCTCAGAGTCAGAGCGGCTGGGGTGGACACGGCCAGGTCCACTTGCAGGGCACCACAGCCCCAGCCTCTCCAGTGGCCATTCAAAGCCTCAGGAGTCAGGCCTCCGACACAGCTGGGGGCCCTCCTGTCACCCCCAGCAGGCACTCACGGCAGTCCGGGGGCTCGTCTGAGTGGTCCCCGCAGTCGTCCTCGGTGTCACACTTCCACCAGAAGGGGATGCACTTGTCGTTCTTGCATACAAACTGGAGGGCAGGTGGGGGCAAGAGGGGTTGGTGGGGGTCTGGGGGACTCAGAAGTCTTTCTTTTGAGGGGCTTGGATGTTTCAAAGAAGTTGAGGCAGGGGTCAGGGTGTTATGGGGCAGGTTGGGCTATGGTGAGTTCGGAAAGGCCAGGTATGGGGCTGCGTGGGATAGGGTGGGGAAGGCAGCACTGAAGCATGGCAAGGAGGGTCAAGGTTAGGGTGTGGAGGTGTCTGTGTGAGGTGACGGGGGTAAAAGTATTGCTGTGGGGAGACAAGAGGTAGGCAAGAAATGTGGGGGTGTTAGTGTGGGAAAACCAGATGCATGAGGACATTAGGACAGAGCAGGTGTTGGGGTCCAAGGAGGATTTGGGGGTTGGGGAGCGGGCACTGGTGATGGGGTCTGGGGGACAGCCTCACCTGGCTAGCCGTGCAGTTGGACACACAGGTGCGCCCATCGCTGCCCAGGTAGAAGTTGGTGGGGCAGGCACATTTGTGCCCTCCCCCGGGGGACAGCAGGCACAGGTTGCTGCAGCCACCATTGTTGACCTTGCAGGGGTGATTGGGCACTGCCAGAGAAAACGTCGTGAAATATGGTGACATTTTCTGGCCTACCAAAGGCTGCCTCACTCACTCTATCCTGGACAGAGGCGGGTGGGTCTGAACCCTGCCTCTTTTAGGAGGGAGCTGAAGCTGGAGATAGGAGAGGATTCTAAGGTCCCAGGATCAGGCCAGGCCTGAAGGCCAGCTCCCCACCTCCTCTGTGCTTCCCTCCCAGGGGCCGGCCTGCCTTCCTTCTGGGGGCTGGGCACCCAGACCCCCACTTGACTGGCCTCAGGGACTTGCTGCTGCCAGACTCCAGGGCTGGATCCAGGCCGGGCTGAAGCTCCCGGGAGCCAGACCATCCCCTGTCTAGACCCTCCTGGAGTCTCCCAGTGTCTGGCCAGGAGGGCTTGGTCAATGCTAGAGAAGGGATGAGCAGGAACTCCCAGGGACCCCGGTGCCTGGCTCACCGTTCGCCTGCTCCCACCCCTTGCCTGCTCACCGTCTGGCTGGCGCAGGGCATGGAAGACATGCAGGTCCATGGGCCGGTGCAGCGTGCTGATGAGGAGCGTTTTGTTGGTGCCCGTGGTCTTGTGGGCTCGGTTAATGGACTTTGTTTCCCAGTCGGTCCAGTAGACGTAGTCCTCAAACAGGGTCAGTGCAAAGATGTGCGGGATGTCCTGGCTCAGCACTGCAGGGCCAAGGGGCAGGCACAGTGCCAGTCAGCCGGAGCTCGGACAGGGTGCCGGCCCACTCCACCTCCTCAAGCCCTACCACCACCCTGAGAGGTGGGTGTCAGCCCCAGTTACAGATGGTTCATGGTACAGACCCCCCATGGTCTCACAGCTAACAAGTGTCAGAGCTGGAGTTCAAACCTAGACTGCCTCATGGCAAGTTCCTGCCCTGCCAGTGTATGGCTCCCCTCGGGAAGTGGGGAGCACTGCAGTTCTCAATCGCAGGCCTCCCACCCCCACCCTCCTTGGGGCCAGTCCTCCAGAACTGTGTATACAAGGGAAGGGCCTCTCCTCTTCCTTCCCAAGGGAGCTGGGTGGTGGCCAGGCTGGGGAAGCCCCCGGGGTGCTCTGAACCCCACACCCCAGTGAGTGGTGTCCTCAGGCCATATCCTCCGCTTTTTATGTCCACTCTTGCCCCCAAAACTTGATCCCCTGTCGCTTCAGACCTCCATCCCCACTGAGTCTGCTGTGCCTGGACAGCCTCACTGGCACACTGACCAACGTGGCGATTGGAGCCATCCAGGCTGGCAAATTCAATGTAGTCCTCGCGGGCGTCGGCCCAGTAGATGCGCTCAGTGACATAGTCCAGCGTCAGGCCATTGGGCCATGTGATCTTGGTGTCCACGATGACGCTGCGGCTGGACCCATCCATGCCGATGCGGCCGATCAGTGAATGGTCACCCCAGTCTGTCCAGTACAGGTACCTGGCGATGGGTAGGCAGTGAGCCCTGGGAGATCCCGTAACCCATCGCACCAGTGGCCTGCAGGGAGGCTGGGCTTGGATGCTGCTTTCAGGGGCTCCCCCAACCCTCCTCAGCCACATACCCATTCTGCACATCCACCACCAGAGCCCTGGGCTCACGGAGGCCAGAGCTGACCAGCACCGTCCGATAGGCCCCATTGAGCTTGGACACCTCGATGGTGTCCCGGCCTTTGTCGCACCAGTACAGGTTGCCACCCACCCAGTCCACAGCCAGCCCATCGGGGTTGCTGAGGCCTGTACGGTGTAGGACCTGCAGGAAGGGGCAGGGGAGGGAGAGCTCTGGGTGACCTGGGGGAGGACCTGCAAGCCTCTGTGAGGCTCAGCCTCCCCTCGTGTAAAATGGGGTAGAGCTCCCTCTGACAGCTCTGGTGGGAGAACCATGGAAGTAAAATGCCCAGTCCTGGGCCTGACACTGTGTAGGTGTCAGCAGAGGCTCTAGGAGAGGGGGCTCTAGGTGAATGGGACCACGCCCCAAGCCTCACAGTGCTTGGCCAGACCTCACAGGGAACTTCCTGATGATTAAGGAGACATGAGGCTGGCAGCGAGGGGAAGGGCAAGAGGAATCTCCCAGTCCTTGCTGTCTGGGCCCAGAGGAGAGTGAGCAGCTAGAACAAGCAGTCATATAGTGACTAGTGGAGTGAGAAGGAAGCAATTTGGGTTGGTGGGGCGGGAAGGAGAGACGATCTGAAAACAGTCATCTGAGGCGGGCCAGTGTTGGTCGCCGAGGGCCGCCCGCCTCACCTGCACATTGCTCCCGTTAAGGTGCATCCTTCGGATCATGCTGCCCTGGGTGGTCACATCTGTCCAGTAGATCATCTGCTCTCGGTAGTCAAAATCCAAGGCAACGGCGTTGTTCAGGCCCTGGATTTGGGGAGTGAAGGACAGCAGAAGTCGGTTGTGGCAACAGGGGCCACATTTGCATCTGGGGGAGGGATGGTTGGACCTAAGCGGGGAGACTTGCAAGGGAGGCTGTGCTGGGTCTGGGAGATGGGCAGCGGGGAGGAGGGCCTGGGTTTGGTACCTGCTTAAGTAACGTGTAGTTGGACCCGTCCAGGTTGAGCTTGCGCAGGTAGTACCGGTTGGCGAAGATCAGAAACGGTTCCTCGTCTGCAGACAGAGGATCTTGCCTCAGCTCCTGGCACATTCTAGCGGCCCTGGTCTCCTGCCTGTCTGGAGCTCTGCCACCCGGGCAGTCCCACACAGCCTGGGTCACCTCATGCCCTCCAAGCGCGCATCTCACCAGTCACAGCCTTGCAGCTGTGGGGGTCGCCGCCGCGGGGTGCATAGCCCTCCACACACAGACACTTATAGCTGCCATGAGTGTTGATGCAGCGCTGGCTGCAGGGGAAGGTGGTGCTGCACTCGTCCACATCAGCACACGTCCGGCCGTCGTCCTTCAGCCGGAAGCCAGGGCGACAGCGGCACTGCAGGCACAGGGAGCCTTGGGCTGGGCATGTGGCAGGGTCTGGGCCTCCCACCCTGGAGACCTGGCTCAGAGACTCCAATTCCCTCTACCCGGCCTCACTAGGGGCAGCAGCATATGGGTACTGAGCCCACCCAGCTGGCCCACAGTGCAGGCCTCCTTCTGTGTGCCCCCGAGTGTCATTTGACAGAGCTGCGTGTGCCCTCCCCATGGAAATGCTTTCTTCTCGTGGCTGTTCTCCTGCCTCAGCAGCTGCTCCTTCTCAGGCTCTTCTGCTGGTCCCCTCACTTCCCTGCTCCTGGCTGTTGCTCAGCTCGGGGCTCAGACTTTGGACTCCTCTCTTCTCCACCTACACTGCTCCCTTGGGAATCATATCCAGGCTCACAGATTCAAATAGCATCTCTATGGTGATAACTCCCAGACTTCCCTCTCCAGCCTGGGCCTCTCCTTGAACTCCAGACCTGTGTATCTCTTGCCTACTTGATGCCTCACTCCTCTCTTCCTCTCACACTGCATATCTCATCTGTCAGCAAATCTGCTGGCTCTCTACCTGCCAGATAGAGGCAGACCCCAACCAAGCAGATTTCTGTCTCATTCACTGCTGTATCCCCACTGTCTAGGGGATGAATGAATGAATAAGGCAGTGGAGAAAGGCGTTCCTGGCACGTCTGGGGTGTGGAAGCTCCTCCCCAGGGCTGGGCATACCTTGAAGCCGATCTTGAGGTCCTCACAGTCCTGGCTGCAGCCACTGAGCTTGCGGCTGAGACACTCATTGATGTGGCAGCCACGCTCGTCCGAGCTGTCGCCACAGTCATCCTGGCCGTTGCAGAGCAGTGCCTCAGCCACACAGCGCCCACTGCTGCACAGGAACTGTGACGAGGCATTGCACTTGTGCTCTGCGGAGGGGCGGAGGCGGCAGGTCAGCGGGGTCTCAGGCAGTCTGGGGAGGGGGCAGAGGGGAGCCAGGTCTGGGGCCCACCTTGGCTGGTGCAGTGTGGGTTCTTGGGAGCCTCGTCACTCTGGTCGTGGCAGTCATTCTCGCCATCACACTCCCACTGGCGGGAGCTCAGACAGCGCCCATTGGCACAGCGGAACTCACTGGGGCCGCAGGTCGGGTACTCTGGGGGAGGAATGGACCTGTGAGGCTGATGCCCTGGCCCGGCAGAGGGCAGGGCCTCCTCCCACCACCGCCGAAGGCTCACCACACTCGGGGGACTCATCAGAGCCATCTGCACAGTCACGGTCGTGGTCACACACGAAGTGCTTGGGGATGCACTGGCGGTTCTGGCACATGAACTCACGGTCGTCACAAGTGCTGTTGTACACTGTGGACAGAGGTGGACACAGCCCTTCAGCCCTGCCTGGCCAGCGGCCGACCGTCCCTCACTCTAACCTCCTGTGGTTCTCCTGGTAGAGTGGGCAGGGCACTGGATGAGGAGTCTGGACACCTGGGCTACAGCTATGGCTCCGCCCCCAGTGGACCCCGCTGAGGCATTTCCTCTCCTGCACCCCGGCTTCCCCATCTGCAAAGTGAGACTGTGGCCATTTGCTGTCCACCCGCTCCACGTGGCCCCGCCACTCACAGCAACCAGCTGCGATGCTCTCGTCTGCACCATCAGCACAGTCTTTGTCACCGTCACAGAGCCAGCGCTCGGGGACGCACACGTGGGTGCCAGGGCAGGAGAAGGAGGAGGGGCCGCACGTCTTGCCTTCTGTAGGGGGAGAGAGGGCCACTGAGAGACTTAGGAGCGGGTAGATCAGGTCTAGCAGTGGAGGTGATGGTTCGCCGTCGTCTGCAGGGGTGTCTGTGTGTGGGGTGGAGTTGGGTGGGGTCTGTCCCTCCCTGGGGCACCTCCCCCGGCCCAATCCCAGCTTCCTTACCACAGTGAGCAGCCTCGTCTGAGCCATCCCCACAGTCATCGCTGCCGTCACACAGCCACTGCTTGGAGATGCAGCGATGGTTCTGGCACTCAAACTGGGCCTCTGAGCAGAACTTGTCTGGGGCAGTCAGAAGCCACAGTTAGATGGGGAAGGGTGGGGGTCACCCACCTGGGGAGGCTGATGCCATGGGAAGGACAGGAGAGATGCCCACAGCACCCCTCTGTGGGGGGGCTCAGCAGCAGCTAGAGGCAGAGTCTCTGAGTCTGACCTCAAGAGTTGGGGTGTGGGGCAGGGGGTTGAAGGCTCTGGATGCCCTTTTCCAAGGGGGCATTTGCTGGGGGGGACTAAGAAGTGGGGCCCAGCAGGCTCTTGGAGCACTGAGTGGGTGCAGTGGTCACTCACTGCAGTGGGTCTCGTCCTCGCCATGTTCACAGTCATCCTCTTTGTCACACGTCCAGCTCATGGGGATGCAGCGCCCACTAGGGCAGGCGAAGTAATTCAGAGGGCATCTGGGGCGTTTCACACCTGGGGGGCGAGGCAGGTGTGAGGGCCCTGCTCACCGCAGGCCACCACCCACCACACACCTGCCCCCGCCCACCTGGGCAGTCGCGCTCATCACTGTAGTCCCCACAGTCATTGGCGCCATCACACACCCAGCTGGGTGCGTAGCAGAGTGAGGTCCGCTCGCAGGGCTGGAAGAGCACGCCCTTCACGCCCAGGCGGAAGTAGCTGCTGCAGTCGGTGGCACCTGGTGGGGGCAGGGGTGAGGGTGATACCTGGTTCCCCCTGGATCACCCCCGACTGGGGCAGCTGCCAGCCCTATGGAGCCTTCATGTGTTTCCAAAAGTTGAACGGTGCCCTTCTGGTGGGGCACTGTCTGCACCATCTGCTCACTGCCCCCTCTCGGAACCCCACGAGAGCCCAGGAGCAGGAGCGGGATGGGGACAGGGCCTCAGGGAGATGGAGGCTGTCAGCGGGGATGAGGGAAGGCAGAGAGGAATGTGGGCAGGTGCAGGAGGGCCTGAAGGCGGGAGATGCAGTGAGCGATGGGGAGGAGCCCAGGAGGTGCCAGCAAAGGGCGTCACTCACTGCAGTTCATCTCATCTGAGGCGTCCTCACAATCCACAAACTGGTTGCAGCGGCTGGAGTTCCCGATGCAGGTCCCGTCCCGGCAGCGGAACTCGCCCACACCACAGGCTGTCTCTAGAACAGTGCCCGCCCCGTATCGTCAGGCCAGAGTTTTCTCTGTGGGGGCCAGAAGGACGCAGGACAGAGCTCCTGGCCCACAGCACCTGCCCTGGCCTGTCACAGAGTGCCTTGAACCAGACACCACGGGGCCCAGGGACAAAGCTTGGCCAGGGAGGGGTGGGGCAGGAACTGAGGTACAGATGGGTTATGCCAGTGCGCCTCACTCACTGTTGCAAGGGATCTCGTCAGAGCCATCCCCACAGTCGTCGGCCCCGTTGCACCACAGCATGTTGGACACACAGCGCCCATTGCTGCACTGCCGGAAAGTCTTCTTGCAGCGGCGGGAGTCTGCAAATGGAGGAGTAGGCTGCGTGTCAGCCACAGGCACAGGGAAAGGGCTGCCTCCCTGAGACGTCATGCACGTGTCCAGCTGGCCACCCCCAAACCCAAAGGCCCAGTCCAGGCTAACAGTGGTTCTGCCCTTCATGAGCTCCCAAAACTCATGGTCAGGAAGCTGGGTCCTGATCCTGCTCCATCCTGCAGGGGCCTGGGGGAGGAGGACCTGGGCTCTGGGCCTGGAAGAGGCAGGGGCTGCAGGGGGCTCCTTACTGCAGTAGGATGGCTTCTCATCGGACTTGTCCTTGCAGTGGGGGACGCCGTCGCAGGTCAGGCTGAAGTTGATGCACTCGCCATTGGCACACTCAAACTCATCTTGTGCTCGGCAAGAGGAATTCACCGCTGGGGAGGGAGGTGGAGGGAGCTTTCTGAGCCAGCGCTGTGGGCCCCAGTGCCCACGCCTCCTCCCCCGGGGAGCTGAGGTCATCATCAGCGTCTTCTTGGCAAAAGGCTTTGGGGGGCTGGGCTGGAGCATGTAGGGGAGATGGTCACCATCCCTGGTGTGTGCTTGGGTTCCCCGCCAGCCCCTCCCCCCCGCCTCTCTCACCTCGGCAGGTGAGGTCATCCTGGAGGATTCGGCCCCCTCGGCATGAGCAGTTGACATGGCCCTGGTGAGTGAGCAGACACAGGTCCTGGCAGCCACCGTTGTTGATTCGGCATGGAGAGAGTTCACCTGAGCAGGGACAGGGTGGGCGCAGGGCTGGAGAGTGTTCTCTGCTGTGCATGCACCCAGAGTGCACCCACCCATTCACTGACTTCATGGAGCTCCCAAGCCTCTGCTCAGTCACGGCAGGCACAGCGGCTTGCAGCCAGTGGGGAGGGCATGGGGATGGCTGCTGTGGGAGGGCCAGGTGCATGGGGTTTTCGGCAGGTGTGCCGTTGAGGATGTGTGTGCTTTTAGGCAGGGCACCGTGGGCTTTGAGGAGTGTTTCTGAGAGATTCGAGTCTGAGGGCCCTGAGATCACGGGTGCAGTAGTGAGCCCCAGGGCGCATGGGAGACACCTGGGAAAGCTGCAGGTCTGTGGTGGGGGGCGCTGGGGCATGTACTCGTGCCCACTGAGGGCACGTGCACCCAGGCTCTCGGCTGTCTGTGTGGCTCCAAGTGAGGAGAGTGACCAGGGTGAGGGTAGGGGCACCGAGGGCATGGATGAGCCCTGAGGGGCGGGTGTGACATGAATGTGTGTGTGCAACGTGGAGGAGATGCCAGGCGTGTGCAGAGTCCATCTGTGTGCGTAGATGCCTTGGTGGGAAGGGGTACAGGAGCACTGGGGGTTTTGCGGTTCCAAAGGTGTGTACAGCTGTGTGTGTCTGTGTAATGGAGGCCCAGGGAGAGCAGGACCAGGCAAGTGTGTGTGGGGTGTGGTGTGTGGGGTGTGGGGTGTTTATAGTATGTCTGTGAGATGTGTGTGTGTGTGTGTGGCATGTTTGTGGTACGTGTGGTGTGTGGTGTGTGTGTGTGCTGTGTGGTGTGTGTGTGATGTGTGTTGTGGGTGGTAGGTGTGTGGCATGTGTATGTGTGTCCTATGTGTGGTGTGTATGTGTCATGTGTGGTGTGTGTATGTGGTGTGTGTATGTGGTGTGTGTGTGGTATGTGTAGTGTGTGTGGTGGTGTGTGTATGTGGTATGTGTGGGGTGTGTGTGGTATGTGTGGTGTGTATGTGGTGTGTGGTGTGTGTGTGGTATGTGTGTGGTGTGGTATATGTGGGGTGTGCATGTGATATGTGTGGTGTGTGTATGTGGGGTGTGTATGTGTGTGTATGTGTTGGGGGTGTATGTGTATGTGGTGTGTGGGGGGTGTGTATGGTGTGGTGTGTATGTGTTGAGTGTGTGGGAGGGGTGTGGTGTGTGTATGTGGTGTGGTGTGTGTAGTGTAGTATGTGTGGGATGTGTGTGTGTGGTATGTGTAGGGTGCGTGTGGTATGTGCGATGTGTGTGTGGGGTGTGTGTTTGTATGTCCATGCACGACAGGCAGGAGGGTGAGGCAGCTGGCGGCAGCCCCACTCACAGCTGTTGGTGTCGTTGGCCACGGCGATGATGCCCATGGGCTGCTGGGGGATGTCCACGCGCAGCAGCTTCATGTTGCTGCCCACGTGCTTGTTGGCCCGCTGCACTGCCCGCCGCACCCAGTCAGTCCAGAAAATGTGCTCCCCATACACGGCCAGCCCGAAGGGGTGGACAGGCTCTGACTTTAGGATCACCTGTGGAGACAGCACCATCACCGTCACAGCATCGCTCAGGCCTCTTGCCCAGTCTCCACCGGACCACAGCCTGGCCTGGCCTCTGACAGCTACAGAATGAGGGCCCGCAGAGGCATCCTGCTATCTCCCTCGTCTAGCTGATGAGGAGCAAGCTGGACAGGGTGGGGTTGACCGAGGCTGGGGCCTGGAGGCACTCACCTCCTCCCAGCTGTTCCCACCATGTCTGTGCCTGGACGGTCTTGGTTGACGGCTGACCCTGGCCCTGGCCTCCCCTCAGCCGCCCGCCAGCTCACCCACCCCGCAGACTCACATAGCGGTGGGAGCCGTCATACTCGCACCGCTCGATCTTGTCCAGGGTGGCGTCAGAGAAGTAGAGCTTCTCGGCACGGTGGTCGATGGCCAGGCCATTGGGGGTACGGATGTCCTTCTCGATAAGGGTCAGGACATTGGCTCCCGAGAGCGCCGCCCGCATGATGCTGGGATGCTGCTCATTCCAGTTGGTCCAGAACATGAGGCTGGGGGAAGAGGGTCCAGAGATCAGGAGGCAAAGCCTGAGAATCCACAACAGAGGGCACAGGCCAGGACGCGTAGGCACCTGGAACCTGGAAGCCTGCCAGGGCAAAGCCACCCCAGAGCCATAGAGGCCAGCAGTGCCCCAATGCCCAGGAAGGGCCCCACTATTGCACAGACAGTTCACACACGAGGTGGCTGAGTGTGAGGGGATGAGGGCCAAGTGTGAGATATTCACATTGCAGTATCTGGGCAGTGACCGTCTACTTGCTGAGAAGAGAGCCGGTGCAGCCAAGTGAGACAGGCCCTGGGGTTCCAGCCCTGGCTCCACCACCCACCAGCTAGGTGCCCTTAGGCAACTTACTCAACTGCCCTGTGCCTCAGTTTCCTCCTCTATGAGGTGGGGATGGTAGCACCACCTGCCTCGCAGGATGTGAGAGTGGAAGAAGTTAATCTCCATCTTAAGGACAGATGGCACACACTATGTGAGTATTTCCCAGGAGTTTATTCTTAACTGCTCTCTTCTGTGCAGGGAGGCTGGCTGTCTTCCAGATCATTCAGGAAGCCCTTGTGGAGCTGAGTGTGGCATGTGTCCCAGGTCCTGGGGTATGTGGGTCCTATCCTCAAGCAGCTCTCAAGAGTCCCCTTCTCCGTACTTTGAGGCCTTTGCATGTTTGGGGTTGGAGCCACCGTTCTGCCTCGTAACGGCTCCAACTTTGAATGAGCCTGTCGCCCCTCTGAGCCCTGGTTTCCTCTCAGTAAAGGAGGCAATGGGAACAGCCAGCCCCCAATTATGCCGTGCTCCTTGTGGGGTGGTGCTGAGGCTGGAGGGGGGCTGTGGAAGGCCTCAGGGCTGGTCATGCACTACCCTGGGTGTGACAGAGTGGTCCTTGGACCACCGGCATTGGATGGTGAGCCCTGGGTCCTCGGTCCCAGAGCTTGTCACTCAGCTAGGCCCAGGGCGGGGCAGGGGACTCCACATTCTCTTGCTCCTAGGCGATCCTTAGGCACAGTGGAGTCTGAGACCACCAAGCCACACAAAAGCCAGCTCCGTTCTCCAGTTCCCTAACAGGACCTGCCCCCGCCCCCACCCCAGTGCCTCTGGCCTCCTCCTACCTCTGCCCCTCACCATTCTGGCCACAGATCTGTCCTCTGGCCTGTGAACTTGTCTCCTCAGACCTCTCCAGGTCACACCCTTCTTGCCCACCCCCAGCGTCTCCAGCACCATTGAACTATCCCGCCTTCTGCTGGGCTCACGTAGGAAAATGGTGCTGCTCTGCCCCTCTGGAGACACTGGCTGCCCTGAGCCTCGGCGAGCTCGTGAGAAGCTCTGATCTTAAGGGCCTCATCCTGGAGGAGAGCAGGGGTTTGCGGTGGCTCTGGAATCGGGATGTAAGTTGGGAGGGAGGCGGCGTGTCCTTCTAGCCTCCATAAGGGAAAATGGGTATCCTGGGGCAGTGGCCAGTCATCTTCCTGGCTTGTCAGGATTGGACTTGGCCTGTCAGTCCCCACCAGGAACTCCTACACCTCAGGTGAAACTACTCACACCTGCAGTGAGAAGTGGTTTTCCTCCTGGCGTCAACAAACTCCTCCATGTGACACAACTGTGGTCTGGGTGAACCTGCTTCCCAGGAATGGGGCAGGAGGGAGAGAGAGGCTTTCCTGGGGTAGGTGCTCAGTGTCCAGGAACATGGCGGACCTTCTAACTATCCTACTGTGAGCTCTACAGGGCCATCAGTGCTCCAGTGCTGACGCGGGGAGGGCTCAGGAGGAGGCTGGGTTGTTGGAGTCTCCACTTGCCCCTGCCCTCTCCACTGGGGTCCACACTGGCTCCTTCTGATTCCCCGAAAGTGCCTGCTCCTTGTGGCCAGGGGGAGGGCCCCTCCTGCCAGCTCAGCTCTTTCTCCTGGGCACTGGGACCATGCTCCCACCCAGCCACTCCTGCCATCCTCAGACGCTGGCTAACATGCCGCCTCTTCAAGGACACGTTCCCTGACTTCCAGGTGGGGCCAGTCCTCAGCACACAGCCACGAAGCTCTTCATGACGCCCCTCGCGCTCCCCACTGGGTCCTCTGCACCTTCTTTGCCCTCAAAAGCCACTCGCTGAATGCGTGATGGAATCCCCTGGCCTCATAAGAAAGGAGCTTGGTGGGCAGCCAGGGGGTCACGTCCTCTGGGACGAGGGCCAGGCAGCCTTGCTGGACCCTCCAGGGAAGCTCCAGACTCATGAGGGACAGGCTCTGAGGCCATCCCCAGACAGGTGAGGCAGCCGAGGGTCATGGAAGGGGGGACTGGACCTTCATCATCAGCTGCAGATGTGCCAGATGACAGAGGCAGGAGGAAACAGAGGGTCCTTGAGCCAGGTTGGAGGTGACTGACATTGGGGGACTGGTGGGGGGAATCTGGGTTCGGGACACTCACGTATCTATACAGCTGCTTTGGGTTGTGTTTACTAGTTTCCTAGTAAAGCTTTTGAAAAACATTCCAAGCACTGCTGAATTGGGAAAAAAATGTTGCTAACATGTGGGCCTGGATCCCTAAGGCGAGGGGGTGGCTCACTAGAGGCCCAAACAGCCGGGATGAGGGCTGCCCCTGCGGGAGAACAGAGCAGGCTGACTGCGGGTGAACCCTCCAGGGGGAGCACCCACCCCCGGGTGCTTTCTGCCACCTGTCCTGGCTTGTGCTCCTAACTCCTCCGCACCCTGACCTCACTTCCTGGCTGGGCTCAGGCCTGCCTATGCTCTATGGCATGCAGAGGTCCCCCTCTGTCCTCCCTGCCTTGAATTTGCCTTTCTTCAGGCTTTTGCTCAAAGCACTTCCCCTGTCCGAGCTGGCCTTCCTTGTCTTTTCCAGTTCCAGGCTCTGGGCCAATCTACTGCCTTCATGACACCTGTGGTCACCCGTATACAGCCCTGTGCCAGTTACCATTACTTCCCACAAGTATGACTTCTCAACCCAGCTAGGTGGCTTGGTAGGCCCAGCCTTAGGCTTCTGTACGAAGGGTTCGACAAACATTCTTTGCCTGAAGCTTTGGATCCCAGAGCTAGAGGCCCTACCCTGTGCCTCCAACATGGTGCTCTGATGAATGAATCAATCACAAAGGCAGAGCGTCCCCCACAGTCCTGATGCTCCCTTTGGTGCAGGCAGCTGGAATCTTAGCCAGCTTGTATCACAGAAGAGGAACCTGAAGCTTAGGAAGCTTTTGCACCTCTCCCCAGATCACACAGCAGGGAAGGGTGGAGCTCAAGTGAGGGCCTGCCTCTCCTGCACCCCCGCTTGGATCTGCCTGGGGAGTTTCTGCCACCCCGAGTCCCACCTCTCCCTGCTACCCCCATCCCCAGGCAGCAGCTCACTTCTGGCACTCGTCCAAAACGAAGGCCCGTGGGTGGTCATCTCCAGACATAGTGATGACGGTCTCACGCTCGAAGGCCCCTGGGCGGGTCTGGTCCACTGTGTGGCGCGTGATGGTGGATGTCGTGTAGCTTGTCCAATAGAGAGTGTCCCAGCCACGGTGATAGGCCAGGCCTTCCACGGAGCCCACGTCTGTGAAGAGACAGGAGCAGCGATTTGTCAGGAGGGCCCAGAGGGCAGCCTGCACAGGAGCCGTGGGGGACAGCCTGGGGCAGGTGCTCTCCTGGCTGGAAGGCGAAGTGTGGGGTATGGGAGTGCAAGAGGTGCAGCAGAGAGGGCTCGGGGGCACCAGGGTCTGACTCAGTGCCCCCAACCTCTGCTGTCCTCACTCAAATGACCTGTGGTCACCTCTCAACCCTCTCCCACTGAGGGCAATCGGGCTTTCTGGTGTGTTTGCACTTTCCTGGAGCTGCAGTTCTGCTGAGCTGAGTGCAATGTAGATTTCTGTAAATCAAATCCTGCTTGGGCTGTACTGGGGAGCCCCCTACTTAAAAAGACCCTGAGCTGGATTGATTATTTTATAAAGCAGACATCTTAAACTCAGGTTAAAGAACCAAGGCACAGTGAGAGACACAGCCGAACAGCAGTGTAAGAGAAAAGACTAGAGTGTTAGTGGCTATAAGCGATGGTGGCTGCCAAAGGGCCATGCTGTGGTATGGTCTGCAGACAGCCGGAGGTGAGGGGACATCCCTTCCAGGGGTCTGGGGATTGATGTGCCAGTCTCTCCTGATCAAGCTACGAGCATGGAGTACCGAGTTTAGCTTCGGATGCTACATTTTTAGACAGACATGCAGGCTGGACTATGTGCAGCAGAAAATGTCCCAGAAAAGGCTGAAAGGACAGGTCTGTATACGTAGCACCTAGTTCGGTGCCTGGCAGGTCTTTATGGACCAGCTGAATGAATATATGAGCAAATGAATGAGTCAAGGGACCCGGTGGTAACCAGGCTGAAGAAGAGAAAATGTAGCAGGATGCAGTTTTCAAAGAGCTGAAAGGCTGTCCTGTGATGACAGCCCTGACACTGTAACTGCTCTTTCCAGAGCACACACTCCGTCCCCAGCATCACTGAGCTAAGCCTTCCTGCGCAGCAGCTCGAGGAATCCTGTCTCAGATGAGACACTCATCCACGCAGATGAGAAGGCTCAGGCTTGGCAAGAGCAGGAAACTGACCCAAGTTATTGAAAGCCCAAGTGACTGGAGCTCAGCCCCATGTCTGCAGCCTGGGTTTGTGAGCGTTGGGCTCCACAGAGACCTCTCGCTTGTTCTGTGCAGCTCTGAAGGCAGAACTAGGACCAGTGGCGGGAGGAAGTCGGGGGCTGACGCTGACTCCAAATCAGGAGTCATGTAACTGCGGGGGTGCAGTTGGATTCAGCTGAGTTGTAGCTGCTGGGATTCAGACCTAGGGTAGAGTGCCTGGCTGGGGTCTAAGAGTCTGTGCTGCTCCCCGCCCCATGTCCCACTTCCTGGGAAGACTTAGGGTCTGGGCTCACTTTCCACAATGGTGATCCTCCTGGAGCCATCGTCGTTGATCTGTTGGATGTTCCCAAAGTGGATGTCGCTGAAGAAGATGCGATTGGGGGTGCCCGGAGAGGTGCCTGCCCGGTAGTCAAAGGCCAGGGCGATGACGTTCTTCATGTGCTCAGGGTCCTCGAAGGGCTGCACGGGCGCATTGAGGTTGCGCTCATCCGACAGGTGGATACTCTTGAGAATGGTGCGCTCTGAGTAGAGCAGGTAGCCGGCATACTCGCGGCACGATGCTCCGTCTTCAGCCAGCATCCCGTGGGCACAGGCGCAGGCCCGCTGCCCACGGCCCCGGTACAGGCACAGCTGCTGGCACCCGCCATTGGCCACCGCGCACACGTTGGTGCCTGGGGGAGGGGAGGGTACAGAGGGCAGGGCCTGCCTTGGGAAAGGCTCACTGGTGCCTTTGTCATCCAGGCTTTGGCGAAAGCTCTGCCCTCTGCCTCGGTATTCCCAGCTTGAATGACCCTCCAGGGCCCAGAGTCCAATGCCAAGATCTGTCCCAGAGCACCTCAGCCTTTCCTCCCCATCCCTGGGTCTCTCGGGCCATCGGAAGTTGCCCCATGGGTCTAACTTGTCTCCCAGCCCTCTCACACTGGGTTCCCTGGGGAGCACTCTCCCAGGCCAGAGTCCCCCTCACCTCTCCACCCCAGCCCAGAGCCCCAGCCTCACCTTTCTGCCGGTCCCGGTTGAAGACTTTGATGTCTTTAAGCTGGACGCCGATGCCGGTTCGCAGGGGCACGGAGTCTGTGGCATTGTCTTTGCTCCCGCGCTTGATAGAGCCGTTGGCATGAGTCCTGAGGGAAGGACAGGGCACAAGCAGGGCATCAGTGGAGGCAGGAGGGAAGGAAGAGATCAGCTGAGGAGGCCAGGACAGAAGCCCTCACCTGTCACTCCAGTAGATGAAATCCTCAAACACAGACACTGAAAACATGTCCATGTTGTTGCTGGACAGAACCACCTCGCGGTTCTCACCTGTCTCCAGGTCGATCCGTTCAATCTTGTCTGTCCGTGCATCGCACCAGTACAGCTTCCCATCCTACAGGCCAGAGGCACCCACCTCACCTCCAGGGCTGAGCTCGCTGCCAGCCCCATGTCTGGGGCAGCAGGGAGTGCCTGGGCCAGAGTGAGGCCCTCAGTTCAGCCTCCCCTAACTCACTCCTGCCTCCTGCATACACTCCTGCCCACTGCCCTGCTGATAAGGTGACCTCCAGGCATCTCTCCACTCCCCCACTCCCCACTTCTGAGCGACCCCTGCCCATCATCTCTGTGGTAGCAGGAGTCCTACTCTGGGTGGAGGGCTGGGCTGGGAGACCCTGTGACTTCCCCTGGGCTCCAAGTCCTCCCAGAATGGGCTCATCACAGGGAACAGGAGCCTGGGTCAGGGGTCTACCATCGGATCCAAGGCCAAGTTGGCGTGCGAACCTGGTAGTCCACTGAGATGCCGTTGGGCCAGCTGATGCTGACGTTGACCAGCACCACACGCTCCGTGCCATCTAGCCGAGACCGCTCAATACGCGGATACTGACCCCACTCAGTCCAGAACAAGTACCTGTAGGGTGGGGGTGGAAGTGGGGGTCAGTCCTCAGACCCTGGAGGAGACAGGGCCTCATCAGCATGGGCCATGGGCAGAATGACAAGGCCAGTCTTTCCAGCTCCTCACCCTTTCTCCGGGTGGACGGTGATGGCCCGGGGCTTGTCTAGACCCTGGGAGATCACCACGTAGCGGAAGGAGCCATTGAGCCGGGCGACCTCGATGACATCAAAGCCCTGGTCTGTCCAGTAGATGTTGCCTAAGGAGGGAGTTGGTGGGGCTCAGGGAGGTTAGGTGAGGACAGGTGGACCTGGTGTCTCCAAGCTCCCAGGCACCCCTACAGCTCCTCTTCCTGCTCCCGCCAACTCCTCCTCTCACTTCGTCCCCCAGTCCTCTGCCACACCCCAAGCCCCACAAACCTGCCCACTGCTCACCTGCGATCCAGTCCACTGCAATGCCCTCCACACGGCCAATGCCATTGGTCACCACGTCTTCACGCCACGTCTGGTCCCGCTTGGCCCGGCTGATCGTGCTCAGGCCCATGTCCACCCAGTAGATGGTGTCATTTTCTGGAGGTGGAGGAGGTGACATGGGGATGCCCAATAAGGCAGGGGTAAGGTGAGGGGTCAAAATCTCACAAGGCTCAAGACAGAGGTGAGAGAGTGCCGGAGGGGCCAGGTGCTTGAAGGGGAGGTGGAGTCAGGGTGGCAGCTGTAGCAAGTGCCCCACCTCAGGCCAATTCAGGCAGCCTCTCACTGGACCCTCAGGGCACACCACACCACCCCTAAAGCTCCTACGCCACGCCCAACTCCCTCTGCCACCAAATGGCTCACCAGCGTGGAAGTCGATGCCGACAGCCAGCGAGGTCCCGGACACTGGGACCAGGGCATCTGACTTGTCATTGGGATCCAGGGGAATTCCCCTGATTCCCTCATGCACAGAGTACAGGAGAAAGGAACCTACGCCTGAAAGACAAGGAAACTTAAGGCATGGGTATCGCCAACACTCCCTTAAACTTGGTTCCTGTCACCCTCCAACTGTTCTCTGCTTCTCCTTTGATATCATCCCCCCCCACCATCATCCCTATCCTCCACCCAGCACACACACCCTAGCCTGAGGCCAGAGCATGGGCCGGGAGGAAGCGCACCTGGCTGGTAGCTCTGGGGAACCACCTGCAGGACCCCTAGCCACCATGAGAGGGCAGCAGAGACTCGGATTTCTCACCCTGTGCTCTGCCGGCCTCCACCCAGCACAACCCAACCCTGCACCCCTGCAAGTTCCTTAGGGAAAGTCTGGGAGTTCAGACCAGACAATCAGGACTAGGTGACTCCAAAATCTAGACTTCCAGTTTGGTGCTCAGCCTGATCCTAGTTTCCTCTTTGTCCTCCCTCTGTCTGGTCTATGCCACACCCTCTCTCCAACATCAAAAACTCAACCCCCTAAGGTCACTCCGAAGCCAGTCTCATTCCCAGTTATCCCATTTCTTTTTCTTTTCTTTTCTTTTGTTTTTCTTTGTTTGTTTTTTTTGAGACGGAATTTCACTCTTGTTCCCCAGGCTGCAGTACAATGACGCGATCTCGGCTCACCACAACCTCCGCGTCCCAGGTTCAAGTGATTCTCCTGCCTCAGCCTTCCGAGTAGCTGGGATTACAGGCATGCACCACCATGCCCGGCTAATTTTGTATTTTTAGTAGAGACAGGGTTTCTCCGTGTTGGTCAGGCTGGTCTTGAACCCCGGCCTCAAGGTAATCCGCCCTCTTTAGCCTCCCAAAGTGCTGGGATCACAGGCATGAGCCACGCACCTGGCTCTTTTTTTTTTTTTTTTTTAATTGAGATGGAGTCCTGATCTGTCGCCCAGGCTGGAGTTCAGTGGCACAATATTGGCCCACTGCAACCCTTGAACCTTCCCGGTTCAAGTGATTCTCCTGCCTAGGTCTTCTGAGTAGCTGGGATTACAGGTGCCCACCACCACGCCCAGCTAATTTTTGTGGTTTTAGTAGAGACGGAGTTTTGCCATGTTGGCCAAGCTAGTCTCAAACTTCTGACCTCAAGTGATCGGCCGGCCTCAGCCTCCCAAAGTGCTGGGATTACAGGCTTGAGCCACTGCGCCTGGCCCAGTTTTCCCATGTCTTGAGGCACCACTACCCATGCACCTCAGAATCCTCCCTTGCCTTTATCCCTTTGATACAGCACATCCCAAAGTGAATCCCCACATGGTCCCTGGTTGCTCAGACTCAGTGAAAAAAAAATGAATGGTCAAGTGAGTTTTGGAAAACCCCAAACGCTTGAAAAATTCTTGGCACACATAAACATATTCAAGGCTCTGAGAAGTTCTGCAGCACAAAACACTTTTAAACTTTGTTCAACTCAGAGTTTCTTTTGGTAAAATCTACCCACATCAAAGAGGGAGGCTCCTAGGAATGCACTTTTGGGAAATGCTGTCCCCCAGCAAGCTCATAAATCAGTTAGCAGGTTCTTGTGAAATGCGTCTGGGTTTCATTTCTTTTCTTCAACCCTTACTGAGCCCAGCCCAGGCCCATCATCTCACACTCTGATTACTCCTAATGGCCTCCTAACTGGTTTAACCGCCTCTGTTTCTTCCCCACCACCATTGCGGCCAGGTTGATCTTCCCCAAACATCACTTTCCAGGCACTCCTGGCTCAGAACACAGGAGCCCCGCCTAGCTCACAGCCTTATCTCCAGGACTTCCCCACACTTTGCCCACCACTCTTGGCTGGGGCTCCTGCACACACCTTGCCTTGTGTATAGTTCCCTCTCCTTTGAACAATGCATCCAAATCCTACTTGTCCTAGAAAACCCAGCTCAGAGCATGCCTCTTCCATGCAGCTGCCCCGATCTGCCTGCTGACATCTATTTTTCCAAAATCCTACTGGAGGCACTGGAGAGTCATAGCCACTTCATAGTCCAGTGTCCCCTACACGACGAATGTAGTCTTGTCCCCAAGGTAAGAAGAGGAAGGTGGGGCTGTAGGGTAGGAGGGGTCAGGGTTGGGGAGCTGGGACAAGGCTGGGAGGAAAGCCAGGCACTGACCCTCGCAGGCCTGCTGGCCACTCCGGAGGCTATAGCCGGCTGTGCACATGCAGGAGCGGGTCGTCTCTGACGTGGGCAGGCAGAGCTGGGAGCAGTCACCGTTGTTGACACTGCAGGGGTTGGTGCCCTTATGGTCTGGGGGCAGGTGGGAGGCAGAGGGAAAGGGTTAGGTGGCCCTCCTTGGGACCTCAGGGTCAGGCTTGGGCTGCTCAGAAACAGGATGGTCACTGACTACCCTGGACCTAATGGGGGTCACCACCCTACCCAGCTCTCAGGTTTTCTGTCCTCCTGGGCCCCTGGCCTTGTGAACAGGGCTGCTGGGAGCCTACAAGGCGCCTTTGTGGTAAGGAAACAAGGAGCCCCTTTGGGTGGTGGGTACAGCCTAACCCACTTACTCCCTTGCCCCATGGCCCTGCAGCCTGCAGCTCTGGACGGCTCCCCTGTTGCCCCTGAGCCCCCAGCGGCCGCCCGGCCTCGCACCTACCCAGCTGGATGCTCTCGTCATAGACCTTCATGTGCATCACCAGGGTGGTGCTGTTCCGAAGGACCACGGAGCCCGAGCCGTCAGCCTTGCTGCATGTGCCCATCTTTTCCGACACCTGATCAGCCCACCACAGCTTGTCCCCTGGGGCAGCAGGAGGGGATGAGACCCTTGGGAAGGCCCCACACCCAGCTCTCCTGAAGGGCCCATTGGCCCTAAGTCATCAGGCCCGCCCCACATGGTGAGAGACTGCCCCAAGCCAGCCCCTGTCTCCCAGTAGGTCTGGCCTGGCCTGCTCTGCGTCATCTCTGCTTCGCCCAGCAGCCCTCACCCATGATGGCCAGGGCGGTGGCCTTGCCCAGCTGGCTCCGCATGGCATCGATGACCTCCAGCCCACTCCCATCCAGGTTGCAGCGGTTGATGGTATGGTTCCCGGAGCTGATCCAGTAGAGTTTGCTTTCAGGGAAGTCAATAGCCAGGCCTGGAAAAGGGGGAGTCACTGCCGGGGAGTCTGGCCCAGGGCTGGGGATCCAGGGAAGGGAGCAGATGGTGAGAACAGGCACTAAGCTAGGGCTCTGGGGAGGCTGAGGGGCAACTGAAGGACCCTGCAAGCACCTGCTGGTCAAGGAATTAGGGAGGGGCTGTGGGGGTGGGCAGGGAAGCTCGTACCCACGGGGCCCTTCTGGCCACTGAAGAGCAGGGTGCGATTGCTGCCATCCATGTTGGCCATGCTGATGTTGTCACCATCGGTCCAGTAGAGCTTCCTGGGGGGAGGGTGCCAAGAGGGAAAGGTCAGGGTCCTCTTCTTCCCAGCCCCACACCCCATGCTCCCCGGCCCTGGGCCCTAGACTGACCCACGCAGAGGGTGGACGACAAGGCCATGGGGCTGCTCCAGGCCCTGCACCACTGCGTTCTTGAAGGAGCCATCCAGCCGGGCCACATTGATCTGCTTCTTATTGGTGTCATAGCTTGTCCAGAACAGGTTTCGGGAGACCCAGTCCACAGCCAGCCCGTGGGCATTTGGCAAGTCTGGGGGCACAAGTAGGGAGTCAGTTGTTGGGTGTCTGCAGGGCAGTGGGTCAGGAGGGGAGCCAGTGTGCCTTCTGGAGAAAAGGGATCAGGAAACCAGGCTGGAGCACTGAGGGGGAACAGGACTGGGAGAAGGACCACTCGGACCAAGTAGACCAGGGTTGGGAGCAAGGGGCGGGTGGAGGTGCCCATGTCCACTGGTGGGCATCCAGGGCCAGGAAGAACCTGCAGAGACGACTGTCTCCACGCCTGTGCCGTTGATGAAGGCCCGCTTGATGGCCTGTGTCCGCACGTCAGACCAGTACACACGCTGCTCGCGGGCATCGTAGTCTAGCACTGTGACGTTGTCGATGTCGGGCACCGTGAAGGAGATGATGTAGTTGTAGTAGGGAGCATCCAGGTCCACACCTCGGATCTCCATCTGACGTGCGTACAGCAGGAACTTCTTAAACTCTGTGGGGCATGGGCTGGTCACTGAAGGCAGTCCCTGCCTCTGTGCTTCCCACCAATCCGGTTTCAGGCCCTGCCTTCTTCTGGATCCGTCTGTTTGCTACTGGCCCTTGGCTCCGTGGACATACCCCGCTGGGTGCAGCCCCCCTGGCAGACCTGCAGCCCCTTCTCACAGTGGCTGTCTCTGGAGCCTCTCCTATCGGGACCCTCCCGACTGGGACTCTGCCTTAGCTGACAACCGGGATCCTGGGGCCTGCGGCCTTCCCTCCAGCCTCAGTTGCTCACTGGCTCTGGAGGGAGGGGCTCCTACCATAGCAGGTGGTGTTGTCCTTGTGGAGCTTCATGAGGTGGGGGCAGGCGCAGGACACGGTCCGGTTGTAGTTGATGAGACACAGGTGGGAGCAGGGGCCCTGGCCCCCATTGGCCTCACAGGGATTGGGAGCTGGGGGCAGGGTGGAGAAGAGAAGAAGCCAGAGCATCCTGTGACTTGCTGCTCCCTACATGGACCACCCCTTCCTCGCCCACTCTCCTCCCCCTGTTCCAGCAGCCGCTACTACTAGACCCTTCTCTGCTGCTAGACAGTGCCTCTGTCAACAGCCGGCCTACCCCTGCCATCCCAGCACAGACTTGCTCCTGTTCTCACTGCCCTCTCCTCTCCTAAGAGCTTCTACAGCTTCTAAAGAGGCTGCTGGCTCCCTTCCGGCTGCTCGAGGCCCCGAGCCCCTTACCCATGGGCTGGCGGGAGGGGTGGTACACCTGCAGGTCAAAGGGCTGGGTGTTGGTCCTCTGTACCACGGTGACATTGTGGCCGGTCCACTTGTTGGCCTTAGCCAGTGTGTTTGTTCGCCAGTCAGTCCAGTAGACCTCCCCCCCGTACAGCGTCACTGCAAACGGGTGCGACAGGAACTCGTGTCCCCGAAGCACCTCCATGTGGCCAGAGCCGTCGTAACGGGCTGAGTAAATGGCATCTGACCTAAGAGCATGATGGAGCAGAATGAGGATGCCAGCTGGGATCTCAGCCCTCAGAGCTCTGCCCAGGTGCCCACCCTCTGGGCCCTGGCCACAGCCCTCCCAGCGAAGAGCATGGGACCATTCCCTCCCCTAAGCCTTGCTGGCCAGAGCAGACAGACAGAAGGACCAAGGTGTGAGAACCCAACAGGTCCAGGTTTCACCTCTCAGGCCCCGATTCCCAAGCCCCAAGGGAATCTTTCGGTCACTTCTCCCCAGGGCTGCTGTCAGCACTCAGGGCTTTGATGAAAGTCAGAAAAAGGCACCCTCAGCGTGAACCCCGGGGGGCGGAGCCTGCAGTGAGCCGAGATCGCGCCACTGCACTCCAGCCTGGGCGACGGAGCGAGACTCTGTCTCAAAAAAAAAAAAAAAAAAAGAAAAGAAAAAGGCACCCTCCCTGGGCAGACCAATTAGAAAGAAGTTTCCCCTCCCTCTGGGCAGACACAGCCCCAGCAGAGGGAACAGAGTGGAGAGGACAGGTGAGTGGAGAGGATGGTACAGTGTGAATAACCACAGCTGATGGCCCTGCTTCCGCCTCCTCTACCTGCCCCCTCCCCTCGGCCCTGGCCTCCCCACGCCCCTCCGTCCTCCTCCTCCTGTGCCCAGTCCTTTGCCACCGTTCCTAGTTCTAGATCCCTTGGTCCTTCTCATCACCCTCATCACCACAGGTTCCTCCCCACCCCGTCCTGGTGCCACAGACTTGGGCCTTCTCAGGGCACAGAGGGTGCTGACCTGGCGTCAATCCAAAGGATGCGCTTCTCCAGGTAGTCCACGGTGAGCCCGTTGGGCCAGCCCCCAGAGCCGGTCTCCCGGTGCACGGTGCGGCGCCCAGCCCCACTCATGGAGGCTGCCTCAATGCGGGGCAGGCTGGCATCCCAGTCTGTCCAAAACAGGATCCTGGGGAGTGGGGAGGGGTCAGGAGGGCTAAAGTCAGGGCCCTCAGGGAGCGACTGTGGTGGGATCGTAGGTAGAGGGTGGGAGGAGGCAGATGGCACTGAGGAGTAAGGTGTCCCTGGCCAGGCTGAATGGGACTTCAGGGGGGCCATGGGGCCAGGAGAAGGCTGGGCAAGGTCCTCACCCATCCCGGGGATCCAGTGCGATTGCCCTTGGGTGCTCAATGTCACCGGCCAGCAGGGTGGTCCGGAGGGTCCCATCCAGCTTGGCCACCTCGATCTGATCCAGGTTACTCTCCACCCAGTAGATGTTGCCTGCAATCCAGTCTACAGCCAGGCCCTCGGGTGTGGCCAGGCCATACTGAATCACCACCTCGAAACTAGTCAGGGCTGGAGAAGAGAGGGCAGTGAAAGGTTAGCGTCTCCTGGGGAGCTGTGCATGAATGTGTGAAATCCTGGGAGCCCTCGATGACCCACCCTCAACCCTGGCACTTCTGCCAAAGTTTCTGATGTGCCCATATTCAAGAGTAGGACTCCTATTGTCTCCCCAACTTTTTTTTTTTTTTTGAGACAGGGTCTTCTGTCACCAAGGCTGGATGCAGTGGCATGATCATGGCTCACGGCAGCCTCAACTGCTTGAGCTCAAGTGACTGCCATAAAGATTTTTCCATGCTAATACATTATGTGTGTGCCTCATTGTTTTAGAGACTGTTGCACAGTGTGGATATCATCACAGTTTACTTAGCCTCCCCCCTCGTTGATGGACATTTGTAATGGTTTCAAATTCAAGTTTGTATTATTACAAACAATACAAACTTCTCTAGTAAAATGTGCCTCTTAGAAGCCTTTGCTCAGATGTCACCTTCTCAGGGGACCTTCCTTGACCACACAACTGAAAACAGCCTGTTTTGATCACTGCTGCATGCCCACTGCCCAGTGTGTACAGTGGGCACTCACTATTGTGTGTGACTGAAGGAAGTCTGGGGTGCACCACGCTGCCTGGGACAGAAAGCAGCGTTCAGGTACGCCACTCCTAAGTGGCTTTTTTCTTTCAAGCCTGCAATTCTAGATCTGGGGAGCAGAGCTCCAGGCCATTCAAAGGTAAGGCTGATCATTTTGTTAATTATCAGGCTGGCAGTTCTGCTGACGATAATTACGGGGCGTCAGGCATGGAGACCCACAGCAAAATCTAACCCAATGAACAGAAGTGTGGGGGATGGGGGAGCCAAGCCTCTGCTTTGGGGCCACTTGGATGGGACCTGTGGCCCCTAGCGCCTGAGCGCTCCGCCTGTGTGCATCCTGCCTGGCAGCAATCGGTGGTCACCTCCGTTGTCCAGCAGCTTCCCGCGGTAGATCTTGTCCTCCACCACGTCGGTCCAGTAGAGGGCGCTCTGGCTGAGGTGGAAGTCCAGGGCGATGGTGTTGCGCAGGCCGGGCACCAGGACGCTGTAGTCTCCTTTGTGAAGATCGATGCGCCGGATTTCATGGCGGTTGGAGAAAATGATGAACGGCTTGAAGGGGTCTGGGATGGGAGGGATGTGATGGGGTCAGCAAGGGGCTAGCTGCCTGTGTGCCACCCGTCCTGGCGCAGGCAGGTCTCTGCTGGTCCGGGCACTGGGGGCTAGGGTGGAAAACTCAGCCTTTGGCACCTGGCCACCAAGCCCAACCCACTGCAGCTCAGAGGCCTGCCTCGGCCTGCCCCACCACACCTCACTGTTGTCTCACCCAGGCTGCGGCAGCTCTCGCCGTCAGGTTCCAGGACCCAGCCCTCGTAGCAGGAGCACTTCACGCTGAACTTGTTCTGGTCGCACTTTTGGCTGCATTTGAGATGCTTGGCACAGTAGCTCTGGATCTGGCAGGTGTGGTTGTCGGGCCCCAGCTCCATGCCCAGAGGGCAGGAACACACAATGCCTTCGCCAGGTGCCACTGAGCAGTTGTGGCTGCAGCCACCGTTATTCAGAGAGCACTGGTCTAGGGGAGGGGCAGGCATGGAACAGACCCAGGGTCAGAAGCTGAGAGGAGGCAAGACCACGGCCCTGCTGGGCCCCAAGTCCTGGGCAGCCTGGACCAAGTCCTTGTGCCCTGCCCACGGCCCCATTCGTCTCCATTCCTGCTGAGCTTCAGGCTGAGCTTCAGCCCAGGACTTCCTGGGCTCCCTCAGGACCAGAGTTGGGACCCTTGCACCCACCAGCTGGCACCATACCTCCCCTTCCCACAGGGAGCACCCCTCAATATCTCTGTCTGGTCTCGATATGTTCCTGCCTTCTTGGGCCCAGGGCGGGGGCCCCAGCTTTTTGCCTCCCTGGGAGGGACCCTGGGAGGTCCTTAGGTCCAGTCCCCTTGTGCTGATCTCTCCTGATTTGGAGGGGTTTGGGGTGGGGTGCAGCAGGGCCTATACCACCCTTGGTCCTCTGGCACACCCTGGAAACTGCCAGCCTGACTGATAGCCTGTCGGCAGTTCTCCCAGCCAGTCCCTGTGGCCTTATCTTCCACTCCTCCCTTCCAAGGAACTGGGGGCTCTGCCTGGCTAAGAGGACCAGATAAGGCTGCTCTGCTCCTCATCCCCAAGTCACACCACATGGTCCTCCCTGACTCCTGGACTCCCCCAACCTCATCTCTTTTGGTCTTGAATGGGCACCCTCCTCCCCTTGCCTGTTTGTTTGTTTGGGATGGGGTCTTGCTCTGTCGCCCAGGCTGGAGTGCAGTGGCAGGATGTTGGCTCACTGCAACCTCCGCCTCCCAGGTTCAAGCGAGTCTCCTGCCTCTGCCTCCCAAGTAGCTGGGACTGCAGACATGTCCGGCTAATTTTTGTATTTTTAGCAGAGACAGGGTTTCACCATGTTGGCCAGGCTGATCTCAAATTCCTGAGCTCAAGTGATCTGCCCGCCTCAGCCTCCCAAAGTGCTGGAATGACAGGTGTGAGCCACCGCGCCTGCCCCCATGCCTTCTCACTCACTCTGCAAGTACTGCCTGTCCTTGGGAACCCCATGCAATCCCCACATCCTCCAGGAAGCCTGCCCTGACCATCAGCAGTCAACCCTGGTGCCTTTGTCTCCACAAGAGCACTCCGCATCTCTCTGTGGTATGCATGTGGGCAAGGGGTCTGAGTCTCCACAGCAGTTTAGGAGCTGTACTACCTTGGCCCAAGTCTGGGGGACCACTATGGAACCCCTCCATGCCTCAGTGCTCCCATCTGTCAAACGGAGAAAACAGAGCACCTGGCCCCCAGGGATGCCTTGTGGATAAACTGCTCTAATGGCGTGGCTCACTCAGCACAGCGCCATGGGGAGCGCCAGGTCCACACAGGCTGCTGGTGACCACTCTGGGTGCTGCTCGCCTGCCCGGCTGCCAGAGCTGCTCTCTCCTAGACTCAGGTCCCCCAAAGACTGTCCTTGGCCCAGACTCCTACCCAGCCACCCTCCCTACCCTTCTCCTGGGACCAGGCCTCACCGCAGAGCTCGCCCTCATCTGAGCCGTCGCCACAGTCGTCGTTGCCATCACACAGCTTGTCAGGGGGCAGGCAGACTGAGGTGTTGTTGGCACAAGGGTGCGAGGGTGGCCTGCAGGCCAGGGACTCGCAGTTCTCCTCGTCCGAGTTATCCTCACAGTCATTGTCGCCATCACACACCCACGCTTTGCTGATGCACCGAGCTGAGGGACAGGTGCACTATGAGGGCCCAGGCCCGGGGACTGGGGCTCCCCCTGCCCTTCCTTCCAGACCCTGTGGGCTTCTCTAATAGGGTCAGGATTGCAACGCTGTGGGGTCCACGAGGAACCCCGAGGCTTTTTGGGTCAAATTCACATAGGCAACAAACAAGGCAGGAATCTGCAGCAGGAGGTGCTGAAGCTCAACTCTGGTAGGGTTTTGGCTTCTCAGGTCCTCTGTGCAGGCTCTGGCCCTTCATGCCTTCCCCCACCCATGACACACAAGCTTCCTCTGGACTGCCTTTTGCCTTGCACTGTCCCCAGCACCACTCCACACAGCACAGTGCCATCCCCTTTGCCGCTACTCTGCTCTCAACACGGTCTCCTCCTGCCCACATTGTGCTGTTCCAGACGCCCTCCAACCATCCTCTTCACCTGAGTCCTTGCAGCCAAACTTGACACTGGGATCGCAGACGTGGGTCACTCCCTCACAGCTCTTCTCATCGCTGGAGTCCATGCAGTCAGTGTCCCCATCGCAGCGCCACCGCAGGGGGATGCATAGTCCATCCAGCCGGCACTGGAACTCATCAGTGTGGCAGCCACCAGGGGGCCTCGTGGCTGCAGAGGGACAGTGGAGGGCCTCAGGAGGGAGGGGTTGCCCAGGTCAGCCCTCCTCATCCCTGTGCCCTGCCACCCCGGTAAGCCCAGCCTGGGGATATGAGCAGAGGCAGGCCTGGAGAGTCTGCCAAGCTTTGCTGACACTCCTTGGAAGCACCAACTCAGTAGTAGAGTCAGGAGGCATCACACCTCCAAGGGCCCCACAATCACCTCATCTAATCCCCCCATTGACACCGGAGATCTCAGCTGGAGAAGCAATTTGCTAAGGCCTGAGCCCAAATGCCCACCTCCTTAGCCTCTATTTCATTCATTCATGCCACAAATGTTTACTGAGTGCCTCCTGTGTGCCAGGCGCTGTCCTGGGGCCAGCACTGAACCAGACAAAGTCCCTACCCTCATGGAGCTTAGGTTCTAATGGGGAAGAGAGACAAGACATAACCCATAAATCTAGACTGTAATTTCAGGTATTGATAAAGCTATGGAGATAAAGCTGGGTAGAAGCTGAGAGGGATGGGGGTGATCTGTCAGGTAAGATGGTCAGGGAAGACCTCTGGGCAGAAGGAATCTGAGCAGAGGCCTGCATGAAGAGCGAGTGAGCCCAGAGGATCCCTGGAGGCACACTCCAGGCAAGGGGAACAGCCGCTGCAAAGTCTCATCTCCGAGATAGGACTACGCCAGCACTTCAGAAAACAGCACACAGGCCAGGCGCGGTGGCTCACGCCTGTAATCCCAGCACTTTGGGATGCCAAGGCGGGCGGATCACGAGGTCGGGAGATCGAGACCATCCTGGCTAACATGGTGAAACCCTGTCTCTACTAAAAATACAAAAAATTAGCCAGGCGTGGTGGCAGGCACCTGTAGTCCCAGCTACTTGGGAGGCTGAGGCAGGAGAATGGCGTGAACTGGGAGGCGGAGCTTGCAGTGAGCTGAGATTGCGCCACTGCACTCCAGCCTGGGCGACAGAGAGACTCCATCTCAAAAAAAAAAGAAAGAAAAGAAAACGCCACAGCTGCCCGGGAGGCAGAGCTTGCAGTGAGCCGAGATCACGCCACTGTACTCCAGCCTGAGCGACAGAGGGAGACTCCATCTCAAAAAAAAAAAAAAAGAAAAAAGAAAACGCCACAGCTGGAGTAGAGTGCAGGGGGAGGGGAGGGCAGGAATGCAGGTCAGAGGGGTAGGGGTGGGGGCCCTGCAGGCCGTGCAGAGGGGCTTGGCATTTGTTCCAAGGGTGCAGGGAGCCAGTACAGGCTGGAGGGCAGGGCCAGGGCATGATCTGACTTATGTTGTCAGGATCACTCTGGCTGCTGTCCTGAGATCTGACTCAGGAGGCCAGGAGAGGAGCAGGAGCACTGCCTGGTGGAGCCCCACACTCATACACTCATGCTGCCACAGACACCCCGCTCCTCCCCCTTCCCTACCCTGGACCCAGCTGATGCTCTCATCTCATGCCGGGACTTTCAGCAGCAGTCTCTGAACTGATTTTCCTTTCTTGGGGCCCCTGAACCTCTTCTCAATCTAATCTTCCTCTAGGGCTGTGTTCCGAAATCACCTCCTACATCACAGCACCTTCCGGCTTGGAAATCCTTCAAAGGTTCCCAGTGCCTCCCAAATCAAGCCTCTCACGATTTACACCTGCTGTCATCATCTGCCCCCTTTGAGGACAGCCTCATTCCCCACTGTCCCTGCACGAGCCTTTCCCTCGGTCTGAACGGCTCCACCTGGCCCCACTGTCACCCTACGGAAGTGCTCAGTTTCACCCTCTAAGTCTTGACGACAGCATTCTCCGGACCATGCCATCCCCACTGGAAGACCCTCCCTCCTGTCCATTTACCTGCAGTCTAAACACAACTCCTCCTGAATGGTCCCAGACCATCCAGCTCATACCATAGTTAACAACTGCTACCAATAGTGACACCCTGCTCCTCCACGCCAGGCCTCACATACCTCAGCTCATTTCATAAAGGAGGATGCCCAGGCTCAGGGGAAGCAACTTGTCCAAATTTGCCCAGCTTATCTGGGAGCGGCAGGGAGCTCTTCTCACCACACCACACAGCCTCCAGAGGCCCCTTCTCAGAACCCTAAGGGATATCACCTGTGCCCCTCACCCTCCCCTTCACAGAGATAGCCCTGGAGACGCAATTACTATTTCCCAAGCTTCCTGTGGCCTTCTCTGTCCTCCCTCTCAGGGCAGGGCTCAAGGTGGGCACTCAACGCTGTCCAGTCTTCTCCTACTAGGGTGGGAATGTGCCCTAACTCTATAAGGCAGAGGCTGTAATCTAGTGGTCCATGGGTCAGATGAGGCCTGCAGGAAGAGTTTGGTCTGTAGTTTTTTTTAAACTTTTTTTTTCTTTTGAGACAAGGTCTTATTCTGTCACCCAGGCTGGAGTGCAGTGGCGAGCTCACAGCTCACTGCAGCCTCAACCTCCTGGGCTCAACCTCTCACCTCAGCCTTCTGAGTAGCTGGGACTACAGGCATGTGCCTCCATGCCCAGCTAATTTTGTTTATTTTTTGTAGAGAAAGGGGTCTCACTATGTTGCCCAGGCTGGTCTTAAACTCCTGGAAACAAGTGATCCTCCTGCCTTGCCTCCCAAAGTGATAGGATTACAGGTGTGAGTCAACACACCCAGCCTTTTTTTTTTTTCTTTTCTTTTTTCAAGATGGGTTCTCCCTATGTTAACCAGGTTGGTCTTGAACCCCTGGCCTCAAGTGATCCTCCCACTTCACCCTCCCAGAGTGCTGGGATTATAGGCATGAGCCACCATGCCTGGCCTGCACCCAGCCTTTTAAAACTTCTAAAATCAACTGCCAGTTGGTATGGCTTGAATTGTGTTCCCTAAAAAGATATTAGTCCTATCCCATAATACCTGTGAATATGACTTTATTTGGAAATAGTGTCTTTGCAGATGGTCAACTTAAGATGAGGTCATAAGGGTGTATCCTAATCCAATATGACAGGTGTCCTCACAGAAAGGGGAAATGGGGATCTGGTGACAGACATGCCCACAGGGAGGACACCGTGTGAAGATGAAGGCAGAGATCGGGTCAAGCTTCGACAAGCCAAGGAGCTGCAAAGATTGCCAGCAAACCGCGGAGGCTGGGGAGAGGCCTGGGACAGAATCTCCCACACGGCCTCAGAAGGAACCCACCCTGCCAACAGTTGGGTCTGGGACTTCCAGCCTCCAGAACTGTGAGACGAGAGAAACTAATACTGTAGTGTTAAAAATTTGGTAGTTTTCACATAAAAATCTGCACATCTTCCAGAGCTAGGAAGCCAGCATTCCTTGAGAGGGCCCATCCCTCCAGAAAACTAGGTCCCCACCGCCCCCGAGGCTGGGCCCCAGAGGCCAGGGCACTGGGAGCCTTGTGGAGCCAGGCCCTCTCTCCTCTGTCTCTTCAGGCTCATTCATCCCTGCCTGCAGCATCCTTTTCTCAAGCTACTATTTACCAAACACAGGCCGTGTGCTGAGCACTTTTCGTGCGTGATCTCACTAAACTCCCACATCAGCGCTGTGATGTTGGTGCTATTATTACCCCACTTTGCAGACGAAACTCACAGAGGCCCATGGAGATTAAGTAACTTGCTCAAGGCCACCCAGATAATAAGCTGCAGAGCTGGAGCTCAAACCCAAGGCCACCAACTGCAAAGCGCATGATATTAACAGCGTGTGGCAATGATTTTTCGGCAACCTCCCTCTCCCACAGGACCGGGAGCTCCTGAAGGACAAGAGCCATGCCTAGGCTACCTCTGGCTCCCAGATGGTGGCCGACACACCGTGGGTCTGAAAGACAGATGGATAGGCTGGGTGTCTGATGCAGGGGGCTCGATCTCATCCCCACCCCACGGGCCCCTGGTGCCCACCCTGGTTGGTGCAGTTGGCGTGTGTCTCATCACTGTAGTCTCCGCAGTCATTGTCCCCATCGCAGGTCCAGTGCTCGGGGATGCAACGCCCGCTGTTGCACTTGAACTGGGTGCTAGAACAGGAGTGGCTGCAGCCGGCTTCGTCACTGTTGTCCCCACAGTCATTGTCTGGCGGTGGGGGAAGAAGGGGAGAGGCAAAGCGGGAGTTGGTGGAGCAGCCTTCTCTGTGATCCCAGCTTGGGCCCCCTGCCCAGAACCCACCCTCAGCCCACCCTAACCCCCCCACTGGGAAAATAACAAACAGAAAAGACACAGAAACTGCATAGACTGCAGCATGCACCATGGCCCACGTGGTCAGGATGAGGAGGAGGAGAAGGCTCCTGGAGGGCCCCTCACTGAAGCTCAGAAAGGCTGGGTGCAGGGAACATTAAACATTTCATTTCCCCTTTCTGGCAGGTGTGGGAACAGGGGTCTGCTTGCTTTTGGGGGAAAGGCAGGGGTTTCTCTAGTTTTGGAGGGAGAGAGGTAGGTGGGGTGCAGGCGTGGCCGGCTTGAGACAAGCTTTACAGGCCTGCCCTGAGGCTGGCACTGCTGAATACCATGCTCTGGGTGCCTGGCTTACAGGGGCCCTGCCTGTGGCTGGCAAGAGTGGGGGCCACTTCTGGACCAAGCTCGCTGAGGCTGGCTGAAGGAAGCTCCTGCTTTCTCAGCATTGGGTGGGGGCTGCTTGACTTGACCCTCTGTATTTATGGGACATGTGGTGGAGACTGGGGTTTGGGTTATGTTCCTGCCTCTTTTCCAACTGGATTTGCTTCTCTAACTCTCTCCTCCCCTTGCATCTTGGGCTTTTTGTCACCACCTCTCTGTCATCTCCTTTCCTCAGAGGCTCCCTCTGCCGTCTCTGCTTCTTTCCTGACCACTATTTGCTTTCTCCCTCTGTTTTCTGCTCTCCCTCCTCTCTGTTGCTTTTTCTTCATATCCTAGCAGCTCTGGAGTAGGGGCCTGGAGAACCTGCAGGGGGCTGGGGCCAGCTGAGCTCTGGGTGATGGTGCATGTGCTTCTATGCACTGACCGGCAGGCTCAGGACAGGTCTGTTCGTCAGAGCCGTCCCCACAATCCTTCTCTGAAACACAGAAACCGCCGGGGCAACCATTGGCATGCGAGACACAGAAAAAGTGAGGGGCAACGTGGCACTGACCCAACACATCCGCTCACACATCAGCTGGGACAGGAACCACTGGGGCAGCACGTCACAACACAACACAGACAGAACAGAGCCCTGAGACACCACACACGGCAGTCACCTGCCCGCACATTTACACACATACTAGCCCTGGTGGCTCAAGGCTGACATCACCTGGTCCATGGCTATCTGCCAGGTGGGCTTCTGAGCCTGAAGCCCAGAGCCTGAGGGGTGCACCAAGGACTCCAGGAAATGGGGGTTTGCAAGGAGAAAGGAGTCAGGCACCGGTTTCTCCTTGCTCTGCCTCTCTGGCCCATCTCACTCATCTCTCCCTGGCCTCCGAGCCCTACTAGAGGGTGGGCAGCTCAGGCCCTGCCTGGGGTAGGAATGACACTAAAAGGTGATGGTCTCCCCTTGGTCCATCGTGGCTCCCTCCAGGCATTTCTGACTTCTCCTGTTTTCTCCCAGGCAACCCAGCAGGGATTCAGTGTCCTGGAGGGAGGCCCTGCTGGATTCTGAAGCCCTTTGCCTTCCCTGGAGGGCCTGGCTGTAGCCTCTAGCTGTCTTAGGAATCAGCAGGTGAGGAGAGCAAGCTCTTACCATTGTCGCATCTCCAGTTGATGTTGATACATCTGCCATTGTTGCAGGTAAACTGAGTCAGGGGGAAGCAGGTGGGATAGGCTGTGAGGAAGAAAGAGTAGCTGAGTAGGGCCTTCACGATTACACAGCATCACAGTACTGGGCAGGTGAGTGCAGCGGCCCTCCCATAACCAGCAGCCCTTAGCCCAGTCAGGAAGGGTGGGGAAGGCCCCGCAGCAGTGCCTCGGCTGGAAACTCCACTCACTCATCCCCATGAGTCAGCAGACACAGGACCTGTGCTGAGTGCTTTTCCTGCATGAGTTTGCTGAGACACAATGCTGTGATGATGGGGCTCTCCTCTCACAGAGGCCACCGAGATTAACTCACTCAAGGCCACCCAAGTGCTGGGTTGCAGGTGTCTCCGGCACCCCCAACTGGCATGCTCTCAGGATGCCCCTCCCCCAGGCCCAGCCTGACTCCCTCTGCCCATCCCTCTTACCACACGAAGCAGACTCATCAGAGCGGTCCCCACAGTCGTCATCCAGATCACACGTCCAGGAGATGGGGATGCAGCGGCCACTGGCACAGGAGAACTGGTTGGGGGGGCAGGTGCGGGCTGGGGGGCAGGGATGGGTGTGAGTACTCATTGTCCTGACCCTCTCTTCACTGCCTCTTCTTCCCTATTATTCTCTGCCTTTGGTGTCCCTTATTTCCAAGGATCCAAAACCATTTCTCTTAGAGAATTCAAAACCATCTCTCTGGTCTCACTGGATGCTTTACTCTTTCTCTCAAGGGGTCTCTGGTATCCTCCCAGGAGGAGATCTACCCTGCCTTGTTCCTCCTCTCCAGTCTAGAGCTATGCTCTGTCCCCTGCAAGCTCAGCCCTCTCAGTTTCCCAGGCTGGGAAGGGGATAGCAGACCCCACTCCTGCTCAGGGCTCCATCCCCTCTGCCCTAAATTCTTTTGCTCCTTTCATTTTATTTTTAGAGACAGGTCTCGCTCTGTTGTCTAGGCTGGAGAGCAGTGGCATGACCATGGCTCACTGCAGCCTCAACCTCCCAGGCTCAAGTGATCCTCCCACCTCAGCCTCTCAAGTAGCTGGGACTAGAGGTGCACGCCACCACGCCCGGCAGTTTTTTTAAATTTTTTTTGTAAAGAGTGGGAGGTCTCACTATGTTGGCCAGGCTGGTCTTGAGCTCCTGGGCTCAAGTGATCCTCTCACCTTGGCCTCCCAAAGTGCTGAGATTATAGGCATGAGCCACTGAACCTGGCCCCCTCGTCTCCCCTGCCTCCTTGACTGAGGGGTGCCTCGTGTGATCTGAGCCCCGCTCCACACCTGAACAAGTGGCATTGGACTCATCTTCACTGTTCCCACAGTCATTGTCCCCGTCGCAGAGCCAGCGGTTGGGGATGCACCGGTTGTTCTCGCACTTGAATCGGTCCGAGGGGCAGGTGTGCTGATCTGGGGAGGGAATGAGTCAGGGGTCAGCGAGAAGTTGGGTGCCCCCAGCTTCCTGCCCGCTCCAGTATAGGCACTGCCAGAGCCGAGCTGCCCTGCAGGCCTGCCATCCAACAGGGTGGGGCAGGGCGTGTGACTCACGGCAGAGGGCTGGGGCCTCATCACTGTTGTCCAGGCAATCGTTGTCTCCGTCACACTTCCAGCGCTCCTGGATGCAGCGGCTGTTGGCACAGGCAAACTCGCCTGGCTGGCACTGGGGTGGAGGCACGTAGGATGGGTTCGCTGTGGGCACCACAGGATCGTGAGGGGGAAAGTCAGACCCCGGTCGTGGGACAAGTACTAAGCCCTTTGCACCATTTTTGTTTGTTTTACTATTTTTTAATAATACAAAGTAATTTTTTCTAGTACAAAATTCCTCATGAAACAAATTATCTGGATGGAAACTGCAATTCTTTCCCAAGCAACAATAGTGATGTTTACTCTACTTAATGCTTACTGTACTTCAGTGTGACCTGAGAATCAAATGGTGTCCAAGAGAGCCCATGGCCTCTATACCTCTGTCACCACCGAACAGGCTCTCCCCACTCCTTCCCTGACTTCTCCATGAACTTCCCCTTGGAAGTCATCTCCGGGAACCCCAGGGCCCTGCCCCGGTCCCTGGACTTTTTATTTCACAGTTTCATCGGTCCCACCAGCAGAAGTGAAGATGGCACCACATCCGCGCAGGCTCCACCCATCCTGTCCCCAGAACGTATGCCTCACCATCACTATCTGTCTTGGCCCATTAGCAGCTAAATCACGACGTCCTTTGTCTGTGCCTTGGTAACCTCCACAAGTGCAGGCTCCTGTGTGAGCCCGGTCTCCAGACCTCACAGCTGGGCGCTTGCCTGGTCTGACTCATCTCCCACCCCTCTCTAATCTCTGAAACTTCCCATGGCCCCATGGGTGGCGATTTCCCCTCCCGTATCCCATGGACCATGGACCTGGAGGCTGGTATGTGTCCTCCTTGCTCCTCACTGCTGTTCCCTGGACTGTTCTTCCCCTTACATCATGCTTCTGTACCAACCTCTACTTCTGGAAGGCTCCCAGGCTGCACCCTGTCATCTGTAAGGGTTTTTAGCTCCTGGCTCACCAGCACTTTCTCCAAAATCACTCCTGGTTCAGTTCTTGGTGACTTCAACTTCCATGTGGATGATCCTCCCATTACCTTGGCCCCTCCATTCCTTAACCCTCTCAGCCAACGCCCTCTCCTGACCCCAGCCACTCCCTCCTAGGTGTACACTATGGCTGCACTGACCCATTTTCACTTCCGGGATTCTATCCTAAGGAAACCATCCAGAATATGGGCAGGCATGATGATGTGACAAATAGCAGAGGCATGATTACAAAACAGGCTCTGGGTCAAACTTCATGGGTTTAAATCCTGCTCTAACTTTGGGCCTCAGTTTTTTCATCTGTAAAATGGGGATAATAAAACCACTTTTCCCACCAGGATGTTTTTAGGGGTAAACAAATTACTGCAAGGGAAATGTCCATGACAGTGCTGAGCACACAGTCCATGCTCAACAAACATGGGTTGTGATTATATCAAAAAACTGGAAACAACCTAAACATCCAACAGTAGAGAAACGGTTGAGTAAATTACGTGAAATTTATCAAATGAAATATATTTTAGCCATTAAAAATGCTGCTTATGTACTCGTTACATACTGTCAAGTGACAAAAGCAGGAAACAGAACAGTATGTGCAGCACGACTCCATTTATGTGAAAGTAAATCATAGGGAAACATTTGGGAGGTGGTTCCCCCAAATGGTAACAGTGGTTATCTACAGGTGGTGGAATCTGGGATGATTTGGGCTTTCTCCTTTGTGTTTTTCTATACTGTTTACTTATTTCATTGTTTTGTTTTGCTTTTTGAGATGATGTCTTGCTCTGTCGCCAGGCTGGAGTGCAGTGGCACAATCTCGGCTCACTGCAACCTCCGCTTCCCAGGTTCAAGCGATTCTCCTGCCTCAGCCTCCCAAATAGCTGGGACTACAGGCGTGTGACACCATGCCTGGCTAATTTTTGTGTTTTTAGTAGAAACGGGGTTTCACCATGTTGGCCAGGCTGGTCTCGAACTCCTGACCTCAAGTGATTCACCCGCCTTGGGCTCCCAAAGTGCTGGGATTACAGGTGTGAGCCACTGTGCCCGGCCTTACTTACTCCGTTTTACAATGAACACAACCCATTTTGAATAAAAAACAAGGCTTGTTAAAATCATGCAATAACAACACAGAAAATGCTGTGACACTTGAACCGAAAAGGGCAGAAGACATTTTATAAACAGATGATTACAGCTATGTAAAAAACAATTATAACCCCCCTGAGGAAAAAAGAATGGTGTTCACTTTACCACAATGCTAACAATATATGGTGCTCACTGGTGGGATTTGGGCTTTTTTCTCCTCTCTAATTTCCAACATATATATTATATGTATTTTTTAATGTTAATTTTTTTTTTTTTTGAGACAGAGTCTCCATCTGTCGCCTAGGCTGGAGTGCAGTGGCATGATTTCGGCCCACTGCAACCTTTGCCTCCGGGCTTCAAGTGATTCTCCTGCCTCAGCCTCCCGAGTAGCTAGGATTACAGGCACCTGCCACCACGCTTGGCTAATTTTTGTATTTTTAGTAGAGATGGGGTTTTGCCTTGTTGACCAGGCTGGTCTTAAACTCTTGACCTCAAGTGATCAGCCTGCCTTGGCCTCCCAAAGTAATTTCCAATATTTGGAACTATTTATTATTTTACTTTAGTAATGGAGAAATACATTTAAAAGAAGTGAAGGATAATTTCCTCCTTCCATCCATAGCTGTCCATTCTTCACTCAGTTTCCCCTAATTGCCATCCCCTCACAAGTCCCTCCCAGCCTCCCATCTTCCCTAAACTCCCTCCTAGCCCCCAGAGCCTTTGCTCTCCCCCTCCCTTGCTTCCTGTTGGCCCCCTAAGGGCCCCTCATTGCCTCCTTAATCTCTGACTGGGACCCTGGATCCTCCCCTCCCCACTCTTCGGCATCCTCCTGATGGGGTCTGCTTCCCACTCCCACCCAGCCAGGCACCTCATACCCAAGCAAGTGACGCCGTCTGCGTCCAACACCTGGTCCTCAGCACAGGCGCACTGGCGGCTCCCAGGGGTGGCCAAGCACAGGCTGCTGCAGCCGCCATTGTTCACCCGGCATTTGTTGGTGCCAACTGTGGGGAAGGGCCATGGGGAAAGGCAAAGGGAGGAAGAGGTGAGGAGAGGTCAGAGAAGGGATAGGGGAGGAGACACATTAAGATGTGGGGACAGAAAGAGGAAATATGGAGAGGAAGAAGATCATGTTGAAGAACAGGAGACACAGACATGGGGCAGGAAGGGAAATGGGGAACAGAGAATCAGATTGTGTTGGGGGAGTTCTCTTCTCAGGATCCTCAAAAGTCAGAGCCTAGGATCCCTGGGAAGTGCCTTCACTCCCAGGGAAGTCTCAAATCAATGCCTAAGTCCCACCACCCCTTCCAGGTCCCACGCTGCCCCCAGCCCCAAGGAGGTACCTTGCTGCTGCTGGGCATCATACATTCGGATCTCAAAGATGGGGGGCCGCTCACTGCGCAGAAGGGTCACAGTGGGGGGTGCGCCTCCTACACCCCGTTCCAAGCGGTAGACACTGCCACTCCGATACTCAGTCCAGAAGAGGTAGTTGCCATGGTGACACAGGCCAAAGGCGTGGTTCAGCTCAGGACCTTCATACACAATCTAGGGATGGAGAGGATGTTACTAAGGAGTTGGAAGAAAATTGAGGGAGGCCTGTGAGATCACTGTTTTGTACATTCATTTGTCTATGTCCTGGGCATGGGTTTTGCTTTGTTTCCCCCATTAGCCTGGGAGCCCCAGAGAGTGATAGTTTTGCACACAGTGGGATGGTAGATCCTGAAGCCAGCGGGTGATCGAGTGATCCAGCAAGGATGCTGATGGTGAGGTTGTCCATATGGTCCTCTCCTGGGCTCATTCCTATTCATTCATAGTCCCCAAACACACACACGCACACATACGTGCACACACACACACACACACTCATATGCGTGCGCGCACACACACACACTAATGAGCAGACGGGCAGTATTCATCCATTCATTTCTTCAACATTTACCAGGATCTGTTAGGGGCTGAGCTGTAGTAGGTAGTAAGAGGTGAAAACGACACGATCTCTGCCCTTGAGCTTCCCACTGTCTCAGATAGGGCACATACGGGTGATCCAGTGTGAAGAGGGGTCTGGAGATGACATCCTAGGGGAGGTAGCCCCTGAGCAGTCTGCCAGGGGAAGAGGAGCTGGGGTGAACATTCCATGTGGAATGAACTGCATGAGTAATGGCACAGAGGGCAGATGCTCTGTGACGTGTGCTGGGAGGAGCAAGCTGTCTAGTGCTGCTTGTTCAAAGAGTGTTGGGATGAAGGAAGTGGGGAGAAAAGAGACCAGAGAGGGGGTCAGGGGCCATATCATGAAGGGCCTTATATACTAGAACACGTACATGACTCGTGAAGCACATGACAACCCAAATGACCAAGTGTAGAGATATGCCGTCCCTAGGCCCTCACACTTGCAGAGAGTGCAGACACACACCAAGGCATGCCGTGTATCTATGCACACACATGAGGAGGCGCACATGGTGTGTATGCAGAGACTGGCACATGGACAGTCAACTTCACAGACAACACGAATAGACACAAAGAGACGCAAATGGAGGCAATCCTCAAACAAACAACACAATACATAAGACATGCAAGCTCACAGATGTACACATCTATAGATGCACAGAAAAATAGATGCACACATCTATAGAGGCACACAGGCCTGGACACACACAGATACCCACATACTCACACAGAACCTCATCCACGCCCAAGCATGGTCTAGCAACACACACAGATTCCCCCACACAGGCACATGCCTGCCCACCTTCCGGTCTGTGCCATTGAGCAGTATCGTCTCGATGCGGTCGTAGAAGGCATCCACCCAGTAGAGGCGCCCAGCCGGGATGTCCAGGCTTAGCCCATTGGGCCAAAGCACTGTCTTGGAGGTGACAAAGATGTCTCGGTGTGAGCCATCCATCCACGCCCTCTCCAGCCGCCCACGCCGACTGTCCTTGGGGTCCTCCTCCCAGTCTGTCCAGTACATCCACCTGTGGGCAGCGACTGGTCAGCATCACCTGGGCACCCCCGCCATCAACAGCCTCCCCTGTGATCCCAATCCATGAGTGCTGTCCCAGAGCTCCTCACAGGGGTCTCCTGTCCTGCTCATCACTGGACCACACATTTCATTCATTCACTCCATTCAACAAATATTTGTTGAGTGCCTGTAAGTTGGGCACAGTTTTGGCATTCATGGATGCAGTGGAGACCAAGGCAGCCAAGGTCCCTGCTCCCACGGAGCTCCCATCCCACAAGAAACAGGTCAATCAAGGTTACATGGAGAGCGATAAAGGCCAGGAGGGAAATAAAGCAGGGTGATGGGGTGGAGAGTGACCGGGCTGCAGGTGGGGGTGTCAGGGGAGTGATGGAGAAGGCCACCATGAGGAGGTGGCATGAGTGAGACTTGATGTAGAGAAGAAGCCAGTCCGGCAAATATCTGGGAGTTCCAGGCTGAGGAACTCCAAGAGCAAAAGCCCTGAGGCAGGAGGAGCCGGGGTGCTTGTTTGAGAAACAGACAGCAGGCAGTGGGGACAGAACTTCAAGTGTGGGAAGCGGGATGCAGATGAGGTCAGACAAGGGCCAGGCAGACACTGTGGGGCTGTGCAGGCCTGACAAGAACGTGGGCCTCATTCTCAGGGTAAGGGGAGCTGGTGGAAGGCCCTGAACTGGGAGTGACAGGATCAGATTTCTTCTATGTTTAAGGAATCACTCCCATTTCCCTGAAGACAGGGACTCCTTCTCCCCTTGCAGACTCTCATTCCTGCTAAAGTATCCCGCCTCACCTGCCTTCCCCTGCTTCCCTGTCCATTTCATCCTCCAGTTATCTGAGGCCCACACACTCCCAGCTCCTCCCACCCCAAGGCCTGGGAGGACTCACCCATTGAGTGGATCCACCACAATAGCCCTGGGGTGTGTCATTTTGCCCTCGATTAAAGTCTTGCGGGTCTGAGCAGCTTTCTCCAGCCTGGCCACGCTGATTGTCTTTTTGGGCCCATCGTCCGTCCAGTACAGATTGTCTCCCATCCAGTCCACGGCCACACCCTCCACATTGTGGATGCCTGTTGGGGGAAGAGGGACCAGTGATGAACAGCTTCAAAGGAAGTTCAAAGCTGCCTGCCTCTGGCCCTCCCGGACTCAGGTACCTTTGAGCAGTCTGGGCTACAGAGGGGTGCAGGGACCCTCTGGGGCCCTAGACAGATGGGTGGGGGTAGGGACAGGAGGCTGGAAAAGGAATAGGGGAAAGCCCTGTGTGCTGCCATTTGTATCAGGGCTAGCCTCTCAAAACCACACGTGGCAGATGGTAAACTACATGGCTGATGTGGGCTCTCGTGTGAGGGCATCTGGCCCGTGCCTGCATGGAGAGCTGAAACAACGGGCATGTGGCTCTGGGCACAAGTGTGACATCATATCCTAGGCCTAAAAATCCTGAACTAACAAAATGAATAAATTAGGAAGTGATTTTTCACTTAGCCAAAGCCTTCACTCCAAGTGTCCTTTAAATAGCAGTTCCCTTGGTATAGGGACCCCTAATCTTTTCCTGATGAGTTACTTTTGATTTCCCCAAAGTCTTGTGATATGATTGCTGACTGTTGATTTTCTCTGAACTACAGTGTGGATGGGGTGCAGGGCAAAGGTTATAACTGGCATCCACCAGATTGATGGGGAGGCGGCCTGATCCTGAGGCCCAAGTGCAGATTTGGGGCAGAACTCGTACAGCTCAGAATCCTTCACATAGACATTAAAAAGACAATGCACTGTGAACCTGCCCAAGCAGCTCAGAGGGAAGACCTGGATGCAACTCACAAAACACAATTTTCTCAGGACACATTAGCATGCAGTTTTTGGCGACTGCAAGGTCAGCTGCACAGACCCTGTGTGCGCACATACATGTGGGTGTGCCCTGTTTTGATCTGGCAGGCCTGTCTCCAATTCAAGACCTCAGTTGTCCCCTGGCTGTGTGCTGTGTGCAGCTCCAGGGCTCTAAGCCAATGCAGACAGACCCTGAGTTTTCCCAAGGGCTGGCAAGGACGGCCCATGCTGCCTAACCCATCCTAACCCTGCCTCTTTGGCTCAGCCAAGAAGGGGGTCACACAGGGGTCAATCTGTCTATCCCCTCATCTCCATGCCAACCAGTGCAGCCAGCCAGTCAGCAGGGGACCATCCTGCTGAGAGGGCACCGAGAAACAGATGCCTGGGCCCCAGCCCCCTTCCATCCCCATGGGCCACATCCCTAGGAGCCCATACCGTCCTTCAGGATGGTCTCCCGCTCAGTGCCATCAATCTTCTGGCGGCCAATGAGGTAGCTGGTGGTGTCGGCAAAGTAGATGAAGCCGGTCTCAGCGTGGAAGTCCAGGGCTCGGGGGTTCATGAGGTTTTCAATGGGGATCATGTGCTCATCCGGGACCTTGGCCCCCATATCCATGCCCCGGATGATGCCTGGCCGGCCCTTGCCATACACGAGGAACAGCTCATGCTCCGGCTCTAGAGCAGGCACAAGCCAGGGTACAGTCAGACACACACATGACCATCATCCCCACCCAGGGGCTGCGGCCAAGGGGCTGCAATGCCCTAGCTGTGATGGGTCAGGAGACGTTAGGGATGCGAGGCTCTGGGTCAGATGGACAGACCACGCACACGCTAACATACAGGACGATGGGTCCTGGCCGCAATACCCTGGGGTCTGACCTCTGCACTCCAAGGGTAGGAAATGAGGGAAGAATAGCAGGTTTTCAGCTAAGTGCCCACTGATCAGTCATGAAATCAGTGGTATAAAAGGAGTACCTTCAAAATATGTTGGAGTCACATCACTGTTTACCACTTCCTCTGCTGCCATCCTAGTGTAAACCACATCACTTCTTGCCCACTACACTGAAAGTCTTCTGGCTACTTCCCTACTGCCCATCCCCCACCCAGTAGCAGCGTGACTTTTATACAAATGTGAATCCAATCATGTCACTTCCATTCTCAAAAGTCACTATGAGCTTCCTATCCCAGATATAATAAAATCCAACCCCTGCCTCCTTCTCTGCCCTCACACCACTCAGCCCCGCTGGCCTTCGTGCTGTTCCTCTGGCTTGCCACACTCACACTGGCCTCAGGGCCTTTGCACTGTTGATTTCCTCTGCCGGACATGCTCCTCCCTCAGGGAGTTACATGGTTGCCCTCTTCATTTCACAGAGAGCTTGGCTCAAACACCACATCCTCAGAGAGGCCCTTGCTCTCCTCATTAACTCTATTCTCTGCTTTATTTATTCATTTATTTTTAATTTTTTGAGATGAAGTCTCGCTCTGTCATCCAGGCTGGAGTGTGGTAGCGCCATCTCAGCTCACTGCAACCTCCACCTCCCAGGTTCAAGTGATTCTCCTGTCTCAGCCTCCCCAATAGCTGGGATTATAGGCACGCACCATCACACCCAGCTAATTTTTGTATTTTCAGTAGAGACGGGGTTTCACCATGTTGGCCAGCCTGGTGTGGAACGCCTCACCTCAAGTGATCTGCCTGCCTCGGCCTCCCAAAGTGCTGAGATTACAGGCATAAGCCACCACGCCTGACTATTCTCTGTTTTATTTTCTTCATAACCACTTATTACCACCTAAAGTTACATTTATTTGTTTCCCCAACTAGACTATAAGCTCCATGAGGCCAGGGACAACATCTATCTCGTTCGCTGCTTAATCCTGATGACCAGAACAGTGCCAAACATGTAGTGAGTGCTCACTGCTCACTAGACACTTGCTGAATGAATCAGTTTAGTTTTCTGCAGAGTCCGGTGGGTGAGTGAGAAAAGCACTTTTTTCGAATATGGATTCAAGTCCCATCTCTGCCCTCACTAGCAGGTACACTCTGGGACACTTCCTTCATCTCCCTGCATGTCAGACAGAGGCAGCCGGGCTGTGGGGGACACCTGAGGAACCCTCCCGCAGCCTCCCAATGGGCACACACCCCCTTCCCTGTCACTCACTCTTGCATGACTTCCCGTCACTGCCCAGGCTGAAGCCGGAACGGCAGCGGCAGGTCCGCGCCTTGTGGCTGTTGGCCAGCAGGCAGATGTCAGAGCAGCCACCCGGCTTCCCATACTGGTCGTTTTCACAGGCATGGCTCCTCACTGGGGGCAGGGTGAAGAGCTGTTAGGACCCCTCAGAGCCCCTGTGCCAGGCCTTGAGAAGGCTTCCTGAATCTGACCACACCCCCTGCTGCTGTGGTCTTTGTGCTTGCTATCCCATTTTAGGATTTGGAAGCCACAGGGGTGGAAACCCTCTGCCCCCCAACAACCCAGCCTTCAAACTCTTGGAGTGGGGGCTTCAGTAGTCAGGGAAGAGAGTTCCAGGGTTGCCCATGGCCAGGTGCTACTGCTCCAGACTGGCAAGGGGAATGGGAGGGACAGAGTGGGATCTGGAGGCTGAGTGGGTGGATGGGGGCTGGCAGGGGAAGCTGAGGGGCCAGGGCAGGTAGCCCGAGTGGCTGGCTAGGAGAATCGGTCATGACATGAAAGAAGCCAGGGTCCCCACAGGAGGGCCCAGAGAGGGGCTGTGATCCCAAGGTCCCAGAGCCATCATGGGGTAAAGCCAGCTTTGGAGGGGCCATGGAGCCCTGCTCACCTCGGGGCTGACGCCTCTGGTGGTAGATGTGGAGGGCACCACCCTTGTCCACCCGGGTGACAACCTGGTACTCGGTGCTGTTAAAGCGGTTCACACGGATCACACTCGTCTTCTGCTGGGCATTGGCATTGTCCGAGTTGGTGGCATAGAGATAATTCTCAAACACAGTCAGGCCGTACAGGTGCTCAATCTGAGACGGGCAGGCAAGAATGGACAGCATGAGATGACAGGGGTTCCTCCCTCTGTCCTGGAGATCCCCTCAGCTTCCTCCAGACTTCATGACCTGCATTCCCCAATTCATCCTGTAGTTTTTAATTTTTATTTATTTATTTTGAGACGGGACCTCACTCTGTCACCCAGGCTGAAGTGCAATGGCACGATCACGGCTCACTGCAGTCTCCACCTCCTGGGCTTAAGCGGCCCTCCTGCTTCAGCCTCCTGAGTAGTTGGGACTACAGGAACATACCACCACACCTGGCTAATTAAAACAAATTTTGTGTAGAGATGGGGTTTCCCTATGTTGCTCAGGCTGGTCTCGACCTCCGAGGCTCAAGCACTTCTCCTGCCTCAGCCTCCCAAAGTGCTGGGATTACAGGTGTGGGCTACCGTGCCTGGCCCCACCATTTTTTAACTCAATGCTTTACTCCTGTCTCCTCTGGCTGGACTAACCTATTCTGAAGATTTTTGCTTACCAAGATCCCACTCATCCTCTACAGAGCATGTCTTTAAAGAATTTATGGAATCTTCTAACCAGAGATGTTTTCTCCTTCTATACATCCTCCGTGACACTGCTATCTATCCGTGTCTGGCACAGTGATTTGTGGACTTATCTCACCCACTCTACTCAGACCCCTTGAGGGCAGAAACCCTGTCCTTCACAGAATTAGGCACTCGTTAGACACTTTAGTGATTTTAGACTGAATTAGAGATGGGCTCTAAACTCTGTCCACAGAGGACATTCTTAGTCTGTTATGAGGGCTAAGAGGACACACTTGCCCCAAGCAAGTCCTGTAACACCCCTGACTACCCACATAGCTTATCTGCGGTGGCCAACTGTCCTAGTTTGCCTAAGACAAAGGTAAGGGTTTGCTGGCTTACCAGACTTTCAGGGCTAAAACTGGGACAGTCCTAGGCAAACTGGGCTGGTTGCTCACACTAATTATCCCACAATGGAGATGCCACCTCTGAGCCAGCAAGGCTTCTAGAACAAGTTCCAGTGCTATCACCCGGCTTTGTAAACACAGGCAAATCACCTAACCTCTTTGATCCTGCTTTTTCATCTGCTGAAAGGGAACTGAACCACCTCCCTGTTCATCAGCTAGGGGTTATTATAAGGGTCAAATGAGAAACAGGAAGTAAACAGAAGTGGTGTTTCTAAAATGACTGTTCCCATCACAGTGGAACCCGTATCTTGTCCTTTCTCTGCAGTATTCAAGCCCACCCCACTCCCACTAGAGGCCTGGGGCATCCACGCTCTTTACCAGGAGACTCAGAGAACGGTTCCCCTACAGAGGCTTCCCCCCTCACCAGAAGGCCCTGGATCATGGTTCCCCCACAAAACCTCAGACAGTAGCTCCCTCACCAGGATGCCCTGGATGATGGTCTGGCGGCCCTTGCCCTCATAGTCCACCACTTCAATATAGTCCAGATAGGCATCTGCCCAGTAGACAAGGCGGCTGACCAGGTCCAGCGTGATGCCATGAGGAAACACAATCTTGCTGTCGACGAGCTTGGTGCGGTTCTGCCCATCCATGTCACAGCGTTCCACCTTTGGGATCTGCCCATAGTCAGTGAAAAACACCTTCCTGTGGGAAGATGCATGTTAAATGGGGTCTGGACATTGGGCACCCTCCTTACCACTGTAGCCTCAGCCTCCCACCTTCCAGGGCCAGAACCCCGCCTGCCACTCTCACCCCATGGCAGGGTCCAGGGCAATGCCCTTGGGGTTGTAGAGTTCCAGGTCTAGCAATGTGACACATGTGTCCCCATTTCTGTTGCAGACAAAGATCCTATCATCGATGTCATCCACAAAGTAGAAGTTGCCTGTCAGCCAGTCGATGGCCATCTGTTCCACGTCTGGAGAGTACGAATGAAAGAGCCATGGGGTGGGGTAGGCCCTCTTGCAGAGATGCCCACCCTTTGCTGGTGAGAACCCACACCTGGAAGCCCACCTTCTCTGGACGCCCTCCCACCCAACACCCCCATGCTTAGCTCAGAGTGGATATACAGGAGGGCTTGCGTAAATGCTGGCTGGCTGGTTGACTGACAGACTTCCCAATTCTAGCCCATCCTTGAAAAGGGACCATCTTCTTGGGGCACCAAAAGGTAGAGAGCACAGGTCCACTAGCTCAGTCCAGTTTTTTTTTTTTTTTAACTTTGCTTTTACTTGGGATAAGAGCACTGAGGCTACCAAAACATTACACATCTTTGCTTTTCACTGGACTTTTATCTACCATCTACAGTAAATCTAGTTATCTCATGCTAACCAGAAGCACTGACTGGAAGCTGGACATATGGCATAAATTTTTAAAGTGGAAAAGCAGGGTACACGCTAATAAACCCAGTTTGGGAGAAAAGTATTTCAAAATATGAACTCTACAGAGATGCCAAAGGGAAGATCCATGGGGGCAAAAGGTTGGGCACCAGTGACATGGGCCAAACTTCCTCTACTCAGCCCCAGTCCCCTGTTCCTGCAATGTCCTTATTGCTCAATGTCCTCATGTCCTGGGGAGGGTCAGAAGAGGTGGGGAATAAGTCATAGGGCTGGAGGAGAGAGAGTCTAGGAGGAGGGCCATGAAAGAATCCTCAGGGCAAACTGAGGCATGGCTCAGAAAGAGATGGGGCTTAAGGATGATGGGAGTGGGGGAAGGAGATGGAGCCCAGCTGCCTAGACTCAGTTTCAGGCATGGTTCTGGAGGAGATGGAAGAAGCCAAGAAGAGCCAAAGGAAAGAGAGGCAGGGCAAGGGTGGCCGGAAGTCAAGGAGGCAGGAAGTCTGGGGACAGGGACACATGCTGGCCTCCTCTGGGCTCCTCCTCTCCAGGACCACTGGCTTCCTTCCATCTACTCACTACCCCCTTCAACTACCACCATCAGAGATGGTGCCTCTTGCAAACTGGGAAACTCCTAAGGCAGTGACTTTCTGGGACCCCTGCCTGGAACTCCATCTCCAACAGTTTCCCCAACAAGTAAAGAAATCTTTGGGCTACCTGCTTTGGGCTGAAACTCATCCTCCATTACCCATACTCAACCCAGTAGGGATTCTTCTGCCCCCACACAGCTACAGGTATAATGACTTGCTGTTCTGCTTGACCCCTCCCTAATTCCCCCTCCTCCCCACAGGGATTCAGGGGCTGCTCCCTAACAGTGGGTGAGGGTGGGGTGGGGGCAAAAAGAACAGGAACGCCGCTCTCAAGGAACTTGGCTGGGCCCTGACACTGACTCAGAGTCACAGGACAGGAAGGGAAGGAGCCAACTGAGGGCTTCATCAAACTAGTTTCTTCTTCAGGTCCTCTCTGCTAAATCCCATCCCAATGCCTGGAGAACAAGGCCACAGAGACGAGGTATTACCCCCGTAAGTATTCATGCATCCCCAAGCCCAGCCACTCTTTCCTCTGGGCCCCCAGTACTGTCCCATCCTCACAAGATTGGAGAGAGGGGGAAGAGTAGCTTGAGGAGGCCAAGGCCCTGTAGGAAGAGGGCCTAGTGCAGGGGTAAGGCAACCAAATTCTTTGCCCCACACGCTGTAACCACAGAGAAAACAGATTCAAATGAATGCTGCTGGGCTGCCTCCAAAGGAAATCGAAGTCTCAAAGCAGGGACCTGCCTGCATCCCCTGGCAGCCAGCAGGGTGGCTGGAAGTCAAACAGGGCTGCGTGCCCTTTACTTGGTGGGCACGGCAGGGGTCTGGGGGCTGCTGGCATGTGTATGAACTTCATCAGTGAAAGCTGTTTTCCCAGCACCAGCTGGCGCAGCTACGGCCGGCCTTCTCTCCGACTTCCTGAGGCTTCCCTGAGTCACTGCCCAGCCCTAGGGCTGGCAATACCCTGCCCCTGCTCCCCCTATCCACCCTTCTCTTGGCAAGAGAGAGAAGGAAGAAACCTGCAGAGATCTGATGCCGCTATCCCAGGTGCAGCTCCACAATCAGCCCCCCCAGCCTCAGGATGTGGCCTGGATTCCCTCCCAATTCCGGGAAGGAAGGCAGAGAGATCATCCCTGCTCTCAGATATTTACCCTTGGCCGGTCTCCCTTCCACCTCCCCAAAGGCCAGGCAGGGCCCCACTCAGCAGGCCGGTGAGGAGTTGGCAAGAACTGGAGTCCTCGGCCTGCCTGGCCTCCCCTTTGGTATTTTTGCAGCTGGAGACTATTAGTTGCAAGCAAAAATCCTTTGTTATCCAACCCCCTGCACCACATTATTTTTCTCTCTCCTAAAGTTCAGATTCCTCTGCCTGCCCCACCACACACACACGCACATACGCACGTATGCACACACAAATGCACGCACAATCACACACACACACATACACTTGGCCACCACTCCAAGGCCAGTGTAGAGAGATGGGCTCAAAGGGAGAGGAGGAACCTTGCCTCCAGGGCTGCCCTATAGGCAGTATCTGGGCCACCCCTCTCTGTCTTATGAATTGGGGTCCAGGTGGAGTCCTGGGCTTCAGCCCAGAGATCCTGAGCATTCTGGCTCCACCAACCCTGAGGGGAGCCGTCCCCTTGTCGCCCAGCCTTCTAAGGGCCAACCACCTGAGCGCACCTTCTGAAGAGGCTCTGGCCAAAGGCCGAAAATCCTGAGGACAGGAGAATCTCAAATAAACCAAAGGGGAGAGAGGGAGGCTGTGTTGTGGAAGGAGTTGGGGGTGGTCTAGGGGCAGAGGGGCAGGGGATTCCAGCATGAAGAGGGAGGCTAGGAAGCAGGGAAGAGGTGCAGGAGTCAGACGAGAGACCACAGCTGCCCATTATGGCACAGAGGACTTTCAGTTCCAGGCCCCAGAATAGACCTGGTGTCCTGGCACCCCATCCCACTGCTCAGCATCTGCACTCACTACAACTCCAGCTTTTCTCAACTTCTCCATCATTCCCATTGTTCAAGAGGCATTTCCATACATGGTGGCTGCTTTCCCAAACACATGGGACCCACCCCATGCCCAAAAAGACTCTAGCTTCAGCTGCAGGATTCTAGTCACCTGCTCTAAAATAAGGAAATCGGAAGGAAGGAAGAAGCCTTTATGTCCTGAGAAAATGTCACCCAACACATCTACACACCCAAGAGTGTATACACATCCAAAGAGGTCCCTGGACCTCTATCCACATCCCCAGGGAGCACACTAGATTCTGGCCCTTGTTCCAGGAACCTCCCCACCTCTCCTCATATCATTCTGCTCTGCCCTGGGTCCAACTGGGCCCTAGACACTGACAGCCTGAGTTTGAATTCTGGTTCTGTCACCTTCCAACTGAGGCTATGAGCAAGTTACTTAATGCCTCTGAGTCTCTGTTTCCTCATTTGTAAAACTGGATGGTACACTAACTGCACTTAGCATGAGGCCTGGTGCATGATAAACACTCCCCACATGGGGGCTGCGGTTCCCACCATGTCCTCCCCTCCCTGAACCCATCCTTTCCCACCTTTTCCACCAAGTCGCCCTCTGTGCCTCCAGCCAGAGCCCTGTGGCCTCCTGACTCTAGGTGGGCCCTCCAGGTGGGCCATTTGGGGCTAACACCTACTACTCGTCAAGACTCGGCTCAGGCTCCCAGAAGGAAGCTTGCCCTATTAGAAGGAAGTTTTCAAGGCCAGGCTCAGTGGCTCACGCCTGTAATCCCAGCACTCTGGGAGGCTGAAGCAGGTGGATCATGAGGCCAGGAGATCGAGACCATCCTGGCTAACATGGTAAAACTCTGTCTCTACTAAAAACACAAAAAATTAGCCAGGCGTGGTGGCGGGCACCTGTAGTCCTAGCTACTCGGGAGCCTGAGGCAGAAGAATGGCGTGAACCCGGGAGGCAGAGCTTGCAGTGAGCCAAGATTGCATCACTGCACTCCAGCCTGGGCGACAGAGTGAGACTCCATCTCAAAAAAAAAAAAAAAAAAAAGAAGGAAGTTTTCCTGTTACAGGCTCCATAGGCCTCTGGAGCTTCTTTGATCATGGCCTCTTCACCTGACTGCAAATACTGTAAGGAGAGCGCTGCCTTTTGTCTTTGTCTCAGGCGTCTGACACACATGTATTGATCCATTGAACAAATATTTATTGAAGACTGAGTCTGTTGTTCTAGAGCTGGGACATCATTTTCCCCCTCTCTTCTACTGCCAGGATCCTGCCTCTCTGGCCTTGGGACACTCCAAGACAGTGGGAGAGGACAGTCTGTCTAGTAATCCTACTCAGGGATCTCGCCTGGGCCTGGGAGAGATGGCGGAGAGTCTGAGGACTTCGAAGGTGGGAAGGAGACCTCCTGGCGAGCCTGGCAGAAGCTCTGCTAAACGATGTGGCCTCATGCTCCTTGTTTCCTGCTGGGTCCCGACTTCAGCTCTTCCTTCCACCAGCCAGTCTGGAGCTTAGCCGTGTTGTGTCACCTCGTTCTCCTGGGCTCTCTTCCTGCTCCTGCCTGTGATTCCAGCCTGTGGTTATGTCCTGCTACCTTCCCCTGCCTGGCTTAGGTCCCCAAGAGGCATTTCGACCTAGATCCCAGGGATGATGCCTGGATTCCACTCAGCCCATCTTAGGGTCTTCCCTCTATTGAGAAATCCTTGCCGGGCTCTAAAACACATCTCTCTTGCTTAAGTTACTTCCTTTGGCTTGAAAACAGCAAGGGGAGTGCTGGGAGCAGTCTGGGTGGAGAGGCAATTTCAAGGAGACAGCGGGGGAGGAGAGGACAGGGCTGGATCTGGGCCGGGAGACACAGGGCTGGCCCGGGCCAGGAGAGAGGAGGAGCAAGAGTGAGCTGTTAAATGATTAGGAAACTCAGAACAGGAATGGGAAGCAAAAGTGCCAGGATGCAGGGGGCCTAAGGCCAAAGAGTGGGGTGGCTAGAGCCACCCCTCCCCAAACAGCCTGGCATCCCATGGGTCAGAAAGGCCAAGGATGGGCATGGTTAGCTTTCACATGTGAAGTCTGGAAGTGCTTTGTAGGCAGGGTGGGAGGCTGAGAGGGTCCAGGGGTGCCCAGCACAGTGGGGAGGTAGCACCCCTTCCAGCAGCAGCAGCCAGTTCATTAGACTCAGAGGGACTGCTGTCTGCCCCTTCTTTGCCTCCCCTCTAGACAAATCACTACCCCATTTCCTGTTGTGATTTCGAAAACACACACACTAAAAAAATAAATAAATAAAAGAAAGGGAGAGGAAGGGAAAAGTGAAGTTGGCCAGCTGGACCTGGGACCCATTTCGCAACCTTGCTGCCTGCAGCCTAGGGGCCCTTTGCTGAGCTCCCCAGCCACCTCCTTCTTCCCCATGCAGCATGGTGCAGGGAGGGGAACCCTGAGACCTCTGAGAGCCCCTTCAGACCATCCTTTCACACACAGTCCAAACTCCTGAGTGACTTCAGCAAACCCGATTTCCTTCAAGGCCTCTATTTACAACCTCAGAACCTCCCCTCACCATACACACCCATGTTCCCAGGACCCCAATCTTGCAGTCTGCCTCATTCTTTCTACAGTGGTGGCATCCTCCAAGGTGAAGGGAATACAGATCAGAGGAGCTCAGCTTAGGAAATGCAGGGCTGGGCTGGGGTCGGTAGACTGCACCACCAGGCCTGCCCAGGGGCAGCCTGGCAGGAGGCTGGACAAAGCTGGGTTACAGGCTCCATAGGCCTCTGGAGCTGAGAGACTGGTCAGAGGTGGGGGTGAGAGTGCGCAGGCCTGGTTCCTGACTAAGGGACTATCAGGCCTGTTGATCCCTCTGGGCCTCAATTTTCAGAACTTTAGTCTTTTGTGTATCACTTTCAAAATGTCTACCATGCTTATGTACAGCTTGCGCTACTGTTTATTACCAGTTATTTCAATTAACTTACTTTTCTTATTTCGCTGCATGCTAAACAATTGCTGAAGTAACAGATTTGATGTGCTAGTTACAGGAGTTTCCTAATGCATATCAAATAAAAACGTAACTATAACAGTTAAAAAAAAAAAAAAAAAGCTTGTCCAGGTACCATCTAAAATCAAATCAATGCATAGCCCCTTTGAGAAAGCAGTAGTGAAAGCCAGGGCTGCTCTTGGTACTGGCCAAGGGTCTTGCCTTCTCTTCCGGCTCTCACCATGGAGTTCTCTGGTCTTGGAATTCGAGCCTCATAGACCTCCCCAAACCACTGGGCCAGCGGCAGAGGGGAGGGGGAGGTAATCTCAGGTGGGAGGAAAAGAGATGACCCACCCAATCCAGGGGGATAACACTGGGCCTGAGGCAGGAGGGTCAGCAGCCCTGGGGCATTGAAGAGGAATGTTCACACACTGCAGGGCCTCAGGGGGGCCCTCGGGGGCTCTCAGGACTCCACAACAGGTCTGACTCACATGGCCCAGGACACATGTGAACCAGGCTCATTTCCTGGCCTCCTTCCTTCTTTCTATTCTATTTCTGCTTCCAGAGTTTTCTCTGGGGCAGGCTCCCCCTTCTGCCTGCACCAGCGGGCTGGCCTCGCTGGCTCGAACACCCCTCAATTGTCAGACTCCTCCCTCTGTGTGCACCCCTGCTGCATGAGGCTCAGCCCCAGGGGTCCAACAGAGGTCACAGTCACAGCACAGAATGGAAGGCTTGCAGGGAGGGCTGCCCTGGAGGGCAGAGTGAAAGCAGGGGAAAGCTGCAGCCTTTCTTCTTCGTCCTCCTTGGGGAGCTAATTACAGGCCAGCAGCCACTGTGCAGGTGAGTGCCTGGGACCAGCCACCCTACACACCAGGGCAGGCCAGTCAGCATCTCCTGGGGAGGGGGATGACCCAGAAACTGGGGGAGGGGCTAGGGGAGAGACACTGACGTCCTCAGTTTGGGACCCATAATTAGTTTGTGGGAGAGAGCAAAACAACCATCCTCAGGGTGACAGCCAGACATTCAGGCGGCAGGGACGTGGAGCAGGGGGAGGGCAGGGAGGAAGGGACAGAAGCTGGGATGAGAGAAACCCACTCATTTACCCCACAAGCATTTCCCCTTGGACTCTTCTAGCCTCCTGGACTCTGCCCCTGAGAGGCCCAGTGAGTTTAGCAGACTGGGAGGCAAGGCAAATCTGTTTGCCAAGGGAGGGGTACCAGCTTCTCCTGGGGAGGAAGTCAGATAAGGAGATGAGGCCAGAGTAGAAGTTGAGAAGGTTACCTCCAGGACACCCCATAGCCACCTACCCAGAAGCCCACTGTATGGCAAGATGCAGGGCTGGGGAGGAAACTGACAAGCTGTCTGCCCAGACAGGCCTGTTGAGTAGGTCAGTGGACAAGGAACAGGGGGAGGGCAGCTGCACAAGAGGGTCTAGCACCAATCCCACCCCATCAGCCATGGGGTTCCCTGAGTCGCCCACTCGTTAAGAGCTCAGCCAACCAGGCTTGACAGCCCCCAGCTCAGCACCCCAAGGAGGACACATGTCTGATCACAGGTGAGCTGTGGACAGCAGCAGCCCAAGGACGCTATCAGGGATGCTCTGGAGGAGCCAAAGGCAGAAATGTGAACCTTACGCTGAGGCCACGGAGAGTGAGGGCTCTCAGAGGAACCCCTGCTCGCCACCATCCCGGGGAGGGGCCTTTCTCTCTCCCAGAATGAATCCCTTGTAACCTCCTGGGATCTTTCTTTTCATCACAAGAACCAAATAAAGAAACTTGAAGATCTTCTAGAGAGGCCCAAGGTTCACAATCCTCAACTTCAAAGTGTGCTGTCCTTTACCACTGGCTTTCACTCCAGTTAATCTGATCTAGACAGACAAGCTCAAACCCATTATGCAGATTAGGAAACCAAGGCAGAGATGGGAATTCTGGTTTACTAAACAGTTACAGATCAAGTTAATCTCCCTTAGGGGGTCAGATCAACCACAGGCCAGATTCTTCCTCTCAGCCCTGTGGTGCATTTCTTTGGAAATGTGATGCTGCCAGATGTTGACTTTTAAGGTTGCTGGTGTAACAGCCTCTGAGATGGGCAGGGCTGTTCCCGGCAGTGGGTCTACACCCAGCTATGCTCGTGCCCCTTTCTGTGACACCCCTTCTTCCACAACTAGGATAGCAAAAGTGTAGCCTAGGGAGAAGCCTGAATGGAAGCATCCAGGATATTCTAAAATCTCATGTGGCTCACGCTCCTCTCCCAGCCTCATTCACTGCCACAAAGCCACAGAGAAATAACCTCAGTACTGCCCTCCCCCGATGGCAGCAGAGAGTCCATTGGCAATGGTCCCCGAGGGAAACGATGGCCCATGGAGACAGAGCAGCTGGGCCCCAGCTCCTTTACCCTCAGCTGCAGCCTAACAGGGCACCTCAGGCTTCCGCTCCTTCTTTCCCTAGCCTTGGCTCCCACTGCACCGGAAAGTCCCTCTGCAGTCTAGTCAACACTCCCCTCTCAGAGAAGGGACAGTCCCTGGTCTCTGGAGATTGACCATTCACTGCCCCCTCAGCCCTTGGCCAGAAATGCAGGGGCCATCCAGACACTTGCTCAGAGAGCTGGGAGGGAGCGTGCCGGTGGCTCTGCCCCTGCCTCAAACACACACCATTGTATCCAGCCTCCTGCTTCTCCTGCCCCAGACAGGACCATCCTGTGTAACTCCCGGCCTCTGTTCAAGATAGGGTCCACCTTCCCTGTCTCCCCTACCCTCCCCAGCCCTCCAAGCTGAGAGCAGGTGACTCACGGTGCAGACTGAGGGAGATGTTGATGGTGTGCTCATCCACGAAGCCCTTTAGGCCAGGCATGCGGGCACACTTGAGCTGCGTCTGAGCAGCACTGTCCCCAACATGCACCCAGCATACGGTCTCGTTGGCATAGCTGAAGTCCATGGCTGTGGTCTGCCGCGTGCTCGTAGGTGTGATGGTAGACACCTGGGCCCCACTCAGGTACGTGGCCAAGATGTTCTGGGAGTTGGCTATCAACAGCACAGGGGGCCGGTCTACTGGCTCTGGGAATGGGGAAGAGAAGAGTCCGTGCAGCCAGGGCTCTAGGACCACCTCTCAGGCCACCACCCACCAGGGAACAGCATTGAGGGGGCTTAGTTAGCACTGTGGCCAGAGGCAACCCCACCCACCGTTCTTGGCCTTGCAGGAGCGGTTATCCGGCTGCAGGAGGTATCCTTCAACACAGCCACATATGAAGGAGCCGTCTGTGTTGGTGCATAGCTGGCTGCAGGTGCCGTACACTGAGCACTCATCAAAATCTGCCGAGGAAAGGGCAAGAATGTGGTCATTTCCAGTGTGACAAGGGCAACGAAGTGGGTGATCATCAGACATGATCAACATGTCCATCCTTACAGCTACCTTGAAGGACAGTTCGGCAGAATCTATTACAGCATGAAATGTGCAAACCTTAACACCCAGCAAGTCCAGTCTTGGAATCCACTCTAGAGAAACACTCGTGTACATATCACTCATCCACGCAGGGAAGATTTATTGAGTCCCTACTATGGGTCAGGTGCCAGGGGTGCATCAGTGAACTTTAAAATAGACCCACATTGCTGTCCTCATGAAACTTATATTCAGATAATAAATGAAATATAGTTACTATAATAACATATGAAACAAAGTAAATAAAGTATACATTAGAGGTGCTAGTGCAATGAAAAGAGAACAGGGATAGAGAATGCAGATGGCAGGGATGCAGTTTTAGAGGGGTCGGGGGACGGCTTCACTGAGAAGGTGGCATTTGCACAAAGACCCGAGGGAGGCAAATTTAAAACAGAAAAGTTTGCATTGCTTGTAGCAGTGAAAAATTGGGAACATCTCACTCATCAACAGGGAGGTGACCAAGTAAACTGTGGTAAAAGTCATACGTCATAGTGGTTTCTAAAAGAATGATGTAGATCTTTACATATTAACACAGAAAAAAAAATTGTGGAACATACTGATGAGTGAAAAACATTGAAAATAATATACACAGTATACTATTGTTTATGTAAAAAAGAGCACGCAGTACTCTTGAGCAGTACTTCCAATTAGATTTTCTGTGAATACCCAGAGACAAATGCACAAAAAAGGGCCTGAAAGAGAGAGAGCAAACTGATAATAGAGTTGAACTCCAGGGAGATGGGAAGGGGACCGGAATTGAGGGGGATTTGTCAAAGGGGACTTTGGTTTTATCTGTTAATGCTCTAATTTTTTACAACAGAAAAATTTACATATAAACTATAATTTTAAGGTGAATTTTTAGAAGTCTAGTGGAAGCAAATGGTTAGGGCTCACAGTCATGCCCTGGGGTGGTGGCACCCCCTCTCTTGCACCTTCCTTCTAGTTTCTTATTCCAGCCAGGCCCCCTACCCCTCTCTGCCCCTCCCTGCCCACCTCAACTGGCTACTGGCACACACACATGCACACAGGCACATGCACTCACATACCTTTGCAGGTCTTGCCATCTGCCTGAAGCTGAAAGCTGCTGTTGCAGTAGCAGGTGGGCCCATCGAGTGTGGGGACACAATGGTGCTGGCAGCCCAGGCGAGAGCAGTTGCCTTGGAGCTCTGTGTGGGGGCAGGAGAGACACATATTCAGGCCGCCAGATCTGGCAGCTCCACGCAGGCCACAACCTTCCCCTAAACCCAGTCAACCTTCAGAAACCACTTCTAAGGGCTGCAGTGTCAGAGACAGAAGGGCCTTAGGAAGCATCTACCATATTTCACAAGTGAAGAAACTGAAGCCCAGAGAGGCTATAAGACAAGCCCAAGGTCACACAGCCAGTGATGGCTTAGAACCCACATGTCTCTGTTCTGGATGTTCTGGGCTACCTCTGTCCCCATGGAGAGGGGTTCTGGCACTTTGTTGGGGTCAACAGGAAGAGGGGATGGTGAGTCTTATCCCTTTGATATGCCTCTCATCTACACTGCCTGGGGATTACAATGTTGGCTTCAGCTGGGGCTGAAAAGTGGGCATGGAATCGTGTCTGTCCCCACAGGATCCCAGCTCTGGCCTGGAAGCACCTGTCTAACCCATCCCCGGAGCCCTAGAGGCCTCAGAGAGAAGGCCTAAGGCCCAGGTAGAGGACAGGAAGGAGGAGCAAAACTGGTCCCCTCTGGATTCTTTTCTAATCTTTCTCCTGCCACTGACCCACTTCCACAGGGGAGACAGAAGGGAATGAGACAGGAGGGGGGAGAGGTGGGAGAGCAGTTGCCCCCCCAGACCAGCGACCCAGTTAATGGCCTTGCGTGGGGCCAGGCAGCCTGGCCACAAAGACCCCTTTGTCCAGCGGCCTCACACCCTGGCTTCCCACTCCACCCCCACCTAGGAGAGAGAGCCGCCCAAGATGCTAAGACGTTTAGAGGCACTAAGCCTGCCAGGAAGAGTTGGGATGGGGGGCCAGGCCCCAGCGATTCTTTCTCCTCCCCACTTCCACCCGAGAGCCATTCATGCTGCCTGCCCAGCCTTTCTCCACAGAGGGGGAAAATATCATTTGCTCTGGAAAACCTAGAAAAGAGTAACTTTTCTGGATATAGGGTGAGGGAATGAGGAGGCCGATTTCTGTAATATCAGAGAAGGAAATTCAGACCTGAGGTTTTTGAAGTTCTCTGTTGTTTTAGAGACTGTAAAGGTACTCAAAAGGAAGTAAGCTTGAACACACACCACACGAGAGGAAGGGGTGCGCGTGGTCATTTAAGTCAGCCCCCAGGCCCGCATTCTGCATCCCGTCCCAGGAGCTTCAGATGAAAACATGCAAAATCAACCAAAGAAAGGGAGAAAAATCTTCCACAAACTCCTTTGCTCCATCCTCCCTGCTCCTAGTGAACAGGATCCAGATGAGTCTCCTCCCACAGACAGATGTTTTCTCAGGCACACAGCACAGGACACTGCCCCCACACCCAAGCACAGCCCCTCCCCTAGGGCTACGCTCATGGCCTCTCAAAGCTGGCCTCTTGCTCCGGGCCCAGACCCCGAAGAAAAGAGAAGGGAGAAGCCACTATTCCCTAACACGCAGGCTTGAGGCTCTGCCTCCCCGGACACGACTCTTAAATGCTCACGCTGTGACCGGACTCTCCATGGCCCACAGGGCCCTTTGGGGGAAAGACTGTAGAGCTGGTGACCTGAGCCACAGGCTGGAAGCAGTCTGACTTGTCATCCTAATGTTCCCACCTCGGCCTGGATGGCTTTCCTATCAACCACCTCAGACAGTCTAGACTGTCAGAGAGGGAGGGACCAAGGCAGATTTAGGGCCCCTCAAAGATCTGCAGCTCCTGGGGGATGCCTTCTAGGGCACCCGTAGGGGCGGCAGGTGGACTAAACTAGATGGCTAAGCTTTAGTCACAGCACCTCTGCTCCTCCCTGTGTTCACACTCAGGTTTCATGCAGAAAACCTTTTGAAGAAAGGATCATACTATTTTTAAAAAAGTATGAAAACACTGATCTCTCATCTTACAGAAGAAAAACTGCCACCTGGAGAGAGGTAGTGACTAGTCCAAGAACACATAGCCAGAGGGAAGTGCCCAGGCTACAGCCCACGGCTGAGGCCCACAGGGCTGTCTGACCAAGCTCCAGGCCCAAGGGGCACATCAATTTCATCTGCTCTCTGAAGGTAAATCTAGGCAGGGGACCAGGACAAGGCCTCATCCCCACTGAAGGTGCCAGGACAGTCCTCGGAAGGTGGGCTGATAATATGCTGCATCCAGACGGGAGAGTAGAGAGTGGAAAAGTCCTTACCTCGGCAGTGGGGCCCCTCATCTGAGCCGTCCATGCAGTCCTGGACCCCATTGCAGAGGCGGGACATGGGAACACACAGCTCAGTACCCAGGCAGTTATGCTCGTTTGGCTGGCATCGCTGGGCCTTACTCTGTGGACCTGAGGGCAGACAGAAGGGTGGGCATGAACAAGCTGGCTATGGTGGCTCTCTGGTCAGCTGTTCACTGGGGATGAGGGGAGATAAAACTGGGGTTTCAGATCTCAGGAGGCCTCGGGGCTAGTTAGACTCTTCCACCTGGAACTCTTTTACAATATTCCCCACAGTAGCCACACACCTGTAGGCAAACAGGTGGAGGTAGAAACTAGGCCTTCAGTAGAGTCCACCCTCCAAATGCCCCATTCCCATGGACCCCAGTGCCTCAACATTCTATGCTCAGGAGACAGGCTGAAGACAGCCTGGTTTTTGATGACGACTGAGGTCAGTAAAAGGTTTTGATGATGCCGGGAGTGATGGCTCACACCTATAATCCTAGCACTTTGGGAGGCTGAGGCGGGCAGATCACTTGAGGTCAGGAGTTCAAGATGAGCCTGGCCAACATGGTGAAACCCCGTCTCTACTAAAAATGCAAAAAATTAGCCAGGCATGGTGGCATGCACCTGTAGTCCCAGCTACTCGGGAGGCTGAGGCAGGAGAATCGCTTGAACCCAGGAGGCAGAAGTTGCAGTGAGCTGAGATTGCACCACTGCACTCCAGCGTGGGCGACAGAGCGAGATCTGTCTCAAAACAAACAAACAAAAAAAAAGGTTTTGATGAGCTGAGGGAAGCAGGGTCCATGGCAGAGAAACTCCAATGATAAAGAAAAACTCCTTCCCATAGCTCCCAGGTTGCAGAACCCAGGGCCAAGAGTGGTGCCAAATCTTCTAGACCTTCACTGCCCAATACGTAGCCCAGTCACATGTGGCTATCAAGCACTTGAAAGGCGGCAAGTTCAAACTGTAAGTATAAAATGTACACTGGATTTTGATGACTTAATGTCAGAAAAATGCAAAAGATCTCTAAAGGTTTTATATGAATACACTGTACTAAAGTGATAATATTTTGGATCCATTGGATAAAATATTCAAATTCATTTCATCTGTTCATTTTTACCTTTTTTAAGTGGCTACTCGAAAATTTCAAAATAGCACATGTGGCTTGCAATACATTTCTATTGGACAGCACTATTCTAGACTTCCAACCCCACAGCAACAAGCCTGATAGAAGGATTTGGGAAGAATCAAAGGTTGTGGTCTGGCCAGGCATGGTGGCTCACGCCTATAGTCCCAGAACTCTGGGAAGCTGTGTCAGGAGGATCACTTGAGGTCAGGAGTTTGAGATCAGCCAAGGCAACATAGTGAGATCCCACCTTTCAAAAAAAGAAAAAAAAAAAGGTTGTGGCCAACTGGTCATATCATCTCTGCAACTTCCTTTGTTGCTCAAGAGGATGGATGAGATAGAGAGACCACTGTCTATTGGCCCCCAAGCCTGGACACGGTGTGTGAGTGACAGTGTCTATGACCCATGTGTGCCTGGATGGGAGTCTGCTTACACAACTGATGGTGTGGCTGTATAGCATGCAGCGGTAGGTAGTGAGAGTGTATCTGTGTGTCTTTCTGTATGCTGGTGTATCTGGCCTCAGTGAGTTTCCATGTGAATCAATCTGGGTTTGTGTGTGTGTGTCTCTATGTTGGTATGTGTGTCTGGGGACATCTCTCTGAGTATAGAGTGTGTTTCTGCATCCACATTTGAGTGTGACTCTGTGTTACTGTGAGAATGTGTTTGTGCCTTTGGGTGGGAGGTGGGCTCATCAGTGCCAGGTGGGTCTGTGTGTGATGTTATGAGTCCGGGGGGTATGAGTGTGAACAGAGTGGTAATGCATATAAGGTGAGGTTTACAGCAAATTGAAGGAAGAATGAACAAAAAGAGGCAGATCTGACCCTTCTGCATGGCTTTCTTTACTTCTAACGCCCAAGCATCAGGGTCAAAAGTGTGGGGGTGCAGGTGGCACCAGACAAGAAGAGACTCCAGGCTGAAGCACCATGCCGTAGATATACTTGCTGAATACCCCTGGCCCCCACCCTCCAGGGCAGAGTGTAGGGGTGAGGCAGAGCCCACTAGTGGCTCCCTTTCCAGCCCTAAAATTACCCCTGATAATTACGGGTGGGGGTGTGGGGACAGGACACCAGATGGGACTGGAGCAGGATAAAGCCCAAGAGAGAGAACAGAGACGGACCTAGGAATGCAGGGGCGCTTTGACCCTGGCCCAGATTAACCAAGCAGGGGAGAGGCTAAAAGTGGAGCCACCAGGACTGTGCCAGCTACCCAGGACTCTGGGGTCCCACCAACAAGTTCTCCACTTCCCTTGGCAGGGCAAAAGCTGGGCGGGGACCTTTCTCCCAGTTAAAACAGCTGCCTCCGATTACACCACTTACTGGGGGCAGGGGAAGGCGGGGGTAGCGGGAAGAGCACAGGGGTGGGGCTTCTGGTATGGGGCTGAGCAAGTGCCAGTGGCCTCTGGCCTGGGAGCCAAAGGACAGAGGAAGATCTGAGGATCCGACAAGACCTGGGGCCAATCATCAAGGGTCAGGGAGGCTGAGAGGTGGAATAAGGGAAGAGCTGGAAGGAAAGGGAGGCCGGGCCATCTTCTAGCAAAGCTGTCAGCCCAGAGAACACTGTCTTGGGGTGCAGCACTTGAGGGAGAAATCTGAGGTGCCATTTCTAAGCCCAACAGGCACCATGCCAAGCATTTTGAAGGGGTGTAAAGGACAGTTTTAGCTGTGTCATGGACAAATACAATCACTGAGCAAGGTCCACATCAGGCTAGGGATCAGCTGTCCTCCTCCCAAACATCTGCCAAAGGAAGAGGGATAAGTTAAGGGTTTGGGGAGAAGAATCCAGAAAAGGTACTTACAAATCTCAGGGGCCTCGTCAGATCCGTCTGGGCAGTCCCTCTCACCGTCGCACCGCCAGCCCTTTGAGATACAGGTTATTTGATCTCTGCAGGCAAACTGCTTGGGGCTGCAAGTCTTAGGGGCTAGGGCAAGGAAAGAAAAGGGGATATAAATGAAGGATGGAGGCCAACTCTGTGAACCCAAAGTCCCCTAGTACTGCTCTTCCTTCCCTAGCATCAGTCTCCATCTGGCCCAGACCCTCAGCCATGGTCTATGTGCCTGGGGGTGTCAGGGGGTGGCTTTGGGTAGTTCCTAGACACTGTGTATCTGCGGTGGGGGTGGGGAGGATCCAGAAGCACATTTTACTGCACCCCTCCAAGTCCTCTAGGCTGCCTGTTCCTGGGAGTCAGGGTCAAAGCCTTTGCTATTCTTGGTTACTCTCATCAGACACCAGCACCCCCTGGCTTTGATGACAGAGTGATGGTGAAGGGGGGTGCATTTAGGCCTTGACATGTTTTCTCTTTGTCTTCCTCTAACTCCTACTACTAGAGGCCCCGAGCTGGTCTTATCTAACCTCTCTGCTTCCCTGCCTTCTGGGACACTCCTGGTCCCCTGACCCATCACCCCATCCTTCCCAACCCCTAATCACTAGGCCCCCAGATGGGAGCAGTGGGGAGGGATGCCCTTGGCACACACAGTAGTAGTTGGAGATGGTATTAGCAGAGGCACAGGAGGGCAAGGCTGGGCAGGAATGGGCAGGGTAGAGAGCCTTGCTTCCATTTCCATTCCCTATTTTTTTTTTTTTTGAGACAAGGTCTCACTCTGTCCCCCAGGCTGGAGTGCAGTGGCACAATCTCAGCTCACCGCAACCTCCACCTCCTGGGCCCAGGCGATTCTCCTGCCTCGGCCTCCCCAGTGGCTGGAACTACAGACATGCATCACCATGTCCAGCTAGTTTTTGTATTTTTAGTAGAGACGGGGTTTCACCATGTTGGCCATGCTGGTCTCAAACTCCTGACCTCAGGTGATCCACCTGCCTTGTCCTCTCCATTCTCTAAAGACACAGCCTCCCTTGGTTAGACCTCAGGGAGACTTTCAGTAGACATCCTTAGAGTTAAGAAGCACCTAAAGATTTTCAAGATATCAGAATTGGGGAGCAGAGGCAGGGGGATGGCTGAAATGAACTCTAGGAACTGGTTTCAGTCCAGTCCAACTAGTTAGCTACTATATTCAGGACCTCTTGGCCCTACCCTCCCACCCCAATCAGGCTTCTTCCACTCCTACCCCATTCTCTTCCCTCATCCCCCAAGGAGGAATTAAGAATGGTGACAACTAACTCTGTTGTTTTTTTTTTTTTTTTGAGACAGAGTTTTGCTCTTGTTGCCCAGGCTGGAGTGCAATGGCACGATCTTGGCTCACTGCAACCCCTGCCTCCCGGGTTCAAGTGATTCTTCTGCCTCAGCCTCCAGAGTAGCTGGGATTACAGGCATGCGCCACCACGCATGGCTAATTTTGTATTTTTAGTAGAGACGGGGTTTCTCCATGTTGGTCAGGCTGGTCTCGAACTCCCAACCTCATCTGATACATCCATCTCAGCCTCCCAAAGTGCTGGGATTACAGGCGTGAGCCACCGCACCCGGCTGACAACTAACTCTTATTGTGGGCTCAGTATGTGCCAGGAACTGTGGTAAAGCAGTTTTTTCCATGTATCATCATATTTAATTCCCTCCACAGTATGACAAATAGGGACAACTAATACCACCATTTCACAGATGAAGAAATTGAGCCAGGTGACTTGGCCAGGGTCAAATAGCTGGCAAGTGACAAAACCAGCTAAGCTGACTCCAAGCTCTGAACCAGTGAAATCCACACCAGTCCTCCGAATTCCCACTCCTCCCAACCTCTATCACCACATCCTCCACAGGAGGAACAGTCACCCACCCCTTCTCCCCCACCCAAGGCTGAGCTCCCAGTCTCCTGGCCTTTCGTGGCTTTTCCTCAGACTGTGCCATCACATTTCTATTCTGCTGGCACACACTGAAGGCCAGCTCTATGCCAGGCACTGCACTAGGCATCAGGGTGCCAAGGAGGGTGAGATGACCCTCTGCCCTGCAGGAGCCAGAGTCGCCTGAGAAGACAGCTGTACCCAACTAATGCAAATGCAGGGCAGAGACAGAAGTATAAGGAAAATGGCGGGGGGGGGGGGCTCTTAGGAGGGAGGGAGTCTGATGGGAGCCTCACTGAGATGTCTTCCCTCCTAACCCCCACCGCTGGCAGGGGAGACGGCACTCAGGCCCCTGGCCAAAATGACCGAGTTCAGGAAACACATCAAGGATGGCCTAGCCAGGCTCCCCCTTCAGCCTCCCTCCCCTGGCCCCCACCCTGAGCCTGGAATAAAGGCCCCTTGAGGAGGTGGATAATGCTGAGTTCATTGCCCCACTGGGCCAGCTGTGAGGTCTTCCCGGGAAACACAGCCCGCCAGCCTAGTTAGCATGCCGGAGAACCGTCCGCTTCCCCTGACCAGCCGTGGCCGGCTGAGGGGGAAGAGGGGGGCTGGAATGGGACTCAGAGGCAGATGAGATGTTTGGAGCCCAGAAACAGACCCCCGTGCCACCCACCTGGGACTTGGTCCATGCCCTGCTCCTCCCAGGGGCAGAGCGCACAGCCACGGCCTGAGGTCACCGGGTGGTCACCTAACCTCCCCTCCATTCCACATCCCAGCCATGGTGCCCCCTCCTTTAGCCCTCACTGAGTCCCCCCCGCTGTCCCCCACCCCCATTTTTGGCCTGAACTCCACAGAGGAAACAGCAGCTGGCAAACTCCAAAAGCTGGAATGAGAGAGATTCACAAACCAGATGTGCTCTTGCAGGGAGGGGATGGGGGATGGGACAAGTGAAAGGAAGAGGAGGGCCCAGGCCCCTATCCCACAGCAGCACCGGGGGAGGGGGCCACATCTCCCGAGGGCCTGGCCAGCACAAGGATTGCAGAGAGATACGTGAAAGAACTTCCTGTCAGGGCTGGTGTTGAAGGGCCCAGGAATCTGGAGCGAGAAGGCTGAGGCCTGTCTTTGATTTCCTTCAGGGGGAGAGGGAAGAAAGAAACAAATAAACTACTTTGGGACAGTCTACACAGCCAAGGGAAGCCTCACTCAGAGCTGGGAGAGAGCTGAGTTGGGAGCGGGGTAGGACCCTTATAATCTGCTTAGAGGGAAAGCCAACCCCACTCCCCTCAGCAGAGCCTTCTGTGTCTGAATCCAGCACCCAGAAAACCCACCTTTGTGGCCTGCAGTTTAGATGAGAGAACAACATTGCCCTAAGGTCAAAAGCAACTAAGGCCTTCCCCGCCTCCTGGCCCGCATGAGAGAACCCGGAGGTCTCCCTGACCGATGGGAGCTAACCTTTTTCACCTTGCTAACCACCAGCCACTGATTGGAAATACGGTGACTATTAACTCACTTAGATACTATAACCCTGTGAGGTGGGTGCCCTTGCGGCCCCCCTCTCACACATGGGGGAGCTGAGGCACAGGGTGACTGGTAACTGAGCAGGTGGTTTCCTCATAGGTCATGGGATGCAGCCGGGTTAAGAAAGGAAACCAGGCCGGGCATGGTGGCTCATGCCTGTAATCCCAGTACTTTGGGAGGCCGAAGCAGGCAGATCATGATGTCAGGAGATCGAGACCATCCTGGCTAACGCGGTGAAACCCCGTCTCTACTAAAAATATGAAAAATTAGCTGGGCGTGGTGGCAGGCGCCTGTAGTCCCAGCTACTCAGGAGGCTGAGGCAGGAGAATGGCGTGAACCAGGGGAGGCGGAGCTTGCAGTGAACTGAGATCGCGCCACTGCACTCCAGCCTGGGCAACAGAGCGAGATTCCATCTCAAAAGAAAAAAAAAAGAAAGAAAGAAAGGAAACCAGATGGGCGCAGTGGCTCCCGTCTGTAGTACCAGCACTTTGGGAGGTGGAGGCGGAGATGGGCGGATCACTTGAGGTCAAGAGTTTGAGACCAGCCTGGGCAACATGGTGAAACCCTGTCTCTACTAAAAATACAAAAATTAGCAGGAGGCGGAGGTCGCAGTGAGCAGAGATCACGCCATTGCATTTCAGTCTGGGTGATGGAGTGAGACTGTGTCTCAAAAACAAAACAAAACAAAAACAAAAAACAAGGAAGGGAAATTGCAGGGAGAACGCTGTCGTTCTCTGGCCCTGGCAGTGGGGAGAGGATTTTAAGGGGTGGCCTTCAGGGCTCCTCAGAGAGGAGGGAAGGGCATAGGGGAGACAGAGAGGAGCAAGAATGGGACAGAAGAAGGGGAAGACAGGCAGGAGAAGAAGAAGGAGAGATCTAGAGAGGAAGGAGAGAGAGCGAGTTTGGAGGAAGAACACCAGGACACAGGGGCCGTCTGTTCTCGGCTTTGCCTGAAGATGAATGTGACTGCCATGCTAACTTGGCCAACACCCTGCCCCACCCCCCCAAACCCAGGCACCCAGCCCAGCCACGGTCCCCAGGGCCACCAAGCTGGAGCCAGGGCAGGAGGTGTAGAGTTGGGTGTGCGTCCAGACACAACACAGACCCCACTGCCCTGCTTGACCCTTGGCTGTCATTCTGTGTCCCATTCTGGGACCTTGGGGGTGGGGAAGTGGGGTGAGAATGCCTGGCCAGAGAGGGTGACAGCGAAGTCCAACCCTGAAGGAGTCTTCTCCAGAGGAGGGGAACCCATCCTTTGATACCCCCTTGAGGGAGCGAGAGCAAGGAAGAGAGCTAAGACCTTAGAGGTGCTTCTTAAAGGACAAGGAGACTCAGGGACTGCAAAAGCATGACAGGGACTCTTGGGGCCCTTTTTAAGAGTGGACACAGCAGAAGGAGAGATAGGCTCCCCTCTGAGCTAGGTGAGAGGGGGGTTCTCTAAAGGGAACCACATGATATAGCTAAGGGAACAGAGTGGGAGGAGGATGCTCAAGGTGCGGGGGGTGGGGTGGGGGGGCGGCGCGGGGACAGAGCCTGCAGGAATCTGAATTTTCGACCTTATGGGGGTGGGGCAGCAAGGGCCTCCCAAACCCAAACCGAGAGGTTTTCACTGAATTTTTTGTATTTTGGGTGTTGCCCAGTGGCTCTTTCCTGAGGCTCAGACACATTTTTGTCATTCCTGAGTCTGGGCCTCTGCTTTGCGGCCTGGACAGACAGACAGACAGGGTGGCTTGGACAGCCAGGGGAGGGGAAGGGTCTCCGCTTCCATTCTGAGTCAATATTGATGCAGCAGGACATTAGCCTGACCCGTGACCTCCCCCACCAGCTTTTCCTTTCCCCACAAATAAAAGCCAGACCCCCAGAAGGCCTCCAGAGGTCACCATATCACTCACCAGGCATTTCTAAGCCTCCTCTCCTTCTCCCCCCACCCCAGCCACACACACAGCTTATGCTCACCAGAGTAAAAGCTCCAAGTTCTTGACTCACTCCTTACATCTTTCTCCAGTTCTTAGGCTCCTGGTCAGGAGGAAGTTCTGCCAGAAGTCTAACCTCCCTCCTTCCTTCTGAAATACCTCCTTTCTCCCTCTTAGCCCACAAAGGGTATCAAGTTCCTTTCTTCCAGAAACATTCTCTCCAAAACCCATTCCCCAAATTAGTGGAGGGGGAAGAAGAAAGAGGAAGTCGGAGGAAAGTGGAGAGGAAACTTTTGGTGCTGAACTGGACACTGGGTCTGGCCAGGAAGGGGGAAAAATAGCCAAAACAGAGGGGAGGGAGCCAGGGGGTGAGTGGGAAAGCCCAGAGAGACTCTTGCTCCCAAGAAGCTTTTGGGATACCAAGAGGCCTGGATGGGGGTAAATGGAGACAGGCAGAGAAAAATAAGACAAGTGACAGAGACGCAGAAAGCAGGGCAGAGAATGTCACAAAGGTTCGGCAGTAAGAGATGAACTGAGAGGGTGAGAGACAGAGAGGTTCTAAAAAGCCAAGACAGCGCACACTAATGACAGACAGACAGAAAGACAGACAGACAGCCAGAAAAGCCAGGAAGGGGGCTCAGTCCAGAGATTGCCAAGGGGATGACACAGTTGTCCTGGGATGAACCCAGAGAATGACTACCCCGCTGAGCCTAGAGTAGGGTGGGAGCAAGATCTGTCCTATCTTGGAGAGACAGAGTCTCGGCCCTAGGCAGTGCCTGACTCAAGGGAGACCCAGAATAGGGACCACTACCACCCCTGGAGTCAGGAGGGTAGAAAGGAGGGAGGAAAATGGAGCTCTTCAGCCAGGGAAGCTAAGGCCTGGTGGGAGAGGGAGAGGCTTTCATCTCCCCTAGGGGAGCAAGAGGGACAACTCTCCACATATACCCCTCACCTCTTTCCCAGGGAGGGTTTATATTGGTGCCTGAGGCCATTGCACCGGAAACACTCCAAAGCCAACTGCTTCCTTCTCCAAACAATGCAGGATCCTGCTAACCAGGCTGAAATCTGGGACAGAAGAGGGAGGCAGGTTCTCTATCGCTCATACCCAGCACTACCAAGTCAGGGGCCTTCCTGCAGTACCATTCAGCTGCACCCAGATGCCCCAAGAGCAATGAGCCCACACGCAGAGCTGGAGGACCTGAAAGGTAAAGAGTCTGAGGAGTGAGGAGGACCCTGAGAAGAGAGTACTGGGCGGGAATAAACCTAGGCTTGGGGGTTCTGATGTGCAAGGGCTCACACTGCAGCAGGAGGAAAGAGAGATAGACTTGAGTAAGGAAGGGCTTCCCAAAAGGTAAGGAAGGGGTTTTGAAGAATGGGGGCATCTGGACAGGAACTGACTCTGGCCAGGACCTGGGCTGTCATCCTTTGGGAGGCTCAGTGGTGGAAGGGTGGTTGAGAAAATGAAGAGAGGAGAGAGAACAAGATCAGAAGAAAAAGATGTCTAGTGAAGCAGCCCTAAACATCAAAATATCCCTCCAACCCCAAAATGAATTTCTTACACATTCTTGCTTTAAAAGACAACGAGGCAAAGGGAGACGTTTAGGATGTGAGTCTGATCAGGGAGAAAGGAGTTTAGAACTTTCTCTCAGGGATCCAGGAAGCTAACACCCCAGCTTCATAACTCACTTCCACTGTACCTACTCTAGTAACTGGTAATATGCCGGCTCAAGGGGGTGTGTGGAGGAAGGTCAGGAAAAAGGGAGGGAGGAAGTCAGCCTTATTCTGTGAGCTGTATTTGTCTGGGGGTGCCCTCCCCACTAGAAAATGTTCCCCAATCTCAGCAGGGCCCTCAATAGTCCCATTCTCCACCCCATCTTTCTGCAACCTCTCCAGCAGCAGGTACACTCAATTTTGTCGCTAGTGGGGAGTGACGTTACTCCCCAAAGGGCAGGGGACCCCAGAGGCAGTTTCAGGCATAGAAGAGAAAGCAGAAGAGGTGGGAAAGCCCCTAGGATTGCTGCCCTGGAGAGAAAGCAGCAAGGCTGTGATAGCAGGAGGAAGGTAACATACTAAGTCAGGTGAGCTGGGTCATCTCCATTCTCTGGAAAGTAAACAAGAAAGTTCAATGTTGATGGACCCTGAGGCAAGAGGGCAGGGGTTAGGGATAAGGGATCCCCTAGGCTGCCTCTGGATAGAGTTGAACTTACATTTCTATGCAATTCCCCTTTCTCACCACCCTGTACCCAAGAGTGGGGTGGAGCTGATTATTTATATTCCCACTCCCAAGGCAGAAATATTGGTGTGTGTTTGGGGAGGGGTCCTCTCCTGGGGCTTTGGATAGTTTGATCTGAGCTGGAGATACAGAGGGGGCGTGGGTGAACATTTTAAGAAAGGGTAGGGAGATAGTTAAGGAGAACATGTCCAGTCTCTCTCTTCCACTAACTTGGTGTGGCAAATAGAACTCCTTTAGAGCCCTGGGAGTGATGCTATCTGGGGTCCCTTCCTGACCTTCCCTGCTCTCCACAGAAACCCTCTTGCTTCTGCCTAACTCTAGCCACCCTCCTTCAAGGGGCTCCTGATGGGTCTCTCTCTCTCTCAAATTTTTTTTCTATTCCTCCCAGAAGCGGCTGCAACCCCAATCTCCCTGCCTCGATTTCCCTTCTCACCTCACAGGGCTGAGAACAAGAGAAAAACACATGATAATGACAGGAGTTATAGGCAGAAGCCGGCTGTGCGGCATCTGGAGGATATTCAGGAAAAGCCCCTCTCCTCCTCCGGGGCAGCTAATTGGTGGGGTGGGGGTGGGGGGTAGAGAGTCCCCAAGATGGCACAACTGAGGGACACTAAATATGTTTTTTGGGGACACAGCTGCTTCCTGACCCTGTAAGTCTCCTCCCCCAATTGAAGCAAGTTAGGGAGAGGGAGGGAGATAATCTGGTTTCAGAGAAAAACTTTCCCAATCCCAATCTGGCAAGACAGAGGAGGGGGTGTATGATGGTATCCAGCCCAGTTTTGTCTTTGGATGAGAGGGCTAAGATGACAGGAGGGGATGAGATCCCACCCCTTCTCAAATCAGGGACCTAGCCCAGCCCAACCCCATGACCCCAGCTTAATGCTTAAAGCTTGGGCAAGACTTGAACCAGTGACTCACAAGTAGGAGAAAAAAACAGCTGACAAAAAAAGGGAAGAGAGGCACCCCATTTCCCCAAAAGGATGCAGTTCTAGCCTAAGCCTAACTCTGCAATATACAAAGTGTGTGTGTATGGGGTTTTGGGCTTGGAGGGGTGCAGGGAATAAACAGATTTACTAAAGGAGTGTGGGGGCACAGCCATAATCCCCATCCAACCTCCAACTCTCCTTCCAATCCAAACTGTGATGAAGCCAGAAGTCAGGAAGAAGGCAGCCTCCCCCACCCTCCTACCCCAGCATTCCAGGCCATTCTCCAGTCCCCTTCCCCAGTGATGACATCTGACGTTTTTTCATCTCAAAGCTCCCAGGAATTAAGAAGGAAAATTCAAAGTCACATAGTATGGCGAGCTCCCCCTCTCTGCCCCCCAACACAGCCCTACCCCAGGCTACTGACAGAGGCCCTGAGAGGGGGAAGAGCCTACTTCAGCACCCAGGCCTCCAGCCGGGGCTCTGGGGTCGATTCCACGCCCAAGCAGGGGGCCCTCCCTCTCCCCACCCACAGCCTTCCCGGGCCTGCCTGCCCTCTGCCCGGCAGGGTACCCCTGGCCTGGCTCCCCTTTCGAGCTACAGAGGCCAGTGCAAAAGCCACCCCCCCCACCCCCACCCCCTTTTGCAGCCGAACATTGCAAATCCGGATTCCTTCACAATTCAGATGGGGGGTGGGGGGTTGTGAGGATGTAGGGGAGGCGGAGGCCCTCCCCGAACAGAGATAGGAAAAGAAGGCCTCTCCTCCCCAGGATCAGAAAAATGGGGAGCCCTCTTCTCTCTACCCAGGCCTCTGGTCTTTGTTTGTGCTGGGGGGCCCCGGAAGCATCATTTGCCCAGGGCCCCCATCCCCCAAATCGGACCCCATCCCCGCCCCCAGTCGGGCCGCTGCTGTGTCAGCTGGACTGGGATAACAAAAGGCACCCCCTCCCGCGTCTCCCTTCCCCATCCGTATGCAGGAGTGGGGGCTGGGGAGAGGGTGCCCCCAGGGGTCCAAGGGGGACGCGGAATCTCACTCACCGTCGATAGCCGCCGCGACCAGAGCTGAGAGCAGGGGCAGCAGCAGGAGCAACGGCGGGGTCAGCATGGTGTGGGCTGATGCAAGCAGCAGCCCCTTCCCCTCTGGTCCTGCTACTTCTCTCCTTCACCCCCCCCAGTTGGGGGGTCCCCCTTTTCCTCCTTTCCCCCTCCTCCTTCTCTGTTCTTATTCTTTCCTTCGGCAAAGCGCACCAGGGGCGTGGGTGAAGAGGTAGAGTTCCGAGCCCCTTGGGGAGGGCCTGCTGACGGGGGTGCGCCCCCTGCCCCGAAATCCAAACCCTTCACCCCACCCCCCCGCTTCACTCCTCGCTGCTCTTTCCCCCTCCCCGGGCGAAGCTCACAGCCCCATCTCGGAGCCGCCTCCGGCTGCAAAAATGCACAATTGGGAGGAGGCGGGGAGGGGGGGTGGGGGGCGTGGACCGGGTAGGGGAGCCTTTGGAGGGGGCTTGATGGAGCTCTGGGGGCTCCCCTTGTTTCCGCCTCCTCAGTGCATGGGCCTGGAGCTCGCACCGCTGTTCCCCGGACTGAAGTGCCGAGGGGGGGGCTGATGGGGGAGAGGGAGGGGACGGGTTGAGGAGGGAGGGAGGGAAGGGGCGGGGAAAGAAAAAAGGTTGGTGGGTGGGGGGAGAAAGAGCTACGCGGCAATCCAGTGAGTGCGCATGCGCCGATTTGACGCGCTGCCCGGGGGAGGGCGACGCGGACCCGCGACAGGGTTCGGAGTTCTGGAAAGCGGTCCAAGAGTGAGGGTCCCGGGGACTCGCTGGCTAGTTTGGGGCCTGGGGCGCCCTCTCCCCTGGCTGGGCCCTCCTCCCTGGTGCTCCAGAGAGCAGAAGGGGTCGAGGGTGGGATTGGGCAGTGGGCGGAGAGCTGAGCGGCTCCCCTTTGAAACTCAGTGTCATACTCTAGGATTTCAGGCTCCCTCCGGGGGCGTCCGGGACTCAGTGGTCTGGGCCGAGGCTCGATTTTCTAGGGGAACCCTGAAGGTGCCTCCTCTGCCCGGGGTGGGGACAGGGACCGCCAGTCCGCGGGGAAGGTGCAGGGAAAGGCTGAGCTTTGATTTGGAGACTTTGGAAGACCGGACTGGGATTGGGGCCTGCGAAGGAGGGGGCGGGGTTGGGGAGGGACCGCGAGGACCCGCCCCCACCTCGCTCCCGGGCTCGGAGTAAACAGGGACACCCGAGGGGACACGCCGGAGCTTGTCCGCCCGCGTGGGGCTCGGGGATGGAGCCCACCTTAGTACCCGCCCGCCCTGCTCGCCCAGCCCTAGGCGCGGGAGGGGCAGGCCCTGGTTTGGAGGGAGGTGAGTCACCAGCGGGTGGGGTTGAGGAAAGGCCACCCCCTTTCGCCCAAGAAGTCGGGGCTCATTTATTTTTCTGTTTTTTTTTTTTTTTTTTTTTTTAATACCTTCTGACTGGCTTGCCATCAAGTTAGGGTTTTAGATTCCGAGCGCCAGGATTTGGAATAAGATGAGGGACTCTGGACCTTCGTTTCCAGGCCTCGGGTTCCAAGGAGGTGTCTGCTGAGCGCCGGACCTTTGTCCCCAGGCTCAGCCCACACGGGAATGATACTTTGCAGAAGGCAGGCGCCAGGCGGTTCCCAGGGGCCAGTGAACGTGCTTTTGGTCACTGCCCCCTTCTGGGCGGCGTTTTATGGCTGTTACCTTAGTGTCTGACTTTCTAGGTGTCTGCATGTCAGAGTTCAAGGAGCGGGGCAGACGACGTCGGCTGCCAAAAATTGACGCTGGAGAGGAGGGACTGTTCCCCCTTTTACGTTCTAGTTACGGAAAAGTCCCCACTCCAGTCTGTCCTTGGCAGAAACAGGAGCAGCACGAAGGACTTGCCTCCTAATGACAGTGAGCTCAACCTTTAGCTTCTTCCAGCCGGCTTTGCTCAGCGCGGTGGCCACCTGCCTTTAGTCTCCTGGGCTAGAAACCTCAGACTTTATGCCAACTCAAGGGGGCCTTTCCTTCCTATATCCAATCTTGCCAGCCTGTGCTCCAGGCTTGTCATTTTTTTCCTCTGAAGTATATCTCAGATTTCCTCCATTTCCACTGCCAGAGAGTTGCTCCAGGCAGGAACGGGGTCTTATTTCTCCTTTTATCCAGCTCCCATGGCCCAACACAATGTGAGACGCACTATGCGGACTCACCAAATGCCTACGAGGTTCCTCCCAGGGCCCCTCCCAGTATTGGGATCCAAGTGAAATCAGGTCGAAACAGACTTTAGACAGCTTGACAGCTTTGAGAGGAAAACGGTATCTGGAGCAACCACATGTAGCCTGAGGGCTTGAAGGGGCTTTCCTCCCTCCCCCTACCCATCTGTCAGGTGAATCTTCCAAAAACTGCTTTCCCGGTGTCTCTTCCTTGCTGGGGAACCTCTAGTGGGTGTCTATAGACCAGTCAAATGTGAACTCCTCTTCAGTCATGGCTTTCCAAAACCTGGCCTCAGTCAGCATGCACTTCTCACTTGCAACCTCCCATCCCCTGCTGTCTCCTGAATGTGAATGTGTATTTTTATTAACTTTATATTGTTAAAAAAAAAAGAAAGAAAGAAAAGATAATACCTAGTGGTTAAAAAAAGTACAGGAAGGTAAAAAGTAAAAGGAAACTTGATGCTCTCCACACCCCCATTTTTCAGCTGCACCCTCAGAGTAACTTCTACTAACAGTTCTTCAGGTCTCCCCTACCAGCAGAGGTTTCCCCCCCGCCCAAGACGGAGTCTTGCCCCGTTGCCCAGGTTGGAGTGCAGTGGCCTAATCTCGGCTCACTACAACCTCTGCCTCCCGGGTTCGGCGATTCTTCTGCCTTGACCTCCCAAGTAGCTGGGATTACAGGCACACGCCACTATACCCAGCTAATTTTTTTTGTATTTTTGGTAGAGATGGGGTTTCACGATGTTGGCTAGGCTGGTCTCGAACTTCTGACCACGTGATCTGGCCTCCTCAGCCTCCCAAAGTGCTGGGATTACAGGCGTGAGCCACCGTGCCCGGCCAGGAGAGTTTTTAAAACAGTAACATACAGGCCAGGCGTGGTGGCTCATGCCTGTAATCCCAACACTTTGGGAGACGAAGGTGGGAGGATCACTTTTCAGGAGTTCGAGACCACACTGGCCAACATGGCGGAACCCCATATCTACTAAAAATACAAAAATGAGCCACGTATCGTGACGCATACCTGTAATCCCAGCTACTGGGGAGGCTGAGGCACGAGAATCGCTTGAACCCAGGAGGTGGAGGTTGTGGTGAGCCGAGATCGTGCCACTGCACTCCAGCCTGAGCAACAGAGGGAGACCCTGTCTCAAATAAATAAATAAATAAAACAGTAACATACAAATATAAGTGAATATCCTTTAAAACTATAAAGAAACTCATATGATATATAGTGTTCTGTAACTTGCCTTTTTTTCAATTAACTTAGCTTGATCCCTTTCCATACCGTATGAACGCATTTAGCTCACCCTTTGATCTTGGCTACTTGGAATCTCCTTGCTTGGATGTTCCACAGTTTGTTGGGATTGTTGGGCACTTGGGTTATTTCCAGCAGGTGAACTGCTGAGGGTATGTCTGTAAGGTGAGAGAATGCATATTTATGTCTTTCTTTCTTTCTTTCTTTCTTTTTTTTTTTTGAGATGGAGTTGCACTCTTGTTGCCCAGGCTGGAGTGCAGTGGTGTGATCTCAGCTCACTGCAACCTCCACCTCCCAGGTTCAAGCGATTCTCCTGCCTCAGCCTCCCGAATAGTTGAGATTACAGGCACCCACCACCATGCCTGGCTCATTTTTGTGTTTTTAGTAGAGATGGGATTTCTCCATGTTGGCCAGGCTGGTCTTAAACTCCTGACCTCAGGTGATCCATGCACCTTGGCCTCCCAAAGTGCTGTGATTACAGGTGTGAGCCACCTCACCCTGCTGAGAATGCATATTTCTATCTGAGCCATTAATGATACAGTTCCCCTGCTCCTCTACCCTCCTCAGAAAAGCCCTCCTGTTATTCTCGCTCTGCCTATCTCTCCTGTTCCAAACTTGTATTCAGGAAAGCTTCAGTATCCAGAGTTTAGCACTTTATTTTGTGGGCTCTGTATCCACCACTAGACTATATACTCCTTGAGGGCAGGGACCATGTCTTTTTCTTCTTCGTTTCCACCCAGCGTGAGAGGCTCTTGATTGGTGAAAGGAATGTTAGGACTAGAGTTGCCTTTCCTGGAACAGGATGTGACTTCAAGCATCTTCTTCCCTCTATTTCTCTTATAGCATTCATTGTTTAATCCTCTCTGCCTCAGTGCCTTCTCTTCCTCCCCACATCTGTTCTTAAGAGGCATCTTCAAATCCTTGGGTTGAGATTATAACCATAATAGTAGGGAATCATGGAGGAATTCTCTGAAATTCATGATTGATACCTGGAATGGTGATGAGGGCAAAGAAGCTAGTGTGGGTAAAGGGCATCTCTTTTTTCGGGTCGCTCAGCAAATTACAAAATACCCGCCTTTTCTGAGTATAGCAGGGCCTGGGCTGGGGCGTTAATTGGGTAGCTCTGGAACTGAATGTCAAGCCAGAGGCTAGCACCACCTAGTGGTCAGTTAAGGAAGTGTGCGTAGGAAGGGTATCCCGGAAAGGTCTGATGGCAGGCGGAGAGAGGGAAAAGGACCAGTATTTATTGAGCGCATACCATGTCCCAGGCCCACGCAGTGGACTTTATTTACAGTATCAGCTCACTTAAGTCTACCTTTTGTCATGGGTGTTATTTCCAGTGTGTATAAGAAAATAGAATGTTCTGAGAGATTAAAGAATCTGTCCCAAATAATGGTGCAGATCCAAGCCCAGATTTCATTCACTTAATAAAAATATTAGGTACCTCGTATAAGCAAGTACATTGCTAGGCACTAGGGATAAGAGACGGAAACACACAGTCTCAGCCTTCAAGAAGCTTTCAGGTTAGCTGGGTGCTCAACAAGAGACAGACAATGACAATACAGTCAGTTCCTTAACACCTGTGATGAAGGCATGTGCAGAAGGGCATGGGAACATGGGAAGGATACCTCTTCCAGACAAGGTGGTCAAGACAGAGAGCAGCAGATGATGCCAGGCTAAATGTTGAATGAGAGGAAGAAAATGACAACCAATAACAAAAGGAAAGGGTGTTTTAGGCTGGATGGCAGGAAAGGCATTGGAGGCATGAGAAGTTTAAAACATGTGAAGAACATCAAATATGGTATCATAGCTGAAGTTTAAGGTACTTTGAGGGGAGAGTGTTGGATGAAGTATCAGAAAGCCTAATCACAAAGCGTGATTTTAGCCACAGTAAGGACTTAGAATTTTTTTTCTAGAAGTAGTGTAGAGCCAGTTGAGAAATTGGTGAAGTCCTTAATGCATGAGTGATGGAGCTGGAGAGGAAGAGGATTCAGAAACAATAAAGAAGTAGGATCTAGTATACTAACCAGTTAACTGTATAGGCCTGAAGATAGTGACAGAGAAATCTGAGTCTAGAAAATTTGGCTCACATTAGAATCACCTGGAGAGTTTTTAAAAATCCCAGTGCTGTGGTGGCATGCATCTGTAGGCCCAGCTACTCAGGAGACTAAGGTGGGAGGATTGCTTGAGCTCAGGAGGTTGAGGCTGCAGTGAACCTGATCACTGCATGATCATGCCACTGCACTCCAGCCTGGGTAACAGAGTGCAACCCTGTCTCAAAAAGAAAAATAAATGAATCAATGCTGGAGGATTTATGCTACTTGATTTCAAGACTTGTAAGTGACAGTAATCAAGACTATGTGGTGCTAGCATGAGAATTGACAAACAGATCCATGGAGCAGAATAGAGAACCAGAAATAGACTCACAATCATTTGATTTTTTAATAAAAATTCTATATGCGTTTATTATTTTATAATGTTACTTTTATATACTTTTATCTTGGAATTATTTTTCGTTTGATTAGTTTTCTATGCATCTATCATTTTCCCCAAATATCTCAACATAATTTTAAAAAATCAGATAGTTGTTTGATTTCTTATTGCAATTCCTTTGTGTTTACCACCCCTCCACCCTGCTCATCCCTATCTCACCCTGTGCAACTTCTGCATTCTTGCTTCAATGTTGACTAGGCACAGGCTTCGTTTTTCTTTTTGAGACAGAGTTTTGCTCTGTTGCCCAGTCTGGAGTGCAGTGGTATGATCATAGCTCACTGCAGCCTCAACCTCCTGGGCTTAAACTATTTTCCCCTGTCAACTTCCCAAGTAGCTGGGACTACAGACACATGCCACCATGCCTGGCTTCAGCATCCATTCTTAAACTCCTTTTCACCATTGATCTGGGATTTTACTCTTAGCTGGAACCTGTCTGAGACCCGACTATTGGAGGTCTCTTACTGCTGGAGGATGGTATCTCTGGGAAAGGCCCACTCCCAGACCCAGGAATGTAGGATCCATCTCAGTGCAGCTTTTCTCAGCTCTCTACTTGTCTGGGGTACCACACTTCTCAACCGGATTCTGTACTTCTCATAAAGGTATTTTGATCAGTAAATTGTTAAATCTGTGTTTCTGTGAGGGGATGAGAGGCGGGACTTCGTATTGCACCAACTGGCTGATCCCACTGTAAAGGTCATTTGATTTTGGCAAAGATGTCAAAGCCAGCCAGTGGAGAAAGGAATGTCTGTTCAATAAATAGTTATGGAACAACTTCATATCTATATGGGAGAAATAAATGAACCTTGACCCCTACCTCACACCATATGCAAAAATTAATTCAAGATTGATTATAGGCTGGGCCCAGTGGCTCACACCTGTAATCCCAGCACTTTGGGAGGCTGAAGCAGTTGAATCACCAGAGGTCAGGAGTTCAAGACCAGCCTGCCCAACATGGTGAAACTCTGTTTCTACTAAAAATACACAATTAACAGGCCAGGCATGGTGGCTCACACCTGTAATCTCAGCACTTTGGGAGGACAAGGCGGGTGGATCATCTGAGCTCAGTTCAAGACCAGCCTGGCCAACATGGCAAAACACTGTCTCTACTAAAAATACAAAAATTAGCTGGGCATGGTGGTGCATGCCTGTAATCCTAGCTACTCAGGAGGCTGAGGCAGGATAATCGCTTGAACCTGAGAGGCGGAGGTTGCAGTGAGCTGAGATCACACCACTGCACTCCAGCCTGAGTGACAGCGAGACTCTGTGTCAAAAAAATTAATTAATTAAAAAAATAAAAATACAAAAATTAGCTGGGTGTGGTGGTGGGCACCTGTAATCCCAGCTACTCAAGAGGCTGAGGCAGGAGAATTGCTTGAACCCAGGAGGTGGAGGGTGGAGTGAGCCGAGATCGCGCCACTGCACTCCAGCCTGGGTGACAGAGCGAGACTCCGTCTAAAAAAAAAGATTGATTATAGACCTAAACCACAAATGCTAAAATCATAAAGCTTTTAGACAAAAACACAGAATATCTTCATAATTTGGAGGAAAGCAACCCCTTCTTAAGCTATAGAAAGCAATAACATAAATTTCTTGATAAGTGAAACATCAAAATAGAAAACTTTTGCTCGTCAGAAGACATCATTATGGAGTAATCCCAGCACTTTGGGAGGCTGACATAGAAGAACTGCTTGAGGCCAGGAGTTTGAGACCAGCCTGGCCAACAAAGCTAGACTCTGTCACTACAAAAAATTTAAAAAATTAGCCGAGTGTGATGGTGTGCACCTGTAGTCCCAGCTACTCCAGAGGCTGAGAAGAGAGGATTGCTTGAGCCCAGGAGTTAGAGGCTGCAGTGAGTTGATTGTGCCACTGCACTCCAGCCTGAGTGACAGTGAGACCCTGACTCAAAAAAAAAAGACATTATTATGAAAATGTGGAAGTAAGCCAAATAGATAGACAAAACATTGATCTGAGAAGGGACAGAGGAATGCGAGATATATTAAAAATTCCTATAACATAGTAATAAAATGACAACCCAATGAATGGACAATAAGCATATGAAAGGTACTCGAGGCTAGGTGCAGTGGTGCACGCCTGTAATCCCAGCACTTTGGGAGGCCAAGGTGGGAGGATCGCTTGAGGTCAGCAGTTTCAGACCAGCCTAGGCAATATATCGAGACCTCATCTCTACAAAAAGTCCGGGCGTGGTGACTCACGCCTGTAATCCCAGCACCTTGGAAGGCCGAGGCGGGCGGATCACGAGGTCAGGAGTTCAAGACCAGCCTGGCCAATGTGGCCATACCCTGTCTCTACTAAAAATACAAAAATTAGCTGAGCATGGTGGTGGGCACCTGTAATCCCAGCTACTTGGGAGGTTGAGGCAGGAGAATCACTTGAACCCAGGAGGCAGAGGTTGCAGTGAGCTGAGATTGTGCCATTGCACTCCAGCCTGGGCAACAAGAGCAAGACTCCATCTCAAAATAAATAAATAAATAAAATTTAAAAATGATCTAGATATGGAGGTGCATTCCTGCAGTCCTAGCTACTCAAAAGGCTGAGGCAGGAGGATTGCTTGAGCCTAGAAGGTTGAGGCTGCAGTGAGCAGTGATTGTGCCACTGTGCTCCAGCCTGGGCAACAGAGTGAGACCCTGTCTCAAAAATAAAAAGAAAAAAGAAAAAGAAAAGAACTCAACATCTTTAGTTATTAAGAAAATGCAAATTATGCCAGGCACGGTGGCTCACGCCTGTAATCCCAGCACTTTGGGAGGACGAGGCAGGAGGATCACAAGGTCAAGAGATCTAGACCATCCTGGCTAACATGGTGAAACCCTGTCTCTACTAAAAATACAAAAAATTAGCTGGGCGTGGTGGCGGGCGCCTGTGGTCCCAGCTACTCGGGAGGCTGAGGCAGAAGAATGGCATGAACCCAGGAGGTGGAGCTTGCGGTGAGCCGAGATCGTGCCACTGCACTCCAGCCTGGGTGACAGAGCAAGACTCCGTCTCAAAAAAAAAAAAAAAAAAAAGGAAATTATATCCATAGTGTGATACCTCTCAATACTCACCAAAATGATTAAACTTTAAAAAACTGACAATACCAAATGTTAGTGGGAATACAGAGCAACTGGAACTCTCATACATCATTAGTGGGAATGTAAAATGTACTATCAATTTGGAACAATATGTAGCAGTTTCTTATAAAACTACACATACACCTACCCTGTGACTCAGCAATTCTATTCCTAGTTATTTATCCAAGAGAAATGAAAGCATATGTTCACACACAGACTTGAACACAGAATATTCATAGCAGTTTTCTTCACAGTAGCCAAAAGCTGGCTATAGCTCAGGTATCCTTCATTTGAAAAAGGATAAACAAACTGTGGTATAGATCCACCATGGGACACTACTCAGCAAGAAAAATGAAAGAACTATGGATACATGCAGCAACATGGATGAACCTCAAAACATGTTGCGTAAAATAAGCCAGACATAAAACTACATCCTATATTACTCTACTTAAAAAAAAAAATCAGAACAGTGGCTTCCCCTGTGGGTTGGGGTGAGGGTAATGATCCACATCTTGATAGAAGTTTGGGTATTACAAAGCAACCACCTGGTAGGGCAGAGATTTGAACACAGGTGGTCTGCCAGCGGCCAAGGTTTTAATCACCATACTACATAGCCTTGCCCAGGCTGTGGAGCCTCAGATGTGGATGAGATCACACAGAAAGAGTGTCCCGTGAAGACAGGAGACTGAGAGGGAGGACGCAGAGAGGTAGGCCGAAGACCAAGAAAGGAATCATGAAAAGTAGTTGGGGGAGAACTTACTCAAGAATGGCTAACAGTGTTGAGTACTGCTGAAAGGCCCAGCAAGAGAAAGACAGGAATGTGCCATCATTCAAGGCCCCTAGGAGGGTGTATGTGACATGGGCCAGGACAGTTTCATGACTGGTGGGGGCAGCAGCCAGCTGGCAGTGTAATGAGGAAGTAAGGAAGAGAAGACTGAATATGAATAATTTTCCCAAGATGCTTGGCTGCACAGGGGAAGGGAGAGAGGCAAGACAGTAATTAGAGAACTGAGATTTCCTTGCAGAGGCACAATCCTGACCACAGCTGACTCCATCCAGAGCTGCTTGACTTTGCCCATTCACCAGGATGGCTAACTTGTCCTTCTGTGAAGTAAAGGTCGGTTGGCCACAGTAAGCCTCTGACAGCCTGAGGGCTCCATTTGAAGCCTTGAGATCAGCTGACTCCACCATTGCTCACATCCTGTCATCCTTGGCAGGCCTTGATTGGCATCCATCCTTCTCCACTAAGTCCAGTCCTTCCTCCTCCTAACACTGTTATACTGCTCTCCACCCATCTCCTTGCTTGAAGCCTGGGGCCACCCCTGGCTCACATTATCCTGGCCCCTCTTGGCTTGTCTGGAACCTGATCCTTCCTTGAGAACATTCCTCCTTTAATGAGGTATCGCTTATTCTCTCAAGTGTATAGGGCGGGTGGTAGTGGGAGGATGGGCAGGCAGCCCACCCTGGAGTCTCCATTTCCTGTGGCGATATAGCTTCACCATGGTCTTAGTTAGGGATGCATTTAGCAGCAAGTAATGGAAGACCCAATTAAAGCAGGCTCAACAATGAGGAGTTTTATAGCAGGTCCAGGGCTGGTTGATTCATCAAAGGTTTTCCACCTCTTCACACTCATACTTTATCCTCATTGGTTGGTGGTATCTCCCCTCCCAGTTGCAACGTGGTTGCAGCTATTCCAATCCTAAAAGTGAACATGGCACTGAAGAAGAACAAAATCTTTCCCAGAAGCCCCCTAAGTCCTATTGGCCAGGATTGGGTCACTGGCCAAGGGAATAGAAATACTGTGATTGGCTATGCCAATTAGATTCACCCCGTGAATACATAGGAGGGGGACACCTGTGTGAAATCCAGACTTTGCTAGCAAGGGAGAAAAGCTTGGCTGCTGAATAGGCACCACCAGTGCTTGCCTCAGTAGTCACATCAAATTCCTCTTCCTTTAAGAGCCAACTATTTCACCTTCCATTGGGATGTGCAACATAGGGCTTAAGGGCAACATTTCTGGTGCCAAACTAACTGGATTTGAATCCCAGCTCTCTCACCTTAGCCTTGAGCAAGTTGCTGAGTTTTCCATGCCAGTTTCCTCATTTGTAAAATGAGGGTTATCAGCACTATCCAATAGAATTTTCTGTGATGATGGAAATGCCCCGTGTCTGTTTTAATATAGTAGCCACAAGTCATACATGGCTATTGCACATTTGAAATGTGGCTGATACATCAGAGGCATTGAATTTTAAAATTGAAATAGCCACAAGTGGTTAGTAGCTACTGTAGTGGGCACATAGTTCTAGCTCATAGTATTATTGTAGGATAAAAAGTACAGTGCTTCAATTTTAGAGTAAGAATTGAAGTAACACATAAAGCCCCACTAAGTGTTAGTTATTATTTTTGCTGTTATCCACTGATGTCCTGGTCACTTTATCCGTGAAGTCTTTGTTTATTTTATTTTATTTTAATTTTTTTGAGACAGGCTCTCACTCTGTTGCCCAGGCTGGAGTGCAGTGGTGCAATTATGGCTCACTGCAGCCTTGACATCCTGGGCTCAGGGATCCTCCCACCTCAGCCTCCCCAGTGGCTGGAACTATAGGCATGCACCACCACACCAGGCTAATTTTTGTATTTTTTCGAGAGACGGCATTTCACCATGTTGCCCAGGCTGGTCTCAAACTCCTGGCCTCAAGCAGTCTGCCCACCTCAGCCTCCCAGAGTGCTGGGATTACAGGCATGAGCCACCACGCCTGGCCTTCTGTGAAGACTTTAGCAGCTGACTGTCTTCCTGTCCACCTCAAGTTTTCCACAAACCCAGATGGTTTCAGTGCTCCGGCAGGTAGTCCAGCCAACACCCTGGCCTCTTGGTTCCTTGTTCTCTTTGACTCCAATGACTTACCTCTGTGTTGCTGTAGCCACTCACTCTCATAGCCACCACCTTTATCACACCCTTGCAGGAGAGCTGGACTGAAATCTCACTCCCTAGATTCTGACCGCAACATCCTAGCCTTACAGCTCTTCTTTCCCTTGCCCCCGGGAAGCCTGGTCTTTAAGTCTGTTGAGACTTCCAGTTTCTTGCCTTTCTTTCCTTTGACACTGGCCCCTCATGTCTTCACTTTTCTTCCTAACCAGTCTCCATTCCACAATGCTTCACCTCTGCTCTTCAACTGTGTCGTCTCCCTCTCTGTTGTTATTAACCTTCTGAATGGATCTCCTGGCTTCAGAACTTATCTTTTAAATCCATCCTCCACATTGCAGCTAGGCTGATCCCTCTACTAAATCTTATCATATGACTCACCTGTCTAAATCTTCTAATGCTCCGCATTGCCCATTACTACCCATTCCCAGAAGGTACCATGCTCCCACAGGTATCCATGCCTTTGCATATGCTAGACCTTCTTCCTGCTTTAATGCTTTCCTTGTTCTTTGCCTGAATAATTCTTATGTCCCTTCAAGATTCATTTCAGGCTGGGCACGGTGGCTCACGCCTGTAATCCCGAAACTTTGGGAGGTCGAGGCAGGAAGATCACTTGAGTTCAGGAGTTTGAGAGCCTGGACAACATATTGAGACCCTGTTCTATGAGAGAGAGAGAGAGAGGAGAGAGAGAGAGAGGAGAGAGAGAAGGATTCGAACATGCTTTATGCTGAAAGTATAGAGCTGTCATAACTACAGAGCAGGAGGGTGGAGATTTGAAGAATGAAGGGGATAATAAATTGAACAAGTGCCTGAAGAGGCAGAAGGGAGGGGCCTTGAGCACAGGTGTTTTCTAATTAAATGATGAGTTGGTATGAAGATGGATGGAAACTTGAGGAGAATAGTGAAGGCCTGGGAGATAGAGCTGGCTAGGGGCCCTCAGCAGCTTCCCACAATTCTTTTGTGACCTCCTCCTCCTTTCCCTCATCCTCCACAAATCACAGTCCACTATTCAGTGTTCTTGAACTGTCTTGTCTGTGAAATGTACTGAGCTCCAGCAATCAATCCATCAATCAGTTTAGTCCTTACGTAGGAGAGTATGTATAAAACATTTAGCCCAGCACCAAGTACATGGGAGACACTCAGTTAATTGCAGCCCTTCATATCTTTACCACCAAGAATGCATGTTGTTTTTTCTAGCTGCTGCACAGCAGTGTGTACAGTATGATATGAGTCCTTGCCCTCCTTGAACTTGTGTTATTGTTGAGGAAGAAAGATGTACCCACAAAATAATTAAAAAGCAATACAAAGGAATATGTAGTGGCCACCAGTACCCAAATTGTGCTTCTGTTATTATTATTATTATTATTATTTTTGAGACAAACCCTCACTCTGTTGCTGGAGTGCAGTGGTGTGATCCTGGCTCACTGTAACCTCCACCTCCTGGGTTTAAGCAATTCTCGTGCCTCAGCCTCCCAAGTAGCTGGGACTACAGGGCAGTGCCACCACACCTGGCTAATTTTTGTATTTTTAGAGACGGGGTTTCACCATGTTGGCCAAGCTGATCTCGAACTCCTTACCTCAGGTGATCTGCCCACCTTGGCCTCCCAAAGTGCTGGGATTACAGGCGTGAGCCACCATGCATGGCTGTGCTTTTTTTTTTTTTCCCCACAACCAGCACTAAAAAGTATGTTTTATCATGACTTAGAATTCAGATACATATAGGGCCGGGAGTGGTGGCTCATGGCTGTAATCCCAGCACTTTGGGAGGCTGAGGTGGGTGGATCACCTGAGGCCAAGAGTTTGAGAGCAGCCTGACCAATATGGTGTCTCTACTAAAAATACAAAAATTAGCTGGGTGTCATGGCATGTGCCTGTAGTCCCAGCTACTGGGGAAGCTGAGACAGGAGAATTGCTTGAACCCAGGAGGCAGAAGTTGCAGTGAGCCGAGATCCCGCCACTGTACTCCAGCCTGGGCGACAGAGGGAGACTCCATCTCAAATAAAAAAAAAAAAAAAAGAATTCAGATACATATATAAAGCTGAAACAAAAGTTTAATTAAACAATACTTATCCTTACTTCGCTTGATGCCTTCTGATATTTTCTGTACTGTTCTATTCTACTTCAGTTTTATTTTTTAATTTTATTCACTTTATTTTTTATTTTTTGAGATGGAGTCTCACTCTGTTGCCCAGGCTGGAGTGCAGGGGTGTAATCTCAGCTCACTGCAGCCTCTGCCTCCCGGATTCCAGTGATTTTCCTGCTTCAGCTTCCCAGGTAGCTGGGATTGCAGGCACATGCCACTGTGCCCAGATAATTTTTTGTATTTTTTAGTAGAGACGGGGCTTCACCATGTTGGCCAGGCTGGTCTTGAACTCCTAACCTCAGATGATCCGCACACCTCGGCCTCCCAAAGTGCTAGGATTACAGGCATGAGCCTCTGCGCCTGGCCTTTACTTCAGTTTCAAAGAGTGAAGGTCAAGACACTGTTTTTTTTTATGTTTTGTTTTTAATTTTGTTTTAAATTTTTTTTGTAGAGATGGGATCTTGCTATGTTGCCCAGGCTGGTCTCGAACTCCTGGCCTCCAGCAATCCTCCTGCCTCAGCCTCCCAGAGTATTGGGATTACAGGTGTGAGCCATTGTGCTTGATCAAGATGCTGTTATGGGCTGAGTTGTGTTCCTCAAAAATTCTCTTGAAGTCCTAATCTCAAGTACTTCAGGACGTGACCTTATTTTGAAGGACCCCCTTATAGGGTCTTTACAGAGGTAATTAAGTTAAAATGAGGCCATTAGGATGGGGCCTAATGCAATATGACTGGTATCCTTGAAAAAAGGGGAAACTTGGAGACTGACTTGCATACAAAGAGAACAGTGTGTGAACGTGAAAATGGCCAAGGAGGGAGGCCTGGAATAGAGCCTTCCTTCACATCCCTGAGAAGGAATCAATCAATCCTGCTCAGGTTAACCTTGATCTTGGACTTCTAGCCTCCAGCATCTTGAGAGATTTCTGTTGTTTAAGTCATGCAATATGTAGTACTTTGTTACAGCAGCCCTAGCAAACTGATACACTCACCAAATCGATTTTGTGACTCACTATTGGGTTGTAACCAGCAGTACATAGACATAAAGTTATTTTTTCCTTACGCTTTATCTTGTGCAATCGTGTGTGTGTGTGTGTGTGTGTGTGTGTGTGTGTGTGTGTGTGTGACGGAGTCTTGTTCTGTCACCAGGCTGGAGTGCAGTGGCTTGATCTCGGCTCACTATAATCTCTGCCTTCCAGATTCAAGTGATTTCCCTGCCTCAGCCTCCTGAGTAGCTGGGACTACAGGCGCGCACCACCACGCCCGACTAATTTTTTGTATTTTTAGTAGAGACGGGGTTTCACCATGTTGGCCAGGATGGTCTCAATCTCCTGACCTTGTGATCTGCCTGCCTCAGCCTCCCAAAGTGCTGGGATTACAGGCGTGAGCCTCTCTTGTGCAATCTTTACCACCACTCAATGGGATGTCAAGGTCCAGGGGAGGGTGATACAGTCACCCTCACAGTCATGCAGGTGCAGATGTCATTAATGAAGGTCTGACAGACCCTGCAATTGTACAATCTGAAGATGAGTATCTCCTTAAATTTCATACTCTAGGCACTTTACCCTAGCCTAGACTCTGTTGAAGTAGGTATAACTATTATTCTCATTTGAGGGATTGACACCTGATTGTGAACCTCCTAAATGGAGTCATACCCAAGCCAGATTTGCCTCTAAATTCTGTTTTTTCCCCTTACATCACAGTGTTCCCATTGGTATAGTCAGTTACAGAGGGAGTAATATATACTATTTTTCTACCAGTACTTGCTCCTCGCCTTCCTACCCCCTAAAAGGAGCCAAAGTCAGAGATCACATTTACTCTTTTCCCTCCTCCTCTCCAAGTCTTTGGGGACTTGTAGCTCTGACACCCTTAGATGGTGAAACCTGGCTTCACCTACTGTCTGTGGATGTCTGCAGGCAGAGTGGGCACTCGGGAGCACATACAAAGCACGTGTGCCGTGAACACGTATGTGCACACACCTTGATCCTAGCATGGCTTGTTGGACAAGCCAATGGACAGAGTCCCTGCCTGCCACCTCCACCCCTGCTCTCCCTTCTCTTCCATTCACTGTCCTGCAGACACAGCAAACACATACGCACATACACCCTCAATATCCTTTTGGCAGTAACATGACCCCCAAATCTGGGGACTTCTATGTAGGATGGAGACCCTTCTCCTTTCCTCATACCTGGTTTATTATGAACCATAAAAATAGTGCCTGACAGTTACTGTGTGTCAGGCATTGTTCTAAGCCTTCAGATGTTTTACTGCATTTTATTCTCACATTATGGGTTAAGACTTATTTGCTCCATTTTACAGATGACGAGAATGAATCACAGAGTAAATTGCTCAGGGTTGTGTGGTTAGCAGCATTAGCAGGATTTGAACCCAAGCAGCCTGTATCCACAGTCCAGTCTTTTAACTGCTATATTTTGCTGTGTTCAAACCCTCTGCTGCCTGGCTGGGTCCACACACGTGCACTCATGTACAGACCTGCGGGGTAGCAAGGGATGGAGGAGGAGGAGCTGGTTCTGGAAATCAATTCAGGCACCAGGGGGCAGCATAGGCCTAGCTTTGGCCCCTCAGCCCAGCCCCTGCTATGGGAGGGAGGAGGGGAGTAGAAACTTCCTCCCACCGCCCCTCAGACACCACCTCTTCCACACACCGGGGCTCTCAGGTGTCCGGGAGTAAAGGCCTCTCTGGATCCCTTGGTCTCCTCCAGCTCCTCCCCCAGCAAAAACTGCAGAACCCTCCACTAGTTATGTTGATGACTCAGAAGTTGAGCAAGACTGTGTGTGTGTGTGTGTGTGTGTGTGTGTGTGTGTGTGTGTGGTGTTGTGATTGCAATGGGCTCTGTTTGTGAGCCTGCCTGCACGTGTGTGTGTGTGTGTGTGTGTGTGTGTGTGTAGTCTTGTGGTCAGGGAAGTTGTGCATGTGTGTGTTTGTTTCTTGGCGTGTCTCAGTGTTTACCCCAGAAACATATAGGAACTTGGCAGATAGGAACACAGCAGATTCGTATTCAAACTTGCCCCTTGTGAATCTGCAGGCAGCAGCTCCGGCTTGTGCTGGTTCCCACCACAGTCTCAGGAGGGGTGCCCTGTGAGGAGAGAGCAAAGACCAGCTTCAGTCCAAGGGACTCCTAGAGTCTTCCAGAATTCTGAGCTGAGGGTTCCCCTCCCCCACTCCCTCCCGTCAGTGGTCACGAGACCGACCTCTAAGGCGTTCCCTGCCGGAAGGGAGGGGGACCTAGGAGTTGGCTGGCATCGAGCTCCCTGGCGGCTTTTTAGGGTCCTCCACTGGAGGGAGCGCAGAGTCCAGAGGGATTTACTTTTCCTGAGGCCCTGGGGAGCCCAGTCCCTTGTGGGTCCAAACCCCAGCCCTTGGCAGAGTTTGAGTTTGGGAGCCAGGCAGTTAGGGGTGGCAAATCTCTGTTTGATATTGGGTGACTTTCTGGAGAAAAGCTGATGCTTTTGAGGGGGACAGAGTAAGTGGGGGTCAGCCTCCCCCCAAGCCTGGCTCCAAGGCCTGGACCCCAGTCCTGATCCCCCACGTGTTCCCCCACTCGGCACAGGAGGCACACATATTCACCCCACTTTCTTCCTCTTCCTCCTCCAGCCCACTTTCTCTTCTCTGTGTCGTCAGAGCTCCAGGGAGGGACCTGGGTAGAAGGAGAAGCCGGAAACAGCGGGCTGGGGCAGCCACTGCTTACACTGAAGAGGGAGGACGGGAGAGGAGTGTGTGTGTGTGTGTGTGTGTGTGTGTGTATGTATGTGTGTGCTTTATCTTATTTTTCTTTTTGGTGGTGGTGGTGGAAGGGGGGAGGTGCTAGCAGGGCCAGCCTTGAACTCGCTGGACAGAGCTACAGACCTATGGGGCCTGGAAGTGCCCGCTGAGAAAGGGAGAAGACAGCAGAGGGGTTGCCGAGGTGAGGGGTTGCCTCCGAGGTGGGTGCGGGGGCCTCTATGAGTGCATGGGGGTGGATTCGTGGGGGGAGCTCTCGGGATCCTCCCCTGGCTGGGTGGATGGTCCCCAAGAGATGGTTTCAGCTAGTGTTGGTGGCTGGTGGCACTGGGTTTTAGCAGTTTCGAACTCCTGGAGGAATCTGGGAGGGTCCAGGCCTCAGTACTCCCCTCCCCCATGGGTCACGTTTTCACAGCCTCACCCCTGCACCCCCAGGGCCATGGAAAGTCAGGGAAAGGAGGTGAAGGAGTGCCCCTCTGCCCTGAGTCGGGGGAAGTGGCCGCCCCTCCCTGGAAGGTTGATGCCAGAGGGCAGTGGATCCTTGTTAAACCCCTATCCTGCCCTCCACTAAAGGTTCCTGTTCAAGGGTGTGGCTGGGGCGTGAGCAAGCCCCAGATGTAGACCTCATGGTGGCCCAGACGAGGGGGAATTTCCCCCTCAAAACTGCTCCACGCTTGGCTGCTGTAGACGCTGAGATTTCCCAGCGGCGGCGCCGAGTTAACCCTCCTCGTGCTGAACTGGCTCCACCTCCCCGCCTGCCCCCACCGCCACATTCACGCATTGGGCAACTCAGAGAAGCTGTTTTAACTTTCGATCCTGTGGTCCCACAATCAGAGGACTCGGGCAGATAGGGGTTGAGATAAGCGAGTTTAGGCCACCAAGCGGGCGGACGAGGATCCCAGACCTTGCGCTTCCCTTCTGAGTTTGGGAGGTAACACTGGCCCCGCCCCTCACGCCGTGGCTCCTCCCTCCCTTCCCCTTCAAGGGGCTGAAGACAAAAGGTGCCCCTGTCCTGGTCAAGCCAATCGACCCAGCCTTGTTATGGGTTGGGGTGGGGAGAAATGTGTCCTCCTGATGGCTGGGGAAGAAGAGGGGTTGGATATTTCTAGCCAGGGCCATGCCAGGAGGCTGGTCACTCTGCAAGGGGATGCAGAGGAAAGCGGTGCCCACTCACTCCAGAGGACCTTTCTCTCTTGGGCTAGAGAAAGGCCTATTGGAGGAACCTGAGCAGGAGGGGTAAGGATTCTGCCTTGAGGAGAAAAGAGCTGGGGTAAGTGGGCACTGGAGGAAAGAGGGGCATGAAGGTCTTGGAGCAGAAACGTCCAGAGAAGGGACCTCTCCATTTTCCATCCCTCTGAGAGGCCTGGGAGAGGTGAGAGGCTGAACGTGCAACAGGAGGACTTGGGGTTACTGGGTTTGGGGAGACCTGGGGAGTTGTCATCCCATCCTCTCCCTCATCTCTGGGAGAGGGATATTATGAGAAACGTGAACTGAGAGGCCCCTGGGAAACCACTGGTTACCCAGTCCTCCCTGAACCTGGAAATGGGGATGCAACCCCCTCTTCTACTTCCCTGTCCCCTCCTCTCCTTTCTACCTGTTTTCGTCTCTCATCTTTGCCTTCTAGCCCTCCAGCTTCCTCTCTCTTCTAGGCTCTTTCCTCCTAGCTTACTAAACCCGCCTTTTTTCCAGTCTCTTCCATCCTCTTCCTTAGTTCTCTCTACTTTCCTTTTCCACCTCTCCTCCTTCAAGTCTCCTCCCACCTTCCCCCACTTCTTAGGATGATCAGATTTGCCCCTGGAAGGGATCCTAACAACACAGTGCGATGGTTAATCCCCACTCAGATTCAAAGCCTGCTTTCCAAACTCACTTACTGAGTGGCCTTGGGCAGAGTAGAGAAACTCCTTAAGCCTCAGTTTCTTCATCTATAAAATGGGATATTATATATTTTAAAAAGTGTCGTGAGGCCTGAAGGAGATAATACACTGAGTGTAATGCCTCATACACAGTAAGTGCTTAACAAATAGTAGCTGTTATTACTCTCCCATCCTCTTCATCATCTAGCCTTGTGGTTTTCATTTTTATTTTATTTCATTTATTTATTTATTTATTTTGAGGCAGAGTCTCTCTCTGTCGCCCAGGCTGGAGTGCAGTGGCTCGATCTCTGCTCACTGCAAGCTCCGCCCCCCAGGTTCACGCCATTCTGTCACCTCAGCCTCCCCAGTAGCTGGGACTACAGGCGCTCGCCACCACGCCCTGCTAATTTTGTTTTTGTATTTTTAGTAGAGATGGGGTTTCACTGTGTTAGCCAGGATGGTCTTGATCTCCTGACCTCGTGATCTGCCCGCCTCGGCCTCCCAAAGCGCTGGGATTACAGGCATGAGCCACTGCGCCTGGCCGAGCCTTGTGGTTTTCAAATTATCTCATGGAGTCCTAGAATTTTGAGAGGTTTGTCTAGGGATGCCTTTGGCGTCAGGAGGTGGGGAGAGGGAAGTAGAAGCAGTCGAGTTTCAGGCTTTCCATGCTTGCTTTCAACAGGGCATCTTCGGTTTCGTACCTTTTATGTAATTGAGATTCCACAGATTAAAAGCTGACATTGCCTACCGCTTTAAAAAGTTTGGAAAGTTTTCCACTCATCTAACACTCATATTTTATAGATGAGAAGATCGAAGCCCACAAAGGGAAGGCTCTTTGCCCACAGAACCAGAGCCAGGTCTAGAGCTGCAACTAAATCCTCTGCCACTCTAAGAGAGCTCTCGCTCTACTGCCCTGTCTCCCTTTGCCTCCCCATCCCTCTGGCTACAGCTCAGCTCTTCCCACCCCTGTGTCTATCACTGAAGGAGTTACCCCCATCTCAGGCATTGACTCAGGATGCCCCTGGTTTAAGGTGGTCTGGCCATGAGTGGTGGTGGGGACGGTCCCTAGGAGGGCTATCTATGGGAGGTCCCTGGCTGCCCCAGGAGATAGGCCAAGTTTCTTGGGCACCCCTCAGAGTGGCCTTATTTTTCTCCTCCAGGCAACCTCCAAGTCCCAGATCATGTCTCTGTGGGGTCTGGTCTCCAAGATGCCCCCAGAAAAAGTGCAGCGGCTCTATGTCGACTTTCCCCAACACCTGCGGCATCTTCTGGGTGACTGGCTGGAGAGCCAGCCCTGGTGAGTCCTGGCTGCTCCCTGCTGGTCCCCCAAGTCTTCCCTAACTCATCTTCCTTCTCCTTAGATTTTTCTCCCCTCACCCATGGATTCAGAACTTGAGACCTGTTATTCCATGTGTAGTGACCTAGATTTAGCAGGGAGTCTGTGCCCCATCAAGACCAGGCTATGAATGTTGACAGATGGAGACCCCATCTCTTAGGAGGCTGAGCCGAAGAGGAGGGGGGTTTGGGCTGGGACAAAGGCACTTCTCATAACAGCTAGAAGACTGGGAAACAAGGCGCATGGGTGAAAGCTACAGAGGGCCTAGATGGAGAATAAGGAGCGAGAAAGGAACTGCTGAGCTTTTGGCTGTGGGGTAAAGGGTCAGGAGAGCTGAGGAAGCCCTGGCCTGAGGTAGCCTCATCCTGATCTTCCTGCAGGGAGTTCCTGGTCGGCTCCGACGCCTTCTGCTGCAACTTGGCTAGTGCCCTACTTTCAGACACTGTCCAGCACCTTCAGGCCTCGGTGGGAGAGCAGGGGGAGGGGAGCACCATCTTGCAACACATCAGCACCCTTGAGGTGGGGCAGGAGGGGAGGGGACAAGGCTGGGTGGGGCTGAGGTTGAACTGGGTTGAGCATTGGGCCCTGGAAGAAAATTGGTTGGATGCTGGAAGCAAATTGGTGTTCCTGTGGTTAACTGCTAGCTAGCAGGCAAATTAGATTTTAAAAGCATGCAAATGCACAAAAACTTCTGGAGTCTACAGTTGTGCTTCCTTATAGTATATGTGTGAATGCAGGCCTGGGGATTGGAGGGATTGAAGGACATGGGTAAGAGCAAAGCTCACTGTTTACCACCCTCATTTCTGTAGAGCATATATCAGAGGGACCCCCTGAAGCTGGTGGCCACTTTCAGACAAATACTTCAAGGAGAGAAAAAAGCTGTTATGGAACAGGTATTGTGATATTCCACCTCCCACCCCAACTCAATCCCCTGAGACTTTGGCCTGAGCCATGACAAACTAGAAAGAATTTGAACCTCAGTAAAGGCTCAGTGTTCTAGGCCCAGGAATGACCAAAGGAGGTTCCTAGGGTCAGAGTGAACCCCAAGTCAAGCTCAGGGAATCTTTCTATGAGGGACTGAAGGTAAGAGGCCGGGGAGAACAGAGCAAGGGATAAGGAGCTGATTCTGCTAGGAGCAAGGTCTTATCTCCACGATATTCCAAAAGGTCAGGAAGAACTGCCAAAGGGGAGAGGGGAACAAGAAAACGCTATCTGCAGAGCAGAGAGTGGAGGCCAGGTATAGAGGGATGAGCAGAGTGTTTCACTTCTTGGCATCTGTCCTTCCTGTGTAGTTCCGCCACTTGCCAATGCCTTTCCACTGGAAGCAGGAAGAACTCAAGTTTAAGACAGGCTTGCGGAGGCTGCAGCACCGAGTAGGGGAGATCCACCTTCTCCGAGAAGCCCTGCAGAAGGGGGCTGAGGCTGGCCAAGGTGGGGGCCAGGGTGGTTCTGGGGAGTGTGTAGGAGTGGTTGCCTCTTGGATCTCAACCTTATCTGAACCTCTAATCTGTCTGCACCCTTGATTTCTGCCCCCAACCCTCAGTGTCTCTGCACAGCTTGATAGAAACTCCTGCTAATGGGACTGGGCCAAGTGAGGTGAGTAATGGGCTGACAGGTGGAGACCTTGGTCAAAGTGCAGCTGGAGGGATGGAAGCTAGACCTCAGAAAGACACAGGCTGAAGTAGGGCAAGGGAATGCCAGAGGAGTGAGAAAAAGAGCCGTATCCCAGGAGCTGGGTGTGGAGGCAGCGTGAGGCCCTGGCTCAGGCCCCTCTCTGCCCATAGGCCCTGGCCATGCTACTGCAGGAGACCACTGGAGAGCTAGAGGCAGCCAAAGCCCTAGTGCTGAAGAGGATCCAGATTTGGAAACGGCAGCAGCAGCTGGCAGGGAATGGCGCACCGTTTGAGGAGAGCCTGGCCCCACTCCAGGAGAGGTTGGGCTAGGGCTGATGGGGAAGAGGGGGCAAGCTGGGGGTGGGCAGCTGACCCTGCTGAAGGCCCTACAGGTGAGAGAAAGAAGCCAGGCGGGAGGGCCTTGGAGTGGACCAAGATGCATAAAAGCCAGTTCCAGCGGGGCTGTGCACACTGTCGTTCAGGTCGCATCCTGTACAAGTGGGCCTAGTGGAGGGGCACAAGCGGGGACTCATCCAACCCAGGCTTCTCTCCTCAAGCCCCATGCCTAGAGGAATAGGAGGGCTTTTCCATTTGGTTTATTGGGTGGGAACACTTTCCAATTTGCCACAAAGCACTGTAAGTGGTGGCAGTTGTCCTGGGTGCAAGAGCCGTCGGGGGAGAGGCAGCTGGGTTTCCACAGGGGGTGTAGGCACTGAGAATGAACCTCCCACCCAGACCCTAGGCCAACAGATCACAGAACCCCCTTCAGCCCAGGTGCCTTGCAGCCACACCCACTACCCACCCCACTTCTCCACACATGATAGCCTTTCTCCCTGGGTATAGGGGAAGGGGGTCTGGGCCGGAGCAAGCAGCCTTAATCCTGTGCCCCCTGACCACTGTCCTGGCCCCAGGTGTGAAAGCCTGGTGGACATTTATTCCCAGCTACAGCAGGAGGTAGGGGCGGCTGGTGGGGAGCTTGAGCCCAAGACCCGGGCATCGCTGACTGGCCGGCTGGATGAAGTCCTGAGAACCCTCGTCACCAGGTATTCCCCGGGAGCTCCCAGTCTGGCCTAGAACAGACCTCGGGAAGAAAAGAAGGGGGCTAGAGCTGTGGGGAGGGCACCAGCAGGGACCTAGCCCCCAACTCCCCTTGTGTCCTCCTCACTCCCAGTTGCTTCCTGGTGGAGAAGCAGCCCCCCCAGGTACTGAAGACTCAGACCAAGTTCCAGGCTGGAGTTCGATTCCTGTTGGGCTTGAGGTTCCTGGGGGCCCCAGCCAAGCCTCCGCTGGTCAGGGCCGACATGGTGACAGAGAAGCAGGCGCGGGAGCTGAGTGTGCCTCAGGGTCCTGGGGCTGGAGCGTAAGCTGGGATTGGACCTGGGGTTGGAGAAGGGCTGTTAGGGTGATGGAGGCAGCCTGGAGGGCTGGCACTGAAAAGAGCAAGGGATGGGGAGGGAGGGCCATGGGATGTGGAGACCCTGAATGGTCAAGGCAGAGGAAAGGGAGGGACCCATTTAGGGCTGGAATGGGGTGGGGGCATCATGATTTGGCCAAGATGGGGACTCCTCCCTTAAGAACCCAAACAGAGACATGGAGATTTAGGGCTGGTGACAGTGGGTAGTCTACACTCACCCATGCACTCGCCACACCTGACGACAGTGAGATGAGCTCGTTCACACTCTGACCTCCCCTGGCAGAGAAAGCACTGGAGAAATCATCAACAACACTGTGCCCTTGGAGAACAGCATTCCTGGGAACTGCTGCTCTGCCCTGTTCAAGAACCTGGTGAGGGGCTTTGGGGTGCAGTGAGGGGGGCACCACTAGGAGACTGTGGGACTCTCCTTGGAGAGGATGTCAGGAAGCCCAGGAGGAGCGGTCTCTGTCCTCATGACCTCGCCCTTGCTCTCCCTCACCCCACCCACAGCTTCTCAAGAAGATCAAGCGGTGTGAGCGGAAGGGCACTGAGTCTGTCACAGAGGAGAAGTGCGCTGTGCTCTTCTCTGCCAGCTTCACACTTGGCCCCGGCAAACTCCCCATCCAGCTCCAGGTGAACCGTGGCCCAGCCCTGCCCCAATCTGGGACCCCGAGTCCTCCTCCAATGCCACACACAAGGGCCCTGGACCCTCACCTCTTGTGACTGCCCCATACCCCATGTGTCTGGGATTCATGCACACTGGGGCCCGGGTGAGTGGGGGTGAGCAAGAGCATGGAGTGCACAGGGCAGGGAATGGTAGTGGATAGCAGCAAACACTTCGGAAGCACTTCCTATAGACCAGGGCACTCTATTAAATGATACATACGCACATGCGTGCCAGCACACACACGTCTGGTTTTCACAATAACATTATGAGGTAGGCAGTATTATCAGCCTCATTTTATAGATAAGGACATTGAGACAGAGAGTTTAAGTAGTTTGTCCCAGTCACACAGCTAAGTGTTGGAGCTGGTATTTGAAACCTGGAGGTCTGGTTCCATAGCGATGACTAATAACCACTTCTCTACGGTGAGGCCCTGATTGAGCTTCAGAACGCATTTAATAACATGGCATGAGCTTTTTGATTATGATGTGTGAGTCCAATAACTTCTCTGAGTGCTCAGAGCCAGTCCCCTGAGGAAACTTCTTGCTTCACTAAGAAACCCCTGTCCGGCTGGGCATGGTGGCTCAAGCCTGTAATCCCAGCACTTTGGGAGGCCGAGGTGGGTAGATCACAAGGTCAGGAGTTCAAGACCAGCCTGGCCAATATGGTGAAACCCCGTCTCCACTAAAAATACAAAAATTAGCTGGGCGTGGTGGTGCAGGCCTGTAGTCCCAGCTGCTCGGGAGGCTAAGCAGGAGAATCGCTTGAACCCAGGAGGCGGAGGTTGCAGTGAGCCAAGATTGCGCCACTGCCCTTCAGCCTGGGCGACAGAGCAAGACTATGTCTCAAAAACAAAACAAAACAACTCAGCACTTTGGGAGGCCAAGGTAGGAGGATCGCTTGAGCCTGCAAGTTTAAGACCAGCCTGGGCTACATAGGGAGATCCAATCTCTACAAAAAATAAAAAATTGGCCGGGCATGGTGGCTCACGCCTGTAATCCCAGCACTTTGGGAGGCCAAGGCGGGCGGATCATGAGGTCAGGAAATCGAGACCATCCTGGCTAACACGGTGAAACCTCGTATCTACTAAAAATACAAAAAATTAGCCAGGCATGGTGGCGGGCGCCTGAGTCCCAGCTACTCGGGAGGCTGAAGCAGGAGAATGGCGTGAACCTGGGAGGGAGAGCTTGCAGTGAGCCAAGATCGCGCCACTGCACTCCAGCCTGAGTGACAGAGCGAGACTCTGTCTCAAAAATAAATAAATAAATAATTAGCTGGATTAGGTGGTACATTTCTGTAGTTCCAGCTATTCAGGAGGCTGAGGTGGAAGGATCACTTGAGCCCTGAAGGCTGAGGCTGCAGTGAGCTGAGATTGCACTACTGCACTCCAGCCTGGGCAACAGAGTGAGATACTATCTAAAAAAAAAAAAAAAAAAAAAAAAAAAAAAAAAAAAAAAAAAAAAAAAAGGAAAGAAAGAAAGAAAAGAAACCCCTGTCCTCACCCTCTTCAGGCCCTGTCTCTGCCCCTGGTGGTCATCGTCCATGGCAACCAAGACAACAATGCCAAAGCCACTATCCTGTGGGACAATGCCTTCTCTGAGATGGTGAGGAAAGTCCTGGAGTTGGAGGGAACAGGGGCAGGGTGGGTTCTAACATGGGCAGTGGTGCAGGCCTGCTGATGGGGTGGTGGGCATGTTTAAATGGGTGTGACCTTAACACTTTCTCATGGGCCTGCTTTCGTGCTTCTGACCTCTTTTCACCCCAGTCTTAACAACTATCAGGCCACAGCACTGTAACCTAGAAAAAACAGCATGTTTGTGAGCGATATCAGGGGCTGTGGAGGGGTAGGCCACAGGCAGGTGGGAGGGATGAAGGCCGGCCCGAGGAATAACAAGACGGTAGCCTGCAGTGCTCTCTTCTTCCCCCTTCTCCCCAGGACCGCGTGCCCTTTGTGGTGGCTGAGCGGGTGCCCTGGGAGAAGATGTGTGAAACTCTGAACCTGAAGTTCATGGCTGAGGTGGGGACCAACCGGGGGCTGCTCCCAGAGCACTTCCTCTTCCTGGCCCAGAAGATCTTCAATGACAACAGCCTCAGTATGGAGGCCTTCCAGCACCGTTCTGTGTCCTGGTCGCAGTTCAACAAGGTCATTCTCCTGCCCTTTGGACCTCCCACCCCCAAGCTCTTCATCCCTGGGGCACTCAGGGCCTGCTCAGCCTCCATGCAGGGACCTTCCACTGGATTCTCCACAGTGCCCCCTCAGGTCCTTTAGGAAGGCCTGTCATGGACCAGGGAGGAAAAACCCCAGGCCTGGGGGTTGGCTCTGGAGATGCGTTCTCTGACATCCCTGAGGTTTTGGTCTGGGGGCCATCTGTCCTTCCTCTTTACCAGTGACTTGCATGACTCACCCAGGTTGTGTGTAAACAGAGCTCTGATTCAAAGTGACTTTGACCTGTTGGAAAAATAGTTCCTGGCCGGGCACAGCGGCTCATGCCTGTAATCCCAGTCTTTGACATGCCGGGGTGGGTGGATCACCTGAGGTCAGGAGTTTGAGACCAGCCTGGCCAACATGGTGAAACTCCATCTCTACTAAAAATACAAAAATTAGCCAGTTGCGGTGGCACATGCCTGTAATCCCAGCTACATGGGAGGCTGACGCAGGAGAATTGCTTGAACCCAGGAGGTGGAGGTTGCAGTGAGCTGAGATCATACCACTGCACTCAAGCCTGGGTGACAGAGCAAGACTCTGTCTCAAAAAAAAAAAAAAAAAAAGGCCAGGCATGGTGGTTCATGCCTGTAATCCCAGCACTTTGGGAGGCCGAGACGGATAGATCACCTGAGGTCAGGAGTTCGAGACCAGCCTGGCCAACATGGCAAAACCCCGTCTCTACTAAAAACAAAAAAATAGCCAGGAGTGGTCGTTTGCGTCTGTAATCCCAGCTACTCGGCTGAGGCAGGAGGTGAACCCAGGAGGTAGAGGCTGCAGGGAAGATGAAACCATTGCACTCCAGCCTGGGCAAGACTCTGTATCAAAAAAAAAAAAAAAAAAGGCTAGGTGTGGTGGCTCACACCTGTAATCCCAGCACTTTGGGAGGCTGAGGCGGGCGGATCACAAGGTCAAGAGATCGAGACCATCCTGACCAACATGGTGAAACCCCGTCTCTACTAAAAATACAAAAATTACCTGGGCATGGTGGCGCATGCCTGTAGTCCCAACTACTCGGGAGGCTGAGGCAGGAGAATCACTTGAACCTGGGAGGCAGAGGTTGCAGCGAGCCAAGATTGTGCCACTGCACTCCAGCCTGCCAACAGAATGAGATTCTGTCTAAAAAAAAAAAGAAAGAAAGAAAGAAAGAAAAAGAATTCCTGTTGCAAAAACTGAACAAAATCCCACAGGGACATGTGCAGTAATACCAGCTACCACGTGTTGACAGCTTATATGCCAGGCGCTGTGCTTAACACCTTATGTATGTTATCTCACTTAATCCTCCCAACATCTCTTTGAGGTAGATACTATTATTATCCCCATTTTACAGATGAGGAATCTGATGCTCAGAGGGTTATGTAGTTTGTTCAAGTTCCCAAAGCAGGTGAGTGCCATGGCTAGGAGAGAACCACATATTTCTGACTCTTGCTCTTTTATTTTATGTTATATTATGTTATTTTATGTTTTGGTTTTTTTTTCTTTTCTTTCTTTCTTTCTTTCTTTCTTTCTTTCTTTCTTTCTTTCTTTCTCTTTCTTTCTTTCTTTCTTTCTTTCTTTCTTTCTTTCTTTCTTTCTTTCTTTCTTTCTTTCTCTTTCTCTTTCTCTCTTTTTCTTTCTTTTGTGTGAGACAGAATCTTTAAAGAGAAGAAAGAAATGCTCATGTGACCAGAGGGTGTGTTAGCTAAAGGGAGCAAGACAGTCACACCCAGCAGGTTACCTTCCTTTGGGCGTCACCTCTGCCACACCTCCTTAGGGAGAGGGTGTAGCATAGTAGTTAAGAGGGGCTCCAGGGCCAGAATGCCTGGGTTTAAATCCTAGCTCTGCCTCTTACCAGCTATGTAGACCTGGGCAAGTCATTCGACGTTTTTGGACTTCCATTTCTTCATCTGTAAGATGGAATTATTATAATCCCTACTTCCATAGCCTGGTAAAGAGCAAATAAATATATGGAAAGGCTTGAAATAGTGGCTGGCACGTGTAAGCATTAGGATTGGTCGTTGTCATTGATGGAGTCTCAGGTTCGGTCTGATCCTCAGCCCTGTGATTCTGTCGTGAGGGCACTCACAGCTCACTGCCTGCCCTAAACAGGCTCCAGCTCTGGCCCTCCCTCGGCTCACACCTTTCCCCCTCTCCCCCTAGGAGATCCTGCTGGGCCGTGGCTTCACCTTTTGGCAGTGGTTTGATGGTGTCCTGGACCTCACCAAACGCTGTCTCCGGAGCTACTGGTCTGACCGGTGAGTCCCCACCCTGGGTAGTCTGAGCAGCCATACACCAGTCACCTCCATACTCACTGCCCATGCCCCATCCTCTCCTTCATCCCGGCCAGGCTGATCATTGGCTTCATCAGCAAACAGTACGTTACTAGCCTTCTTCTCAATGAGCCCGACGGAACCTTTCTCCTCCGCTTCAGCGACTCAGAGATTGGGGGCATCACCATTGCCCATGTCATCCGGGGCCAGGATGGTGAGGCCACCCCAGCCAGTCCTCTGTCTCTGTGCCTGTGCCCTCTGGGGTTTCTTCTGGGAATGAAATGTCCTGACCTTCCTGATGCCGATCCTGATCTTCAGGAAGTTCTTCCAGCTTCTCTTCTTCCTTCTGTGGTCTAAATGTTCACCTTCTCACTGTGAGCTCTGTGGGAACGGAGACTAGTGGGTCTCTCTCCCTCAGGAGCCCCACCCTAGGTCCTCTCTCCCTTGCCTTGGTGGAGTGAGAACAGGTCTTATGGTAGGGGTTGGGGAAGGGGAAGAAAGTCCGGACAGAGGGATCTCAGGGTCTCCTTCCTACCATAGGCTCTCCACAGATAGAGAACATCCAGCCATTCTCTGCCAAAGACCTGTCCATTCGCTCACTGGGGGACCGAATCCGGGATCTTGCTCAGCTCAAAAATCTCTATCCCAAGAAGCCCAAGGATGAGGCTTTCCGGAGCCACTACAAGCGTGAGCTGGAACTGGCAGCTCTGATTCCTTCCTGTCACCCACTTCCTCCCTGCTCCCCGCTGCCCTCCTCTCCCTGCCCGCGTGTCATCCTGATGTCACTCCCTATTTCATAGCTGTGCTTCTCTTACTTCCCCATGATCCATGCCCACCTTTTCCACCTCCCTTCCTCCCTAACCCCAGAGCACTCCATGGCTGTCTTTTCCTTCTCACAACAGCTGAACAGATGGGTAAGGATGGCAGGGGTTATGTCCCAGCTACCATCAAGATGACCGTGGAAAGGTGAGTGTGGTGGTATGGACAGTGGGTAGGTCAGGGGCTTAGTGCTTATCTGCAGGAAGGAGGGGTGGCATCAACCCTTGGTCAGTCACATGTACCTCCTTCCCTCCTCCAGGGACCAACCACTTCCTACCCCAGAGCTCCAGATGCCTACCATGGTGCCTTCTTATGACCTTGGAATGGCCCCTGATTCCTCCATGAGCATGCAGCTTGGCCCAGATATGGTGTAAGGAGCTGGAAAGACAGGAATGGGAGTGGTCTGTGCAGATGGGCTAATCTTAGCATGGGCAGCTGGGAGAGCTGGCACTGGGGGCTGAACAGGGAATCTTCCTTTCCATGAGAGGGACACCTGTTCAAAAGCAGGGTGTGGTGGTGTCCAGGAGAAGGGCTGGCATCAGGGGGTCTGTTTTCTTTCCCCAGGCCCCAGGTGTACCCACCACACTCTCACTCCATCCCCCCGTATCAAGGCCTCTCCCCAGAAGAATCAGTCAACGTGTTGTCAGCCTTCCAGGAGTAAGTGAAAAACCTCATGGGGATACCATCCCACTCTAAGGGGGTGGGCATTTGAATTGTTAGAAGAGGCTCTTCTGTGAGAAAGGAGCAGCAAATGCTAACAGCCTGTCTTCTTCTCTTCTGTCCACTCTAATGAGGGGGTAGTAGTTAAGATCTGGACTGCCTAGGTTTGAATTCTAGCTCCACCACTTACTGGTTTGGGGCAAATTACTTAGCCTTTGGTGCCTTATCTGCACAATGGGGGATAATAATGCTAATAATAATAACCTACCTCACTGCATTATTGTGGAGATTAAATGAGTTCATAACACTTAAAAAGCTGAGCATAGTGCATGGCTCATAGCAAAAGCTGTGTAAGTCCAGTCGTGGATCACTTAATGAAGGAGCATTTTCTGTCTTTGGCAGTTTCATAATTATGCGAATACCATTGAGTATAATTACACAAACCTAGATGGTATAGACTACTATACACTGAGGCTATATTGTGTAGCCTATTGATCCTAGCTTTAAACCCGAGCAGCATGATACTGTTCTGAATAGTATAAGGAAATAGTAACATAATGGTAAATATTTGTGTGATAGGAATTTTCAGCTTGATTATAATTTTTTTTTTTTGAGACAGGGTCTCACTCACTGGAGTGCAGTGGTGCGATCTTAGCTCCCTGCAACCTCCGCCTCTTGGGCTCGAGCAATCCTCCTGCTGTAGTGCACCACGACACTCGGCTAATTCTTTTTTAAGATTTTTCTGCAGACAAGGTCTCACTTACTGCCCAAGCTGGTCTCAAACTCCTGGGCTTAAGTGATCCTCCCACCTCGGCCTCCCAAAGCGTTAGGATTACAGGCGTGAGTCACTCTGCCTGGCCTTGATTATAATCTTATGGGACCACTGTGGTCTGTAGTTGACAGAAATGTCGTTAATGTGGTGCATGACTGTTATTATTATTTTCTGTCCTGCCCCTGAGAGCCACTGTCACTTCTCTGCTGTATTGGTTTTTGTTTACTCATCTGTTTTGGCCTTGAAATGGCCTAGACATTTTTCTTCCCGAAGTATGACACTCGGGTGCTTATTAACTTAGTCAAGACACAACATCTCCCTTCCCAGAAGGTGAGGCGGGAGTGAGGACTTGGGGACTTAAGAACTACCAAAGTTCAGAGTCCAAAGAAACATTAGAAATTGGCTAATCCACCCCCATAACACGCACATTTTACAGATGAGAAGACTGAGCTCAGAGCATAGAAATAGCTTGCCCAGGCCATGACTAAGTCAGGATAAGGAGCTGGAGCTTGTTTCCTCACTCAGTGGTCCTGACTTTGCACCACTCTGCATTTGCCTAGCCTGCCTTCCTCTAACTGTGCTCTCCCTACTTCCAGGCCTCACCTGCAGATGCCCCCCAGCCTGGGCCAGATGAGCCTGCCCTTTGACCAGCCTCACCCCCAGTGAGTGACAAAGCCCCTCCTGACCCCATGTGCCTCTTCTTTCCTGGCCTTGCCCCGCTCTCCTTATTTCCATTGCTGGTTCCTGGCAGGGGCCTGCTGCCGTGCCAGCCTCAGGAGCATGCTGTGTCCAGCCCTGACCCCCTGCTCTGCTCAGATGTGACCATGGTGGAAGACAGCTGCCTGAGCCAGCCAGTGACAGCGTTTCCTCAGGGCACTTGGTGAGTGGCAGCTTGGGAGTGGAGGCTGGGTGGCATCTAGGGGAGTGGGCGCCATGCCTACTCCACTGCTTCTCCCATCTCCTTGCAGGATTGGTGAAGACATATTCCCTCCTCTGCTGCCTCCCACTGAACAGGACCTCACTAAGCTTCTCCTGGAGGGGCAAGGGGAGTCGGGGGGAGGGTCCTTGGGGGCACAGCCCCTCCTGCAGCCCTCCCACTATGGGCAATCTGGGATCTCAATGTCCCACATGGACCTAAGGGCCAACCCCAGTTGGTGATCCCAGCTGGAGGGAGAACCCAAAGAGACAGCTCTTCTACTACCCCCACAGACCTGCTCTGGACACTTGCTCATGCCCTGCCAAGCAGCAGATGGGGAGGGTGCCCTCCTATCCCCACCTACTCCTGGGTCAGGAGGAAAAGACTAACAGGAGAATGCACAGTGGGTGGAGCCAATCCACTCCTTCCTTTCTATCATTCCCCTGCCCACCTCCTTCCAGCACTGACTGGAAGGGAAGTTCAGGCTCTGAGACACACCCCAACATGCCTGCACCTGCAGCGCGCACACGCACGCACACACACATACAGAGCTCTCTGAGGGTGATGGGGCTGAGCAGGAGGGGGGCTGGGTAAGAGCACAGGTTAGGGCATGGAAGGCTTCTCCGCCCATTCTGACCCAGGGCCTAGGACGGATAGGCAGGAACATACAGACACATTTACACTAGAGGCCAGGGATAGAGGATATTGGGTCTCAGCCCTAGGGGAATGGGAAGCAGCTCAAGGGACCCTGGGTGGGAGCATAGGAGGGGTCTGGACATGTGGTTACTAGTACAGGTTTTGCCCTGATTAAAAAATCTCCCAAAGCCCCAAATTCCTGTTAGCCAGGTGGAGGCTTCTGATACGTGTATGAGACTATGCAAAAGTACAAGGGCTGAGATTCTTCGTGTATAGCTGTGTGAACGTGTATGTACCTAGGATATGTTAAATGTATAGCTGGCACCTTAGTTGCATGACCACATAGAACATGTGTCTATCTGCTTTTGCCTACGTGACAACACAAATTTGGGAGGGTGAGACACTGCACAGAAGACAGCAGCAAGTGTGCTGGCCTCTCTGACATATGCTAACCCCCAAATACTCTGAATTTGGAGTCTGACTGTGCCCAAGTGGGTCCAAGTGGCTGTGACATCTACGTATGGCTCCACACCTCCAATGCTGCCTGGGAGCCAGGGTGAGAGTCTGGGTCCAGGCCTGGCCATGTGGCCCTCCAGTGTATGAGAGGGCCCTGCCTGCTGCATCTTTTCTGTTGCCCCATCCACCGCCAGCTTCCCTTCACTCCCCTATCCCATTCTCCCTCTCAAGGCAGGGGTCATAGATCCTAAGCCATAAAATAAATTTTATTCCAAAATAACAAAATAAATAATCTACTGTACACAATCTGAAAAGAAAGACGCTCTAACTGCTCAGATAGGTGCTGCGGTCCAGCCCCCAGCTGGAGGAGACCCTGAGTCCAACCCAGGCCTCCCGAGGGGGCCAGTGAAGGGATCCCACACCCACCGCCCCTATGTAGGGCAGGGAAGAAATTGCAAAGGACTTGGGGGATAGATGGGAATGGGAGGGCAAACTGCAGCACTTGTTAAATTAATTAAAGAAACAAACCAGAAGCACAAAAACGGGGAAGGAGAGGGGAGAAGGAGCAGGTCCAGTGTTCCCAGGCCCCCAATTCTGGGGGCAAATGTTGCCACTTTTAGCTGGACCTTCCCAGGGAAGTCCCCCTTTCCCCCTTGTCCAAACTGAGTCCAACTGCTCACACCACTGGTGCAAACCTAAAGAGAATGGGAGTGTGTTGTGTGAGGGAGGGGAAAACCCCAGATGCCCTGGAGGCAGAGTCCTTGCCCCCTCGCTCTGGGCAGGGGTGAGGGCACCACGCACCCTCCTTGTGTCCTCTCTCCAGGCCTCTGCTTGTTATTGCTTGAAGCCCCACAGTCTTATGCCCATGGAGCAGGTGGGGAGGCAGGAGAAGGGCAGAGGAAGGATCCAGGGTTGTGACTAGATTCCGGGGATGGAGAGCGTGGGGGTCTGTGTGAGCCAGAAGTCTGAGGTCCTGGGTCTGAAGACACCAGTCCAACCCTCACTGCCGGCTGGCCTCAGCCTCCACTTTCACGCTGCTCCTGCGACCCTCCACCAGCGCGGGATGGGGTCCTGGGGCAGGACATCTGTCCAGCAGCCCTTCCTCGAACTCTGCAGGGAAAAGGGGGCAGTTAGGAGACTGCAGGGTGACTGGCTGCAGACAGAGGTGGTTGGGAACAGAAGCAGGGGCAAAGAAAGCTGTGAAGATGGGCTCAGTTTAGGTTTATTGAATTACTGCCTCCTGCCCACTGCATGTGTATGGGGGGTTCCATTCCCATGTGTGTGAGCCCCCTCCCCTCCCTGGCTGTGCGTAGCTCTGTCTCTGTCTGTCTCTCTCTCTTTCTCTCCCGCCTCCTCGGTTGCGCTGGAATTTCTGGTTCTGTCAGGAGCTGCGGGGGTGGTTTGGCTCTGACCTCTCCCCTCCCCCCTTCCCAAGCTCTGCCACCCCCACTCATCCCTGGCCCCCTCCCAGGCCCCTCCCAGGCCACTCTACCATGGCCCCCCAAGTTTTTTGGTAGCCAAATCAGAGGGAGAACAGGAAGCCAGCCTCCGAGCTCCTCCCTCAAGAAGAGCCCCCCTTCCAGTCCCCGCCCCCACTTCCCACCCACGCACAGTTTAAAAATACCAAGCCAGGGTTGGTGGCTTTGTCTGCTGCGTCACTCTCAGCCCAGCGGCTGCCCGGCCCTCCGCCTGCCCACTCCCTCTTCCCCCTTCCACACACAAAGCATCACTGCTTTGGGCTCCTCTGCTTCCAAGCTGGGCATCCCCATCCCCATACCCACAACTCCTAGCCTGCTCCCCACTCCTGGGTTGGTGGAAGTGCCATCTGAGCTTCCCTTATTGATGCTCCTCCTTCCTGCTCCTTCATCCTCTTTTCTCTGTCCCCCCATTCCCCAGTTCCCCTTTCACAGATCTACACTAGGACCAGACTTTCCATGGTGGGAGCAGCTCGGCAGGGTCTGCCTCTCTGCACCCCAAGGCCTGGCTGGCTGGAGCCCAGCCATCCTACTGCCCTCTCTGACGACTATATCCCTCTTCCTCCCACCTGGCCCCAGGACACCAGAATTGCTGTGTGGGGCCTGAGTGGCCGGGGTGCTTGGGGACAGCACTGCTGGCTGCCTCACCTGCGAGAGGTGGCTTCGCAGGCACACAGGGGCTGAGGCGGCCCACGCGGTCGTGGGAGACGAGGCGGGCGAGCCGCAGCCCCTCGTCCATCAGTGTCTGCTGCAGGATGTGTCGGCTCCATAGCCCATGGGCTGGCAATGCCAGAGGCAGGTCAGCAGGGGGCGGCGTCAGCCTTGGACATGACCCCACAGCTGTGGGCATGGGCACTGGTCAGGTAAGGGGCTGCAGCCAATGGAACCCCCACCCTCAACCACATAGCCAGCCCACAGGCCCTTCTGCCCCCCCTCCAGCCAGGTCTCCCAACCCTGTTTCAGGCACTGCCTCCTGGCTCACTCCTCCCCCAACCCCCTCCCCTACTCCCCCACCCTCAATGAAGAGAAAAGTGTTCTGAGGCACACTCACCCTGCAAATGTCCATCCAGACTCTCCCCAGACAGGCTGGCGCTGTCCTCCTCCAGGCTGGGGCGGTATGGGGGTACATAGGACTCAGGGCCTGGGGGAGGCTGCTGGATTTCAGGGTGACTCTGTTCTCCAACCTGTGGATGCCCAACATGGGGAAATGAAGACCTGCCAAGGGAGGGGATTGGGGAAGGCTGCCCAGTGCCCCTATATGCACCCCGGAAAACATACCTCTTGTTTCAGCTTCTTCAGTGGAGGGCCTCCCAGTTCTTCAGGGTGAAGCCTGAAAAGATGGGTAAGAATAAAGTGGATGAGGCTGACGAGGGCCACTCGACTGGCAGAGCACAGAACCCAGCCAGAGGCATGTGTTATTTAAAACCTTTGCCAAGAAGCTGGCCGAGAAAGAGTCTCTAGTTCAAGCACTATTGTTGTAGGGGGTTGGGGGGACCCGACATGGATGGGAGGAGAGACCAGACCTGAGACAAGCTGACTTGGCCAAAAGCAGGACATCCAGGTGGGCGGGAAGCAGGCCTAGAGCTGCCTGAGCTGAAGGTTAGGACATGATCTAACTCCATAGCAGGATTCCAGTCCAGGAAGGACCTGGGGAAGGGGTCTCACCTGGAGCCCTTCAAGGAGGACAAGTAGGTGCTCTCTCGGGCTACTTGGCGGGACAAAGAGAAGAGCTCCACTCTCCGTAATAAGAGCGTGTTGTCCCTCATGCAGAACTGGGCAGCAGCCTCGTTGATGGTGAGCTGTGGAGGGAGGGCAGCCAGGAGAGTCAGAATTCGAACTTCCCCGCTGCCTCACCAGACCTCCTCACACCCCTTCACCATTGGACAAATGAGGCCCATCCATCAGACGCTTGCTTTGGTTTTGACACTACATGGGAGCTTTCTGAGGTGGGAAGACAGAGGTCAGCACCCACAGCTTCCTAGGAATGCCCGGGGCCTCCTCCTCTCCTGTGGGGTCCTGAGTGACAAGGAGCTGAACAGCTCGGTGCTGCCTGTATCTCTGCTTCCCCCTCAGCTGAGGATGGAAGCACTGCGGCCGCTGGGGTAGGGGCCTGTTGGGGAGGGGATCAGGGCCTGGGGTCCTGGTCAAGAGATAATGAAAGATAGTCGGAGACTGTAGAAACTCGCAGAGGTAAGCGGCTGGAGACCTGGAAGTCAAGGGCAATCCTAGGAGGCCTGGGGGTTCTCACCTCGTGCAGGCTGAGCTGCTTGCCCTCCCGCCGCTTAGAGTCGAAACGGCCATAGATGATGCTGTATTTGCGGATCTCCTCTTCCTTCTGGCTGTCATTATCATCCATCTCAAAGATGTGCCCAACGCTCCGTGCCAGCTTCTTATTCAGCTTTAGCAGGGATGTGACCTCCCCAGCATCCCCCCTTGGGAAGCTCCGGAAGATCCTCTCCACACTTTCCACCACCATGCGTACCATCTCTGGCTCCAGTCGGTCTGGACCACCCCCAGTCCCACCTGCTGCCAGCCCCCCAGCCCCAGTCCCCTCAGGGACTCCTCCCCCTGCAGGGGGGGAGAAGGGGGGCGAGCCAGCCTCCTCTTCTCCTCCTGCCCCAACGTCCGACTCTGGAGTGCTCCGGCCTGGCCAGATCCGGGGGTCCCCTGCCCCAGGTCCCCCAGGCAGTGGTGATAGCTTCTCTCCAAGTTCAAGGGGGCTCTTGGGGCTAAAACTGCGGGCACTGCCTGCCTTTTCCCCTGGGCTGCCATGCCCATTGCTCATGCTCCCTTTCCGGGTACCCGCAGTCTCAGAGATCTTGAAGAGCGGGATGCTGGAGACGGGAACAGCAGGCACTGGTTGACTGAAGAGCCCTGGATTGGTGGCCCACTCTCTCAGTGCCTTCTGCAGGCGCCGGACATGGAGGGGCTTGGTGGCCATGCCCACAAGTGCCATGATCTCCAGAAACTCCTCCTCACCCGCCTCACACAGCTGCTGCACGTCGTCCCCTCCCTGCTGGATGAAGGTCTCATAGTAGGAAAGGAGGTTGGCGCGCTGCAGGACCCGGTACAGCTGCAGCTCCCCCAGCGTCCGAGGCAGTGCCATGGCTCGGGCACTGGGCCTGAGAAGGAGGGGCACAAGAGAGAGGCAGTCGGTGCAAGTCCCCCTACTGGGTACCAACCCACACTAACAATTGTTCCCTCTTTCCTGCCTGCTTTTCTTCCCCTCCCTCATTTGGATGCTATCCTGCCCAGTGCCCAGGTCTGAGTACAGACTCTCAGAATCAGGCACTGCTCAGAGGCATGGACAAGCCAGTGCCGTCCTAGACTGGCCCGAAGCCCCAAAAGTCAGTGGCCTGTGTCTGTAGGAGTCGAAGCGTCTTACAACCTTATCTTCAGCTTTTATCTTTTTGGTCTGGGGCAAGAAGAACTTGAGCGCTGAGGCTGACCAGCACCGACCTGGGATGGCTGGACCTCCCTCTCCCCCAAAACACAATCCTCACCTTCCCCTCTAAACACTCAGCAGTCTCAACACTGAAGTGAAGTCACCCATACTAAAGTGAATGTAGGAGCCCAGTCTCCCCCACAGTGGACGCTGCTGGCCAGCTTCATTCCCTGTGAAGGGGCCACAGCCCCAGGTGGCTAAAAGGGAGGGTGTGGCACCTTCCCTGGCTTTCCCACTCAGTGAGCCAGGTGGTGCCTTACTCTTCTCCGCTCAGCTTTTCCCAGGGGTTAAGCATTTATTTATTTATTTATTTATTTATTTATTTGAGACGGAGTCTCGCTCTGTCACCCAGGCTGGAGTGCAGTGGCGCTGTCACTGCAACCTCCGCCTCCCGGGTTCAAGCGATTCTCCTGCCTCAGCCTCCTGAGTAGCTGAGATTACAGGCGCCCGCCACCATGCCCGGCTAATTTTTGTATTTTTAGTAGAAACGGGGTTTCACCATGTTGGTCAGGCTGGGCTCGAATTCCTGACCTCGTGATCCACCCGCCTCAGCCTCCCAAAGTGCTGGGATTACAGGCCTGAGCCACCGGGCCCGCCCGGCCTGGTTAAGCATTCTTAACGCACGCTTCCTCTCTCCCCTCAGAACCTCTCCACCCTTCCAGGCTGCCCAGTGCTCCTCAGTGGCCCCTCTCCTAGCAGTGACACTCCCCACTTCCTCGGTCAGCCTTTTCCTTCAGCTCAGGGGCCGTGGCAGGGGGAGGGGCGCAATTGTTCTGCTCCGGGGCCGTTCCGCCCACACACACTCCCACAGTGGTAGCGTCTGTAGGCGAAAACCGCCCAGGGGCTCCCGCCTACTCTCCTCTCCCATATTTTCCACCCGCATCTTCAAGTGGAGTGGGGGAGCGGCTCAAGGCCTCTTGATGAAGGGGCTGCACACTGAAACTCCCCTCCCCGCTCTGTGAATAAAGGGACAGATATGGGAAGGAACGCCTAAGGCCTCCCTGCCTCCCTCGTCACCCCCCCTTTCCCCCGCTGATGCTCCTTTAACTCAAAGGCACCGGGGGCCCGCGCGCTCCGTGCCAACGAGGGACTGAGGCAACTGAGCGTCCCCCCACCTTCCGCACTGATGCCAGCTCGAGCTCCAGGGCATCCCCTGGTGCTTGGAGGCTCCCACATTCTTTGCAGGGGGCTCTTAGGCCAGATGGAGCCCACAGAGTAAACCAGGAATGGAGATTTGGGTACTACTCTTTCATATCCAGCTTCATCAGATGCTTGCCTGCTCCCAGGGCCCCCTAATTCGAAGACGCACCCCCTTTTCCATCAGTCTCCACCCCCCACCCCCGTCCTGCTTCCCCACGTCCTCCCCTCGACCTCCGCCCTCTGGACCCCATTCCCAAGTCCAGCTCCACCCATCTCCACTCCCCGCTGCCTCCCTTTGCCCACTAACTTGAGTCTGGGCTGCAGGGTCCGGCGGGCGCTGTCCCCTCCGCCCGGCGGCTGCTCGGCTGTGGGGGAAGGCGCTCTGTGCATGGACGGCCGGAGATCACCCGGGCTGCCCTTCTCGGTGCCCGGCGCTCGGCGCCTGCTGCGTGCTGCCCTCTTCCCCGCGCACGATGCCGTGTCCACCGCTGTCCAGGCTCTGTCCCTCCCTCCACGTCTTCTCTCTCCGAGCCTCCGCGCCTCTGTCTGTGCCTCTGCCCCCCCACCCTCCCCGGCTGCGCTTGCCGCCTCTCCGCGCCTCCGCCCCCGCAGGACGCACAGGGAGCGAGGCCCGGAGCTGCGCTGGCTGCCGGGCTGGCGGGCGGAGGGCGTGGGCAGAGCCGGGGGCGGGGGTGGGGGCGGGGGCCGGGGAGGCGGGCGCTGGGGCCTCTCGGCCGCGGAGACGCCGCGGCTTAGAGACTGGGAGAGGCGGAGACGGGGGGGGAGGGGGTGTGGAGCAGGAGGCGGGGGCGGGGATTCAGAGCCGGGGCGCCGAATTGGGGACCGAGGTGACCGAGGCCCGGCTGTGCAGGGCGGGCTTGGGGACCCAGCGGGCGGGGCGAGGTCGTTCTGTGCCGCCCACGCCGGATGCACAGCCGGCCCTCTTGGCGCCCACGTACCCACGTGAGCGCCCCGCCGGCGACATTCCTTCTCTCCCCCACCCCTCCGAGCTGAGAGAGGAGTTTCACAACCACGCACAAGTACACAAAGACACAGAAGCGCACGGACGTGCACACGCGCCTAAACAACTACGGGGACGCCCGTTGCCCATACTCAGGCCTTGTGGTGCTGGACGTGTGAATGTTAGCAGTGAGCCGGGAAAAGTTAGCGAAGGCTGGGCTGTGCGGCTTCTCCTGTGCGTGCATCTGACTCCCGTATAGTGTGCACTTAAGGCGGGCCTGAGAGCGTGGGGCTCTGCAGGGATCTCCTAGATATCCCCGCGCCCCTCCTCAGCCCCAATGGAATAATCTGAGGGGGTCGCTCTCAGAAACCCAGGCCTCCATGCTAGCCTGGAAAGTTTGGGAAACAGGAATGGGAGGGTTATGCTGCACGCCACCACTTAGGTGCGCGTGTTGATTAGACGCGTCGGCTTTTGTCAGCGCGTAGGTCAGGCAGGGATTCCTCCACTTGTCCTCTGTTTGCTGAGGATGAGGCCCTGCCTGGGAATTTTGTGTGACAAAGACGATACCCTTCCTGGGGCCGTCTATTAGGGACCTCGCCCGAGAGTCTAGTGGAAGATGAGTAAGAGGTCGGGAGCCTACGACGTGACTTCCTGCGGCGGAGCTGGAAGGAGGAGCGCCTTGAAGGAGCTTAGCCCCCGCCTCTGCAACCCACCACCGTCTCCCCCTTTGGTTTCTCCTAGCCCCATCTGGTTCGCATTGCACTCCCGCCCACGGCTGGGAGGGCTGTTGGGGGAGGCGGGGGCTCTAAGGGCCCGGCCCATAGACTCTAAGCCCCAGGGAAAGGAGGGGGGGTGGGGGCCGGGGAAAGCGAGCGGACTGGCCACAGGTGAGGTTTCCCCTAGTCCGGAATCTCAGCCCCGCCCCGCCTCTCTGTCCGCACTTCTGAGGGGCTGGGGTGGGGCATGGCGGGGCGTGGAGGCCGTGGACCGGGGCTGGTTTTACAATGTGGCCTAGCGAGGAGACCTTTCCGCCTTGTGGGGTCCGGGGAGAAGGAGCGCGTTGTTGGTGGGAGGATTTCAGTTGCTCAGGTCCTCTTCTCCAACCTATTAAGCGCCAAACACAGTGGGGGTGGTGGGAACGAGCAGAGTCCCGTCTCCCAGTCCCCCGCCCCGCAACTGGAGGGTGCGGCTAGACGGGCTCCCCTGGGGACGCTCCCGACCCCGTACGGGGTGTGGGCGACCCCTCCCCCCCCACCTCAGGTTATTTTGGATCCCGGGCTGCCAGCCGCTGGCCCCGGGTTTCCACGTGCCCCCTCCCTCCCCCAGCCCACGCTCCCCGTGACGCACATCCTCCGCCCACGCAGCCTCTGCTCGAGGCGCCCCCCTCCCTCCCACCCCGGCCCCCTTGGGGCGGCGCTGAGCCTTAGGATCTGGAGGGAGACGCCCGCCCAAGGAGGAGGCGGAGTAGGGCGTGAGCAAGTGAGCGGCAACCTACTGGGCGCGGGGCGCCCGGGTCCCGGTCCTGATCCGGGAAAGAGGGGGAGGGAGGAGCCGATTTTGAGCTCTCCGCTCCCGGGTCCTGGGAGAGGGGGTGCTCGGCCAGAGAGGGACGAGGGAAGAGAAATTCCGCAGAAGGGGCCTGCCCACTCCCCTAGGGGAGCCAGCGGGGGTCCGGGTGCGAACCCGTGTGTGAGAGTGAAACTACCGGGTGTTTGTGTCTTTGTGCCCTTGTTTCTCAAGATTGTCGTGAGATTCGGATGAGAGAATGTACGGGAAAACTCTCTAAATTGTAGAATGCTAAGCATATTTAAGACGCTACTGCCAGTTTGTGTCTCTGTACCCGAGATTATGTATTTATATGTTTCTTTATATCCACTTGTATATCTGTGTTCCTCTCTCTCTCTAGGTTTGTGTATGAGCCCCTATTTAAAAAATCATTGACTTGTCAGGGCCCGCCAGAGGCCCAGAGCGCCCCCGCAGCCCGCAGCCAGAGCTGCCGAGATGTCTGTTCTTCCCGCCCACTCCTGCCACCCCCAACTCCCCTCCTACTCCCTTCCGTTGAGAACAAGGAATTTCCAGCCTGTAGCAAAGGGAAAGAGGCAAAGACAAAGACGGAGACCATGGGAAACTATAGAAAAACATAAAGAGACAGGTGTGTGTGTGGGGGGGGGGGAGTGGTGACAAAAAGGGAGTGGGGACAAATACAAAAATTTTCATTTGTTTCCTGCATGGGACCTGTTCTCCCCTGTGTCCCCTTGGCTCACTCAAAGAAGGACCACTTCTGTGCCTGACTCACCTGCTCTCCCCATCCCCAGTGCTCTCAAAGACAGACCAGAGGAACTGATCTCGTGATAAAAAGGATTAATATTCTTTTATCTGTGCTGGTCTCCTCCGTGAAGGGAAACAGTATCCTCAGTCCTAGTTTTCCAAGAAAAGGGGAAACGATTGCGAGGAAAGGGAGGAAAGTGGGCGGAAGAGGAGTGCAGAGACTGTCGTCCCTACGCGCACGTGTAGATTTTCATCTAGCAGATTGCTCTGCTCACTCCTCCCCCAACGTCTCCACTGGGCCAGATCCGACTCACTCAGCAAGGTTTGGCTCACCCTCTCCTTCCTGGACCCCTTCCACTCCTCCAGGCAGAATTAATTCCTCCCACCCCTCGGTGGCCTCCTCATTGCTCTTTGTACACATTTCCAATTATAGTTGCTTGTTTCAGCCGAAATCCAGGACCTCTCCAGGATAGGCCTGTTATCTGGTGGACCCTCTGAAATGAATAAATTGATCCTATTCACAGGCCTGTGCAACTTTGAAAGGGCACATGACACAGATTTTACTCCCAAAGGGGCTGAGCCTGGGCAAAACTGTTTAAGTGAAGACATTTGTTTTCCATATCTCTTTCCCTTGTAAAGTTTCCAGTGAGTCCCACAAATCTGGCTCCTTGGCCTTCTAAAATGTCCACCATTCTGGTAAATTAATTCACACTCAGATGCTAAAGGTAGTAGGCCGAAGTCCTGGCTGGTAATAGAAAAGTATAAAGTAATGATCCCTTTTTTCTCTTTCAGTAACATGGCAGAATTTATCATCTAAGGAATGTTGTCCTTCAAGTTAGTTATTTTACAAGAAATGTTTCACTCCTGAAAGACAGATAATCCTAACCACTGCCTTTAAGGAGCTCACAGACTAATAGGGGAAATAGACCTATAAACGAATAATTACAACATAGTGCAATAATATGGGTACAACAATGACAGAAGTATAAGAGGGTGAGTGATCTGTTCTGCTTGGAGTTGTGAGGGGCCTTGGTTTAGACAGGCATCCAAAGGAGGTGATGATGCAGTCAGTATGAGATTTCCAGGAGTGGCCAGGGCGGTGGCTCACACCTGTAATCATAGCACTTCAGGAGGCTGAGGTGGGAGGAACATTTGAGCCCAGAAGTTGAAGGCTGCAGTGAGCCTTGATGGCGCCACTGCATCCCTGCACCACAGAGCAAAAAGTGAGTCTCAAAAACAAAAAACAAAAACAAAAACAAAAATTCTAGGAGGAAGGGAAGTCAAGTCAGAGAGGCCAGAAAGTGCATTTCCATGGAGGTGGAGGTATGAAACAGAGTGATATGTTTCAGAAACTATAAAAGGTTGTTCATTATTGCTGGGTGGTGGGTGGAGCTGGTTAGAAACGAGCCTAGGGAGGTGTACAGGTACATTACATTAAAAATATTTTGGACCAGTGCTTTTCAAAGTATGGTTAAGGACCAATTTTTAAAACATTTCCAATCTATTATTGTCCACTACTTTTGTAGAATGCACTAAAAATGAATTATTCAAAAAACAAAATAAACTACCATTTTGTTAGATTCAATAAATATAAAATTTCTCTGTCAAATTCCTATAAAACTTTCTAAATGCTTACACTTAATTTCTGAAATTGTTTCATTACAGATTGGTGACAAACATTGAATAACATTATTATAGTTATTTGTGTCTTTGCCTCTGAGTTTTAGATCATACTAAGGATGTTGGACTTCATCCTGTGGTGTTACTGGAACCATAAAGACTCTGGAAACAAAGACTCATGGCATGGTCAGATCTGCACTTAGGAGCAGAGTGGAGGAAGGATTTATGGCTGCAAAAACAGTAGGAAGGTCAGCTTGAAAAATACTGAAGGACCCTCTCAGTTGAAAGATGGCAAGGCACTGGCATGGGGGGAAAGAACAGATTCAAAATATAGAAAATAAGATCGACAGGACTTGATTGATTGGCTGAGGGGTTGAGAGGAGAGAATGAGGGTTTAGGGTGACTCTCAGGCTCCTAGCTTGGGTGACTGAGTATGTGGAATGGAGTGTTCCTTCTCAAAACTCTGGAATAGCCTTCATCAAATATTCGTGGCCTGCAAATCCTTTATCCACAATTCCTAAATTTAAAAAAATTATGAAAACCAAAAGCTTGACCGGGTACTGTGGTTTATGCCCTTAATCTCAGCACTTTGGGAGGCTGAGGTGGGTGGATCACCTGAGGTCAGGAGTCCAAGACAAGCCGGCCAACATAGCGAAACCCCGTCTCTACTAAAAATACAAAAATTACCTGGGCGTGGTGGCGCATGCCTGTAATCCCAGCTACTCGGGAGGTGGAGGCACGAGAATCGCTTGAACCTGGGAAGCAGAAGTTGCAGTGAGCCGAGATCGCGCCATCGCACTCCAGCCTGGGTGACAGAGTGAGACTCGGTCTCAAAACAAAACAAAACAAAACAAAACAGAAGAAAACAAAAATTAACTGGGCGTGGTGGCGGGCGCCTGTAATCCCAGCTACTCGGGAGGTGGAGGCATGAGAATCGCTTGAACCTGGGAAGCAGAAGTTGCAGCAAGCTGAGATCACGCCATTGCACTCTGGCCTGGGCGATAAAAGCAAAACTCCGTCTCAAAAACAAAAACAAAATCTTTTTCATAACATATTTGACAATAAAACCTAATCTGAACTGAATTTATTTTGTGGCAGAACCTGACCTAAACTTACATAAGGTTATTTATAGTTTTCACTTTTCCATCTTTCACTTACCACAGTATGAAGTCATATGTGTCATTCCAGAAATATTAATTTGTTTGATTACTGGGTGCTGTCCTGATGCATTGGGATTGTTGCTTTATATTTTGTATATGCACCATACTATCTTTCAAAAATCCAAAAAATTTTGAAACACATTAACCATCCAGATTTCCCACCCCATTTACTCATCAGTGTTGGCCTGAGTTCTTTTGGCTATTTGCATAAATCCAATCCACCTGCAGATAATGAATATTCATTGCATTGTGTGTTATAGACTCTGAAGGAGATTCTTGTTGTTTTGAGCAGTGTCCTCATTAAAACAAAGCTAAAAGCTTCTTGAATGACTATCTTGAAATGACAGCACTCATTTGGATGATAAGTTGTAATGTGTTTATGGACAGCCAGTCTCATTACCATACACTTCATTTATATATTTTAATAGTCAGTGGTCAGTGATCTTCTGAAATTAGTTCCCCTGGATTTGCTTTAGTGAAAACCAAAGAGCAAGCTCTGAATGATGAGAATGGGGCCTGATAAAAAAAAATGAAGTATGTGTATATATATGTGTATATATACCTACACATAAAAAAATACATATACATATCTATACATATATATTAGCCTTTATTTTATTTTATTTATTTATTTTGAGACAGGGTCTCACTCTGTCACCTAGGCTGCACAGTGGTGCAATCACAGCTCATTGCAGTCTTGACTTCCCAGGCTCAGGTGATTCTCCCACGTCAACCTCCCAAGTAGCTGGGACCACAGGTGCATGCCACCACACCTGGCTAATTTTTTTTTTTTTTGTATTCTTTGTAGAGACGGGGTTTCACTATGTTGCCCAGGCTGGTCTCAAACTCCTAGGCTCAAGTGATCCACCTGCCTCGGCCTCCCAAGACATTGGGATTACAGGCATGAGCCACTGCACCTGCCCAATTTATTCATTTTTTTAGCAACAAGGTCTTACTCTGTCACCCAGGGTGGAGTGCAGAGGCATGATCATGGCTCACTGCAGGCTCAACCTCCCAGACTCAAGTGATCGTCCCATCTCAGCCTCCTGAGCAGCTGGGACTACAGGCACGTGCCAACACACTTGGCTAATTTTTGTATTTTTGTAAAGACAGAGTCCTACTATGTTGCCCAGGCTGGTCTTGAATTCCTGGGCTCAAGCCATCCTCAGACCCGGTCTCCTAAAGTGCTGGGATCACAGGTGTGAACCACTGAGGCTAGCCAACTTTATTTTTAGAAACATTACATGTACAGAAAAATTGAAAAGATAATATGGTGAATTCCTATATACCCTACATTCAATTTCCTCAATTATTATCTGACATTAGTATGGTACATTTAGCACCATTAATGAAACAGTATTGAAACATTATTATTAACTAAAGTCTACAGTTTATTCAGATTTCCTTTGAGTTTTTGTTGTTGTTGTTGTTGTTTAGACTGAGTCTTACTCTGTCACCGGGCTGGAGTGCAGTGGCACTGATCTTGGCTCACTGCTGCAACCTCCGCCTCCCAGGTTCAAGTGATTCTCCTGCCTCAGCCTCCTGAGTAGCTGGGTTTACAGGTGCCCGCCATACGCCCAGCTAATTTTTGTATTTTTAGTAGAGACGGGGTTTCACTATGGTGGCCAGGCTGGTCTTGAACTCCTGATCTCGTGATTCGCCCGCCTTGGCCTCCCAAAGTGCTGGGATTACAGGCGTGAGCCACCATGCTCAGCCTCCGTGTTTTTTTTTGTTTTCTTATTTTTTGAGACGGAGTCTTGCTCTGTCGCCCAGGCTGGAGTGCAGTGGAGCGATCTCAGCTCACTGCAAGTTCCGCCTCCCAGGTTCACACCACTCTCCTGCCTCAGCCTCCTGAGTAGCTGGGACTACAGGTACCTGCCACCACGCCCGACTAATTTTTTTTATTTTTAGTAGAGACGGGGTTTCACCATGTTAGCCAGGATGGTCTCCATCTCCTGACCTCATGATCCGCCCGCCTCAGCCTCCCAAAGTGCTGGGATTACAGGCATGAGCCACCGTGCCCAGCCTCGTTTTTTTAAACTAATGTGTTTTTCTGTTCCAGGATCCCATCTAGACCACCACATTATGTTTAGTTCTCAAAAACATAATGGGCTGGGCATGGTGGCTCATGCCTGTAATCCCAGCACTTCGGGAGGCCGAGGCGGGCAAATCACCTGAGGTCGGGAGTTCAAGACCAGCTTGACCAACATGGAGAAACCCCATCTCTACTAAAAATATGAAATTAGCTGGGCGGGGTGGCACACACCTGTAATCCCAGCTACTTGGGAGGCTGAGGCAGGAGAATCGCTTGAACCTGGGAGGGGGAGGTTGCGGTGAGCCAAGTTTGTGCCATTGCACTCCAGCCTGCTCAACAAGAGTGAAACTCTGTCTCAAAAAACAAAAACAAAAAAGCCCATAATGATGTTTGGATGACTTTGACAGCTTTGAGGAGTACTGGTCAGGTATTTTGTAGGATGCCTCTATTGGAATTTGTCTAATGTTTTTCTCAAGATTAGAGTGGTGTTATGGGTTTTGGGAAGGAAAACCACAGAGTTAAAATGCCATTTTCATCTCATGTTATCAAGGGTACATAGTATCAACATGATTGATGCTGACTTCCCTAGGTCAGCTGAGGGAGTGTGTGTGTGAAATACAGGATGACCATATCAGCACTGTTGGCCTAGACTTTTCCTTCTGAGAATGAAATCTCTTCTCTTGCCCATAGCTCAGCCCCATTTTGACTTTTTTTTTTTTTTTTTGAGACAAGAGAGGCTCGCTCTGTCACCCAGGCTGGAGTGAAGTGGCATGATCTCGGCTCACTGCAACCTCTGCCTCCTGGGCTCAAGCAATTCTTCTGTCTCAGACTCCTAAGTAGCTGGGATTACAGGAACCTGCCACCATGCTGGGCTAATTTTTGTATTTTTATTAGAGATAGGGTTTTGCTGTGTTGGCCAGGCTGGTCTCGAACTTCTGGCCTCAAGTGATCCTCCCACCTCAACCTCCCAAAAGTGCTGGGATTACAGGCATGAGCCACCATGCCCAGCCCATTTTGACTTTTTTTTTTTTTCTCTTTTGAGACAGAGTCTTGCTCTGTCACCCAGTCTGGAGTGCAATGGGGCGATCTTGGCTCACTGCAGCCTCCGCCTCCTGGGTTCAAGGGATTCTCCTGCCTCAGCCTCCTGAGTAGCTGGGCTTACAGCCACCTACCACCATGCCTGGCTAATTTTTGTATTTTTAGTAGAGACGGGGTTTTGCCATGTTGGCCAGGCTGGTCTCGAACTCCTGACCTCAGTTGATCCACCCGCCTCGGACTCCCAAAGTGTTAGGATTACAGACCTGAGCCACCATGCCCGGCCCATTTTGACTTTTAAAAAGGTCCTTGTTTTAGACCAGGTGCAGTAGCTTACTCCTGTAATTTCAGTAATTTGGGAGGCCAAGGTGGGATAATCACTTGAGGCCAGGAGTTTGAGGTCAGCCTGGGCAACATAGCAAGATATTGTCTCTACAAAAAGTAATTAAAAAAAATTAAGCCAGACATAGTGGCTCATGCCTGTAGTCCCAGCTACTTGGGAGATTGAAGTGGGAGGATCATTTGATCCTGGGAGTTCGAGGCTGCAGTGAGCTGTGGTTACACCACTGCATTCCAGAAGGGTTACAGAAGGAGACCTTGTCTCAATAACAACAACAACAACAACAACAACAATGAAACAAACAAATAGCTGGGCATGGTGGTGCATCCCTGTAGCCCAACCTATCTAGGAAGCTGAGGTGGGAAGATGGTTTAAGTCCAGGAATTCAAGGTTACACTGAGCTGTGATGGTGCTGTTGCACTCCAGCTTGGGTGTCAGAGAATGACCCTGTCTCTAAAAACATTAAAAAAAAAAATTCTTGTTTTGAAAGCTTGAACCTTCCCCAGGAGATGCCCCCTTCCTTGAATTCCTCAATTCATTTGGCTCTATCATCTGTAGTTTTCCTACCCATCACCATCAGATCCTCTTAAAAAAAAAGTTTCAATTTCTACTAACAGTTTCTGAACACCTGGATCTCTGCTGGGCCCTGTGTTAAATCATTGAATGGGAAGCAGCTAATCCATATAAATAACTCCGGCTTTGGAGTCAGTAGGATTTAGGTTGGGATCACAGACCAGATGAACTATGAAATCTTGGGCAGGTTCCTGTGGCTGTCTTGGCTTTGGCTTCTTAAATGGAGAGAATTATATTTGTCTCACAAGATGATAAGAGGAATAAATGAATCTTTCTTAATCCTAACATTAATTTTACTTCCAAAAATAAAAATCCTATGAATACATTTTTAAAAGCTAATGTTTATGCTTATAAAATATTGACACACACTTTTTTGTGACTTCTATTTTAAATCCTTTAGGACTTTGGAGAACCACACTTTTGTCAGTCGACTTTAAAAATCGTCCTATCAGGGTCCTACTCATAAAGCGATCTCAATTGTAGGCGTCTCATAACAGAAAGGTCGTGATAAAAAGTAACCGAAAGAAAACGGAAGGAACTTCAGACAGCTTCTATGGAAATACCGAGTTTGGTCAAGGAGGCCTCTCCCATTCCGATTTTCTATTGGTTAAACTTACCATCAATCACACCAGTTGTAAATAAACTGAAGACGGAAGCATGTTGTTAGCGGGGTGGGATCTTCCTGTCGCCACTGCTAGGGTGAGAACCCATTTTCCAATAGGCTGAAAGCTGCTTTTCCCGCCCTCTCTCTTCAGTTGCTAAGGGGCGGGACTCATAGGGCCCTTGGAGGGCTGGGTGCTCGAAGCCCTGCCCATCCCATTGGTTGATAGGGGCGGGTTTCGTAGAGGATAGGCTGCTGTCGTTGCCCGTTCGGAGTTAGTTGCTGGGGTAAGGCACGTGAGGAGGAGGTGGCTTGAGGCAACCATGGCGGGAGGAATGAAAGTGGCGGTCTCGCCGGCAGTTGGTCCCGGGCCCTGGGGCTCGGGAGTCGGGGGCGGTGGGACAGTGCGGCTACTCTTGATCCTCTCCGGCTGCTTGGTCTACGGCACAGGTACCGCCCGGGCAGCAGCTGCCAAGGGGGCAGGTGCCGAGGGGGTTATTTTTGGAAAAGGGATTGTCCCGAGGGCGCGGGCCGTTACTCTGCAGAAGGGCGGTGGCTCTACCGAGGGCCGCCGGCGTAGTGTGGTGGAAGAAACTTGGCAGGCTAGTGGGCGTCGGGACTGAGGGTCTGGGCCCTGAAGCGGGCTGGGGCAGCTTCCAGAGTGGGGAGGAGCCTGAAGCCTTTTGGCGGAGACAGGAAGGGAGGCCTAGACTGGTTGAGAAGCAGTCCTGGGGGCTGTGTCTCGTTGCAGAAGCCTTGAGTTTCTTGGTTAAAAGCGAGAAAACCTGGGGACCATTCTGGGCAGGCAGAGCAGCCGCGGGAAAGGGACCATCTCATTCATTCGGCAAATCAGCAAACACCATCTGAGCGTATGCTCTGTCAGGACGCAGGGCACGGGTGGCAGAACGGATGTAGTTGACAGAAATGCAGTGATCTCTACTATCTTCTGCTCTTGTAAAACCTTGATTCCTTACCGCCCCCGGCCCGCGAGATGGAGTCTAGCTCTGTCACTCAGGCTGGAGTGCAGTGGTGCGATCTCGCTCACTGCAACCTCCGCCTCCTGGGTTCAAGCAATTCTCCTGCTTCAGCCTCCGGAGTAGCTGGGATTACAGGCACCCGCCACCGCGCCCGGCTAATTTTTGTATTTTTAGTAGAAATGGGGTTTCACTATGTTGGCCAGGGTGGTCTCGAACTCCTGACCTCGTGATCCATCCGCCTTGGCCCTCCCAAAGTGCTGGGATTACAGGTGTGAGCCACCGTGACCGGCCAAATAATGCATGTTTATTTTAGATGATTTGGCAAGGTACAATTAAGTATAAAGAAGCAGGCAGAAACCACACTGTTAATCCATTCAGAAGCAATCTATTTTAGCACACTTTCTTCTGATCTTTTTCCACATATTTTTAATTTTTTATGAATTGATAATTTGTATCCAGTTAGTACTCTAGTTCTCTTCCCTGGAGGCTGCCAGTCGTTACCAGAGATAGTTTTCTCGTTTGATTTTGTAGTACAATAATTTTCCCAAGTAATTTAAAATTCTTTTTTTGTTTTTTTGTTTGTTTGTTTGTTTGAGATGGAGTTTTGCTCTTGTTGCCCAGGCTGGAGTGCAGTGGTGCAATCTCAGCTCACTGCAACCTCCGCCTCCTGGGTTTAAATGATTCTCCTGCCTCAGCCTCCTGAGTAGCTGGGATTACACTTGCCCGCCACCACGCCCGGCTAATTTTTTTTTTTTTTTTTTAAACAGAGTCTCCCTCTTTCGCGCAGGCTGGAGTGCAGTGGCCAGATCTCGGCTCACTGCAAGCTCCGCCTCCCAGGTTCACGCCATTCTCCTGCCTCAGCCTCCCGAGTAGCTGGGACTACAGGCGCCCACCACCACGCCCGGCTAATTTTTTGTATTTTTAGTAGAGAGGGGGTTTCACCGTGTTAGCCAGGATGGTCTTGATCTCCTGACCTCGTGATCCGCCCGCCTCGGCCTCCCAAAGTGCTGGGATTACAGGCATGAGCCTCCACACCCGGCCTTAAAATTCTTTGTAAATGTTGTCTTACTTGTATTACATTCCAATGTATGTGCAGATGTTCATTTAATTTTTTTTCTCCACCCCCCGCCCGCCCCGCCCCGCAGAATGTAGTCTTGCTGTCTGGCCCAGGCTGGAGTGCAGTGGTGCAATCTCGGTTCCTGTTTCAAGCCATTCTCCCATCTCAGCCTCCCAAGTAGCTGGGACTACAGGCATGTGCCACCACACTCGGCTAATTTTTTTTTTTTTGAGACAGAGTTTCGCCCTCGTTGCCTAGGCTGGAGTGCAATGGCACTATCTAGGCTCACTGCAACCTCAGCCTCCAGAGTTCAAGCACTTCTCCCTCTGCCTCCCGAGTAGCTGGGATTATAGGCGCATGCCACCATGCCTGGCTAACTTTTTGTATTTTTTGTACAGACGGGGTTTCACCAGGCTGGCCAGGCTGGTCTCAAACTCCTGACCTCGTGATCTGCCCACCTCAGCCTCCCAAAGTGCTGGGATTACAGGCGTGAGCCACCACGCCCAGCCACACTCAGCTAATTTTGTATTTTTAGTAGAGATGGGGTTTCACCATGTTGGCTAGGTTGGTCTCGAACTCCTGACCTCAGGTGTTCCGCCCGCCTCAGCCTACCAAAGTACTGGGATTACAGGCGTGAGCCACCATGCCTGGCCTTCATTTATTATTTTTTAGTGACGTGGTTTTGCTGTGACACCCAGGCTAGAGTGCAGTGCACAATCATAGCTCACTGTAACTTCCCACCTCGGTCTCCCCAAGTAGCTGGGACTACAGGCACGTGCCATCTGCCTGGTAAAAATCATTATTAATGTTGTGGATTAAACATTTGGTTGGATATTGGTGGTTTGTACTGTTGGTTGGATATTTGTGGTATTTCTAGTTTTTCATTGTTGTAAGTTTGTGAACATCTTTGTGTATACATTTTTATTTATTTATTTATTTATTTTTTTGAGATGGAGTCTTGCTCTGTTGCCCAGGCTGGAGTGCAGTGGTGCCATCTCGGCCACCTAGGTTCAAGCGATTCTCCTACCTCACCCTCCCGAGTAGCTGGGATTACAGGTGTGTGCCACCATGCCCGGGTAATTTTTTTGTATTTTTAGTAGAGTGGGATTTCGCCATGTTGGCCAGGCTGGTCTCAAACTCCTGACCTCAAGTGATCTGCCCGCCTCAGCCTCCCAAAGTGCTGGGATTACAGGTGTGTGCCACCATGCCCGGGTAATTTTTTTGTATTTTTAGTAGAGTGGGATTTCGCCATGTTGGCCAGGCTGGTCTCAAACTCCTGACCTCAAATGATCTGCCCGCCTCAGCCTCCCAAAGTGCTGGGATTACAGGTGTGAGCCACCGTGCCTGGCCTTATTTTTTTTTCTTTTTTTTTTTGTAGAGATGGGGTTTCATCATGTTGGCCAGGCTGGTCTCAAACTCCTGAGGTCAGGCAATCCCCTCACCTTGGCTTCCCAAAGTCCTGGGACTACAGGCGTGAGCCACCACGCCTGGGCCCAACTATTTATTTATTTATTTATTTATTTATTTATTTATTGATATTGAGATGGAGTCTTGCTCTGTCGCCCAGGCCGGAGTGCAGTGGTGTGATCTTGGCTCCCAACTATTTATTTATTTATTTATTTATTTATTTATTTATTTATTTATATTGAAATGGAGTCTTGCTCTGTCGCCCAGGCTGGAGTGCAGTGGTGTGATCTTGGCTCACTGCAAGCTCCACTTCCCGGGTTCATGCCATTCTCCTGCCTCAGCCTCCCAAGTAGCTGGGACTACAGGCGCCCGCCACCGTACCCAGCTAATTTTTTTTGTGCTTTTAGTAGAGATGGGGTTTCACCTTGTTAGCCAGGATGGTTTCAATCTGCTGACCTGGTGATCCACCTGCCTCGGCCTCCCAAAGTGGTGGGATTACAGGTGTGAGCCACGGCGCCCAGCCCCTTATTTATTTTTTTGAGACGTAGTCTTGCTCTGTCACCCAGGCTGGAGTGCAGAGGCGCGATCTCGGCTCACTGCAGTCTCCCCTCCCAGGTTCAAGCGATTCTTCTGCCTCAGCCTCCCAAGAAGCTGCGATTACAGGTGCCCGCCACCATGCCCAGCTGATTTTTTTGTATTTGTAGTAGAGACGGGGTTTCACCATGTTGGCCAGGCTGGTTTTGAACTCCTGACCTCAAGTGATCCGTCTGCCTTGGCCTCCCCAAGTGCTGGGATTTCAGGTGTGAGCCACCATGCCCGGCTGGACAGTGGTCACTTTTAAATCTTGAATTAGCTGATATTAAATACAAATTGAGAGGAGAATCTTCTGTTTTGGTAAATCAGAGGGACTGCATGTAATCATTGCCTGCTGTTAAAATTTGAAGTGACACAAAACAGCTGGAAGGAAACAACCTTGAAATCTTTTAGTATCCTCCAAAAGTACTATATATTAAAAATATTGCTGGCTGGGCGTGGTGGCTTACGCCTGTAATCCCAGCACTTTGGGAGGCTGAGGTGGGTGGATCAGTTGAGGCCAGGAGTTCTAGATCAGTCTGGCCAACATGGTGAAACCCCATCTCTACTACAAAAATACACACACACAAAAAAAGTTAGCCAATTGAGTTGGCTCATGCCTGTAATGCCAGCTACTCAGGAGGCTGAGGTGGGAGAATCGCTGGAACCTGGGAGGCAGAGGTTGCAGTGAGCCAAGATCGCACCACTGTATTCCAGCCTGGGTGACAGAGTGAGACCCTGTCTGAAAAAAAAAAAAAAAAATGCTGGCTGGGCATGGTGGCAGATCTGTAATCCCAGTGCTTTGGGAGGTCAGCGTGGGTGCTTTGGGAGGCCAATGTGGGAGGATTGCTTTAGGCCAGGAGTTCAAGACCAGCCTGGGCAACATAGTAAGACCTTGTCTCTTTAAAAAAAAAAAAAACTAGCTGGGTGTGGTGGTGTATACCTGTAGTCCTGGCTACTTGGGAGGCTGAAGTGGGAGGATTGTTTGAGCCCAAGAGTTTGAGGCTGCAATGAGCTATGATCACATTACTGTACTCCAGCCTGAGCAGCAGAGCCAGACCCTGTCTCAAAAAAAAAATAAAAAAATAAAATAAAAAACCTGCCAATTCTGTTCTACTCAGGAAAGGGATAGAGAAAATCAACAGATGGAGTAGTTTAGCTTACTTTATTCCTTTATAGGACAGGAAGTATATCTAGTGTTTAAGACCATAGTCAGACCTGGGGGTGAATCTCAGATAGGCTATTTACTATTTGTGTGATTTTGGAGCAAATTACTTAATCTTTCTTAAACATCAGTTCCTCATTTATAAAATAGGGATTATGAGAGTGCTTACCTCATAGCATTGTTGGGAGCATTAAATGAGACAGCATACTGTCTCTTTTATTTATGTATTTATTTTTTATTTTTTTGAGACAGAGTTTTGCTCTTTTTGCCCAGGCTGGGGTGCAATGGCGTGATCTCGGCTCACCTCAACCTCCGCCTCCCAAGTTCAAGTGATTCTCCTGCCTCAGCCTCTCGAGTAGCTGGGATTACAGGCATGTGCCACCACGCCTGGCTAATGTTTTTGTATTTTAGTAGAGACGGGGGGGTTTCTCCATATTGGTCAGGCTGATCTCAAACTTCTGACCTCAGGTCATCCGCCCACCTCAGCCTCCCAAAGTGCTGGGATTACAGGCATGAGCCACCGCGCCTGGCAGCATACTGTCTTAATAGATACTTAATACAAAAAAAAAAATTAGCCGGGCACGGTGGCGGGCGCCTGTAGTCCCAGCTACAGGCTGAGGCAGGAGAATGGCGTGAACCCAGGGGGCGGAGCTTGCAGTGAACCAAGATAGCCCCACTGCAGTCCGGCCTGGGCAAAAGAGCGAGACTGTCTCAAAAAAAAAAAAAAATAGATACTTAATAGTAGTTTTTATTATTACTTTTCTGACTGAATGACTGTGTAATATTTAAATAATTAAACGACAGAAATAAGATTCTGCCTTAGTTCTTCCTTCTTCTCAGTTTTTTTTCTTATTTCTCAGTCTGGCTAATGTTTTAACCCAAAGTTTAGGAAAATGGTTAGTTTAATCTTTTTCATGAAATGAGTTATAGTTATTAGCTTGTTATGTTTAATTCTTGTTTCCTTTCTTTGCATAAAGCTGAAACTGATGTAAATGTGGTCATGCTTCAGGAATCCCAAGTTTGTGAAAAGCGTGCCAGCCAACAATTCTGTTACACAAATGTGCTTATCCCAAAATGGCATGATATATGGACACGGATACAGGTAATAACTTGGAATCCTCTGGCAGTGGCAGCTTCTGTAAATTTCTGTTGGTGATTAGTGAGTATTTTGACACTTTCTTCCCCTTCACATGCTTAAAAAAAATGTTGTTAACAATCTTGTTAGGGTTGAGATTATCCTGAGTTGTGTTTTCATCAATAAGCATTTATGCCTACTTTGTATTCCTCTCTGCTCCCTCAAGTAGATTACGGTATTCTAAGGTAAACTTCTTTCCTCCTCCCTCCTTTTCCCAAAGAAACTGCTTTGTTTTCTTGTCCTTCATTTTGCAGTATGTGTGTGTGCACGCACACATACCCCTCTTTCTTTTTTTATTTTTATTTTTTATTTTTTGAGGCAGAGTCTCCCTCTGTCGCCCAGGCTGGAGTGCAGTGGCACCATCTTGGCTCACTGCAATCTCTGCCTCCCGGGTTCAAGCGATTCTCCTGCCTCAGCCTCCCAAGTAGCTGGGATTACAGGCATACGCCACCACACCTGACCAATTTTTTTGTATTTTTTGTAGAGATGGGGTTTCATCATGTTGGCCAGGCTGGTCTGAAACTCCTGCCCTCAGGTGATCTGCCCACCTTGGCCTCCCAAGGTGTTGGGATTATAGGCATGAGCTATCGCACCCAGCCCCCTTCTTTCTTTTTAAAGGCCTTATGCCTTCTTTGGGCTGGAAACTGTTATGTGCCTGTGAGGATGTAAACTCTTTTGCCCCACTGTTCCTATTCTGATTCTATATGAGATATTTCATAAACCCCCGAGCTGAAGAATTACTTTGGTCTCATTTATTTCATAACACTGTTAAGTCACCTGGCAAACAGGAATGTCTGGCTGTAACAGTGATTGTACAAAATAGGTCCTTTCAGAAATGTCGTAGTTGTTATAAGCATAGTTACTGATAAGGACATTTGTTGTTCACATCAAAAACATAAGGGTGGACTTGTGGATTTGTTTTTTTTTTTTGAGACGGAGTCTCGCTCAGTCACCCAGGCTGGAGTGCAGTGGCACGACCTCGGCTCCCTGCAACCTCTGCCTCTTGAGTAGCTGGGGGCCATGCCCAGCCAACTTGTGGATTTTTAAAAAAAATTCTTTAAAAAAAATGTCTGACAAGCCGGGCGCAGTGGCTCATGCCTGTAATCTCAGCACTTTGGGAGGCTGAGGCGGGCAAATCACTTGAGGTCAGGAGTTCGAGACCAGCCTGGCCAATATGGTGAAACCCCGTCTCTACTAAAAATACAAAAATTAACTGGGCATGGTGGCGCACACCCTGTAGTCCCAGCTACTCAGGAGGCTGAGGCAGAAGAATCGCTTGAATCCAGGAGGTGGCGGTTGCAGTGAGCTGAAGTCATGTCACTGCACTCCAGCTTGGGCGACAGAGCGAGACTCCATCTCAAAAAAAAAAATTATCTGATAAAAAAGTGATACTCCATCTGGGGCACATTATAACCAACATTTACTCATAATCAGTGGCTTGTGACAATGGATTGAACTCAGCCTGTCATTACGGAAAACATTTTTAGTTTTCTGGGGCAGTTTATGCCTGGCAATTTTCTTAATATTATAGACCTTTGCTTTGTGTGATCTCTAATAAATAGCTGTATTGATAACTCTTTCAGTTTGGAAGTCTTTTTTCCCTCTATGTTCTGCCCTAATAGTAGATTCAGATCATGTTAACAAGAAGGTATTCTAACAGCTGTCTCTCTGTAACATGTGCAGTGTTATTTGCCCAATTATGTTTTAGCCACTGTATTTCTATATTTCTGATAAGCTTTGTGGAAAACTGGCACCATTACTGATTTGGTTGTTAGTCTGAGGGTTTTTTAAAAAATTGTATTTGTGAAAAATTAAAATTCCTACTTCCTTTTTTCTCATCCTGATTTTATTTGTGTTACAGATCCGAGTAAATAGTTCCAGATTGGTTCGAGTCACCCAGGTGGAGAATGAGGAGAAACTGAAGGAGCTAGAGCAGTTTAGTATCTGGAACTTTTTTTCCTCCTTTTTAAAAGAGAAATTGAATGACACCTATGTTAACGTGGGTCTATACAGCACAAAAACCTGCCTCAAAGTTGAGATTATAGAGAAGGACACCAAGTACAGTGTCATTGTGATCCGGAGTAAGTCTCACCTCTGTTTTTCTGATGGATTCTGTAGTGATAAGGACTGAGTTCTGAAGGGTATAATTAGTGAGACTGAGAAGTCAGCCTAAGACAGCTCCAGTTGGGTTCTGATTATAACCCTGAGTATACCACTGCTCTAAACAGTTCATGGAGACTTCACCCCTATCAGACAGGCCTAGAATTGAAACTCCACCTCAGGAAATTCTGAGTACCTCCTTACCTGGAACTGTGAAGACTTTTATTCTTTTATTCCCAATTACATTGTGCTGCTAATGTCCCTGAGCATATATGCCAAATACTCTTAGAGTAAATCAGATAGACGTGTTCTACCTTCTGGACACTTCTAGACAAAGGTAACTGTCTGATGTGTACATGCCTACATTTAAAGACGTGAATGGTTAATAAAAATTGAAGAAAGGTAAAATTGAAAATCATTCACAAGTAAAAAGAGTATTCATGGAACCATAAATAAAGATGAAGACCACTGCAGTTTAAAACTTATTCAGTGGAACTGGGAGAAGTTTTCTCTTTTCTGAAGATGACTGAGAAAGTTTCAGGGGAGATGGATCCTGTTGAATTCTCTCTGACTTTGTTTCCCCTTGGTTACTACACAGGGTCCTGGGATGTTGTAAGTAGTAGAAATGTTTCTAGGTTTAGTATGAAATAGGTTGTGCCCTTCCATTTGTCCTAGGGTTCTTTGGTTACGTAGGGTTGGCTTGTTTTTTGACGTTCCTTCTACAGTTACTGATTCCTTCTGCTCCTGTTCTGTTTGTGGGCCTCCCGTAGAACTCTTGAATGTGAAAGCTGTGGGAGTATCTGGTATGCCACTAAGGGGCCTTTGCTAGGGCCCCCTGGTCCTGAGTGAGAGGTATTTGCGTGTAGGCTTTTCCAGCACAGTGTTCTGTAGCAAAGGGAAGTAGGTGGTATTGTTGGGCAAGAAAAGCAGCCAGTTAGAGAACAACACAAGGCCCTGACCCACAGTTCTGGGCAAATCTGCTGAGTTCCATGACTGTGAGTGACTTAAAGCTTGAAAGCCAGAGTGATAGAGACCCCTTGTGGGTGATTGCATGAATTGCTGATGGTACTGTGTCTAGCTTTGTCCAAAACGAAGCTTGAGTTTCTTTTAACCTTAGCATAGGTAGCCTAAGTAAAAGTAAGATCTTCAGGCAAATACAGGTTAGACAGAGACCTAATTATACATTGGAAGGGTGCCCAGGCTTTAGGTGAAATTTAAATGCTTTTTAGGTGGGCTGTTTGCATTTATTTTTACTGTAGCTGACCAATAGTGCCAACGTTGTCTTTTATTCTATAATACCTTAAGCAGTTTTGTTCCCTTATTAAGCAAAAATCTTTATTTATTTCAGGATTTGATCCCAAACTCTTTCTTGTTTTCCTTCTTGGACTTATGCTATTTTTTTGTGGAGACTTGCTGAGCAGGTAGGTTCCAAGGCTAGTGTGCAGAATGAAACGGCTCATACCTATCCTGCCTGCGTTTTATAGTAACTATTAAGTACTGCCATTCCCATTTCCAGGACCTTTATGGCTTGGCCGTTGCCTGCTTGGATATTTAAAAAAATACTTTAATGTGTATTATGATTTTTGTTTTTTCTTATTTGAACAATGTTGACAATAGTGAAATTCCCACATTAGGTTGGCCCATCATTAGGTTGATAGGAGTTAGCCAATACAATGAAATGGAACATCATCACCCTTTCTATTGCTAGAAGTAATGTGTTAAGGTGTCATCTTTACAGGTCCATGGGTTGATGAGTTTCATTTTGTTCAGACGTAAAGAAACAAATAGCTTCTGGGTACGGTGGCTCACGCCTGTAATCACAGCACTTTGGGAGGCCAAGGCTGGCGGATCATGAGGTCAGGAGATCGAGACCATCCTGGCTAACACGGTGAAACCCCATCTCTACTGAAAATGCAAAAAAATTAGCCAGGCGTGGTGGCGGGCGCCTGTAGTCCCAGCTACTTGTGAGGCTGAGGCAGGAGAATGGCGTGAACCCAGGAGGTGGAGCTTGCAGTGAGCCGAGATCGTGCCACTGTGCTCCAGCCTGGGCAACAGAGCAAGACTCCATCTCAAAAAAAAGGAAACAAATATCACAGCTCAGCCTGGGCAACATGGCAAAACCCTGTCTATACAAAAATTAGCTGGACGTGGTGGTATGTGCCTGTGATCCCAGTTACTCGAGAGGCTAAGGCACGAGAACCGCTTGAGCCTGGAGGCGGAGGTTGCGGTGAGCCAAGATCACACCACTGTACTTCAACCTGGGCCACAGAGGGAGACCCTGTTTAAAAAAAAAAAAAAAAATCAAGTGTTTATTCATTTTTTCCTTTAGGAACCTACTAGTTAAGACAGGTGAGACTGACATGTACAAATATGAAGAAAATATATAGGTAACTAAATAAACATTGAATGAAGGTAAAATCAACATTAAGTTTGTATACAAGTAAAAAGTATTTGTGGAGTAGTGAATGCAAGATTAACAATTGGAGTTTGAAGTTGGGCTGGAGTGGGGTTGCTGGAAGTTGTTATTTTGGTGATGCTGAGAGAAACAGGGAGGAATAACTGGTAGAAAAAATCTGGAATGGGGGGCTGGTTGTGGTGGCTCACCCCTGTAATCCTAGCACTTTGGGAGGCTGAAGGGGGAGGATAACTTGAGCCCAAGAGTTTGAGACCAGCCTAGGTAACATAGTGAGACCCTGCCTCTACAAAAAAATACAAAAATTAGCCAGGCATGGTTGTGCATGCCAGTAGTCCCAGCTACTTGGGAGTCTGAGGTAGGAGGATCACTTGAGCCCAGGAGGTTGAGGCTGCAGTGATCCGTGATTGCACCACTGCACTCCAGCCTGGGTGACAAAATAATAATATTCAGGTCGGGAGAGATGATGGGGATGTGAATAGGACATTACGTAAAGGCTGATTATTGGGAAATACATGAGGGAAGACCTTTAATCCTAATCTTCATAATCTGGCAGTAACTACATAGCATCAGTCTCTACAGTTCTCTGACCTCAAGTTTTGGGCAAATATAGTCACACATCACTTTATTGTACTTCACTTTTTTGTGGTTCACAGATAGTGCATTTCTTTCCAAATTGAAGGTTCGTGGCAACCCTGGGTCAAGCAAATCTATCACACCGTTTTCCCAACAGCATGTGCTCACTTGGGGTCTGTGTGTCACATTTTAGTAATTATAATATTTCAAACTTTTTCATATGATTATAACTGTTATGGTGATCCATAATCAGTGATCTTTGATGCTGCTGTTGCAATTATTTTGGGGCACCACATGTCCATGTAAGACAGTATATTAGTTCATTTTCTTTTTTTTTTTTTTGAGACAGAGTCTCGCTCTGTCGCCCAGGCTGGAGTGTAGTGACGCGATCTCGGCTCACTGCAAGCTCCACCTTCCGGGTTCATGCCATTCTCCTGCCTCAGCCTCCCGAGTAGCTGGGACTACAGGCACCTGCCACCACGTGCAGCTAATTTTTTGTATTTTTAGTAGAGACGGGTTTCACCGTGTTAGCCAGGATGGTCTCGATCTCCTGACCTCATGATCTGCCTGCCTCAGCCTCCCAAAGTGCTGGGATTACAGGCGTGAGCCACTGCGCCCAGCCTATTAGTTCATTTTCATACTGTTGATAAAGATACCCAAGACTGGATAATTTATAAAGAAAAAGAAGTTTAATGGACTCACAGTTCCTGGTGGCTGGGGAGGCCTCATAATCATGGCAGAATGCAAAAGGCACATCTTACATGGCAGCAGGCAAGAGAGAATGAGAACCAAGTGAAAGTGGAAACCCCTTATAAAACCATCAGATCTCATGAGACTTATTCACTACCATGAGAACAGTATGAGGGCAACTGCCCCCATGATTCAATTATCTCCCACCAGTTCCCTCCTACAACACGTGGGAATGATGGGAGCTACAATTCAAGATGAGATTTGGGTGGGGACACAGCCAAACCATATTAGACAGTGAACTTCATCGATAAATGTCATGGGTGTTCTAACAACTCAACCAATTGGTTATTCCCGTCTCCCTTCTTCTTGGGCCTCCCTATTCCCTGAGAAACAGCAATATTGAAACTAGGCCAATTAATAACCCTAGAGTAGATTGTGAGTCTTCAACTGAAAGGAAGAGTCATACATCTCTCTGATTATGCTTAGTGAGAACAGCAAAAGCCAAGACAGACCGAAAGCTAGACCTCTTGTCCTGAGCAGTTAGCCAAGTTGTGAGTGCAAAGGGAAAGTTCTTGAAGGAAATTAAAAGTGCTACTCCAGGGAACACACAAGTGATAAGAAAGTGAAACAGCCTTATTGCTGATATGGAGAGAGTTTTAGTTGGCTGTTGAGAAGATTAAACCAGATACAACTCTTTTTTTGTTTGTTTGTTTGTTTTTTTGAGACAGAGTCTTGCTCTCTTGCCCAGGCTGGAGTGCAGTGGCGTGATCTCGGCTCACTGCAAGCTCCGCCTCCCAGGTTCATGCCATTCTCCTGCCTCAGCCTCCCTAGTAGCTGGGACTATAGGCGCCTGCCACCACACCCAGCTAATTTTTTTGTATTTTTAGTAGAGACAGGGTTTCACCGTGTTAACCAGGATGGTCTCGATCTCCGGACCTCGTGATCCTCCCATCTCAGCCTCCCAAAGTGCTGGGATTACAGGCTTGAGCCACCATGCCCGGCCAGATACAACTTTTTTAAAGCTAAAGGCTGATCCAGAGCAAGACCCTAACTGTCTTCAATTCTGTGAAGGGTGAGAGGTGAGGAAGCCTCAGAAGAAAAGTTTACAGCTAGTGAAGGTTCTTGGTTCATGAGATTTAAGGAAAGAAGCTGTCTTATTACATAAGTGCAAGGTAGGCTAGGCGTGGTGGCTCAGGCCTGTAGTCCCAGCACTTTGGGAGGCTGAGGCGGGCAGATCACTTGAGCCCAGGGAGTTCGAGACCAGCCTGAGCAACATGGTGAAACCCTGCCTTTACAAAAAATACAAAAAAGTCATGGTACCAGCTACTCGGGAGGCTGAGGTGGGAGAATCACCTGGGCCCAGTAGATCAAGGCTGCAGTGAGCCATGATGACGCCATCGCACCCCAGCTTGGGCAACAGAGTGAGACTTTGTCTCAAAAAAAAAAAAAAAAAAGATGAACCAAGCACTGATATAGAAGCTGTAGCAAGTTATTCAGAAGATCTAGCTAACATCATTGTTGAAAGTGGCTACAATTAAAGAGCTCCTCAGTGTAGACAAAATAGCCTTATACTAGAAGAAGATGCCATTGAGGACTTTGATAGCGAGAGAGAAGTCAGTGCCTAGCTTCAAAGGAGGGGTGATCCTCTTGTTAAGGGTTAATGCTGTTGGAGGATTGACTCCAGTTTTGAAAGAAGTTGTGGTAAAATGCTATCAGACAGTATTGCATGCTTTAGAGAAATCTTCATTGAAAGGATGAGTCAATGCAGCAAACTTCATTATATTTTAAGAAATTGCCACAGCCACTCCAGCCTTCAGAAACCACTGCCTTCATCAGTCAACAGCCATCAACATGGAAGTGAGACCCTCCACCAGCAAAAAAAATGATGACTCACTGAAGGCGTAGATGATCTTTAGCAGGTTTTAGCAAAGTATTTTTAATTAAGGAATATATATTTTTAAGACATAATGCTGTTGTACACTTAATATACTATAATATAGTGTAAACAATTTTTATATGCAGTGGGAAACCAAAAAATTTGTGTGACTTACTTACTGCAATTGCAATATTTGGTTTATTGCAGTGGTCTGGAACCAAATTTGAAATGTCTCTGATGCTTGTACTGCTCTAATCTTGTACCTTTTAAAATCTTTCGGCTGGGTTAGTTGTCCTAGTTTCAACAGTGCTATGTATGAAATATATACATATGGTCATGAAATACATTTTTTTCCTGCAGAAGTCAAATTTTCTACTACTCTACTGGGATGACTGTGGGAATTGTGGCCTCTCTGCTAATCATCATTTTTATACTATCTAAGTTTATGCCTAAGGTAAGTATCAGAATCTTCATGTGCAGCTAGAATGAATTTGGATAGCTGAAGGACTGTTTTCCTGGGTAATCTTAGAAAACTGAAAATGTGTATTGATGGCTGATGAGTCAATATCCTACTCTCCTTGATTCAGAAAGGTACTTTCCACGATGAAACTTGGAGCCTGATTACAAATTCTTTCTTTTTATATAAAATCCTGTGCTCAGAGGGGGATTAAAGTCTGCTTCCTGTTTTTTAATTATATAGCCAGGCTTTTAAGTTATTTAGCATTTCATCTTCCCAGTGTTCGTTGCAGACTGTACCATTTTAAGTATAAAGGACATCTTTTTAAGAGAAGTGTTTTTTGTGCATTTTGAGTAGGTTGAATTTTTTAAAAAAAAAATCATAGTTCCATTTTGCTTCTTTTATGTATGGAAAGCCTGTTGTAACTTTTTGCTTTCACTTCTACTCTCTGTCTTAGAAAAGTCCCATTTACGTCATCCTGGTGGGAGGCTGGTCTTTTTCTCTGTACCTCATTCAACTAGTTTTTAAAAATTTACAAGAGATCTGGAGGTGTTACTGGCAGTATCTTTTAAGTAAGTGTTGTCGGTTTTGCTTTCCTTTTGTACGTTTATAGGCTGTTTCAGTTAATTTGATCATGAAAAGATTTTGCCTGCTTATGGGATTTAATAGTTCATGTCATTTTTTTAAACTTTTAAAAATCATAGTTTTTCACTTATTTCTAATCCCTCTACAATTATCACCTTCTCTTAAATTAGAATGGTGCTGTTAAGGCGAAGATGTTCATTTATTGGTATTTATAAATATACCTTTCTTTACACAATAAACATCTTTCTGAAAAGCTGTAAGTTGACTTTATTAATGGAATCATATTTTAAATATACTTGGGGACCTTAAGTAAAAGACTCCGCAGTTAATTTTTTTCTCCTTCATTTCTGAATGAACTGCTGTAGATTTTATTTACAAAGTAAAAATCCTTGGTCATATAGATAGTAACCTTTGAGTTATCCTTTGAAGGGTGATTAATCTGGATTTCTGTATATTGGTTTTTTAAAATAGTCTATTTCAGGGTTGTTCAACATGTACCTTTAATGTTCTGTTTGAACCAAATAAATTTGGGACAGCAGAAAGGATAGAAACTTAGAGAAATATATTCTAAGAAAAAAGTGTGAAAAATTAAGTAAAAATCTGATTTCCTAGTTCAATTGGTGCTATATAGTAAATTAACTACTGCTTCCCACACAAATTATTTTTACCAAGTATAGATGAAAAAGAATGTCTTCTGATAACTCTTCTCATAGGTTATGTCCTCACAGTTGGATTCATGAGTTTTGCAGTATGTTACAAGTATGGGCCCTTGGAGAATGAACGAAGTATCAACCTGCTGACCTGGACCTTGCAGCTGATGGGCCTGTGTTTCATGTATTCTGGCATCCAGATACCACATATTGCCCTTGCCATTATCATCATTGCTCTTTGTACTAAGAACCTGGAACACCCTATTCAGTGGCTGTACATCACCTGCAGGTGACTGAAAGGCAATGTAACTTAATATTGACAGGTACATTGTGGGATGCAGTTGCAGCAAGAGGATACAGAGGTGTTGACCTGGGAGCTTCTTTGTTAATGAAAAGTCATTGTATTGTACTTCCACTTTTGTTCCTTCCCGAGTCTATTTTTTTTTTTTTACTTTCTATAGGAATTTTTATATTTTTATTCTAGTCATTTTATATAAAATGTCTAGTAAAATGTCATGTGTTCCTGTTACCACAAGGTGGTGCAAATTCTATCACTGTTTTTTTGAGATGGAGTCTCGCTCTGTCGCCCAGGCTGGAGTGCAGTGGCGTGATCTCGGCTCACTGCAACCTCCACCTCCCGGGTTCAAACGATTCTTCTGCCTCAGCCTCCTGAGTAGCTGGGATTACAGGCATGCGCCACCACATTCAGCTAATTTTTATATTTTTAGTAGGGTTCCCCATGTTGACCAGGCTGGTCTTGAACTCCTGACCTCAAATGTCAGGAGTTCATAAAGTGCTGAGGAGCTCCCAAAGTGCTTGGATTACAAAGTGCTGGGATTACAGACATGAGCCACTGCGCCCCGCCACAAATTGTATCGCTTTTATACCGTATGCTCATTGAGGTCTCCTGGGTTCAGATTTTTTTTTTGAGACAGAGTCTCTCTCTGTCACCCAGGCTGGAGCACAATGGCGTGATCTCGGCTCACTGCAGCCTCCACCTCCCGGGTTCAAGTGATTCTTCTGCCTCAGCCTCCCGAATAGTTGGGACTACGGGTGGGCGCCACTATGCCTGGCTAATTTTTGTATTTTTAATAGAGATGTGGTTTCACCATGTTGGCCAGGGTGGTCTCAAACTCCTGACCTCAGGTGATTTGCCCACCTCAGCCCCACAAAGTGCTAGGATTATAGGCGTGAGCCACCTCACCCAGCCCATTTCAGACTATTTCTCAGTGGCTTTCAGATTGCTCTGGAGGTCTTAGTCTTATTTTAAGATGTAATTCATAGCATGTTTTGTCACCTTGCATAATAAATATGGAATGTTACTAGGTCCTGAAGTTGTCTATTATAGATAGTCAAGGTGATGCTTTCAGTTTGGGAAACCAAGTTACTGGACCACAATCTTTTTTTTTTGAGATGGAGTCTTGCTCTGTCACCAGGCTGGAGTGCAGTGGTGCTATCTCAGCTCACCGCAACCTCTGCCTCCTGGGTTTAAGCGATTCTCCTGCCTCAGCCTCCTGAGTAGCTGGGGTTACAGGTACATGCCACCATGCCCAGCTAATTTTTGCATTTTTATAGTAGAGATGGCGTTTCACTATGTTGGCCAGGATAGTCTCAATCTTGACCTTGTGATCTGCCCACCTTGGCCTCCCAAAGTGCTGGGATTACAGGTGTGAGCCACCTTGCCCGGCGTTTTTTTTTGTTTTTTTTTTTTTTTGAGATGGAGTTTTGCTCTTGTTGCCCAGGCTGGAGTGCAATGGCATGATCTCGGCTCACTGCAACCTCCGCCTCCCTGGTTCAAGCGATTGTCCTGCCTCAGCCTCCCGAATAGCTGGGATTACAGGTATGCACCACCATGCCTGGCTAATTTTGTATTTTTAGTAGAGATGGGGTTCCTCTGTGTTGGTCAGGTTGATCTCCAACTCCTGACCTCAGGTGATCTGCCTGCCTTGGCCTCCCAAAGTGCTGGGATTATAGGCGTGAGCCACTGTGCCTGGCTAGAACCACAGTCTTATACCATGATTTTCTGTTATTTTCCCATCTACTAGAAAATAAGTAAGTATTTTATCATTTATTGGAAAATAAAGTGAGTTTGTTCACATTAGTGAATAATATTGACTATAATTTTTTACTTTCTATAGGCATTTTTATATTTTTATTCTAGTCATTTTATATAAAATAAAAAGGTCTAGTAAAATGTCATGTGTTCCTGTTACCACAAGGTGGTGCAAATTATATCACTTTTTTTTTGAGATGGAGTCTCGCTCTGTCGCCTATGAATTGTCACTCATAGTCTAATGTATCAGGAGTTCATTATAACTAAAGATGTCCATGGAATTTTTAGGAGTGATGACTCTTAATGTTCAGGCTGTCTGCTGTATTCTTGGCCCACTGAAGGGAGCTAGAAGTAAGGATGGATATAGATTACTGATTAATGATTCATAATGTTATTTTGGTGAGCACAGAAAGGTGTGTAAGGGAGCAGAAAAGCCTGTTCCCCCTCGTCTCCTGACAGAAGAAGAATATCGGATACAAGGAGAGGTAGAAACCCGAAAGGCTTTAGAGGAGCTCCGAGAATTTTGTAACAGTCCAGACTGCTCTGCTTGGAAGACTGTTTCTCGAATCCAGTCTCCAAAAAGGTAAACTCGGCCAGATATACCAAGCATCTATCAGGGTAATTGTGACCTTGAGTTCTACCAGAGATCATACTTCTAGAGAATCGTGCACTTGTGACCTTTGTTTTCCTGTTAATCTTCAAGTAGTCAAGAGAAGGGTGGATATATAATCACACATTAAGCAGTAACCTGTTTCCTCAGGGAACTATCTACTCTAGCTTTGATTGTAGCATTAAGATGGGAAGACTCCAGTACCATATTAAGTTTCCCTTCTGAAAGTTTTGCATTGCTGTCTGAGTTGGTAGGGTTCCCCCCTACCCACTTTTTAGTTGGGGGCAAATGTACCAATGAGTATGTGAAGCTTCAATTTGGAATCATGATGGCATAAAGTTTACAGGGCCATAAACGTGAATAACTGTAATGCCCCTTAATCTTCTCTTATCAGGATTACAGATGACTAAAGGAACCTTGGCACTTTCATAATTAGAAAGGATAGGCAAGTGCTTATTAAGCAGGATGGAGTTGCAGGGGTATTAGCCTATGATCCCAGCTTTCCTTTTCTCCTTAACTTCATGCTTTAGTCTACTTACCTGCCAGAGTAAGGACAAGGATGTTGGCTAGACTTAATATAATTTGAGTTGCGAGCATATCGAGGGCTTTAATTTGTTCTTATTTTGAAAGAAGACCAGAAAGGACAGAAGGATATTTCTAACGAGTATTATCTTCTCTTTTCCAGATTTGCTGACTTTGTGGAAGGCTCTTCCCACCTCACGCCAAATGAAGTTTCTGTCCATGAGCAGGAGTATGGATTAGGGAGCATTATTGCCCAGGATGAAATCTATGAGGAAGCATCCTCTGAGGAGGAGGACTCATATTCTCGGTGTCCTGCTATCACACAGAACAACTTTCTAACCTAGGTAGTGGTCAGTTATCTTTACGTGGACTGGCTTGGTGCCTTGGTCCATGTTGCATGTGTTGTGCAATTGCTTTCAACCCTTTGAAACAGAGTGAGATAGATAGGGTAGAAATTCTCCTACTGAAATAAGAGGCCTAAAAAGGCCTCCCTTTGGAAATGGGAGGTCTCTATGGGATCCCTGAGGAAGGAGAGTGGATAAAGTAGTGAATGCTGGGTAGTTCACTTCCCATTGGTTAAGCTAACAGCCCACTTTTATGTTTCCAGAGAAATTGGATGGCCACAGCTAGCATGGCATTCTAGCTCCTTCTTGAAAGTTGATTCAATCATGGCATTTCTGTCACTGGCTGGCTCTCCAAAGTAAGAACTGTTGTTAAGTGCAGGAATGCTTTTAGACTATAGGCTGCAACTTCCAGAGAGAAATCCACAAATCTGAGCCTCCTTCACTCCAGCTTTTATTTCAGTGACTTTAGAATAATTATTGATTTAACTGTTTTGGGAGGAAAATAGATTTTTATTGTTTTGTTTTTTAAATGAATGTCTTTTAAAAAACATAACAAACTCATGTTCCAGAACCAGCAAGTGCTCCAGAGTGACACACCCCCTAGGCCCCTACATATTTATTAATATGGATTATCCATTAAAGCCCCAGGAGCTGTTGTTTTAAGCTTTGATTTAGTTCTCATACATATGATAGAAAGTCCTATTTGCCTTTAGGAACATGCCTGTAGGCTCTTCTGCAGGTGAGATGTACTGGGCTTTTTATTATATTCAACTTTCAATTCCATCTTAAAAAACATTTGTATTCTTCTCTTCCCATTCTTCCTTACCCTGCCTTTGCCCTTTCAGGAAGGGTCAGTTCCCTTACCTGTGAACTATGTATGTTCAGAGTAGCATTATTCCTGCTAGCTAGGAGAAGTCATCTTGTTTAGGGGATTTGGATGCTTTTTATACGTTCTCCATTTTCCTGTCATTGGGTCATGTTATCTTTGAGTTGCTATGAAATCAGGAAACTGTCTCCTTTTCCTTTCCCTTCCTTTGTCTACATGCTCTGTCCATTCCTTTCAGCCTTTTCTCACCACCCATACTCCCCCAAATCTGGGTAATTTTTAAGCCTTGAAACTATGTAGTTTCTTGATACACAATTTGTAGTTATGCAGCAGCCACAATTTGCATTGCCAGGAAATAGGCTCCAGGTTATCTTCATGCCTCTGGGTGCTCATTCAGCTGTCAAGTTTCCATGAACTTACACTTATTTATGATTGCGTTTCTGACCTGAGATGTATGCTGCCTGTTATTGCAGTAGCATTAGTTTCAGATTCTTTTGCCATTGCAAAGTACCCCTTATAAACCAGCAATGTCATCTGTGAGGAAGCAAATTCTCAAGTGTCTGTCATTTACTTGGTTCTTTTTCTTTGTGGTCTTCACCCTTATACCCTGGAAAAGTCTGTAATTACCTTAGCCAGGAAGATAGATGGTCATGGCAAGCGCACAGCACCAGACTTACTGGCTCACCAAGATGATGGAAAAAGGCAGATGATTTTTTAAAAAGCCGTAATGACTCCTTTAGACCAGCCATTTAGCGTGGTAATTTTGAAAGGCCTAGCTCCATTGCAGACTTCCAAAGGGTCAGCTCTGAGACTGCCCTCCAGGTGGGCAGTTGATTATTTCCACCAGTGTTTTCCAGAGCCTTAAACTGTCCTAAGTGACAACTACCTCAGTTGGCAGGAAAGAGACATATAGTAGAAAGTGAAAAATGAGCAGTATTTGGGCAGATGCTATGGGTTACAGTTGAAGGGTAAAAGGAACTTTACATTGGGAAACCTTTATACCCTTGTGAATTATGTACATGGTAAAATGTTCTCTCTCTACAAAGAACTATTAAAACTTCTGAAATATACTATTTTTTACCTTATTTATAGAAATTGAGACCTAGCATATTTAAGCATAAGTTTATTTTAAAAAATAATTCAACTCGTGCAAGTGGTCTCAGGATTCTCTGGAGATTTTGGTGCCTCCCCTACTTAGGGAGGTGATAGCTTGCCTATAAGGGTGACTTTTCCTGATCATGTCTTTATTTCAATGAGAAAGCACTGTGAAATTGTGAAAGATTCTCCTCTTTCTCTGTTTAATAAACCCCCATGAAATATAGTTTCCATCTCTAGACCAGTTTTTTTTCCACCGTGTTTAGACTTGAGGTGAATAAAATCAAACTGTTTTTTACTCCCTATCTGGTAGTTGGAGACCTGAGCTGTAGGCAGTGGAGATGGCAATTGGTTCTGCAGCCTGAGAGTTGCTCTCACACAGTGAAGGACGGTGCTGCTCTGGTGTGCTGTGTGTCCTTGCCCTGCCTGCCTGTGGCTCTGCCCAGATGCTTCAGATCCTCTGTGTTCCGGAGATTGCTTGACTTCAACCTTCTTTAGGAGCTGCTCTTGTCTCCCTCTTGGCCACTTAGTTTGCTGGCTCAGTCACTACTTGAAGACCCCATTTAATTTTTCTCTGGCAGTTATAGCTCTTGTGATTTCAGTACAGTCTCATCTCTCAGACCAATCTCATCAAGAAGGATTGAAGGGATAACTATGAGGTAAGCTGGACATTGGAGCCGTGTTTGCTGCCACGTCAGCGTCTTGCTGGGTGAATGTCAAGCCATAAATGGGCTCCAGGGCTCTGGATCTCATCAGCATTGGAAATCTATTGCCTCTCATCAGTCTGACCAAATTATGTAGAGCATTAATGTAGAGACTCCCATTAATGGGAATACAAGAGGCAGCTGGCATAAAACATTTCTTTCACTTTCCTTTCCCACTCAGATTGCTTCAAGAGACCAACAGAACACAGGGATCAAAAACAAGGAAAATTTAGCAACTTCATTACCTTCTAATAAGTAATTCCTGTTAGCCACTGCATCCCACCAAAACTAGTTTATTTTTCCCCTCAAATTCATGATTTTTACGTCTGTTACAAAGGGAATTTTGCTGATAGCTCTTTGGGTCCCACTGTTCCATTTTATGCTAATAGATTCCATTCTAGGGCCCAGCCGTCTCTTGACTGATGGTGTTCCCTTTAACCCTTGGCATGTATAATAGAATTTTGGTGAATGAAAGAACCCAAATAGGCCAGATAGTCCCCCCAGGCCCTGATATCCATAAAAGGCTTGGGAATGCATTATGTAATTGTCCTTAGTCTTTTTGTTGTTTTAGAAAAAAAAAACAAGATGGGCTCAGATGGATGCCTACGTAAAAATGGTTCCTAGCTGTGTACTCATAACTTTTCTTTGAATTGAGTAGTGAAAGGAAGGAGGAGGAAAGGAAATTAAATGTCCTTCTAGTATTCTCTGGACTCAAGTCTGACATATGAGATAATAACCTATATTGAAATGCCAAGAATTGTATCTGAAACAAGAGAACAGTTTGACACATTTATCATGCCTTCATATTACATATTAACTGAAACCAATTAATAAACATATGAAATATCCATTGCACAAGGCAAAGGCACCTAAACCTTTTGTTTCTTTTTCTACATAGCAGAAATTGATTTTTTTTTTATTTTTTTAGGGGAACCTATATAATTATGACCCAGTGATGTCTTTTGGTGACTTAAGCTTATGAATTCAGGTTACAATTGAGTTGATTCTAGATGGTTACTACCTTGAAAAGGATGTTGGTGCCTTATGTGACACGAGCCAGAGCCTGCTGGGAATAAACAAAGCAGATTCATGCCAACACCAACTCGTAGCTTTAGTGGCAGATGGGAGTGGTCACAGACTCCCAAAATGTGGGGCTTTGGATTTCCACACCATCCCACGTGTGTGTCATCTTCCTCTTTCACACTCTTGATGATAATTTGAAAATGGTGAAATCACCTCTGAATTTGCCTATAGCATGAGCACATTCTTATGACAACATAACAAATAGTTCATAATGTGAATATTAGAAACTGTTACAGCCTGCAGTTACCATAATTTTCCATGTTTGTGGAATTGATATTGAAATAGCAGGGCTAAGGAATTACTGGCAAGTTTTAGCCTGTGGGTAATACCTTAGGGTTATTTAAATATTTGTAATTTTATTTAAATGTTCATGAATGTTTGAAAGGAACAAAATTATCAGGGATGGCTCTTTGCCATGGGTCTTATTTTCACCCTCTTTTCTGTAAGAAAAAAGAACAATGTCTTAATGTATTTTTAAAGTTTTTGGTATAGTTTCTAATTCCAATTTTAATAAAAGTTTTATAGATATATTGTGGTCTTTCTTAATGAACATAATATTTTCTTGTTTGGATTTCTTGTTTTCAGGTAATCAGCAATTTACTCCTCAGTTTCATCTTTCTAATGAGATGGTTTTGCATGCCACTGATTTCCCTTTTTTTCTTAGCCACCCCTTCCTGTCCCGAGTCTGTACTGGTCTACTTTCATCCTTGGACTGGATGATTTCCCAGGATGCAAAATCTCTAAGGGGTATTCTTGCAGGAGCAGCAGGTTGTACTACCATGCTGTCTCATAGAAAAGCAAAATACAGGTTATTCTTGGCCCAAGGAACTACTCTGATTATATTTTAGTTCTTTTTTTTTTTTTATGGCATAAAGTATCTCTTTTGTTTGTCCATTGGGATGGGGAGAAGACCTATGGCTCCAGCTATGGGATCCCTACCAAGAGCTCTGTATAGGGTGGAAGAGAGAGTAGGGCTGTAGTGAGCCTTATGTGTATTGAATAAAAACTTAAATTATGTCTAGGCCCAGCTTCTACCATAGGAGTCTGGTACCTTTCATTTTATGTATTGGCTACCTTCTTTGCTCTGGGAATCCTTTGTAATATTCATATTAACTCTGTACCTATGTTTTTTCATCTCATTAATTAATTATTATTATTATTATTTGAGACAGTCTCTTCCTGTTGCCCAGGCTGGAGTGCAGTGGCATGATCTCGGCTCACTGCAATCTCTGCTTCCCGGGTTCAAGTGATTCTCCTGCCTCAGCCTCCCGAGTAGCTGGATTACAGGCACCTGCCACCACACCCTGATAATTTTTGTAGTTTTAGTAGAGATGGGGTTTCACCACGTTGGCCAGGCTGGTCTTGAACTCCTGATCTCAAATGATCTGCCCGCCTTGGCCTCCCAAAGTGCTGGGATTACAGGCATGAGCCACTGCACCCTGCCTATTTATTATCATTATTATTTGTTTTGTTTTGTTTTTTGAGATGGAGTTTCACTCTGTCACCCAGGCTGGAGTGCAGAGGCGGGATCTTGGCTCACTGTAACCTCCGCCTCCTGGGTTAAAGCAATTCTCCCTGCCTCAGTCTCCTTAGTAGCTGGGATTACAGGCCCCCACCACCATGCCCGGCTTTTTGTATTTTTTAAGTAGAGATGGGGTTTCACCATGTTGGCCATGCTGGTCTTGAACTCCTGACCTCAGGTGATCTGCCCACCTCAGCCTCCCAAAGTTCATCTCAGTTATTTGGACTACATGGAAATCCATTGTCTATTTTTTTTAAGACAGAAAGTTGGCAAAGTAGGAAGAAAACAGGATGTAGAACATAAGTAAATTTATGTTAATGTACACTAATGACATCTTTTCTCCTCTTCCTTCCATAACTACCACTAGGTAAATAAGAGACATAGGTGATCGTTAATGGTTGAACTAATAAAAACTTAAAGCATAATTGCTAGATGTACATCATAGAGTTATAGTGAGGATAAAAAAACATGGTAAGTGATGAGCATTTTTTCATGTGTAAGTTTTGGCTGCATAAATGTCTTCTTTTGAGAAGTGTCTGTTCATATCTTTCGCCCACTCTTTGATGGGGTTGTTTGTTTTTTTCTTGTTAATTTGTTGGAGTTCATTGTAGATTCTGGATATTAGCCCTTTGTCAGATGAGTAGATTGCAAGAATTTTCTCCCATTCTGTAGGTTGCCTGTTCACTCGGATGGTAGTTTCTTTTGCTGTGCAGAAGCTCTTTAGTTTTATTCGATCCCATTTGTCAATTTTGGCTTTTGTTGCCATTGCTTTTGGTGTTTTAGACATGAAGTCCTTGCCCATGCCTATGTCCTGAATGGTATTGCCTAGGTTTTATTCTAGGGTTTTTATGGTTTTAGGTCTAACATTTAAGTCTTTAATCCCTCCTGGCCACCAGAGAAATACAAATCAAAACCACAATGAGATACCATCTCACACCAGTTAGAATGGCGATCATTAACAAGTCAGGAAACAGCAGGTGCTGGAGAGGATGTGGAGAAATAGGAACACTTTTACACCGTTGATGGGACTGTAAACTAGTTCAACCATTGTGGAAGTCAGTGTGGCGATTCCTCAGGGATCTAGAACTAGAAATACCATTTGACCCAGCAATCCCATTACTGGGTATATACCCAAAGGATTATAAATCATGCTGCTATAAAGACACATGCACATGTATGTTTATTGCGGCACTATACACAATAGCAAAGACTTGGAATCAACCCAAATGTCCAACAATGATAGACTGGATTAAGAAAATGTGACACATATACACCATGGAATACTATGCAGCCATAAAAAATGATGAGTTTATGTCCTTTGTAGGGACATGGATGAAGCTGGAAACCATCATTCTCAGCGAACGATCGCAAGGACAAAAAACCAAACACTGCATGTTCTCACTGATAGGTGGGAATTGAACAATGAGAACACATGGACACAGGAAGGGGAACATCACACATTGGGGCCTGTTGTGGGATGTGGGGAGGGGGGAGGGATAGCATTTGGAGATATACCTAATGTTAAATGATGAGTTACTGGGTGCACCACACCAACATGGCACATGTATACATATGTAACCTGCATGTTGTGCACATGTACCCTAGAATTTAAAGTATAATTTAAAAAAAAACATGGTAAGTTGGGTAAAGCAGTTCTCCAACTTTAAAGTGCATGGGAATCACCTGGGGATCTTGTTAAAATGCAGATTCTGATTCACTAAATCTTCAGTGGTGCCCAAGAATCTGCATTTATTTTTTTTTTTAAGAGACAGGATCTTGCTCTGTTGCCCAGGCTGGAGTGGAGTGCAGTGGCACACTCATAGCTCAGTGCAGCCTGGAACTCTTGGGTTCAAGCAGACCTCCCAATTCAGCCTTCCAAAGATTCTGGATTTCTGGTAAGCTCCCAGTTGATCAGATGGTGCTGGTCTGTGGACCTCATTTTGAATAGCAATGATGTAAAGCACTTAGCTTGTTGCCTGGCACATCTTAGTCCAGTCTAAGTATGATAAATGTTATTAGTACCAGATAGTTTATGAGAGCCGAGAAGACCCTCTACCACCAAATGTCTTCCTCACCATATCTGAAAATAGCTGCCTTTTTATTGTGTAACATCTTTTTAAAAGTTAGTACCTGTGGGAAGATTAATGAGTGAATTGGCTTAATCAGATTGCTGCCTTCCCAATTTGTCAGAAATCAGCACCAAATGATTTGGAATTTTTTTTTTTTTTTTTTGAGACGGAGTTTTGCTCTTGTTGTCCAGGCTGGAGTACAATGGCGTGATCTCGGCTCACTGCAACCTCCACCACCCGGGTTCAAGCGATTCTCCTGCCTTAGTCTCCTGAGTAGCTGGGATTACAGGCACCCGCCACCATGCCCGGGCTAATCTTTTTTGTATTTTTAGTAGAGACGGGGTTTCACCATGTTGGCCAGGCTGGTTTCGAGCTCTTGGCCTGAAGTGATCGGCCCGGCTCAGCCTCTCAAAGTGTTAGGATTACAGGCGTGAGCCACTGCACCCAGCCTAGAATTTTTTTTTTTTTTTTGCCAGTTTTATTGAAGTACGATTTACATAACAATATAATTTGCCAGTTTTAAGTGTACAAATTTGCTGAGTTTTGACAAATGGAGACAGTTGTATAACCACTACCACAATCAGGATATAGACCATTTCTGTAACCCCAAAAAGTTCCCTCTTGCCCCTTCCATGGTCTAGAAATGTTAATGGGGGAAAAAGGAAGGTGATTTAGGAGTCAAAGTAGAGGAAGACTAATACGCTCTGGTTGCTTCAGTTTTGCCTAGAAAGCAGGAGATTAGAAAATCCCAGCTGACTTGGATGTGTATTTCATATCTTGTTAATTTAGGCTGACCCACTGGCTCCAGTTTGCCTGGGACTTTCCTAGTTTTAACACTCAAATTCCCATGTCCAGAGAACCCCACTGTGTCCCACAGGCGGATCAGTACAGTTGGTTGCCCTAGCTGTGATGTTCATGTCATTGTTCTTACACCTGAGAGTGCCATCTCATTTTAGAGTCACTTTTCTCGTGAGTAAGCACATAGTAGGCACTCAGTTGACTGAATGGGTGGACATGCAGGTAAACCCCAGATGGCTGCAGATTCCTGGCCTAGAGAACATGAGACTTGGGTTTTGGTGCCAGCTCTGCCAGGTTTGCAGTGGTGTGACCCTGGAAAAGTGGTTTTCTCACTCTAGATCTGTTTCCTCCACTGGTAAATAGGTGATATTTGTCACTTCTGCCTCTAGGACATGGATACTGCTCCACCTACACATAGCATTATGTTTTGATGTCACTTCCACTCAGCTTTCTCTCTTTTCCTTGCCCCCCTCCACCTTCAAATATATGTAGTAGATCAATAAATTATGTAAAGGCAGGTTGATAATAGAACTGCTGATGTGCCAGGCTTACGCAGAGTGCTTCTGTGAGAGCCATAGAGTTTGGACCTTGCACCAAGCAGCCATAGCTGAGAGTTGGAGAATCAAGTCTCTCTTCAGTTAAGTGTCTATAATTACCTAATTTGTTCTTTCTGCATGCCTGGGAGAGAGGATGGTAGGCAGAGGGGGCTTGCTGTTTTTAGGAATTTTCCTGGCTGGATGAAGGGGTACTTCTTATCTATCAGAGGGAGCTATTACATTAGCTCAGGGTCTTACTCAGTATCCTAGTGCTGACGAATTAAAATTAGAAACTTCAGAACTTGGGCTGCAACTTTTGGCAAACTTAGGGAGCTGCATTCTGTTCCTGGTTCTGCCATGCACTAGCATGGAACTGTGGGCACATTGTGTAACCTCTCTGAGTCTGGTGTTTGTTCCTAGTTTTCCATTTTAATGGAGTATCTGTATTGCCTTCCTCGGGGTGGTGCTATTCAGTGAGGCAATGCAAGGGGGAGTTCAATGAAACTGGGACATCTATACACATGTGAGGTATTATTACTAATCACTTTAATCTTTGGGTCTCTATGATAGGGTCTGATTCATGGGGGAAGGGAAGTGGAGAAGAATTTGGGGATTTTGTCTGCTTAGCTCTCCAAGTAATCTCATTAACATCCCCTGACTCCCGATAAGATAGGAAGAGTAGGTATGAGGGAGGTACTGTTTTTTTGCTAGGAAGACACTCTTTGTAAAGACGTGTCTCGCCATGTTGCCTAGGCTGGTCTCGAACTCCTGGGCTCAAGTGATCCTCCCGCCTTGGCCTCCCAAAGTGCTGGGAGTATAGGCATGAGCAACCGCACTTGGCCCTACCTGTCCTTGACAAAATTCCTGACTTCTCTTTGGGAAATATTTTCCTTGGCTATAAATTCCATTCTTCCAGCTTTCATTTCCAAATTTGGGAGACAATGGAGCAAGAACCCTCCTTTAGTTAAGCCTCTCAGCTAACGCCAGCCAGATACCCTTTCCTACCTAGAGGGAGCTTGAGTGTCTCCCTCTGGGGCTTCAGGCCTGTGAAGGGTTAAGTGAGCCACACCCTCAGCAGGAACAGTCTGGACTTTGTGCTGATCAGCCATCTCCGGCCTCTCCTGGTTTGACTGGCACAGGGAGCCTGGGCTGGAAGAGGCAGCAAAAGGGAAAATCAGAAGAGTGGACACTGGCAAGAGGAGGGCAGCCTTTTTCCCAGCTTCCTTGCACCATGGACAGCTCCCATTAAGCCACCTCTCCATCCTGGGGCCAGGACTCTTATGCCCCATTCCTGTCAAATTGAGATTTCATCCACCATTCTCCAAGGACAGTGAAGTTATACCCTAGTTCCAGTGTTGGGTGAGTCCTGCCTTGACCTGTCACTGCTTCTCTTTAACACCTTGGGGCGCCCCATCTGGGGCCTCTTGCCTTTTTCCCTTCCCCACCCTCAACCAGTCACATTCCCACTCCCTTCAAATCCAAATCCAAAGAAGATGACTGCTCCCAACCCACCTTCTGCTTCTCACCCTTCCCTGCCAAGTTAGTTAAAAGACTTAGCTTTTTGTAAAATCTAGAAAATACAAAAATAGTATCTACTTCATGGGGATATTGTAAGCACTAAATGAATTAGTGTATGTACAGTGCTTAGAGCCCTGCCCAGTTCGTGGTAAACGCTGCATGATTCCTAGAGACTGCTATTATTGATATTCTTATTGCTTCCTCAGTTGTGTCCTTCTGGTAAGTGACAAGTGCTCTCTTTTCCTAGAGCTTGGGGAAAGCCAAGTGAAGGGAGAAGGAAGCCTGTGCCCCTTCTTGCCCCACTTCCGTTCCTCCTTCCTCCGCTCCTCCACCCGGGTTCAGAGATGCAATAGCATAGGAGGATGTGTCTCTTTCATTCCTGTTCAGGAGTGGCCTTGACCATTGTACTAATAATCCTGTCCTGTGCCTGGCCACTCTGCCTACTCAGTCTCACAGGAAAGACTGAGGAGGGCCAGGTTTCCTCCTTAGGGAACACCTGCCATGTGCCTACTGCATGGGGGCCAAGCCCCACCACCCTCCCTGTAGTTCCAACTGTGCTCCTCCTTGCCCACTCCCGCAAGAAGCTAGGTGTGTCCCTCTGGGGCAAAGTCCATGCCAGAAGTTTACAGGAGTGGGTGTAAAAGCTAGAGATGGAAAAATAGAGACAGACATGTAGCACATCCAGAGGTCCTGACAACTGCCTGTTTGTTGGGGAAGCAAACCCCACTTTCATTTTCTTTGGGAAATTCCAATCTCTTATGGAGGAATCCTGCCTCTATCCTCTATAATTCTGCCTTGTCAAGTTCCCATTTTAAAAATGAAGCTCACTGTAGCAATGACAGGGAAGGAGAGACCTTTGGAAGAACTTCTGAAATGGTTATGGGTAGGTTGGGTGTCTTTAATAGGGGCTGTGAGAGGTAAGGTGTTGAGAAGAAGCACTGGGGGTAGATGGGGAGTCTGGACCCTGGCCAGGGCCCATTGTAGGAGAGAGAGGGCTTTCTGTACCTGGCGGCAGCACAAGTCTTTGCTTACACTTTCCTCCTCAGCCCTCTCTCCTTCAGTCACAACTCTGCTCCCCCAGTTGTAGCCCACTGGGTGCCTGCCTTCCCCTGGTGGTCAGAGGAAGGTGTTCCTGTTCCACCCCTGCCCCACCCCCACCAACTGTAACCCAGGCAGCAGAGGATCTCCCCCACCTCCTGCTGAGAGTTTCAGCCTCCCTATTAGCTTGGGCTGGTCCAGAGGCCTCTCCTAGGTTGGGGGCTCTCTTTAGGGCCAGGGTAGGAAGAGAGGAAGGCTCTTTTGGTCCTTCTGCCATCCTCCCCTCAAACAGTTACTGGCCCCTAAAGCTGAGTGGACATCAGCAAACTGTGCCTCTTATTCCCAGGATCAGTGGCCCCTCTGGACATGCCTCTCCTGGAAGGTTCTGTGGGGGTGGAGGATCTTGTCCTCCTGGAACCCTTGGTGGAGGAGTCACTGCTCAAGAATCTTCAGCTTCGCTATGAAAACAAGGAGATTTATGTGAGTGTCATATGGGTGCCTCTGGCTGTGGATATGTGGCTGGAGAGGTCACAGGCTCCCACCTCACCCTCAAGCTCATTCCCTTCACCTTCTTCCTGGCTCCAGACCTACATTGGGAATGTGGTGATCTCAGTGAATCCCTATCAACAGCTTCCCATCTATGGGCCAGAGTTCATTGCCAAATATCAAGACTATACTTTCTATGAGCTGAAGCCCCATATGTGAGTAGGGGGACCAAGGGAAGGCTGACAGGGCCCCAGCTTCTTGACACTGAGTCATCCTAATTTCCTTTGTCCCTTCCCCTGAAGGGGCTTCTCCAGCTGCCCCTTCCTTCCCTGGCCTTCTGGAGGCCCCTTCCAAGGCCTGTCACATCTTGCCCAGTCTGCTCCAAGTAGAGAGAGTGGATGAACCTGCGTGCTGGAGATTGAGTGAAAGATGGTGTCTTGAACTGGTTTCACAATAGTCATTGCCCACTTCCTCCCCACAAGCTACGCATTGGCAAATGTGGCGTACCAGTCACTGAGGGACAGGGACCGAGACCAGTGTATCCTCATCACAGGCGAGAGTGGATCAGGGAAGACTGGTGAGGCCCCTGGCTGGGGGAACACATGGAGTCACCTCTGGAACTGCTTCCTTGTCTCTTTGCAAGCCAGACCTAGACCTGACCCTCCACCCCACAGAACTTCCTTTCCACTTTTTCTGACTCCAAGGGGTGGTGAGGCACTGGGGTGAAGCAAGTTAAGGAGGTGGGGGGATGGGCTAGTCCTGGGTGGGGACCCATGAGAGCGTTTTGCCTGCACAGAGGCCAGCAAGCTGGTGATGTCTTATGTGGCTGCCGTCTGTGGGAAAGGAGAGCAGGTGAACTCTGTGAAGGAGCAGCTGCTACAGTCTAACCCAGTGCTGGAGGGTGAGAATTCTGCTCTCTGCCCTCTCCACCCTCCATCTAACCCCCAGAATCACTGAGCCCTAGACCCTCTTCCCCAGTGCTGCAAAATCACCTCTCTTGTTCGACCCAGAAAAATCTGAGATTGTCATGAGGACTGGAAGCCCTTCCTCCTTTCCCTTCTCTAGAGTTTCACTTCTCCCCTCCTCATCTCTGTAGCTTTTGGCAATGCCAAGACCATTCGCAACAACAATTCCTCCCGATTTGTGAGTAAATGTCTCCCCACCTGGGAAGAGAGGATGTGGGGGCTTAAGAGGGAGGAATGTGGCACAGACCCCTTCCAGGCAGGGTGGTGAGAAGAGGAAGAAGCTAAGTCTCTCTCTCTGGTCTCTCTCTGAAGGGAAAATACATGGATATTGAATTTGACTTCAAGGGATCCCCCCTCGGTGGTGTCATCACAAACTGTACGTGTCTCCCCAATTCCACTCACCTGTCTTCCACCTGCCTCCCATGGCCCTTTCTGCTAATCTGTTCCTGTAGAAAGGCAGAATGTTAGACGTCAAGGAGACTTCCCAACCACTAGGAATGCCGGCGATGGGGGCATTCTCCAGTAGGGCTGGAGAAGCTACGGCATCTCCCAGGCCCTCAGGATATTATTTTTCTAATTCTCTGCCAGATCTGCTTGAGAAATCCCGATTAGTGAAGCAGCTCAAAGGAGAAAGGAACTTCCACATCTTCTATCAGCTGCTGGCTGGAGCAGATGAACAGCTGCTGAGTATGTGCCTGCATGGGGAAAGTGTCCTCATGAGTGACACATGGCAAAGTCCCCAACCTCCATTCAGTCCCAGAACCCCTGTTCCCTCTGGGCCCCTACAGCCCTCTTCCCTTGAGCCTCCCAGATTTTCCTTGCTGCATTTCCCATTCTCAGCCTCACCCACTCATTGTTGGGAACAAATTCCTTTACCCCTGTGTTCTCTTCCTTTTCTGGGGTTTTATTGCCAGGGATATGCCTTCTTGCCTCTTCACTGTTCTCGTTCCTCTTTCCTGCCTGGGTTCTGCTTTCCCTGAGCTGGCTTCAAATATAAAACACTTATATCCATCTACTTTCCTTCCTACCTTCAACTTAAGGGGATTTAATTAAAGCAGGGAAGCAGGCAGAATGTTGTAAGTGTTCAGGAACTTTCAGTGAACTCTAGTTGAAGCTGTCCTGGGTCTACATCTGCCTTACCTAGGACCCTGTTCCTGATTTTCTTTTCATTCATTCATTCACTCATTCATTTATTCATTCATTCAACATCTCTTGAACACCTATGATCAAATATTATGCTAGCCTCTAGGGATACAGAGTTGAGTAAGACATGACCCTGTCCTCGAAGAACTTATAGTCTTCTAGGGATAAGAGGTGTGTGAGCAGATCCATTGTAATATTGTGTGATCGGGGCCATCAGGCCTGTGCAGCTGGCTATAAGAGCAGAAGACCTAGAGCCCCTTGGCTTGGCCTGGGGAAGGGTCCATCACAGCCTGGATGCTGGACTGGCCTGAAGTGGCTCTGGGTGGGCATCACTGGAGTGTCTGGTGGACTTTAAGCCCTACTGGAGTTTGCCTCCCAATCTCCTCTCTGGCTGTGAGCACCGTGGGTGTCTGGCCCCTAAGAATGTCTCTTTGGTTTCTGGTGATTCTATGATAGACCTGTGCTATCTCCTTTTCCACTCTTGGAGATCTCTGTGATCTTCAGGAACCCCTGCAGATCTCATGCTCTTTCCTGGCTTAATAGTTTTGGTTATGTTCAACTTGTCTGCATCATGGGCATTAGTGTCTTGTTCTGGTTGGTCTGTCATCTATTGGTTTAAATCAACTCTAGATGAGGTCTCCCAGGTATCATCATCCCCAGACATTCTGACTCATTCTCCCTCCAGATACCCTCCTTAGCAGGCCCTTGTTTCAAACTTTGTGTGCTGGGGGAGCTGCCATTAGACTATAGTTTGAGGGATACTCCCTGATTCTCAGATCATTTGCATACCAGATAATTGACATCCCTCAAACTCCATGATTAACCGAATCCCTCCCATCCTAGGGAAACAGCTTTGATCATTCACTTGATTCATTTATTAAAAAGAGAAAATTTCCTGCATGCCAGAAAGGCACACAGAATATGGAGATGAGAAACACAGTCCCAACCCACAAGTTGCTCATTTATGGGAGAGACAGAAAAAAACAAAACCTAGCCCATATGATATGGGCTGGGATATAGATTCACCAGTGGGGAATGCAAGACAGCCATTTGGCTCAGGCCCTCAGCATCAGAGAAAACTTTTCAGAAGAGGTGTCAGGGTCAGGGAACATGCTACCTGCCACTTTATTGGTGTTTGGTGTTCAAACAATGAATGAGCAACCCACGCCAAGAGTTGAGGCTGGGGGCAGGCAGGAGATATGCGCTTACCCTTCTCCCCTTACCTTCACCGTCCAGAGGCACCTGCGTAGGATGGAAGGGTTGCTTGTTTATTTTTATTGTTTAGAACCCTGAGGGTAGGGAGAAGAGTAAAATGAGGGTTTTGTTTCATAAAAGTTGGGGGAAAACCCAATCAATATGAGCATCAAAACCCTAAACACTACTTAAAAGTATACTTAAAAATTTAGTCTGTTAGGCCGAGTGACTCATGCCTGTAATCCCAGCACTTTGAGAGGCCGAGGCGGGTGGATTGCTTGAGTGCAGGAGTCAAGACCAGCCTGGCCAACATAGAGAAACCCCATCTCTACTAAAAATACCAAAATTAGCCAGGCGTGGTGGCATGCACCCATAGTCCCAGCTACACAGGAGGCTGAGGCATGAGAATCACTTGAACCTGGGAGGTGGTGCTTGCAGTGAGCTGAGATCGCACCACTGCCCTCCAGCCTGTGTGACAGAGTGAGACCCTGTCTCAACAACAACAAAAATTAGTCTATCATCACAGGAATTAATGATCCCAAAACAAAGGAGGCAGGGGAAGAACCCAAAACAAAAATGACTCCTTTGGATAAGTGAATGAATCCATTAGGGCAAGGGCTGTGAGGTGTCAAGGCTGGAGGGCTCCAGAGAGCCTGGGTACTAACCATCTTCCCCAACACTGGCCCTCCCAGAGGCCCTGAAGCTTGAGCGGGATACAACTGGCTATGCCTATCTGAATCATGAAGTATCCAGAGTGGATGGCATGGACGACGCCTCCAGCTTCAGGGCTGTACAGGTGGGTGCCCAGGGTGAGGCAGGCTTGGGCCCTTAGGTCATCCTCTATTCGCATTGGACTGGCACCAACAGTTCAGCTTTTGATTTCTGCTTTCTGCCTAAGAGTGCAATGGCAGTGATTGGGTTCTCGGAGGAGGAGATTCGACAAGTGCTAGAGGTGACATCCATGGTGCTAAAGCTGGGGAACGTGTTGGTGGCTGATGAGTTCCAGGCCAGTGGGATACCAGCAAGTGGCATCCGTGATGGGAGAGGTCTGCATCCCAGCCTGCTGGAGCTCCTACCCAGACCCTGAATTTCCTACTACAAGTCGTGTCCTTCTACCATCTCTAGCATAATTGATCTCACCCTGATGCAGTCCCACTCAGCCCACTCCTGAGTTCTCCCCTAAACAGACTCACTGAGAACTCCCGATGAAGCATATTGGAATGAGCTTTTGAAATTTGATATATCTAGGTCTGGAAATTCTCTGAGTCTGAGTTGATTCTTCTGCAGAATGGGGATAATCACACCTAATTCAGGAGATTCTCATATTAAAGTAGATGATACATGCAAAATGCCCAGATCCCCTTTCTTCTGTCCCCCAACTCCCTGAGATTCCTCCAGGGCCATGTTCTGGGTTGGCTGCAATGACTTCTCCAGTGAGACCCCAGGACACCAGTGTCTCAGGCAGTTTCACTTATCAGATTGCACTCCCTCCCCTGAGAGAAAGCTGCCTCTAAGGACATGCTGTACTTTCTCATTATCCCAGGTGTTCGGGAGATTGGGGAGATGGTGGGCTTGAATTCAGAAGAAGTAGAGAGAGCTTTGTGCTCGAGGACCATGGAAACAGCCAAGGAAAAGGTGGTCACTGCACTGAATGTTATGCAGGTAAGGAGCTCACTGGAGTGGAGGGGGCTGTTTCGACCCTGTTCTGTGATGCCACCCTAATCAGCTGTGCCTCACCCACAGGCTCAGTATGCTCGGGACGCCCTGGCTAAGAACATCTACAGCCGCCTCTTTGACTGGATAGTGAATCGAATCAATGAGAGCATCAAGGCAAGTGGCCGCTCTGCTTTCTCCATGCTCTCCTGTCTGCCTCACCTTCCTGCCCTGTCACCAGCCCTATATCTTGGTTTCTGAGATGAGCAGAGTAGGGAGGATGATGGGGAGGGTACAGTTCCTTCTAACAGTGTGTTGTCATGGAAACATCACTGGCTTTTGAGTTAGACAATCTGGATATATCATCTACTTACTTAATTCAAAGTCATGTGGACTTTCAATTAAGTAAAAAGTCATGTGGACTTTCAATTTCACAAAGGTTCTGGGCCTCAGTGTCCTGATTTGGAAATGCCCACTAAGAAACACTAATATGCTGGGTGTGGTGGTCCATGCCTGTAATCCCAGGACTTTGGGAGGCTGAGGTGGGAGGATCACTTGAGCTCAGTAGTTCAAGACCAGTCTGGGCAATATAGTGAGACCCCAACTCTATATTTTATGAAAAAAAATAAGTTAAATAAAAAACTATTTAAGAAACACTAATGCATTCCTACCTGCTTCACAGGGTTTAATAAGGATCAGATAAATTATGTAAATAGTTACCATATGATACCACAATTCCCACTCCTAGGTATATACCCAAGAGAACTGAAATTAGATGTCCTCACTAAAATTTGTGCACAAATGTTCACAGAAGCCTTATTTGTAATAGCCAAAAAGTAGAAACAGCCCAAATGTCCATCAACTGATGAAGAGATAAACAAAATGTGGTATATCTGTACAAAAGAATGTTATTTGTCCATAAAAAGAATGAAGTACTGATACATGCTTCAAGATTGATGAGCCTGGAAAACATTATGCTGAGTGAAAGAAGGTAGTCACAAAAGACCACATTTTGTTTGATTCCATTCATATGAAATGTCCACAATAGGCAAATTCATAGAGATGGGAAGTAGATCAATGAATGCCAAGGGCTGGGGGGAGAGGGGTATGGGGAGTGACTAATAATGGGTATAGGATTTCTTTTGTGGGGTGGTGAAAATGTTCTGAAATTAGATAGTGGTGATGGTTGTACAACCTTTTGAATATACTAAAAAGCCACTGAATTGTACATGGTATGTGAATTATATTCAGTAAAGCTGTTATTAACAAATTATCCACATGGAAGTGCCATCTATTTAGAAGCTATTACTGAAAGGTAGTAGAATAAGAAGGAATTTGAGTCTAGGCTTGGTAAGTACCTATCCTTCTGAAATTTGACTTTGTTATCTGTAAAATGGGAACAATAATACCTTATAAGGTTATGATAAATAAAGACATGGAATCTTTTGTAAAATGCTCTACAAATATAAGAGATGGTTATTGTCCTGAGAGGTTTTATTGTCTTTCTACCTGGTACCATCGGAGCACCATCCTGGAATCTATCTGTATCTTCCTTTTCCTCCTTTCCTCCCTCTTTGCTTGTTCTCTAGTGTGTGGAGGAGGGAGAGTAAAATCACAACAATTCCTTTCCAGTTTGGCAAAGCTCTTGCTAGTTCTGTTTGCCCCCTACTCCAACCCCATCCGCTCCAGAAGGACCTGGCCTGGTGTGCAGAGGGGGCCTGTCCTCAGATTTATCTTTCTCTCCTCTTCAGGTGGGCATCGGGGAAAAGAAGAAGGTAATGGGAGTCCTTGATATCTACGGTTTTGAGATATTAGAGGTGAGAGTGCCTCACCTCAGCACCCTGCTCCCCTAGGATTAGAGGTGGACAGGCTCACAGGGGGGATGTGAGGGAGGGGAGGTAGGACTGAGACGGAGAAACAGTCTTGGAGTGAGCTCTCTAACCTGTGCTCCCTCTCTCAGGATAATAGCTTTGAGCAATTTGTGATCAACTACTGCAATGAGAAGCTGCAGCAGGTGTTCATAGAGATGACCCTGAAAGAAGAGCAAGAGGAATATAAGAGAGAAGTAAACCAAGTCTTTTCTACTTCCCCCTCTTAAACAACTTCTAGGCATATGCCAGAGCTTCCTTTCTCCTTGATCACAATTTCCTCTACATCGTCCCCAGATGTGAACACAGAGGACAAAATGTTTCCCTTGCATAGTAGATCATTCCAGCATTACCAAGTAGCCCTAATCCTCTGCTCTCCATTCTTCATTTCCCTGGCCTCCCAGGGTACATGTGTGGAAAGTCCTGACAAGAGGGAAGTGACAGCTGTGCTTGGCCTATGGCAGACTGTGAGCCAAATATAAAAAGGACATTTCTTCTGGGTTTGGCCCAACCACATCTCTTTCTATGCCCTTCTCTAACATCTCAGAGTCCTTGGTCTCCCCCGGGCCCTAGCTAGAGTTGCTGTCCTTTCTTGTAACACCATGATCCCAGACTTCCTCACCAGAAGTACCCCATGGCTCCAATTTCTATGGCTAAGTGTTAGAAAAGCTCTCTGATTGAGCTCATTACCTTCAAAGTGTGAATGGCTGAGAGTCTCACTCATCAAAACCCTCCCAGGGATGTTCCCTTGTGAGCTCTCAGGAATAGGTTATAACAGAATTTCAGGCAATGTGGTCACAATGTGTGAAAAAGTTTTTTTAGTTGTTTTGTATGTTTTAATTTTAACGATTTAAATGATCAGATACATAATACATTCCCATGCTTCAAAATTCAAAAAGCTTAGAAAGTATATAAGGAAAGTTTCCCTCCTACTTCTGCCCCTAGCCTCCTAGTTCTCCTCCCCACCCAGAGGCAACCAACATGGGCTTCCTTCCAGAAGTCCTTACGCATATGCAAGCAAATTTGTAAATATATTTCCCCACAAAATCTATACAAATGGCAGTAAATACACTCTGTTCTGTACCTTATTGTCATCACGTAACGAGATCTTTCCATGTCAGTATGTAAGGATGCTTTTTTACAGCAACACAGTATTTTAAGAATATCATAATTCCTTTAACTGGTTGGGGAAGGTATTTGGGGGATGAAGTGGGAGGCAACTTAATTTAATTTTGTTTTCTTTAAAGACCTGTGATAGAGGGAGGAAAGAAAGACCTATGCTTCCCAGCCATACCTGAGAATGTCCCAGCCTGGAGCGTCTGACCCTTGGGTGGGATCAGGAGCTATCCTGTCTGTAGGCCTGATGCCCAGCAAGTCCCCAAAGTAGAGAACGATTATCTTTGGGTCTTCTGCTTTTGTACCATTCTTGCTTTTCAAAACATTATATAGTCTCAAAGTCTCATGTAGATAAAGTGGTTCCTAAAGGGTAGTCCTGGACCAGCAGTATCAAAATCACCTGGAAACATGTTGGAAATGCAGATTCCAGGCCCACATCCCAGACCTGTTGAATCAGAAACTTGGGGAGTGGGACCCAGAAATCTGTATTTTAACAGCCCTCCAGGTGGTTGTGCTGCACACTCAAATTTGAGAATCACTGATGTAGATCTTTGAAGATGTATCAAATTAGCCTTGTTGTTTGATGATAAACTCTCACGTGCTGTGGTTTTATAGAGCACAGAGTAGTGTGGCCGCTGTTGCACATACGCATGGATCCTTCCCCACTCCCACACAGGAAATCTCTATCCTAATCTTCACTCAACATGTTACACTTCCCTCTCCACCCTACACCACCTACAGGGATCTCTGCATTGTCTCACCCTCTCTCACAGCTGCTCCAATTCCTTCCGTGTGTCTGTCTACCCACCCCACAAATTCTCCACCAACCTTGGAGGGATGGGGACATAAATAGAAATCATACCAAGGACCCCTGTGAACTATGGGGCTTTCTGATGTCCTTTGTTGGGTGGGTGAAAGGCTAGATCTGGTGAGGTCTCTGGAGGCTTGTCTTGGACGTGTTCCCTGTAATTTGTTGTCTCCCCTGACCAGGGCATACCGTGGACAAAGGTGGACTACTTTGATAATGGCATCATTTGTAAGCTCATTGAGCATGTGAGTTGTCATTCTCTTATCTGTGGGACTTCCCCTTCCAGACTGCCTGAACATCCTTCCCCTGTCTCTCTCCCTGATTCCCCACTTGGTAGGGACAGTAAAGAGGGCAGAAGATAAGAGTGGAGAAAGGGGGCAGCAATGAGAACGTGGACATCTCGGAGGACCAGATTTAGGTTGGGCTTCTTTTGTTCCCCCGGCCCAGAATCAGCGAGGTATCCTGGCCATGTTGGATGAGGAGTGCCTGCGGCCTGGGGTGGTCAGTGACTCCACTTTCCTAGCAAAGCTGAACCAGCTCTTCTCCAAGCATGGCCACTACGAGAGCAAAGTCACCCAGAATGCCCAGCGTCAGTATGACCACACCATGGGCCTCAGCTGCTTCCGCATCTGCCACTATGCGGGCAAGGTGAAATGGCAGGGCTGGAGGGCAGAGATTAGGGCTCAGGCCCAGACTGAAGTCAATGGGGGAGGAACCCGGGGAAGGTGAGAGTCTGGAATACTTCACAATGAGACTGGGAGGGCCAAGTGCTGGGACAAGGTTGTGGGGTCTCCAAACCAATAGCTGCTCCTTTACAGGTGACATACAACGTGACCAGCTTTATTGACAAGAATAATGACCTACTCTTCCGAGACCTGTTGCAGGCCATGTGGAAGGCCCAGCACCCCCTCCTTCGGTCCTTGTTTCCTGAGGGCAATCCTAAGCAGGCATCTCTCAAACGCCCCCCGACTGCTGGGGCCCAGTTCAAGAGTTCTGTGGCCATCCTCATGAAGAATCTGTATTCCAAGAGCCCCAACTACATCAGGTGACATGCTGGCATGCAGGGGAACATGCTACATATGTGATGGCACGTGCAGGGTCCATGCGCTGTAGAACACGTCCATGTGGGGGTGCTTCTGGAATAAGGATGTCAGAGGTCCTTTCCTCACAGAAAACAGTCAGATAAGGAGCTGAGAGTCCCACAGGGGGAGAGCATCAGATTCGATAGGGAATACATAGAAGTGAGTGAAACTGGGGAGGCCAGTGTGTCTACTTTCTTTGAAACTTTTCAGTGAAGTGCACCGTGTGCAGCATAGGGGAATATGATGGGTTACACTGGCAATGATGTCAGCTCCTGAAGGCTGTGCCTTACCCCACCTCCCACCAGGTGCATAAAGCCCAATGAGCATCAGCAGCGAGGTCAGTTCTCTTCAGACCTGGTGGCAACCCAGGCTCGGTACCTGGGACTGCTGGAGAACGTACGGGTGCGACGGGCAGGCTATGCCCACCGCCAGGGTTATGGGCCCTTCCTGGAAAGGTACCGATTGCTGAGCCGGAGCACCTGGCCTCACTGGAATGGGGGAGACCGGTAAGACCCCATGGGGAGACTGGGCATCAGGAAAGGGCAGTGCAGGAAACATCTCTGGGGGAAGAGACCTGGAGGTGCAGTGCACATCTGCTGAAGCTGGGTGAATGGATACTTTGAGAAATGAATTGAATGATCACTTCTTGGAGGCTGAAAGGATTAGGGGAAAGGTGGAAGAGGACTTTCTCCTGAGATACCCCTCTGCAGCTTTCTGTCATTTGCTTCCATAGGGAAGGTGTTGAGAAGGTCCTGGGGGAGCTGAGCATGTCCTCGGGGGAGCTGGCCTTTGGCAAGACAAAGATCTTCATTAGAAGCCCCAAGACTGTGAGTTAGAGAGTGCATTAGCATTTGGTGAGGGTAGAAGGTGGAAGAGCCCACCTGAGAAAGGCTGGAGGGGGAGGGAGCGTGTATAACCTGGAATGGATCACTGTCCAGTGGATGGGAAGCTTCCTGTCTGCAGGAACCGTATCCCTGGGAATTGAACTCTTGGGTTCCTACACTGCCCTGAGCCTGGGGAGCTTGGTGCTGCATGGCTCTAAGTGCCTTTGCCTGAGGCAGAGCCCTTGAGGGTTGGGGTGATCAACTTCTAGCTTACTGCCTGCTACAAAGTTAGAGTTAAGTAGATACTTGTTTACTGAATGAATAAATGAGCAAACTAAGAAGACAAAGGAATGATCAAATAAGGCCTGGCTGGGAAGCCTCAGTACTGTGGGGTATAGGAGAGGACAGCACTGTTCCCCTGAGCCAGTCTCTCTGTCACCCCCTTCCACCTCTCCACAGCTTTTCTACCTCGAAGAACAGAGGCGCCTGAGACTCCAGCAGCTGGCCACACTCATACAGAAGATTTACCGAGGCTGGCGCTGCCGCACCCACTACCAACTGATGCGAAAGAGTCAGATCCTCATCTCCTCTTGGTTTCGGGGAAACATGGTACGGTCATCCCCAAAGTCCCACTCTGTTCACTCTAATAGGGAAGATGGAAGGTGGCTCAGGAGGTGCCATTTTTCTAACAACTCCTATGTTTTCTACAGCAAAAGAAATGCTATGGGAAGATAAAGGCATCCGTGTTATTGATCCAGGCTTTTGTGAGAGGGTGGAAGGTAATGGAGAGTGGAAGAGAGGTTTCCTCACATTGTTTCTCCTGGATTGTGTCACCTGCTGGCTAGAGCAGCAGAGAGCTAGTCCTGCCTGCACCCAGGCCGCACCTCTGTGTATCAGCCGGTCCATGTGTGGGTGGGTGTCTGGGAGTGAGAGGCCTGTAGGGGAGACCTGTAGAGGTGTCTGGGTGGGTAGATGCCTAACTTGGCAGCAGAACTTTGCCTTCTGCTCTAAGTGTCCTCACTGCCAACTTGTCTGATTTTACTTCCAACTTCCAGCTACAGTCTCAGCTCTTTATCTTACTCAGGTCTTTGCGTGGTTGAAAAATAGTACAACCTCTTCTAGAATCTGCCTATCTTCACTTTGGCTCCTTTCTTGTACTTTTCTGCCAGGCCCGAAAGAATTATCGCAAATATTTCCGGTCAGAGGCTGCCCTCACCTTGGCAGATTTCATCTACAAGAGCATGGTAAGTGGTAGGGGTTAGGGTGGATGTTAGGGATGGAGCAGGGAGGCACAGGTTTGGGAGAGGGGTTTGAGAAGAGGCAACCCAAAGCTTTCCCCCAAGAGTTTCCTCAGTCTGCATGTACTTAAGTCCTAGGAGAAGAGGGCAGCTACCTGCAGGGACCAGGCCCCAGTGCCTTGGACTCGGGGGCAGAATCAGATAGCATTTTGGCATGAGTGGACAATCCAGGCAACCTTGTGGCAGGAAGGGGTCTCAGCACACCCACCATCTGGTCTATGGTCAAATAGCCTTGTGAAGATCCTGGGGCTGGATGTTTAACAACTGTTGAAGAGGCTAAGCCTCATTGAAGAGTAGAGTGATCCACACATTAACTAGCTCAACCTCCCAAGATCCATTTTAGGGTTGGGGTGAGAGTAGGCGAATTGTATCTTCCTTCTACTTCCTCTGAAACTATTGTCAGCAAGTCAGAAAGTAAATCTCAGGAAGGACCTATCCTAATTCTGGAGGACGTGGGTCAGGCTGGATGGGAAGACCCACCTGGAAGGCCTACATATTCAAACTTACAGACAGCTCCCAGGGGGAGAAAAACAGGGACAGAGAAGAGTAACTTCTGGAGACTTCAGTCAGATAGCAATAGTGCTTCTGAGAAGTGTCAGGGAGGAAACCAGGGAGGGAGAAGCACTTCCAATGAAACCTTGGGAAAGGCCAGAGAGAAGGAGGAAGAGCATGGGATCTTGGACAGAGGCTGGAGCAAATTGGTAATTGACCTCCGCTGATTGGGTTTTTGACCATAGTTAGGACCCTGACTGTGCTCATTCAGACATAAGACATGTTTGCTTGCAGCCCCTCTTTGTTGTTTGAGAGTCTGGATCCCTCAGCTCAAGAGAGGAATGGGGGCTCTGAAGCTCTGGACCTCTTTTTTGCCTTCCTGAGCCTTCATTTGCTCGTCCTCTTCCCCTTCCCAGGGAAGTTCCATCTTCCAGGTCTCTTCAGTTGCCTGATCACCTCTTGTGCTGGTGCCAGAGTGTCTGCCTTCCCACCATACATGCTTCTTGCTACACACCTGAGACCTGTAATCTGATTTTGCTGTTATCTCCTGACTGCCCTTCTTCTTCCTTTTCTTTCATCTGTGTATTGTCAGGCAGCTACTAATTGTCAACCCAGAAGCTGCTGGGTTTAGACCAGGGTCTCAATAAATCACACCCCCACAGAAGCCTGCGGGCACTGGGCACTGATTCCCCCAGTGTTTCTGAGTATTCCAGTTTGCCACTGCCTTGACTGTAACTAATGCTAGTATCCATTCTCATTTTTTTAATTTTTATTTATTTATTTATTTATTTTTTGAGACAGAGTTTCACTCTTGTCACCCAGGCTGGAGTACAATGGCGCGATCTCAGCTCACTGCAACCTCCGCCTCCCAGGTTCAAGTGATTATCCTGCCTCAGCCTCCTGAGCTGGGATTACAGGCATGCGCCACCATGCCCAGCTAATTTTTGTATTTTTAGTAGAGACAGAGTTTCACCATGTTGGCCAGGCTGGTCTTGAACTCCTGACCTCAAGTGACCCGCCCATCTCGGCCTCCCAAAGTGCTAGGATTACAGGTGTGAGCCACTGCGCCCAGCCTATTTCTTTTTTGAGATGGAATCTTGCTCTCTCGCCCAGGCTGGAATGCAGCAAGCATGATCTCGGCTCACTGCAACCTCCATCTCCCGGGCTCAAGCCATCCTTCAGCCTCGGCCTTCCCAGTAGCTGAGACCACAGGCACATGCCACCACGCCTGGCTAATTTTTTATATTTTTGGTAAAGATGTGGTTTCACCATGTTGCCCAGGCTGGTCTCAAACTCCTGAGCTCAAGTGATTCACTCGCCTTGGCCTCCCAAAGTGCTAGGATTACAGGTGTGAGCCACTGCACCCGGCCTTACCCATTATCTTTTGAACATCTACTATGCATTAAGCTCTTTACATGCATTAACTCTAATACTTTCAATAACCCTGTGAGGTAGGCTCTTTTCTTTCTCCCATTTTGTAGTTAAAAAGCCAAGGCTCAGAGAGGTTAAATAACTTGCCGGGGGTTCCACAGCTGTAAGTGGTAAAGCTGGGTTACAAACTATTTGACTCTAGAGCTTTTAACCACTGCCTAAGACTGCCCCTCATCAATAGAGGCTTGGGCAACCCATGGCCCTAGGCAGACCTGGGGGCAGGAGGGCTGCATAGGAAAGGGCAGAACTTTCTAGTTCTAGAACAAACAATAAAAAGAAGAAAGCCTTCAGAGGCTCCACATTAATTGGAACAAAGGGGATTATGACAGATGCTTAGGCATGTTTGTTGAATTATTAATAAATAAAATCAGACTAGGGACTGGGGACTCCAGTCTTGGAGGCCTTCACAGGCCCAGATCCCAAACCCACCAAACCCACTAGACCTGCAGTGGAAGCTACAATGAGCTTGGATAGTTCCTGCAGTTAACAGCAATATACTATGTATTCTGCCTCTTTCTATTTAAATTTTTTAACCTGATATCTTAGTAAAACTTTTTCATAAAAATTCCAGACATTTGGAAGTGCCAAAAATCAAGTCATTTTTTATATCTTCAGTAATTCTGTGCCATAAACAAACAGGTTGCTAGGTGCTCTATGGGATGTAAAACCTTGGCCAGGCAAGGTGACTCACTCCTGTAATCCTAGCACTTTGGGAGGCTGAGGCGGGAATATTGCTTGAGCCCAGGAATTTGTGACCAGTCTGGGCAACATAGTGAGACCTAGACTCTACAAAAAAAATTTAAAAATTAGGTGGGTGTGGTGGCTCATACCTGTAGTCCCAGCTACTTGGAAGGCTGAGGTGGGAGGATCGCTTGAGCCCAGGAGGCGGGCAAGGCTGCAGTGAGCTGTGATGGTGGCACTGCACTCCAGCCTGGGCGACAGAGCAAAACCCTGTCTCAAAAAAAGAGGCAAAAACAAAAACTTAAGAATCCTTGTTCTAGATTGGGGCAGACTAAAGAGTCAGTTGCCATGGATGAAGCTTGATTGGATCCTGGAAAAGGAAAAATAAAGCTTCAAAGGACATGTTTAGAAGTTTATAAAGGACATGTAGAGAAATCTGAGAGTGGATCGCTGTTGGATTAGTGATGTTGATTTTCTTAGGTGTGGTGATGGAGTTATGATTGTGTAAGAGAATGTTCCAGTTCTTGGGAGAGGCATGCTGACATTTTAGGGTAAAATGTCATGATATCTATAACCTACTTTAGGATGGTAGGGTAGCAAGGATTTGTGTAAATGTGTATATGCATGTATTTATATGCACACATATGTGTGTGTGTCAGAGCACACAGATAGTGCAAGGTGTTAACATTATCAGTTGGTGCATTTAGATGAGGAACATACAGTATACAGATGTTAATTGTATCTTTTTTCAACTTTTCTGTAAGTTAAAAAAACTTTCAAAATAATAAGCTATATTGAATTTTTAAAACATCATATTATGCTATTCTTCTGTATAAATTCTCCAATGGTGTTCCATTTCACTCCTTACCACAGCCTACAAGGCCCATCATGATCTGCCCCGACCTACTCTCTGATCCTCTCTCTTCCTGCTCAAGTGATTCTGGCCACCCTTTTTTTTTCTTCTTTTTTAGACAGTCTTGCTCTGTCACCCAAGCTGGAGTGCAGTGGTGCGATCTTGGCTCACTGCAACCTCCACCTCCCGGGTTCAAGCGATTCTCCTGTCTCAACCTCTAGAGTAGCTGGGATTACAGGCATGCGCCACCATGCCCAGCTAATTTTTGCTCACCCTGGCTTTTTAATGTCTCTGGAATATGCTGCCACTCATTCCTGCCTCAGGGTCTACTTCTTTGCATCACAGCAGATGCCATTATCTGACATCACACTATATATTTATTTGCTTGTGTAGTTGGTCCCCTTCTCCACCCTACAGTAGAATGTAAGTCCAGTGAAAATGAAGACTTTGTTCACTGTTATGTCCCAGTACCTAGAACAGTTCCAGGCACTAAGTAGACACTCAATAAATGTTGACTAGTGAAAAAAAATGTGAGACCTGGGATCCTGCCTTATAAGGACTCAGTGTCTAGAAAAGGGAGCTGTTTTCCATGCAAATAACTGTAGTACAAAGACGAGTGTAGGCAAATTGCTATGGGGCTTCAAAGAAAGGAGAGGCAATCCGGGGCTTGGGGAATCAGGGAGGGCTTTGAGCTGATCTCCCAGGTTGGCAGAGTTGAGTCAAGAGAGCATCGAGAGCTAAGGCACACAGTGATCATGCATGGGCTGGGTAGGGGCATGGGAAAGAGTCCTGTCCGGGTGGTGTGCCCAGGGAATGCAGGGGTCCTGCGACATGAGGCTGGGCTCTTAAGTGTCAGGGAGGAAACCCAGGAGAGAAAAGCACTTCCAGTGAAACCCTGGGAAAGGCCAGAGAGAAGGAGGAAGAGCATGGGATCTTGGACAGAGGCTGGAGCAAATTGTAACTGACCTCCGCTGATTGGATTTTTGACCGTGGTTAGGACCCTGACTATTGCTCATTCAGACATGAGACACATTTGCTTACAGCCTCTCTTTGTTGTTCGAGGGTCTGGATCCCTCAGCTTAAGAGAGGAATGGGGGCTCTGAAGCTCTGGGCCTCTTCATTGTCTCCCTGAATTCATTTGCTCTTTCTCCTTTGCTCCTTTATTTGCTCCTTCTTCCTTTGAATGGAGGCTGACATGTTTGGACTTGACTGATTTGAGAGGAGGGGAAATTTGGTACCTAGCCAACAGCTGACACAGACAGTGGCTGCCACCTGTAGGCAATTGTGAACAGAAGGAATAGAAAGCTACAGGAGCAAAACTTTGAGACCAGCTTTCATATTGGTTCCTCTTACCTCACTGCCCTGGGTAGCAGGTCTTTGGTTGGAACTAATCGTTCTCTCCCTCCAGTCTCCTATTCATGCTCTTACCTCCCGGCCTCAAGCCTGCACCTCTTGCTGAAAAAGATCCAAGAGGTGACTCCCTTCCATCTCTTCAGCTCCACCCCTTGCTTCTCACTGTGGGTTAACTTCCTCCTTTGAAGTGGCAGGATCTGGGTGCCAGTTTGCCTGTCAGGAAGTGTTTCTTATCACTCCACTCCCAATCCCCCTGGTCCCAAACTAGGTACAGAAATTCCTACTGGGGCTGAAGAACAATTTGCCATCCACAAACGTCTTAGACAAGACATGGCCAGCCGCCCCCTACAAGTGCCTCAGCACAGCAAATCAGGAGCTGCAGCAGCTCTTCTACCAGTGGAAGGCAAGTGGAGCCCAGGCACCCCTCCTCTCATTTCGTCTTTTTTTTCCCTCCCCCTGATTTTCCTCTTTTGCCTCCCTCTTCTATTTTTTTCCCATTAAAAAAATTGTGGTAAAATATACATAACATACAATCTACCATTTTAACGGTGTTTAAGTGTATAGTTCAGTGGCATGAGCGACATTCATGTTGTTCTGCAGCCATCACTGCCATCCATCTCCATATGCGTTTTTCATCACCCCAAACTGAAACTCTGTACCCATTAAGCAATAACCCCCTATTCTCCCATTCCCCTAGCCCCTGATATCTTATAATCTACTTTCTGTTTCTATGAATTTCACTTTTCCAAGTGCCTCATATAAGTGGGAATCATATTTGTCCTTTTGTGTCTGGCTTATTTCACTTAGCATAAAGTAATTTGTTCTTTTATTCAGGAAATGCTTATTGAGCACCTGTCTGGGACTAAGCCTTGCCCTGAGAGCTGAGCATAGAGCCCTCCTGGTGCTTTTATTTGATGGTGTCCATTCCCTCCCCTAGCCTCCCTCAGTTCTCGCACTCCTCCTCAATGGTCCTCCAGCCCCGGCCTCTCCCTGAGGTGTCTAGTGCCTGTCCTTTTTCCTCAGTCTCTCTCCTCTCCTAGTGTCTTCTAGTCAATATTTCTCACCTCCCTCCCCAGCCCTGCCCTCCCACTCTATGATTTTAGCTCCTGTCCCTCCTTCCTCACAGTGCAAGAGGTTCCGGGATCAGCTGTCCCCGAAGCAGGTAGAGATCCTGAGGGAAAAGCTCTGTGCCAGTGAACTGTTCAAGGGCAAGAAGGCTTCATATCCCCAGAGGTGAGGGCCTCCCAGACCCTGCACAGCCAGTTCCATCACGCAGCAGTTCTCAAACTTGAGCGTGCCTTAGAATCACCTGGCAGGATTGTCACCCCCAGGTGCTGTGTCCCTCCTCAGAGTCTCTGATCCAGCAGGTCTTGGGGTGAGGACCAAAATTTGCCTTTCTAACAACTCCCCAGGTGGTGCTGATGTCTTGGTCCTGGACTGTGCTCTGTGGACACTGACAGAGGATACGTGGATGTGGGGGAAGGGCCCGGGAGGACTAGGATGGGAACTCTGGGGGTGGGGAAGAGGCCTCTGGGCCTTGTCGCGCTGCACACCTCCCATGTGTTCTCAGTGTCCCCATTCCATTCTGTGGTGACTACATTGGGCTGCAAGGGAACCCCAAGCTGCAGAAGCTGAAAGGCGGGGAGGAGGGGCCTGTTCTGATGGCAGAGGCCGTGAAGAAGGTCAATCGTGGCAATGGCAAGGTAAGGGCCTGCAGGCTGAACTCCTCCCGCAGCTAGTGCAGAGCTGTGGGCTGGCATCTGGAGAGCAGATGGCAGGCTGTGTTTGCGCCCTGCCAGGTGGAGTGGGGGCAATTAATCCTGCCTTTCCTCACCCTTGCCTGTTCCGTCCCTAGACTTCTTCTCGGATTCTCCTCCTGACCAAGGGCCATGTGATTCTCACAGACACCAAGAAGTCCCAGGCCAAAATTGTCATTGGGCTAGACAATGTGGCTGGGGTGTCAGTCACCAGCCTCAAGGATGGGCTCTTTAGCTTGCATCTGAGTGAGGTATCAGAGCTGGGTGGGGCAAGCCTTGGACTGGAGAAGGTGGTATGCATCCCAGGGCTGGGGCAGGCTGGAGGTGATGGGGACCAGACCTTTCGCTCTGGGCCTTTGATGTCCCTCAGGTGCTCCTGAAGAGAAAAAATGAATCCCTTTCCTGCTATTTTTCCCTCTTCCTAAGATGTCATCGGTGGGCTCCAAGGGGGACTTCCTGCTGGTCAGCGAGCATGTGATTGAACTGCTGACCAAAATGTACCGGGCTGTGCTGGATGCCACGCAGAGGCAGCTTACAGTCACCGTGACTGAGAAGTGAGGCCATGAACTGGGGGTGAGGGGCGGCTTACGGTAGATGGCCAGGCTGATGGTCATCGTGACCAGGATCAGAAAGCGAAGCATGTAGGGCAGTGCAGGCCGGGGCTTGGAGGTGTTTCTCAGGCCCCCACCCAGGTTCTCTGGGGCCTCAAGTCCTCTGACTCGCATGATGGGGGGGCCATCATGGAAATGCGGGAGTCGGGGTGAGGGGATGGGCACTAGACTTGGTTTTCTGTTCCCTCTCCAGGTTCTCAGTGAGGTTCAAGGAGAACAGTGTGGCTGTCAAGGTCGTCCAGGGCCCTGCAGGTGGTGACAACAGCAAGCTACGCTACAAAAAAAAGGGGAGTCATTGCTTGGAGGTGACTGTGCAGTGAGGAGGGGGCACCATGCAGAGATGGCAGTTGCTTCCTCCTGAACCAGCACTAATCCCCCTCTGCCCTCCTGTGTGGGAGGATCTCTAACCCCTCTGATCGTGGCGCATGGCTTGGGGATTAAACTACCCTTGAAGAGGACCCTTGTCCCAAACCCTTCTTGTTCTCTCCTCCAAAAGTAGCTTCCTCCAACCCGCAGCCTCTCTGCACACTAATAAAACATGTGGCTTGGAAAGGTTCAGTCAGGGTGGGTGGGTCCTTGTTCCCCCTATCTTTTCACCCAGGTGTACTTAGACCCCTGCCCCCATGCCCTTTTTCCTCCTCAAGCTCCTTGGAGCCAGCTAGTGAGGTAATAAGAAAGGAAAAGAAGGAAAATTGTCTCCGGGCTCCTTGACCGGCTGAGCTCTGGGGGGGTGTTTAGAGAGACTGCGGTGGGTGGAGGGGCTGCGGGGGGAGTTAAGGATGGGGCTCAGGTCGCAGGTGGCCAGTGGACTGATTCATTAAGTGTGTCCCTGGAGGAAAGAAGTGAGCATCCCTGTCTTGGCAGAAACTGGGGTCCTTTGGCGATTTAGCCTGAAAAGCAGCCCAAGGCTGGAGGGCTTATGTATGCTGGGGTGCTGGGGAATGCAGGGTCTCCTGTACTTGGGAACGCCATCACCCCTTCTACTCCCACACACAGCACAGGGCTCCATCACACCAGCCTCCCCGACACCCCCTTCCTTCTCACACACCCGAGATGCCAAACTGCTGCCAACAGTTATCTTGCTCGTCTCTGTCCCACAGCTGGGGCCTGCAGCAGGTGGCACTTCACATCACTCACTTGATGAGGCTCCCTCATCAAGACCCTCCCATCCCTGTAACCTGGCCCTTTCCTCTCCTCTTCCTTTATTTTTCCTGCGTCATTGTCATTATCTTTTTCTCACCCTCCCAACTATCTCACACCATCTCATTGTCCCTGTTTCTGTGAGCTCTGACTAATATCAATATGTAATATTTTGTAAAATGCTTTAAATATTTTCCTACTCCCCCTCATATCTATTTTCTCATAGATTCTGTCTTGTCTGTCTTGTCTCTACCTTCTGTCTGGCCTCTACCTTTGGGGAACAAGCTGCTCATGTAGTCACAGTAAAATTTAGATCTGTGGTCTGTGAGAGCTTAGCAGGGTCTGCCTTTGTTTTTGTCTCTGGCTGTCTCTTCCTCTTCTCAAGATCTCTACCTTGCCTACCTCTTCCCGCTTCCTTCCCTTAACTCACTATGCCTTGGGGCTGGGGTCTCCCTCCACCTGACTTCCATCTGCAGGCAGCTCACGGCCGGCTATCATGCTGGCCAGGGAGAACTGATTAACTTCTCTTCCTGCCTGCAGATTAATCTGCTGTCTGAGCACAAGCCACGTGCTTCTGGCACACCCTGCTTTGAGCTGAGATAGAACCTGGGGAATCATCTGTTTTCAGGCGGGTGAGGGGCTAGAGCCTGCCTTGTTTGGGAGGAGGGTGGCTCTGTTCAGAATAGGGGTAGCTCAGGCTCTGGCCAGCCTTCTCCCGCCCCCAACAGCTCCCCCCATCCTTGACTTCTCAGAATCAGGCCGAGAAGAGCCTATCTGGCCGAGAGTGGGGTGGTGACCTGCGCCTCATCGCCCCCGCTCTCCATCTCATCTCCTGCTCCCAGGGCCCAAATTGTCGTCACTTTCCCAGTGAAGTGTCTGGTCATTTTCAGAAGCAATTTCAGGAGAACATGCAGCTGCCGCTCCCTATCCTGCATTTCCCTTCACAGGGCTGAAGGCACTGTCAGCTCCCTGGGCTGGGGGTGATGGGAGAGGGGAAGGGCTAGGGCCCTCACCCCTGTCCTCACTGTGCCCATCATGTAGATGGACTGGAGTTCAAGGAAGGGCAGGCACTCCCCTCCTCCTTTACTCTTCTGTCACTCTCTTCCTCCTCTTCTTTCCTGTCTCTGCCTCTCTTTTCTGGAGCCTAGGAGTGTGTGTTTTCATCCCCTGAAACAAATAGGGACTCAGTTTCCCCACCTGTGTTACAGGGTTGGAATTGGCTCCATCACTGTGGGAGAAGCTGGAGTTCTGCTACCAGTCCTCCCCTCCCCAGCCCTGCCTCTTCTCTCCCAGCCCTCTCCCTTCAGCCAGTTCAGCGCTCTGAGAGTCTGGGTTGTTTCAGCCTCTGAGGGGCACAAGCCATCCTGGATTCCCCTAACCCCATGAGGAGCCATTCTAGCATCTCACAGCTTAAACCAGCTCTAGCTCAGTCCTCCTGGCTTAGTCCATTTTTCTTCCTCAGGCTCTGAGGGCCTCTTGTTCCTTGCTCTGTGGGGTTTTCTCCAGTTGTCTCCTGGCTGCAGGACATGGCAGGACATAGAATGCTGTCATCCTTCCACTCTTCATTGGCATCTCCACCCAGTGTCACATATGACCCTAGCCCTGCTCTCCCCTTGCCAGTACCCCTCTGGGATTTTGCGAGAGTCCACAAGTTGTGCATGTGGTGGATATATTCAGGCCATCTTGTGTGTACAAGCTAGAGGGTCTGCTTCCACCTCTGGCCCTCAGTGAATTGCTGACTAACCTGTCTCAACACAGCACAACTGTACACACCTTTTCCTGGCCTCATCCCTAACCCATCATAGCAGCAAAGAGGGGAAGTTGCAGGGGAGGAGCTGCTAAGGACCCTGGACTCCAAGTACCCTGCTCCTCTAGGCCAGGGACATCATCTGAGATGTGGCTCAAATAAAGGGTGGGTGTTCAAGAAAAAACACTTGGGGACTCTATAGCTGCAACACCCACTTTACATGTCATTTCCATATGATTTGTAGGCAAAATGAAGCCCAGGCTGTCCTAGCCCTCCAATACCTCCCTCTCTCATCACCTCTCCAACATAGCCTAGCATTAGCTCTTTCAAGTCTTTGCTAATCCCAGAGATCAAGGGGTGATCAACTCTCCCTGCCATCCCCTTGTTCCCCGCACCCCCCGCCCCGGCTCCCCCACCATCCTTGGCTCCTGCCATCCTCTTTGAGATGCTGCATCATCAAAGGACATTATTTATGGTGTACCTTTGCTGAAGCCCTGCTTCCCTGGTGCCAGGGCTTGGGAGCAGGGATGGGTGGGTTGGTGGGGGAGAGGGGTGGATGCAGAGATTGGACCCAGGAGGCTTTTAGTCCTCAGCTCTTGGCTTAACACCTCCTCCTCTTACACACCCAACTCCCTCCAGCCTGCCCAGCTTGGGCCTTCAGCTCCAGATTGGTGGGGTTAGGAGAGGAGGAGGAGGGAGATGGATGGAACCAATTAGGAACAGCACCTGGGCTCCTCACAGGAATGAACCAGTCATGCCATTTGCATGTAAACAGCTTCCCACTTCTCTCCTCATCCTACCAAATGCTCCCAACCCTGGGTTCTGGCCCATGTTCTTTGCCCACACAGCCCTGTAATTAGCTGGGTAATGAGAAGCTTTTAATGAGTCCCATTAGCATCTCGTGTAATAAAGAGGCCTTGAGACCCAGCTGCTGTCCTCACTTTGGGATGAACACGGGTCCCTGTGTAGCCAGTGACTTCTGTCAGTACAGTCTAAGTTCTCGGATGGGGTGGGAGACAAACATTTCAGGACCCCAGCAGCACTTGAGAGGTTCCATGGTGGATCCATGTTTTTGACTGTGATACAAGAAACTTGGCTCTGGCTTCCTTGTTCATTTTGTAAATAACATTTTTTCTTCTTTTAAGAGACAGAGTCTTACTTTGTTGCCCAGGCTGGAGTGTAGCAATGCAATTATAGCTCACTGCAGCCTCAACCTCCTGGGCTCAAGTGATCCTCCTGCCTCAGCCTCTGGGATAGCTGGGGCCACAGGCATGCACCACCATGCCTGGCTAATTTTTAAAAATGTTTTTGTAGAGATGGGGTCTTACTTGCTATGTTGCTCAGACTGGTCTCGAACTTCTGGCTTCAAGCAATTCTCCCACCTCGCCCTCCTAAAGTGCTGGGAGTATGGGCATGAGCCACCATGTCCAGCCTTGTAAATACATTTTTATTGAGCACCTATTATATGTCAAACATTATAAAGTGAGGGATACAGTAGCAAACAAAACAGACAAAAATTTTTGCCATCATGACACTTATATTCCTGGGTGGGAGTGGTGATAGAAAGACAATAAGTAAAATACTTAGCATAGTGGATGTAATAAGTTCATGAAGGGAAAAATGGGAGTGAGGTATATGGAATTTTGGGGTGGTGATAATTTTAAATAGGGTGATTGGGGAATGCTTTGTTGCACAGATTGTTTTTGTAGTAAATATGAGATAAAGATACGGTTCTCTCCCAAACTCAAAATGTAGAAGAGTAGAAGGTCCCAAATCTTCAAGTCTCTTGGAGAGGGGGGCCACCCATTCCGTCTGGGACAGTTAACTGTTCCCTCACAGGTCAAAGTTTATGCCAGTGCAGTAAAAAGAGTGGGAGACCTGGGGTGAGACAAACCTGGATTTGAGGCTGTTCTTCACTGATTAGTAGCCATATGTACTGGAGCAAGTGACTGAACCTTCTGAGCCTGTTTTCTCATCTGGAAAATCAGAATATTTCCTACTTACATGGTCATGGTGATGAAAACCAGATGGACTGCTCCATGCCAAAGCACCCTGCAAACATTCAAACCCTGCACCCATTACAAATACTGGGCTGACGGATGGCTCTGGCTTTGCTTTTGCATCTCCGCTGTCTCATTCAGCAGCAGCATCTGGCTCTGGCTCTCGGCTCTGATCCTGGTTCTGACTCTCCCCTGGAGCTCTCTCCCTTGGGTGAGAAATAAGCAGATAATCTCCCTCATCTGTGTGTGGTGTGAACAAGAGGCTTGAAAGGTCAGAGAAGAAGATGCCTGAACTGCAGGGAGACAGATTAGAGTGGGGAAAATGTAACTCTGAGGAAAAAGGGAAGCAATTAAGAGATCAAGGCCAGGGGCAGTGGCTCATGCCTGTAATCCCAACACTTTGGGAGGCTGAGGCGGGCAGACCATGAGGTCAGGAGTTCGAGACCAGTCTGGCCAACATAGTGAAACCCCGTCTCTACTAAAAATACAAAAAAATTAGCCAGGTATGGTGGTGTGCACCTGTAATCCCAGCTACTTGGGAGGCTGAGGCAGAAGAATTGCATGAACCCGGGAGGCAGAGGTTGCGGTGAGCCGAGATTGAACCATTGCACTCCAACCTGGGCAACAGTGTGAGACTCTGTCTCCAAAAAAAAAAAAAAAAAAAAAAATCAAGGCCGGGGAGGGGGCAGGGGTGGCACAGCTATCGAGTTCTGTTCATCCTCTGTGAGATTACATCAGGAGGTGTAAAAGAACTCTAGAAGAATGAAGCTAAGTCCAGCTGATTCAGGGTTCAAGAAGGATTGAGGTGGGAGAGGCATCATGACCACTGGTGAGGAGTGGAGGAAGGCCGACACTGGAGCTTTCTTTGCCCAAGCAGAGGAGGGGTGTGACACTCTTGAGGACCAATGTAATGGCGCAGCTCCCTCTGGGAGGGGGAAAGGAGAGGACTGGAGGGGATGCTAAACTGACCTTCTAACCTTCAGGGGCCTGAGTCTGGTTGTCCTGGGTGGGGAGGGGCGCCTGCCTGAAACTGTTTTAGCCCAGAAGTCAGGCCTGAAGGTTAAAGGGCAAGGAGCTGGTGGATGAACAAGGTGGGGAAAGAGGCCCAGGGTCCACATCTACTGAGCTGGACTCAGGCATGGGAATTGGTGTTGTGAGGGCCAAGACACTTGGCCTCCTAAAAGTTTGCTGAAAATCACTGACATGAGAGTAATTGATTTATAGGAGAAAAGGTAGATAAATTTATTTAATATGTATATATGAGCACCTTTAGAATGAAGACCCAAAGATATAGGGGAAATTGCCAGTTATTTATTTATTTTTTTTGGAGATGGAGTCTCACTGTGTCTGCCAGGCTAGAGTGCAGTGGCATGATCTCGGCTCACTGCAACCTCCGCCTGCTGGGTTCAAGCAATTCTCCTGCCTCATCCTCCTGAGCAGCTGTGACTACAGGCACGCACCACCATGCCCGGCTAATTTTTTGTATTTTTTAGTAGAGACAGGGTTTCACCATGCTGGCCAGGCTGGTCTGGAACTCCTGACCTTGTGATCCGCCCGCCTTGGCCTCCCAGAGTGCTGGGATTATAGGCATGAGCCACCGCCCCCAGCCTGAAATCGCCAATTTTATGTTTATGTTTTACAAAGTATGGACAGCTGTGTAGAAATATGACTGGACAGAAGGGCATGCTCTAATGTTAACAGACTGAGTGGGGAAACCCAGGAAGGCCTGTTGAGATTCCTCCTGGCCTCTCTCATTCCTTCCTTCTGGGTATGGGGCAGGACCCTCTCTGGAATGGGGAGATCTTAGGACCTAAGTTAAATAAGGTAGGTCAGATAATTTTTTATGGCCAGTTTTTACATACAGTAATTTTAGGTTTTATGGCTGGCTTTGGGGAAAAGAGGTCCTGGTTTTTATAGCTGGCCTTGGGGGAGAATGGGACCCAGCAACAGGAGGACAGGAGAGGGTCAGAGAAAAACTTCTGCTTCTGAGGCTGCTACTGAGGCCTTCATTTTAGGGTATTGTCTTCTGAGCCCCAGCATTCCTCGGTGTGAAAAATTTTAAAGAAATTTTATAGTCCAGAAATTGAGTTGGTGAATTGTCTTATAAGCCATGGAACTAGTCTCTTAGTCCTGAGAATAGGCCAGTCTAGTTAAATAGTTATTAGTTGTGTCTAATTTTAGGCAGTGTGTTGCAGATGGGCTTCCACCAAAGCCAGGCCTCTATATGATATGAGTAATCAGTTATTTAGTAAGAGGCATTTTTGTCTCAAAAAATAAATAAATAAAAATATATGAATAAATGAATGTATGTTTCTTATCAGACTACGTCTGTTCTATCATTAATTCCAGAAGGGAGGAGGGTCTGGTTCCCCCTTCCCATCATGGCCTGACCTAGTTTTCAGGTTAATTTTAGAACACCCTTGGCTGTGAGGAGTGGTCCATTCGGATGGTTAGGGAGCTTTAGGATTTTACTTTTGGTTTACAAAGTAATGTGAATTAAACAGACATTTGAGTTAAAGTTTTTATTTTTTAATAAAATATTTGATTTAAGCATTTTTTTAACTGAATTAATTAGAGCTCTTTTATATATTTTGATAATGGAACATTACATACACAGGCACATATAAATATATAGACACATAAACAGAAGTAGAGCTTATAGATTTATACTTTTTTTTTTTTTTTTTTTTTTAATGAGACAGGTTCTCCTTCTGTCATCTAGGCTGGAGTGCAGTGGTGCCATCACAGCTCACTGCAGCCTTGACCTCCAAGGCTCAAGCAATCCTTCTACCTGACTGGCTAGCTGGGACTACAGGCGCGTGCCACCATGCCTGGCTAATTCGTGTATTTTTTGTAGATATGGGGAGTTTTACCATCTTGCCCAGGCTGGTCTTGAACTCCTGGGCTCAAGAAATTTTCCTAACTTGACCTCCCAAAGTGTTGGAATTACAGGCATGAGGCACTACGCCAGACCAGATTTTTTATTTGTCAGTTTCTAGGTAGTTTTCCCCAACTTCAGACTATCAATTTTTAAATTATCTGTTTTATGTCTTAATTATTAACTAGGCAACTCTAAACTTGTATCTCTAAGACATGACTTTTAGATGAAATAAGGTAGAAAATGTATATTTCAAAGGCATAGAATTTAGATCTAAATAAAGGTAAAGTTATCTAAATTTTAAGCCATTGTCTTTTCTATTCTAAAAGGTTTTGGAGGTTTGGGTGTAGAGAGGGAGATGCCTTTACAAATGGAATTTTTGTTGTTGTTTTTGTTTTGAGACGGAGTCTTGCTCTGTCACCCAGAGTCTCGCTCTGTCGCCCAGGCTGGAGTGCAGTGGCACGATCTCCGCTCACTGCAACCTCTGCCTCCCGGCTTCAAGTGATTCTCCCACCTCAACCTCCTGAGTAGTGGGGATTACAGCTGTGTGCCACCACGCCCAGCTAATTTTTGTATTTTTAGTAGAGACCGAGTTTCACCATGCTGGCCAGGCTGATCTCGAACTCCCAACCTCAGGTGATCCGCTCGCCTTGGCCTCCCAAAGTGCTGGGATAACAGGCATGAGCCACTGCACCTGGCCTTTTCTGAGTTTTTTAAGGAGTCTGAGTCATTAGAAGTCTTTTCTAGATTTTTTAAAAATGTGGTATTGAAGATGGCAAAGAGGAAGGAGGAATAGGGTGGAGTAAAAGTAAATGGGAGGATAGTTTTTAAGAAAGGAAGTGAATAGAGACATCAAACACATTTTAAAAAAAAGATTTTAGTCTACTGAACAAAATTTTTTAAAATAGGATTTAAAGAGAAAACACAGAAGGCTTTAAAAATATACACATAGCTTGAATATTAGCTTTTAATTAAGCTGACTTCTAACCATGGAGCTCTTTAACAAAAATTCTTTTAAATTTGTCTCTCTCCTCCTTTAAAACTTTTTGTAGAGATGGGGTTTCGCCCTGTTACCCAGGCTGGTCTCAAGTCCGGGCAACTTCTGGGCTAAAGTGATCTGCCTGTCTCGGCCTCCCAAGTGATAGGATTACAGGTGTGAGCCACTGCGACTCACCTTAAATCTCTTGTTACCAGATTTTAGTTGGGACAAATGCTGATATTTTAAAAGTCACATAAATATTAAGCCGAAAAGGACTGATTTCTGATTAGGAAGGAAACCCTAAGCCACGGTGGGAATTTTAATTATTAAACTGTAAAATGGAGCAGCCTCCATTGTTAATTTTGTATGGAATCCAAAGTGGCAGTTTGAGTGTAATTGTTTTAGGTCAGGTTTTTGTGCTTTAATTTAATCAAGACAATTGTTAAGGATAGCTGTGACACTATTATGTGTCCTTTTAATTTGATCTATCAATTCTTTAGAACAAGTAATTTTTTTAAATTTAGGAATTTTAGTCTAAAGGATTTATCTTTTGGCCATTGACAATTAGAATTTTTAATGGGGTATTTAATTCCAATAGCAACTTAATCCAAAGTTTTCTTTATGTCAAAGAAAACAGAAGCCCAGGAGGGATGAGACCTTGTAAGACAAAACTCCCCTAGGAGCTTGGAATGTTTGAAAATACATGTGTTGGGCTCCCAATCTTTTCATACTGGCTGTGATGTTACCTGAAAAATCACATCCTTTGGATGGTGGAGACCAAGCGGGAATATCCCCATCTAGTCACGTCATGCTCTCAAGGACATGAGACAAGAGGGAAACCTCTCACCCTGTTTTTATTTCAGGGACTGGCAGCAAAGTTTGTCATAACAGAAGTCAGCATAACCAGAACCACGAAACTGACCAGTTTGCAGGGCCAGTTCAAACAGTGGGTTGCAGGCCTGTTCTACCCTAGGGTACCCCTCCTTATGACAGAACACCAAAAGACAAGACAAAAACGAAGGAAAACGGCAACAACAAAAAAGCTATTTCTGAAAGGAAAATGGCAACAACAACAACAAAAGCTATTTCTGAAGGGAATGGGGTCAAACTATGAATACTTATACCACAAAGTACTAAAAAATATATCAGACTCACTATACCAAGGTTAGTCACACACAAAACCTGTTCTCTCATTAATCTTACATTTGGAAAGGAAAAGGGAAACAATGATTTTTACTGTCCACTCATCCAGAGTCCACAGAGAGAGGAAAACTGGAAAACTGGGAGTCTGGCAGGAAATTCTCACTCCTCTGCTGGCTTGCCAGGTTCCTGTATTTCCTTCTCTGTGGCTTCCAGAAAAGCACAATAGCTTTGGTGGTCTTATTTGTGATGCCAAACTGTGGTCTTGGCCCCCTAAAGTTTCAGTGAAAATCACTGACATGAAGCAGATTAATAGGGAAAAAGGCATACAAATTTATTAAATACGAATGGGAGCCTTTAGAATGAAGCCTTGAAGCTATAGGGGAAATTGTCTATTTTTATGTTTAGGTTTAACAAAGTATGGACAGCTGTGTAGAAATATGACTGGACAGAAAGGGCACGATCTAATGTTAACAGACTGAGTGGGGAAACCCAGCAAGGCCTGTCTGTTGAGATTCCTCCTAGCCTCTCTCATTCCTTCCTTCTGGTGTGGGGCAGGACCCTCTCTGGAATGGAGGTTTTATGACCTAAGTCAAATAACGTAGGTCAGATTTTTTTTTTTTTTTTTTTTTTTTTTTTTGAGCTGGAGTCTCTCTGTCAACAGGCTGGAGTGCAGTGGCGTGACCTTGGCTCACTGAAACCTCCGCCCCCTGGGTTCAAGCCATTCTCCTGCCTTAGCCTCCTGAGTAGCTGGGATTACAGGGGTGTGCCACCACGCCCAGCTAATTTTTGTATTTTTAGTACAGACAGGGTTTCACCTTGTTGGTCAGGCTGGTCTCAAATTCCTGACCTTGTGATCCACCTGCCTCGGCCTCCCAAAGTGCTAGGATTACAGGCGTGAGCCACTGTGCCCGGCCTTTTTTTTTTTTTTTTTTTTTTAGGAAGTTGTATTTTGGGCTTTTTAACTAGCTTGTTTTTTAATTAGATTATTGCCTTTAGGGTGGAGCCCTTTAATAAAAAGGGGGAAGAAAACATAGGTTTTAGGGCCTCATATTTAAATGGGTAAAGCAGGCATAGCTGGAAGGCAGAATACAGAACCCCCCTAATCAAGGATCTCATTTTTATATTGAATCCTAGGCCCCCCAAAAGAGGGAAATGTCATGGGACGAGATGTGTGGCATTTTTATCGAGTGCCCCACTGTAAAGATGCTCCCCCAAGGCTGGCAGGCAGCCCAGTGCCGATTAGCCCACTCTGTGCTTAGTCTTTTTTTTTTTTTTTTTTTTGAGGTGGAGTCTTGCTCTGTTGCCCAGGCTGGAGTGCAATGGCGTGATCTCGGCTCAATGCAATCTCTGTCTCGTGGGTTCAAGCGATTCTCCTGCCTCAGCCTCCCAAGTAGCTGAGATTACAGGCACCAGCCACTATGCTCAGCTAATTTTTTGTATTTTTAGTAGAGATGGGGTTTCAACATGTTGGCCAGGCTGGTCTCGAACTTCTGACCCCAAGTGATCCGCCCGCCTCGGCCTCCCAAAGTGCTGGGATTACAGGCGTGAGCCACCATGCCTGGCGTGCTTAGCCTATTTTTAATGGGAGTTTCATCCTCAATGGTGAGTGCTTTCATTGTCTTTAGGTGCCCCAGACCATGTTTTTAAAAATTTAAATGCACGAAGAAATAAGTAGCCCTGTATAGTAGTAATACTTTGTTGTGAATAACTGTCATAAGTCATCTCTAAAACTGTATTTTTTATCTAGTTATTATATATGACTAGCTATATGTCTAGTTTTTTAAATAATACAAAGTAATTTATTTTTGGCATCCTCAAAAACCAAAGAGATTAGGTAATGTAGTGTAGAAGAGAGCAGAGCTTTAGACCTGAGAAGAATCTGCCCATGACTCGTGAAACTCCACAACGAAAGTAGGAGACCCCAAAAAAGGGGTGAGTGTCATCTTTTCTGAATTTTTTTTTTTTTTTAGATGGAGTCTTGCTCTGCCACCAGGCTGGAGTGCAGTGGTGCAATCTCGGCTCAGCCTCCCGAGTAGCTAGGATTACAGGCACGCGCCACCATGACCAGCTAATTTTTGTATTTTTAGTAGAGACAGCGTTTCACCATGTTGGCCAGGATGGTCTCGATCTCTTGACCTCGTGATCCGCCCGCCTCGGCCTCCCAAAGTGCTGGGATTACAAGCGTGAGCCACTGCACTCGGCCGGTCAGATAATTTTTTTGGCCAGTTTTTACATAGAGTAATTTTAGGTTTTATGGCTGGCTTTGGGGCAAAGGGGTTCTGGTTTTTATAGCTGGTCTTGGGGGAGAATGGAACCGAGTGACAAGAGGACAAGAGAGGGTCAGAGAAAAACTTCTGCTTCTGAGGCGGCTATTGAGGCCTTCATTTTGGAGTATTGTCCTCTAAGCCCCAGCAGTGTCAAACTGTACACAAACCATACACAGCAGCCAGCTCGGGTGCTGTTAGGAAATGGTCTCACTGCTGGGTCTGTGGGGTATGTGTGTGTCTGGGTGTGTGGCTACTGTCTGCATCCTCCTCCCCCCTACAGCCTCCCCGCCTCCCCTCCAGCCACCCTGGGATTGGTGACTCTCAGCCCCTCCCCTCAGCTCCCCTAGACCCTCCCAGAGCCTTTATCAGGGAGCTGGGACTGAGTGACTGCAGCCTTCCTAGATCCCCTCCACTCGGTTTCTCTCTTTGCAGGAGCACCGGCAGCACCAGTGTGTGAGGGGAGCAGGCAGCGGTCCTAGCCAGTTCCTTGATCCTGCCAGACCACCCAGCCCCCGGCACAGAGCTGCTCCACAGGTAGGCAAGTGGGAGAATGCTGGATGGACCAGAGCTGGCACCAGGGGACAGGAGCCAGCGTCAGGAGGGAATAAAGCAGATGGCAGCCTCTGATAGGGGAGCAGGGGACTGGGAAGGTGAGCACAAAGCACCTGTAGGGCCGAGAGCTGGTTGGTGTTTGGAGCCTGTGGCTACAGACTCATTCTTTCATACCAGAAAGTTTTTGCCTAAGTCTTGGGATTATCTAGTACTGGAAAATAGCATCCAGGATCCCTCCTCCAGCTGACTGAGGAAACAGACCAGTCCATGTCCTACAAATCTATCATCTTTCTTGGGAGCTAGAGTCCTCCTGGCACCACTATAGCATTGCACATCTCCTGGGGAGATATCTGATGGGGTAGCAGGGAAACTAAGCCCAAGGGCTGTACCCCCTTCTCAGAAATACTTTCCACCCTCTCTCCAGACCAGGGCTTGGACAGTGGAGTTGGGGGCTGGGGAAGCAGGGTCAAGCCAAGCTGCTGGTAATGAATGTCTCTTGTGTCTTCACCCATGCTGTATCTTCCTCTTCTCTCCTTTACCTGAGTCCTGTCCCTTTGCTCTCCCAGGCACCATGAGGATCATGCTGCTATTCACAGCCATCCTGGCCTTCAGCCTAGCTCAGAGCTTTGGGGCTGTCTGTAAGGAGCCACAGGAGGAGGTGGTTCCTGGCGGGGGCCGCAGCAAGGTAAGTCTCCCCTGGCAGAGTACTGGGGACATCACGGGAACTTGGGACTCTGCCTGTCTGGACAGCTGTAGTGAGGAAACTGGGGTGGGGGGGTTGTCCGTCAGAGGGCATTTTGCCTCCCTTTGGATTTCTTTGTTTCTCTGGTCCTTTCATGTTCCCACTGTCTCCAGGTGTGTTTGTGTCTCTGTATCTCTGCATGTCTTTGACACCTTGTACATAAAAGGTGCCCTACAAATATGTTGTTTGGTGGGTTGATTGATGGGAGACTTGGTGATTGGATGGTACTGTGAGGGGTGAGCTAGGGTGGTCTAAGGCTCTCTATAGTCTACCTCAGGTCCCTTTGCAAGGGACAGATCTCTTCTATTTCCTGGATGGTATGAAACAGTCAGAATTTCTTTCCCAAATGGTTATTTGTGTGCTATTTTACCTATCAGTTATGTGTATTGTTTTATTTTCAAAATGCAAATAAATTCCCTTATCTTTTGCTCATCCACCCCCAGTAACCTCAGGTGCTTCTAAGATCCCAACCCCTTCCTTCTTCTCTTTTCTCCCTTGCCCGCCTCTATCCTCTGCTTAGTCAGGATAGGAAAACAACAACAGCAAAAAAACCAGATTGAGCCTCGATTTCCACAGTTCCTTTACGAAAAAGAATAGGAATTGTCAGGGTAGGGGTACAGGGGGAGGATAGGGAGGAAGTCTTTTCAAGGTTTTGAAATGACAGCAATTACATCGGTACAAATGCTTTTAAGATGATTGCGGGTGGGACTTATTACAAATTCAATGTGTGAAGTTTAACTGCCTCTTCAGCTCAAATCTGTTCAGCATCTCATTATAGGAGGTGGGCAGAGTATTCAACAATTTGGGAAAAGTGGCTGCCTGAACACCACATGCTGGGCCAAGGGAGTTATCACCAGGGCAGCCTTGCAGGTGGCAGCAGTTGTGCCATATCCAAAAGGCCAGAACCGTTAAAAAAAAAAACACCCAGGGGAGTGCCAAGTATGGGCTGGACACCGTTTGGAGCCACAAAGTTCCAGCCCAGGATAGTTAGAGTATCTGAGTTCTTCTGAGACAAACTTGTTTCAAGACCTTGGCCAATGAGATGTCCCCTCTGCCCCTCTTGGTCAATGAATGAGAGGGATTGCCATCCTACCCCTTCTCCTTGAGAGTCTGTGAGGATGAGGGAAATTGGGGCAGGAAGAGGGTAGTACATAGGTGTGCCTAGGCAACTGGGTTGGTATGTGTGGGGGTGTGTTCTGTGTAAATGCACTTCTGTGTGTGCACAACAGCCGAAGGATGCCTGGGTTCTGGAAAGAGAGGCGCTGCTGAGACTTGAGATTTGAGATGAAAATCTCCAGCCATGATCATTGTTATTGTCTCTCTGCAGCTGCAATTAACTGGCTGTGTGGTGTGTGCCCACCACCCTGCTGTACGCAAGTTGCTAAAAAAAAAAAAAAAATCACAGGGACAATCAAGAGCCCGTGCTGGGCAACAGCTCTAGAACTTGGGATTCAGTTGTGGAGAGAAGAAGACGTGCCTTCTGAGCATGTTGCCTTCCTGGAATTCTAGACCTAGGGCCAAAAGGGAGAGGGAGAGAAAACTAGAGGCGGAAAGCCATGGAGAATAGAGAAAGAGGTGGTGGAAAACAGGGAGAGAAACATCCATGGACATCGTGCAGAGTGGGGGAATCACAGGTGCAGATGTGTGCCTCCAATCTCACCATGCATGTGAATCACCTGGGGGGCTGCTTAAAATGCAGATTCTGTCTCAGGAGGTCTGGGGTAGGAACAAGAGTCTGCATTTCTAACAGGCTCTGTGTAGTGCTGGTGTTGCTGTTGGTCCACAGGTCACTCCTGGAGCACCTACTTCTCGTCCAGTGTGAACCAGAGGAAACTCTGAAAGAAATAGGGTGTCGGATTCAGGATGGGCTCAGGAAGAGGCTGTTTCTTGTGGGAAAAGGATGAGTGGATCCGGGTGGGAGCCTCCTGCCTCACCCCTCTTTGTTTCTTCCCTAGAGGGATCCAGATCTCTACCAGCTGCTCCAGAGACTCTTCAAAAGCCACTCATCTCTGGAGGGATTGCTCAAAGCCCTGAGCCAGGCTAGCACAGGTAGGAGGCGGCCCTAGGGGAGAGGGGAATGAGGGGCAGGATTCTGAAGATAAGAGGCCTGGGAGATCCTTTCAGATGGGAGAGAGATGGGGGATAGCTTAGTGAATCGGTGAGGGTTGTGATCTGAACCCCGCTCTCATCACTTTCCAACTTCACTCCCCATTTAGACATCTGTTCTTGGTTTCACAGATCCTAAGGAATCAACATCTCCCGAGAAACGTAAGTACCCTCTTCTCCCTCCCTATCTCTTGCCACTTGCCCAGAGCTCTGTGGGGCATTGGGCCCAGGGGCCATTTTGTCCAGCCCCTTCTCACCTGGTACAAACAATATGCCAGCTCCCACTGCTCAGCCAACCTTTCCTGAAAGGGAGAGGCCATCCAGAACTAGGAGGAAGCTGGTGTGAGGGGCATGGTGGGCTCTCCCTCTGCTGGCTGGTCCTTGGAAAACAAGGGGATCTCTTCGTGGCCCTGAAAATTCCAAATCAGGCACCTGCTAGAGCAGAAAATTCTTGAAATGTGGAGGAAGGAAAGGTGAGCAGAGAGAGTGGGTTTAGGGGAGGCACTTGCTAACTGTGAGGAGTCATGCTTTGACAAGAAAAAGGAACAGAGACCAGAAACCCAGTCTCAGAAGTGTTGACCCATGTCTGGGGAGATGCTTCACTTTCTCATCATCACTGCTGACAATGTTGGCCCTTTTCTGCAGGTGACATGCATGACTTCTTTGTGGGACTTATGGGCAAGAGGAGCGTCCAGCCAGGTAGGAGTGTGTGGAGGTACAGTGGAAGGGCTTAGGGTACTGGCAGAGTATGACAGAAGTCACGTGCCTCATATTTGTCACCAGAGGGAAAGACAGGACCTTTCTTACCTTCAGTGAGGGTTCCTCGGCCCCTTCATCCCAATCAGCTTGGATCCACAGGAAAGTCTTCCCTGGGAACAGAGGAGCAGAGACCTTTATAAGGTAGTCCTGTTGCAGCTGGGAGGAAGGATAGGGAGACTCTGCTTCCACCCCAGTCTCCCAACTCTGTCTTTGAACACTGCCCGTCATAGCCAGCCCTTTGCTGTTGGATCAGGGTGTAGTTCACATTCAGAAAGATCCCTCTTACTTACACTGTTCGCTTTACCCTAGACTCTCCTACGGATGTGAATCAAGAGAACGTCCCCAGCTTTGGCATCCTCAAGTATCCCCCGAGAGCAGAATAGGGTAAGGATTGTTCATTAGAGAGGGGAGAGGGGACTGGGGAGGGGGCTGTGGGGGTTGCCAGCTGTGCATTTCCTCCCATGCTACAGGTATTAAAGCTCATAGATTTGCCCTGAAATACACTGCCAATGCCCAGCACACTGTCGGCCAAACACAAAGACACTTAGAGGCACGTGTGTTTGTACACATCCCCCGTCTTTCATCTCTTTCCTCTGGATCATGGACGGCAGCTGACTATTGAGCAGGAGTGAGTGTTGGGAGATGAGGAGAGAGGGGCTTCCCCGATGGGCAATTTCTGTTGTTTGGACTTCATTCTTTTGTAATCTATGCAAAAAGATGGAGAAATTATTATCTGATAATTACAAATACCACAACCAATTCACAGGCAAGCATTTGCCTCCCAGGCAGGCTGAGCCTTTCAAATCACTCAGAATCCTGGGTTACGGGGCCCAGAAGGTAGTCATACACAAGGATGATTCAGGAAGAAATGCAAGGAACTCTGAAATCTAATGGGGATTAGCAGGAAACCATATCTGAATCTCTCTTTAGCATAATGAATAAGAACAATGGCCTGAATGTGAATCCTGGATCTGCCACTCTATCTGTATCTTTTTGGCCAAGGTACATATCCTCCTGTGCTTCAGTTTCCTCATCTGAAAAATGAAAGTGATAATAGTATCTCACAGGGTTGTGGTTTTGAGGATTGAGTATAGGTAAAGTGTTCAGAACAGTGCCGGGTGCACAGTGCTGTGTGCCAATTTTATGATAATTGTCCCAGTTTGGGAGGTATGGGGGATGTCCTAATGTTTCCCCTGACTGGCTCTGTCTGGACCCCAGGCCTGAGTGGGCTGACAAATTCCTCACTTGGTATGCGAGTGTAAGAGTCCCCCAGGGAAGTGTCTAGTCAAAACACGAACCTTCCGCCTTGACACTGTCTTCCCACACACAGCAAGAGCAGCTCCACCAATGGCTTTCTTTTCACTAGCTTCCAAAGAATTGGGGTGGAGGGAGTGAAAAGGAGAGGGAGAGAGATTGGGAAGGCTCGTAATCATGGAGAGCCTCCTGCTTTTCTCTCTGTGTCCCTGTTACCCATACTCACTGGTCTCAAGGTGGCACGCCCAAGACCCAAGGAGCTGGTGCTTGATGATGCTGCCTGTGCATGAATTCCTGGGACCAGAGACTGAGTCTGGCCCCCCATTTAGTGTTGGGTGAGAGGGCACAAAGAGCTATAATAACTGTAACTTGCTGATTACATGGTAGTTACTGTATCATTTTGCTCTCATTAGATGGTTATTTCAGTCCTGCCGACGGCCAGATAATTATACGAGCAGCTATATCTGGATGACATACTCTGCTCCAGCGTTATGCACTGGCCATAAAGATAATTACAGTGCAATTTTGCTATAGTATTTTATACAAATGGCAAAAACAAGTGCATTGTGGAAATCTACTTTTAATGCTTGTTTGTGCATCCAGGCTCTTTCAGAGGGACCCATAATTGCAGCTTTCATAATCTTACCATTGAGGGAGCATTCCCAACCTGTTAGGTGTCAGGCAGAATAGGACATAAGGTTTCTGGGAGCTGGCATTTAAAGATTAGATGAGATGGATCAACACAGATCATTGTGTCATCTGATTTCATTCATGTGAAACTGTAAGTAATCCCTGGGCCTGTGCTTCCTCTGGGAGGTTTCTGGGAAGAGGAGGAACTGGATAAGGCAGGGGGAGCATTCATAGTAGGGCACCTTGGGCAGGGCTGTGTGTGTGTCTGGCTCATGGTGGTGCTAGGATGGCATGAACTTGGTTCCTACATCTTTGGTCCACATGGGCCCCACTGGCCATGCACACAGGTGTGTAGAGTAATGTAAATATGGCAGCTGGGAAGGTGCAAGTACCTGCGGCTAGGAGAGTTCCATCCTCAGGCCCAAAGCCTGGAGGGCAGGCTGAGGGTCAAGACTTGTTCTTTCCTCTCTCACAGACGCCTCTCCCCTTCTCTCCTGCTGCCACAGCAGGTTTTCAGTGGGACTTTTTTACAGGATATAAGATGTGATTTCAGTGTTTTTTTTTGTTTTGTTTTGTTTTTTGTCCTCAGTACTCCACTTCCGGACTCCTGGACTGCATTAGGAAGACCTCTTTCCCTGTCCCAATCCCCAGGTGCGCACGCTCCTGTTACCCTTTCTCTTCCCTGTTCTTGTAACATTCTTGTGCTTTGACTCCTTCTCCATCTTTTCTACCTGACCCTGGTGTGGAAACTGCATAGTGAATATCCCCAACCCCAATGGGCATTGACTGTAGAATACCCTAGAGTTCCTGTAGTGTCCTACATTAAAAATATAATGTCTCTCTCTATTCCTCAACAATAAAGGATTTTTGCATATGAATGATGTGGTGTGTGTGTTTACTTGTTTGGTTGGTGGGTTTTTCTGTTCCTTGACTCCTCCAGCTACATGGTAAATACACACATACTTATGATACACACACTTCATATTTAAATGTAAATAACTTTACATATCTTTTTGTATATATCTATTTCCTGAACAGTGCCTTACACAGTGCTTTGCACGATGAGTATCAGATTTATTTAGTGATTAAAATAAATACACGAATTTGGAAGATGGTTTCTAACACACAAAGATTTTTACAGACCAGTTTTAGATAAAGAAAAAACAGGCCGGGCCCGGTGGCTCACGCCTGTAATCCCAGCACTTTGGGAGGCCGAGGCGGGTGGATCACGAGGTCAGGAGGTCGAGACCAGCCTGACCAACATGGTGAAACCCCTTCTCTACTAAAAATACAAAAATTAGCCAGGCATGGTGGCGCATGCCTGTAATTCCAGCTACTTGGGAGGCTGAGGCAGGAGAATCGTTTGAACCCAGGAGGCAGGGGTTGCAGTGAGCCGAGATCACGCCACTGCACTCCAGCCTGGGCAACAAGAGCAAAAAACTCCGTCTCAAAACAAAACAAACAAACAAAAAAAACAATAAAAAAAGAAAAAGAAAAAGAAAAAAAATATTCAGAATGACTTGTATTACTAGGATGGGTCTGGGAGATATTCATTCCTGAATCTGACCCTACTTAATTAGAGAAGGAGGTGGGGATCAAGGCTGTCCGGAGACCCAGCCACAGAGGAGGACAAATCTATGACCCTATACAATTTTTTTGTCTCCAAATGCTGAGCCTGGGTTCTGTGACAGATCCTGGGGATGAAATGATGACTCATACACAGAGTTTACAGTTTAGCAGGGCTGTGGACAAGCAAACAGAACTTGATCCAGCTAGGATGGGATGTGGACAGGGAAGTTACTACCGAGGCCAAGAAAGAGAGGAGCAGATATCTTCACCGTTAACTGGCTGCCTTAGTTATTATAAAGGGAAAACATTTATCTCCCACTCCTCTCTAAAGTGCCTGTTACCAGCTCCTGCAGCTCTGACTTAACAGTCCCCAGAATGTGTAAGGCACTTACATGTGGTATGCATGGGTATGGATGTCTTTTACTAATCTATGATGTCAACTATCACCCGCCATCCTAAGGGGGGTTCTGTACCCTAATGGAACAGCCAGTGAAATCCTCAGGCTCCTTATCTTAGCGTGGTACAGGGGCCTTTGTTATGCCCCTGAATTGCACTGATAAAACATCAACACATAGATTTCCCAAGGCAGTGTAAGGACAGGGCCACAGAGCCAGAGGCCACTTCCTGCAGTCCTTTCATTCTAGTGAAAATTCTATCTTCCTACAGCCTGACTTGGGGCCACTTTGGAATGACAGCTGTATAGTGGGGGGCGGGGAAAGGAGGGAATACTCACCCTAGTATTACTTATGTCAGCTTTATAGCCAGAGGTCAAAGAATGCCCCCACCCCAGAGCCTAGACCCTTTTTCCAGTGAGTCATCTCTTTGACTTTTCAAAATTATCTATCTATAGGGCTTAAAACTGGGGACACTTTTGCAGAGTCTAGGGGCTTTCTCTGGGTCATGAAAGCTACAAGAGTTGGTTCTGCTCAGACTTGGTGGGAGTTAGGCTTATAGGCTGAGATGAGACAATTGCTTTGCAAGTAGGAACATTAAGTGCAGAAAGATTGCTCTCTAGTGGGACTGACAAAAATTGCAGTACTGGGGACTCCAGAAAAAAATGAAGACAAATGTTAAGTTAGATTCCTGTGTTTGTACTTGAAGAATGTGTGAAGGGATCCTGACCCTCCCTTTCCTGTTGTAAAACAGTTGATGCCTAAAGAGATCTGGTCCACAAGACCTTGACTAAATTCCTGGCCCTTTCTTCTCCATTTAACTTTGTATATGTTTGTTATTGTGACTATATGGTGATTTACTTTAAAAAGACTTCAGTATAAGTGGTATATACTTTCACCTGCGTCTTTTGGATGATTTGTTTTCATGTGAAGTTTATTGGGGTCAACCCTCCAGAGATGGCTGGGGCAGTTGGTTAGAAAGACTGTATAGGCCCAGGCCCTTGCAAGCCCAGCAGCCCTCTGTCTCCAGAGTCATGCTGGAGGTCTGGACCTGCTGGCTGTGTGATATTCCACTTTAGGGAGACTCAGTCACCTTGCACAACTGTGAGAGCTGGGCCTGCCACTGAAACATTGTGTCAACCTCTAAGTGACCCTTTCACTAGATGGTAAAGTGAGATGCCTCATCCCCAAACTATAAGAACAGTTCTATGGCTGTTTTTGTATCTCCTGGCTAACAAATGTTACATGTTTGGCAGCATTTGGTATAGTGCTTGCTTTCAGTATAGTCTGCCACCAGTTAATGAGGTTGTGGAAAGGAGGACACACAATCTCCCAAATTCATCAAGAGAATGGACAATTGCTGAATGGCCAAACTGGCTTAGATCTGTTGGCAACATTCAGTGTGTCCCTTCCTTTCCACTTATCCATCAAGGAATTACTGAATCCTACCATGCGCCTGTCCTGGGAGTTTGTCCTTGGCTGCAAGCTATTTTCAGGCAGTGACTGGGATGGGATGGGAGAGAGGATGAAACTGAAGGGTCTTGGAGCCTAAGAGCTTCCTCTGTACTGAGGGAGGGAGGGCGACATGACGAAGACTTCTAATGTCTTTGGTGGTGGTGGGTGGGGCAGGCAGTGTAGGTGGTTTTCGTTTGATGACAATTCTTGGGCAGAAGCATTTGAAAAGATGATTTGGGAGAAGGGTGGGGAGGAAGAGTGATCGAGTTCTACACAGAGTTGGGGAGGGCAGGCTTCAGGAAGCAGGCCTGGGGTGCCAAAGTACAGTGAGATCCGGTGACTTTCTTCATTTGGCCACCTAGATGGAAGGAGGGACAGCAGTGGATTATCAGAAGGGTCCAGTAGTAGCGGTCTAGCCCTCAAGTGCTCCTTCATTCATTCAAGCAGGCTTAATGTATTAAGCACTTATTGTGCCAGGAAGTGTGGTAAGGGTCAGTGTGGACCTGCGGCCGTGTGCAAAGCCACAGATCCCTGCCTTCAGGAAGCCCACAGCCTAGTGGAGGAGATATATAGTAATCAAACAATCTTACAACATTTTGTAAAATGCCCATAGTAGATGTTCTGAGGAGAAGCTTTTGGAACTGTGAGCGTAGAACAGGGGAGGTGAAGAGAGTTTGGATAGGGTTTTTCACTCTTCAGGCACCAAGTCCCGCGCACAGTGGATGGGCGCTTAGAAAAAGCCAGCCTGGGGACTTGGAAGCCCCTGCACCCCTCGCGCAGGTCCTGGACCCGGCCCCGCCGTGGGGGGGCGCTGCCTCCTCCCGGGCGGCGGGGGGCGCTGCGGCCGGGCGGCGGGGGGCGCTGCCTCCTCCGGGACGGCGGGGGGCGCTGCGGGCCGGGCGGCGGGGGCGGCCCGGGCCGTCGCGGCGAGCCGCGCGGCGGATGGAGAGTCTGGCCGCGGCCGGCGGCGCCGCCTCCTCGTCGGGCCGGGCACGGCGGGCCGGGGCCTTTGTGTGAAGCGGCGGCGGCGATGGTGCTCGGGGCGCCGCAGAGCCGGGTAAGCGCGGCCAGGCCGAGGGCTGCCCCTGGCCGAAGCCCGACCTTCGGCCCGGCATTTATCTCGCTCTTGCTGGGGTCCCTCTTGCCCGCTCCCTTCGGCCGGACCCATCCTCCCCGCCCGCGCGCCGACCCCGGCCGGCCCCGCCGCCCCTCGCTTGGCCCCTTATTCAGCCCCATGCCCCCAACAGGCTCACCCGGGTGAGCCCCGCGCTGTTTGTGGAGGGACTGAGGCGCTCGTTGCCTCCAGAGGGAGCGCCCCAGCCGATGCAGCGCCCTTCCCTCCCAGATGCGACTCCGGAGGGGAGACCGCGGCGCCCGGGGATTGTTGGGGTGTCCTTGGAAGTTCCCAGCTTCCCCCTCTCCCACCCTCTCCTCTGGCTGCCCAGTGCTCCGACCCGCCCATCGTTCAGGGGTGGCCACCAGGGCCCGGGAGATGCTTGGCCGGTACCCCACAATACTTAGACGCTTCCTGGGCCCCAGAAAAAGTTGGGAGTTGTTAGAATCTGGAGAGATGGAGAAAGGGGCTGTGTTGGGCAGAGTTGTGAGACTGAACAGGGATGCAAGTAGCTCTTCTTCCTTAGTCGTGCAGGAGTCAGAAAGGGCAGAAAGTGGTAGTGAACAAGCCTCTAGGAGTCTTACCTGTATAATTAGAAGTCTTTCTTGCGGCATCAAGTAAATCTGTTAGTGCAGGGACAACAAAATATAAACCCCGAAAAGGGTGGCGAAAAAGAATACAACATATTAAAGTAATATTAAATACTACCACAGTTGTGTTCTACTTTTCTTACTGTGCATTCTGAGTGTTTTAACTTCACAGAATACAGGGACTGTGATAAAGCAATATCTGGAGGGGCTCTGGGTTATCGAAAGGCCAGAGAGCGGGTATGTAGTATAGGCAGAGAGAGATGGGGATTCAAGAACGTGAGATTTATTTGGAGATTATTGAGAGGTTGAAGACACAGCAATGACAAAGCTAAAAAACGGAACCACCTTATATGTTCCTCAGTAGCTAGTGGAGCTTTGATAGTTGTGTTCAAGCATGTGCATGGTATTTGGCATCATGAGGGAAAAGAATATGCTCAATGAATTAGGAAAGCTTGTATTTGGGAGGAAATTAATAGGAGAAAAATTTGATCCAGTGGCTCTGGTAATGAAGTATAAGATTGTGTCCAAGGGAATGCCTCTGGTTCGTCTCTAGGCACCAGCTTAAAACCAAGCTATCAGATTGTCATCAGTCGTTTTGGTTTTTGTCATAACTCTTTGAGTATATACAGGGGGAGATGTCATTGCCTTGTCATAATGGAGGAACTCTCCATGCCAGTTTACTCCTGATCCCTACCTGGGGCTTGGAAGCATTCAGAGTGATGGTATTTTCTCCTGCATAGCCCCTCTTTTGCACGGATGTGTTTGGCCATCCATCTTTTTCTCTTGCTATCCACAGATTAACTGTGCTGATAAGGAGGTAATTTCATAGGAGCTGCTAAGATGGGCATGAGGATCAAACTGCAAAGCACCAACCACCCCAACAACCTGCTGAAGGAACTCAACAAGTGCCGGCTCTCAGAGACCATGTGCGACGTCACCATTGTGGTGGGGAGCCGCTCCTTCCCGGCCCACAAGGCTGTGCTGGCCTGTGCAGCTGGCTACTTCCAGAACCTCTTCCTGAATACTGGGCTTGATGCTGCCAGGACCTATGTGGTGGACTTCATCACCCCTGCCAACTTTGAGAAGGTTCTGAGCTTTGTCTACACTTCAGAACTCTTCACAGACCTGATCAATGTTGGGGTCATCTACGAGGTAGCTGAGCGTCTGGGTATGGAGGACCTCCTCCAGGCCTGTCACTCTACCTTTCCTGATCTGGAGAGCACTGCCAGGGCCAAGCCCCTGACCAGCACCAGTGAGAGCCACTCTGGTACCCTGAGTTGTCCTTCGGCAGAACCTGCCCATCCCCTTGGAGAACTCCGAGGTGGTGGGGACTACCTTGGTGCTGATAGAAACTATGTGTTGCCCAGTGATGCTGGAGGGAGCTATAAAGAGGAAGAGAAGAATGTTGCCAGTGACGCTAACCATAGCCTGCATCTGCCGCAACCGCCCCCACCACCGCCAAAGACAGAAGACCATGACACCCCTGCTCCCTTCACGTCCATTCCTAGCATGATGACCCAGCCACTCCTAGGCACTGTCAGCACGGGCATCCAGACCAGCACGAGCTCCTGCCAGCCATACAAAGTTCAAAGCAATGGAGACTTCAGTAAAAACAGCTTCCTCACCCCTGACAATGCAGTAGACATTACCACTGGGACCAACTCCTGTCTGAGCAATAGTGAGCACTCCAAAGATCCTGGCTTTGGGCAGATGGATGAGCTCCAGCTCGAGGACCTGGGGGATGATGACTTGCAGTTTGAAGACCCTGCTGAGGATATAGGCACAACTGAGGAGGTGATTGAGCTGAGTGATGACAGTGAGGATGAGTTGGCTTTTGGAGAGAATGACAATCGGGAGAATAAGGCCATGCCCTGCCAGGTGTGCAAGAAAGTTCTAGAGCCCAACATTCAACTGATCCGGCAGCATGCTCGGGACCATGTGGACCTGCTGACGGGCAACTGCAAGGTCTGCGAGACCCACTTCCAGGACCGAAACTCCCGGGTAACTCATGTCCTGTCCCACATTGGTATTTTCCTTTTCTCCTGCGACATGTGTGAAACTAAGTTCTTTACCCAGTGGCAGCTGACCCTTCACCGACGGGATGGAATATTTGAGAACAACATCATTGTCCACCCCAACGATCCCCTGCCAGGGAAGCTGGGTCTCTTTTCAGGGGCAGCCTCCCCAGAGCTGAAATGCGCTGCCTGTGGGAAAGTATTGGCCAAAGATTTCCATGTGGTCCGGGGCCACATCCTTGACCATCTAAACTTGAAGGGCCAGGCCTGCAGTGTCTGCGACCAGCGTCACCTTAACCTCTGCAGCCTCATGTGGCACACGCTGTCCCATCTCGGCATCTCAGTCTTCTCCTGTTCTGTCTGTGCGAACAGCTTTGTGGACTGGCATCTTCTAGAGAAGCACATGGCTGTGCACCAAAGTCTGGAAGACGCCCTCTTCCACTGCCGCTTGTGCAGCCAGAGCTTCAAGTCAGAGGCTGCCTATCGCTACCACGTCAGCCAGCACAAATGCAACAGTGGCCTTGATGCACGGCCTGGTTTTGGGCTGCAGCACCCAGCTCTCCAGAAGCGGAAGCTGCCAGCAGAGGAGTTTCTGGGTGAAGAGCTGGCGCTGCAGGGCCAACCTGGGAACAGCAAGTATAGCTGCAAGGTCTGTGGCAAAAGATTTGCCCACACAAGCGAATTCAACTACCACCGGCGGATCCACACGGGGGAGAAGCCATACCAATGTAAGGTGTGCCACAAGTTCTTTCGAGGCCGCTCGACCATCAAGTGCCACCTAAAGACACACTCGGGGGCCCTCATGTACCGCTGCACAGTCTGTGGGCACTACAGTTCCACCCTTAACCTCATGAGCAAACATGTTGGTGTGCACAAAGGCAGCCTCCCCCCTGACTTCACCATCGAGCAGACCTTCATGTACATCATCCATTCCAAAGAGGCGGATAAGAACCCGGACAGTTGACTGGGTCCCGGCAGAGCCACGGGGAGCTCCCAAGCAGCAGCCAGGATGCTGATATCTAAGAGGTGTTGGTCCCTCCCCAGCTGAAGTTATAATTTTGCCTTGGTAGGAATTCTGTTCTGTGTTGTGTTTAAAGAAGAAAAGAAGAAGAAATAGCACATAAGCTGTTACTGTTGTTGAGAAGCAACAGCCCTATCACATTTACCTCCATACCTGTTCTTGCCCATGCAGGGCTATGTTTTTCATTCTTTTGAGGCTGGTTTTGGGATCTAGTCAAGCAGTTGGTGTCCACTAGACCCCCTTCCCCAGCCTCTCTAGTTTTAGTTTACTGATAGGTTTTATGCTGCTAAGAATCCAACCAACAGCCTCACTTAACAGAGGAGGTAAAGGGAGGTTTTCACTGTGGGTGTTACTGCAGGCCTCCAACTGGGATGACCAGCAATGAGAAAGATTTTGGGAATGTGATCATTCAGAAAAGACAGGTCAGCAGGGCAGTCCCCTCAGGTTCCAGCCCTCAGCAGGGACAAGACATCAGGGATGTTGGTGTCTGCTTATCTACAGCCCTAATCTGCTGATTGAACAGTGAAAATCTTTTGGCAGCTAGATCCATACTAGGCACAGAGCTTTCTATTTAGGTCAGAAAGCTTTGGGATGAACCCCTGCCAGCCAGAAGGGGTGTCCTGCAGTGCCACCAGAAGTGGCAGCCTGGATGGACAGGAGAGGTTTCTCTTTTCTCCTCATTTCCAAAGAAACAGGATTTTATGGAGTGATGGCCCGGGACGTCCGGCCTTCTGTGGGGCAGAGAGGATAGGGAACCACTTTGATATAGTCATCTGTTTTGGCCACTTCTGTTGGCCATGAGTGTCTTGGTGGAGAGGTGGGGATGTATCTGACAGCAGCAGCCTTGCCTTAATTTATATCTGGTCTCCCGTCCAGAAGTGTTTGGCCCGTGGTGTAGATGAGCTGACTCCATGAAGTGGTGGAGTGGCAGACCGCGAGCCCTTCAGGATTAAAGGGACCTGAGTAACTGGTGGTGTGTAGCAGGGTGTGCGTTCTGACTGTCTGTCCTAGTCGGGTAACCTGTTTACTTTGTGCTAACAGTGCCGGAGCTTTGTCAGCTCACCTTTGACCTGCTGGAATTTATCCTGATCTGTCGTTGCCATCACCTCCAGGGGGCGCTATTGGATGGCAGCTGGTTCAGGCCCTCCGTGGGTGGCTGCAGAGTGTGCCGGCACAGCCCACGCAGCTGGTTAGCTCCACTCTTACTTGGTTTTCTAAGGGGCTTTGCCCAAAGAAGTCTTGAGGGATAGGGCCCTCGATCTTGCATACTTGTGAGGTGCCACCTCAGTAGCTCATACTACCTCACCCTGCTCAGGTGAGCTCTGGGAGTCCCTGGCCTCAGCCCTGGCACTGCCCCTGGTGGGATTCAGCAACACCCCGGGCTGTTTCACAAGCAAGTGGTTTTCATTAACTCACAAAGCCTTTTTGGACATTAATATTTATTTATTTTTGTTTTTGTATACACATTACCCAGCATCTCTTTTGTATAAGAGACTTTAGGAAAATGAGTTTCTCCCCAGCAAGTAGCCATATTCCAGAGAACAGCCTTGACCAGAGATGTGGAGAACCAGGGGTATAACTAAGGGAAGACATGTCAAGCCCTTAAGCAAATTCTTCTTCTCCAGATTGTCTCTAGCATAATAAACCCAGGGAACACTTTAGGCCATGGGTGTATGTTCTATAAAGTTCGGGACAGTTAAATTCCAGGCCTTTCATCCCCCTTCCTTCCTGTGATGGAGTAGATTGGGGACAGGGTTGAGGGGAACAAGTGACATGAATGACCTATTTGCACAGTTTGGAAGCCTCCTGTCTTTATTTATATTGAGATGTCAGACAAACCAAAGCTCCATCCTTGTTGGACCTGCTGCTTCTCCCCAGCCCTGAACTGATAAAGCCTCAGAGTTGGAGTGCCTGGCTCTCTGGTGGGGTGACCATTAGATGAAGGGACTTGTACAGTGGCCAGTTTAAAGGTCCACCTTTGACCATCTAAACCCACCTTGTTCAGTGTCCTCTGAGGACATCCTCATCAGGAAAGCAGTGTTGAGACTCTTCATTGCTGACTGGCTTCTCCCTTTCTTACTCACACTGACCATTAGAATTTAAGAAGGAAATGTGTAACAGACTACAGTCAAGTGTCTGCTACATTTTCAAGCATGAGCAATCCCTCCCAGACTGTTGGTGAGGACTGATTTTTGAAATGCTGGTGTGAGAGAGGTGGTAATTACAGGAACCAGCCGAGTGGCTGAGAGCAGATAAATGTGCTGGAGAAACCTTTTTCCTTAACAGAGGGCATCATGGATGCTGGGTGGTCTGTGTACTTAACCTGAAACTGTGAAGTTTTCCCTTTTTGCCAGTAAACCAAAAAGCAGATCCTTGAAACTTGGCCCTTGAAACACGAAACAGAAAACTGCATCCCCTGATCCCCCGGGGGCTGATCAGATTGATCAGGGTGGCTCAGTTGGTCCCAGTCAGATACGTCATAGGATCAGTAGCTCATGAGATTTGTTGACCAAACCCTCTCCCTGTTGGTGACCCCTGTATTCACACCTGAACTTCCCGTTTCCCCCCACCCCACCAAAGTCATGTCTGCTTCCTCTGCCTCCAGCTCACCCTCTTCTGAATGGTTTTGCTTGAAACACTATATTGTGGCAGAGGGCACCCTGGGATACCTGGTAGAAGGTATTCATTTTATTTTGCATTTTTAATTGTTTTGACTTTCTGTTCATTTGATTTTGTTGCTCCCTCTCTCCTGGAACCTAGTTTACTACTCTCTTCTGTGTTACTCTGAAGTTCTGTTTAAGCCTTGAACATCCTCTTCTCCCATTTTCTTGGTATGTACTCAGGACCAGCTACATCATTTGTGGAGCCCTCTTATTCATAAATTATTAAAAATTTCAAGGTGGTGGTCATAGAGCATTAAACCAAATATGAGGCCATTCCCAACTTGTTTTCCGAGGGGAAAATGGTAATACTTGTGTGGCACCCGGGGTTAAACAGCAGAGGCTCCATGTGGCCAGAGGCAGAGATTAGTATCCTGGCACTCCAGTGACCCACTGGGTGACTCACTGATGCCACAGCACCCGCTAGGAAGCTCTGCTGAACCTTAGTATTTGGTCCTAAATTTTATGACTCCATGGAGTTCCCGTAGTCCATGGCTAGTTAGGAAGAAAGGAGGTGGGATAAGGGTCAGGCCCAGGTGACCCCTAAGAACCAGGAGATGGGTAAAAGTTTTTTTTTATATTCTGCTTTTCTGATCTGTGAGTACCTGTTTGTCTCCAGGCCAAACCTTTGGGCTTAAATATCTTTTTCCTAGACAGGTTTTTGCTAGTGTTGAATTTTCTTCTTCCTCTGGCCTCCTTCTGTGCCCCTTTCCCCAAGCCCAAGACTGCTTAACTTCCAAAGCAAATTCTAGATAGACACTGTATTTATTGGTATGGGAGTGGGCTCTATGGGGTGGTCTGCACCCATCTGGGACTCTTTTCCCTAAATCCTGCACCAAATGAGTCAGGAGGCAGGGTGCACAGCATTAGTTTCAATGTGGTTATGCATCATAAGCTTAACATCAGAATGAAAATGAAACTCGATTTTGATGTTTCTTTAAAACCCTTCCCCTGTCCAATCCACTCGCCGCCCCCACCTTGAATAGCTAAAGTCTCTTATGAAACAGAGAAGAGTTGTTGACGTCTAACTCCTTCCATTAAATTAATAAGTACTGACCTCCTAATATTTAAGTGTTTACTATCTATTGCTGTAAAGTTTTGTATATTTTGTAAACTTTTTTCCCCAAATAGTAGATGTCTAAAATCATTGTACATCTGATTCTTTTATATTCCATTGTTCAGCACAAAGTGTGGTTTTTATTTAGAATAAAAAAAGAAATTTGAAATGAGAGTTCTCTTCCTACCTACTATGAATATGCTCATACCTGGAGTTCAGAATATCTGGGCTCATCACCCTTTCAGCAGCACATTTCTGCCCAGCAGATGCCAGAATTCTTTCAGGTAGCACATTTTCCTTTCCTGTAGCTGGAATTCCCCAGGATTAACTTGTTGACCTGTTTTTAGTGGGAAATTAAGTCAAAGACTCAAACTTTTCAGGGGGTATCCCTGAGAGGATCCTCCGTCAGCCCAGAGAGAGTGGTGGGTCCCTGCCCGTGTCTAGTTGGACTAACGTTACTAAGTGAGAGATTTGGCTACAGTTTGTCTTGCCAATGCCATTTGATTTGCGGGGACATGGTGTGTCTTTGAGTGGAGCGAGGCAGATTGAAACAGGGAGGAGGCAAAAGTTTGGCATAGTTTAATGAGGTTGATACATGCGTGAATCCACAGAGGAGACAGACCTCAAGAAGTTAGGGAGTGATGTCCATTTGGCCCCACAGCACATGGCCCAGGCAGGGCTCCCATCAGTGCTCAGTAGATGCTGAGTGTAACAGCTGGTTCCCACTCTTCCCCTCCATGGATGGGAGGCCTTAGGGAAGTATTCATACTGCCAGGGTGATAACTAATCTTGGGAGCGTGGCCTCTAAGGTGATCTGGAATGTGACAGAGATGTAAAATTTGGTTTCCTTCAGGAAACTCCTGTAGCCCAAGTCAGAGGAGGCAGTGATATGGGCATCAGATCTTGGCTTGCTTTTTTGTGTTGGGACAAGAGAGGAAAGTCTTTTTCAATGTGAATTCTGCATTGATAGGCTAAGCCCTTACTGCGACCCAAGCCACAACCCAGACTCCTGGTTCAAAAAGCCTTCAGCTCTGTGCTACTGAGAAGCTGTCTGCAGCTTAAGACCCTTTCAGGTTTGGGCCCAGTAAACAGGGAGATGCAGGTTTCCTTCCATGCTCCTGACAAACCTGGGTGCATATGCAGTTGGAGCACGCTGTCAGTGCATCCACAGAACAGTTCTGATTTCTCAAAGTAGAACAGGTGGTCTCCAAGTCAGTGAGTAGTTACTCCAAGTTAAACATTCCAGACACATGGAGCACTTAAGCAGGACAGAGGAGATGGTGAAGAGGCTATCAGTGATTCCATCCAGTCCCCTTACCACGGGCAGGATTAAGAGGCAAAGGACGTGGAATTGGAAGGCGGAAACTAGATCCTGTTCTTAGGCCTTTACTTCAGAGTTCTTCATGGACAGGGTCCTAGTCTCCCAAACATAAGTGATCCTTTTCCAGAAGGTCTACTTGTTAACAGAGGACTTTTTTGTTTCATCTGTAGAACAAGTGTTAAGGAACCTAAGTTGTGGGACAGGAAAATTAGGAAAAGACATGGCCAGGGAGAACTGACTTATAACAGTGTCAGAGCTCTGCCCTGTGACGGAATTGAGAAGTTTCCACTGTGGCCTTCCCCATCTGGTGCCGGGGACAGAGGGTGAAGGACAGAGCATCTGCCAGCACCTGCTGCTGGCTGTCCCAAGGGCTGCTCCCGGAATGACATCCCTTGATACTTTCCTATGATCTGGAGAGAAAGAGATGGGGGTGGGTTGGGCTTTCTGGTAGCTCTGTGTCTCCCTAGAAGTCTGGAAGTTTCCTAGATCCGAAGCTGGTAAGAGGTCAGCTATGAGGAGCTGACTCTGGGACAACTCCTCTTGCTTGTGGGGAGGGAGCAGGATGGACAACGGGGAGGGGAGGGTGTCAGCAAGGAAATGGAGCTGTGTTTCCTGGATGGCCGCGGGTGGAGATACCATCCTGCTGACCCAGCTGCAGGGTGCAGGTCTCAGACCTTGGCTTCGCCCCCACCCCTGCCATCCCCATCCGCCTTCACTTATCATGGCTGTGCATAGGATGCACAGCTAGGGAACGTCCTGCTGGGGCCGCCTGGTTCCTTGGCCTCTGGCCTCTTGTCCCCATAACCTGCATAGTGAGCTGGAAGATCAACAAGCTCACAAACGCAAAAGGAGTTTTGTGAGGTTCCTGCAGAGTTCACTGTTTCCAGCCAGAGTGATTTATGAAATGAATGTGTCTAGTTTCCTCTGCCGAGCACCTCTTTAGCCTCAGCTCCCTTCCCAATCCCAGCTGGAAGTGCAGATTTTTAAAAGATCCAGAGTCCATGGCTATCTCTTCCATTTATTTCACCTTTTTTTCTGCATTGCTCCTTAGACACAAGGACCGAGACAAATAGTACAACACTGAGGGCCTGCTCTCTATCGCTCCTGATCCTGTCTCTCTCTCCACACCTCAGTATTTTAAGATAGATTCAAAATTGACCACGAGTGCTTTGACCCTCCCCTCTACATCCCCCCAAATCTCCCACCTATACTCTCACCTGTGCCTTTTCCTTCACTGTTGGAGGAGTCTGGCCTCTACCTCAGCTGGGTGTAAGAGGCTGAGTGGGAGAGATGGGGGAAGTATTTGGAAGCAAATGGTGTGCCTGAAAGCTCAGGCTTGGCTCAGGGTGGGGGGCTGCTGCAGCAGGCTGGCTATCACCCTTGGTGATGATGATGGAATGCTGGGTGGAACAGGAGGAAGAGGAGGCGCATGTGCCCGCCTTGGTCTGGTCCTTAGGAAGGTAATGGACTACAGCATTCAGGAGCCGGCCCCGGAAGTGTGGGCTGAGAAAGTTGTAAAGGATGGGGTTGATGACACAGTGCAGCATGGAGAAGCAGTCAATGACATCATAGAAGAAGTAGAGCAGGTGGACCAGGTGGCAGTGGAGGGAGATGTGGGTCCCATGCAGTGTGAGCAGCAGCAGGGTCACATGATAGGGCAGCCAGCACATGACAAAGACGGCCACGTAGGCGCACAGCAGCAGGCAGTGGCGCCGGCTCTTGGGTTGTCCTGGCTGCCGCAGCCGGCAGGCTGTCAGCACATTGAAGACTGTGATGAGAGGGAAGGGCAGCAGGAAGCCCAGGATGGTGGTGGACAGGGCCACCGCCAGGGCCCAGGTGCTGTACGTTTCAAAAGGTGCCATGAAGAGGCACATGGGCTCAGGGCCCTCCACCAGCTGGATGTGGACCACCTCAGGCAGCGGGATGATGGCCGAGAGGACCCAGATGCCTGCACACATGGCCCGCCGCACTCGGTGCTGGTAACGCTGCCAGGAGGGGGAGGCGCTGGTGAGGGTGACATAGCGGTCGACACTGAGGCACACCAGGAAGAAGATGCTGCTATACATGTTGACAAAGTAGAAGTAGTGAGTGAAGCGGCAGGAGAAGCTGCCCCAGAGCCAGGTGTAGTCCAGCGTGACCTCCAGCATCCACACGGGCAGAGACAGGACAATGCCCAGGTCCGCGATGGCCATGTTGAGGATGTAGAGGTTCATCAGCCCTGCCCGGCCTGAGCCGCGCCAGTTGACGCATATCACCAGGAGGTTCTCCACCAGCCCAACCACAAACATGGCCAGGTAGAGGGCAAAGAGGACCACGCGCTTGGTGCTCTGGCTGAGCTCCACGTGGCACTCAGACAAAGTGTGGTTGAAGAGGTCAAGCAGCTCGGTCCAGTTGTGGATCTCTCCAAGGTCACTGGTAGGCACTGCGGTGACCCCCTCCGAGGGGCCAGGCCCCCAGCTGGGTTTCACTGACATTGGGACCAGCACACGCCTATTGGGATGAAGGGAGGGTTGGAAGGGAAAGCAGACCTCGAGAGCCTTGTGTCCTCAAGGTAGAGGCCAGAGGGAGTCGGGGGCTTTGGGGAAAGATTCTGGGGCTAAGGCAAGAAAGGGAAGTTTAGCTTTCAAACTGTGAATAAATAATACACAACTCACTTGCTAGCTCTGACCCAAGAGCAGAGATACTTTCTTAAGGGGTTTCAGCTGGAAGAGGCCAGGACTGTTGGTGTCCACCAACATTTCTCCCCACCCCCAGCCAGTTCCCCCTCAACAACCCCCTCAATCCCCCCACACCCACCATTCCTAGGTGGTCTCCAACCTCCACCTCTCTCCTGGCACTTCATTCCTCAGCCCTTTTGCACAGATCTTTATTGCTCTTTTTCTGTCTTGTTATTTGGACCGTGAGTGTGGAACACACACACACACACGCACACCACACAATCTGATTCATCCCTAGGAAAACCTGTGGATCATGCAGGATAGCCAGTTGTCTCCAAGCCCTGATTCCCATCTTCCCTGGGAGAGGGCGACACTCACCTGAGTTTCCCTTGGGAGCCCCTCGGTCCTGGAGGGAGGGCCGGCAGGTCCAGGCTATGGGGAGCTGTGAGGAGGCTGGGGGGCCCTTGGCTGTGGGGCTGGCTTCCCTGCTGGCTTCACGGCCGCCCTTCTCATCCGGGAAGTAGCTGTCACTGCTGAGGCTCTGTAGGGAGGGATGGGGTTTTTCCTGCATTCCCCCAATCCGGTTACAGGGGATGTCCCAGCAAAAGACCCGGTGTGCCAGTGGCGGGGAGGTCATACTGCCAGCATTAAAATCCCAGCTCCTCCCTCACCCGCTGAATGAATTTACCTCTTTCCTCAGCCTCAGTGCTCTCCTCTGCAAAGTGGGGTCTATTATCTACTAAAAGGGATGCTTTGAGAATTAAAGGAGCTGTTGAGGGAGGGAAAGTGCTTAGCTCAGGTGGGGCCTGTGGCAAATGCTTTACGTATGTATGTATTTTCCTCTCCCTAAGTCAGCTTGGAATCCCTCTCTCCCCTGTCTTGATTCCTACTAGAGTGAAATTGGATGTGGGGGTATAGGGGAGGGTCAAAATAAATCTGAACATCAGTTGGGCTTTTAATAACTCTGGCCCACCCCTGCCATTCTCCCCAGCCCCTCACAGGGCTGTGAGCTCCCTGCCTTCATCTTGTGATTGGAGGTGAGAATCTGGGAAAGAAAAGATTGAATGGCTGGGCATGGTGGCTCACGCCTGTAATTCCAGCATTTTGAGAGGCTGAGGCAGGAGAATCGCTTGAGCCCAGGAGGCGGAGGTTGCAGTGAGCTGAGATCAGGTCACTGCACTCCAGCCTAGGTGACAGAGTTAATAAAAAAAAATAAAAATAAGATTGAATGCGGGGTGTCAAGGGGGCTTTGTCAAAGCTTCAGGGAGATTCCTGAGTAGGGAGGGAGAGAGAGAATGGCGCCCTCCCCCTGTGGCTCTATACTTCTCTGCGTGAAGGGTGTGGTGGGTGGCTGGCAGGGGATGAGCAGGGGATGGGGCGTGGGGTAGGGAGAGCAGACTTCTCTCTCCCGCCAAGCTAGAGGGTAAGGGACTCTAAGCCACGTGTTATGGGTAAACATTTTGTGTCAGCAGAGCTTCCTGCCCTTCAGAGCGCTTTCACCTCACTTCATCTCGTTGGATTCTGGAGATACCCCTGTGGGGAGGATGGATTTCTTCACCCTCTTTGAGGCCCAGAGAAGTTGTCTGTTACACAAGCCACACTTGGCAGATGGCAGAGTGGCCTAGGCCTGAGCCAAAGGTGTGTCGGCTGGACGGGATTGAGTATATATTAAGTCGAGGTGAAATTCCCATAGCATAAAATTAACCATTTTAAAATGTGTGATTTAATGGCATTTAGACATGCACATTGTGCAAACACCACCTCTGTCTACGTGCTAAACATCTTCATTACCCGCAAAGAAAACCCCATAACCATTAAGCAGTCAATCCTATTCCCCCCACCACCAACCTTCTGCTTCCTGTCCCTGTGGATTTACCTATTCTGGATACTTAATAGAAAGGGAACCATATCATATGTGACATTCAGTGTCTGTGTTTTTTTTTTTCCACTTAGCATGTTTTCAAGGTTCATTCACTTTGGAGCATGCATCCGTACTTCATTTCCTTTCATGGCTGAGTAATATTCCCATATATATATATATATATATACACACACACACACCACATTTTCTTTATCCACTCAAAGAGAACATTTTTTAAAAGTTTGCTCACTGATTCTTTTATTATGGTAAAATATATGTAAGGTTTACCACGTTAACCATTTTTAAGTGTACAATTCAGTGGCGCTAAGTGCATTTACACTGCTGTGCAACCATCAGCACCATTTATCTCCATGGAAGGGAATATTTTTCATTTTGTAGTTTTGTAGTTTTCTTAAACCTTCCACTTACATATCAGATCACTCCAAGATCACAAAATCTATCATGGCCGGTGCAGTAGCTCACACCAGTAATCCCAGCATTTTGGGAGGCCGAAGTGGGAAGACTGCTTGAGCCCAGGAGTTTGAGACCAGCCTGGGCAACAAGATGAGACCCCCATCTCTACAAAAAATAAAATAGCCAGTTGTGGTGGTACAGTCTGTATTTGGGAGGCCGAGGTGGGAGGATCGCTTGAGACTAGGAATTCAAGGCTGCAGTGAGCCATGATCACCCTGCTGCACTGAAGCCTGGGTGATGGGATCTAGAGAGCTAGATCCCATCTCCTAAAAAAAAAAAAAAAAAAAAAAAATAATGGGCTAGGCTAGGTGGCTCATGCTTGTAATCTTGGCACTTTGGGAGGCTGAGACAGGTGTATCACCTGAGGTCAGGAATTCGAGACCAGCCTGGCCAACATGGTAAAACCTTGTCTCTACTAAAAATGCAAAAATTCCAGGCGTGGTGGTGCATGCCTGTAATCCCAGCTACACAGTAGGCTTAGGCAGGAGAATCTCTTGAACCCAGGAGGCGGAGGTTGCAGTGAGCTGAGATCACGCCACTGCACTCCAGCCTGGGCCGTGGAGTGAGACTCTGTCTCAAAAAAACAAAACAAAACAAAAACAAAAAACCATCATGATGAACCATGACAGTGTGAAATGTGGCTTACTTCGATTTTTCAGTTAGTTTTGCTCTTATTCTCTCCCTTTAGGGTCTTAGTTTCTATCCCATTGATATTTTTCTTCAGTAAGGAGCCTTCTGAGAATTTCCCCTTCCCACTACATGCTTTTGACCCATGCAAATGAAGCCTGTCCTAGATCAAGCACCCTCCAAGGAAGGCCCTGGTCTGGTCTTTGTCCTCTCCAGATGGCCACATCTGTGACCACTTCCGTTCCTCACAAGACTGCCCTTTAGTGGCTCCTGTCTCCTGGGTCTCTGAATTGTCCTTCCCATATGGAGACATCCCCCCTGCAGCCTCACCTCTACCTGCTGCCTTCTCCCACCTATTCCTGTCACCCAATGTGTATTTGTAGAAAGAGGAAGTGATGGTGGTTCCTTCTGGCAGAGGCTCAGAGGGAAAGCTCCTCCCTCAGGAAGAAATAAGTGATAGCTCTGCAGTTTTCATGTGGGGCTTTTTAGGGGGTGGGGTGCAGCTGGAAAGAGAGAGACTGGGAGGAAGAGAAAGAGGGAGGAGCAGGAGGCCAGGCTCCTCGCCAACCTGGGCAAAAGGAGCAGGCCAGCAGCTTTGCCCTATGCAGCAGAAACAGCAGCAGTGAAACAATTCCTGGAAATTTACTCTTTTTCCTCCCCGCCCCACTTTTTTTCCCCAAAAAAGTGTAGACAAGATTTTGCGATCAACAATCAGAAAGGAAGGAAGGTACCAGGGAGGAGGTATTGGGAGGCAGAGATAAAGGCAGACGACTTTCCAGGGTCAGGTTAGGCAAAGGGCTGTGCTTGGACCCTGGCAGAAGGGGTGAGGCAGGCTGTCCCAGGGATCAACCCACGTGCCTGGCTTATGGGGTGGAGGCAGGTGCTTTGTGGACAGGTTAAGGCTGAGGGATTTGGCAGTAATTGCACTCGCGTCCACAGTGTGAACTTCCAGAAGGCCACTGAGTCAGGAAGCCAAGTCTAGTCGTGGAGGTTGTTCTGCCCTCCTGCCACCAGCTTCCCCAAGCTAGAGAGGAATCTGGTTTGCCCAGAAGTACCAGATTAGGAGCTTTCCAGGCTCCTCAAAGCCTGTGCCCCACTACCCTGTCCTTGGCTCTCTCTGCTCAGTTCTTCCCTCTTCACCGGCCCTTCACGAGACACTGTGGAGATAACACCAGTTTTTGAGTCAGACCTGTTTTTGACACTTTTTTCCACCACTTGGTAGCTGTGTGATCTTGGGCAGGTCACTTAACCTTTCTGAATCTCAGTTTCTTTTCTTTTGTTTTTTGTTTTTAAATATTTATTTGTACAGATTGATGTGGTACATGTGCAGTTTTGTTACATGAATAGGTTGCATGTTGGTCAAGCCAGGGCTTTTAGGGTATCCACCACAAGCATAACATGCATTGTACCCATTGACTAATTTCTCATCATCCACTCCTCTCCCATTCCCTCTTCCTTCCAAGTTTTCACTGTTTACCATTTCACTCTCCACATCCATGTGTACACATCTTTTAGCACTCACATTATGAGTGAGAACATGCAATATTTGATTTTCTGTGCCTCGATTGTTTTACTTAAAATAATGATCTCCAGTTCCATCCACATTGCTGCAAAAGACATAATTTCATTCCTTTTTATGGCCAAATAGTATTCCATTGTGTATATATACCACATTTTCTTTATCCTTTTATTCGTTGATGGACACTTAGGTTGATTCCATGTCTTTGCTATTGTGAATAGGGCTGTGATAAACATACTAGTGCAGGTGTCTTTTTAATGTACTGATTTCTTCCCCTTTGAGTAAATACCCAGTAGTGGGATTGCTGGGTCGAATGGCAGTTCTACTTTTAGTTTTTTGAAAAATCTGCATACTGTTTTCCATAGAAGTTGTACTAGTTCACATTCCCACCAGCAATGTCTAAGAGTTCTCTGTGCTCCACATTCTTGCCAACATCTGTTTTTTTTTTTATCTTTTTAATAATAGCCATTCTGACTGGGGTACGATGATATCGCGTCATGGTTTTTATTTGCATTCCTCTGATGATTAGTGATGTTGAGCATTTTTTCATATATCTGTTGGCCATTTGAAAAATGTCTTTTGAAAAATGTCTTCTTTTGAAAAATGTCTATTCATGTCATTTGCCCACATTTTAGTGGGATTATTTGTGGGGTTTTTTTTTTTCTTGCTCGAGTTCTTTGTATATTTTGGATATCTCCCCTGTCAGATGAATAGTTTACAAATATTTTCTCCAGTTCTGCGGGTTGTTCATTCTGTTGCTTATTTCTTTTGTTGTGCAGAGCTTTTTAGTTTAGTTAAGTCCCAGTTGTTTATTTTTGTTTTTGTTGCCTGTGCTTCTGAGATCTTAGTCATAAATTCTTTGCCTAGTCCAATGTCCAGGAGACTTTTCCTTATACTAGATAGTAGATTTTTCCTGCAATACTAGATTTTCTTCTAATAATTTAATAATAGTTTTGGGTCTTATATGTAAGTCTTTAATCCATCTTGAGTTGATTTTTGTGTCTGGTGAGAGATAGGAGTTTAATGTCAGTTTCTTAATATGTAAAGTGAGGATAATGATGCTTCCCTTACAGGTTATTATATGGGATACATGAGATAATATATACAAGCATGCTCCTTTTCCACTTCATGGGGATAAGGAAAAAGGAATCCCATCTTGTGGAATTGACACTGAGAGACCTCTCTAGTCCTATTACCACCAGCCATTTTTTTCCTCTCTGAATTAGATCAACATGAGCCTCCTCTTTTATTTGGCTGTCTTGGGTTGTGTTTTTTACATAGAAGGGTGGGAACATTCCCAAATGTCACTATGAATTACCACAGAGAAATGTAGTAATAGTAACAGCTGATGTTTATTGAATACGCACCATTGGCTAGACACAGTTGTAAGGGGCTTTATCCATATCACCTCATTTAATCCTCATAACAACTTCATGGAGTGGGTACTACCATCGACAAGGAAACTGAAGCACAGAAACTTTAAATAACTTGCCCCAGTCACACAGCTAGTAGGTCAATAAGCCCATATTACAAGGATTCTTGAGCTGGATTCCATGCAGCTAATGGTTTTAGGTGTGAACTGTATGAAAAGTATAAGCAAGTTTTTGATTGTTGTGTTATGTGGGGGGCTTATAACCTTCCTTAGATTCTCGAAGGGGCCCATGATGTCCAAAAGCTTTAAAAAAAAATGACCCTTGGAGAGCTTCTGCTAGACTGGGGTCAGGATAAAAACAGCAATGTTGGGTATCCACTTGTGTGGAGCTGACTCAGCCCTGGGAATTCTAGGAAATTTCTTGCATGAGGAAGGAGGTGTCTCCTTCATGAAGGCTGAGGGATTTGTAGGATGATCTCGGAGGGATTTGAAAAGGGGAAAGTGAATGTCTTTGCTTCCCATTCCCTATCTTTCACTAGATGAAGGACAACTGTTTCCTCTGTGATTTCCCAAGTGTGAGAAGGGAGGGTGTGACATCAGTCTAAGGAAGAGGAAGCTTGAAAAGACTGATAAGAGACTGGAAGGGCCCCAGGTACTATTAATATCCCTCTGCCGCCTACAGCACTAGCAGCCTCCCCGCATGCCGCCACCCTTCCCCCTTCCTTTGGTCTCCTATCTCTCCCAGCTTCTGTTTCTCCCTCACTCTCCCATCTCCTGATCTGCACCCCTCCCCCAGCCTCTCTGTAGATGTGGTAAGTCTCTTGTTGGTTCCAGATTTCTTCCGTTTCTGTTAACTTTTGTTGAGCACCTAATGTATGCTGGTCAGAAATTCTCCAGTGCTTCCCAAGACCCCATCTTTCTAAGTTTTCACCATTTTAATAAAGGCATATGGATTCTTAGACTCCCTGAAATTGGAGATGGGAGGACTTGACAAAGTCATCTTGATTCTCCTCCCTCGTTATAAAGATGAGAAAAATGGAGGCTTTAGGAAATCTCATATTGTCGCATGATGTAAGAAATAGTGATGAAAATGGAAAGCGAAGCCAGATGTTGCAGTGTCAGCTACCTCAACATTCCTTCATCTCTGCTAGAAGCTAGCACTGCCGGGGCTGGAAATACAAAAATGACTGGACTCAGTCTCGGAGCCCTCAAGGGGCTCCGAGTCTGTCAAACCTCTAGTATGCAGCACACTCAAGGCACCATCCATGTTGCTTAATTAACAGTAGTCCAGTCTCTTACCAGCCAGCAGTCTTGCTGTTTCCCTCCTTCTTGGAGGATCCGTGCAGGGAGATATGGGGGCTCCCCGATGCTGGAGAGAGTGGCCATTGGGATGAGCTGAAGAGCCTTGGCTGATCCCAGGCCGATGCCCACGTCGTGACTGCAGGGCTAGAGAAGAACCACCAGGGGGCGCGCGGCTCTTTGCTAGCCTCTGGTTTCTGCAGGAAACCTCTCCTTCCCCCTCCCAGTCCATCTCCACTTCTTCCTTCAATTAGGGGACAGAAATTGGGCAAACATGGACAGTGGGAGAGAGGCCCAGTGCAAATAAACCCTGGATTATTCTGTCCCACACCTACTCCCCCAGCTCCCTGCCCCTCTACATCCTGCCCACCAGTTATGAAATAGTTTCCTCGACCTCACACCGAGGGACCCTCCATGGACAGCAGAGGTCCAGTCTGTACCCCTTTCTGTAGTCTCCTGAGAAGGAGATCCCTCCTGTCCATCAACACCCTGATACAAACTGAAGTAATACCTTTACAGTTACTAGGGTTCATATCCTTCCCTGCTTGGGCAAGGTTTTGGACCACCATCCTCATTGTCCTTGTTCAAATGAGCAATGTTTTTAGCCTCTCAGTGTCTGAGGGGTCCAGATCCTGGATGTGGGCCCTGACAGGGGAGGGCAGAGGGCAGTGGAGCCAGCACCCAGGGCATATCAGGAGGTGAGCAGGTGAGCCCTGTGACACCTGCATAAGTCATTCCATTCCCCTTCCCAGCAGCCCTGGGTACTTCCTTCCTGTGGGTTCCAAGGCTCCATTCCCTTCTTTCCCCTTTCTTTACCTGTGAGGTTGGACTCTCCCTGTGGGTGTTCCACATCTTTCTGCCCCAGAAAACTACTGTAGCAGGAGGGGACTTGCTCTTGTTCACTTTTTTGCCTTCTCCTTCTCATCCTAGAGAGCCTGATCGTGCCCTACTTTTCTGGGGAGTGATTGATTCTGGATGCTGGGTGGGATGAGGAAACTCAGGCTCAGAGCAGGATTTCCACTGAATGTGCCTGGAAACCATGTGTAGCTTCCCAGTAAAGTCTGTTTTCTGGGAGACCATGGTCCAGGAGTGTTGGTATACAATGTGTGTTAGGCCGTTCTTGTGTTGCTATAATAAATACCTGAGACTGGGTAATTTATAAAGAAAACAGGTTTAATTGGCTCATGGTTCTGCAGGCTGTACAAGCATGCATCTGCTTGGCTCCTGGTGAGGCATCAGGAAGCTTATAATCACTGCAGAAGTCAAAGGGGGAGCTGATTTGTCACATGGCAAGTGGGAGCAAGAAAGAGAGAGCTGGGGAGGTGCCACACTTTTAAACAACCAGATCCCATCACAACTCATTCCAGTGTCTCCAGGACAGCACCAAGCCATGAGGGATCCACTACCATGACCCAACACCTCCCACCAGCTCCTGCCTCCAATATTGGGGAACGCATTTCAACATGCAATTTTGGTGGCACAAATATCCAAACCATATCACAAGATATGTAGAGACAAGTTCTGACCCTTGTTTGTAGATCAGAGTGGTGTGTTTCATGGTGTGTGTGTGTGGGCCCCTGTGTGGACACCTGAGTAGGCACAGCAAGGCAGAGAGGCATTGGTGGACTAGGGAAGCATTGCTGAGTAGTGATAACTACTCACTGGGCAGAGCTTGGGGTTTGCAGTTGCATGCATGAACACCTGCAAAGGCAGTTGAAAGAGCAGAGAGATGAAGCCAGGATAAAAAATGGTGCAGAAAGACAGTGATCAGAGAGGAAAGTGAGGACTTTCTGCCAAAATGCCTGAGGGCTTCCCTGCCTACCTCAGCCCTCTGTGTTCTTAAGTCCTCCTGTCTGAACAGAGGCCAGACTCTCACTTCACCCCAGCCCGTCTGGGTCTGTCCTCTGCAAAGCCATGTGGCTCTACCTGGCGGTCCTCCTGGGCCTATACTACCTTCTGCACTGGTACTGGGAGAGGCAGGTGGTGAGTCACCTGAGAGACAAGTACGTGTTCATCATGAGCTGTGACTCACGCTTCAGGAAGCTACTGGCCAGACAACTGAATGCACAGGCTTGCGGGAGCTGCATGTAGGACAGAGAAGGGGACCAAGCAGCTGAGGGGCCAGACTTCAGACAGGCTGGAGACGGTGACCATGGACATCACCAAGACAGAGAGCATTGCTGCAGCTGCCCAGTGGGTGAAGGAGTGTGTGGGGGACAGAGGGACCACCTCAATCCCTCCTAGTGCCTGTTTGTTTCTCTTCTCTCTGTGTCACTAGGGGAGACCTAGTGTCTGCTAACTGGGAACATTTCCAGGACTTTTATTTTCGGGGGCTTGAGCTTTCTGTTTTCCAAAGCAGAAGTCCTAGAGTGGTTGTGGCTGGGCCCAGGGTTAGAGGAGTCCAGGCTGTGGTTAGAGCCCAGTCTCTGGATAACGTTGGGTCCTGACGGTTGGCATGAGACCATCGGGGATGGGGCTGGGCAGGATCCAGGCTTCTGATCTCAGCATTCTCTTACTGGTTCCTTCACACTTGTCCCTGTTGAGGGCTTTAAGATGATCTCCGCTTGATTCACGAGGACACTGGGGCTTGGAGAGCTGAAGGGACTTCACATCAAACACCGAGTGATGAATCCTGTTCCTTTTGGGGAAAGGGAGATCATTGATTGCTTTGTTCTGATTGTAAATGGAAAACATGAAGAAATTATAGAAGAGGATAAGATTGGATAGATAGGAGGATAAGATAGGATTTCTCATTGGAGAAATCATAGAAGAGGATGAGAGTGAAACAACATTCCCCCTAATCCCAGCCTCCAGGGTTAATTTCCCTCTACTTTACACATTCTGGGGTCAGCATTTTCATCATCAAGTTTCTTCCCCAACATAACAATCAAGGTCTCCATATTCCAGCATGTGGAGAGGCCATAATTTGTTAAAGGGATTCTATATTGTTGAATGCCGAAGTTTGTTACCCACTTTTCCTGGCATAAATAACATCTCAGTAGCGATTCTCTACCAAGGTTTGTTGACAGGCTTAGCAGTGCTATTCAAGAAAAGTACAACTATTGAATCAAAGAATCCTCATTCCTTCAAGTCCAGGAAAGGTTTCTGAGTAGGGGAAGGGCCACCATTGCAGGCCTTATTGTTTTTCCAATATTCCTAGGGTCAGTCTCCGTCTCCTGTACCCCCCAGCCCTCACCCACTCACACCCCTGCCCCTGCTGGCCTGGAGTCCGTAGTTCTGTAGCTCTGACTACTCCAGATCTTTCATGCTATTAGTTTGCTCCCCTATGTCTTCTGTAGAGTCTTCCCCAAAGCTTGCTGGACCCTATGGGGATAGGGCAGAGGTGGCCTTATGAGATGGTGGGAGGAAAAGGTGGTACTTCCTGGGGCAGAGAGTGCAGTCTGGACACCTGTGTGGCATGAGACCTCTTTCCCTCCTCCCCTCCTGCTCTGGCCATTCAGTCCACAGTGAGCTTTGGGATTCCCAGGTACACAAGGTGACCTTTTCTTCCAGGACAGATATTGCCTTGACATTGATGCAGGTTGTAGCACAGCTTGTCCCCTGATGCCCAGTGCAGGCCTGCTCTCTAACTTCCCCTAGTCTTAGGATTTAAGTGTATCTCTCCTAAACAGGATGCAGAAAGTAATTACTCATGTGTTTTTCTTATTCTTTCCTTTTTCTTTTTCTCTTCTGTCCTTTCCCCTTGGTTTCTCTGTCTTAGCCCATTCCTGTCTTCCTATTTCCTGTCTCTGTCTCTCTCCCCTGGAGAGATATTTGTTGGACCCTCATTCTGTTTTCTCAAGTTCTGTCCATGCACTTCACAGCATTGGCTTTACTGCATGCTGGGTGCCAGGCACTAGGAGCAGAGATGGGAAGGACCACCCCTCACCCCCCAATACCTTGAAATGGGTGCAAACCTTGAAACTCTGAAGCCTCCCCATCCTTGTTTCCTCTCCTCCACTCCTTTCCCTTATTCCATGTAGCACACTTGTTGACTCAATAAATACATTGAACTAGAAAATGAACTTGCACCCTAACTGTGTCCACCTGCACAAACACAAGAGTGATGCTCTCATCTTCTGGCCATCCCAGGACTCTGGGGCCTGGTGAATAACTCTGGCATCTGCCTGCCCTCCAGCTGCAATGAGTAGTTGATGGAACAGGACTTTGTGACCTGTTGGTCACAAAGTGACCAACTTTGTGATGGAACTGGACATGAACCTGTTGGGGATGATTGATGTGACTCTGATCCTGCTGCCCTAATGAGGAAGGCCAGGGGCTGCATGGTCAACCTCTCCAGCATCGCAGGCCGGGTTTCACTTTTTGGTGCAGGCTACTGCATCTCCAAGTACAGCGTGGAGGCCTTCTCCGACTCCCTCTGGTATTGGCCTGGGACAGGGCCCTCCCTCATCCTCCTGCACCTGTTCTTCTGTGGGAACCATTTGCAGTAGTTTTATGTAATTGTAGCCTTAGAGGCCCCTTATTGAGATCCCTCTCTCTCATCCTGTGTGTGCTGTTGCCCTTATGGATTTAGCCAGCCACTTCTTGGGAACAGCTTCTCCATGTTCTGGGGAGGGAGGGGCCCCAGACCAAACAGTTCCTGTAACTCACCTTTGACCCTATTGAGGGGGTCCCATAGGCAGAAAATGTCTGAGGCAGACTGGAACTGACATGTTTGGCTCCAGAGCCCAGAATGAAGCCACTGTGACATGCAGTTGCAGGGAGCCTAGGAGACATGGGGTGAGCATCTTAGTCCATACAACAGACTTTTTAGGCCCTTGGATGAGTGCCCAATAAACTCAGCCCAGGACAGCAACAGGGTTTTGGCCCTGACCTAAAAGCTCTGACACCTGAGAGAGGAGCAAGAGAGCCAGAACCATTGTTGCCAGTTCTCAAAGGGGTTGTGACCCAGTCAGCCCTGGTGGCCATGGCAGCCTCCTGGATTGGGGAAGCTCCTGGAGATGGGGTCTGAGCTGGAGATTGAGGATCCCCACCTGGCAGCCTTGGACAGAAATGGGGGAATGACTTTTGTCTTCAGCCCAGGCCTAGGGGGAGCCTCAGCTGCCTGCCTGTGCTGTGGGGTCCTCATGAGGTGAAGCACAGGGCCAGGCCTGTGGAGGAGGCTGGGCAGGTGGGCGCATATGGGCTCGTGGAGGCCCTGGACAGGAGCTGTGCCTCATACTGTTGGCAGTGGAACCCCCAAAAAAGGGATTTGCTCAGGGGAGCTCTTTGGTCTAATCGGCTTCTAGACACCCACTTACTGCAGGGAGCCCAGTGGCTGTGAGTGTGGGGAGCCAGACTGAAGGCAGAGGGACGCTCCTTAGAGGACAGCTGCCATCACCCAGCTCAGAGGCCAGGGAGATTCCTGGGGCAGGAGAAGAAGGGAGGGGACTGAGGACTGCAGAGGAGGTAGAATGTGGGAATTCTGGTGATCCATTGGATGTGAGGGGCATAGGAGGTGATAGCACTGAGATGCTGCCTTGCTCTTGAACTGGTAGGACTTAGGGCTAGTAAGCTTTGGTATGTAAAATATGGAAACCCCAGAGAGAGGCAAGGCCACCATCATAACTTTTATCTGCTATCTGCTGCCCTTCCCAACTCTCCAAGCTTTCTTGCATCTCCCACTGTCGTTGCATGCTGGGTTTGTATTGGGTTTCTTTGTTTTTTGTATTTTGCCTCCCAAAATTTCTTAAGTCCTTGCCCTTCTGCATGTCTGCCATGCAGGAGGGAGCTCTCCCACTTTGGAGTGAAGGTGTCTGTGATTGAACCTGGTCACTTCAGGACCAGTATGGCCGGCTCTGAGAGGCATTTACAGAACCTCAAGGAGCTGTCGGACTAGGCCAGCCCCGAGGTCAAGGAGACGTATGGGGAGAAGTTTCTGATATCCCGTGAGTGAGCTGTGGACAGTGGGGAGATAAAGAAATCCTTGTCTAGAAGTCTGGGTCCATCATTAGTGCCTCCAACAGTATGAGAATCTGTCCTCCAAACTCTGCCTCCCCAACAAAGTGAGGACATTTAGTCCATTTAGCTGTGTGGTCAACTGGTCACCTAAAAGAAGAATTGAAGCTCCTATAATTGAAACCACTGGCTAATCTGAACCTCTCGTTATTTTGAAGAGGAAACTAAAGCCAGAGAGGGTGGACACCTGTGGGCTCATGGGCAGCTGGGTTTAGAGACAGCTGATTTTCATGTTCTTAGGCTGTTAGTAGAGACCTTCAATTTATGCAGTCCAGATATCTCAGGAAGAGAGGCAGAGGGGGCTTAGTGTGGAACAGGTTTTGCTGCAGTGAGGGTTGGGGCACTCCCTGGGGAATATGGGTGGATTAGACTTGAGGCATATCATTGAGGGGCCCAGGGATTCTTAGACACTCTCCTTCCAATTCAGAGCTCTAAATGGGAGGGGAGGGATGTGCTAGTACATTAAGGATGTTTTCTCATTCTGAACAGGCCTCAGAAAAGCACCTAGGAGCCTTTGGTCAAAATGCAATACAAATCTATCATTGGTGACTGACTGCATGGAGCATGTGCTGACCGCCTGCCACCCCTGCACTTGCTACACAGCTGGCTGGGACACCAAGCTTCTCTACCTCCCCATGACCTACATGTCTACCTTCCTGGCGGATGCCATGCTCCACTAGGTTCTCCAAGGCTGGCCAAGGGCCTGTGAAGCCAAGACTCAGGTGCATGTTTTCATGGATTTGGGGTATGCCATAAGGGGCGATGTATCATGGGGAGAGAAATAGGTTACCCCTGTCACAGAAATAGACCTAAGGACAAGCCAGCAAGGAGATGTCAATAAGGCACTGGCAGGCCCCAGGTCCCTTCCCTGGGGCAACTGAAGCCTCCTCCCCTCACCTGTGCCCTCTCTGTGGCCCTCAGTGACCGGCCCTTACTTTAAAGTCATTGCACTTTCCCTGTTGCCATCCCTCAAGGTCCCCCACCATATCCCAACACACCCCCTCCTCCAGTGGCAGGGAGTGAAAGTCACGTCTGGACTCATCTTTCTTGTTTTCCCTCCCTTTGTTGAGCCCCTGCTGTGTGCTGGAGAGAAATTATCTTGAATTACCTAGTCCTCATCCTCAGTGTCTTCGGTGTTCTGATGATGTTGCAAGTGTGAACTCAACAGAGAAAGCATTAGGAGAAAGGGGTACAGATTCCTGGGCTCAGTACAAATTGTAGTTACAGGGTACCGTCTCTGGTTTCTCATTTTACTGATTTCAGGTTAAAAGTCCAGGATATGGAGCCTTTAGAGAGCCCTGTGTCATTGAACAAATCATGTTCAGTGTAAAAACAGGTAGTGAGGTCAGATGTTGCAGGGCCACCGAATTTAAAACACGTAATGAGGCTGGGTGTGGTAGCTGACACCTGTAATCCTAGCACTTTGGTAGGCCAAAGCGGGTGAATTATCTGAGCTCGGGCATTCAAGACCAGCCTGGGCAACATGGCGAAACCCAAACTCTATCAGAAATGCAAAAATTAGCTGGGCATGTTGGTGCATGCCTGTAGTTCAGCTACTCAAAAGGTTGAGGTAGGAAGATCACTTGAGCCTGGGAGGCAGAGGTTGCAGTAAGCCAAGATGGCGCCACTGCACTCTAGCCTGGGTGGCAGAATGATACTCTGTCTCAAAAACAAACGAAGAAAAAAACCCCAAACAAACAAAAGACATGCAATGAGGAGAGGATGGAGAAAGATGGTGGAATAGAAGGCTTCACAAATCCTTCTCCACTCCCCACCCCTACCAGGACAACAAGTTAACAACTATCTACACAGAAAAGAACACCTTCATAGAACGAACAATCAGGTGAGCACTCATTTTACCTGGTTTTAATTTCATATTGCTAAAAGAGGCACTGAAGAGATAGAAAAAAACAGTCATGAGTCACAGACACTGTCCCTCCCCAAACCCTGGCTGCAGAGGCATGGTGCTGAGAGTGCCTCTGAGTGCTGGGGGAGGGAGAACACAGTAATTGTGAGGCACTGACCTCAGGGCTGTCCTGTTAGAGCAGAGAGGAAAACCACACCAAACTCAGCTGATGCCTGCCTGGGGAGGGAGCATTTAAACCACCCCTAGCCACAGGGGAATCGCTGATCCCAGCAGTCCTAACTTGAGTGCCCATGAACCTCGCCACCAAGGGCTACAACATTCTGTGTCTCCAAGTAAACCTGAAAGGCAGTCTATGTCATAAGGACCGCAACTCCTAGGTGAGGCCTAGTGCAGAACTAGGCCCAGAGACAGTGGATTAGGGGGACATGTGACATACTGAGACACCAGCTGGGGCAGCCAAGGGAATGTCGGCATCACCCCTCCCCTAACTCCAGTCTGCACAACCTGAGGCTCCAAAGGAGACCCCTTTTTTCTACTTGAGCAGAGGAGAGGGAAGAGTGGGAAGGGTTTTGTCTTGCATCTTGGATACCAGCTCAGCTACAGCAAGATAGGGCAATGATCAGAGTCATGAGGCCCCTGTTTCAAGTCCTAGCTCCCATATGACATTACTAGACAGACCCTGGGCCAGAAGGGAAAGGACCCAATGCTAACAGCATTCATCACCTGCTATCTGAAGAGAACTTGGGCCCTGAATAACCAGTAATTCCTAGGTGCTAATCAAAGGCCTTGGGTGAGCCTCTGAACCTTGATGGCTTCAGGTGAGACTCGGGACATTGCCAGCTATGTTGGCTATGGAGAGAGACTCCTGCTTGAGTAAAGCAGAGAGAAAAGTAAAGGGACTTTGTCTTACACCTTAGGTGCCAGCAAGACCACAGTGGGGTAGAGCACCAAGTGGGCTATTGTGGTTCCTGATTCTGGGACTTGACTCTTGGATGACATTTTCTGGACATACCCTGGGCCATTGGGAAGCCTGCTGACCTGCAGGGTGAGTTCCAGGCCAGGCAGCATTCACCACAAGCTGATTGAAGAGATGTTGGGCCTTAAGGGAACATCGATAGTTGTCTGGCAGTACTCCCTGTGGCCTGGGGTGGTGGTGGCTGCAGGTTGAGGCTCCTCTGCCTTTGGAAAAGGAAGGGAAGAGTGGGAAGGACTGTGTCTTGTGGTTTGAGTGCCCACTCAGCTACAATTTAGTAGAATATCAGGTACACTTCTAAGGTTTTTGACTCTAGTCCTTGACTCCTGCACAGCACTTCTGGACCCATATGGGGTATGGGGTACCTCACCATCCTGAAGGGAAGGGCACAGGCCTAACTGACTTTGCTACTTGCTGACTGCAGAGCCCTAGGGCCTTGAGCAAACACAGGTAGTAGCCAGGGACCGGGTACAGCAGGCCTTGGGCGAGACCCAGCACTGTGCTGGCTTCAAGTCTGATGCAATGCAGTCATAGTGGTGGTGACACAGGGGTGCTTGTGTCACTCCACCCCCAGCTTTAGATGGCTCAGAACAGAGAGAGAGATTCTGTATGTTTGGGAGAAAGTCAGGGAAGAGAATGAGACTGGTATTCCAGAGAATTCTCTCAGATCTTGTCCAAGACTATCAAGGTGGTACCTCTACCAGTCTGCAAGAACCATAGCATTACTAGGCGTGGGGTGTCCCCTAAAGCAGATACAACTTGGATCACAACACCTAAGTATTTTCAAATATTTGGTAAGCCTTCCCAAGAATGACAGTTACAAATAAGCCCAGACAGTGAAGACTACAATAAATACCTAAGTCTTCAATTCCCAGACACTGAAGAACATCTACTAACATCAACACCATGAAGGAAAACTTGACCTCACCAAATGAACTAAATAAGGGACCAGGGACCAATCCTGGAGAAACAGATATGTGACCTTTCAGACAAAGAATTCAAAATACCTGTGTTGAGGAAACTCAAAGAAATTCAAGATAACACAGAGAAGAAATTTAGAATTCTATCAGATAAATTTAATAAAAAGATTGAAATAATTAAAAAGAGTCAAGCAGAAATTCTGGAGCTGAAAAATGCAATTGGCATATTCAAGAATGCAGCAGAGTTCTTTTTTTATTTTTATTTTTTATTTTGCTTTAAGTTCTGGGATGTGTGTGAATAATGTGCAGGCTTGTTACATAGGTATACACGTGCCATGGTGGTTTGCTGCACGCATCAACCCATCATCTAGGTTTTAAGCCCCACATGCATGAGGTATTGTCCTAATGCTACGCCTCCCCTAGCCCCCCACCCCCTGACAGGCCATGATGTGTGATGTTTCCCTCCCTGTGTCCATGTGTTCTCATTGTTCAACTCCCACTTATGAGTGAGAATATGTGGTGTTTGGTTTTCTGTTCCCGTGTTAGTTTGCTGAGAATGATAGTTTCTAGTGTCATCCATGTCCCTGCAAAGGACATTAACTCATTCTTTTTTATGGCTGTATAGTATTCCATGGTGTATATGTGCCACATTTTCTTTTCTTTTTTTTTTCTTTTCTTTTTTTTTTGTGACAGAATCTGGCTCTGTCGCCCAGGCTGGAGTACAGTGGCATGATCTCAGCTCACTGCAAGCTCTGCCTCCTGGGTTCATGCCATTCTCCTGCCTCAGCCTTCCGAATAGCTGGGACTACAGGCGCCCACCACCACGCCCAGCTAATTTTTTGTATTTTTAGTAGAGACGGGGTTTCACTGTGTTAGCCAGGATGGTCTCGATCTCCTGACCTCGTAATCCGCCCACCTCAGCCTCCCAAAGTGTTGGGTTTACAGGCAGGAGCCACTGTGCCCAGCCATGTGCCACGTTTTCTTTATCCAGTCTATCATTGATGGACATTTGGGTTGGTTCCAAGTCTTTGCTATTGTAAATAGTGCAGTAATAAACATACGTGTGCATGTGTCTTTATAGTAGACTGATTTATAATCCTTTGGGTATATACCCAGTAATGGGATTGCAGGTTCAAATGTTATTTTTCATTCCAGACCCTTGAGGAATTGCCACACTGTCTTTTACAATGGTTGAACTAATTTACATTCCCACAAACAGTGTAAAAGCATTCCTATTTCTCCACATCCTCTCCAGCATCTGTTGTTTCCTTACTTTTTAATGATCGCCTTTCTAACTGGCCTGAGATGGTATCTTATTGTGGTTTAGATTTGCATTTCTCTAATGACCAGTGATGATGAGCTTTTTTTCATATGTTTATTGGCTGCATAAATGTCTTCTTTTGAGAAGTGTCTGTTCACATCAGAGTTCCTTAACAGCAGAATTGATCAGTCAGAAGAATTAGTGAGCTTGAAGACAGGCCAGTTGAAAACATATAGAGGAAATAAAAAAAAACACACACACAAAACAATGAAGCATGCCCTCAGGATCTAGAAAATAAACTTAGAAGGGCAAATCTAAGAGTTATTGGCCTTAATGAGAAGGTAGAGAAAGGGATAGGGGTAGAAGGTTTATTCAAAGGGATAATAGCAGAGGACTTCCCAAACCTAGAGAAAGATATTAATATCCAAGTACAAGAAGGTAATGGAACACCAAGCAGATTTAACCCAAAGAAGACCACCTGAAGGCATTTAATAATCAAACTCCTAAAGGTCAAGCATAAAGAAAGGACCCTAAAAGCAGCAAGAGGAAAGAAATAAATGATGTACAATGGAGCTCCAATATGTCTGGCAGCAGACTTTCCAGTGAAAACCTTACAGGCCAGGGGAGAGTGGCCTGATATATTTAAAGTGCTAAAGGAAAAAACTTTTACCCGATAATAGTATATCTGGTGAAAATATCCTTCAAGCATAAAGGAAAAAGACTTTCCCAGACAAACAGAAGCTGCGGGATTTCATCAAGACCAGAACTGCTGTACCAGAAATGCTAAAGGGAGTACTTCAGTCAGAAAGAAAAGGACATTAATTAGCAATACATAATACCTGAAGGTACAGACCTCACCAGTAATTGTAAGTACATAGAAAAACACAGAATATTGTAACATTGTAACTGTTCTGTGTAAACTACTCTTATCCTAATTAGAAAAACTAAATGATGAAATGATCAAAAAAAAAACTACAACTTTTTAAGACATAGTACAATATGATATAAATAGAAACAATAAAAAGTTTAAAAGTCAGAGAATGAAGTTAAGGTGCAGAGTTTTTATTTTCTTTGTGCTTGTTTGTTTATTCAAATAGTGTTAAATTGTTATCAGGTTAAAATAATAAGTTATAAGATAGTATTTGCAAGCCTCATGGTTACCTCAAACCAAAAAACATACAATGGATACACAAAAAGTAAAAAGCAAGAAACTAAATCACATCTCTAGAGAAAATCACCTTCACTAGAGGAAGACTAGAAGGAAAGAAAGAAGGTAAAGAAGATCATAAAACACCCAGAAGATAAATAGCAAGATGGCAGGAGTAAGTCCTTACTTATCAATAATGATATTGAATGTAAACTAAACTCTCCAATCAAAAGACATAGACTGACTGAATGGATGAAAAAACAAGAGCCATTGATCCGTTGCCTACAAAAGACACACTTCACCTATAAAGACATACACGGACTGAAAATAAGGGATGGAAAAAGATACTTCATGCCAATGGAAACCAAAAAGGAGCAAAAGTTCTATCACAGATAAAATAGATTTCAAAACAAAAACGATAAGAAGAAAAGGTTTTCTTTCCAAGAAGGTCACTATATAATGGTAAATGGGGTCAATTCAGCAAGAGGATATAGTAACCACTTTAAATATGTAATGTATGCTCCCAACACAGGAGCACCCATATATATATAAAGAGAATATTATTAGAGCTAAAGAGAGAGATAGGCCTCAATGCAATAATAGTTGGAGACTTCTGCACTCCACTTTCAGCATTGGACAGATCTTTCAGACAAAAAAATCAACAAAGAAACATCAGACTTAATCTTCACAGTAGACCAAGTGAATCTAGTAGATATTTACAGAACATTTCATCCAATGGCTGCAGAATACACATTCTTTTCCTCAGCACATGGATCATTCTCAGTGTTAGATCACATGTTAGATCATAATACAAATCTTAAAATATTCAAAAAATTGAAATACTATCAAGCATCTTCTCTGACCACAATAGAATAAAACTAGAAATGACAAGAATTTGGGAAACTAAACAAATACATAAAAATTTTTAAATATGCTTCTGAATGATCAGTGGGTCAATGAAGAAATTAAGAAGAAAATTGAATTTTTTTTTTTTATTATACTTGAAGTACTAGGGTACATGTGCACAACATGCAGGCTTGTTACATATGTATACATGAGCCATGTTGGTATGCTGCACCCATTAACTCGTCATTTACATTAGGTATATCTCCTAACGCTATCCCTCCCCCCTCCCCCAACCCCACGACAGGCCCTGGTGTGTGATGTTCCCCATCCTGTGTCCAAGTGTTCTCATTGTTCAATTACCACCTATGAGTGAGAACATGCAGTGGTTGGTTTTCTGTCCTTGCAATAGTTTGCTCAGAATGATGGTTTCCATCTTCATCCATGTCCCTATACAGGACATGAACTCATCCTTTTTTATGGCCGCATAGTGTTCCATGGTGTATATGTGCCACATTTTCTTAATCCAGTCTATCATTGGTGGACATTTGGGTTGGTTCCAAGTCTTTGCTATTGTGAATAGTGCCACAATAAACATACGTGTGCATGTATCTTTATAGCAGCATGATTTGTAATCCATTGGGTATATACCCAGTAATGGGATGGCTGGGTCAAATAGTATTTCTAGTTCTAGATCCTTGAGGAATTGCCACACTGTCTTCCATAATGGTTGAACTAGTTTACAGTCCCACCAACAGTGTAAAAGTGTTCCTATTTCTCCACATCCTCTTCAGCACCTGTTGTTTCCTGACTTTTTAATGATTGCCATTCTTTTCTTTTTTTTTTTTTTTTGAGATGGAGTCTCGCTCTGTCACCCAGGTTGGAGTGCAGTGGCACGATCTCAGCTCACTGCAAGCTCCGCCTCCCGGGTTCACGCCATTCTCCTGCCTCAGCCTCTTGAGTAGCTGGGACTACAGGGGCCCGCCACTGTGCCCGGCTAATTTTTTGTGTTTTTAGTAGAGATGGGGTTTCACCGTGTTAGCCAGGATGGTCTCAATCTCCTGACCTCGTGATCCACCTGCCTTGGCCTCCCAAAGGGCTGGGATTACAGGCTTGAGCCACCGTGCCTGGCCTTAATGATTGCCATTCTAACTGGTGTGAGATGGTATCTCCTTGTGGTTTGATTTACATTTCTCTGATGGCCAGTGATGAGCATTTTTTCATGTGTCTGTTGGCTGCATAAATGTCTTCTTTTGAGAAGTGTCTGTTCATATCTTTTGCCCACTTTTTGATGGGGTTGTTTGATTTTTTCTTGTAAATTTGTTTTAAGTTCTTTGTAGATTCTGGATATTACCCCTTTGTCAGATGGGTAGATTGTAAAAATTTTCTCCCATTCTGTAGGTTGCCTGTTTACTCTGATGGTAGTTTCCTTTGCTGTGCAGAAGCTCTTTAGTTTAATTAGATCCCATTTGTCAATTTTGGCTTTTGTTGCCATTGCTTTTGGTATTTTAGTCATGAAGTCCTTGCCCATGCCTATGTCCTGAATGGTATTGCCTAGGTTTTCTTGTAGGATTTTTATGGTTTTAGGTCTAACATTTAAGTCTTTAATCCATCTTGAATTAATTTTTGTATAAGGTATAAGGAAGGGATCCAGTTTCAGCTTTCTACATATGGCTAGCCAGTTTTCCCAGCACCATTTATTAAATAGGGAATCCTTTCCCCATTTCTTGTTTTTGTCAGGTTTGCCAAAGATCAGATGGTTGTAGATGTGTAGTATTATTTCTGAGGGCTCTGTTCTATTCCATTGGTCTATATATTTGTTTTGGTACAAGTACCATGCTGTTTTGGTCACTGTAGCCTTGTAGTATAGTTTGAAGTCAGGTAGCATGATGCCTCCAGGTTTGTTCTTTTGGCTTAGGATTGTCTTGGCAATGTGGGCTCTTTTTTGGTTCCACATGAACTTTAAAGTAGTTTTTTCCAATTCTCTGAAGAAAGTAATTGGTAGCTTGATGGGTATGGCATTGAATCTATAAATTACCCTGGGCAGTATGGCCATTTTCACGATATTGATTTTTCCTCTCCATGAACATGGAATGTTCTTCCATTTATTTGTGTCCTCTTTTATTTCATTGAGCAGTGGTTTGTAGTTCTCCTTGAAGAGGTCCTTCACATCCCTTGTAAGTTGGATTCCTAGGTATTTTATTCTCTTTGTAGCAATTGTGAATGGGAGTTCACTGATGATTTGGCTCTCTGTTTGTCTGTTATTAGCGTGTAGGAATGCTTGAGATTTTTGCACATTGATTTTATATCCTGAGACTTTGCTGAATTTGCTTATCAGCTTAAGGAAATTTTGGGCTGAGACGATGGGGTTTTCTAAATATACAATCATGTCATCTGCAAACAGGGACAATTTGACTTCCTCTTTTCCTAATTGAATGCCCTTTATTTCTTTCTCCTGCCTGATTGCCCTGGCCAGAACTTCCAACACTATGTTGAATAGGAGTGGTGAGAGAGGGCATCCCTGTCTTGTGCCAGTTTTCAAAGGGAATGCTTCCAGTTTTTGCCCATTGAGTATGATACTGGCTGTGGGTTTGTCATAAACAGCTCTGATTATTTTGAGGTATGTCCCATCAATACCTAGTTTATTGAGAGTTTTTAGCATGAAGTGCTGTTGAATTTTGTCAAAGGCCTTTTCTGCATCTATTGAGATAATCATGTGGTTTTTATCTTTGGTTCTGTTTATATGATGGATTATGTTTATTGATTTGCATATGTAGAATCAGCCTTGCATCCCAGGGATGAAACCAACTTGATCATGGTTGGCTTTTGTTGTGCTGCTGGATTTGGTTTGCCAGTATTTTATTGATGATTTTTGCATTGATATTCATCAGGGATATTGGTCTAAAATTCTCTTTTTTTGTTGTGTCTCTGCCAGGCTTTGGTATCAGGTTGATGCTGGCCTCATAAAATGAGTTAGGGAGGATTCACTCTTTTTCTGTTGATTGGAATAGTTTCAGAAGGAGTGGTACCAGCTCCTCTTTGTACCTCTGGTAGAATTGGGCTATGAATCCATCTGGTCCTGGACTTTTTTTGGTTGATAGGCTATTAATTATTGCCTCAATTTCGGAGCCTGTTATTGGTCTATTCAGGGATTCAACTTCTTCCTGGTTTAGTCTTGGGAGGGTGTATGTGTCCAGGAATTTATCCATTTCTTCTAGATTTTCTAGTTTATTTGCATGGGGTTGTTTATAGTATTCTCTGATGATAGTTTTTATTTCTGTGGGATCAGTGATGATATCCCCTTTATCATTTTTTATTGAGTCTATTTGATTCTTCTCTCTTTTCTTCTTTATTAGTCTTGCTAGTGGTCTATCAATTTTGTTGATCTTTATAAAAAACCAGCTCCTGGGTTTATTGATTTTTTGAAGTGTTTTTTGATTCTCTATCTCCTTGAGTTCTACTCTGCTCTTAGTTATTTCTTGCCTTCTGCTAGCTTTTGAATGTGTTTGCTCTTGCTTCTCTAGTTCTTTTAACTGTGATGTTAGGGTGTCAATTTTAGATCTTTCCTGCTTTCTCTTGTGGGCATTTAGTGCTATAAGTTTCCTTCTACACACTGCTTTAAATGTGTCTCAGAGATTCTGGTATGTTGTGTCTTTGTTCTCATTGGCTTCAAAGAACATCTTTATTTCTGCCTTTATTTTGTTATGTAGCCAGTAGTCGTTCAGGAGCAGATTGTTCAGTTACCATGTAGTTGAGTGGTTTTGAGTGAGTTTCTTAATCCTGAGTTCTAGTTTGATTGCACTGTGGTCTGAGAGACAGTTTGTTATAATTTCTGTTCTTTTACATTTCTGAGAACTGCTTTACTTCCAACTATGTGGTCAGATTTGGAATAAGTGTGATATGGTGCTGAGAAGAATGTATATTCTGTTGATTTGGGATGGAGAGTTCTGTAGATGTCTATTAGGTCTGCTTGGTGCAGAGCTGAGTTCAATTCCTGGATAGCCTTGTTAACTTTCTGTCTCAATGATCTGTCTACTGTTGACAGTGGGATGTTAAAGTCTCCCGTTATTGTTGTGTGGGAGTCTAAGTCTCTTTGTAGGTCACTAAGGACTTGCTTTATGAACCTGGGTGCTCCTGTATTGGGTGCATATATATTTAGGATAGTTAGCTCTTCTTGTTGAATTGATCCCTTTACCATTATGTAAGGGCATTCTTTGTCTCTTTTGATCTTTGTTGGTTTAAAGTCGGTTTTATCAGAGACTAGGATTGCAACCCCTGCTTTTTTTGTTTTCCATTTGCTTGGTAGATCTTCCTCCATCCCTTTATTTTGAGCCTATATGTGTCTCTGCAAGTGAGATGGGTCTCCTCAATACAGCACACTGATGGGTCTTGACTCTTTATCCAATTTACCAGTCTGTGTCTTTTAATTGGAGCATTTAGCCCATTTACATTTAAGGTTAATATTGTTATGTGTGAATTTGATGCTGTTATTATGATGTTAGCTGGTTATTTTGCCCATTAGTTGATGCAGTTTCTTCCTAGCATCAATGGTCTTTACAATTTGGCATGTTTTTGCAGTGGCTGGTACCAGTTGTTCCTTTCCATGTTTACTGCTTCCTTCAGGAGCTCTTGTAAGGCAGGCCTGGTGGTGACAAAATCTCTCAGCATTAGTGTGTCTGTAAAGGATTTTATTTCTCCTTCACTTATGAAGCTTAGTTTGGCTGGATATGAAATTCTGGGTTGAAAATTCTTTTCTTTAAGAAGGTTGAATATTGGCCCCCATTCTCTTTTGGTTGTAGAGTTTCTCCCAAGAGATCCACTGTTAGTCTGATGGACTTCCCTTTGTGGGTAACCTGACCTTTCTCTCTGGCTGCCCTTAACATTTTTTCCTTCATTTCAACCTTGGTGAATCTGACAATTATGTGTCTTGGAGTTGCTCTTCTCGAGGAGTATCTTTGTGGCATTCTCTGTATTTCCTGAATTTGAATGTTGGCCTGCCTTGCTAGGTTGGGGAAGTTCTCCTGGATAATATCCTGCAGAGTGTTTTCCAACTTGGTTCCATTCTCCCTGTCACTTTCAGGTACACCAATCAGATGTAGATTTGGTCTTTTCACATAGTCCCATATTTCTTGGAGTCTTTGTTCATTTCTTTTTACTCTTTTTTCTCTAAACTTCTCTTCTTCATTTCATTCACTTGATCTTCAATCACTGATACCCTTTCTTCCACTTGATTGAATCGGTGACTGAAGCTTGTGCATGCGTCACCTAGTTCTCTTGCCATGGTTTTCAGCTCCATCAGGTCATTTAAGGTCTTCTGTACACTGTTTATTCTAGTTAGCTATTCGTCTAATTTTTTTTCCAGGTTTTTAGCTTCTTTGTGATGGGTTCAAACATCCTCCTTTAGCTTGGAGAAGTTTTTTTATTACTGATCATCTGAAGCCTTCTTCTCTCAACTCGTCAAAGTCATTCTCTGTCCAGCTTTGTTCCATTACTGGCGAGGAGCTGCGTTCCTTTGGAGGAGAAGAGGCACTGTGATTTTTAGAATTTTCAGCTTTTCTACTATGGTTTCTCCCTGTCTTTGTGGTTTTATTTACCTTTGGTCTTTGATGATGGTGACGTACAGATGGGGTTTTGGTGTGGATATCCTTTCTGTTTGTTAGTTTTCTTTGTAACAGTCAGGACCCTTAGCCTCATGGGAAGGGAAAGACCTTACCATCCCCTCGGCCAACACCCATAAAGGGTCTGTGCTGAGGAGGATTAGTAAAAGAGGAAGGCCTCTTTGCGGTTGAGATAAGAGGAAAGCCTCTGTTTCCCACATGTCCCTGGGAATGGAAAGTCTCCGTGTAAAGCCGACCATTCATTCTATTCCAAGATAGGAGAAAACTGCCCTATGGCTGGAGGCGAGATATGCTGGTGGTGATACTGCTCTGTTACTCTTTGCTACACTGAGATGTTTGGATAAAGAGAAACATAAATCTAGCCTACATGCACATCTGGGTACACTACCTTCCCTTGAATTTATTTATGATGCAGATTCCTTTGCTCATATGTTTTCCTGCTGACCTTCTCCCCACCATCACCCTGTTCTCCTGCCACACTCCCTGTGCCGAGATAGTGAAAATAGTGATCGATAAATACTGAGAGAACTCAGAGACCAGCACCGGTGTGGGTCCTCACATGCTGAGTGTGCCGGTCCCCTGGGCCCACTGTTCTTTCTCTATACTTTTTCTCTGTGTCTTACTTCTTTTCTCAGTCTCTCATCTCCACCTGATGAGAAATACCCACACGTGTGGAGGGGCAGGCCCCCTTCAAAGAAAGGTGGGTAAACAGGTGCAGGACTGCTAAATCGGTGAGCATAACTAATCCGATAAGCAGAGGTCCATGGGTGGTTACACACCCTGGAAAGAAATAAGCATTAGGACCATACAGGACGCTCTATGACTAATGCTTACCAGAAAATGACTAGGGGTGCTGGCATCCCTGTGTTCTTTTTTCAGATGGGAAATGTTCCCCCCAAGGCAAAAATGCCCCTAAGATGTATTCTGGAGAATCGGGACCAATTTGGCCCTCAGACGCTAACAAAGAAACAGCTTATATTCTTCTGCACTACCACCTGGCCGCGATATCCTCTTCAAGGGGGAGAAACCTGGCCTCCTAGGAAAGTATAAATTATAACACCATCTTACAGCTAGACCTCTTTTGTGGAAAAGAAGGGAAATGGAGTGAAGTGCCATATGTACAAACTTTCTTTTCATTAAGAGACAACTCGCAATTATGTAAAAAAGTGTGATTTATGCCCTACAGGAAGCCCTCAGAGTCTATCTCCCTACCCCTGCATCCCCTGACTCCTTCCCAACTAATAAGGACCCCCTTCAACCCAAACGGACCAAAAGGAGATAGACAAAGGGGTAAACAATGAACAAAAGAATGCCAATGTTCCCCGATTATGCCCCCTCCAAGCTGTGGGAGATGGAGAATTTGGCCCAGCCAGAGTGTATGTACCTTTTTCTCTCTCAGACTTGAAGCAAAATTAAAATAGACCTAGGTAAATTCTCAGATAACCCTGATGGCTATATTGATGTTTTACAAGGGTTAGGATAATCCTTTGATCTGACATGGAGAGATATAATGTTACTGCTAAATCAGACACTAACCCCAAATAAGAGAGGTGCCGCCATAACTGCAGCCCGAGAGTTCAGCAATCTCTGGTATCTCAGTCAGGTCAATGATAGGATGACAACAGAGGAAACAGAATGATTCCCCACAGGCCAGCAGGCAGTTTCCAGTGTAGACCCTCACTGGGACACAGAATCAGAACATGGAGATTGGTGCCACAGACATTTGCTAACTTGCATGCTAGAAGAACTAAGGAAAACTAGGAAGAAGACTATAAATTATTCAATGCTGTCCACTATAAGAGGGAAAGGAAGAAAATCCTATTGCCTTTCTAGAGAGACTAAGGGAGGCATTGAGAAAGCATACCTCTCTATCACCTGACTCTATTGAAGGCCAACTAATCTTAAAGGATAAATTTATCACTCAGTCAGCTACAGACATTAGAAAAAAACTTCAAAAGTCCACCTTAGGCCTGGAGCAAAACTTAGAAACCCTATTGAACTTGGCAATCTCTGTTTTTTATAATAGAGATCAGGAGGGGCAGGAGGAGTGGGACAAATGAGATAAGAAAAAGGCCACCACTTTAGTCATGGCACTCAGGCAAGTGGACTTTGAAGGCTCTGAAACACGGAAAGGCTGGGCAAATCAAATGCCTACTAGGGCTTGCTTCCAGTGTGGTCTACAAGGACACTTTAAAAAAGGTTGTCCAAATAGAAATCAGGTGCTCTGATTTTTAGATTTTCTGGTTTTTCTGCTCTGTTTTTTCCCCATCTTTGTGGTTTTACCTACATTTGGTCTTTGATGATGGAGACGTACAGATGGGTTTTTGGTATGGATGTCCTTTCTGTTTGTTAGTTTTCCTTCTAACAGTCAGGACCCTCAGCTGCAGGTCTGTTGGAGTTTACTGGAGGTCCACTCCAGACCCTGTTTGCCTGGGTATCAGCAGTGGTCACTGCAGAACAGCGGATATTGGTGAACCGCAAATGCTGCTGCCTGATCATTCCTCTGGAAGTTTTGTCTCAGAGGAGTACCCGGCTGTGTGAGGTGTCAGTCCGCCCCTATTGGGGGGTGCCTCCCAGTTAGGCTACTCGGGAGTCAGGGACCCAATTGAGGAGGCAGTCTGCCCGTTCTCAGATCTCAAGCTGTGTGCTGGGAGAACCACTACTCTCTTCAAAGCTGTCAGAGAGGGACATTTAAGTCTGCAGAGGTTATTGCTGTCTTTTGTTTGTCTGTGCCCTGCCCCCAGAGGTGGAGCCTACAGAGGCAGGCAGGCCTCCTTGAGCTGTGGTGAGCTCCACCCATTTCAAGCTTCCCAGCTGCTTTGTTTACCTACTCAAGCCTGAGCAATGGCGGGCGCCCATCCCCCAGCCTTGCTGCCGCCTTTCAGTTTGATCTCAGACTGCTGTGCTAGCAATGAGTGAGGCTCCATGGGCGTAGGACCCTCCAAACCAGGTGTGGGATATAATCTCCTGGTGTGCCATTTGTTAAGTCCGTTGGAAAAGCGCACTGTTAGGGTGGGAGTGACCCGATTTTCCAGATGCCGTCTGTCACCTTTTTCTTTGACTAGGAAAGGGAATTTCCTGACCCCTTGCACTTCCCGGGTGAGGTGATGCCTTGCCCTGCTTCGGCTTATGCACGGTGTGCTGCACCCACTGTCCTGCACCCACAGTCCAGCACTCCCCAGTGAGATGAACCCAGTACCTCAGTTGGAAATGCAGAAATCACCCGTTTTCTGCGTCGCTGATGCTGGGAGCTGTAGATTGGAGCTGTTCCTATTCGGCCATCTTGGCTCCACCCCTCTCTTGTAGGGTTTTTATGGTTTCAGGTCTAACATTTAAATCTTTAATCCATCTTGAATTAATTTTCGTATCAGGTGTAAGGAAGGGATCCAGTTTCAGCTTTCTACTTATGGCTAGCCAGTTTTCCCAGCACCATTTATTACATAGGGAATCCTTTCCCATTTCTTGTTTTTGTCAGGTTTGTCAAAGATCAGATGGTTGTAGATGTGTGGTGTTATTTCTGAGGCCTCTGTTCTGTTCCATTGGTCTATATATCTGTTTTGGTACCAGTACCATGCTGTTTTGGTTACTGTAGCCTTGTAGTATAGTTTGAAGTCAGGTAGCATGATGCCTCCAGCCTTGTTCTTTTTGCTTAGGATTGTCATGGCAATACAGGCTCTTTTTTGGGTTCCATATGAACTTTAAAGCAGTTTTTTCCAATTCTCTGAAGAAAGTCATTGGTAGCTTGATGGGTATGGCATTGAATCTATAAATTACCTTGGGCAGTATGGCCATTTTCTTTTTTTTTTTTTTGAGAAATCTTTTTTATTTCAGAGTAATTAGAGGTTGGCAGGAAGTTGCACAAAATGTATAGGAAGGTTCTGTTCATGCACCGTGCATCTCTCCTCATGTATAATTCTAGTACATTATTATTTTTTTTATTGATTTCTAATTTATTTATTTATTTATTTTTCTTTTCTTTTTTTATTTTATTTTATTTTATTTATTTATTTATTTATTTTTATTGATCATTCTTGGGTGTTTCTCGCAGAGGGGGATTTGGCAGGGTCATAGGACAATAGTGGAGGGAAGGTCAGCAGATAAACAAGTGAACAAAGGTCTCTGGTTTTCCTAGGCAGAGGACCCTGCGGCCTTCCGCAGTGTTTGTGTCCCTGGGTACTTGAGATTTGGGAGTGGTGATGACTCTTTTTTTTTTTTATTTATTTTTTTTTTTTATTTTTTCTTTTTTTAATCATACTTTAAGTTTTAGGGTACATGTGCACATTGTGCAGGTTAGTTACATATGTATACATGTGCCATACTGGTGCGCTGCACCCACTAACGTGTCATCTAGCATTAGGTATATCTCCCAATGCTATCCCTCCCCGCTCCCCCGACCCCACCACAGTCCCCAGAGTGTGATATTCCCCTTCCTGTGTCCATGTGATCTCATTGTTCAATTCCCACCTATGAGTGAGAATATGCAGTGTTTGGTTTTTTGTTCTTGTGATAGTTTACTGAGAATGATGGTTTCCAATTTCATCCATGTCCCTACAAAGGACATGAACTCATCATTTTTTATGGCTGCATAGTATTCCATGGTGTATATTGCCACATTTTCTTAATCCAGTCTATCATTGTTGGACATTTGGGTTGGTTCCAAGTCTTTGCTATTGTGAATAGTGCCGCAATAAACATACATGTGCATGTGTCTTTATAGCAGCATGATTTATAGTCATTTGGGTATATACCCAGTAATGGGATGGCTGGGTCAAATGGTATTTCTAGTTCTAGATCCCTGAGGAATCGCCACACTGACTTCCACAATGGTTGAACTAGTTTACAGTCCCACCAACAGTGTAAAAGTGTTCCTATTTCTCCACATCCTCTCCAGCACCTGTTGTTTCCTGACTTTTTAATGATTGCCATTCTAACTGGTGTGAGATGATATCTCATAGTGGTTTTGATTTGCATGCTGCCTTCAAGCATCTGTTTAACAAAGCACATCTTGCACGGCCCTTAATCCATTTAACCCTGAGTGGACACAGCACATGTTTCAGAGAGCACAGGGTTGGGGGTAAGGTCACAGATCAACAGGATAAGAATTTTTCTTAGTACAGAACAAAATGAAAAGTCTCCCATGTCTACCTCTTTCTACACAGACATGGCAACCATCCGATTTCTCAATCTTTTCCCCACCTTTCCCCACTTTCCATTCCACAAAACCGCCATTGTCATCATGGCCCGTTCCCAATGAGCTGTTGGGTACACCTCCCAGACGGGGTGGTGGCCGGGCAGAGGGGCTCCTCACTTCCCAGTAGGGGCGGCCAGGCAGAGGCACCCCTCACCTCCCAGATGGGGCGGCTGGCCGGGCGGGGGGCTGACCCCCCCACCTCCCTCCCAGACGGGGCGGCTGGCTGGGCGGGGGGCTGACCCCCCCACCTCCCTCCCGGACGGGGCGGCTGGCCGGGCGGGGGGCTGACCCCCCCACCTCCCTCCTGGACGGGGCGGCTGGCCTGGCGGGGGCTGACCCCCACCTCCCTCCCGGTCGGGGTGGCTGCCAGGCGGAGACGCTCCTCACTTCCCAGACAGGGTGGCTGCCAGGCGGAGGGGCTCCTCACTTCTCAGACAGGGTGGCTGCCAGGCGGAGGGGCTCCTCACTTCTCAGACGGGGCGGTTGCCAGGCGGAGGGTCTCCTCACTTCTCAGACGGGGCGGCCGGGCAGAGACGCTCCTCACCTCCCAGACGGGGTTGCGGCCGGGTAGAGGCGCTCCTCACATCCCAGACGGGGCGGCAGGGCAGAGGCGCTCCCCACATCTCAGACGATGGGCGGCCGGGCAGAGACGCTCCTCACTTCCTAGATGGGATGGCGGCCGGGAAGAGGGGCTCCTCACTTCCTAGATGGGATGGCGGCTGGGCAGAGACGCTCCTCACTTTCCAGACTGGGCAGCCAGGCAGAGGGGCTCCTCACGTCCCAGACTATGGGCGGCCAGGCAGAGACGCTCCTCACTTCCCAGATGGGGTGGTGGCCGGGCAGAGGCTGCAATCTCAGCACTTTGGGAGGCCAAGGCAGGCGGCTGGGAGGTGGAGGTTGTAGCGAGCCGAGATCACGCCACTGCACTCCAGCCTGGGCACCATTGAGCACTGAGTGAACTAGACTCCGTCTGCAATCCCGGCACCTTGGGAGGCCGAGGCTGGCGGATCACTCGCGGTTAGGAGCTGGAGACCAGCCCGGCCAACACAGTGAAACCCCGTCTCCACCAAAAAAATACAAAAACCAGTCAGGCGTGGCGGCGCGCGCCTGCAATCGCAGGCACTGGGCAGGCTGAGGCAGGAGAATCAGGCAGGGAGGTTGCAGTGAGCCGAGATGGCAGCAGTACAGTCCAGCTTCCGCTCGGCATCAGAGGGAGACAGTGGAAAGAGAGGGAGAGGGAGACCGTGGGGAGAGGGAGACGGAGAGGGAGAGGGAGAGGGAGAGCTGGCCATTTTCATGATATTGATTTTTCATATCCATGACCATGGAATGTTCTTCCTTTGTTTGTGTCCTCTTTTATTTCATTGAGCAGTGGTTTGTTGTTCTTCTTGAAGAAGTCCTTCACATCCCTTGTAAGTTGGATTCCTAGGTATTTTATTCTCTTTGAAGTAATTGTAAATGGGAGTTTACTCATGATTGGGCTCTCTGTTTGCCTGCTATTGGCGTATAGGAATGCTTGAGATTTTTGCACATTGATTTTGTATCCTGAGACTTTCCTGAAGTTGCTTATCAGTTTAAGGACGTTTTGGGCTGACGATGGGGTTTTCTAAATATACAATCATGTCATCTGCAAACAGGGACAATTTGACTTCCTCTTTTCCTAATTGGATGCCCTTTATTTCTTCCTCTTGCCTGATTGCCCTGGCCAGAACTTCCAACACTATGTTGAATAGGAGAGGTGAGAGAGGGCATCCTGTCTTGTACCAGTTTTCAAAGGGAAGGCTTCCAGTTTTTGCCCATTCAGTATGATATTGGCTGTGGATTTGTCATAAATCGCTCTTATTATTTTGAGATATGTTTCATCAATACCTAGTTTGTTGGGAGTTTTTAGCATGAAGTGCTGTTGAATTTTGTCAAAGGCCTTTTCTGCATCTATTGAGATAATCATGTGGTTTTTGTCATTGGTTCTGTTTATGTGATGGATTATGTGTATTGATTTGTGTATGTTGAACCAGCCTTGCATCCCAGGGATGAAGCCAGCTTGATCATGGTGGATAAGCTTTTTGATGTGCTGCTGGATTTGGTTTGCCAGTATTTTATTGAGGATTTTTGCATCGATATTCATCAGGGATATTGGTCTAAAATTCTCTTTTTTGTTGTTGTGTCTCTGCCAGGCTTTGGTATCAGGATGATGCTGGCCTCATAAAATGAGTTAGGGAGGATTACTTCTTTTTCTATTCATTGGAATAATTTCAGAAGGGATGGTACCAGCTCCTCTTTGTACCTCTAGTAGAATTGGGCTGTGAATCCATCTGGTCCAGGACTTTTTTTGGTTGATAGGCTATTAATTATTGCCTCAATTTCAGAGCCTGTTATTGGTCTATTCAGAGATTCCACTTCTTTCTGGTTTAGTCTTGGGAGGGTGTATGTGTCCAGGAATTTATCCATTTCTTCTAGATTTTCTGGTTTATTTGTATAGAGGTATTTATAGTATTCTCTGATGGTAGTTTGTATTTCTGTGGGATCAGTGGTGAAATCCCCTTTATCATTTTTTATTGTGTCTATTTGATTCTTCTCTCTTTTCTTCTTTATTAGTCTTGCTAGTGGTCTATCCATTTTTTTTGACCTTTTCAAAAAACCAGCTCCTGGATTCATTGATTTTTTGAAGGGTTTTCTGTGTCTCTATCTCCTTCAGTTCTGCTCTTAGTTATTTCTTGCCTTCTGTTAGCTTTTGAATTTGTTTGTTCTCGCTTCTCTAGTTCTTTTCATTGTGATGTTAGGGTGTCGATTTCTTGTCTTTCCTGCTTTCTCTTGTGGGCATTTAGTGCTATAAATTTCCTTCTACACACTGCTGTAAATGTGTCCCAGAGATTCTGGTACATTGTGTCTTTGTTCTCATTGGTTTCAAAGAACATCTTTATTTCTGCCTTCATTTCGTTATGTACCCAGTAGTGATTCAGAAGCAGGTTGTTTAGTTTCCATGTCGTTGTGTGGTTTTGAGTGAGTTTCTTAGTCCTGAGTTCTAATTTGATTGCAGTGTGGTCTGAGAGACAGTTTGTTGTGATTTCTGTTCTTTTACATTTGGTGAGGAGTGCTTTACTTCCAACTATGTGGTCAATTTTGGAATAAGTGTGATGTGGTGCTGAGAAGAATGTATATTCTGTTGATTTGGGGTGGAGAGTTCTGTAGATGTCTATTAGGTCCGCTTGGTGCAGAGCTGAGTTCAAGTCCTGGATATCCTTTTTAACCTTCTGTCTCATTGATCTGTCTAATATTGACAGTGGAGTGTTAAAATCTCCCATTATTATTGGGGAGTCTAAGTCTCTTTGTAGGTTTCTAAGGACTTGCTTTATGAATCTGGGTGCTCCTGTATTGGGTACATATATATTTAGGATAGTTAGCTCTTCTTGTTGAATTGATCCCTTTACTGTTATGTAATGGCCTTCTTTGTCTCTTTTGATCTTTGGTGGTTTAAAATCTGTGTTATCAGAGAGTAGGATTGCAATCCCTGCTTTTTTTTTCTTTTTTTGCTTTCTATTTGCTTGGTGGATCTTCCTCCATCCCTTTATTTTGAGCCTATGTGTGTCTCTGCATGTGAGATGGGTTTCCTGAATACAGCACACTGATGGGTCTTGATTCTTTATCTAATTTGCCAGTCTGTGTCTTTTAATTGGGGCATTTAGCCCTTTTACATTTAAGGTTAATATTGTTATGTGTGAATTTGATCCTGTCATTATGATGTTAGCTGGTTATTTTGCTCGTTAGTTGATGCAGTTTCTTCCTAGCATCAATGGTCTTTACAATTTGGCATGTTTTTGCAGTGGCTGGTACTGGTTGTTTCTTTCCATGTTTAGTGCTTCCTTCAGGAGCTCTTGTAAGGCAGGCCTGGCGGTGACAAAATCTCTCAGCATTAGTTTGTCTGTAAAGAATTTTATTTCTCCTTCACTTATGAAGCTTAGTTTGGCTGGATATGAAATTCTGAGTTGAAAATTCTTTTCTCTAAGAATGTTGAACATTGGCCCCCACTCTCTTCTGGCTTGTAGAGTTTCTGCTGAGAGATCCACTGTTAGTTTGATGGGCTTCCCTTTGTAGGTAACCTGACCTTTCTCTCTGGCTGCCCTTAACATTTTTTCCTTCATTTCAACCTTCGTGAATATGACAATTATATGTCTTAGGGTTCCTCTTCTTGAAGAGTATCTTTGTGGTGTTCTCTGTATTTCCCAAATTTGAATGTTGGCCTGCCTTGCTAGATTGGGGAAGTTCTCCTGGATAATAACCTGAAGAGTATTTTCCAACTTGGTTTCATTCTGCCCGTCACTTTCAGGTACAGCAGTCAAACGTAGGTTTGGTTTTTTCACATAGTTCCATATTTCTTGGAGGCTTTGTTCACTTCTTTTTCTCTTTTTTCTCCAAACTTCTCTTCTCACTTTATTTCATTAATTTGATCTCCAATCACTGATATTCTTTCTTCCACTTGAGCAAATTGGCTATTGAAGCTTATGCATGCATCCTGTAGTTCTCATGCCATGGTTTTCGGCTCCATCAGGTCATTTAAGGACTTATCTACACTGTTTATTCTAGTTAGCCATTCATCTAATCTTTTTTTCAAGACTGTTAGCTTCCTTGTGATGGGTTCCAACATCCTCCTTTAGCTCAGAGAATTTTGTTACTCTGACCTTCTGAAGCCTACTTCTGTCAACTCATCAAAGTCATTCTTCATCCAGCTTTTTTCTGTTGCTGGCAAGGAGCTGTGATCCTTTGGAGGAGAAGAGGCACTCTGGTTTTTTGAATTTTCAGATTTTCTGCTCTGGTATCTCCCCATCTTTGTGGTTTTATCTACCTTTGGTGTTTGATGTTGGCGACCTACAGATGGGGTTTTGGTGTGGATGTCCTTTTTGTTGATTTTGAGCTATTTCTTTCTGTTTGTTAGTTTTCCTTCAAACAGTTTCCTCAGCTGCAGGTCTGTTGGAGTTTGCTGGAGGTCCACTCCAGTCCCTGTTTGCCTGGGTATCACCAGCAGAGGCTGCAGAACAGCAAATATTGCAGAACAGCAAATATTGTTGCCTGATCCTTCCTCTGGAAACTTCGTCCCAGAGGGGCACCCACCTGTATGAGATGTCAGTCGGCCCCTACTGGGAGGTGTCTCCCAGTTAGTCTACACAGGGTTCAGGGACCCATTTGAGAAGGCAGTCTGTCTGTTCTAAGAGCTCAAACACCATGCTGGGAGAACCACTGCTCTCTTCAGTGCTGTCAGACAGGGATGTTTAAGTCTGCAGAGGTTTCTGCTGCCTTTTGTTCAGTTATGCACTGCTCCCAGAGGTGGAGTCTATAGAGGCAGAAAGCCTTGCCTTGCTGCAGTGGGCTTCGCCCAGTTTGAGCTGCCCAGCTGCTTTGCTTTCCTACTCAAGCCTCAGCAATGGTGAGCAACCCTCCTCCTGCCAGGCTGCTGCCTTGCAGGTTGATCTCAGACTACTGCACTAGCAGTGAGCAAAGCTCTGTGGGAATGGGACCCACCAAACCAGGCACAGGATATAATCTCCTGGTGTGCCATTTGCTAAGACCATTGGAAAAGTGCAGTATTTGAGCAGGAGTGTCTTGTTTTTCCAGGTACAGTCTGTCACGGCTTCCCTTGTCTAGGAAAGGGAAATCCCCTGACCTCTTACACTTCCTGGGTAAGGCAATGCCCTGCCTTGCTTCGGCTCACCCTCTGTGGGCTGCACGCACTGTCCAACCAGTCCCAGTGAGATGAACCAGGTACCTCAGCTGGAAATGCAGAAATCACCCATTTTCTGCATCAGTCACACTGGGAGCTGCAGACCGGAGCTGTTCCTATTTGCCCATCCTCTCCCTGCTTTCTTTACCTCTGAGGTTGGATTCTCCCTGTGGGATCCTGCAATCCTTCTGCCCCAAAAAACTATTATAGCAGGAGGGAACCTGTTCCTGCTCACTCTTTGCCTTCTCCTTCTCATCCTAGACAGCCTGACCGTGCCCTAGTTTTCAGAGGAGTGATTGATTCTGGGGTGCGGAGCAGGATGAGGAAACTCAGGCTCAGAGAGGGATTTCCACCTAATGTGCCTGGAAACCATGGGTAGCTACCCAATAAGGCCTTTCTATGTTCAGAAGGTCATGGACCAGGAGTGTTGGTATCGGAGCTTTGTAGAGACAGTTTTGACCCCTGTACTTAGAGCAGAGGGGTGTGTTTGCCATGGAGAGTGTGTGTGGGCAGCTGTGTGTAAGCCTGTGTGAGTTCTGTGTATGTTCCTGTGTGAATATATGTGTGTGCTCCTTCATGGACACAGCATGCATGTAGTGGGCATAGCAAGGCAGAGAGAAATCAGGAGACTAGGGGCACATTGCCCAGTAGGAAGATAGTATCTTCCTACTGGGCAGGACTTGAGGTGTGCAAAGGTGTGCATGAGTACTGCAAAAGCAGTTCAAAGAGCAGAGAGGTGGGGCCAGAATAAATATGTTGCAGAAAGGCAGTCATCAGGGAGGAAAGTGAGGATTCCCTGCCAAAATGCCTGAGGGCTTCCCTGCCTACCACAGCCCTCTGTGTTCTTAAATCCTCCTGTCTGAACAGAGGCCAGACTCTGGTTTCCCCCACAGCCTGTCTGTGTCTGTCCTCTGCAAAGCCATGTGGCTCTACCTGGCGGTTTTCGTGGGCCTGTACTACCTTCTGCACTGGTACCGGGAGAGGCAGGTGCTGAGCCACCTGAGAGATAAGTATGTGTTCATCACGGGCTGTGACTCTGGCTTCGGGAAACTGCTGGCCAGACAGCTGGATGCACGAGGCTTGCGGGTGCTGGCTGCATGTCTGACGGAGAAAGGAGCCGAGCAGCTGAGGGGCCAGACTTCAGACAGGCTGGAGACGGTGACCCTGGATGTTACCAAGACAGAGAGCGTTGCTGCAGCCGCCCAGTGGGTGAAGGAGTGCGTGAGAGACAAAGGTAACCACCCAGGTTTGTCAAGTCTGTCTGTGTCTTCCCTCTGTGTGAAGGGACCACCTCCTGTCTGCTCCCTGGGAAGATTCCTACAGTGTCTTTCCAGGTTGAAGTAACAGTAGCTTTCTAATATTTCTCACTTAACAGGCTGCCTGAACCCCATCTCTTTTCAATCCTTAACCTCTCCCGACATTGGAGGTGTCTAGTCTTGGGGAGAGTTTGCCCTGATGAGATTTTCTCTCCAGAATTCCTCTCTATCCTCTCCCTCCTGTCTAAGCAGAAGTCATGTGTTGTTTGATGCTAAGAGCCTGGGTTAGAGATCTGGAGACTTGCTGGAGCATCGTTGAGAAGGGAGCACAGGGCTGCAAGTGTGCACGGAGGCTGTGCCTGTGCTGGAGCCAGGCTTATGTTCCCAGCACTTTACCTTGTTTTTGCTAGGGCCCATCAGCGTCCACTGAGAGCTACGATCATCTCCATCTTCAGAGGAGAGTATCAGCTTAAGGACTGCTTAAGGAAGGCAGAACTAGTAAGGGGTTACTTTTTCTTTCTTTCTTCTTTTCACTACACTAATTCATCTGTCTTATTATAGAGGAAGAAAGAAACATGGATTTATTTTATGTAACAATAAATCAGAATATGATCTTTGTGGAAAACACTGAAAAGAATAAAGATGAAAACAAGTTTCCCTGAAATTGTCATCCACACATAAGTCCTTTTTACAATTATACAAAATTAGGATTTTATATTTTGTTCTTAGTTTCAGTCACCTTAAATTCTCTGGAGAAGATGAACACTTTTCCACCATAATGACTGTTTTTATAAAATTATATTTAATTATTTAGAATACTGTATCCTTCCAATAGCCTTACCTATGTAATCCATACTGAGTGGTTGGATATGAAATTCCTTCCTGCTTTTTATTCATCATAAATGTCATCTTGGTGGACTTTTATTTGCCAACGTCTCTGTAAGTGTGAGTATTGATTGGATTCTTAAAAATGAGATGTCTGGGTGGAGGAATCTGCATTTGCATCAGGGCAGGGCCTGTTATTGAGCAGGGGACAGGTTCATATGCCTGGGCCAACCCTTCCAGATCAACAACTGCCACCCCCTGCCTGGACTCAAGGGACCCTGTGCTCCTGCCCCCTAGCTCTGTGGGTTGAAAACTCTATTGACTTGAAGTCCTGGGGATTGTGTATTTGCATCTTCCAGAGAGATTTTCCCAGAGCTGGGTGAACTTGGGACTAAAGGGAAGGATGAAGAGTGGGCTTCTGATGCAGTAGGAGGAGAGGGTGACATTTTCTGGGGCAGAGGGTGGAGTCTGTGTACTGAGTGGGGTGACGCAACCTTGCTTTCTTCCCAAAGCCTGTGCATTGGAATTCCCCTGTGCTTTCTATAAAAATGTTACTGATGCAGGATGTTTCAAGACCAGTGCCCTGAGTTCAAACACTTGGGAAACAGGATGTTTCCCAAGTTCCCCCAAGCCTAGGATTTCAGGTCTGTCTCTTTCTCTCTTTCCTGTCTCCCTCACTCTCCCTCTTTCTTGTCTCTTATTCCATCAACAGATAGTTGCTGGACAATCACTATATAAGGTGTTAGCACACCTGAAAATGCAGCTGTATGTCTGTAATGTCTGCAACATTCATGTTTAACTAACCAAACATTGGTCTTCATGTTTCCAGACTAATGCATGGACAATAGTTCTTTAACATGATTTCATGCAGTCCTTAAATAGGGGTAATAGCTTATTGTCTTTCAGGCAGTAGGCTGGTCCATGAAGAGTAAATGGAGAAAGACCTGGGTTTTGTGGCCCACCAGCTGCTGAATGCTCAGCCCCCACCCCTGTGATACTGTGGTGTTTGTTATACCCTCCTCCCCATCCCACACCTGTCAGTCTGCCCTCACTTTATTGGGATGTGATTTGCACCCTAACTCTGTCCACCTGCACAGGCACAACACAGTGATGCTCTCTCATCTTCCCACTGTCCCAGGACTCTGGGGCCTGGTGAATAATGCTGGCATCTCCTTGCCCACGGCTCCCAATGAGTTGCTCACCAAGCAGGACTTCGTGACCATACTGGACGTGAACTTGTTGGGGGTGATTGATGTGACTCTGAGCCTGCTGCCCTTAGTGAGGAGGGCCAGGGGCCGTGTGGTCAACGTCTCCAGTGTCATGGGCCGGGTGTCACTTTTTGGTGGAGGCTACTGCATCTCCAAGTATGGCGTGGAAGCCTTCTCTGACTCCCTCAGGTATGGGTCTGGGATGGGGCCCACCCTAGTCTTCCTGCTCCTGTCCTTGTGGGGAAGTCTTTTCCAGGGAGTTCCTTGAATCCCAGCCTGTAAGTTCCTTTCATGAGATCACTCTCTGTCTTCATGTGTGACACCCTCATCTTCCTCTTTCTGGATTGGGCTGGCCATTCACTGGGAAGCACCTTCCTGAGTGCTGGGCGACAGGAGGGGCCCCAGGTCAGAGAGTTTCTTGAACGATACCTCTTCCCTGGATGGATCTCTTGGTCAGAAACTGCCAGAGGCAGAATTGGACCTGGATCTTTGGCTTCAGATCCTACCAAGAGGAACACAGTACTGAGGTTACCAAGCCCAGGACAGGGGAACACTGTGTATCAATGACTAATCCCAGGGAAGGACCCTAAACACTTCTTCCCATTGCACCTTGGTATTGGAGCCACAAAGGCAGACCAGGCAGTCAGTGCTGGATGGAAGAATGCTTTGCACCCTAGAGAAGGAGCAGAGAAAGATCAGCTACAGCAGTGTGTGTTGGTCCCCTAGCCAGGGAGGCTCTCCCAGCAGCTGACACTGGGCATGTGGCTTGCTAACACCCCTCTCTTGCTGTAGTAGAAGGACCCCAACCCCTCCTCCCAGGAATCTGAAATACTTGTAAACCTGGGGCATGCCTTAGGGCCGCGGACACACACAAGCTCATGCAGACGCAAGAGCACTCACTGAGTCAGAAACAGGGAAAGATATTTCCACACCAGGAGATGGGTGCCTGGCTCTGGGGCTCTTCCTCTCTAGGGAGAGAAATGCTTCAAGCCCTGAGGCCATTCCTTCATGGCTCTCTGGGGCCCAAAGACAGCATGCAGGAGATGGTCTTTCCCAGCAGAATTCATATCCAGAGCCCCTTTGACGATGGGTAGAGCATCTGAGTCCACACAACAGACACTTTAGGCCCTTGTCCAAGTGGCCAAAAATCCATCCTTAACAACAAGGTTTTGTCTGTGACTTAAAACTTGATACCTGGGAGAGGGACAAGAGATATAGAATCAAGTGCCAATGCTTATAAGGTTGGTGACCAAGTCAACCTTGCTGGCCATGGTACCCACCTGAGTTGAGGAGAGTCCTGGAGATTCCATCTGAGCTGGGGATTGAAAACTCAAGCTGGGGATTGAGAACTCCACCTGGCAGCCTGGTAAGGAAGACTGGGAAAGGCTCCTAGATGAAGGAATGCCATCAGCCCAGGCCCAGAGTGAGCATTAGCCACCTGCATGTACTGCAGAATCCTCTTGTGGTGAAGGTCAAGGCCAAGCCTGGTGGGGGATGCTGGGCAGGTGGTCATAGGTGGGCTCCTTGAGGGCCTGTGGGCCCTGGACAGGAGTTGTGGCTTATGCTGTTGGCAGTGGAACCCCCTCCAGAAAAGGGATTTGCTCAGGGGAGCTCCTTGGTCCAGTCAGCTTCTAGACTCCCACTGACTGCAGGAAGCCCAGTGGTTGTAAGTGTGGGGAGCCAGACTGAAGACAGATGCTTCTTAGAGGACAGCTGCCATCACCCAGCTCAGAGGCCAGGGAGATTCCTGGGGCAGGAAAACGAGGGAGGGGACTGAGGACTGGAGAGGAGGCAAAATGTGGGAATTCTGGTGATCCACTGGATGTGAGGGACATAGGAGGAGACAGCACTAAGGTGCTGCCTTGCTTTGGAATTGGTAGGATTTAGGGCTAGTAAGCTCAGGTGTGTAAAATATGGAAACTCCATACAGAGGGAATGCCACCATGATAATTATGACCCCTTGATTGCTGGAAATTAAATATTCCAAGCTTTCTATTTTACCCATTGTCCTCATATGTTGTGATATCATAGTTTTACTTTTATTGTTTGTGTTTTACCTTCCAAGACCCCCGAAGTTTTTCCCCTCTGCTTCTCTGTCTTGCAGGAGGGAACTCTCCTACTTTGGGGTGAAGGTGGCTATGATTGAACCTGGCTATTTCAAGACTGCTGTGACCAGTAAGGAGAGATTCTTAAAGAGCTTCCTGGAGATTTGGGACCGGTCCAGTCCAGAGGTCAAGGAGGCCTATGGCGAGAAGTTTGTTGCAGACTGTGAGTAAGCTGTGGACAGTGGGGAGAGAAGCAAACCCTCGTGTGGAATCCTTGGTCTACCATTGGTGTCTGAAGGGCATTAGAGTTTGATCCCCAGGCTCTCCCTTCCCCACAGAGTGGAGACCTTTAGCCCCATTTCCATGATGGGTGCTGTGTGGTCAACTGGTCATGAAAAGCAAGTGTCCAGGCTTCTCAGAACTTGGGACCAGTGTCTATCTGAACCCATCGTTACTGAGGAACAAAGGGAAGCCAGAAAGGGAAGACATTGGTGGCTGATCACAAGCTGGCATTAGAGACAGCTTGTTTTTATGTGCTGAGACTTCTACTGTGGGTGGAGACCATCATTTATGCAGTCCAGATATTCCCAAAGAGAGACAGACATGACTTAGTGTGAGACACTTGCTACTTTCACATGGATGGGCTCCAGCTCAGGGAATTTGGATAAAAGAGATTTGAGGCATTGCTTGACTGGGGGTTGTGGGGTGGCATGAGTTCTTAGACCCTTTCCACTCTAAGTTGAATCCAAAGCAGGAGCGGTTAGAGGTGGAAATATACATGGATTGTTTCTGATTCTTAACAGATAAGAAATCAGCTGAACAAATGGAGCAGAAGTGCACACAGGATCTGTCGTTGGTGACCAACTGCATGGAGCATGCGCTGATTGCCTGCCACCCCCGTACTCGCTACTCAGCTGGCTGGGATGCCAAGCTTCTCTACCTCCCCATGAGCTACATGCCCACCTTCCTGGTGGATGCCATTATGTACTGGGTCTCTCCAAGCCCGGCCAAGGCTCTATGAAGCTAAGGTTGGATGCATGGTTGCATGGATTTGGGGTGTGCTATGAGGGGTGGTGTATCCTTGGGAGAGATATAAAGTGGAGGGAGGGAGCCGTCCGGTCAGTAGGGCACCAATCCCACCTCCTTCATTACCTCCTGGCCATGATTCTCCTGGGAGATAATTCTGCTCTCTGGAGATGTTGGTAGGAAAGTTTCAAGTTACGCAGCTGAGAAACAGGGACCAAATAGTGCTCCTGGGTGCATTGTCACCGTGGGTGGCCACTCAAGGGTCCAAGCCTCTAGGGCCATCCTTGGGCTAACAACTGGGGTGGGTGTGAGCAGGTGGAAGGAGCCTCAGCCCATGCCATTACCTCCTGCTTCCTTATCAGGCTGTGTGTTAATTCTGGGCCAGTCTACACCCTCCCACGGGGTGGAAATGGCCTGGAGGATGTGAGGGCACCCCTCCTCTGAAGATCCCTGTACACGTGGTGTTGGGACTGGAACCATTATGCGGCCCCATAGGCCTCAGGAGTCATCCCAGAAGCAGTGGCTGGGAGGTGGTGTCCTAAGTAAGGATCTGTGCAGAGGACAAATAAATCAGTTTTTGATTTGTCTTGAAAGCATGGACTTCCTTTGACTCTTTTGATGTTGAAAAAGTTGATAGTTTCACCCATGTGCAGTGATTTGAATGTTCTTGTGAAGCTCCACTTGGATTCCAGACACATGAGATTGCAATCCCTCTCTGAGTCTGGGTTCCCACCTTTGCTCAGCACCCAGAGTCACTCCATCCAGAAAGTCAGGTCACTGTCAGCCTCCCTAGGACTAGAAGTCAAAGGCAGAAAAGAGTGAACAGGAATAGATCTCCTCCTAATATTGAATTTTCTGCTAGAAGGAGAACAAGATCCCAATGGGGAAGTCTGATCTTAGAGGCAAAGAAAGGGGAAAAAGGAAAATGGGGATGGGAACTCCCAAGCTGCTGGGAGGGAGTAATGGAGTGACTTACACAAGAGGGTGTCAAGAGTTTTTACACTTTCACTCCTGAAGATGTCCTTTCCCTAGATTTGGGTGGCCTTGGGGAGCAGTGGCAGGAAGAGGCAGGTACCTTCCTGAATATCAGGGGATGAGAGGCATGGCCTGAGAATGGATTTGAAGAGAGAAGTTGGACTATCCCTGCCCTCTCCCAGCCCTTGTTGCCACCAAGGTGAGGGGCAATTGTTTTCTTTCCAGGGGGTTCTGGAGTAGCCTGTGGTCACAGAAATAGACCCAAGGACAAGACAGCAAGGCGACCTCAACAGCCATATTGACAGGCAGGCCTCAGATCCCTTCCCTGGGGCAACTGAAGCCTCCTCCCCTCACCCGTGCCCTCTCTGTGTCCCTTAGTGACGGACCCTCACTTTAAAGTCATTGCACTTTCCCTGTGTCATCCCTCAGGTCCCCCACCATATCCCAACACACCCACCCCTCCAGTGACAGGGAGTGAGAGTCACTGCTGGACTCATCTTTCATATTTTCTCTCCCTTTGTTGAGCCCCTGCTGTGTACTGGAGAGAAATTCCCTTGAATGACCTGGTCCTCATCCTCAATGTCTTCAGTTTTCTGATGATGTCGCAAGTGTGGACTCAACACAGAAAGCATTAGGGGAAAGGGGTGTAGAATCCTGGACTCAACACAAATTGTAGTTGGGAGGTAACTCCCCAGGATTCTCATTTTTCTTTCTTCAGGATAAAAGTCTAGGTCTAGGATATGGAGCCTTTAGGAAGCCCCATGTTGTTTAACAAATCAGTATTTATTGTAGAAACAGAGATTGAGGTCAGATGTTGCAGGGCCACTGAATTTAAAACACGCAATGAGGCATGGTGACTCATGCCCGTAATCCTAGCACTTTGGTAGGCTGAGGTGGGTTGATTACCTGAGCTCAGGAGTTAGGGACCAGCCTGGGCAATATGGTGAAACCCGGTCTCTATTAAAAATACAAAAAATTAGCTGGGTGTGTTGGTGTATGCCTGTGTTACAGCTACTTGGGAGGCTGAGGTAAGTGGATCACTTGAGCCTGGGAGACGAAGGTTGCAGTGAGCTGAGATTGTGCAACTGCACTCCAACCTGGGTGATAGAGTGAGACCCCCATCTCAAAAAAAAAAAAACAAAATAAAACAAACAAGCAAATGAAACACACACAGTGAGGAGCAGGTGGAGATAAATGGCAGAGTAGAAGGCTTCACGGATCATTCTCTCTTCCCCACCCCACACCAAGACACCAAGTTAACAATTGTCTCCGTATCAAAAAACACCTTCATAAGAACCAATAATCAGGTGATGATAACTCTTTAACCTGGTTTTAACCTCATATTGCTGAAAGAGGCACTGAAGAGATAGAAAAAAACAGTCGTGAATCACAGACCCTACCGCTCTCCAAACCCTGGCAGTGGAGGCACAGTGCTGAGAGCATCTCTGGGTGCTGCGGGAGGGAGAACACAGCAATTGTGAGGCACTGAACTCAGTGCTATCCTGTTAGAGCAGGAAGAAAAACCAGACCAAAGTCAGCTGATGCCCATCCATGGAGGGAGCATTTAAACCAGCCCTAGCTACAGGGGAATCACCGATCCCAGCAGTCCTGAGTGCCCACAAACCTCGATACCAAGGGCTACAATGCTCCATGTCTCCAAATAAACTTACATGGCAGTCTAGGCCATAAGAACTGCAACTCATAGGTGAGGCCTAGTGCCACAGGGGAGTCTCTGATCACAGCAAACCTAACTTGAGTGCCCGCAAACCTCGCCACCAAGGGCTACAATGCTCTGTGTCTCCAAGTAAACTTGAAAGGCAGTCTAGGCCATAAGGACTGCCCCTCATAGGCTAGGGGTAGTGCAGAACTAGGCCCAGAGGCACTGGATTAGGGGGACACATGACATATTGAGACGCAAGCTGGGGCAGCAAAGGGGAATGTTTGTATCACCCCTCCCCTAACCCCAGGCTGCACAGCTTGATGTTCCAAAGGAGACCCCTTTCTTCCACTTGAGGAGAGGAGAGAGAAGAAGAGTGGGGAGGATTTTATCATGCATCTTGGATACCAGCTCAGCCACAGCAAGATAGGGCAATGATCAGAGTCAGGAGGCCCTCATTTCAATCCCTAGCTCCCATATGACATTTCTAGACAGACCCTGGGCCAGAAGGCAACCCAGTGCTTTCAAAGAAAGGACCCAGTGCTGGCAGCATTCATCACCTTCTATCTGAGGAGACCTTGGGCCCCAAATAACCAGCACTGATGGGCAGTTACTACACTGAGGACCTTGGGTGAGCCTCTGAGACTTGCTGGCTTCAGGTGAGACTCAGGACATTCCCAGCTGTGGTGGCTATGGAGAGAGACACCTTCTGTTTGAGAAAAGTGGAAGGAAAAGTAAAGGAGACTTTGTCTTGCACCTTAGGTGCCAGCATGGCCACAGTGGAGTGGAGCACCAAGCAGACTATTGTGGTTTGTGATTCCAGGACTTGACTCTTGGATGGCACTTTCTGGACCCACCCTGGGCCAATGGGGAGCCCACTGACATGAATGGTGTGTCCCAGGCCAGGCAGCATTCACCACAAGCTGACTTAAGAGATCTTGGGCTTTAAGGGAATATTGATGGGAGTCTAGCGGTACTCCATGTGGCTTGGGGTGGTGGTGACTATGAGGTCAGGCTCCTCTGTCTTTGGACAAGGAAGAGAAAAGCAGGAAGGATTTGTTGTGTGGAGTGAGTGCCAGCTCAGCTGCAATCCAACAGGACACCAGGTACATTTCTAAGGTTTTTGACTCTAGTCCTTGATTCCTGCACAGCACTTCTGGAACCACACGGAGACTGGGGGACATCACTGCTCTGACAGAAGGACACAGGCCTAACTAGCTTTGTTATCTGCTGATTGTAGAGCCCTTGGGCTTGAGCAAACATAGGCAGTAGCCAGGGCCTTACAACAGGCCTTGAGTGAGACCCAGCACTGTGGTGGCTTCACGTCTGACCCAATGCAGTCATAGTGGTGGTGACACAGGGGTGCTTGTGTCACTCCACCCCCAGCTTTAGCTATCTCAGAACAAACACACACAGAGTTACTCTGTATGTATGGGAGAAAGTAAGGGAAGAGAACAAGAGTCTCTGCCTGATAATCCAGAGAATTCTCTCAGATCTTGTCCCAAACATCAGGGTGGTACATCTACGAGGTTCTGCAAGAACCATAGAATTACTGGGTGTGGGGTGCCCCCTAGAGCAGATACGGATTAGATCACAACACTGAAGTCTTTCCAAATATTTGGTAAGTCTTACAAGAAGGATGACTACAAATAAGCCCAGACAGTGAAGACTACAATAAATACATAACTCTTCAATGCCCAGATACCAAAGAACATCTACTAGCATCAAAACCATGCAGGAAAACACGGCCATGCCAAATGAACTAAATAAGGGACCAGGGACCAATCCTGGAGAAACAGATATGGGGCCTTTCAAACAGAAAATTTAAAATAGCTGTGTTGAGGAAACTCAAGGAAATTCAAGGTAATATAGAGAAGAAATTTAGAATTCTATCAGAAAATTTTAACAAAGAGTTTGAAATAATTAAAAAGAATCATACAGAAATTCTGGAGCTGAAAAATGCAATTGGCATATTCAAGAATGCATCAGAGTCCCTTAACAGCAGAATTGATAAAGCAGAAGAAAGAATTAGTGAACCTGAAGACAGGCCAGTTGAAAACACATAGAGGAGATAAAAGAAAAAATAATAAAAAGCAATGAAGCATGCCTTCAGGATCTAGAAAACAGACTTAAAAGGGCGATTCTAAGAGTTATGGGCCTTAATGAGGAGGTAGAGAAAGAGAATATGGGGTAGAAAGTTTATTCAAAGGGATAATAACAGAGGACTTCCCAAACCTAGAGAAAGATATCAGTATGGAAGTACAGGAAGGTAATAGAACACCAAGCAGATTTAACCCAAAGATAGTAATCAAACTCCCAAAGGCCAAGGGTAGAGAAAGGACCCTAAAAGCAGCAAGAGGAAAGAAATGAATAACATACAATGGAGCTCCAACACATCTGGCACCAGATTTTCAGTGGAAACCTTACAGGCCAGGAGAGAGTGGCATAATATATTTAAAGTGCTAAAGAAAAAATCTTTTAGCCTATAATAGTATAATAGTATATGTGGTGAAAATGTCCTTCAAGCGTAAAGGAGAAAGAAAGACATTCCTGGACAAACAAAAGCTTGTACCATTGTACAAGAAGTGCTAAAGGGAGTACTTTAGTAAGAAAGAAAAGGACATTAATGAGCAATACATAGTACCTGAAGGTACAAACCTCACCGGTAGTAGCAAGTACCCAGAAAAACACAGAATATTATGACATTGTAACTGTGGTGTGTAAACTACTCTTATGCTAAGTAGAAAGATTAAATGATGAACTAATCAAAAAAAGTAACTGAAACAACTTTTCAAGACATAGTCAGTACAATAAGCTATAAACAGAAACAACAAAAAGTTAAAAAGTTGGGGAACAAAGTTAAGGTGTAGAGTTTTTATTAATTTTCTTTGAGCTTGTTTGTTTATGCAAATAATGTTAAGTTGTTATCAGGTTAAAATAATGGGTTATAAGATAGTATTTGCAAGCCTCATGGTAATCTCAAGCCAAAAAACATACGATGGATGCACAAAAAATAAAAAGCAAGAAACTAAATCATATCTCCAGAGAAGAACATCTTCACTAGAAAAAAACAAGAAGGAAAGAAAGAAGGAAAGGAAGTTCATAAAACAACCAGAAAACAAATAACAAAATGGTAGGAGTAAGTCCTTACCCATCAATAATAACATTGAATGTAAGTATCCTAGACTGACCAATCAAAAGACATAGACTGGCTGAATGGATGAAAAACCAAGACCCATTGATCTGTTGCCTGCAGAAGAAACACTTCACCTATGAAGACAAACATAGACTGAAAATAAAGGGATGGAAAAAGATATTTCTTGCCAATGGAAACCAAAAAGAGCAGGAGTTTTATCTCAGATAAAATAGATTTCAAAGAAGGTCACTATATAATGGTAAAGGGGTCAATTCAGCAAGAGGATAAAAGAATAATTTTAAATATGTAATATATGCACCCAACACAGAAGCACCCAGATAGATAAAGGGAATACTATTAGAGTTAAAGAGAGAAATAGGTCCCAATGCAATAATAGCTGGAGACTCCAACACTCCACTTTCAGCATTGGACAGATCTTCCAGACAGAAGAATCAACAGGGAAACATCAGAATGAATCTGCACTGTAGACCAAATGGATCCAATAGATATTTACAGAACATCTCTTCCAATGGCTGCAGAATACACATTCTTTTCCTCAGCACATGGATCATTCTCAAAGATAGACCCCATGTTAGATCACAAAAGAAGTCTTAAAACATTGAAAAAAATGAAATAATATCAAACATCTTCTCTGACCACAATAGAATGAAACTGGAAATAAGAATAATAATTTTGGAAACTACACAAATACATAGAAATTTTAAAATATGCTCCTGAGAGACCAGTGTGGGTCAATGAAGAAATTAAGAAGAAAATTGAAAAATTTCTAAAAACAAATGATAATAGAAACCCAGCATACCAAAACCTATGTGATACAACAAAAGCAGAACTAAGAGGGAAATTTATCGCTATAAGTGCCTACATCAAGAAAAAAAAAGGAAAACTTCAAATGAATAATCTAACAATGTATCTTAAAGAACTAGAAAAGCAAGAGCAAACCAAACTCAAAATTAGTCGAAGAAAAGAAATAATAAAGATCAGAGCAGAAACAAATGAAATTGAAATAAAAAAAAACTTAACATAAGATCAATGAAACAAAAAGTTGCAATTTTAAAGTTAAACAAAATTGACAAATCTTTAATCAGACTAAGCAAAAATACAAAAAAAATAGAAGAAGATCCAAATAAATAAAGTCAGAAATGGAAAAGGAGACATTACAACTGGTACTGCAGAAATTCAAAGGATCACTAGTGGCTACTAGGAGCAATTATATGCAAATAAATTGGAAAATCTAGAATAAATAGACAAATGCCTAGATGCATACAACCTACTGAGATTGAGCCAGAAAGCAATTTAAAACCTTATTATTTAAAACCAATAACAAGTAATGAGATTGAAGCTGCAATAAAATGTCTGCCAGTAAAGAAAAGCCTGGGACCTGATGGCCTCACTGCTGAATTCTACCAAACATTTCAAGAATAACTAACACCAATCATACTCAAACTATTCCAAAAAATAGATGAGGAGGGAATACTTTCAAACTCATTCTATGTGGCCAGCATTACACTGATACCAAAACCAGACAAAGTCACATCAGAAAAAGACTATGGGCCAATATCTCTTATAAATTTTGATGCAAAAATTCTCAACAAAATACTAGCAAACCAAATTCAACAATACATTAGAAAGATAGTTCATCATGATGAATAGGATTTATCCCTTGCATGAAAGGATAATTCAACATACCAAATCAATCAATATAATATATCATATCAACAGAATGAAGCATAAAAGCCACATGATCATTTCAATCAATATTGAAAAGCATTTGATACAATTCAACATCTAGTCATGATAAAAACCCTCAAAAAACTGGGGATAGAAGGAACACACTAATCTCAAGATAATAAAAGCCATATACAACAGGCCAACAGCTAGTATCATACTGAATGGGGAAAAACTGAAAGCCTTTCTTCTAAGATCTGGAACATGACAAGGATGGCCACCATCACTACTATTATTCAACATTGTACTGGAAGTCCTAGCTAAAGCAATTAGACAAGAATAAGATATAAAGGGCATCCAAATTAAAAAGGAAGAAGGCAAATTATTTTTGTTTGTAGACGATATCATCGTATATTTGGAAAACCCTAAAGACTCCACAAGGAAACTATAAGAACTTATAAACAAATTCAGTAAAGTTGTAAGATGCAAAATCAGCATAAAAAATCAGTAGCATTTCTATATGCCAACAACGAACAACATGAAAAAGAAATTTAAAAAGTAATCCCATTTACAATAGCCACAAATAAAACTGAATACGTATGAATTAACTTAATCAAAGAAGTGAAAGATCTCTATAATGAAAACTATAAAACACTGAGGAGAAACATTGAAGAGGACACCAAAAACTGGAAAAATAGCCATGTTCATGGATTGGAAGAATCAACACAATATTATTAAAATGGCCATACTACCCAAAACAATGTACAGATTCAATGAAATCATTATCAAAATACCAACGACATTTTTTACAGACATAGAAAAGTAATCTAGGCTGGTGTTGATTGTCTGGCTTTTCCAGGTGCACACTGCAAGCTCTCAGTGGATCTACCATTCTGGGGTCTGGAGGATGGTGGCCCTCTTCTCACAGCTCTGCTAAGCAGTGCCCCAGCACCCCACATTTCCCTTCCACACTGTCCTAGCAGAGGTTCTCCATGAGAGACCTGCCCCTGCAGCAAACTTCTGCCTGGACATCCAGGCATTTGCATACATGCTGTGAAATCTAGGCAAAGGTACCCAAACCCCAATTCTTGACTTCTGTGCACTGGCAGGCTCAACACCATGTGGAAGCTGCCAAGGCTTGAGGCTTGCACCCTCTGAAGCCACAGCCTGAGCTCTACATTGGCCCCTTTCAGCTGTGGCTGCAGCAGCTGGGATACAGGGCACCAAGTCCCTAGGCTGCATACAGCACGGGGACCCTGGGCCTGGCCCATGAGACCACTTTTTCCTCCTAGGCCTCCTGGCCTATGATGGGAGAGGCTTCCGTGAAGACCTCTGACATGCCCTGGAGACATTTTCCCCATTGTCTTGGGGATTAACATTTGGCTTCTTCTTCCTTAGGCAAATTTCTGTAGCCAGCTTGGATTTCTCCTCAGAAAATGAGATTTTCTTTTCTATTGCATTGTCAGGCTGCAAATTTTGTGAACTTTTATGATCTTTTTCTCTTTTAAAACTGAATGCCTTAACAGCACCCAAATCACCTCTTGAATGCTTTGCTGCTTAGAAATTTCTTCTGCCAGATACCCTAAATCATCTCTCTCAAGTTCAGAGTTCCACAGATCTCTAGGGCAGGGGCAAAATACTGCCAGTCTCTCTGCTAAAATGTAATGAATCACCTTTGCTCCAGTTCCCAACAAGTTCCTCATCTCCATCTGAGAGAACCTCAGCCTGGATTTCATTGTCAATGTCATTATCAGCATTTTGGTCAAAGCCATTCAACAAGTCTCTAGAAAGTTCCAAATTTTCCCACATTTTCCTGTCTTCTTCTGAGCCCTCCAAACTGTTCCAACCTTTGCCTGTTACCCAGTTCCAAAGTAGCTTCCACATTTTGGGTGGCCTTAGAGAGCAGTGGCAGGAAGAGGCAGGTGCCTTCCTGGAGGCCAGGGATGAGAGGCATGACCTGAGAATGGATTTGAAGAGGAAAGTTATCCCTGCCTTCTCCCAGCCATTCTTGCCACCGAGATGAGGAGGAATTGTTTTCTTTCCATGGATGCTGGAGTAACCTCAGGTCACAGAAATAGACCTAAGGACGAGCCAGCAAGGAGATGTCAATAGGCACTGACAGGCCCCAGGTCCCTTCCCTGGGACAACTGAGTCCTCTCCCCCTCACCTGTGCCTTCTGTGGCCCTCAGTGACTGACCCTCACTTAAAAGTCATTGCACTTTTCCTGTGCCATCTCTCAGGTCCTCCACCATATCCCAACACACCCCCTCCTCCAGTGGCAGGGAAAGGAATGGAGACTTGGAACCCACAGGAAGGAAACACCCAGGGCTGCTGGGAGGGGGAATGGAAGGACTTCCACAGTGCCCCCATGGGATCCTTCACTCCTTCTGCCCCAAAAAACTATTATAGCAGGAGACGATCTGTTCCTGTCCACTCTTTCGGCTTCTCCTTCTCATCCTAGACAGCCTGACCATGACCCAGTTTTCTGAGGAGTGATTGATTCTGGGTGCTGAGCGGGATGAGGAATCTCAGGCTCAGAGAGGGATTTCCACCTAATGTGGCTGGAAACCATATGTAGCTTCCCAATAAGGTCTTTCTGTGCTCAGAAGGTCATGGACCAGAAGTGTCAGTACAGCAGCTTTGTAGAGACAGTTCTGACCCTTGTACTTAGAGCAGAGGGGTGTGTTTGCTATGGAGAGTGTGTGGGGGCTGCTGTGTGTAAGCCTGTGTCAATACACGTTTGCACCCACATAAACATCTGTGTGGGCACAGCAATGCAGAGAGAAATTTGTGGACTAGGGAAGCATTGCTGAGTCATAGTAGTTTCCTACTGGGCAGGACTTGGGGTTTGCAACTGCATGCATGAGTACTTGCAAAGGCAGTTCAAAATAGTAGAGAGATGAAGCCAGGATAAAAAAAAATGTTGCAGAAAGACAGTGATCAGGGAGGAAAGTGAAGACTTTCTGCCAAAATGCCTGAGGGCTTCTCTGCCTACCTCAGCCCTCTGTGTTCTTAAATCCTCCTGTCTGAACAGAGGCCAGACTCTCATTTCACCCCAGCCTACCTGGGTCTGTCCTCTGCAAAGCCATGTGGCTCTACCTGGTGGTCCTCCAGGGCCTGTACTACCTTCTGTGCTCATACTGGGAGAGGCAGGTGGTGAGCCAGCTGAGAGACACATAGTGTTCATCATGAGCTGTGACTCACGCTTCAGGAAGCTACTGGCCAGACAACTGAATGCACAGGCTTGCGGGAGCTGCATGTAGGACAGAGAAGGGGACCAAGCAGCTGAGGGGCCAGACTTCAGACAGGCTGGAGACGGTGACCATGGACATCACCAAGACAGAGAGCATTGCTGCAGCTGCCCAGTGGGTGAAGGAGTGTGTGGGGGACAGAGGGACCACCTCAATCCCTCCTAGTGCCTGTTTGTTTCTCTTCTCTCTGTGTCACTAGGGGAGACCTAGTGTCTGCTAACTGGGAACATTTCCAGGACTTTTATTTTCGGGGGCTTGAGCTTTCTGCTTTCCAAAGCAGAAGTCCTAGAGTGGTTGTGGCTGGGCCCAGGGTTAGAGGAGTCCAGGCTGTGGTTAGAGCCCAGTCTCTGGATAACGTTGGGTCCTGACGGTTGGCATGAGACCATCGGGGATGGGGCTGGGCAGGATCCAGGCTTCTGATCTCAGCATTCTCTTACTGGTTCCTTCACACTTGTCCCTGTTGAGGGCTTTAAGATGATCTCCGCTTGATTCACGAGGACACTGGGGCTTGGAGAGCTGAAGGGACTTCACATCAAACACCGAGTGATGAATCCTGTTCCTTTTGGGGAAAGGGAGATCATTGATTGCTTTGTTCTGATTGTAAATGGAAAACATGAAGAAATTATAGAAGAGGATAAGATTGGATAGATAGGAGGATAAGATAGGATTTCTCATTGGAGAAATCATAGAAGAGGATGAGAGTGAAACAACATTCCCCCTAATCCCAGCCTCCAGGGTTAATTTCCCTCTACTTTACACATTCTGGGGTCAGCATTTTCATCATCAAGTTTCTTCCCCAACATAACAATCAAGGTCTCCATATTCCAGCATGTGGAGAGGCCATAATTTGTTAAAGGGATTCTATATTGTTGAATGCCGAAGTTTGTTACCCACTTTTCCTGGCATAAATAACATCTCAGTAGCGATTCTCTACCAAGGTTTGTTGACAGGCTTAGCAGTGCTATTCAAGAAAAGTACAACTATTGAATCAAAGAATCCTCATTCCTTCAAGTCCAGGAAAGGTTTCTGAGTAGGGGAAGGGCCACCATTGCAGGCCTTATTGTTTTTCCAATATTCCTAGGGTCAGTCTCCGTCTCCTGTACCCCCCAGCCCTCACCCACTCACACCCCTGCCCCTGCTGGCCTGGAGTCCGTAGTTCTGTAGCTCTGACTGCTCCAGATCTTTCATGCTATTAGTTTGCTCCCCTATGTCTTCTGTAGAGTCTTCCCCAAAGCTTGCTGGACCCTATGGGGATAGGGCAGAGGTGGCCTTATGAGATGGTGGGAGGAAAAGGTGGTACTTCCTGGGGCAGAGAGTGCAGTCTGGACACCTGTGTGGCATGAGACCTCTTTCCTTCCTCCCCTCCTGCTCTGGCCATTCAGTCCACAGTGAGCTTTGGGACTCCCAGGTACACAAGGTGACCTTTTCTTCCAGGACAGATATTGCCTTGACATTGATGCAGGTTGTAGCACAGCTTGTCCCCTGATGCCCAGTGCAGGCCTGCTCTCTAACTTCCCCCAGTCTTAGGATTTAAGTGTATCTCTCTTAACCAGGATGCAGAAAGCAATTATTTATGTGTTTTTCTTATTCTTTCCTTCCATTTTCCTTTCTCTTCTGTCCTTTCCCCTTGGTTTCTCTGTCTTACCCCATTCCTGTCTTCCTGTTTTCCTGTCTCTGTCTCTCTCCCTTGGAGAGATATTTGTTGGGTCCTGGAGGCATGGGGAGAGCATCTGAGTCCATACAATATACTCTTGTGGCCCTTGGAAGAGTACCCAATAAACTCAGCCTAGGACAACAACAGGGTTTTGGCCCTGACCTAAAAGCTCTGACACCTGAGAGAGGAGCAAGAGAGCCAGAACCATTGTTGCCAGTTCTCATAGGGGTTGTGACCCAGTCAGCCCTGGTGGCCATGGCAGCCTCCTAAGCTGGGGAGGGTCCTGGCAGTGGGATCTGAGCTGGAGATTGAGGATCCCCACCTGGCAGCCTTGAACAGAAATGGGGGAATGACTTTTGTCTTCAGCCCAGACCTAGGGGGAGCCTCAGCTGCCTGCCTGTGCTGTGGGGTCCTCATGAGGTGAAGCACAGGGCCAGGCCTGTGGAGGAGGCTGGGCAGGTGGGTTCATATGGGCTCGTGGAGGCCCTGGACAGGAGCTGTGCCTCATGCTGTTGGCAGTGGAACCCCCAAAGAAGGGATTTGCTCAGGGGAGCTCTTTGGTCTAATCGGCTTCTAGACACCCACTTACTGCAGGGAGCCCAGTGGCTGTGAGTGTGGGGAGCCAGACTGAAGGCAGAGGGACGCTCCTTAGAGGACAGCTGCCATCACCCAGCTCAGAGGCCAGGGAGATTCCTGGGGCAGGAGAAGAAGGGAGGGGACTGAGGACTGCAGAGGAGGTAGAATGTGGGAATTCTGGTGATCCATTGGATGTGAGGGGCATAGGAGGTGATAGCACTGAGATGCTGCCTTGCTCTTGAATTGGTAGGACTTAGGGCTAGTAAGCTTTGGTATGTAAAATATGGAAACCCCAGAGAGAGGCAAGGCCACCATCATAACTTTTATCTGCTATCTGCTGCCCTTCCCAACTCTCCAAGCTTTCTTGCATCTCCCACTGTCGTTGCATGCTGGGTTTGTATTGGGTTTCTTTGTTTTTTGTATTTTGCCTCCCAAAATTTCTTAAGTCCTTGCCCTTCTGCATGTCTGCCATGCAGGAGGGAGCTCTCCCACTTTGGAGTGAAGGTGTCTGTGATTGAACCTGGTCACTTCAGGACCAGTATGGCCGGCTCTGAGAGGCATTTACAGAACCTCAAGGAGCTGTCGGACTAGGCCAGCCCCGAGGTCAAGGAGACGTATGGGGAGAAGTTTCTGATATCCCGTGAGTGAGCTGTGGACAGTGGGGAGATAAAGAAATCCTTGTCTAGAAGTCTGGGTCCATCATTAGTGCCTCCAACAGTATGAGAATCTGTCCTCCAAACTCTGCCTCCCCAAAAAAGTGAGGACATTTATCCCCATTCCCAGGGTGCCATGTGGTCAACTGTTCACCTAAAGGAAGCATCCAAGCTTTCTATAATTGGGACCACTGCCTCATCTGAATCCCTCATTATTTTGAAGAGGAAACTAAAGTCAGAGACAGTGGCTACCAGTGGGCTCATGGGCAGCTGGGTTTAGAGATAGCTGATTTTCATATTCTTAGGCTGTTAGTAGAGACCTTCCATTTATGAGTCCAGATATCTCAAAAAGAGAGGCAGAGGGGGCTTAGAGTGAAACGGATGTTCCTTGGGTGAAGGTTGGGGCACTCTCTGGGGAATATGGATGGATTAGACTTGAGGCATATCATTTGGGGGGCCTGGAATTCTTAGACACTGTCCTCCTAATTCAGAGCTCTAAATGGGAGGGAAGGGATGTGCTAGTACTTTAAGGATCTTTCCTCATCCTTAACATGCATCAGAAAAGCATCTAGAAGGCTTTGGGCAAAATGCAGTACGAATCTATCCTTGTTGACCCACTGCATGGAGCGCTCACTACTCAGCTGGCTGAGACACCAATCTTCTCTACCTCCCCATGAGCGACATGCCTACCTTCCTATGGACGTCACGCTCAACTGGGGCTCTCCAAGGCTGGCTAAGCCCCTGTGAATCCAAGACTGGGGTGCATGGTTGGGTGGAGCTGGGTGATCTGGGTGAGGTGATGTGTCTTGGGGAGAGTAATGGTGTGGTGGGAGGGAGCACTCTTGCCATTTGGATGCCTATCCCAGCTTCTTCCTCATGCCCTCCACAGAATTCCACTGAGATATCACTCAGGACTGGCAACATAGGAGGAAAGAACCAAGGTGTTCTTCTAAAGATTGGGACCCAGTAACGCTCATAGGTGTCCTGTTGCCTTTGAGTCTCTTGGCCAATTCTGAGGAGTCTACACAATGGGAGCGTGTGAGGAGGGGAAGGATCCACAGCCCACACCTTCTCTGCCTCCTGCTTCTTCCCCAGGTGTGCATCAACCTGGCCAGTCTATTACACTCTCTCCATGATGGAAATGGCCTGGAGGAAGTGGATGGGGGCTCCTCTGAATATACCTGTGGATAAGGTGTGGGGCGACAGGGCAGCCATCAGCCTGACCCCTAGACCTCAGGTGCCAGCTCTGGGGGCATTGGCTGGCAGTGGTGTTCTCGATAGGGATTCTGACAGAGGACACAGGAACCAATGTTTGACCCTCTTAAAACCATTGGCTGGCAGTGGTGTTCTCAATAGGGATTCGGACAGAGGACACAGGAACCAATGTTTGACCCTCTTGAAACCATGACCCTCAAAAAACCATCTGGTTACTTTAGTTCTAGAGCAAAAGCTAAAAAGTGCAGCCATGTGCAGCAAGTTGCCTTCTAGTCTGAGGGGAGCATGGGCTGTGAACAAGAGGGAGGAGGAGGCAGGTGCCTTCATGGGGATCTGGGGATAAGAGGGATGAACTCAGGAGGAAATTGAAGAGAGAAGTTGGATTATCCCTGCCCTGTCTCAGCCCTTTCTGCCACCAAGGTGAGGGGCAATTGTTTCCTTTCCAGGAGTGAATCAAGTAGCCTGGGGTCACAGGAGTGCACAGAGGGACAAGGAAGCAATGACATGTCACAAAGGCACTGGCAGGCCTCTTTGTAGCACTTTGTAGCGACCTCTTTGTAGCACTCAGTGACCGGCCCTCACTTTAACATCATTGCACTTGGGAGGGGTGCTGTTTCATGGGGTGAGAAATAGAGTGGTGGGAGGGAGCTCTCAAGTTCAGGGTCATGTACCTCACTTCCCTCACCTCTGTTCTAGTTTTTTTCTGGGACGTTATTCAGGACTCTGGTGATATTAGGAGGAAAGAACCACATTTTGCTGCTTAGGAAGGGAGACCCAATCACAGATAATGGCATCCCACTTCCTTGGGCTCTGAGCTTCATGGCCCACCTGTCAACCTGAAGAATCCACACTTGTGGAAGGTCTTGAGCAACTGGGGGTGGGTGAGCCCACACCTGCTCTTCCTCCTGTCTACCTCATCAGGGTGTGTCTTGGACCTCAGCAGTCTATGCTCTCCCACTGGAGGGAAATGGCCTGGCAGAGGAGAGGGCTCCTCTCCTCTGAGATACCTGTGTGCATGGGGTGGGGATGGGGAGTGCAGCTACCAACCTGACCTATCAGACCTTAGGGGCCAGCTTGGCAAGGAATGCTGTCATCTGAGAGAGGGAGGCATTTCTAGCCCTGGGAAGAAGAGCCTTCTATGTGGTCCTACCTCCCTCACACCCCCCACCCTCATGGACTGTGTGTTTAGTTTGAGGCCAGGGGAACACTGCCAGCATAGAGGCCCAGGAGGTGCTGAGTCAGGCCCAGGCCTGTGCTGGGGCAGTTCTGAGTTATCCTTATGCTAAGTCAGACCCAACTCCTGGACCTCACCTGTGTCCTCAAGGACTGGGATACCCAATGCCCCGGACCTGCTCAGTCTTGAGTGACATGGTCTGACCTGTTTCAGCCAAGACTTCTCTGTTCATTCACCCAGGAGGCAGACAGAGACTGGGAGATTGTTCCCAGATCCCGCATAGGAGGTGCTCTGCCTCAGGTTGGTTATGAAGTAGGTGTGGTTTGCTTTCTACCATTTCCCACCTCCATCCCCTATAAGCTTTAGGTCTGCTCTTTGGGGGTGGGTTCATAATCTGGCCCCCTCCCCTACTTTGTTAAGGAACGGCCAAACCCTGCGGGGCTTTCCCAGGGTGACACCTGCTTTATGTGATTCCACGCTGGTCAGACTTGGCAAATGGTGGATCACAGAGATACATCCTTTGTCCCTTCACACTAGAGAACTTTGTGGTCCCATTTCTGTGTCAGACTCGCTAAGCCATGAAGGTGTGAGCTAGGACCAGGCTCATCCCAAGGAATGGTGACCCTAGATGTTGATCCAAAGAACCACAGAGGCTCCAGCATCATTCCCTGCATCTTATGCAATTCTGGGTGTGGCCCCTCACTACTCACACCTCTGGTTTCCTTATTTCCTTTCCTTTACCACCTTACCTCTTAGCTTTCTGTAAATTATTTGCTAAATTGCCTAGAATCTCTGTTTCTCCTCCAAGTCCCGACCCTGAGAATTTTCTATGTCTCTGGCCCCAGTTCTCTGCTCCTCCTATATCTCATCCCCTCTTACAGTCAAGGCCTCTGCCCAGACAATTCCCTCAGCTGCCCAGTGAACTCATGATCCCTCCTCATCATCTTGCCCAGGGCTGCTTACTGGTGACCTGAGTATGACCCCCACAGGGTGTCAGGCCTGAGTCCCCCAGGTCTTTCTGCTTTCTGGTGGCTAAGCTTCACATGCCAGCCTCCCCTATAGGAGGGCCCTGCTGCCTCTAGCCTCAGGACAATGGAGGTACATCCACCCTAGGAGAAATCCATTGCTTTTCATCCTCTCTCATGATGGAGACTTACCTAAGAATTCCAGAGAGCTGATGACCTGCGACTTGTTTCTCTTGGGGTTTGGAAGGTACAGAACCAATGTTGTTTGTTTTACATTAATAAATTTGTCTTGAGTATTTTCCCTGAAAATAAACTTATTTACATACCTGCACTCACGACAAATGATTTTGATCCCTGGAGACCAAAATCCCCAGGCTGGGTTGGGGGCAGGGTGGGGACAGGATTTCTAGGGGAGCTGTCTGGGGTGAGTCCTCATCTTTCATTTGCCTGCCTTACACCGCCTGGGTGAGCCACCACTCATCACCAACATTACAAGTGGATTATTTCCAATTCTTGGCAGCTTTACCCATCAGGGCAGGGGGAGAGAGGGAGGCAGCTACCAGGGCTGTCAGAGGTGACAAGGCTTCAGGTTGGACTTGAATTTCTTGCATCTGGGCTAATTGCTGTGGTGATGCATCCACCTATAAAAATTACAGCGTGGCTCACCCAGGGACCTAGATTTGTTGCAAGCTGTGGGAGGAAGGAGAGTTCTTCTTCCAGGTGGTTTCCTGCAGACTGCCTGCTAGGGCTCAGAGGACCAGCTTCTTCCCTGCTGTCTCCTGAGCCCAGTCCCTCTTGGCCATCACATTCCCCTTGCCCTATGGCGGCCCTCACAGACCTCTCATTTATGTATCGCTGGTTCAAGAACTGCAATCTGGTTGGCAACCTCTCAGAGAAGTACGTCTTCATCACAGGCTGTGACTCTGGCTTCGGGAACCTGCTGGCCAAACAGCTGGTTGATCGGGGCATGCAGGTGCTGGCTGCTTGCTTCACTGAGGAGGGATCCCAGAAACTTCAGCGGGATACCTCCTATCGGCTGCAGACCACCCTACTGGATGTCACCAAGAGCGAAAGCATCAAGGCGGCGGCCCAGTGGGTGAGGGACAAAGTGGGCGAACAAGGTGGGGCGAATTACATTCTTTGGCTTTCTTGGTTTCTCCTTCTTCCTCTTCCTCTCTCCCGAAGCATCTGACAGTATCAGAGACCCTGATGTCCAGATTGGGTGGGAGGGGTGATGTAGGGAAAGGCCCCTGCCTCAATCTGATTGGAAGCCACTGCATGGTTTGGCCTGTTCACATGAAGGGGTGATTTCCCAAGGAAGTTTTCTGTCCTGGAAACTCAGAGAAACGGGAAAGAGGTCTCAATAGGAAGCGAGGGGGGAAGATGTGTTCTGTGTGTCCAAACCTCTAAAAATGGACGTGCCTGGCTGGGCGTGGTGGCTCACGCCTATGAGCCCAGCACTTTGGAAGGCCGAAGTGGGAGGATCATGAGGTCAAGAGATCGAGACCATCCCGGCCAACATGGTGAAACCCCATCTCTACTAAAAAGTATAAAAATTACCTGGGTGTGGTGGCACGTGCCTGTAGTCCCAGCTACTCAGGAGGCTGAGGCAGGAGAATCACTTGAACCCGGGAGGCGGAGGTTGCAGTGAGCCAAGATTGCGCCACTGCACTCCAGCCTCGTGACAGAGCAAGAATCCCTCTCAAAAAGAAAAAAAAGAAAAAAAAAGGATGTGCCTCTCTGATGTTTCAGCAGTCCTAACCATCAGCTCCTGGGGAAATACAAACACATTTCTTGTTGGGATCAGGATGGGGGAGGGGGAATGAGACAGGAGGCTGGATCCCATGAGTGGGTGCAGTTTGTCTCCTTGACTATGTCAGGCAGGGGAGAAAGAGATCTGGTCTCTTCTTGACATCATGGTGGGTGTTGATTTGACTTCAGGGCAAGTATGTATGTCACAGTGGCTGCTCCTATTGGGAAAGGAAGCTGTGGACTGGGGCTGGCCCAGGACTGTGTGGGGACCTGCCTCATGCACTTCCAGCACACAGGGTGTGGGCCCAGGAACAGGAGGAACAGGATGGCTGAGTTGCAGAAGCAGCAGACTAGAGGAAGTCCTCCCTCCTAAAGGAACTAGTCTGGAGCCCATGCGCAGGTCAGGGCAACAGAGCCCTGGAGCCAGGGGGATCTAGACAGTAACTCCCTGCTTGATTCTTCTCCTTAGCACTTATCACTAGTCAATGTACAATAGATTTTACTTATTTATTGTCTGTTTCCTCTGCTAGAATAAAGCTTCCTGGGGACAAGGATTTTTGTCCCTTTTATTTACTGTACATCCTTAGTACCTAGAATAATGTCTGGCACCTAGTAAGGTACTGAATAAATAGATTTGAGTGAGCTAATTAATTAATAATTCAGCAAGAGTGAGCCTCTGTCTTCAGCAGGCTGTCTCAGCCAGTTCCCTACATTCAGCCTTGAGCCACTTGCCTTAATACCTCACTTAGCATGTGAGTTTCCTGTTGCTATTGTAACAAATAACACAACTGTGGGGTCTGAAGACAATACAAACATATTATCTTGTAGTTGTGGAGGAGTAATGTCTAAAATAGGCCTCACTGATCTAAAATCAAAGTCAGCAGAGCTGTGTTCCTTCTAGAGGCTGTAGAGGAGAATCCGTCTCATCGACTTTTCCAGCTTCCAGAGGCAGCTGGCATCCCCTGGCTCCTGGCCTGCTACCTCCATCTTCAAGGCCCGCAAGGTTGGGCCCAGTCTTTTTCACACTTTTCTCAAGCTCTCTGATTCTCCGGTTTCTGCCTCTTTCCACTTAGGACTTGTGATTATATTGGGCTCACCAGGTTAATCCAGGATAATTTCCCGTGTTAGCTTCCTCCCTAACTTTAAGGACAATTAATTAGCAACCTCCATTCCACCTGCAACCTTAATTCCCCTTTCCCATGTAATCCAGCAGATTCACAGGTTCCAGAGATAATGAGGATGGGGACATCTTTGGGGGACCATTATTTTGCCTAAGCCACTTGGCAATATCCTGGTCTAAGAAACACTGGGAACTGGGGTGGGTAGGGGGATGGGAGAGGAAGTTCTTTCATGCTTTCTCATTGCTCCTGAATGGAGAAAGGCAGGGAGACTGGGTAGGGGCATGGCTTGGGTGGGGACCCCAGCCCTAGAGGGAGGGGTGGACTAGGATTTATGTTTGTGTTGAGACCTGCCCTCAGGAGACAGTGGGATGCGCCTGCAGAGTATCTTGGGGCTGCTGAGGCTGGGGCTGTGGTGCGAATCACCAGGCAGTAGGACTTGGGGAATCCTTGCATGAAGGAGCTGGAAGGGGTCCTTGAGGAGTGTTTAGAGGGGTTTACAGTAGAACCCCAATATGTAAAACAAATGAAAGGAGAGCTTCTCCTGCATTTTCCTCCCCCTAGAAGGCTTGCAAAATACAGCCTGGAAACAACTGTTTTAGTCTAATCTGATGAAGAGCCTGAGGCCCAGAGAGGGAAGTGACTTGTTCAAGGCTGGAGGTAAAACCAGGACTGGACCTGAAGCTCTTCAACCCTGGGCCCCTGCAGAGTTGAATGACAACACTTAGCATTATTTCTTTCCATTTGTACCAACCTAATTGAAATATCTCAAGGATAGTCCTCATCACATTTTCCATAATTATTTTATTTAAATATTTTATATATTTATTTATAAATATTATTATTTCCTTCTAGGCTTGTGAGTTCCTTGAGGGATAAGATGCTGTGTTGTTCATTTTATGTCTCCTTTGCCCTGTATTTTACTTTATTTTATTTTATATCGTTTTATTTCATTTTATTTTTAGAGACAGAGTCTCACTCTGTCACCCAGGCTGGAGTGCAATGGCACCATTATAGCTCACTGTAACCTCGAACAAGGTAACCTGTAACCCGGGCTCAAGTGATTCTCCCACCTCAGCCTCCCAAGTAGCTAGAACTACAGGCACATACCACCACGCCTGACTAATTTTTTTTCTTTTTTTGTAGAGACAGGGGTCTTACTCTGTTGCTCAGGCTGGTCTCAAACTCCTGGCCTCAAGTGATCCTCCCACCTCAGCCTCTCAAAGGGTTGTGATTACAAGTGTGAGTCACTGCACCTGGCCTCCTTCACCCTGTAATTGTCACAGACTAGATAAATGCATGAATAAATGTGTGAAGATGAATGAATGAATGGATTGATTTTGGTAGTATGTGAAATGCAGTTGGTTATACTTAAGTGAATAGAGAGGGAGAAGTATGATGGGGAAGGGATCTAAACATTAATTCATTGGTATGAAAATGAAACTCTTATCCCAAAGCTGATAGCTGAAATGCTGTCACCTAACACCTCGATTGTAGCTAGTACAGAGCGCCAGCTAGCCGGCAGACTTTATGTGAATCAGGAAAAAGTGTCCCTTCAGGGAAAACGAGTTAGTAAAAGACACACCTTCCTTTTATGTTATAGCCTGACCGAGTTATGTCTTGTGCACCTGCTCAACCATCCTTGAGGGCACTGAGCCGGTGGGGAGCAGAACTTGGTTCTTTCCCAGGCCCACTGATGATTTCTGTGTGGTTCATCTCACCCCCAGGCCTCTGGGCCCTGGTGAACAATGCTGGTGTGGGCCTGCCCAGTGGTCCCAACGAATGGCTGACCAAGGATGACTTTGTGAAGGTGATTAATGTGAACCTGGTGGGACTGATCGAAGTGACCCTTCACATGCTGCCCATGGTCAAGAGAGCCCGGGGCAGGGTTGTCAACATGTCCAGCTCTGGTGGTCGTGTGGCTGTCATTGGTGGTGGCTACTGCGTCTCCAAGTTTGGCGTTGAGGCCTTCTCTGACAGCATAAGGTAACTGGGCCCTGGTACTGAACAATTCTGGGTGAAAATCCCAGAGATTAGAGAGGGTTGGGAGTGACAGCATGTGGGCAGGGGAATTCCGCAGACAGGAAGCTAACACAATAGCAGAAGGAAGGTTAGACCTCAAGGTGCTTTCTCCAAGGACCAAGAGCAGGGATGAGGAGAAGAGGTAGGGTGGAAATACAAGGCATCAGGTGGGCCTTCCCTTGAGCGGCACCAGGGTGAGTGAAACCCTGTTTGGGCCTGTGAGAGGAGGGAGAGTCCCCCAAACAGACAGACAGGCCTGGAGGCACAGGTCCCCTCTGGGAGGTCCTTAGAGGAGCGTGCAGGCCTTGTGTATATCCACACCATTCACCGTGTGGGTGTTGAGTGAGGGGTTGCTAATGGGAGGGACCTGGTGGGAGGCAAGGCTTTGGCCTAGATTCTCTATTGACTTCTTCCCGCTGGTTGTGCCTAATGCAAATTGCCCAGAGACTGTTGGGCCAGTTTTGGAAAGGGCTGAGTCCCTAAGGAAGGGCTTATTTGCACAAAGGCAATGCCAGGGCCAAGTACAGGGGTGAGAGAAGCATCTCTAGGTTCCTGAAAGACCAGCCCATCCAGAGGTGACTCTCCGTGATGATTGTCATCTTGGGGCCCAGACTGACTGCAACTCTTCTTTCCCAGGCGTGAGCTCTACTACTTTGGGGTGAAAGTCTGCATCATTGAGCCAGGGAACTATCGGACAGCCATTCTCGGCAAGGAGAACCTGGAGTCACGCATGCGAAAGCTTTGGGAGAGGCTGCCTCAGGAGACCCGGGACAGCTACGGAGAGGATTATTTCCGCATCTGTAAGTTCCTGGGGCAGGAGAGGGGTCTCTGAGGGGGGCGAGTGGGTCTTGGGGTCATTAGCTGGCTTTCCGTTTACAGATGGTGAGACAAAATGCAGAGGAGTTCAGGACCCAAGGTCACATAGTGGCACAGCTGGGGTTTGAGAATAGAGAGCAAGTGGCAGAATCATCACTTCTGGAGCAGCCCGGGGAGTTAAGGGCAATTCAGCCCACTCCTGGCACCTGCCCCCACAGCATCATGATGCAGGGGAATCAGGTGAAAATGCACTGAGATAAATACAGCAAAGAGATCAAGGGCATGGCTGCTGGAGCCGGACTGCCTGGGTTCAAATCCTGGCTCTACTACTTACCAGCTAGGAGACTTTGGACCTATTACCTAGTTTTCCCATGCCTCAGTTTTCTTATTTACAAAATGGAGCTAAAGATAGTGCCTCCCTCATGGGGTTGTTATGAGGGTTAGTATGTGTGAAGTACTTTGCACATTCTGAGTGCTTGTTAATAAAGAAGAAAATGAGCACATGGGGATTTAAAAGGGAGGGTCTCTAGGCAACTCTCTTTCTTTCCCTGAGCTGAGGGTCTCCTGTGAATCATAGGTGTTTTTGGAGGGTAGAGGTGGGACACGGCAGCTGTTTACCCTGCTGCCCCAAAACTTTCTGCCACGAAAGTTGTCTGCTGGATGTCGTACGTCAACAGAGCACAAAGCCAAGTCAGCCATTTTTTTCACTTAATACATACACACTTTATTGCATTTTTGTTTTTTGTTTTTGTTTTGAATCAGTAATACAAAGCATGCAAGGCTGCCATGTCCCAAGCCTGTGTGGGGCTGGAGAGCTGGAGCGGACACAGCAGTATGCCTGCCCTTCACTGCCTGTAGCTTATGGCCCAGTAGGGGAGACAAACATAAATCAAAACACATGTGTTTATGGTAGATGTGGATAAGTGCTACAGAGGAGAAACAGGGTTGTGAAAGAAGAATGGAGCAGGAAGTTGCGGTCCCAATTCAGACTATGGTGAAGGGGAGAGCTTCTGAGTTGACTTTGAGGAGGAATAAGAGTTAGGTGTTGCTGGGAAGGGGAAAGAGGGGATGCGTAGGGACTTTTTTTCTGCAGGAAGGCTCTGAGGCAGAAAACTCCATTTGAGGAACTTTAAAGAAACCAGCAGGTGGGAAGCAATGGGAGGTAGCTGGGGTATACGGAATAAATTAGAGCATCAAAGCACACTGAGGATTAAGGGGTGAGGGAGAGGAAGCTATCAAGGGTGAGTGTTAGCTTTACAGCTTGAAGAACATGGTGAATGGAGGTGTCTTCATTCATTGATTTAGGGAAGTCTCAGGGAAAAATGTTTGGAGTACTCCTTAGATAAATTCATCTTTTAGTGCTAGACATGTTAGGATTCTGTGAGAAGAAAATGTCTAAGGATTTACACTAGTTGGGACTTACTCAGTGACAGAAGATCCAATGCAAATTATTTAAGCAGAAAAGGAATTTCTTGCCTCACCTGACTAAAAAGTTGAGCAAGATAAGCTTCAGGTACAACCTGACCCAGACTGCAAATGATGTTGCTAGGACCTGGTTCCACCCATTTCTTGGCTCTGCTTCTTTTGCACTGACTCCAGTCTCTAAGCTCTCTCCCCTGTGGGAGCCACATTGCTGCAGCCTCTCTTCACCTCCACCTAGGGTGAGGTCTGCTGGGAAAATAGGAGAGTTATTTCCAGTACCTCTCCCAAAAGTCCTAATGTACACTCCGACTTGGAGGACCTTATGGTGACCGCGTCATGGGGGACCACAAGATGCACCCAACCCTAAACCAATCACTGCGCCCAGGGGAATGTGAAGGTGTGATTGGCTCAGGCTGGGCTGTGTGCTCTGCCCAGACCAATGGACACAGTGTGGGGGAGGCATAGGTCCCCAGAGGGAAATCTGCAGCTGTTGGGAACAAGGAGAGAAGATGTTAGCATGTGTGGGGAAGAATATTTATCCTCTGTGTGATCATTCTTAGCAAAGAGTAGTTCAAATTATTTGTGGAGCTGCTTGGAGGCTGGGGTGAAATGGGTTCAGCCAGTGTCTGGAAACCTCACAAAGTCATTTTCTAAGTAAGCACTCAGGGTGAAGAGAGCTTGTAGCATCTTTAGTGTGGTCCATGAAAGAATATGTATAAAGGCAAACTCCTCCGAAAACCTTGTCCAAAAGCTAGTATTGTACTAAAGAATAGTAAGGATTGGGTTTATAAAATATCTTAGGCCAATTCACCTGTAGTCCACACCATAATTTCAGAGGAAAATTTTCAGGCAGTGGTCAACTACATTTAGATAAACGTTTTCCCAAGTGGTTATACTAGAATTTTTGCTTCAGTTGCCCAGTGTTTATTGGGATTCAGAGATGAGACACTCTCCAGGAAACTAGCAGGGAAGATGTGAAAGCAAATACACCACCACATGAAGAATCTTGCTATAATGGACATGCATACAAAACAAAGCAGCAATGCAGACTTCATTCTGCTGTCACAGAAGCCTTACAGAGGTGACAGTTAATGCCTTAGTGAGTTTTGAAGGATGAATAGGAGTACACCAAAAGGGAAAGAGATGGCGGATGTTTCACACAAGAGGAAGGGTGTGAGCAACGTTTTAGTGACCTGACATAGCATTGTATGCTTTTGGAGGCAGTGCAGATTCAGGCTTGTATTCCAGCAGTCCCTCTAATCATGTTGTATAGCTCTCCAAACTTGTTTATCCATTTATAAAGTACAATTCCTCTCTCATGGATTGTTAGGAGAATTAAACAGAAATGCAAAGTACTCAGCTCTGCTACAGTAAGAGCTGAACAAACCTTTGCCATTGCCATTATAGTCTGGCAGGAGTGCTGTGGGTGATGATTGAGGAGGGGAGAGATTAGGAGTCAGATCATGAAATGCTTTGATTGCTATAGTAGGGAGCATGGCTCTTATCCTAAAGGCATTAGAGAGCCTTGTAAATGGCTCTGAAATGAAGGATCAGATTTGTGTCACCGTGGGAAGGATAAAAAGTCCACCTGGGGGACTACTGCAGAAACCCAGTGAAGGAACGATAAAGACATGAAGTTGTAAGTCCTGATGGTTCTGGTGGTGGGGGGTGGCTATGTGACAGACAGAAGAGATATTTAGGAGTAGTCCTAGAGCATCGCTGGGTACAAACTCAGCCAGTTGCTGTGACTGACCAAACAGGCCCCTGGCTTGTAACCCCTAGGACCAGGCCTGATACTTTATAGATTTTGTCCTGCTTAATTCTCCCAATAACAAAAACATTTTCCCAGGTGCCCAGCTCCAAAGCCTATGTCCTTCCTCACTGTGAAGGAGAGTGACAAAGCTGGATGGGTCCTTCCGTCTCCCATCCTACTCCATGCCTAGCAGGGTGCCCAGCACTGAATGGCAGCTAATATCTATTTGAGAAAACAATGAAAGCAAGTGCCTCATACCATTCCCCATGTCTGGGGTAACTTCTCCCACCCCACTGCCTGTGCAAGCCCTCCCCACCTCTCAGAACCCAGTCCCCAGCCCATCTCACCATGTCAGCTTGCTCCACATCCTCAGCCCACAAAGCTTTCCCTGGCGCCGAGGGGGCAGAGAGAGCCTCCTGGGCATCCTGAACGATTCCTTCGACCCTCAGCCCTGCTGCTGGTGGCCTCTGTGCCAGCTCTACGGTCAGAGGTCAGGGTGTGGCTTCCTAAGACATTACTGCTTTATGGACAGTCTGGCTTTGAGTTAGTGTGGCTCTTGTTGAGATCCCAAAATATAGTTTGGCTTTTCCCCTGCATCAGTTTTCTTTCCAGGAAACAGAAAATGGAGTTTCTCGGAGTCTGGGGTGAAGGGGACTGAAGTGATGCTGCCCCATTCTCACCAACCACCCACAAGGGTCCTGGCCCCAAGCGGGTGAATTCCTTGCCTGCCTGGACCATTCTCAAAGTCAGGGCAGCTTTGGCTTCCTCTCCATTTTCAAGTTTTCATACCTTATCAGGGCAGTCTGACTTTGAAGCATCATTTTCCCTGGAGTCCTCAGGGCTCTCAATGAAGCATGAATCCCCCTGTCCTGGGGTGAGGATGCAGATGAGGGCCTGGTGGGTGTGTGGTGTGGCCCTTCTCCCATTTATGTCATGAACTTTGGCAGACTTGTACTATTTGGGTGCTCTGTCCCCATCTCCACCCCTGTGGGTCAATGCAAACAGAACAACTCCTCACATTTGTGAGGGCCCCACGAGGTGCTTGTCTATGCCTTAGATTATTTGAGTGACAGTGGCCTTATGACTGAGGTAGGGGCAGTATTACTATTTTTAAATAATATTTTCTCCTGCATGTTTTTGTTTAAATGTGGGAACTCTAGGAAGTACATAGAAGAAAAAAAAAAGGGCTGTTTTCCCATCATGTTTGCTCTTCTGTACTCCCCCAGTGTCTACCCTGCTGTTAATCATCTTTGTTATTCTCCAGGACAGATATTTTTTGAGATGGAGTCTCACTCTGTTGCCCAGGCTGGAATGCAGTGGCGCGATCTTGGGTCACTGCAACCTCCCACTCCTGAGTTCAAGTGATTGTCATGCCTCAGCCTCCTGAGTAGCTGCGATTATAGGCACGCGCCACCACGCTCACCTAATTTTTGTATTTTTAGTAGAGACAAGGTGTCACCATGTTGGCCAGGCTGGTCTCAAACTCCTGACCTCAGGTGATTGGCCTGGCTTGGCATCCCAAAGTACTGGGATTACAGGCCTGAGCCACTATGCCCAAACTTTAGGAAAGATAGTATTATCTCCATTTTATAGACAATAAAAGTTTAAGCTCAAAGTCATATAACTAATAAGCGGCACAGTTATAAGGAGAATGTGCACAGTTCTTCTCATCACCAGTCTAATGCAATAGTAGGACTTCAATGCACAATTGTTGAATTCAGAAAGATAAATAAGACTATTTGTTTATTTATTTATTTATTTATTTATTTTGAGACAGCGTGTCATTCTGTTTCCCAGGCTGGAGTGCAGTGGTGTGACCTCGGCTTACTGAAACCTCAGCCTCCTGGGTTCAAGTGGTTCCCATACCTCAGCCTCCCGAGTAGCTGGGATTACAGGCATGTGCCACCAAGCCCAGCTGATTTTTATATTTTTAGTAGAGATGGGGTTTCACCATGTTGGCCAGGCTAAGATTATTTATAATAGTCTTATAAATGTGTGTTTGTATAAGGGACCACCTGGAGGGTGTGGCGGACCTGCCTGAAATGTTAGATCAGGGATCTGATGGAAAGGGAACTTGGATGGAATTCGGAAGAAGCCATCTTTTATGAAGAATAACAGAGCCTTTTTCCCCTCTCTGCCCTCAAACAGATACTGACAAGTTAAAAAACATAATGCAGGTGGCAGAGCCCAGAGTCAGAGATGTCATCAACAGCATGGAGCATGCTATTGTTTCCCGGAGCCCTCGCATCCGCTACAACCCTGGCCTGGATGCCAAACTCCTCTACATCCCTCTGGCTAAGTTGCCCACCCCTGTGACAGATTTCATCCTAAGCCGGTACCTTCCAAGGCCAGCGGACAGTGTCTAAACTGGGGAGGATCAATGGGTCAGTGGAGCCTAGAAGTGGGGGAGGAAGGAAGGACCGTGGGGTCACAAAAGGTGGTATCGGTTATCCTGGGGGCATTGGCTGCAAAGGAAGCTTGGCTCAGCTGACACCCACTGCTGTCGAATTTACCAGTAACTTCTAACAGAAGGTGAATGCCTCTTCCCACCCTCTGGGACCCCACAGAAACCTGAGGTGGTCTTTGCAGGTTCAGCGATCTGCAGCAATAGCTCCAAGGACGTCTGTCACCCAATCAGGATACAGCTTTTTCTGGTCCTGGAAAAGTCATGGAGAAGAAAACCAGCTCCTGTGGAATCATGAGCCCCTTTCAGTTATCACTGCCACTGAGAAATACTGTGGGATAATCTTGCCTCCAGGAGAATCTAACCACCTTCCTAATGGGTCCCTCAATATGCATAACTTCATTCACATAACCCATTACTGAAGTATGCGGTAGGGCAGATAGGGAGTGCAAGATTAAATCAGACAAAAGTTTAAAATATTTTCTTTCTTTTTAGATTCTTCTATCTATAGGTTATTGGGATCCACATGAAATAACATTCATTTATTTAATCACCATTAATTTTTCAAATATTTATTGAGTGCCTACTACCTACCGGGCACTTTGTAGGTGCTGGGGGAATATAAAGATGATTAAATCATGGTCTTGGTTTTTTATTGTTTATTTTGTGTTTTGCTTTGCTTTGTTTTAGCACAATATCTAGTAGCTGAGTTAGGACAAACAGCGATAGAAGGAATAGAAATCAGAATACAAATTTTTAGAGCTATGAAGGACCCTGGAGGTCTTCATCCAATACTTCACAAGCTTGGCTGTACCTTGTATCACCCAGTCAATTAAAAAATACAGACTCCTGTGCCAATATTAGAAAATCTGATTCAGTAGGACTGAGATAAGGTCCAGAAATATGTGTTTATAACAAGGACCTATATGATTCTGATGCACCCGAGCAACTTGGAGCCACCAATAATTCCATAGAATAAGTAACTTAACACTCAGAGGGGGAAGTGACCTACCCAAGCCCCCAGTTTAGTAACTAAGACAAGGATAGAAATGAGGCATTCAGACTCCCAGACCAGGATTATTTTTCAGTTATAGGAAAATCAATTTCTCAAATTAGTAACACTGTCAAATAAGTCATTGAACTAATTTTTTTTAAAAAAAGACTTAAACTCCTGGGTCATATGAAGTTCTGTGGAAGAGACTTTTTTTTTTATCTTGATAAATGGTCATGTAATAAAGGTCAAATGTGATTTTTTTAACTAAAATATCTTTAATTTGGGTCTCTTCAACATCTGAAAATAATAAAATATAATCCAGGTACATCTGCAAAGACTCCAAATAAGGTAACACTCACGGGTTCCAGGGGTTAGCTTATAGATATATCTTTAGGGAGCTACTGTGCAACTCACTACAGTTTGTTGTTTGCAGCACTTCTATTCCTGGCACCAAATTCTAAATCAGATAGAATGCATTCAACAAGTAACAGAAAAACCAACTCACACTGGCTTAGACAATGAAGAGTGAGGGCAGGGCCCAGTGGCTGAATGATGGCATTGAGGCTGTAGGCTCTTTCTACTTCTTTGCTCCGCTGCCCACAGTTTTATCTTTACCCTTTGTTGCTGTGGTGTGACTGCCAGGCAAAGGGAACTCTACATTTCCTCATTCACAACTTAGAGAAGAAGAAAGAGCCTGCCTTTCCACAGCATTCAACATTGAAGAAGTTTCTTTCTTAGAGCCCTCATCATGTGTCTCCTTGAATCTCATTGGCCCAAATTGGTTTAGGCTTGTCCACCCCTGGCAAAGAGGTAAATTGCCATGAATTGCTTAGATTAATCACGGGACAGATGGGATGTTGGGAAATCAGTCACAATGTCTACTACCTTGGAAAATGCAAAACTCAGACATTATGCTGTTGAGAGGGTTGAACAAAGGTCAAAAATAAATTTTCTGAAGACACAAAAATTTACTAAGGGGAAACTGGCTAGGTAATATTTTGAGATAATAATTTACACTTTTTCATTCCTCCCTGTTTTTTTTTATTTCCCCTTCTTCCATTCAAATAGATAGCCAATTTGGTACTTCTTTACCTAGGGTGAGATGTTTGATGGGATAAAACACATAAATTTCCTGCACTTTTTCCAGCTTTAGTTTCCCCCAACCCTGATATATTTAGAAAAATTATAGAGTTGTGGGAAAGAAGTAAAACAGAATGTGACTTATGGGTGTACCAAATGACTCAGAGAAAAAGAGACTTTCCCCTATGACAAAGAGATTCACTCTGATGAGATAAGAAGTTGATGTTTGGGGTTCCCAGGACAGGAGGGACCAGGGCCCACTTTCTAGAGCACCTTGGGGGCACACCATGGGGAGGTGACAAGACTCAAGAGAGTCACAGCTACATTGTATGTTTAGGCAGATTCGACTTCAGATGACCTCACAGGAGACTCATGTGTCCCACCATGGCAGGAAGGTAGTAGAAATTTGCTAGATATAAAGGGCATGTAGACTGGAACAGCAGACACTAAAGTGGTAACCTTTAGAAGATAGAAGACTTAATTTTTTGGTCTGAGGGCCATCTCTCCACCTCATCATTAATAGCTGAGGTATTTTTTGAACTTATGAGCTGAGATTCATATATGCTCCAGAGTTACATTTTGGTTGATTTCATATTAGAACCATCACCTTTCTTATATAACTTTTGTATTTTCCTGGAGTTTTGAATTGCCTTTTCTTGTTCATTTATTCAGCTTCTTAATCATTTTTATCTCCATTTTTAAAGTAGGGGAGTAATGTGATCTGATCTATATTTTTAAAAGATCACTGGGGGGCTCTGTGGAGACTGAAATGAAGAAGCAATGGTGGAAGAAAGGAGGCCATTGCATAATCCAGGCAAGAGATGATAGTGCCCTAAGCTGAAATGGTGTTAGCAGAAATGATGCTAATAGATGAAGTCAATATATAATTTGGAGGTAGAACCATTGATGGACTTTAATCATTAGTCAGTCTGTCAAGAAGAATTTATCAGGCTCCTACTATGTGCTAAATGTGGTTCCAGATTCTAGAGTTATAGTGGGGTATAAGACAGAGTCCTTGCCCTCAAAGAGTTTACATTCTAACGGAGGGAGGGGTTGGCCAATAGACATATAAAAAGTGAATGAAATAATTTTATATACTGATAAGTGCCATGGAGAAGAGAAAATATAACAATGTAATAGATGACCAGGGAGGCTGCTTACCTTTTTTTCTAATCAACATTAATGAGGTAAAGTTTGCATAAAAAGAAATGCATCCATCTAAGTGTACCATCTGATGAGTCTTGTCACATGTTTACACCTGTACAACCACCACCAGTCAAAATATAAAACATTTTTCTCATCCTAGAAAGTTCCCTTGTACCTGTCTGCAGTTAATCATCCCTCCTCTCCACCCTGGTTCCAGACAACCACTGATGTGTTTCTGTCACTATAGATTCATTTTGAGACTGCTTACTTTTTAAAAAGACCACTTTTGCTGCCATTGGGGAATGAATTGGAAGAACTGGATTGAAGAGGTGCAAGTCTAGACCTGATAAGAGAAGTGTGACAATAAAATAATAGAAATAAAAATAACTGGCATTTATTGGACATTTATTCAGTCCAAGCACTGCGCTTAGAATTTCCCACATATTATCCATTCAATTTTATTTAATCTCTGCAACAAGTCCTGTGAGGTTACTCCTATGTTATAGAGGAGGAAACTGAGGCTCACAGAGGTAAAGTAATTTGCACAAGATTACACTGCTAATAAATGGCAGAGTCAGAGTGCGGTTCGCCACATGCTACAATAGCAAGCACTTCCAGAGTGCTCACCACATGCCAGACACTGTTCTAAGCACTTTAATTTTCTTTTTTTTAATTTTTTATTTTACTTTAAGTTCTGTGATACATGTGCAGAACCTGCAGGTTTGTTACATAGGTATACATGTGCCATGGTGGTTTGCTGTACCTATTAACCCATCATCCAGGTTTTAAGCCCTGCATACATTAGGTATTTGTCCTAATGCTCTCCCTCCCCTAGCCCCTTACCCTCAGACAGGCCCCAATGTGTGATGTTCCCCTCCCTGTGTCCATGTGTTCTCATTGTTCAACTCCCACTTATGAGTGAGAACATGCAGTGTTTGGTTTTCTCTTCCTGTGTTAGTTTGCTGATAATGATGGCTTCCAGCTTCATCCATGTCCCTGCAAAGGACATGATCTCATTTTTTTAAAATTTTATTATTATTATACTTTAAGTTTTAGGGTACACGTGCACAACGTGCAGGCTTGTTACATATGTATACATGTGCCATGTTGGTGTGCTGCACCCACCAACTCGCCATCTAGCATTAGGTATATCTCCCAATGCTATCCCTCTCCCCTCCCCCCACCCCACAACAGTCCCCGAAGTGTGATGTTCCCCTTCCTGTGTCCATGTGTTCTCATTGTTCAATTCCCACCTATGAGTGAGAACATGTGGTGTTTGGTTTTTTGTCCTTGCGGTAGTTTGCTGAGAATGATGGTTTCCAGTTTCATCCATGTCCCTACAAAGGACATGAACTCTTCATTTTTTATGGCTGCATAGTATTCCATGGTGTATATGTGCCACATTTTCTTAATCCAGTCTATCGTTGTTGGACATTTGGGTTGGTTCCAAGTCTTTGCTATTGTGAATAGTGCCGCAATAAATATAAGTGTGCATGTGTCTTTACAGCAGCATGATTTATAATCCTTTGGGTATATACCCAGTAATGGGATGGCTGGCTCAAATGGTATTTCTAGTTCTAGATCCCTGAGGAATCGCCACACTGACTTCCACAATGGTTGAACTAGTTTACAGTCCCACCAACAGTGTAAAAGTGTTCCTATTTCTCCACATCCTCTCCAGCACCTGTTGTTTCCTGACTTGTTAATGATCGCCATTCTAACTGGTGTGAGATGGTATCTCACTGTGGTTTTGATTTGCATTTCTCTGATGGCCAGTGATGATGAGCATTTTTTAATGTGTCTTTTGGATGCATAAATGTCTTCTTTTGAGAAGTGTCTGTTCATATCCTTCACCCACTTTTTGATGGGGTTGTTTGTTTTTTTCTTGTAAATTTGTTTGAGTTCATTGTAGATTCTGGATATTAGCCCTTTGTCAGATGAGTAGGTTGCGAAAATTTTCTCCCATTTTGTAGATTGCCCGTTCACTCTGATGGTAGTTTCTTTTGCTGTGCAGAAGCTCTTTAGTTTAATTCGATCCCATTTGTCAATTTTGGCTTTTGTTGCCATTGCTTTTGGTGTTTTAGACATGAAGTCCTTGCCCATGCCTCTGTCCTGAATGGTAATGCCTAGGTTTTCTTCTAGGGTTTTTATGGTTTTATGTCTAACATGTAAGTCTTTAATCCATCTTGAATTAATTTTTGTATAACGTGTAAGGACATGATCTCATTTTTTATGGCTGCATAGTATTCCATTGCGCATACGTGCCACATTTTCTTTATCCAGTCTATCATTGATGGGCATTTGGGTTGGTTCCAAGTCTTTGCTATTGTTAAGTAGTGGTGCAGTAAACATATGTGTGCATGTGTCTTTATAGTAGAATGATTTATCATCCTTTGGGTATATACCCAGGAATGGGATTGCTGGGTCAAATGCTATTTCTGGTTCTGGATCCTTGAGGAATCGCCACACTGTCTTACACTGTCTTCCACAATGGTTGAACTAATTTACACTCTTACCAACAATGTAAAATTGTTCCGATTTCTCCACAGCCTTACCAGCATCTGTTGTTTCAGCACCTTAATTTTCATAACAATCCTGAAAGGTGTTATTACTCCAGTTTTAATGAGAGGAAACTGAGGCCCAGAGAGGGTGATTATAATACATAGCCTATAAGCATCTGGCAGAGCAGATTCTTTGAGTTCTGTAATGCTATTATTTAATTGTTTGTCATTGCTTTATTTCATCCTGGGGAGCATCTCTGTACACATGCATTTGCAGCAGGGTTTTCTGGCCAGCAGCTGTAATGTGGCTTGCTTCTGTTTCCAAGAACTTTCTGAAACCTCTCCTAACTTGCCTTATTTGGGGGCCTCTCCTCCAATTTGTTCCCCGTGAAGACAGGGGCCTCTGTCCTCCAGGGGCTTCTTCCTTTCCTGCGGGACATGCCTGCCTTTCTCAGAAATTTCAGAATCTCAGAAAGTTCCCCGGTCTCCAGTGAACCTCAAACAAAAGGTGAGGAGAGCTGGGTGCAGTGGCTCATGCCTGCACATGGACAGATCACTTGAGCCCAGGAGTGCCAGACCAGCCTGGGCAACATGGCAAGACCCCCATCTCTACAAAAAAATATAAAAAGTTATCCAGTCATAGTGGCGAGCACCTATAGTCCCAGCTACCTGGGAGGCTGAGGTGGGAGCATTGCTTGAGCCCAGGAGGTTGAGACTGCAGTGAGCCATGATCATGCCACTGCACTCTAGCTTGGGCAAGAGGGTAAGACCATGTCTCAAAAGAAAAAAAAAAGAAAGAAAAGAAAAGAAATAGTAAGCGCAAGTGAGAGGAAAGAAGAATTCAGAGGAACATGGGGATCATTGAGCTCCTGCCTGGCTAGCATGTTTGGCATGTTCTTATACAGGAGCAGTGTAAATACTGCCTCTACACCAGAGCAAATGGAAACAGAGGATTTTAATGCCAAACTTGGAGCTGTTAGAAGAAAAATCTGAGCCAAATTACATTGAACAGAGTTTGATTGAGCAAAGAACAATTTGAGAATCAGGCAACCCTGGAACCAAAATAGGTTCAGAGAGACTTCAATCCTGGAAGAAAAGTTACGGAGAGAAAAAGGAAAGTGATGTACAGAAAATGAAGTGAGGTACAGAAACAGCCAGAATGGTAATAGCTCAGTGGGCATTTGCCTTATTTGAACAGTTTGAACAGTTGGCCTCCTTTGATTGACTGAAACTCAGTGATTGGTACAGTCTGTTTTCACAGCCAATTAGGTTACAGTTCATTATACAGAGAAAACTGTATCCCAGACTTAATATATGTAAGGAGGAGCTTTAGGCTAAACTTTTTAACAGAACAACAAGGTGTTCCTTTGAAGCCAAGCATGATGATTAACACCTGTAAACCTAGTGCTTTGGGAGGCTGAGGTGGGAGTAGTACTTGAGGCCGGGAGTTTGAGATCAGCCTGGGCAACATAGTGAGACCCTTGTCTCTACAAAAAGTAATTTTTTTTTTTTTTTAATTAGCTGGGCAGAGTGGCACATACCTGTAGTCCTAGTTACTCAGGAGGCTGAGGTGGGCGGGTCACTTTAGGCCAGGAGGTCAAGGCTGCAGTGAGCTATGATTACATCACTGCATCCAGCCTGGGCAACAGAGCAAGTCTTCATCTTAAAAAAAAATTAAAAAATTTTTTAAAAACTTCCTTTTAGAATTTCTGACATGGAACATGAGGGGGGAGGAATGAAAAAATTGGGTGTGCATATTTAACAGTCAAGGACGAGCTTCAACTGGGAGATGAAAATGCACTACAAGTGGACAATTTTTGAAGGCAGAATTGAGACTTTACTTAGGTGAACTATGAGAGGGCATTGTGTATAAAGAGAGAAATGCCAACTCTTCTTTTTAATTTTGCCAAGTAAGGAAAGATCTGAATTTCTCTTTTTACTGAAGTGAAGGAGAAATCCTTGCATGTGGCTCTGTCACCTTTTCTCTTGAGAGACAGGTGATGGGTGAGCCCTAGCTGGCCCCATAATTTGGCCCTAATTATGGGCCCTGATTAGGGGTCTGAGATTAGTTTCCTCTTCATAGCGACACATCCTTGGGTGGTTCCCAGCCACACGTCTCCTAGCTTTCTCAACAGACCGAAGTTAGAACTGGCTGTCATTGGAGCCGACCTTCAAAAATACTTGGCAGGTGGCCAGGCGCAGGTGGGATTACAGGTGGCTCACACCTGTAATACCAGCACTTTGGGAGACTGAGGCAGACAGATTGCTTGAGCTCAGGAGTTGAAGACCAGCCTGGGCAACATGGCAAAATCCCTACTCTACAAAAAATATAAAAATTAACTGGGTGTAGTGGTGGCATGCACCTGTAGTTCCAGCTACTCAGGAGGCTGAGGTGGGAGGATCACCTGAGCCCAGGAGTTTGAGGCTGCAGTAAGCCAAGATCACATCCCTGCATTCCAGTCTCGGCAACAGAGTGAGACCCTGTCCCAAAAACAAAAAACAAACAAACAAAAAACCTGGCAGGTGACAATCTGAAACCAAGGGCTTAGTTTGCAATTTGATCAGGTCTGCCTGCCCTGCTTACTTTTGGTCCCTTGCTTTTTGTTATTCTTTCTTCCTTTATCCGTGAACCTGAAGGCCCCAGTATAGCTGAAGGCTGTTGCTGGATGCTGAATCTTAACCTTTACTGACTATTTGATAGCATTCATAGGTCACCATGGTAATAGTCACTTTAGTTGTTTTTCAGGAACCTGGGCCAGCTCTTGTCCAGTTCAAACTGGTTGAGACTACTGTCCCTCAACGGGGTCTGTGCAGGTGGCCTTTTGACATTGGGGGGCCCAAAACTCACCCTCAGATCATGCTAATGTTTTCATTTTCTGTATATATATTCTATGAAATGCCATGAATTCTGACTATGCCTGCGCAGGATGGATCTGTTACTTCATTTTTCCTTACTGCCAATCATCTTTCCCCATATTTAGACCACCCCATTTCCCTAACCCGTAAATATCCCCAAGCATTATCTTCAAGGAGGCAGATTTGAGAGCTGTTCTCCTGCCTCCTCACTCAGTGGCCTTGCGAACGAATCTTTTCTCTCTTGCAAAACCTGTGTCATGAAGATTTATTTACCATGCATGGGCAGAATGAACCCAACCTGGCCTGTAACAAGTCCCTGAATCAACTGACTGTAGCCAGGAGTCCAAGGTTCTATTAACAGCTTAGCTTTGGTCAGATGCTCATTCCTTGATCAACTAATGGAGGTTGGGGTAGGTGGGATCTCTAAGATGATGACATCTTCTATTTAAACCACATAGTAAGAGTATTTCCCAGAGACAGAGGTAGATAGGTACATGAATGCTATTATAGACCAGCAAGATAAAGGTCAGTTGACTATATTATCATTTTATGTTATAAATATTGTATTTAAATATAATATTCTAAATATTATTGTATTTAAATATAATAGTCTAAATATTATTGTATTTAAATATTTATATTATAAATATGATTGTATTTAAATATCATATAAATATTATTGTATTTAAATAATATTTAAGTAAATATTAAATATAAATGTTAACTTTTAAATATTATTACATATTATTAAATATAATTTAAATAATATAAATATTATTGTATTTAATATTGATATTGTATTTAAATAATATTTATAATATAGTTTCTATAATATAAACATATTAATAATACAATTATAAATACATAATTTATAAAACTAGAAGGGGCCAGGCATGGTGGCTCACACCCATAATCCCAGCACTTTGGGAGGCCAAGGTGGGCAGGTTACTTGAGGTCAGGAGTTCGAGAGCAGCCTGGCCAATATGGTGAAACCCTGTCTCTACTAAAAATACAAAAATTAGCTGTGCGTAGTGGCACACGCCTGTAATCCCAGCTGCTCAGGAGGCTGAGGCAGGAGAATTGCTTGAGTCCAGGAGGCTGAGGCTGCAGTGAGCCGAGATTGTGCCACTGCACTCCAGACTGGCCGACAGAGCAAGACTCTGTCTCAAAAAAAAAAAAAAAAACCTAGAAAGTTATATAACAAAACTCACCAGTAAGTGTTTTTCTTGAACAATAAAAATGAGAAAAATTCTTATTTTAAAATTTTATTTCCAATATTTCTACAACTAACATGTATTAGTGTTTTTTTTAAAATTATACTTTAAGTTTTAGGGTACAAGTGCACAACGTGCAGGTTTGTTACATATGTATACATGTGCCATGTTGGTGTGCTGCACCCATTAACTCGTCATTTACATTAGGTATACCTCCTAATGCTATTCCCCCCCGCTCCCCCCACTCCACAACAGGCCCTGGTGTGTGATGTTCCCCTTCCCGTGTCCATGTGTTCTCATTGTTCAATTCCCACCTATGAGTGAGAACATGTGGTGTTTGGTTTTTTGTCCTTGCAATAGTTTGCTGAGAATGATGGTTTCCAGTTTCATCCATGTCCCTACAAAGGACATGAACTCATCATTTTTTATGTCTGCATAGTATTCCATGGTGTATATGTGCCACATTTTCTTAATCCAGTCTATCATTGTTGAACATTTGGGTTGGTTCCAAGTCCTTGCTATTGTGAATAGTGCCGCAATAACTATAAAGAACTCAAACAAATTTACAAGAAAAAAACAAACAACCCCATCAGAAAGTGGGCGAAGGATATGAACAGACACTTCTCAAAAGAAGACATTTATGCATCCAAAAGACACATTAAAAAATGCTCATCATCACTGGCCATCAGAGAAATGCAAATCAAAACCGCAAGGAGATGCCATCTCACACCAGTTAGAATGGCGATCATTAAAAAGTCAGGAAACAACAGGTGCTGGAGAGGATGTGGAGAAATAGGAACACTTTTACACTGTTGGTGGGACTGTAAACTAGTTCAACCATTGTGGAAGTCAGTGTGGCGATTCCTCAGGGATCTAGAACTAGAAATACCATTTGACCCAGCCATCCCATTATTGGGTATATACCCAAAGGATTATAAATCATGCTGCTGTAAAGACACATGCACACGTATGTTTATTGCAGCAGTATTCACTAACAGGTATTAGTGTTTTTTAAGTAAGTAAAAGGCTGCATTTCAAGCTCACCAAGGCTGTGGGCCCCTTCAAGCCTGACACTCTTTAAATTCTTGGAGGCAGCAACTGTTTTAGAAGGGAAGAATTACTTCTAGAATTCTTCTAGAGTTGTAGCTGTTTTGAACCCTTCTAGCAATTTGCTCAAGCAAGAGTATAGGACCTTTGTTTGCTGTTAACAGTATTTAGAGGGGGTATATTTGATCAGTTTCTTCTTCATCTTCAATTTATGACACTTTTCTGTGCCTTTATTTTACTTGGAAATTCTCATCATAGATTTCCAATGTGTGCTTCTAGATGCCTGTTCCTGATGAAAAGTGTTTTTCTGCCTGCTTAGTTCCTGCAGGTGTCCTCTCCTATAAACCTGTGGGAATGGGTAGTTCCTTATCTTCCAATTTCTAAGCCCTTTTTCAATCTTTCACTGCATTTTCACAGGGTAAGGGTTTGTCTGAGTCCCAGGGACTACCCACTACAATCTTTGTCTCTATTATTTTATTTATTTTTGTATTTATTTATTTTTGAGACAGGATTATGTTCTGCTGCAGTGGCACCATCTCAGCTCACTACAACCTCTACCTCCCAGGCTCAAACGATCCTCCCACCTCAGCCTCCTGAGTCGCTGGGACTACAGGCACACACCACCACACCTGGCTGATGTTTAAATTTTTATGGTAGAGATGAGGTCTCACTACATCACCCAAGCTGGACTTGAACTCCTGGGCTAAAGCAGCTCTCCTGCCATGGCCTCCCAAAGTGCTGGAATTATAAGCCTGAGCCACCATGCCCAGCCCCCATCTTCCTCTCTGTTGATTTGACTTTGCCCATGTACGTTTACACCCTTTCTTCTCCACCATTGGCATAGTTTGGAGCAAACTAAATTCAGAATAATTTCCTGCCTTTTGCATTTTCCATCTGCAAGAAACTTTCTTCCTCTCCTCTCCAGACAGTCTCTTAGGGTCATCCTTTGACATCCCAGTGGCCTGTCCTGTAATTCTTCACACCCTATTCACAGGAGATTTTTCATGAGCTTTGGGCTCAGATCTAGAACCAGGAACACAAAAGAGCCTCCCCATCCCACTAGCAGAATAGCTTCAGTAGTTCCTGGAATTTCTCACATTGGGTTCTGTTCCCTACGTGAAGAAAGAGAGGTTTGCCATTCACAGCCATCTTCTCTAGGTTGATGCTGGGCTCCTTGTTGCTCAGCAGAAAAATGCTACAGCCATCAGGGCTGGATAGAAATGTCAGTCAGTCTCTCTCTTTCTCTCTCTCCCCTTTCTGCCTTCCTTCCTTTCTCTCTCCTTCGCATCTTCCTTCCTATTCTTCCAATCTTTCTGAATGGTTAATCTTTCTGCCATTGAGTGTGGGCAGTTATTCAGGCCACACTTTCTGACACTCACTGCCCACAACTGCCCACACTCAATGGCTCCTGGATTGATAAATTAGTCTCAGTAGATTGTATTCTTATTGTAAGATGTTGCCTCTGCTGCATGTCACAGACACCAAAACTAACAGTAGATTACACACAACAGACTTTTCTTTCTTTCTCATAGAAAAACCTGGAATGATATGGTATTTGGTCTTTATTAAGTTGTCAGGGGCCCAGACTCCTTCTGTGTTTTTGCTCTGCCATCTTATCATCCAAGATGGCTCCAGCCAGCAGGAATGGGGAAAGGGAGGCAGGCCTCCGCCCTTTAAGAGCAAAACATGGATGTTTTGCATACCTCACTGTGGTCACATACATTGGCCAGAATTTAGTCACATTGTCACACCTAGCTGCAAGAAAGGCTGAAACTCTGTTTCTCATTCTGAGCAGCCATACATTCAGCTAAACATTTTATTAATACGAAAGAAGAAGAAAATTATGTATTGTGGGACAGCTGGCAGTCTCCACCACACAGAGTAAATCAATTCTTTTGGTGGATCTTCAGCAACAGGATCTTCTTTCTTTGGTGTTAGACAGGTTTAATGATTGAATTTCTGAATGAATGGGTCAAGTAGTTGGAATTTTGCTAGGAGGAGTAGATTAAACTTTCAGACTCTAGTAATTCTTCTCTTCTAAATGTACCTGGGACTCTCTTAACAGCAGAGAATTGAGGAGAGTTTGGAGACATTTTTATGATCAGCTTTGGTCTTTGCATTGCTTCCTTTGTAGATGAGAGATCCTTCCTGTTTGTTTGTGCTTGGTTTTTTTTTTATTGAAGTATAATTTATTAAATTCATTCATTGAACTTTTTGTAAGTATGCAGTTTGATAATTTTTACTAAATTTATACAATTGTGCACCTATCACATAATCCCATAATAAAATATTTTTTTCATCCAAAGTGCTACCCAGTTCCAAAGTCACTTTCACATTTTCAAGTATCTTTTCAGCAGCACCCCACTCTACTGGTACCAATTTACCATATTAGTCCATTTTCATGTTGCTGATAAGGACATACCAGAGACTGGGTAATTTATACAGGAAAAACGGCCTAATGGACTTACATTTCCACATGGTTGGGGAGGCCTCACAATCATGGCAGAAGGCAAGGAGAAGCAAGTCACATCTTACATGGATGGCAGCAGGTAAAGAGAGAGAGCCTGGGCAGTGGAAGTCCTCTTCTTAAAATCATCAGATCTCATGAGGCTATTCACTATTATGAGAATAGCATGATAAAGACCTGCCCCCCATGATTCAATTACCTTCCACTGGGTCCCTCCCATGACACATGGGAATTGTGGGAGTTAGAGTTCAAGATGAGCTTTGGGTGGGGACACAGCCAAACCATATTAAACAGCATGGGGAAAACTGCCCCCATGATTAAATTAACTCTCACTGGGTCCCTCCCATGACACATGGGGATTATGGGGATTACAATTCAAGATGAGATTTGGGTGGGGGCGCAGCCAAACTATATCATTCTGCTGCCATTCTCTTCCAAATCTCATGTCTTCACATTTCAAAATACAATCATGCCTTCCCAACAGTCCCCCAAAGTCTTAACTCGTTCCTGTACTAACCCAAAAGTTCAAGTCCAAAGTCTCATCTGAGACAAGGCAAGTCCCTTCCACCTATGAGCCTTAAAGTGCCAAAATGATCTCCTTTGACTCCATGTCTCAAATCCAGGTCATGCTAATGCAAGAGGTGGGCTCCCACAGCCTTAGGCAGCTCTGCCCCTGTGGCTTTGCAGAGTATAGCCCCCTTACCTACTGCTTTCACCACTGGCATTGAGTGTCTGCAGCTTTTCCAGGCACATGGTGCAAGCTGTTGGTGAATCTACCATTCTGGGGTCTGGAGGATGGTGGCCCTCTTCTCACAGCTCCACTAGGCAGTGCTCTATGTGGGGGCTTCCACCCCACATTTCCCTTCCACACTGCCCTAGCAGAGGTTCTCCATGAGGTCTCCACCCTTGCAGCAAACTTCTGCCTGGATATCCAGGCATTTCCATACATCCTCTGAAATCTAGGTGGAGGTTCCCAAACCTCGTTTCTTGACTTTTGTGCATCTTCAGGACTAACACCACATGGAAGCTGCCAAGGCTTGGGGCTTGCACCGTCTGAAGCCATGGCCTAAGCTGTACCTTGGCCCTTTTTAGCCACAGCTAGAGTGGCTGGGATGCAGGGAATCAGTTCTGAGGCTATGTACAGCAGCGGGGCCCTGGACCTGGCCCAGGAAACCATTTTCCCTCCTAGGCCTCTGAGCCTATGATGGGAGGGGCTGCCACGAAGTTCTCTGACATGCCCTGAAGACATTTTCCCCATTGTCTTGGTGATTAGCATTTGGCTCCTCGTTATTTATGCAAATTTCTGCTGCCAGCTTGAATTTCTCCCCAGAAAATGGGTTTTTATTTTCTACTGCATTATCAGGCTGAACATTTTTCAAACTTCTATGCTCTGCCTCCTCTTGAATGCTTTGCTGCTTAGAAATTTCTTCTACCAGATACCCTAAATCATCTCTCTCAAGTTCCAAATTTCACTTATCTCTAAGGCAGGGACACAGCACCCAGGCTCAACCCCAATCTTGCTCCAAGATTGGAGCAGGCACAGGGAGCAAGGAGAGGCCAAGCAGCAGGAGCAGACACCCCGAGCCTGCAGGGCTAAGGGAGCCTTCCTGGGCCCCAAGAGTGCAAAAATGCCTGGTTCCACAGTGGTGGCAGGACAGCTGCAGCTGCACCTGAGAGCTCCTGACCCACCAACTGAGAAGGAGAGGGGCTCCCACTTGTCCCCAGAACTCAGGGGCAGCCCAGAGCTCCCCCTTGTCTGGCTTGCAGCCCTGCCCAGGGGTCTGCCTCCGGGAGCAGATTGAGGGCCCTGGGCCTGGTCCTTGGAAGTGTCAGGCTCAGCAGTCACCCCAATGGAGGGCAGACCACAGGGACATGGCCCTGGGCAGCTCCATGCAAAGCATCCTCCCAAGGCTCAGGAACACAGCACCCTCAGGCAGTGGCTGTGCCACTGACTGGGTTCCTGAAGTGGGTGCCGCACCCACTTCCTGCCATGGGCCCCTATAGCGAGGCCCAGCTCTATGTCCTGGACCAGGCCTCTGCACTTCATTTGCAAGTGTGGCACCATCCCAAACCCAGCTCTGCTTCAGGGACCCTCTCTGCCTGACCATACTGCTCCCCCACCAGCAGGTGACTCATCCTGGCCCGAGGGCAGCGGGCTCCAGGGAATGTCCACCTCCTCCCCATGCCCTCCTCATGGCAGCAGCAGGTGAGAGTGGCAACATGGGGCCAGGGTCCAGAGCAGCAGAGGCTCTGGGCTGTGAGCAGATCCCACTTGGCCATGTGAGAGTGGGAGTGGTACAGTCGGTTGCCTCAGGGATGTGGGCAACAGGGGTCCCCTCACCACCACTGCTGCTGCTACAGCTGCTCCTGCTGCCATGCTCCCACCTCCCCGCTGTAGCCAGCACAGTGGCAGTGTCCACTCTAGGCAGACTGCCACTGCCATCAATCCCCCTCTGAAAAGGTACATCTAACTGCCATTAGGATAAGGATGATGACTGATCTCAACTGCTTCATGCTGACAGGAGACATTGTTTGGGGGAAACAGCAGCCGGATCTCTCTCAGAGGCCTATCAAAGGGTCCCTGGTGAAAAAGGGAATCATCGCCTGAGGCTCCAGTTCTATGACTACTTAGAGTTTGATGGCCTGTCCCTCTTGTCTCTTCTGAGCTGCAGTCAGAAATCATTGGGCAGTTCACCTCCACAACTGTCAAAAGCTTCAAATAACTCAAAATAAAAGCTTCCCTAACTCTGAAAAACAAAATAAAGTATTAGCAATATCCCAAACAAAAAGTCAAGAAAGATTACCTTAGTCTTCCACTAGTTCAGTCCACCCAGTCAACTCTTTTTTGCAATCTCCAAAGTTATCAGAAACCTGCGCTGAAGGATTATAATCTGTCTTTGAATAGGATCAAAACAAGACAACAAATGTCTGTGAATATCAAAATGTCCTAGGGTACTTACAGTCAAAAACAAAATTGACAAAGAAATTTGGTCACATCTGTGGTTTACAATAACCCAACACAATAACCTTAATAATGATTGATAAGACATACTCAGACATCAGGATTTTAGAAATGCCATGTAATTTTCAAACATAGATTAACATTATTCACTAAAATATAACCTGAAGATCAAACACTAGTTTATTTTGACAATCTTATGTAACTAAATATGTCAAATAATCCCAATTACCTCTCCTTTGGATGCTCCAGGGGACCTCTGTAGCATCCAAAAGTTTGGGGTTAGAAAAGACAATTTTGAAGCTGAAATTTGATTTTGGGAAGCCTATCAAATATATGTTAAAGGCTTAAAATGCTTAACAGAATTTCAGGTTACCATAAGTCGTCCATTTAGTCAAAATGATGACTCAAATTTTAAAAAGGAATAAACCTTTACTCATTAAGGGGGAAGACCTAGTTTTCCAAACAACCAGTCTCTTGTCCTTCCCTTTTTTTTCAGTAGTTTATTCACAAGACAAACCAAAATTTTTCATTACATGAAAATCTTGTTCAAGAGACAGAAAACCAAATTTTACCCTTGCATTAGTCAACCTCAATTTTTTAATGAAACCTTACAGACAAATCCATCCAATCTTAATCGGTTTGACCATGAGTTGAGATTCTTATAAACCCTTTTTTTTTTTGAGATAGAGTTTCCCTCTGTCACCCAGGCGGGTGTGCAGTGGCAAGATCTTGATTTCAGCTCACTACAACCTCCACCTCCTGGGGTCAAGTGATTCTCCTGCTTCAGCCTCCTGAGTAGCTGGAATTACAGGCATGTGCCACCATGTGTATTTTTAGTAAAGACGGGGTTTTGCTATGTTGGCCAGGCTTATCTCAAAGTCCTGACCTGCTAACCTCAGGTGATCCACCTGCCTTGGCCTCCCAAAGTACAGGGATTACAGGTGTGAGCCACTGCACCCAGCCAAGATTCTTATAAGCCTTTTATAATCCTTTACAAATTTTTGTTAAAGAGCAGGTCAGTGCCTCAAGAAAACCTTGTTGTGCTTTTATTCCAATGTTCACTTTATGGAAAAACCATATTATATCCTTTTGAGTTTGGTCAATATGAATTTCTTTTACAAGATTAATTTTTATAAACCTTCCACAATTTGTTCAAACCTTTAGCTTTTAAACAATCCTTTAACTCTCTAAACTTAGGTATAGATTTACATTCCCATGCCATGTGGTTTCTTTTACCAAAACCACATTTTACTCTTCCTATACACCTTGCATATAAATCTATTTTCAGTAGTCTCAATTACATGTTGAATTAAAGGCATTAAGGCATCTATTTTTCTTAAGAATATTTTATCTAAGCACTTATTTTTCCCTAAGCCAGTCAATTAGTGCTCTTTTGTGTAAATATCACACACATAACACATGTATAATTACACAGACAGACAGAGATCCGGTAGTTGTATAACTTTTCATTTGCCAATCTTCTAACTGGATTACTGGCCTCAGGGTGGAGCCCTTCAAGAACCAGGACTAGGAAAACATGCAATTTCTTTTTCTTTTTTATTCATGACTTTCCTCATCAAAAAGTCATACCTTCATACTATTGGCTTTGAAGATTTCTCCTTACTAATTGTTTTTTTTTTCTTTTTCTTTATTTCTTCTAAAAAAAAAAAGAGATACATGTGCAGAAAGTGCAGGTTTGTTACATAGGTATACGTGTGCCATGGTGGTTACTGCACCTATTGACCTGTCCTCTAAGTTCCCTCCCCTCACCCGCAACCCCCCCACTGGCCCTGGTGTGTGTTGTTCCCCTCTGTGTCCATGTGTTCTGAATGTTCAACTCCCACAGATGAGTGAGAACATGCAGTATTTGGTTTTCTGTCCCTATGTTAATTTGCTCAGGATGGTGGCTTCCAGCTTCATCCATGTCCCTGCAAAGAACATGATCTCATTCTTTATGGCTGTGTAGTATTCCATGGCATATATGTACCATATTTTCTTTATCCAGTCTATCATTGATGGGCATTTGGGTTGGTTCTATGTCTTTGCTATTGTAAATAGTGCTGCAATACACATACGTGTACATGTGTTTTTATAGTAGAATGATTTATAATTCTTTGGTTATATACCCAGTAATGGGATTGCTAGGTCAAATGGTATTTCTGGCTCTAGATCTTTGAGGAATCACCAGACTGTCTTGCACAATGGTTGAACTAATTTACACTCCCACCAACAGTGTAAAAGCATTCCTTTTCCTCCACAGCCTTGCCAGCATCTATTGTTTCCTGACCTTTTTTTTTTTCTTTTTTTGACATGAAGTCTTGCTCTGTCACCCAGGCTGGAGTGCAGTGGTGTGATCTCAGCTCACTGCAACCTCTGCCTCCTGGGATCAAGTGATTCTTCTGCCTCAGCCTCATGAGTAGCTGGAATTACAGGTGCCCACCACCATGCCTAGCTAATCTTTGTATTTTTAGTACAGATGGGGTTTTATCATGTTGGCCAGGCTGGTCTCGAACTTCTGACCTCAGGTGATCTGCCCACCTCGGCCTCCCAGAGTGTTGGGATTACAGGCATGAGCCACCACACCCAGCCTCCCGGCTTTTTAATAATCACCATTCTAACTGGTGTGAGATGGTATCTCACTGTGGTTTTGATTTGTGTTTCTCTGATGATCAGTGATGTTGAGCTTTTTTTCATATGTTTTTTGGCCACATAAATGTCTTCTTTTGAGAAGTGTCTGTTCATATCCTTTGCCCACTTTTTGATGGGGTAAAAATATGCAATTTCTAAGGCCTAATAAATAGGTATAGCAGGATGATAAAAACAGATTTTGAGAGGGATTCATCCACCCTTAATCCCTGGGGTTCCATGGGGTAAAGAGAGTTTTTCCCAAAATGGGTCAGTGGCACCTCATCTGCTTTTCCAAGGGAGTCCCAGGCCACCAGATGCTATCTTGGAGACCCTGGTATGTGCATTAAGAGTGGCCAGACAAAAATGGAGAAAAATAATTCAGTCAACTGAGAAGAAAAAACCTTTTCCAGAAAAACAAACAAGATCCACTAAGAAAAAAGACATAAAGGCCTTTTAAATATACCTATAGCTTGGATATCCATCTTTAAGTAAGCAGTCTTTTAACCATAGCATTTCTTTTTTAAGAAGTCCTTTTAAATATCTTACTACCCAACCTTAGCCATGCCAAATGGCCAGTACTTCTGGTTTTTGAACTCATGGAAAGGCAGAGAATACAGTGGTTTTTTACCATTCCTGCAACCAGTTTGCACAGAAAGAGAGAAGACATAAGTCCAACTGGTAAGAACTTTTACCCTTTTGCCAGCATGTCAGACTTCTGGGTTCCCTTCCCGTTAGCCATGGAGCCCTATTTACCCTGGAGTTTTATGAAGGGTAACAGATAAAGGAAAGTTGTCCCTCCTCAAGAGATTGCCAAGACGTTTAAGGTTTGGGGAAATTAAACTTTTCCCAGTTTAGGGGATGCATCCAAAGGGAGTGTCTTTTAGTACAGAGATGCAATTACCCACCTGTGAAGGGAAGACAGAGAAAGAAAAAATAAAAAAGATTTTTTTCTTTCTCCATAGTCTGAGGTTCAAAGGAGTTCCAGTGATTTATGATGCACTCAAGAAGAGTGCAGGCTGAAAATGGTTCCTTACCCATCTGGAAAGAGGGGAAATGGCATCCCTTTGTTCCTCTCTCTTTCCAGAGAATAGCCAGGGTACATGATGGAGAGAAAAAAAAGGCATCACTTTTTCTTCTTCTGACCTTCTATCCCCAAGTCCCAGTGGCCTTTGCAAGTGTCATCCCATGGGTGCAAGTGCAACCTTCACCCATGTAGCAGGGAGGCCTAGTGGGTAGGAATATTTGCACTTAGCTATGTGCCACCCTATCCTCCTGCTGTCACTAACCTTTGGGTTCCCTAGACCTTATGACGTGAGCATGACCTACATCCACAAAGCAGGAGGGCCTGATCAGCAGGAATTAGTCATGCTCACCTGCACTGTGCCCCTTGACTCCTGTTGTCATCTGCCTCAGGTCTAGTGTTCCATTCCAGGGCTTCAAACTGAAGCTTGGGACAAATAAATGCCTCAGGAGAGTGTACAGATCCATTAAATTAGTCCCAGGTGGCCCTCACCAAATTGCAGCCCACAACTGGCTGGGGCTGCTCCTCTGTTGCTTCCCTATCATAAGCAGGTGAAGCTGTGGGACCAGGTCTTCCTCAAACAAGGGGGAGAAAGGGAATCCCAGGAATTGACCTAATAAGGTGCTTCCCAAAAGGAAAAAAAACTAACCCCTCACATAGAAAAGCTCCCTGTATTCATAGGACTATGTTGGCTCCTGACATTGTAGAGGAATGAAACCTGAGATGCCCCTCACGGTCATGTCAAGAGAGAAGTGGGGCCTAGATTGGAAAGGAGAACTGAAAGTCCTGCTCCAGAGTCCAGAAGGAGGTCCACCCTCCTTCCCTTGACCCCCAGAGTCATCTGGGTCTCCAGGGTGGCAATGGCAGTCTGAACCACTGGAGCCAGTGACAGGAGCCCCAGGACCCATCAGTCCTGCTGGACCATTTGGGAGACCATCCTTGGACCTGGTGACTGGTGTTTAAAGGAACAGTCCACCCTCCCATGATCCCCATCACAAACAGGACAGGATTGAGGTGGCCTCCCCCTGCTGTCCAGACAGTCCCTCCTAAAGTGCCTGGGCCTGCCACATTTGCAGCAGTCAACAGATGTATCTCAGGGACTCTGGGGTCCATGAGCCCACAAGGCAGTTATTAGAACCTCTGCCTTTTTCCTGTACCTCCCCTCACTTTTCTGGACTTCCTCCTGGTTCCCACTGCAAAGACCAAGGTGGCTACTCCCAGGAGGCCCTCCAAAGTACCGTCTGGTCCAACAGCTCATTTCCACAGTCCCCTCCTAATATCAAGGGCTGCCTCTGTGATAAACTCATCCCCTAGGACCAGTTGTCTCTTGACTGAATCAGGAGACAGAGAGATATGCTTTAACAAGTCCCCTCCCAACACTCCAAGGGACTCCCACCCAATCTCTGGTCTACCATGGATAGCCCAGTGAAATCAAGAGGCCTGGTTCCAGTCCCTCACAAGCACTCCAGTATGCACACCTGAAAGTGTTTTCTCCTCCATTCTCTCATTTCATCATTGAGATACCATTTAGGATCCTACAATGGCACTGCTATTCTTTCAATCAGATAAGGCTCCTCCCCCTTCCTGACCCTATATAAAAGATAAAGTTCATCCCCAAAATTCTCTGCTGCTTGCAGCATGGCTGGCTTTTCAGTGGTGGTCAGGCTTTGATTCAGAAGTAACATGACATCCCTCCTGGAGAGCTCAAATACTTGGGTTAAGTTCTGGAAAGCCTCTATATGCCTGTCAGCACCATCAGAAAACTTGCCAAGATCCCCCTTAATTTACCTTAAGTCCTGTAGAGAAAAGGGGACCTTGAACTTAATGGGGCCATATCCACCAGGCATCTGTTGTAGGGACAGGAGTGAGACAAAGACCTGCCTAGAGCAAGGATTTCTAGGCTGGGGCAAGCTTGAGAGAGAACCTGGATAGAGAGGAGGGGAGGAGGTGATTCCCCCGATGGAGGCACCTCTGGAGTTACCTCTGGAGTTTTCTTCCCTATTTCCCTGGGATTGCTCATTGTAGCCTCTCCTGAGACAACTGCTAGGAGGGCTGAATCAATCCTGCAACATTGGCAAAGGTTCAGGTTATCCTGCAAGGCAAAGAAGGCCTGAACATATGGGACCTCAGACCATTTGCCCTTGCATTTACAGAAAAAGTCCAGCTGCAGGATAGTATTGAAATTAACACTTCCTTCCTGAGGCCATACTTCTTTTCTGTGCCTCAAGATGCTTGGCACTAAGTTTTCAAACAAGGAAATGACAAGAACATTTTCACCACAAATTTATGTACAGATACCAAGGCCCACTTTGCTTCATCTGTGCTACTCTTAATCTTCCATTTTATACTTTTGATGACTAAGCCAAATGCTCATTCTACCCAGTACTATTATCTCTGTGGTTTGCAACATCTTTAACATTTAACATTGTATATAAAGAAGAGATAGGAAACATGACAGCCATGAAAGAAAGAAAGAACAATAGGAAAGACTGGAGGTCCTAGTTCTAACACTCTAATGGGTGGTCAGGGACCAGAATTAGTCCAGGGGTCTTTGGATAACACCAAGGTGTAGCCTCAGCCAGATACCCTCAGTTTCCCCAGGGCCTCCTTCCAGTCCCATGTGACAGCTAGACCTCTATAAAGGAAAACTAGGTTGGAACAAAGCCAACATTCCCAATATCCAAGGGTAAAAGGGGATTGACTGTCCTCCCCAGCAAGCCTGTCCTCTGTGTCTTAAGTTCAACAGCCATGCTAGTCACATTTAACTGGTTGACAGAGGCCCAGTATTTTCTTTCATCTTGGCTATTGTGGAATTTAGAGACTCTGAAAAAAGGACAGAAAGAGCAGGTCCACTTTTACTCACCCTTCTGCAGATCCTGGACAAGCCCCCATAATGTGACAGAATCTTTGGGGTGTCACTTTTCTGGCCAGAAACCTGTGGCCAGTGGCACCTTTGTCCAAGTTTTGCTCAGGCCTGCTGGACTCATTCTGCCCACTTGACCTGGAAGACTACACTCAGCTCATGCTACCAGCCTGGATCCCACGCCTTCAAGGGAAACTGTGAGTCATGCACGGAGTGGTGAGTGATGTGTGAGTGAGCGAGGGTTCTGGCCACTGTGCAGTCAGACATACTGGCTGCTGCCACAGGGTGGGGAGCTCCAGGTGCTGCATGGGCACCAGCTCTCTGCAAAGCTGCAGCTGGACCAGGCACACTGCAAGCAGCTTCCTCGCTGGCACTGGAGAATGTGGTAGCACCTGGAAGCTTGGAGACGCAAGGAACTACAGGGTCCCAAAGAGGGAGTCACAGCCCTGGCTCAGGGAGCTCTCAGGTCTGGGCTCCCTGAAGGGCCACAGCTCTTCTCTCCTTCTCTTTGCCCACCATATGCCAAGCAAGGGGCATGTCTCAGCCTTGTTTGTGTTACAGATCTTTTAGCCTTGCCATTCAATGGGTCCCAAGTTCTTGTCCTGCAACCAGGAAGAATGAGGTACACAGACAAGTGGAGGGTGAGCCAGATAAAGAGGAGCTTTATTGAAAGATAGAACAGCTCAGAGGAAACCCACAGGGGACAGCTCCTTTTTGCAGCCAGGGTGTCCTGATGAGTTTTCTGCTCCTAGCAGAGAGGGTAACCCCTCTCTGCACTGCTCATCCCAACAAGTGTTCAGCTATCAGCAGAGATGGTAACTCCTCTCTGCAGCTGGTCATCCCATTGTGTGCTCTGCCTCAGGCCAAGCCCAGGGCTTTTGTGGGCCTCAGAGGGGAGAAAGTGCACACTGATTCATTCATATGTGGCCATGGGCAGGCCCAGAAAAGGCACCATAAGTTCCCACTCCGGTCTGCATGACTGGCAGCCCATGGGGCACAGGAAATGCGGGTCACATGGGTCCCCCCCACCACCACTGCTGCTCCTGCAGCCACTCCTGCCACTACTTCTTGCACTTCCCCACTGTAGCTGGCACAGTGGCAGTGGCTGCTCCAGATAGCCCGCTGCTGCCATCACTAGGTGCCCATCAATGGTGGATTGTGTAAAGAAAATGTGGTACATATACACTGTGGAATACTACACAGCCATAAAAGAGAATGAAATCATATCCTTTGCAGCAACATGGATAGAGCTGGAGGCCATTATCCTAAGTGAATTAACACAAAACAGAAAATCAAATACTGCATGTTCTCACTTATAAGTGGGAGCTAAACATTGGATACTTATGAAGTATGTCAACAATAGTGCCTGGGGACTAATAGGGGACTAATACAGTGGGGAGGGAGAGAGTGGGACAATACTTGAAAAAGTAAATGTTGGGTCTCACTTCCCGGGTGACAGGTTCAATCATACCCCAAACCTCAGCATAAGCATCATGCCATATACCCATGTATCAAACTGCACATGTACCCCCTGAATCTAAAATAAAAGTCAAAATGATTCTTACAATAAATAAATAAATAAATATTTTTAAAAGAAAAGGAGAAAACTGTAGGCCATCTTCTGCCAGCAACCAAGCAAATAGTTTTGACTTTTGATTCATAATAACTGATTGTGAACCTCAAACAGGGCCCTGATCTGTAAAATTTCATTTTTGTTATACCTAACTAAAACAGAGTTGAGAAGCCAGGAAGAAAAAGCACTCTGGACACACATAACATTGCTCCAAAAAATGTAATTATCTGCCAACCTGGCTGCTGAAACTGCCTGATGTAACCCGAAGCCAGTTTTATCTATTAGTTGCTGAAATGACCTACTGCAATTTGAAGATTAATTTTACACCCAGCCCCCACCCACCATCATTCACCAATCAAAAGTTTCCAGCTCACCAGAACATTTACCAGGTGCCCATGAACTTTTTCAAGGAGCAATACATAGCATTTCTGTTTTTTATAAAACCTCCAACTTTCTCTTTGGCCTTCAGACATACTGAAGACCATCCAGTCTGTATGTATGCCCAGAATTGCAATCCTTTCTCCCACACCAAAAAATTATATTTAGAGATTTGTCTCTACATTTTTATTTTAAGTTTGACAGATCCGTGAAGGAAAAGTCCCTCAAAGCTGGTTGGTTTTATCCCAAGAAAGCCAGCTTCCTAAGGTCTTATTCCTTGATGGCTGCTTCTCCCTAGCAGGTTAGGCTTCCCCATTGTCTCATCTTCCCTGCTGCATCTTACATACTTGAATATGCACACAGATACATTGAAAATTTGCTTTCTAGAACAATCCAACTCCAGCTTCAGTAAGACCAGTAACCTATATCTGAGGTACCCCAATGAAGGCCTTGCTGAAGATACTCTCCTCCAAGTGCCAAAAATCAAGGGAAATAGCTTATTCATTTATTCAACTGATTTGTGTTGGGGCACCTACTGTAAGTGAGCACTGTGCTAGGGCCTGGGGATATGATCGTGAACATGCCACAGTTCTCACCCTAGAGCAACTTTCAGTGTCAAGAAGTAGACACAAATAAATAAGAATTTATAATAACATATGATATGCATAATGGCAAGAGAAGAATAGGCTGTCATAGGAACTCATACAAGGCAGAGGCAATTAGTCTAGGCTTGGGAGGTCAGAGAAGATTTCTTGGAAGAAGTAATGTCTGCACTGAGAGTAAGGAATGAGTCAGAACTAGGCAGGCAGCTAACTGGCCTACACTGTGCATTATTCACAAATGTTCAAGACCAGGCAAGTTTAACTCAACCTCTCACCCACTCACCTTACTTCTAGGTCACCTTCTCTACTTTGTCTCCTTGCCTCACCCTACCTATGTAATTTGGCATTTTATCTTCCAGGAATTCCAGCTCATATTGACATTTATTTTAGCCAGATAGGTTTACAAAGGTAAATGTGTAGCAATAAAAGGGATCCTTGGCCTGGCAATTGAGAAACAAAATCCCCAAATTCCTGGAAGCTTCTGAGCATGAGGTGCCAAGCCAATTGGCTGGGCTTCTCTACAAGAGTTCAGGTACCTGATGGGGGTTGGACTAGATAACCTTGAAATTCTAGTCCTGGGTCTACTATTGAGTAACTGTGTGATGTTGGGCAAGTTTCTTTTTTTTAATTTTAAGTTCTGGGATACATGTGCTGAATGTGCAGGTTTGTTACATAGGTATATACGTGCCATGGTGGTTTGCTGCAACTATCAACCTGTCTTCTAGGTTTTAAGCCCTGCATGCATTAGGTATTTGTCCTAATGCTCTCCCTCACCTTTCCCCCATGCCCTGACAGGCCTTGGTGTGTGATGCTCCCCTCCCTGTGTCCATGTATTCTCATTGTTCAACTCCCACTTATGAGTAAGAACATGTGGTGTTTGGTTTTCTGTTCCTGTGTTAGTTTGCTGAGGATGATGGTTTCCAGCTTCATCCATGTCCCTGCAAAGGACATGAGCTCATTCCTTTTTATGGCTGCATAGTATCCCATGGTGTATCTGTGATGTTGGGCATTTTCTTAACCTTGCTAGGCTCTCTTGGTTTTTTATTAGCAAAAGAGAGGGTGTAAGTCCCCAGATGCCTTCCACCTTTAATAGGAAGTGAATCAAGTTTTTATGCAAAGCTAACTAGAATAGATTCTTGAATGGACAGTACCATAGAAAGCAAGCTGAGGTCCTCACTAAAATGAGAAAGATTCTACCTAAAGTGCCAAGGTAACGTTTAGGAATAGAGCTAGTGGGCTTGCAATCTACCCCAATAGCTCTCTCAGGCTTACAATGCACTTCTCTCATAGGTCTTTTTTCCACGTGGTTGAAGAAGGTTTCCATTGTGCTTCTATAGGTTGCACTTACTTATAAATGTTATTGATTGAAGTTAACCAGATCTGTCTCTAGGGACAGACAGCAAGGGACACATACTGTTTCGTATCCCCACACTTGTTACTGCGTCTGGTTATATTCATTTCTCTCTCTTACTAACATGTTTTCCTGGAAGAACCCCTGCTTCTAACTGGGACTAGGCAGAAACCTACAGTAAGTAAGGTAGACCCATTCCACAGCTCACTCCAGGTGTCCAGATGCCACCTGCAAGCTTAAGCCAAACACACTGATGGCCACTAACTCCAATATAATGACAAGTCCTATTCTGATAAATCCCACAATAATATGACCTATTGGCTGAATACATGTTGGCTAAATATGCAAGTCTTCAATATGCTCAAAGAGTCAACCCAAATTCTCTGTTTTCCAATTTCCAGTTCTAGAATAAATAACTTCTCTTTTAACACTCCTGCTGGGAAGGGAAGGTGGTGGACAGCACTTTCATCTAGTTTAAGCCTGGGGTTCTTACATGTTCCAGAGAGCAGGAGGGGGTGCCCGAGGTCGAGACATCCACACAGCTAATAATGTGTGTGTGTGGTGCATGTGTTGGGGGGGTGTGTGTGTGTGGTGTGGTGTGGTTTGTGTGTGTGTTGTGTGTGGTGTGTATGTGGTGCGTGTGGGGGGGTGTGTGGGGTGTGTGTGCAGTGACTGTGTGTTGTGTGTGTGTGATGTGGTGTGTGTAATGTGTGTGTTTGGTGCATGTGTGGTGTGTGTGGTATAGTGTGTGTGGTGTATGTGTGATGAGTGTTGTGTGTGTGGTATGTGTGTTGTGTGTGTGTGGTGTGTGTGTGGTGCATGTGTGTGGTGCATGTGGTGTGGTGTATGTGGTGTGCATGTGTGTGGTGTGTATGATGTGATGTGTGTGTGTGTGGTGTGGTGTGTGGTGGTGTGTGTGGTGTAATGTGTGTATGTGGTGTGTGTGTGATGTGCATGTGTGTGTTGTGTATGGTGTGGTGTGTGTGGTGTGCATGTGTGTAGTGTGTGTGCATGATGTGTGCACAAGGTAAGGATGGTGGAGGAGGGCAAGGGATGTCAAGTTGGTTTTCATTTCATTTGGGGAAAATGAAAGGTGAATGATTGAGCCGTTCATAACTGGCACAGGCATAAGGGGACTGTTTACTACAGACCCATTCTAACCTGCAAATAGTGGTGTCTTCTTGACCCTACAGTGCTGGGCTCTTATGAAGTGCTCATGTTTGTGGGATCAAAGAATGTCACATATGTATTTGCTTCCTAAAGGAAATGTGTATTTGTCAGGCATATTTTCCCCTTGTAGCAATGTTGTTTATGTTGTTCCTGAGCAGATATTAAAAGGAGTGCTTGAGTATACATTTAATAAACCTCACCCGTGTTATAGACCCTGGAGTCTCATCTGTTTTTCCCTTGTTACCATTTACCTTAAAACAAAGGAGCAAACAAGAAAACACACACACACACACAAGCCCTTTTATCATTTTTCCTCATTATATAAGTAACATATGCTCATTGTAAGACATCAGAACACATGGATAAGAAAGAAGGAGGAAATAATAATGAGCATATATGTCTCATTATTATTAGTAGAGATAATAGTATAGTACTAGTACTAATAGATATAGTTAGTAGAGATAATATCTCTACCACTCAGAGACAACCAGTATTAATATGTTTGTGACCATACATACAGACTTTTTTTGATGCATGTCTATGGTTTAAAAATGGATCACAGGGCTGAGTGCAGTGGCTCATGCCTGTAATCCAAGCACTCTGGGAGGAGGCCAAGGTGGGAGGATCACTTGAGCCCAGGAGTTTGAGACCAGCCTGGGCAACATGGCAAAACCTCGTCTCTACAAAAAAAAAAAAAAAGTACAAAAAAAAAATTAGCCAGGCATGGTGGCAAATCTCTGTGGTCTCAGCTACTCAGGAGGCTGAGGTGGGAGGATTGTTTGAGCACAGGAGGTCAAGGCTGCTGTGAGCTGTGATCTTGCCACTATACACACTGTGATCTTGCCTGGGTGACAGAGCAAGATTGTCTCAAAAAATTTTTTTAATTAAACAAATAAATAAATACTGTGTCATAGTGTTCATATGATACTTTTTTCTCTTAATACACATTTAAGTGCTAAATATATTTTATATCGTATTTACATCACAGTGTTTTTATTGTATGACTGTGCCACATCTTATCTATTCTTGGCTGGCTGGATTGTTTCCAATATTTAGCGATCATTCACAGCACTGCAAGATAGTTAAATGTTTAAGTGGTTATTTTATTGTTACCTTTCATATAGTAAAATTTTGAAAATAAAAATGCTGATCCAATGGGTGTGCATATTTTATGTGGTTTTTAAGATTATTTTACGAGCTACCAAGTTACCTTCAGAACGCTCAATCAGTGTCTGAATACCCAGGTCCTTGAGTTCTTGCCAGCCTTAGACACTTATTTATAACAGAAACAAGCAAACAAGACATTTGGTTATTTTAAAGTAATTTTTGTTTTACTTGGCATTTCTTTAATTGCTGGGGAGGTAAAATTTCTTTTCATATGTTTATTGATGTTTTTCTTTTTAGCCAAGTCAGTATTTGAGTCTTTTGTTAATTTTTCTGTTGAATAATTTAAATGCCTTGTTTTCCATGGGAATTATATCAGTGCCTAGAATCGCCCTGACTGGAAGCCCATTTTGTAATTATAGGTGTTAAGTGAGGCTTTGAGTGTGTGCATGTATGTATGTGTGTGTTCTTGAGCAGGACATTTATGAGTAGGAAAATCTTTTCTGGGGATACTTTGATTATTAAAATTAATGTTTGATTTGTTAAACTTACAACTAAAAACATATTTTTTCATAATTTGTTTAATCTATTTTATTTTATTTATACAATTTAGCAAATATTATCAATTTCTTTTTTTTGATAGTGAACATTTAATTTAAACCTGACAAAAAATACATCAATGCATATGCTACCAAGACTTAGTAATTAAATCATATTAGGATTGAGAAGCTCTTATTCTAGCATGATTTCTATATGAGCTGCCATATTGTTCACTTTGACTCTTTTTTTTTTATTGTACTTTAAGTTCTAGGGTACATGTGCACAATGTGCAGGTTTGTTACATATGTATACATGTGCCATGTTGGTGTGCTGCACCCATTAACTCGTCATTTACATTAGGTATCTCCCCTAATGGTATCCCTCCCCCTCCCCCTACCCCACGATAGACCCCAGTGTGTGATGTTCCCCATCCTGTGTCCAAGTGTTCTCATTGTTCAATTCCCACTTATGAATGAGAACATGCGGTGTTTGGTTTTCTATCCTTGCGATAGTTTGCTGAGAATGATGGTTTCCAGCTTCATCCATGTCCCTACAAAGGACATGAACTCATCCTTTTTTATGGCTGTATAGTATTCCATGGTCTATATGTGCCACATTTTCTTAATGCAGTCAATCACTGATGGACATTTGGGTTGGTTCCAAGTCTTTGCTGTTGTGAATAGTGCCGCAATAAACATACATGTGCATGTGTCTTTATAGTAGCATGATTTATAGTCCTTTGGGTATATACCCAGTAATGGGATGGCTGGGTCAAACGGTATTTCTAGTTCTAGATCCTTGAGGAATTGCCACTGTCTTCCACAACAGTCGAACTAGTTTACAGTCCCACCAACAGTGTAAAAGTGTTCCTATTTCTCCACATCCTCTCCAGCACCTGTTGTTTCCTGACTTTTTAATGATCGCCATTCTAACTGGTGTGAGATGGTATCTCATTGTGGTTTTGATTTGCATTTCTCTGATGGCCAGTGAAGATAAGCATTTTTTCATGTGTCTCTTCACTGCATAAATGTCTTCTTTTGAGAAGTGTCTGTTCATATCCTTTGCCCACTTTTTGATGGGGTTGTTTGATTTTTTCTTGTAAATTTGTTTAAGTTCTTTGTAGATTCTGGATATTAGCCCTTTGTCTAATGGATAGATTGCAAAAATTTTCTCCCATTCTGTAGGTTGCCTGTTCACACTGATGATAGTTTATTTTGCTGTGCAGAAGCTCTTTAGTTTAATTAGATACCATTGGTCAATTTTGGCTTTTGTTGCCATTGCTTTTGGTGTTTTAGTCATGGAGTCCTTGCCCATGCCTATGTACTGAATAGTATAGCCTAGGTTTTCTTCTAGGGTTTTTATGGTTTTAGGTCTAACGTTGAAGTCTTTAATCCATCTTGAATTAATTTTTGTATAAGGTGTAAGGAAGGGATCCAGTTTCAGCTTTCTACATATGGCTAGCCAGTTTTCCCAGCACCATTTATTAAATAGGGAATCCTTTCCCCATTTCTTGTTTTTGTCAGGTTTGTCAAAGATCAGATGGTTTTAGATGTGTGGTGTTATTTCTAAGGGCTCTGTTCTGCTCCATTGGTCTATATGTCTGTTTTGGTACCAGTACCATGCTGTTTTGGTTACTGTAGCCTTGTAGTATAGTTTGAAGTCAGGTAGCATGATGCCTCCAGCTTTGTTCTTTTGGCTTAGGATTGTCTTGGCAATGTGGGCTCTTTTTTGGTTCCATATGAACTTTAAAGTAGTTTTTTCCAATTCTGTGAAGAAAGTCATTGGTAGCTTGATGGGGATGGCATTGAATCTATAAATTACCCTAGGCAGTATGGCCATTGTCATGATATTGACTTTTCCTATTCATGACCATGGAATGTTCTTCCATTTGTTTGTATCCTCTTTTATTTCATTGAGCCGTGGTTTGTAGTTCTCCTTGAAGAGGTCCTTCACATCCCTTGTAAGTTGGATTCCTAGGTATTTTAATCCTTTGTAGCAATTGTGAATGGGAGTTCACTTATGATTTGGCTCTCAGTTTGTCTGTTATTGGTATATAGGAATGCTTGTTATTTTTGCACATTGATTTTGTATCCTGAGACTTTGCTGAATTTGCTTATCAGCTTGAGGAGATTTTGGGCTGAGACGATGGGTTTTTCTAAATATACAATCATGTCGTCTGCAAACAGGGACAATTTGACTTCCTCTTTTCCTAGGTGAATGCCCTTTATTTCTTTCTGTTGCCTGATTGCCCTGGCCAGAACTTCCAACACTGTGTTGAAAAGGAATGGTGAGAGAGGGCGTCCCTGCCTTGTGCCAGTTTTCAGAGGGAATGCTTCCAGTTTTTGCCCATTCAGTATGATATTGGCTGTGGGTTTGTCATAAATAGTTCTTATTATTTTGAAATACATCCCATCAATACCTTGTTTATTGAGTTTTTAGCATGAAGGGCTGTTGAATTTTGTCAAAGGCCTTTTCTGCATCTATTGAGATAATCATGTGGTTTTGTGTTTGGTTCTGTTTGTGTGATGGATTATGTTTGTTGATTTGCATATGTTGAACCAGACTTGCATCTCAGGGATAAAGCCAAATTGGTCTTGTTGGATAAGCTTTTTGATGTGCTGCTAGATTTGGTTTGCCAGTATTTTATTGAGGATTTTCACATCAATGTTCATCAGGGATATTGGTCTAAAATTCTCTTTTTTTGTTGTGTCTCTGCCAGGCTTTGGTATCAGGATGATGCTGGCCTCATAAAATGAGTTAGGGAGAATTACCTCTTTTTCTATTGATTGGAATAGGTTTATAAGGAATGGTACCAGTTCCTCTTTCTTCCTCTGGTAGAATTCGGCTGTGAATCCATCTGGTCCTGGACTTTTTTTTGGTTGATAGGCTGTTAATTATTGCCTCAATTTCAGAGTCTGTTATTGGTCTATTCAGGGATTCAAGTTCTTCCTGGTTTAGTCTGGGAGGGTATGTGTGTCCTGGAATGTATCCGTTTCTTCTAGATTTTGTAGTTTATTTGTGTAGAGGTGTTTATAGTATTCTCTGATGGTAGTTTGTGTTTCTGTGGGATCAGTGCTGATATCCCCTTTCTCATTTTTATTGTGTCTATTTGATTCTTCTCTCTTTTCTTCTTTATTAGTCTTGCTAGCGGTCTATCAATTTTGTTGATCTTTTCAAAAAACCAGCTCCTAGATTCATTGATTTTTTGAAGGGTTTTTGTGTCTCTATCTCCTTCAGTTCTGCTCTGCTCTTAGTTATTTCCTGCCTTCTGCAAGCTTTTCCATTTGTTTGCTCTTGCTTGTCTAGTTCTTTTGATTGTGATGTTAGGATGTTGATTTTAGATCTTTCCTGCTTTCTCTTGTGGGCATTTTGTGCTATAAATTTCCCTCTACATACTGCTTTAAATGTGTCCCAAAGATTCTGGTACATTGTGTTTTTGTTCTCATCAGTTTCAAAGACCATCTTTATTTCTGCCTTCATTTCGTTTTTTAGCCAGTAGTCATTCAGGAGCAGGTTGTTCAGTTTCCATGTAGTTGAGTGGTTTTGAGTAAGTTTCTTAATCCTGAGTTCTAATTTGATTGCACTGTGGTCTGAGGGACAGTTTGTTGTGATTTCTGTTCTTTTACATTTGCCGAGGAGTGCTTTGCTTCCGACTATGTTGTCAATTTTGGAATACGTGTGATGTGGTGCTGAGAGGAATGTATATTCTGTTGATTTGGGGTGGAGAGTTCTGTAGACGTCTATTAGGTCAGCTTGGTGCAGAGCTGAGTTCAAGTCATGGATATCCTTGTTAACCTTCTGTCTCGTTGATCTGTCTAATCTTGACAGTGGGGTGTTAAAGTCTCCCGTTATTATTGTGTTGGAGTCTAAGTCTCTTTTTAGGTCTCTAAGGACTTGCTTTATGAATCTGGGTGCTCCTGTATTGGGTGCATATATATTTAGGATAGTTAGCTCTTCTTGTTGAATTGATCCCTTTACCATTATGTAAGGGCCTTCTTTGTCTCTTTTGATCTTTGTTGGTTTAAAGTCTGTTTTATCAGAGACTAGGATTGCAACCCCTGTTTTTTTTTTGGTTTTTTTTTTTTTTTTTTTGCTTTTCGTTTGCTTGGTAGATCTTCCTCCATCCCTCTATTTTGAGCCCATGTGTGTCTCTGCACATGAGATGGATCTCCTGAATACAGCAAACTGATGAGTCTTGATTTTTTAATCCAATCTCCTGTCTGTGTCTTTTAATTGGGGCTTTTAGCCCATTTACATTTAAGGTTAATATTGTTATGTGTGAATTTGATCATGTCATTATGATGTTAGCTGGTTATTATGCCCATTAGTTGATGCAGTTTCTTCCTAGCATTGATGGCCTTTACAATTTGGCATGTTTTTGCAGTGGCTGGTACCAGTTGTTCCTTTCCATGTTTAGTGCTTCCTTCAGGAGCTCTTGTAAGGCAGGCCTGGTGGTGACAAAATCTCTCAGCATTTGCTTGTCTGTAAAGGATTTTATTTCTCCTTCACTTATGAAGCTTAGTTTGGCTGGATATGAAATTCTGGGTTGAAAATTCTTTTCTTTAAGAATGTTGAATATTGGTCCCCGCTCTCTTCTGGCTTGTAGAGTTTCTGTGGAGAGATCTGCTGTTAGTCTGATGGGCTTCCCTTTGTGGGTAACCCAACCTTTCTCTCTGGCTGCCCTTAACGTTTTTTCCTTCATTTCAACCTTGGTGAATCTTACAATTATGTGTCTTGGGGTTGCTCTTCTCAAGGAGTATCTTTGTGGTGTTCTCTGTATTTCCTGAATTTGAATGTTGGCCTGCCTTGCTAGGTTGGGGAAGTTCTCCTGGATAATATCCTGAAGAGTGTTTTCCAGCTTGGTTCCCTTCTTCCTGTCACTTTCAGGTACACCAATCAAATGTAGATTTGGTCCTTTCACATAGTCCCATATTTCTTGGAGGCTTTGTTCATTTCTTCTTATTCTTTTTTCTCTAAGCTTCTCTTCTCGCTTCATTTCATTCATTTGATCTTCAATCACTGATACGCTTTCTTCCACTTGATTGAATCGGCTACTAAAGCTTGTGCATGCATCACATAGTTCTTGTGCCATGGTTTTCAGCTTCATCAGGTCATTTAAGGTCTTCTCTACACTGTTTATTCTAGTTAGTCATTTGTCTAATCTTTTTTCAGTTTTTAGCTTCCTTGTGATGGATTTGAACATCCTCCTTTAGCTCGGAGAAGTTTGTTATTACCGACCTTCAGAAGCCTACTTCTGTCAACTCATCAAAGTCATTCTCCATCCAGCCTTGTTCCATTGCTGGCGAGGAGCTGTGGTACTTTGAAGGAGAAGAGTCCCTCTGGCTTTTAGAATTTTCAGCTTTTCTGCTCTGGTTTCTCCCCATCTTCATGGTTTTATCTACCTTTGGTCTTTGATGTTGGTGACCTACAGATGGGTTTTTGGTGCGGATGTCCTTTTTGTTGATGTTGGTACTATTCCTTTCTGTTTGTTAGTTTCCCTTCTAAAAGGTCCGTCAGCTGCAGGTCTTTTGGAGTTTTTCGGAGGTCCACTCCGGACCCTGTTTGCCTGTGTATCACCAGCAGAGGCTGAAGAATGGCAAATATTGCAGAACAGCAAATATTGCTGTCTAATCCTTCCTCTGGAAGCTTTGTCTCAGAGAGGCACCTGCTTGTATGAGGTGTCAGTCGGCCCCTACTGGGAGGTGTCTCCCAGTTAGGCTACACGGGGGTCAGGGACCCACTTGAGGAGGCAGTCTGTCTGTTCTCAGAGCTCAAACACTGTGCTGGGTGAACCACTGCTCTCTCTTCAGTGCTGTCAGACAGGGAAGTTTAAGTCTGCAGAAGTTTCTGCTGCCTTTTGTTCAGCTATGCCCTACCCCCAGAGGTGGAGTCTACAGAGGCAGGGAGGTCTCGTTGAGCTGTGGTGGGCTCCACCCCAATGTTATCAATTTCTTAAGGGGAACTTAAATTAATATTTCATTGTGTTAATTAAACTCACTTTAAAAACATAAACTGTGTTCATAAATTTAACATATTTAATTTTCTTTTAAAGTATGTCTTTAATAGAATTGTAAACAAAAGAAAATAAATAAATACAATTATCAATTGTATGACTGATAAACCCTAAATAAGCCTTATAAATCAAGTAATACAACATATAAATATGGCAAAGCCATGTTATCTTAAACTTTCTAATATGATTTATAATATAGCACAATTTTCTTTTATCTTAAAATCACAAATCTAATTGAATACTCATTATACATTTAAAAATTGGAATTAGAAAGCAAATGTGTTTGATAATCTATTATGTGAAATTGTTCATAATATGCCACATTCTCTTTTATTTTTAAATACTTAAAATACTGTATAAATCATTTCCAAATTTAATTCAAAATAATAATTCAGGGTTTGGTTTACTTGACTGTCTCTATACATTACCATTTCTATACTCTATTATAAATCTCCTCAGACATTTACCCAATAAAGAGAAAATTATTTCATTCCAAATAATTTGACATTGCCTTTTAAAGTGGCTGAACTTGGATATAAACCTGAGATTTTGATTGGGATAAGAATATTTATAGCTGTAGACATATAGCAAGAATTTTCTCACAATGATGGGGAACATTTATTAGAAGCCCTTTTAAATGCCCCTATGCTGCATGGGGATGCCTCACACAACCCACTACCCCCGCCTTATAGTGGGTGCCCCTAATTCGCACATCCAGTCTGTATTAGTCCATTCTCATGTTGCTATAAAGAACTACCTGAGACTGGGTTATTTATAAAGAAAAGAGGTTTAATTGACTCAGAGTTCTGCAGACTGTACAAGAAGCATGGTCCAGGGAGGTCTCAGAAAACTTACAATCACAGCAGAAGGTGAAGGGGAAACAGGCACATCTTACATGGCCAGAGAAGGAGGAAGAGGATGAAGGGGGAGGTGCTACACACTTTTAAACAGATCTCATGAGAACTCACTCACTATCATGAGAACAGCAAGGGTGAAATCTGTTCCCATTATCCAATCACCTCCCACCAGGCCCCTCCACCAATATTATGTATTACAATTGGACATGAGATTTGGGCAGGGACACAGATACAAACCATATCATTCGGCCCTTGGCCACTCCCAAATCTCGTGTCTTTCTCACATTGCAAAATGCAATCATCTCTTCTCAACAGCCCACCAAAGTCTTAACTCGTTTCAGCATTAACTCAAAAGTTCACAACCAAAAGTCTCATATGAGACCAGGCAAGTCCCTTCCACCTATGACCCTGTAAAATAAAAAACAAGTTAGTCACTTCCAAGATATAATGGGGCTACAGGCATTGGGTAAGTACACTCATTCCAAAAGGGAAAAATCAGCCAAAACAAAGGGACTACAGGCCCCATGCAAGTCCAAAACCCAGAAGGGCAGTCATTAAATGTTAAAGCTCCAAAATAATCTCCTTTGACTCCATGTCTCACATGTAGGCTACATTGATGCAAAGGGTGGGCTCCCAAGGCCTTGGGCAGTGCCACCTCTGTGGCTCTACAGGGTACATCTCCCTCAACTGATTTCATGGGCTGGTGTTGAGTGCCTACAGCTTTTCCAGGTGCACAGTACAAGTTGTCAGTGTATCTATCATTCTAGGGTCTGGAGGATGGTGACCGTCTTCTCACAGCTCCACTACGCAGTGCCCCAGTGGGGACTCTGTGTGAGAGTTCCAACCCCATATTTCCCTTCTGCACTGCCCTAGTAAAAGTTCTCCATGAGGGCTCCACCCCTGCATCAGACTTCTGCCTGATCATCCAGGTGTTTCCATACATCCTCTGAAATCTAGACAGAGGATCCCAAGCCTCAACTTTTGCCCTCTGCACACCTGCAGGCTTAACACCACATAGGAGCTGCCAAGGCTTAATGGCTTGCACCCTCTGGAGCAGCAGCCTGAGACTTATCTGGGGCCCTTTTAGCCATGGCTGAAGCTGACGTGGCTGGGATGCAGGGAGCAGTGTCCCAAGGTTGTGCAGGACATCAGGGCCCTGGGTCCAGTCCACAAAGCCATTCTTCCATCCTAGATCTCCAGGCATCTGATGGAAGGTGCTGCCACAAAAGTCTCTGATGCCTTCTGATACATTTTCCCCATTGTCTTGGCTATTAACATTTGGTTCCTCTTTATTTATGAAAATATCTACAGCCAACTTGAATTCCTCCCCCAGAAAATAGGTTTTTATTTTCTACCACATGGTCAGACTGAAAATTTTCTAAACATTTATATTCTGCTCCCCTTTTAAATATAAGTTCCAGTTTCAGATCATCTCTTTGCACACATGGAGGACCATACACTGTTAGAAGCAGCTAGGCCAAATCTCAAATGCTTTGCTACTTAGAAATTTCTTCTGCCAGCTACCCTAAATTATTACTGTCAAGTTCAAATTTCCACAGATCCTTAGATCAGGGGCACAAGGCTGCCAGTCTCTTTCCTAAAGCATAGCAAGAGTGACCTTTACTCCAGTTCCCAATAAGTTCCTAATGTCCATCTGAGACCTCCTCAGCCTGGAATTCATTGTTCATATCACTATCAGCATTTTGGCCACAACCATTTAACAAGTCTTTAGGAAGTTCCAAACTTTCCCTCATCTTCCTGTCTTCTTCTGAGCCCTCCAAAGTGTACAACCTCTGCTCATTACCTAGTTCCAAAGTTTCTTTCACATTTTCGGGTATATTTATAACAATGCCCTACTTCAGGTATATTTATAGCAATGCCCTACTCCTGGTACCAATTTCCATATTAGTCCATTCTCACATTGCTATAAAGAACTACCTGAGAATGGATAATTTATCAAGAAAAGAGGTTTAGTTCACTCACAGTTCTGCAGGCTGTATAGGAAGCATGGCTGAGGAGATCTCAGGAAACTTATAATCATGAGAGGGGAAGCAGGCACATCTTACATGGCTGGAGAAGGAAGGATAGGGAAAAGGGATAGGTGCTACACATTTTTAAACAACTAGATCTCATGAGAACTTACTGTCACAAGAATAGCAAGGTGGAAATCTACCCTTATGATCCAATCATCTCTCACCAGGCCCCTCCTTCAACATTGGGGATTACAATTCAACATGAGATTTGGGCAGAGACAAAAATCCAAACCATATCATGATGTAAGCCTGCAACTCTCATTCAGGTTGCTTCACCAACTGACTGGATCCAATGGATCCTTTCCAGTTATATTCTAAGCTGAATTATTTTCCTATTCTTTCTATCTGTAATGAGACAATTCTTACTGATATTCAAATGTCATCTTTTTGTATTCTGTCAAGTCTATGTCTGAGTCTAGGGTCGTAATTCTAAGGTCATTCTAGTGACAAGAGGGTTTTTAAATATTTTTCTGGCCAAGACAAGTAAAGCAAGATAAGTACAAAGTATTAAATTTACTTGAATAAATAATCACTGGCACTTAACTAGGTTTAACTGGTTTAACTCCTTCCTTTCCTTCTTACTCTCTCCCCTCTTGTGCAAACCACCACAATCATATATTATCACTTCACTTATAATGTTAAATCCCTAGTTGATGCATAATGTAGCTACTGGCTGTAAGTCAGGAGATGAGCTCAGAATTTGGAATAATTTTAGAAATAATGTCACTCAAATGCAAGATGAGTCATCTTAGAAGAACCTTTACCCAAGAGATGATTTGCAAATGTCTCACTAAGGTGTCATGGGACACTTCAGAATTTCATCAGGGCGAGGCATGTCTCCAAGAAAGCAGGCCTGGAATATAATGTGTGCACATTCCATGCATGTACTCCATACACTGCAGCAAGTGAGAGTAGAAGAGGGTCTACCAGGGGTGATGGGTTTCCTGGATCCTAGGAGAAGGTAGCCAAAGAGAAGGACCATGCCTGGTGGCCTGCTGCCCTGTGCAAGAGAGAGGCTGTTCTGGCCTCAACAGCTGCTGCTGGCTCTCAGGACCCCATACTACTAGAGTGAAGAGAGGCAGTTCATTCCAGGAACTTGATAGAAATATTCTTTAAAAACATCAGATTTCTTTGGCTGTAAACCTGGCCTCATGAAACAACCTTCTGATCTCTAATAGGTGCTCTCAGTGTCCTTGATCTCACTCAGAATAAGTTAGTGGCCCATGATTATGCCCTACGTAGGTTTTCCACCTAGCAGTAGCTTCTCTTGTAAATTGGGTTCTGGGTTTGTAAATCAACTTCCTTTCAGAGCTTGATCTCCTGGGGTAATGGTTGGAATTGAATGTGAGGACCTGCAAAGCTAAAATACAGACATTGCCTGTGAGCTCTTTCTCCAAGTAGAGCTCCCTGGATGGGGTCTAAATTGGCCAGTTGACCTTCTGACCATTAGCTGAGTTTTCTTCAGGCAAACTTTGACTGTGGATATGGTGGATATAGAATTCAGAATCAGCAGATTCTGTTTTTTCTATGGGATAAAACAAATTTTGATGGAAGTGGAAAGAAAAGTTCAAATATGAAAGAAGTTGGCAATTGTTTTCTATCATATGGGAAGTAATGAGCCTTGATGAGGCTTGGTGAATAACAGGGCTATAGCTAGAGCAGAGACATAAGGATCAGTAGCAGTCAAAGTTGTGTGTTATTCCTGACATGGCATGCTCTTTGGGGGCAGCCCAGTGTCATGGGTGGGGAAGCACATGGACTCTGGAGCCAGCTTGCCTAGGACTGATCCCAGGATCTATCACATACAAACTGCGTAACCTTGGGCAAGTAAATTAATTTCTGCATGCCTTAGTTTCCTTAACTGTAAAATGGGTTATTGTAAAGATTAAATGAGATGAGGCACATAATTAAAACTGCATCTGATATATAGAAAGTGAGACGTGTTTACTATTATATTATTACTAGGTGATAGAATATCTATTGTCTAATAATAATTGTGGGATATCTTATTTTTCATGAATTACATGAGAAAGAGAAAACCAACCAGCTTGTTAAGGAGCTGACATAAAGAATGTAAGGGGCCAAATGCAGTGGCTCATGCCTGTAATCCAAGCACTTTGGGACACTGAGGTAGGAGGATCACTTGAGCCCAGGAGTTTGGGACCAGCCTGAGCAACATAGTGAAACTTAACCTCTACAAATAATAAAAACTTAGCTGGATGTGTGTTGCAGGAAGTCAGGGACCCCAAACAGAGGGACCGGCTGAAGCTGTGGCAGAACATAAGTTGTGAAGATTTAATGGACATTTATTAGTTCCCAAAATTAATACTTTTATAATTTCTTACACCTGTCTTTACTGCAATCTCTGAACATAAATTGTGAAGATTTCATGGACATTTATCACTTCCACAGTCAATACTCTTATAATTTCCTATGCCTGTCTTTAATCTCTTAATCCTGTCATCTTCATAAGCTGAGGATGTATGTCACCTCAGGACCCTGTGATGATTGCGTTAACTGTACAAATTGTTTGTAAAACATGTGTGTTTGAACAATATGAAATCTGGGCACCCTGAAAAAGAACAGGATAACAGCACTTTTCAGGGAACAAGGGAGATAACCATAAGGTCTGACTGCCTGCAGGGCCGGGAAGAACAGAGACATATTTCTCTTCTTGCAGAAAGTGAATAGGAAAAATATTGCTGAATTCTTTTCCCAGCAAGGAATAACCTTGGGGAAGGAATGCATTCCCAGGTGGAGGTCTATAAATGGCCGCTCTGGGAGTGTCCGTCTTATGCAGTTGAAGATAAGGGATGAAATATGCCCTGGTCTCCTGCAGTGCCCTCAGGCTTGCTAGGATTGGGAAATTCCAGGATGGTGAATTCTAGTCAGACCAGTTGTCTGCTCTTGAACCCTGTTTCCTGTTAAAATGTTTATCAAGACAATGCATGCTCAGCAGGACATGGATACTCATCAGTAATTCTAATTTCGCTCTTGCCTTGTGATCCTGCTCTGCCATTTGCCTTGTGATCTTTTATTGCCTTTTGAAGCATGTGATCTCTGTGACCCACTCCCTATTCATACACTCCTTCTCCTTCTAAAATCCCTAATAAAAACTTGCTGGTTTTGTGGCTTGAGGTCACCATCATGGTCCTACCAATATGTGATGGCACCCGAGGAGGCCCAGCTGTAAAATTTCTCTCTTTGCACTCTTTATTTGTCAGACTGGCTGACACTTAGGGAAAATAGAAAAGAACCTACATTGAAATATTGGGGGCTGGTTCCCCCAATAGATGTGGTGGCACACACTTGTAGTCCCAGCTACTTAGGAGGCTGAAGCAGGAGAATCCCTTGAGCCCAAGAGATGGAGGCTGCAATGAGCCATGATAGCACCACTGAACTCCAGCCTGGGTGACAGAGCAAGAGGCCTTGTCTAAAAAAATACAAATAAATAAATTAAGATTTGTCAGCTAATTCTTAAGTCTATAATTTTTTATGAATAGCAATGGCCAAGCCTTTTATTTGAATTCATTCAGACAGGATTTATTTTTATTATTCAAGAAATGTTTACATAGCCCATATTAAATGCCAGTCACTGGAATAAGTGCATTGTAAATACTAACTCATTTAATCTTCTGTAACAATCATTTGCTATTTTTAACATGTCAATTCTACGGATAAGGAACCAAGTGAGATGAAAGCTGAGGTTCTAACCTGGGCAGTCAGGCTCCAGTGACATGTGCTGAACCACCGTGTGACACTGATGTCTCCCACCTCCACACAGAATTGTAACTGCAGAGCAAGTGGATTCAAGACCCTGCAGCTCAACAAACAGCTCTGATGCAAAGCATTTTTTCACCTGTTTGTCTTGTTTAAATTTTTTTCTTCATCAGATTGGTATAAGAAAAGGAATTATAGTTTTCATGATCTGAACTGGGCTTAAGGTATACAGAATTTAATTTTTCTTATTGGGATAATAAAGCCAAAAGAAATTAACCACTTGGGGTCATCAGGCAACTGTAGTGCCCCAGGCTTTACATTGAAGCTACACCAAGGATAACAATGTCACTCTCAGTCAGGTCAGCCAAAGTGAAGGCCTGTGAGCTCTTGTAGTAGGTATACAATAATAATTAAATTTAGTAAATTCCTGTCTAGCCTGGAATGCCTATAATTTTGAAGGCATATTACTGGCCTTGCAAAGTTTCTTCTCTTTTTAGAACTTCTGGTGCTGCAAGGATTAAACTCAGTAAGTACAGTGTTTATTTGTTAATAAGAAGGAAATTAGGCAGGTGATTTCTTGAAGCAATCAAAGCCCCATGTTGCTTTTGCTTCTAACAGTGTAAGTCTAACCCACAACAGAATTAAAGGACAAGAACTGTGTCTTATCTCTTATGTTATTTGCACTCAGTGACCAGCTTGTGTTTATTCCATTCAATTGAATCTTGAGATGCAACAGAAATGTGCTGGGTTAAATATTTGACTGGGAGGAAATATACTGAGTCTTAGCTGAACACTTAACAGCAATTATCTTTGGGTAGTCAGATGCCTGTGGTTTTTATTTTCTTCTTTATACTTTTGATATTTCCCCTAAACCACAACCTTAGGTGTTTGCAACAGAAGACTACTTAGAGAAAGAAGAGAATCCTTCTCTCTATCTCATTCCTTTTCAAATTGTGGTTTTTATTTTTACAAACAGTATATGGGCACACAGACAACCAAATAGTTACAAGGGCTGTTATGAAAACCCACAGGAGCTTCCCTCCTATTTCCTTCTATTTCCCACTCCACAGAGGATACCACTTTGGATTATTTTAGCTGATTCCTTTTAGTTTAGTCATAATGGTTATTTCTCTCTTGCAGCAGCAGTTTGAGCAGAAGCAGGCCAAGGTGGCATGGTAGCTTCCCAGTGTCTAAAGCCCTGACTCCTTATACCTTGCTTTACCATCTTTAGGTGTTGTTCTTATTCACATGTTCCAATATGGCTCATTACCAAGTTTTAATTCCAACCAAGAGAAAAGGAAAAATAGGAACAAGGAGCACATACTCCTTTCTTTTAGGGCTGTGAGTTGTAAGCTGAACAAATTTTTTGCCAGCATATCATTAGCCAGATTTTAGTCATAAGTCCACATCCAGATGGAAGAGAGGCTAGAAAACTATTTTTTTTTTATTTTTTTAGTATTTATTGATCATTCTTGGGTGTTTCTCGGAGAGGGGGATTTGGCAGGGTCATAGGACAATAGTGGAGAGAAGGTCAGCAGATAAACATGTGAACAAAGGTCTCTGGTTTTCCTAGGCAGAGGACCCTGCAGCCTTCTGCAGTGTTTGTGTCCCTGGGTACTTGAGATTAGGGAGTGGTGATGACTCTTAACGAGCATGCTGCCTTCAAGCATCTGTTTAACAAAGCATATCTTGCACGGCCCTTAATCCATTTAACCCTGAGTTGACACAGCACATGCTTCAGAGAGCACAGGGTTGGGGGTAAGGTTATAGATTAACAGCATCCCAAGGCAGAAGAACTGTTCTTAGTACAGAACAAAATGGAGTCTCCTATGTCTACTTCTTTCTACACAGACACAGTAACAATCTGATCTCTCTTTCTTTTCCCCACATTTCCCCCTTTTCTATTCAACAAAACTGCCATCGTTATCATGGCCCATTCTCAATGAGCTGTTGGGTACACCTCCCAGATGGGGTGGCGGCTGGGCAGAGGGGCTCCTCACTTCCCAGATGTGGCAGCCAGGCAGAGGGGCCTCCCACCTCCCAGACGGGGTGGCTGTGGGGCGGGGGCGCCCCCCCAACCTCCCAGACGGGGCAGCTGCCGGACCGCGGTGCCCCCCACCTCCCAGATGGGGCGGCCGGGCGGAGATGCTCCTCACTTCCCAGATGGGGCGGCTGCTGGGTGGAGGGGCTCTTCATTTCTCAGATGGGGTGGCCGGGCAGAGGCACTCCTGAGTTCCCAGACAGGGTCGCAGCCGGGCAGAGGCGCTCCTCACCTCCCAGACAGGGTGGTGGCTGGGTAGAGATGCTCCTCACCTCCCAGACGGGGCGGCCGGGCAGAGGCGCTCCCCACATCCCAGACGATGGGCGGCCAGGCAGAGACCCTCCTCACTTCCTAGACGGGATGATGGCCGGGAAGAGGCGCTCCTCACTTCCCAGACTGGGCAGCCGGGCAGAGGGGCTCCTCACATCCCAGACAATGGGTGGCCAGGCAGAGATGCTCCTCACTTCCTAGACGGGGTGGCAGCTGGGCAGAGGCTGCAATCTCAGCACTTTGGGAGGCCAAGGCAGGCAGCTGGGAGGTGGAGGTTGCAGCGAGCTGAGATCACGCCACTGCACTCCAGCCTGGGCAACATTGAGCACTGAGTGAGCAAGACTCCGTCTGCAATCCCTGCACCTCGGGAGGCTGAGGTGGGCAGATCACTCGAGGTCAGGAGCTGGAGACCAGCCCGGCCAACACGGCGAAACCCCCTCTCCACCAAAAAATACAAAAACCAGTCAGGCATGGCGGCGCGCGCCTGGAATCACAGGCACTCGGCAGGCTGAGACAGGAGAATCAGGCAGGGAGGTTGCAGTGAGCCGAGATTGTGGCAGTACAGTCCAGCCTCAGCAACAGAGGGAGACCGTGGAAAGCAGGAGACGGGGATGAGGGAGAGGGAGAGGGAGAGGGAGAGGGAGAAGGAGAGGAAGAGGGAGAGGGAGAGGGAGAGGGAGAAGGAGAGGAAGAGGGAGAGGGAGAGGGAGAGGGCAAAAATTATTTCTTTCCCAACACTGAAAATTCCTTTTGCTACTATAAAAAGGAGAAAATGGGTATTAATTTCTACCCTCCATGCACAGTGATTGGTTCATGAATGAGTTATTGAGGTGGGAAATTAAAGAAAGAAAGAGAAATAAAATTAAAAAGAGAAATAAGCTTTCCTGTATTAGGCTGACTTGTCCCAGAGGCAGAAACAGGCACAGCCCAGACCCAGGAAAAGTCTTGATAATACTATCTAATGTGCCCTGAAGACTCTCCCAGCACTCCCTCAACATAGGGAGGAGAAAAACAAATTTTCCTTTCTCTTATGGTATGAGTTTATAGATTCCTGTTCTCTGTAACTAGTAAATTCAAGTATTCTGTTTTATCTAAGTGGTATAGTGAACACCCTAAACCATCTGAGCAGGGGTGAGATACAGCCATCTGGGTGCCATAGTGAAGGTCATGGAATGCTAGGCACTAGGGCAAACCCAGATAACAAACATCTGGGCTGCATAGCAATGGTCTTGTGTAATCCTGAGTTATGAGCCTGTCACAATTTGATTAACTGTCTTTGTTCTGCCTCTGTATCCTTGCTTTTGCACCATGGTAAGCCTGCTTCAAGCTAGCATGCCCCCTTTTTGAAGTGTGTATAAAAATTAAGTGCTGTCTTTGTTCTAGGCTCAGTTTTTGGATAAGTCTGCTGGGTCTGAGTGTACTCAATAAAGATCTTCCTGTATACACCCCAAGGTCTCTCTTGTCCTACTAATTCCTGCAACATTATGACCCAAGCCAGGCCAATGAGAGTCAATCCTGGGGTTTGTGCTAAAATTATTATGAAACTTGCAATGCTGATAGAATGTAGGCTTGACTACTGGCCATCCTGACCATGTCAAGGAGACAGCTTGACTGAGAATGACATCAACACAATGAGAATGGAACCATGAGATGGAGAGAGGCAGTGTACTAATGACACAGTTTAAGGCCCTGAATCTATCTGGGTAGTTTCTTCTGTAAATGTTTTCTCTTTGAACACAATACTGCATACTAAGATGTTGAACCTTTAGAGTTTCATCCACTGTTCTTCATCCTGGCTGTATTAAAACGTCCCAGGACAAAGCTGGGATTTGTCCTTTGAATTGCCACCTAGAATTGCACAATGTGCAATTCAGCAAACTTGATGTGTGGGATACTAGCTAGAATTTACAAAAATTTCTCCTTGACAGATGTTTATCTCATTCTACTTTCATGTATTACATAATGTCAGGAGGTGGATATCTTGCTACTTCTGCTATTTTCACTCCCACTGCTCTAAGTGGAGCTGCACTGACTGCTGACCTAGATGCACACTAGTATGTGGTTTGTGTCCTTGCTGTTTTCCTGGTGTTCCTGTACCTTGAACTTCCCAATTATATTAGCCAATACAGTCTCTTTTTGTCTAAGCCACTTTCAGTTGGATTTCTGTCACCAGCAACCAAAATAATCCTGACTCATGCTCCAAGTAAGCCTTGTTCAAGGAAGAGACTTTGCATCATATTCTAAATGTTCTAGCCTCGATGGCTTTTCCTAAACTGGAGAATAAAATTTAAAAGATTAATATGTATATCTTTTCCTTGGGAACATACATATAAATATAAAATTATATTTTTAAAGGTTAGAAGGATACACATCAAACTAGTAACAGCGAGTTACTTCCTGAGAAACAGTAAGCAGAGCAGAATTAGGGATAATGATCAAAAGACCCTTTGGTTTTATCTGTAATATTCCAATTTTAAAGATAAGTTTAAAATATTGTGATTTTTAAGTTAGTGATAAAAAAAAAACTTCTAAAAAGCAAGATTATCTTTTCTTCTCCTCTACCAGTCCATTCCTGAGTAGTTCAATTCAAAAACAAGGTAAGCACACATGTTGAAGGGAGGTTGCAGTGCATGATAGGAACCACAATGACCAGAAGGAAGTGTCAGAGCACAAGAAGGTTGAAGAGGGAGTCCACGAAGGAAGGCTGCTTGGGATGAAGTGTTGGAGCCCAAGTGGGGCATGAAGGAAATATGTACATAAGAGGGGCAATGGTGGGCCAGGCATGGTGGCTCGTGCCTGTAATTCCTGCGCTTTGGGAGGCCAAGGCAGGTGGATCACTTGAGGTCGGGAGTTTGAGACCAGACTGGCCAACATTGGGAAAGCCCATCTCTACTAATAATGCAAAAATTAGCCGGGCATGGTGGCAGACACCTGTAATCCCAGCTACTTGGGAGAAGAATTGTTTGAACGTGGGAGGCAGAGGTTTCAGTGAGCTGAGATTGCGCCACTGCACTCCAGCTTGGGTGACAGAGCAACACTCCATCTAAAAAAAAAAAAAAAAAAAAAAAAGGGCAATGGCAAGAGTTTTGAACAATAAGTAAATCTACTAAGGAAATGAAAATAAGAGTGCTCACTGGGAAGGGATTAAGAAATATGGAAAGATAAATGTAAGAATATACAGAGGAAACAACCACTCTCTCTCACTACTTAATCAACATAGAATACTTCTGTGGCCACAGATGTGATGTGTGAGGATTTTTCCCCACAGTGAACCCTGAAAATGTGAGACAGGTTTCAGTTAATTTAGAAAGTTTATTTTGCCAAAGTTGAGGACATGTGCCTGTGACACAGCCTCAGGAGGTCCTGATGACATGTGCCCAAGGTGGTCAGAGCACACTTTGGCTTTATACTTTTTAAGGAGATATGAGACATCAATCAACACTCGTAAGATGAACATTGGTTTGGCCTGGAAAGGCTGGACAACTCAAAGTGGGGAGGGGACTTCCAGGTCATAGGTAGATAAGAGACAAATGGTATAATTATTTGGAGTTTCTGATTAGCCTCTCCAAAGGCAGCAATCAGATATGCATTTACCTCAGTGAGGAGAGGGATGACTTTGAATAGAATGGGAGGCAGGTTTGCCCTAAGCAGTTCCCAGCTTGACTCTTCCCTTTAGTGATTTTGGGGACCCAAGATATTTTCCTTTCACACCATCAACAACCAATTCTCCAGCAGAGTCTCCAAAGGATACAGCTGGGTGTCCTCTAATTCAATTCAATTCTAATACTACCTACCTGGAAATAATGTCAGATTCCATAGGTTGAGGGCTCAGTCCCATAAGATTATTCCAGCTGCTGATACCAATTATAATAGGTTGTCACATATAATTCTGACAGATCAGCTATAAACTGGGGTTCCCACTCTCCCCTCCTCAGGCTTGATTGTTACTAGGATGGCTCACAGAACTCAGGAAAACACTTAATTTACCCATTTATTATTAAGGATATGACAAAGGATACACATGAACAGCCAGATGGGAGAGGCACATGGAATGAGGCTAGTAGGAAGGGAACAAAGCTTCCATGCCCTCCCCAGAACTCCCTCCAGGCAACTCCATGTATTCAGTTATCTGGACGCTTCCAGAACTCAGTCCTTTTGGGTTCTTTGGGTTTTTAATGGAAGCCTCATTATGTAGACACAATTAATTAAAGCATTGGCCATTGGATTATCAACTCAACCTTCAGCCACTCTCTGCTCCCCAGAGGTTGAGGGGGTGGGGGGATGGACTGAAATTTCCAACCCTCTAATCTACATGGTTGGTTTCCCTGGCAACCAGCCTCCCTCTGAAACTAGGGCCCCAGCCACCAGTCATCTCATTAGCATACAAAAGACACTCTTATCGCTCTAGAGATTCCAAGGATTTTAGGAGCTATATGTCAGGAGATGGGGATGAAGGTCAAATATATATTTCACAATATCACAGGAGAAAACTGGAATGAACCCTGAGATTTTGAATTGGCATTGAAGGTATCCATGTTAAAGCATACCATTGGCCCACAGACAAGATAAACTCCTCAGGGCAACTGAGGTGCTCAAATTTAAAACAGAGCCAAGTGGCCATGGCTGGATTTGGGAAAAGTCATGTACTCTCTGTTCTCAGAAGATGTTGTAAAAATATCATAGGACCTCCATTCCTATAATCAAGCTAAACCAGTTCCTGTTGCTATTAAGACAAATAGGGGCCAGCAATCACCCCCATCGGCCATTTTAAAGAAACACCTGACAGAGACTTCTGGTTTGGGGCTTGGAAATAAACCAATCAGAGATAACCTGCCACAGCCAATCAAGGCTCAGCTGTATCAACCAATCAGGGCTTAGCTGCCCCAGTGAGTCCGAACTAAGGAAGTTTCAATCTTTCATTTGCATGAACAGACCTGATTGAGAACCTGGAAAGGAACTTTTGCTATAAAACCGAAACCTCTCTCTGCTCTCTGGAATGCACCTTCATTTTACACTGAAGGCTGGACCCAGCTTGGAAACTGTTTACTGGAATAAAGTTACTTTCCTCCAAATTCCTTTTCAGATAACTTTTTTTAAAGTTTTAAAATGTTCACTTTATTTCACATAACACTTAACCAGATATCATTTATGTCTGAGGAAGAGATAGCCCAGGAGACTGATCTATAGTAAAACATTCTAAGAAATGCAGTCCAATCTTATACATGTCCAGGCATCCCTAGACAAGTATATCATGATGCAGAAATATAGGTATCACTACCACATTTTACACAAAAGGGAATTATCAATAAACTTTAGAAAGTAGTAAATTCACCTGTCCCTTAATATAGGAATATGCAATTGTTACAAAGCCATAGTAAATGGTTTATATTAGGTTGGTGCAATAGTAATTGTGGTTCTGCCATCACTTTTAATGTAATTTTATTTTATGTTATTCTGCTGTTACATAGGGCATAACATTTTCACAAGACTTTTTTGGGACTTCAGTCAATGACGAGCAACACACAATAGTTGTCCAACTAAATAACAATCACTAGACAAACAGGACACCTCCTTACATATACACAAATCTGCATAGAAATGTACTAAAGTTTTAGACTTGGACTTGTGTGCTTTGTTTCCCCTTTCTAGTGTGTTAAGAAGTGACATGTACTTCAGTTTGCCAAAAGAAATGCTAGTATTCTGGCAGCAACATGCTACTTCTATTACATAGTAAAGTAGATACCAGAACTATAAAGGCAGGAAGTGTAAATGAATTTTTATTGGGAAGGAAAGCTGCCAACTTAAACAGCAGCATATGAAGAGTGAATAAGGAAACTCTTATTTACTCTTTCCACAGATTCACATGACCTCCATAATATGTGATATAGGAGACATTTCAATTTGTGACACCTCAACCCAGAAATGGCAAGCGCTTTTCCATTCAATCTGATATTTCTGGATTTCTACTAAAAAGAATACATTAAGAGCATGGAAAAGTTGATTATTGAGAAGAAACCCCCAAAGAGTAAGGGAGGGAATGTAGAAATTAAGACGTTACATCGAACACTGCTGGGGATAGGCCCCCAAATCTGGCCATAAACTGGCCCCAAAACTGGCCATAAACAAAATCTCTGCAGCACTGTGACATGTTCGTGATGGCCATAATGCCCACGCTGAAGGCCGTGGGTTTACCAGAATGAGGGCAAGGAACACCTGGCCCACTCAGGGCAGAAAACTGCTTAAAGGCATTCCTGAACCACAAACAATAGCATGAGAAATCTGTGCCTTAAGGACATGTTTCTGCTGCAGATAACTTGCCAGAGCCCATCCCTTTGTTTCAGCCCATCCCTTTTGTTTCCCATAAGGAATACTTTTAGTTAATCTATATTCTATAGAAACAATGTTTATCACTGGCTTGCTGTCAATAAATATGTGGGTAAATCTCTGTTCATGGCTCTCAGCTCTGAAGGCTGTCAGTCCCCTGATTTCCCACTCCACACACTATATTTCTGTGTGCGTGTCTTTAATTCCTCTAGCACCTCTGGGTTAGGGTCTCCACAACTGAGCTGGTCTTGGCAGAACATTCTTTAAATTATAATTAACTACATTTTTATATCTCCACAGTAATACAAAACACAGTCATTTGCAAAACTGGTTCAGATTACTTAAATACCAGATACATTTTTTAGTCCTCTACATAAGCATTTGGAAGGTACTTAAGTTTATATGAAATTAAGCTATGAATGCTTTTCTACAGCAGTAACTGCACATCAGGAAGGCCAAGACAAACACAAATCAGGGAATGGCATTTTCCCAAAGATGCAGTGTGAAAAAGCTATAAACAGTTAATTCCAAGCACATGAATGGGTTTCTTTGCTATAGGAAATTCAAGTGGAATAAGGAAAGGAGATGCATAAAAAGGTTTCTTGAAGGGAGGAAGGATGACACTCTTTATGCATTTAGTTTTCAGCCCCTTCTACTGCATCACATTCTTCCTTGCACTGTCTGATATCCATAGTGTTAGGTTGTCTCTAAGCAGATAAGGGTGCTGTCTTTGTATGAATCTTCATTCCGTGTATCAAGTTCTGCAGTGTATCTGTTTTATTCAGCATGCAGGTGAGCTCTGCATTATTAAGGGTCTCACAGTAAAATACAGAAAAGTTAAGAGCAAGCCCCAGGTAGATTGGGTGGGTGAGTTGACTCTCTTTCTTGCTTATATCAAATACTTCTTGGTAAGCTCCTTGGGAATTATCTATCTTGTTTTCAATCATCACCACTTGCAACTTCGGCAAGGTACAGGAAGTAATCTCCCTTCATTTTCAATTAGAAGACCTTACTCTCTGGATTAGTTGCATCAGCTATTAAATACTCATCCAGCAATTCCAGGACTGTGGTACAGATGGATCTCAGCTCAGACTCTACTTTCTCCTGATAGCCCTTAATCAGCTGCAACTTCTTGTCGGAGGTAACAGTTTTCTGCTCAATGCTCAAGGTGACCCTCTAGGCAGACCTGTGATCCCCTGACCATGTATGTGTAGGCCACTGAAAGCAGGTTGAGCTCCTCATTGAACAGCTTGGTGCCCTGCTCTGTCACAGCCTTCACCCAGGTAGTGATGTAGTCGTACCATCTGGCCAGCTCAGCCAGCTTGGCCTTCTAGGATCAGCTCCGTCTTCTCCGTGGCAGGCACAGGGCTGTGACTGGGACAGAGGCAGGAGATGAGGAGAGTGAGGGCAAGCCCCAAGCCAGATTGAGAGGAGTTCTCAAGAGCTTCCGCCCAAAGCCATCCCTAAGGAGAGCCTGGCCGCTCCGTGAGGGCAGTGCCTTGCTCAGGCCCTCAAGCCCAGCACTGCCAGAGGAGGCCCATGGGACCACCCTGGCACTCCCTTTTTCAGAGAACTTTCATTCACATTCTTGGCATCAGAAGTGGGATTTGAAGCAAACTACAACTCTCCTCCCTGCATCATCCTAAACCAATACATTAGGGCCTGCAAGAGCCCCTTGGACTCAGTTGTCTTCTTGGCCTCAGTTGTCTTCAGGATGGGAGGTGAGTAGGGGGGTGGCCTTCAGTAAGTCCTCTTGAATTCCCATGCTTTGGCTAAGGTCTCACAGACTTAATTTTCTTCAGGAAGCCTGTTCATCTGGCTCCACAAGGTACCCATTTGCGGGATATGCTTGCACTTTGTAGGGTACATTCATACTTCATGGGGTATGCTTACACTTCAGTTTTGCCAGGATGCATGGACTTCTACTGCACTTGAAAGGATGCATTTGTCAGGTCAGTGCAAAAGTTTTGTGGAGACATTCACGCTAAGGACACTGGAAGGGAAGGGATGTCTTTGTTAAGTCAGTGCAATGGGTAGCTTGTATTTTAAATTTTCTCTGCTGATCAGCCACTTTTCAGCACTCCAGCTGGCTTTATAAGCAAAAATTATAATCCAGGGAGTTACAATTGGCTAAGTCTCTGGAAAAAATTACCTAGGATAATCCTAAACTTCTTTGGCAGAAATGGAGCTCTTTTGAAATTCAAATGTTCCTGTGTGCACAATTGGAATAGAAAACACCAAAACTGCCAGAGATAATGGAAAGTTTTTTTTTCAGATGAGATCTGTCACATTCAAGGTGGTATGGCTGCAGACAGGGAGTCTTTTTTTCCCAATTGGCCTTTTTTTTTTTTTTTTTTTGAAGCAAGTTATCTACAAATGGTTTAGCACCAGGTTTCCCAGGAATGTGCATTACATGACAGGCAAGGGGGTGGCTACACCTTGTTTCCCAGGACTAGGGGCTCTCTGCACTGCAACTGGCCCTTTTGAAAGTTATTTTATTTTATTTTACTTTCAGTTCTGGGATACATGTGCAGAAAATGCACGTTTGTTATATAGGTATACATGTGCCATGATGGTTTGCTGCATTTATCAACCCATCATTTACGTTTTAAGCCCCACATGTATTAGCTATTTGTCCTGATGCTCTCTCTCCACTTGCCCCCACCCCCCAACAGGCCCCAGTGTGTGTTGTTCCCCTCCCTGTGTTCATGTGTTTTCATTGATCAACTCTCACTTATGAATGAGAATATATGGTATTTGGTTTTCTATATTCCTGTGTTAGTTTGCTGAGGATGATGGTTTCCAACTTCATCCATGTCCCTGCAAAGACATGATCTCATTCCTTTTTATGGCTGCATAATATTCCATAGTGTATATGTATCACATTTTGTTTATCCAGTCTATCATTGATGGGTATTTGGGTTGGTCCTTTAGAAAATTCTAAACAGAATCAAAAGGCTACCATTGCCTCCCTTAAGAGAAAATAATTCCAGGCTGGATGTGATGGCTCATGCCTGTAATCCCAGCACTTTGGGAGGACAAGGTGGGTGGATCACTTGAGGTCAGGAGTTTGAGACCAGCCCGGGCAACATGGTGAAACCCCATCTCTACTGAAAACACAAAACTTAGCTGGGCGTGGTGGCGCACACCTGTAGTCCCAGCTACTTGGGAGGCTGAAGCATGAGAATCACTTGAACCAGGGAGGCGGAGGCTGCAATGAGCTGAGATTGCACCACTGCACTCCAGCCTGGGTGACAGAGTGAGACCTTGTCTCAGAAAGACAGAGAGAGAGAGAGAGAGAGAGAGAGAGAGAGAGAGAGAGAGAAAATAATTCCAAATTGAGTGAATGCCTTAATGAAATAGAAAGAGAGATTAGAGCTTTAAGCCTGAAACTAAAACTGCAAAAAACCCTCTGGAAGAAACTTCTTCCACTAGACTCCCCTTTCTGCCACTCTTCCTGTCTTCATTCCCCTTTCTGCCACTCTTCCTGTCTTCTTGTCTTCTTCCAGTCTTTCTTTCAGAAAATCTTTTTGCCACCTGTCCTTTATCCTTCACTTTCTCCTGCCTCTTTCACTCTTTCAGCTGGTTATTTTGGAAACATTTCTAAATTTTTTCTGAACTTGTCTGTGTGTTTTCTTGTAAAATCCTGTGAGAAATTCCTGCAATTGTATGTTACATTGATATCCATTTTAATCCTCTTCTAACACACCCAGACTTCTTGAAAAAGCTTAAATTCTTTCTGTGCTTGAGGTATAAATTTCCTACCTTGTTTTCTTTAAAGCTCGGTAAAGGCTTCAGCCATGTGGAACAGATAAATTTCAACCTGTTCCATTTACAGAAATGCAGTTGGAATCAAATTGTTTTTTTAAACTAATCAGTTTTACTTAACTCATAGCTAAGTTTTAAAACAAAAGCTATAAGATCTTTATTTGTGTCTGTATTTTTGTGTATATATATGTTTACATATCTATTCATATATTGTCTATAATTCCAAATTGTTTTATAAATAAATGAGTACTCACCAGGTGCAATGGCTTATGCCTGTAATCCAAGCTCCTCAGGAGGCTGGGGTGGGAGGATCACTCGGCTCACCTCAACCTCTGCCTCCTGGGTTCAAGCTATTCTCGTGTCTCAGCCTCCCAAGTAGCTGGGACTACAGGCACACACCACCACACCTGGCTAATTCTTGTATTTTTAGGACAGATGGGGTTTTGCTGTGTTGGCCAGGACTTTGAGGCTGCAGTCAGCTATGATTGGGCCACTGCACTCCAGCCTGGGTGACAGTGAGAGCCCATCTCTTAAGAAAAAAAAAAGAATACTCATAGATTAAGCAAATAATCTGAAATGCTTTTCAAGTTAATGTGATTTAGTCATCTTTTGGCAGATGGGACTAGACTAATATTGTTAAATAATTGTTAAATAATTTTAAAAAAATTGTTGTTTTGATGGAAATTGCTGCATCTTCTGAGTTATCAGCAAAATGTGCTTGTATTTAACTTTAGAGTTCTTGCTTTTATAATATTTGCCTGGAAGGCAGTAATGTACAATTGGTTGACAGAAACAGCTTGGGATAATGGCTAGATTTGTTTGATGTCTCTGGAAATTTTCTAGGCATAATTCTTTGAGAGTGAATGGATTTGGTGAATGTGGACAGGATAAATTTTGTAAATTAACTTTTGATAATGGTTTATGTTTTGTAATATGTTTACTTGGGAAGGTTTTTTAAATCTCTTTGGTAAGTATACCCTAAGAGTTTAGTTAAGCTAAATTAAATGATGGATGTTCATTGAATGTCTAGGTCATTTACAGATAAAATATAATGCTGAGATATTTGTTGTTGAATGTAAGTATAGGCTCATATACTGCTGGCTTCTTATTTCCAAGAAAAACAAAAGTTATTTGAATCTGTTAGTAGAAATGTCCTGTTTCATATTAAAGAGTTGTTTTGTTAGAAAGCCTATGTCTCTGGAAATTGTAAAATGTGTATCATGGATTTTTGGTATGTGATTGGTGGTTAAGAGTTGATAACTTCTAGCTGGGTGTGGTGGCTCATGTCTGTAATCCCAGCACTTTGGGAGGCCAAAGCAGGTGGATCACCTGAGGTCAGGAGTTTGAGACTACCCTGGCCAACACAGCAAAACCCCATCTGTCCTAAAAATATAAGAATTAGCCAGGTGTGGTGGTGTGTGCCTGTAGTCCCAGCTACTTGGGAGGCTGAGACATGAGAATAGCTTGAACCCAGGAGGCAGAGGTTGAGGTGAGCTGAAATTGTGCCACTGCACTCCAGCCTGGGTGATAGAGTGAGACTCTGTCTCAAAAGAAAAATTGATAACTTCCTGGGTTTTCTTTGAAAATTAGGGTTTCTAAGAGTTGACATTATAACTAATGTGTGTGATTAAACTACTAGAGATGAAAAAGACCATTCCATATGTAAGCATATGAGAAGTATATGATGTATTTTTGGTAAGGAAGGTTGAAAAGGAAGAGGATTATTTTGTATAAGAAAGAATGTTGTATGGCAAATTTTTCTCCTAGAGTAAAATGATTGGTTATTTAAGAAAGAGAAAGTGTAAGAAAAAGCAGAATGTCCAAGCATATCATAAATGGTCTGAGTAAGTCATGATAAGGTTTATAAAAATAGCATTTATAGAGGAAATTTTCTGTGTCATCACTTTGTCTACAATTGGAGGGAAATTATTTATGGGTCTTACTAGGGATTGAACTTTGATGTGAAAAACACACTGATGCAGATTTTGTCCCGTGTGTTAGAATAGCAAGGTTTCTTTAGAATGTTGATTTGCTCTTAGTAAAATTATAGGAGGTTTTGATTAATTCTGAAATGTGTTTCTTTGACAGCCATCCTCTCAATTACAAACAGTTTCTATTTCTGCCACATTTCTCCCTGGAATCTATCTAACTTCTTTCTCTAGTTTCAGGTTGGAAATACAGCTCTACTTCTTTCTATCCTAAAAAGATATGGTTTTTGCTTGGTTGGGATGATAACATTCTCCTTCAACCTTTTTGTTGACTCCTGTAACATTTTTCTGGTTCTGCCAGTTCACTTTTCATCAGGTTTAACTTTCAGGTTATCTAAATGAACTTACCAAAAGAAAAAGCAATCACATTGCAAGAGATTTTCTTTTCTTTGCCTTGTGGGCAATTGGCCTAGGAAACAAAGATTCTGTTTTACCAAGATAATTTCCTGTGCTTCAAGTTATCTTTATTAGGTTTTTTATTACTTAGGAAAACTGAGCTTTAAAAGGGTTAAGGTTTTTACATTCATGTAACTTTTTCTATTGTTTTTGACATCTTTTGATTGTCAGTCTGGTTAAATGAATAACTATCATCTTGCAGCGAACTTTGATTCTATTGAATCAGATACTTTGAACTTTAAAGCTTGTGACATCTTTGGAAGGTTTCCTGGGATCAAAGCCCTAAATTAAATCTTTTAGATATTATTAGGAAGCATTGTCAAATAAAAATTATTTTTAACTTTCTTTAAGTTGCATGTGTAAATGTGTTATTAAAATGTGTTTCAAAATTTCATGTGATAAAATTCTGAGATATAGTGATATGTGTTGTCAATCAGCTATAGTCCAAAATTGCTTTTCATGGAACTGCTGATCAGTGTCAAGCAAGGTAAAATTGATTACATGAAATTAAGTAATTGATAAGGATAATGTTTTATGACTTTTATTTAGAGCATTCTTGGTCTTACATGTTTTGTTTTTCAGATTCAAGGAAATTTACTTCATAATTTTTTATAGTTTGTAATAATTTGGTAAAATATCCTTTCGTTAACAAAAGTGGAAGCATTTGCTTTTTCTCCCTACTTGAGATCTCCAAAATTTAGAAACTATTTTTGAGTATTCTTATTTTATTTACATGCTCTCTATAAGCAGGATACAAGTGGAATTCTCAGTTATAATATCAAGGTTTTGACTGAAATGTCATATTTAAGAATGTACATAAAATGCCTGGCTTCAAGAGTTCCCAGGCTTACCGTAAGTGAGTCAAAATTGCTACTTCCAGGCATGCCCAAGGACACTAAGATTGTAAGTGAAATCTAAAGTTTGCCTTCATTTGGCTTCCTAAACTCAAAAGGTTTTAAATTTAAGATTCCTATAAAATCAGTGTAAAAAGAAAAACTTATGTTTCCAAAGAAAAACTATATAACTGTTACTATATTGTAGATCTGTACATTGTTTTCAGATCCTTGTTATTTACCTGTAGACTGGACTACACCCTGAATTCTCCTAATTTCCTGATGCCTCTGCCAAACTCCAACAAGGAACACTCTTAGACAATTAACAGGTGCTTACCTGACTTTCTACCTTGCCTGGCCCAGGCTGTTCAAATTGGCTATGAGCTCTTAGTCACAGAAGTCCCACCAAGGGACTAGACAGACCCAGAGCAGGTAGCCACATCACTTCAACAATAATATGGGACAAAGACATAACACTGGTAGTCAATGCTGCCTATGGCAGGTTTCAACCAAAGGGAGTGAAATGTCAAAGTATGCCCCTGGCCAACAGACTAAATGAATTCCCCATGGCTAACTGAGGTGCTCAAAGTTACAGGAAGTATGGCTGAGAAGGCCTCAGGAAACTTACAATCATGGCAGAATGCAAAGGACAAGTAGGCACATCTTACATGCAGGAGCAGGAAGAAAAGAGTGAAGGGGGAGGTGCTATACACCTTTAAACCACCAGATCTCATGGGAACTCACTCACTATCATGAGAACAGCAAGGGGGAAATCTGCCCCCATGATCCAATCACCTCTCATTAGGCCCCCTCCTCCAACATTATGAATTACAATTCTATGTAAGATTGGGCAGGAACACAGATTCAAATTGTATCATTCTGCACTTGGCCCCTCCCAAATCTCAGGCTCTTCTCACATTACAAAATACAATCATCACTTCTCAAGAGTCCCCCAAAATCTTAACATATTTCAGCATTAACTCAAGAGTCCACAGTCCAAAGCCTCATCTGAGGCAAGGCAAGTCCCTTCCACCTGTGAGCCTGTAAAATCAAAGACAAGTTAGTTACTTCCAAGATACAATGGGGCTACAGACATTGAATAAATACACCCATTCCAAAAGAGATAAATCACCAAAACAAAGGGGCTACAGGTCCCATGCAAGTCCAAAATCCAGTAGGGCAGTCATTAAATCTTGAAGCCCCAAAATAATCTCCTTTGGCTCCATGTCTCACATGTAGGCTACACTGATGCAAGGGGTGGGCTCCCAAAGCCTTGGGCAGCACTGCTCCTCTGGCTTGCAGGGCTCAGCTCCCATGGCTGCTCTCAAGGGCTGGCATTGAGTGCCTGCAGCTTTTTCAGGTACATGGTACAAGCTGCCAATGGATCTACGATTCTGGTGTCTGGAGGATAGTGGCCCTCTTCTCACAGCTCCACTATGCAGTACCCCAGTGGGAACTCTATGTGGGGGCTCCAACCTCATATTTCCCCTCCACACTGTCCTAGTAGAGGTTCTCCATGAGGGCTCCATCCCTGCATCAGAATTCTGCCTGGACATCCAGGTGTTTCCATAAATTCTCTGAAATCTAGGTGGAAGCTTCCAAGACTCAACTTTTTCCCTCTGCGCACCCACAGGCTTAGCACCACAAAGAAACTGCCAAGTCTTAAAGGCTTGCACCCTCTGAAGCAGTGGCCTGAGATATATCTGGAGCCCTTTTAACCATAGCTGGAGCTGGAGCAGCTGGGGTGCAGGGAGCACTGTTCCAAGGTTGTGCAGGGCAGCAGGGCCCTTGGCCTGGCCCAAGAAACAATTTTTCCATTCTAGGCCTCTGGACCTGTGATGGGAGGGGCTGCTCTGAAGGTCTCTGTCATGGTTTCAAGGCATTTTCCCAATTGTCTTGGTTACTAACATTTGGCTCCTCTTAAGCCAATTTCTGTAGCTGACTTGAATTCCTTCCCTGAAAATGGGGTTTTCTTTTCTACCACATGGCCAGGCTGCAAATTTTCCAAACTTTTATGCTCTGCTTCCCTTTTAAATATAAGTTCCAGTTCCAGTTTTATGTCATTTCTTTGCTCATGAATATAAGCATAGGCTGCTAGAAGCAGCCAGGCCACATCTTGAATGCTTTGTTGCATAGAAATTTCTTCCACCAGATGGCCTCAATCATCACTCCCAAGCTCAAAGTTTCACAGATCTCTAGAGCAGAGACACAATGCCTCTAACCTCTTTGCTAAAGTATAATAAAAGTCACCTTTGCTCCAATTTCCATTAAGTTCTTCATCCCCATCTGAGACCTCCTCAGCCTGGACTTCACTGTCCATAACACTACCAGCATTTGGTCACAACCATTCAACAAGTCTTTCAGAAGTTCCAAACTTTCATTTTCCTGTCTTCTTCTGAGCCCTCCAAATTGTTCCAACCTCTGCCCATTACCCGGTTTCAACTCACTCACTATCATGAGAACAAAAAGAGAGAAATCTGCCCCTGTGATTCAACCACCTCCCACCAGGTCCTTCCTCCAACACTGAGGATTAAAATTCAACGTGAGATTTGGGTGGGGACACAGATCCAAACCACATTAAGAACAGTCTTATACTCTGTGTTCTCAGAAAGATGTTTTAAAACTATCCGCAGGGTGCGGTGGCTCATGCCTGTAATCCCAACACTTTGGGAGGCCGAGGTAGGTGGATCAATTGAGGTCAGGAGCTCAAAACCAGCCTGGCCAACATGATAAAACCCCGTCTCTACTTAAAAAAATACAAAAGTTAGCTGGGTGTGGTGGCGCCCACCTGTAATCCCAGCTACTCAGGAGGGTGAGGCAGTAGAATCACTTGAACAAAGGAGGCAGAGGTTGCAGTGCCAAGATCGTGCCACTACACTCCAGCCTGCAGCCTGGGTGACAAGAGTGAGACTCCATCCCAAAAAAACAACAAAAACTATCATAGGAACTTCCTTTCTATGATCAAGCCAAACCAGTTCCTTTTGTGAGTGCCAGGATAAACTGCATCCAGAAATATCCCCCCTAGGTAGTTTGAAAGAAACAACTGACAGAAATTTCTGTTGGGGTTTGGAAATCAACCAATCAGAGATCACCTGTCTCCCACTCAGGGTTTAGTTGTATGAACCAATCAGGGTTCAGTGGTATTGACCAATCAGAACTCAGCTGCACTGACCAATCAGAACTAAGTTTTTCCATACTTCATTTGCATAAATAGACTTGACTGGGAACCTGGGCAGAGAAACTTTTGCTATAATACCTGAGTCCTCTCTTTGTTCTTTGGAATGCACCTTCATTTTACAATGAAGGCTGCCATCTCTCCAGTTTGCAATTTGTTCTCTGGAATAAAGTCTCTTTCTTCCAAACTCATTTTCAGAGAACTTTTGTTCACAATGTGAAGTCAAGGTTTTCAGTACATAGAGGGGGTAGGTAGATTAGGTAGATAGATAGATAGATACTTGACTTAGTCTATTTTCTGCTGCTATAACAGAATACCACAAACTGGGTAATTTACAAATAATAGAAGGTTATTTGGCTCATGATTCTGGAGGCTGGAAAGTCCAAGAGCATGGCACTGTCATCTGGCTAAGGTCTTCTTTCTGCATGATAACGTGAGTGGAAGATGGACATGAGCACACAAGGCAGAGAAAGAAGATCGTCCAAACTCATCTTTTTTTCAGAAACCCACTCCCACAATAACCAACCCACTCCTTCAAAAATGGCCTTAATCCATACATGTAGGGCTTCACCCTCATGACCTAATTACCTCTTATTAGGCACCACCTCCCAACACTGTTGCACTGGGGATTAAGTTTCTAACAAACTTTTGGGGGGATACATTCAAACCATAGCAATACTTAAACCTGAATATCTTTGTGTGTTTATATGTGTGTGTGTGTGTGTGTGTGTGTGTGTGTGTGTGTGTGTGTGTGTTCCCTTTCTCCCTGAGAGGGCCTGGGAGCAGCAAGATCTCAATAACAATGCAAACACCTAGTACTAAGATCGTGGCTTCTAAATACCATTCCCCCATTGAAAGGAAACAATCTGCTTGGAGAAATGGCTGACTTCAGGGCTGATGCAGGGAAAATACAAGGTGAGCCAAGCTGGTTTTAAATGGGTCCCACCAGCTAAACAAGTGATAATTGAAGCATCAAAATAATTATTGAAATCAATAGATAATAACCAATCAAATAAGATAGAAAACTTGGAGTCCATACTAATGGACTGAATTGTATTCTCCCACAAGTCATATGTTGAAAGCCTAACTCCCAATGTCTTTGTAGATATGTATTTGGGAATAGGGCCTTTATGAAGTAATTAAGGTTAAATGAAGTCATAAAGGAGGGGCTTTATAAAAAAAGAGACCTCTCTCTCTCTGCCATCTGAGGACACACCAAGAAGACTGCCATCTACAAGCAAGGAAGAGAGCCCTCACCAGAAACCAAACCAGGCTGGACTTTGATCTTGAACTTTCCAGATACCAGAACTGTGAGAAACTTAATTTTTGTTGTTTAAGCCATCCACTCTATGGTATTTTTTTTTCCTTCTTCCATGTGTCCAAGGCATGAACCAAGCATGGGAACAGACCAAAAGCCAAGCTGGGATAAACAAGGGGTTGCTTTGTCCCTGGCTGGTATTAGATGGTCACCACCAACCAGATGCTACTCTACCAGATCGGGAACATCTATGGGTTTTTTATGGTAACCCTAAGCTGACTAATACATTGATATTAATTAATTAGTTAATGGGCAATACAATATTTACATATTTTCATAGTTACCTCCCTACAAAACACTTACTAATTACCAAAGGAAATTATAGTAAAGAAGCCTAGAAGATACCACCTGAACCAAGTGAGGAAAGTGAGCATTGTCAGTAACGGGACAAATTGAAATTATACACCACCTGAGAGTATCTGATAAGAGGAATACAGCTCACTTGTGTGATATTCCTGCTGAATTTAGCCACAAGGAAATATCAGATAAAGCCAAATTGAGGGACATTCTACAACATAAGTTGGTTTGTAACCTTCAAACATGTTTAGGTCATGCATCAAAACACAGGCAACAAAAAACAAAATAGACAAATAGGACTTCGTTAAACTAAAAAGCTTCTGCACAGAAAAAGAAACAATCCACAGAGTGGAGAAAAAAAAAGTGTAGAATGGGGGCCAGGCACGGTGGCTCACGCCTGTAATCCCAACACTGTGGGAGGCTGAGGTGGGCAGATCACAAAGTCAGGAGACCGAGACCATCCTGGCTAACACGGTGAAACCCCTTCTCTACTAAAAAAATAAAAAAAATTAGCTGGGCATGATGTCACAGGCCTATAGTCCTGGCTACTTGGGAGGCTGAGGCCAGAGAATCACTTGAACCCATGAGATGGAGGTTGCAGTGAGCTAAGATTGCGCCACTGCACTCCAGTCTGGGCGACAGAGCGAGACTCCATCTCAAAAAAAAAAAAAAACAACTGTAGAATGGGAGAAAATATTTGCAAATATTTATCTGACAGTAAACTAATGTCCAAAATATATAAGGAACTCAAACAACTCAACCAAAACAAAAACAAATAACCCCATTAAAAAGCAGGCAAAAGCTGAGCACAGTGGCTCATGCCTGTAATCCCAGCACTTTGGGAGGCCAAGGCAGGTAGGTTGCTTGAGCCCAGGAGTTCAAGACCAGCATGGGCAACACAGTAAAACCCCTTCTTCACAAAATAAATAAATAAATAAAAATTAGCCAGATGTGGTGGCATATGCCTGTGGTCTCAGCTACTGAAGAGGCTGAGGTGGGAGGATCACTTGAGCCTGGGAAGCAGAGGTTCCAGTGAGCTGAAATCATGCCAATGCACTCAAAGCCTGGGTGACAGAATGAGACCCTGCTTCATAAAAAAAAGTGGCCAAAGGATATGAATAGATATTTTTCAAAAGAAGACATATATATGGGTAACAGATATATGAAAAAATGCTCAGAAATGCAAAGTAAACCCACAATGAGATGTCGTCTTATCCCAGCTATTATTAAAAAAAAACAAAAAACAAAGAGTTGACAAGACATGGAGAAAAGGGAACTCATACACTTTTGATAGAAATGTATATTAGTACAATCTCTATGGAAAATAGTATGGAGATTTCTCAAAAACCTAAAAATAGAATTACCATTCAATCCAGCAATTCCACTACTATCTATCCAAGGGAAGTAAATCAATATATCAAAAAGATATCTGTACTTGTATGATCATCACAGCACTATTCACAATAGCAAAGATATGAAATAAATCTAAATGTCCATCAATAGATGTATGGATAAAGAAAATTATATATATATATATATATTACACTATTTAGCCATAAAGAATAAAATCATGTATTTTGCAGCAACATGGATGGAACTGGAGGTCATTATCTTAACTGAAACAAGCCAAGCACAGAAAGTCAAAAACCTCATGTTCTCACTCATACATGGCTGCTAAAAAATGTGTACACATGGACATAGTGAGTAGAATGACAGACAATGGAGACTTGGAAGGGAGAGGGGTTGGGGGGTGCAGATGATGAGAAAGAAAGTTAATGGGTACAATGCACATTATTTGGGTGATAGATACCTTAAAAGCCTTGCCTTGACGAATATGCAATCTATGCCTGTAACCCCATGAATTTGTACTAATTTTTTAAAAAGTGTTTAAGTCATTGTATTAGGGTTCTCTAGAGAGACAGAACTAATAGGATAGATATATATATATAAAGGGGAGTTTACTAAGTATTAGCTCACATGATCACAAGGTCCCACAATAGGCCATCTGCAAGCTGAGGAGAAAGGAGAGCCAGTTTGAGTCTCAAAACTGAAGAACTTGGAGTCTGATGTTTGAGGACAGGAAGCACCCAGCACGGGAGAAAGATATAGGCTGGGAAGCTAGGCCAGTCTAATCTTTTTATGTTTTTCTGCCTGCTTTATATTGTAGCTACCCTGGCAGCTGATTAGATAGTGCCCACCCAGATTAAAGGTGGATCTGCCTTTCCCAGCCCACTGACTCTAATTTCCATTGGCAACACTCTCACAGACACACCCAGGATCAATAATTTGCATCCTTCAATCCAATGAAGTTGACACTCAGTATTAACCATCACAGGCATGAAAGGCAAGGAAAGACTGAAGCATTGTTGCAGATTGAAAGAGCCTAAGAGACTGACAACTAACTGCCACATATGGTTCAGAACTGAATCTTTGACTACAAAGAACAATATCTGATCAATTGGTGAAACATAAATAGGGTCTAAGATTAGATGATAGAAATGTAACAATGTCCATCTCCTGATGTTGATGGCTATATTGTGGCTCTGTAGAAGAATGTCCTTGTTAATAGGAAATACAACTAAAGTATTCAAATGTGATAGGGCATCATGTTAGCAACTTGGTCGCAATTCCAAAAAAAAAAAAAAGGTTTTTTACACTGTATTTGCAACTTTTCTGCATATTTGAGATTGCTTCAATATAAAAAAGCAAAGCACAAAATAGAATGTATCATAAAGCAATATTTATGTTAAAATGGGACACTGACTAGCTCTAGAAGAATACCCAAGAAACTAGCAATATTGCTTTCCTCTAGGGAAGAGAACAGGAAAACTGGGAGACAGTCCTGAGGGAGAGGTAAAGACTTACATTTCTTTATTTTTTGAGACAGAGTCTCACTTTGTTGCCCAGGCTGGAGTGTAGTGGCGTGAACATGGCTTACTATAGCCTCAACCTCCTGGGCTCAAGAAATCCTACCACCTCGGCCTCCTGGGTAGCTGGAACTATAGGCGTGCACCACCTTGCCTGGCTATTTTTATTTTTTGTAGAGACGTGATTTTGCCATGTCACCCAGGCTAATCTCAAACTCCTGAGCTCAAGCATTCACCAACCTTGACCTCCCAAATTTCTGGGATTACAGGCATGAGTCACTGCACCCTGCCAAGACTTACATTTCACCTCTTTTATTGAAGTCTTTTTTTACCATATGTATGTACTTTTAATTAAAAATTTTTAATTAATATTTTAAAATAAATAATACATATTTTTAATGTGACCAGAAATTTGATTTCTAGGTATGTACTAGAGAATCACTTGTATATATGTACAATGAGGCATTTAGGAGGATGTTCATTGTAGCATGGTTCTTAGTAATGAAAAATGGAAAACAAGGGTTCATTAATCTAAAAAAGGCATAAATTTAATAGAATATTATACAGAAGCTAAAAAGGACAAAATCTACATGTATTAATATGCATAGATTGATAAACTATCTTGAATAAAAGGGGCATGCTGCAGAATATGAAAATAGAATATATTTTATGTTAAAAAAAATCAGGCCAGGTGTTGTGGCTCATGCTTGTAATCCCAGTAGTTTGGGAGGCTAAAAAGGGCAGATCACCTGAGGTCAGGGTTTGAGACCAGCCTGGCCAACATGGTAAAACCTCATCTCTACTAAAAATACAAAAATTAGCCGGGTGTGGTGGCTTACACCTATAGTCCCAGCTACTCAGGAAGCTGAGGCATGAGAATCTCTTGAACCCAGGACAGAGGTTGCAGTGAGCTGAGATCACGCCACTGCACTCCAGCCTGGGCAACAGAGTGAGACTCGGTCTCAAAAAAAAAAAAAAAAAAAGAAGAAAAGAAAAGAAAATCAACTGTAGAAGATATGTGTAGTTTCTGTAATTCCTTACTGCTCAAGTCACAAGATTTTTTATTTCCCCAATTGCTCCTATAGATAATATCATTACAGCAAAACCTAAGATTTGTCTTTTTAGATGTATTTCAGATTTTTGGATTCAGGCAACTGACTGACACCACCTGGACTCATGGCTCATGACTCAACTGGTCCTGTGGCCCCACCCCCAGAGGCTGACTCAGTGCATGAGGACCATTCTCCACACCCCCATCATTATGTCCCTAGACAATCAGTGACAACTATTCCCTAGTCTCCTGCCCACCAAACTCTCCTTAAAAACCCCTAACCTCTGAGCCTTTCGGAAGACTGATTTGAGAGATAATTCCAGTTCTACATGGCCAGCCTCATGTCAGTTAAACTCTTTCTTTACTGTAATACCACCACAGTCTCAATGAACTGGTTTTGTCTGTACAGTGGGCAGGAAGAGCCCATCGGGTGATGACACTGTGACTTAACCAATCCTATCCCTTCTTTACAAAGAATGTCCAAGGCAAAATATTTTAAGAAAGGCACATAAGTCAGGGAAGGACATGAAAGAGTATGCCCATGCATCTGGGGACAATGTCCAAGTACAAACTCAAAGGGGCAAGAAATACAGACCGCTTCCTTACCAGATCTGAAGAGCTTCAAGAGGAGAGAGGTGTTAGTGCTGCCACTTGCCAGCCCAGTCTCATATCTCTCTCACTGACCCATCCTCTGCAACAGCCATGCTTAGAGACATTTAGTTCCTTGAATATCCAAGTTCATTCCTATCCTTGTCTCTGCCTTTCACCCAGAATGCCTTTTCTCTTCTCACCTACCTGCATGGGTTAGAACTCATTTCCTTTGTGAAGTCTTCTCTCTGCACCAAGAGAAGGTAAGTCACCCTGTCATTGGTGCCCCTGAGCACCTGGTATATACCTGCATTTGTATTTATTGTATAGCCATTACAGAATGTTTTCACCCACAGAACTGGGTTCAGATTCTGGCTCATTTGGCTGTGGAGAATTTTGTCTAACTCACAGAGTTTCTGTAAGGAGTAAATAGGGCACTTGACACAGCATTGCCCTTAAATTAACTCTCTGATGTTCACTCTTTCCTCATAGGAACCATGAGTCAGGTTTAGTGACTTAAGGTACTTAATAAACAATTAATTCTTTAGTAACAGACCCATTCCCATCATTCCCATATGGGGTATATTTTATATATTTTGTATATATAAAATATATATTCATATGCGTATGTGTCTTATAGTAACATTACATTGGTTTTGAAACAGGTAGACATTTTAAAGGAACAGCAATAAGAATAAATCTAAGTCCTGATATCTCCTTTGCATTCCCTAATGAATTATCTTATACATTTGCAAGATTTGGACATTCCACTTCCAAAGGCCCTCATTTCAGATGGCATCAGTAAGAATGCAACCCAGGCCTATCACTCAGGAGTACACTCCTTTAGCAATGGTCAAGTCTTCCTCAGCAGTGAGGCTCTTGCCTCAGGTTGTCACAAAGAGCTTCTACACCATACTTAGAAATGCAGTAGCTACCATCAAACACAGATATTCTCCCATCTCAGCTAGAAACATTGATTACTCTTCTCCTGGCCTTTCTGATAAGGGGATGAAAGTTCTGTGTCACCTCAATGAATCCAATCAAGTTCATATTCAAGATCTTTAAGAGGTAAGGTGCAGTCACTCACACCTGTCATCTCAACACTTGGGAGACCAAAGCAAGAGGATTGTTTGAGGCCACGAGTTTGAGACAAGCCTGGGCAGCATATAAAGACCCTATCTCTACAAAAAAAATTTTTTTAATTAGCTGGGCATGATGGTGTGCACCTATAGTCCAAGCTACTCAGGAGCTTGAGGCAAGAGAATTGCTTGAGCCCAAGAGGTCTAAGCTACAGTGAGCCATGATCGTGCCACTGCACTCCATTCTGGGTGACAGAGTGAAATCCTGTCTCTCAAAAATATATTGAAATAGGGCTGGGTGCAGTAGCTCATGCCTGTAATCCCAGCACTTTGGGAGGCCGAGGAGGGTGGATCATTTGAGGTCAGGAGTTTGAGACCAGCCTAGCGAACATGGTGAAACTCTGTCTCTACTAAAAATACAAAAATTAGCTGGGCATGGTGTTATGTGCCTGTAATCCCAGCTACTTTGGGAGGCTGAGGCAAGGTAATCGCTTGAACCTGGGAGGCAGAGGTTGCAGTGAGCTGAGATTGCACTACAGTACTCAAGCCTGGGCAACAGAGCAAAACTCAGTCTCTCTCTCTTTCTCTGTCTCTCTCTCTGTCTCTCTCTCTCTCTATATATATATATATATATATTCTGTTTTCCAGAGAAATGTGGAATATATATATGTATATATATACACATATATATACACATATATATACATATATATATACATACATATATATACATATATACACATATATACATATATATACACATATATACACATATATACATATATACACATATATATACATATATATACACGTATATATACATATATACATATATATACATATATATATACATATATATATAGAGAGAGAGAGAGGGAGAGAGAGAGAGAGAGAGAGATGAAAATACTTCATGATGGGATAAAGGATAGGAAAACTGTAGAGGTGTCAATTAACATAATTCCTTAAGAAGATAATATGGCAACAGTCTCCAAAAGCCTTAACAATTTTACCCTTTGAATTTATAATTTTACTCCTTGGAATTTATAGTAAGGAAATAATACAAGTGGAGAAGAAGCCTTTTACACAAAATGGTTCTTTGTAAGTTCACATAGAGACTTACAAAGAACTACAAGGCAAGAATAATAAATTCTGAAAAAGAATAAGAGGAGCTTGCTCTGTCAAATATCAAAACTATAAAGCTATAGGTACTAAAAATGTGCTGTGCTGGCACTGAAATTTCCACATTTCTCTGGAAAACAGAATAGAGAACACCAAAATACAACCAAATATATACTATATGGAATAGGTGTATGATAAAAACTGGTCTTTTAAATCAGTAAGGAAAATACTGGCTTTTCAATAAATGGTGTTGATAGAATTGGCTATACAATTGGAAGCAAAACAAATTAGATCCCTATCTCACATCATGAACAAATATAACTTATTTGTAGATTATAATTAGAATTGTTTTGCATTCATATGAGTATTAAAAGAACATATAGGAGAATAGTTTTATTATCCTTGGAGTACAGAAATATTGGGGGAACCCACTCCCAATATTTCAATGTAGGTTCTTTCTATTTTCCATAAGTGTCAGCCAGCTGAGAAATAAAGAGAAAGAGTACAAAGAGAGGAATTTTACATCTGGGCCGCCAGGGATGACATCACATATTGGTAGGACCAAGATGCCCGCCTGAGCCTCAAAACCAGCAAGTTTTTATTAAGGGTTTCAAAAGGGGAGGGGGTGTAAGAACAGGGAGTATGTACAAAGATCACATGCTTCAAAGGGCAAAAAGCAGAACTACCAATAAGGGTCTAACAAAGATCACATGCTTCTGAAGAAACAGGACAAAAGGCAAAAGCAGAACTACTGATAAGGGTCCAACAACGATCACAAGGCAAAGGGCAAAAGTAGAACTACTGATAAGGGTCTATGTTCAGCGGTGCATGTATTGTCTTGATAAACATCCTAAACAACAGAAAACAGGGTTTGAGACAGAGAACCCATCTGACCACAAATTTACCAGGGTGGAGTTCTCCCCACCCTACTAAGCCTGAGGGTACTGCAGGAGACCAGGGCATATCTCAGTCCTTATCTCAACTGCATACGACAGACATTCCCAGAGCAGCCATTTATAGACCTCCCCCCAGGAATGCATTCCTTTCCCAGGGTATTAATATTAATATTCCTTGCTAGGAAAAGAATTTAGCGATATCTCTCCTATTTGCACATCCATTTATAGGCTCTCTGCAAGAAGAAAAATATGCGACCGGGCGCGGTGGCTCATGCCTGTAATCCCAACACTTTGGGAGGCCAAGGCAGGTGGATCACGAGGTCAAGAGATCGAGACCATCTTGGCCAACATGGTGAAACCCCGTCTCTACTAAATATACAAAAAATTTGCTGTGCGTGGTGGCAGTCGCCTGTAGTCCCAGCTACTCGGGAGGCTGAGGCAGGAGAATGGCATGAACCCAAGAGGCAGAGCTTGCAGTGAGCCGAGATCGCACCACTGCACTCCAGCCGGGGCGACAGAGCGAGACTCCATCTCAAACAAAAAAAAAAAAAAAGAAGAAAAATATGACTCTTTTTGCCTGACCCCGTAGGCAGTCAGACCTCATGGTTGTCTTCACTTGTTCCCTAAAAATCGCTATTATTCTGTTCTTTTTCAAGGTGCACTGATTTCATATTGTTTAAACACACATGTTTTACAATCAATCTATACAGTTAGCCCAATTATCACAGTGGTCCTGAGGTGACGTACAACCTCAGCTTATGAAGATAACAGGATTAAGAGATTAAAGACAGGCATAAGAAATTATAAAGGTATTATTTGGGAACTGATAAATGTCCATATTAAAATGAAATCTTCATAATTTATGTTCCTCTGCCACAGCTCCAGCTGGTCCCTTCATTCGGGGTCCCTGACTTCCCACAACATAGAAAGTCTTTTCAAGCATTACACAAAAACCTAAATGAAACAAAGGTAATGATTTATAGACTTGAAAAAAAATTAAAAACCTCTTTATTACCAAAAAACATTTTAAAGAAATTAAAAGATGATTCAACAGAGTGCCAAGACAATTCAATAGGGGAAGAATTTTTTTTCCAAATTGTGTTAAGACAATTGTATATCCATGTGTAAATTTAAAAAAATGAAATTGTACTCCCTATATCACACCACATATAAAATATTAACCCAAAAAGAATGAAAGTCCTAAATATAAGAGCTATAACCATAAAATCCTTAGAAGAAAAAGTAGATGTAGATCTTCGTGACTTTGGATTAGACAGCAGTTTCTTAGGTATGACTCTGGCACAAGCCATCAGAAAAAAAAAATAGATAAATTGGACTTCACTAAGATTAACAAATCTTGTGCTTCAAAGGACACTAGCAAGAGAATGAAACAACAACTCACAGAATGAAGAAGAATATTGCAAGTCATATCTCTCACAGGGATCTAATATCCAAAATATATACTTTTTACAACTCAATAATAACAAGACAAATAGCTCAATTTTAAAATGAGCAAAGGATTTGAATAGACATTTCTCCAAAGAAGATCTACAAATGACCAATAATCACATGAAAAAATGCTCAACATCATTAGTCATTAGAGAAATGCCAATCAAATCAACTATGACATATCACTTCACATCCAGTAGGATGGCTAATATGAAGATGACAGACAATAACAAATGTTGGTAAAAATGTAAAGAAATTGGGACCCTCATACATTGCTCATGGGACTGTAAAATGTTTCAGCCACTTTGGAGAAGAGTTGGGCAGTTCCTCTAAAAATTTAAATATAGAGTTTTATATGACCCAGTAATCCCACTGTTAAGTATATATCCAAAAGAAATTAAAACATATTCACTTGTATATAAATTAAAATATATGTCCGCTTACATAAAAAAACTTGTATATGAATATTCATAATATTAGTCATAATAGCCAAAAAGTGGAAATAACCTAAATGTCCATCAACAGATGAATGGACAAAATGTGGTATATCCATACAATGGAATATTACTCAGCCATAGAAAGGAAGGGAATAATATTTTTGAAGCACCCAGATTCATAAAGCAAGTTATTAGAGACCTTTAAAGAGACTAAAACTCCCACACAATAATAGTGGGAGACTTCAACACTAAACTGACAGTATTAGACAGATCAATGAGGCAGAAAATTAACAAAGATATTCAGGACCTGAACTCAGCAGTGGATCAAATGGACCTGATAGACATCTACAGAACTCTCCACCTAAAAACAACAGGATAGGTATCCATCTCATCACCACATGGCCCATATTCTAAAATCAACCACATAATCAGATACCAACATTCCTCAGCAAATGCAAAAAAAAAAAACTGAAATCATAACAACCACTCTTTTGGACCACAGAGCAATCAAATTAGAAATCAAGACTAAGAAATTCACTCAAAATCATACAATTACTTGGAAATTTAATAAACTGCTCCTGAATGACTTTTGTTTAATAAAATTAAGGAAGAAATAAAGAAATTCTTTGAAATTAATGAGAACAAAAATACAATATACCAGAATCTCTGGGACACAGCTAAGGCAGTGTTAGGAAGGAAATTTATAGCACTAAATGCCCACATCAAAAACTTAGAAAGATCTCAATTTAACACCTAACATCACAACTAAAAGAACTAAAGAACCAAGAGCAAACCAACCCCAAAGCTAGCAGAAGACAAGAAATAATCAAAATCAGATCTGAACTGAAGGAGATTGAGACACAAAAATCATCCAAAAGATCAACAAATCCAGGACCTGATTTTTTGAAAAAAATTAATAAAATAGACCACTGGCTAGGCTATTAAGAAAGAAAAGAGAGAAGATCTAAGTAAACACAATTAGAAACAACAAAGGGGATATTACTGCTGGCCTCACAGAAATAAAAATAACCACCAGAGAATATAATAAACACCTCTGTGCACACAAACTAGAAAACCTAGAAGAAATTGATAAATTCCTGGACACATACACCCTCCCAAAACTAAGCCTGGAAGAAATTGAATCCCTGAACAGAACAACAATGAGCTCCGAATTTGAATCAGTAATAAATAGCCTACCAACCAAAAAAAAAAAGCCCAGGACCAGAAGGATTCACAACTGAATTCTATCAGATGTACACAGAAGAGCTGGTACCATTCCTACTGAAACTATTCCAAGAAACTGAGGAGGAGGGACTCCTCCCTAACCAATTCCAGCATCATCCTGATATCAAAACCTGGCAGATACATGACAAAAAAAAAAAACTTGAGGCCAATATCCTCGATGAACATCAATGCAAAAATCCTCAACAAGATACTGGCAAACTAAATCAAGCAGCACATCAAAAAGCTAATCCACCACAATCAAGTAGTCTTTGTTCCTGGGATGTAAGGTTGGTTCAACATATGCAAATCAATAAATGTGATTCATTACATAAACAGAACTAAAGACAAAAGCCACATGATTATCTCAAAAGATGCAGAAAAGGCTTTCGATAAAATTCAACACCCTTCATGTTAAAAGCTCACAATAAACAAGGTATTGAAGGAGCATACCTGAAAATAATAAGAGTCATCTAGGATAAACCCACAGCCAACATCATACTGAATGGGCAAAAGCTGGAAGCATTCCCCTTGAACACTGACACAAGAAAAGGATGTCCTCTGTCATCACTCCTACTCAACGCAGTATTAGAAGTCCAGGCCAGAGCAATCAGGCAAGAGAGAGAAATAAAGTGCATCCAAATAGGAAGAGAAGAAATCAAACTATCCCTGTTTGCAGATGACATAGCTAGAAAACTCCATAGTCTCAACCCAAAAGCTCCTTCAGCCAATATGCAACTTCAGCAAAGTCTCAAGAAACAAATTCAACATATAAAAATCACTACTGGCCAGGTGCAGTGGCTCATCCCTGTAATCCCAGCACTTTGGGAGGTGGAGGCGGGCAGGTCATCTGAGGTCAGGAGTTCAAGACCAGCCTGGCCAACATGGTGAAACCCCATCTCTACTGAAAATACAAAAATTAGCTAGGCATGCTGACTCACACCTGTGATCCCAGCTACTTGGGAGGCTGAGGCATGAGAATCACTTGAACTCAGGTGGCGGAGGTTGCAGTGAGCTGAGATCACCCCACTGCACTCCAGCCTGGATGACAGAGTGAGACCCTGTCTCAAAAAACATATATATAAATAAAAAATCATGACCATTCCTATACAACAACAACAGCTAAGCCAAGAGCCATATCAGGAACACAATCCCATTCACAATTGCCACAAAAAGAATAAAATAAAATACTCAGAAATAAGCTAACCAGGGAAGTGAAAAATCTCTGCAAGGAGAACTACAAAACACTGCTGAGAAAATCAGAGATGACACAAACAAATAGAAAAACACTCCATACTCTTAAATAGGATGAATCGATTTCAATAAATGGCCATACTGGCCAAAGCAATTTACAGATTCAATGTTATTCGTATTAAACTATAGATGACATTCTTTACAGAACTAGAAAAAACTATTTTAAAATTCACATGGAACCCAAAAAGAAACCAAATAGCCAAGGCAATCCTAAGCAAAAAAAAAAAAAAAAAAAAAAAAAAAAACACGAAGCTGGAGGCATCATATTATCCAACTTCAAACTATATTACAGGGTGACAGTAACCAAAACAGCATGATACTGGTACAAAAACAGACATATAGACCAATGGAACAGAATACAGAGCCCAGAAGTAATGTCACATACCTACAACTATCTGATCTTCAACAAACCTCACAAAAACAAGCAATGGAGGAAGGATTCCCTAATCAATAAATGATGCTGGGATAACTGGCTAGCCATATATAGAATTGAAACTGGACCCCTTCCTTATGCCATATATAAAAATCAACTCAAGACAGATTAAAGATTTAAGTGTAAAACTTAAAACTATAGGCCGGGTGCGGCGGCTCATGCCTGTAATCCCAGCACTTTGGGAAGCTGAGGCAGGCAGATCACAAGGTCAAGAGATTGAGACCATCCTGGCCAACATGGTGAAACCCCATCTCTACTAAAAAATACATAAATTAGCTAGGCATGGTGGCACATGCCTGTAGTCCCAGCTACTCGGGAGACTGAGGCAGGAGAATCGCTTAAACCCAGGAGGCAGAGGTTGCAGTGAGCTGAGATCATGCCACTGCACTCCAGCCTGGGCAAAAGAGTGAGACTTCGTAAAAAAAAAAAAAAAAAAAGTCTAATATCCAGCATCTTTAAGGACCTTAAACAAATTTACAAGAAAAAAAAAATTGAAAACTGGGCAAAGGACATAAACAGACACTTTTCAAAAAAAGACATATATACGGCCAAAAATCATATGAAAAAAACCCTCAACTTCACTGATCATTGGAGAAATGCAATCAAAACCCCAATGAGATACGATAACATCTCACACCAGTCAGAATGGCTAGTATTAAAAGGTCAAAAAACGGCCAGGCATGGTGGTTCATGCCTGTAATCCTAGCACTTTGGGAAGCTGAGATGGGAGGATCGCTTCAGACCAGGAGTTCAAGACCAGCCTGGTCAACATAGTGAGACCCCCATCTCCATTTATTATGTAAAATTTTAAAAGAAAATAAAATAAAATAAAAAAGAAAAAGTCAAAACACAACAGGTGCTGACAAGGTTGCAGAGAAAAAGGAACACTTATCCACTGTTGGTAGGAGTGTAAATTAGTACAACCATTGTGGAAATCAGTGTGGTGATTCCTCAAAGAGCTAAAAACAGAACTACCATTCAACCCAGCAGTCCCATTAGTGGGTGTATATCCAAAGGAATATAAGTTATGCTATCATAAAGACACATGCACATGCATGTTCATTGCAGCACTATTCACAATAGCAAATACATGGAATCAACCTAAATGCCCATCAATGGTAGACTGGATAAAGAAAATGTGATACATACACACCATGGAATACTATGCAGCTATAAAAAAAGAGTGAGATCATGTCCTCTGTAGGAACGTAAATGGAACTGGAGGCCATTATCCTTAGCAAACTAATACTGGAACAGAAAGCCAAATACCACATGTTCTCACTTATAAGTGGGAGCTAAATGATGAAAACGCATGGACACATAGAGGGAAACAACAGACATTAGGGCCTGTGAGAGGGTGGGTGGTGGGAGGAGGGAGAGGATCAGGAAAAATAACTAATGAGTACAAGGTTTAATATCTGGGGGATAAAATAATCTATACAACAAACCCCCATGACATAAGTTTACCTATATGATAAATGTGCACATGTAGCCCTGAACTTAAAATAAATGTTAAAAAAAAAAGAAAACCTAGGATATGCAATTGATCTTAACAGTAGTTATTACTAGGTTGCAGGATTTCCTTTAACTTTTATTTTGTTTTTTATACTTATCTGATATGGTTTGGCTGTGTCCCCACCCAAATCTTCATCTCCAATTGTAATCCCCACATGTCAAAGGAGGGTCCTGTAATCCCCACGTGTTGAGGAAGGGAGGTGATTTGATCATGGGGGCAGTTTCCCCCATGCTGTTCTTGTGATAGTGAGGGAATTCTCACAAGATCTGATGGTTTTAAAAGTATGGCATTTCCTCACCCACTCACTTTTCTCTCCTGCTGCCTATGCTTGCTTCCCCCTTTGCATTCCACCATGATTGTAAGTTTCCTGAGGCCTCCCTAGCCATGTGGAACTGTGAGTCAATTAAACCTCTTTCCTTTATAAATTACCCAGTCTCAGATATTATCTTTACAGCAGTGTGAAAATGGACTAATACATTATCTATAGTCTTCACAATTTCTACAATGAGTTAGATTTTATAATCAGAGAAAAATAAACATATTTTAGAACAACTTGATTTTAGTCCAGAATATGCATGATTTATATTATTCTATGAAAAAAAAATGCCAAGTGCCAGATATTTGTGTCATATAACCCCCTCTCGATAGATTTTGCCCCTCCTACTTTGATGTGCTCACATTGTGTCTGCTGAGTGGATAGTGGGCCATATGTTCCCATCCCTTTGACCACAGTTTATCAGATAAAGGTAGAATTGATCCTGGTTAGCCTATCGTATTATCTGGAAATTGGAATTGGGACTCAGAGCCGCTTGTTAATTCTCTGCTGAGTTATTGAACTTGGAGACCAAGTACGGATAGGGTGCACATTTTCTCTATTATTATTATTATACTTTAAGTTCTAGGGTACATGTGCATAACATGCAGATTTGTTACATAGGTATACATATGCCATGTTGGTTTGCTGCACCCATCAACTCGTCATTTACATTAGGTATTTCTCCTAACGCTATCCCTCCCCCAGCCCCCCACCCCCCAACAGGCCCCGGTGTGTGATGCTCCCCTCCCTGTATCCATGTGTTCTCATTGTTCAACTCCCACTTATGAGTGAGAACATGCAGTGTTTGGTTTTCTGTCCTTGTGATATTTTGCTGAGAATGATGGTTTCCAGCTTCATCCATGTCCCTGCAAAGGACATGAACTCATCCTTTTTTATGGCTGCATAGTATTCCATGGTGTATATGTGCCACATTTTCTTTATCCAGTCTATTACTGATGGACATTTGGGTTGGTTCCAAGTCTTTGCTATTGTGAATAGTGCCACAATAAACATATGTGTGCATGTGTCTTTATAGTAGCATGATTTATCATCCTTTGGGTATATACCCAGGAATGAGATTGCTGGGTCAAATGGTATTTCTAGTTCTAGATCCTTGAGGAATAATCACACTGTCTTCCACAATGGTTGAACTAATTTACACTCCCACCAACAGTGTAAAAGCATTCCTATTTCTCCACATCCTCTCCAGTACCTGTTGTTTCCTTACTTTTTAATGATCGCCATTCTAACTGGCATGAGGTGGTATCTCACTGTGGTTTTGATTTGCATTTCTCTAATGACCAGTGATGAGGAGCTTTTCTTCATATGTCTGTTGGCTGCATAAAAGTCTTCTTTTGAGAAGCGTCTGTTCATATCCTTTGCCCACTTTTTGATGGGGTTGTTTTTTTCTTGTAAATTTGTTTAAGTTTTTTGTAGATTCTGGATATTAGCCCTTTGTCAGATGGATAGATTGCAAAAATTTTCTCCCATTCTGTAGGTTGCCTGTTCTCTCTGTTTCTTTTGCTGTGCAGAAGTTCTTTAGTTTAATTAGATCCCATTTTTCTATTTTGGCTTTTGTTACCACTGCTTTTGGTGTTTTAGCCATGAAGTCCTTGCCCATGCCTATGTCCTGAATGGTATTGCCTACGTTTGCTTCTAGGGTTTTTATGGTTTTAGGTCTTACATTTAAGGCTTTAATCCACCTTGAGTTAATTTTTGTGTAAGGTGTAAGGAAGGGATCCAGTTTCAGCTTTCTACATATGGCTAGCGAGTTTTCCCAGCAATAATTATTAAATAGCGAATCCTTTCCCCATTGCTTGTTTTTGTCAGGTTTGTCAAAGATCAGATGGTTGTAGATGTGTGGTGTTATTTCTGAGGCCTCTGTTCTGTTCCATTGGTCTATCTCTCTGTTTTGGTACCAATACCATGCTGTTTTGGTTACTGTAGCCTTGTAGTGTAGTTTGAAGTCAGGTAGCATGATGCCTCCAGCTTTGTTCTTTTTGCTTAGGATTGTCTTGGCTATGCAGGCTCTTTTTTGGTTCCATATGAAATTTAAAGTAGTTTTTTCCAATTCTATGAAGAAAGTCAGTGGTAGCTTGATGGGGATAGCATTGAATCTATAAATTATCTTGGGCAGTATGGCCATTTTCATGATATTGATTCTTCAGATAGGGTAGACATTTTCAACCACATGTATAGAAATAAGGAATTCAGTCTTCATAGAAAAATAAGATCAATATAGAAGACCAAGAACTTCTGGTTCAGAACTCAGACCTACATAAAGAAGTGTTGTGCAGGAAGGCTTACATGGAAAAAGCAAAAAAATAAAATAAAATAAAATTGAAAATACATAAAGAAGAGAAGAGCATCAGAAAAGGAATAAGTGAAAGTAAAATAAATAATTTTATTCTTAATTGATGTAACAGTTTGTTCAAAATAATAATAGCAGCAATGTATTTGATTTTACATACACACATACACACACATATATTATACTCCCATACCTGTGGGTTCCCCGTTAGTGGATTCAACCAACTGTGGATCAAAAATATTCACACACAAAAAAGAAGGCCAGGCACAGTGGCTCACACCTTTAATCTCAAGTGCTTTGGGAGGCCAGTGTACACGGGAGGATCACTTGACGCTAGGAGTTCAAGACCACCCTGAGCAACATAGCAAGTCCCAGTCTCTACAAAATAAAAAGTTAGCTAGGTGTGGTGGTGCACCCCTGTAGTCCCAGCTACTTGAAAAGCTGAGGTGGGAGGATCATTTAAGCTCAGGAGTCTGAGACTAAAGTAAGCCATGATCATGCCACTGCACTCCAGCCTGGATGACAGAGCAAGACCTTGACTGAAAAAATTGTTTTTCAAAAAAAATTAAAAATAACAATGCAACAATAAAAATAATACAGATTTTAAAACAGTACAGTATAATAATTTACAGGAGGTTAAAATACAGGAGGATGTACATAGGCTATATGCAAAAACTATGCCAATTTGTATAAGGGATTTGAGCATCTGCAGATTTTGGTATTGGCCAGGGGGTCCTGGAAACAATCTCCTGTGGTTACTGAGGGATGATTGTGTGTGTGGGGGGGTGTGCATGTGTGTGTGTCTACATAAATATACACACATATGTACAGAACATATATGTATAAGTGAAATGAATGACAGCAATGATTCAGAGGGGACAGGAGAGAGGAATTAGAATTATTTTGTTATTATTTTGTTATTTTGTTACTCACACTACCCATGAAGTGGTATAGTGTTATTTGAAAGTGGACTTGGATTAATTGTAAATATACATTGCAAACTCTAGGGCAACCACTAAACTAAAAAATTTTAAGGCTGGGCACGGTGGCTTCATGCCTGTAATCCCAACACTTTGGGAGGCCGAGGCGAGCGGATCACGAGATCAGGAGATCAAGACCATCCTGGCTAACACAGCAAAACCCCGTCTCTACTAAAAATACAAAAAATTAGCCGGGTATGGTGGCAGGCGCCTGTAGTCCCAGCTACTAAGGAGGTTGAGGCAGGAGAATGGCATGAACCGGGGAGGCAGAGCTTGCATTGAGCTGAGATTGCGCCACTGCACTCCAGCCTGGGCGACAGAGCAAGACACCGTCTCAAAAAAAAAAAAAAGTTTAGAAAGAAGTACAACTGATATGCTTAAAAAGTAGAAAAAAAATAGAGTCATATAAAATGCTCAATTAAAACCACAAAAGACAGAAAAAACAATAGAAGACAAAAATAGGAAAAAAGAACAAGAGCAACAAATAGAAAACAGCAAAAAATATGATAGATACTAATTCAATTATGTCAATAATCCCTTTGAATGTCAATAGTCTAAATAGACCAATTAATTAACAGGGTTTGTCTGAGGAAATAGAAAAACAGGACCCAACCAGTAGTCTGTCTACAAGAAACCCACTTTTTATATAAAAACATATATAGATTAAAAGTAAATTGGGCCAAGCGTGGTGGCTCACACCTGTAATCCCAACACTTTGGGAGGCCGAGGTGGGCAGATTCCCTGAGGTCAGGAGTTTGAGACCAGCCTGGCCAACATGGCGAAACCCCATCTCTACCAAAAATATAAAAAATTAGCCGGGTGTGTTGGCATGTGACTGTAATCCCAGCTACTCGAGAGGCTGAAGCAGGAGAATTGCTTGAACCTGGGAGGTGGAGGTTGCAGTGAGTAGAGATCGTGCCACTGCACACCAGTCTGGGCAACAGAGCAAAACTCCATCTCCAAAAAAAAAGAAAAAAATTAGCCAGGGATGCTGGTGCCTGCCTGTAGTCCCAGCTACTCAGGAGGCTGAGGCATGAGAATTGCTTCAACCCAGGAGGCAGAGGCTGCAGTGAGCTGAAATTGTGCCACTGCACTCCAGCCTGGGTGACAGCGTGAGACTCTTGTCTCAAAAAAAAAAAAGAAAAAAGAGAGAAAGAAAAGAAAAAGAAAGAAAGTAAGAAAAAAAAATATCAACAGAGTAAACAGACAACCTACAGAATGGGAGAAAAGTTTTGCAAACTATGCGTCTGGCAAAGATCTAATATCTAGCACCTATAAGAAACTTAAACCAATTTACAAGGGAAAAAAAACATTAAAAAGTGGACAAAGGACATGAAAAGACACTTTTCAAAAGAAGACATAACATGTGGCCAAAAAGCATATGGAAAAAAAAGCTCGACATCACTGATCATTAGAGAAATGCAAATCAAAACCACAATGAGATACCATTTCACACCAGTCTGAATGGCTGGTATTAAAAAGTCGAAAAATAACAGATGCTGGGAAGGTTGTAGAGAAAAACACCTATACACTGTTGGGAGTGTAAATTAGTTCAACCGTTACAGAAAACAGTGTGGCAATTCCTTAAAGACCTAAAGACAGAACTACCATTCAACCCAGAAATCCCATTACTGGGTATATACCCAAAGGAATGTAAGTTACTCTATCATAAAGACACATACATGCATATGTTCATTCCAGCACTATTCACAATAGCAAAGAGATGGAATCAACCTAAATGCCCATCAATGATAGACTGGATAAAGAATGTGGTACATAAACACAATGGAATACTATGTAGCCATTCAAAAGAATGAAATCACGTCCTTTGCAGGGACATGGATGGAATTGGAGGTCATTATCCTTAGCAGACTAATGCAGGAACAGAAAACCAAATACTACATGTTCTCATTTATAAGTGGAAGCTAAATGATGAGAACACATGGATATATAGAGGGGAACAATGAACACTGGGGTCTATCAGAGGGTTGAGGGTGGGGATAGGGAGAGGATCAAGAAAAATAACTAATGGGTACTAGCCTTAATACCTGGGTGATGAAATAATCTACACAACAAACCCCATGATACACGTTTACCTATGTAACAATCCTTCACGTGTACCCCGATCTTAAAATAAATGTTAAAAAAAGAAACCTTTCTTCTTTTCTAATATAGGCATTTAGTGTTATAAATTTCTCTCTAAGCACAGCTTAGCCCCACTCCACAAACTTTAATGTACCACATTTTCATTTTCACTCAGTTGAAATATATTCTAATTTTTCTTTGTATTTCTTTTTTAATCCATGCATGTATCATTTAGCCAAATATTTTGTAATTTTCCAACTACTGGGAGATTTTTTGGATACTTTTCTGTTATTTATTCCTAATTTAATTCCATTGTGGTCAGAGAACATACTTTTTAAGGTTTAGAAGATTTTCTTTCTTTCCCAAGGTGAAGGAGAGACCCCTGCCATGGGACTCTCCCTGATAGCCCTCGTGGGCCTGTACTACCTTCTGCGCTGGTAGTGGGAGAGACAGGTGGTGAGCCTCCCTTGAGATAACTGCTTCATCATGGGCTGTGACTCGGGCTTCGGGAATCTGCTGGCAAGACAGCTGGATACGCAAAGCTTGAGGGTGCTGGCTATGTGTCTGATGGAGAAGGAGGCAGAGCAGCTGAGGGGCCAGACTTCAGACAGGCTGGAGACGGTGACCCTGGACATCACCAAGACAGAGAATATCGCTGCAGCCACCCAGGGAGTGAAGGATGCATGGGGGACAGAGTACAGTGCAGGGGATGGATGGCGGGGGCAGTGGGGGAGTCTGTCCTTCAGACAAATTGCTTTGTCCTCAATGTCTCTGGTTAGCCAGATAATGTTCCAGGTACAAAATATTAGGGGTTAGCTTAGGCATATACTGGGGATGTGTTTTCATTGCTGACAGATACATTATGAATGATGACTGTTCTTAGGACTGACAAATACAAGCATTTTTATGAGAACAGTGAATGAATGCTTGGAATCAAGATTGCTCTGAAATATTCAGGTTGTGTGGTACGTGTATATATCTGGGTAGAAGGAGGGAATGAATGAAAGATAGGGAGGTATAGATAATAAAGGTATAGAAACTGGTATAGAAAGCAAACTGCAAGAACAGTGGCCCTCAAAAATCCAGGGCATGAAAATGCTAACTTAGTAAATAAGAGGTGCTTATTCTTTTTCACTCTTATTTGGAGAAACTTACTTCACAAAAGGATTCTTAGCTGCATCCTTTAAAGCAGGAGGTAATTACACTGTCTACATTTTATTTTGCCTTACTGAGGGTGGATCACTTGTGTAAATCAGTGTTTTCCAAGCTTACTTAATCATAAGATGAGAAAGACCTGATTAATCGAGGGGGATTCTTAATAAGTTTTATTATTCAAAAAGTACCCCTAGCTGAGTCTTAGTATGAGGCAATCAAATCACATCTATATTCTGATCACTAAGGCATGGTCTGTGTTTTTCTAGGTGTTGTTTTCCTACCATCAGTTGTAAGCTAGAGTTTTTGAAGCAGCCCAGGGAATTGGCAGAAACTTTGTGAGCCTAACCAAAGACTGTAAGACAAGAGCCAAATTTCAATGATTGCTGGAGAAACTCCAAAGCAGGCCATTTGGGGCCCTCTGGTGGCTGGGGGGTACACCGAGCAGGACAGCAGGACCAGCTGCAGCTGAGTTCCAACATGCCATTTTACACATTCCCTTGACTTATCATGGCAGATCTTGACTCTCATCCTTGCATCAATGTGGCACAGGCCTCAGGGCCAGCTGGCATCCTACACAAGTCCTCTGAGGGGTGAGGGACAGAAAACCCCACAGGGAGAGGCTGAAGCCAAAAGGTCTCCTAATCAGCCTGAGGCACCAGGAATAAACTTAAGGTCCAACAAAGTCAGGTCTTTTGTCCTATTGCCATGAGGAAGACTGCATACCAGGGGACTCATGGGTTGTCTGATCAAAGGAAAAGAGAATTATTATAGGATATGGAGATGAAGCAATTTCTTGATAGACTCCAAGCAAAGCAGGGCTCTGTGAAAAGAGATCAACTCCAGGTCTGGATTACAAAATGGTCCCAAGGTCTTGTTTCATTAGAAAGCACAGTTTAGATGTGAAATGTTTCCAGCAACCCCTATCTAAAGTTCTGCACCTGGGTTATATAATGAGGCTGCTTCTGTGTCAAAGTGACTCAGGCAAGGGTGGGATATTCATTTTTATGATATAATTTTTTTAGACATGAGGTTTTGCTTTATTCCCCAAACTGGTCTCAAACTTCTTGCCTCAAGCCATCCTCCCACCTTGGCCTCCCAAAGTGCTGGGATTATAGATGTGAGTCACCATACCTGGCCTCTTACAATAGAATTTTAAACACTGAAGTGTTTGATAGTCTTTGCTTTTACAGAACAAGATTTCTCAGTGAGTAAAAAGTCTATAGTCACTCAAAGAAAGAGGTCGTTAAGACACTTTACAGTTGCAGCATGTCCTTCAAAAAACCCTTTGGCCAGCCAGAAAGATACTTTCTCTGTTCAAATTAATATTTACTTTCTCAAGGATCAGGGCAGGGCATTGAGAGGGGTGAGTGCAGGAGAGGGAGGTTGGTGAGCAGCACAAGGACTTGCCTTCTTTAGAATTCAATCTGTAGTTATCTTGCATTTCCCTCCTGCACATATCCCTTCTGCTCCAAATTTTGAAAGGAAATAGGGAATTAATATTCTCTCCCTGACCCTGGAGTCCTCCCGTCCCCGGGGCCTTGGGTCCAGGCATGACCAAAGGAAGTGAATATTTTAGCCCTGGGACTATTTCTGTTTGAGGAAAGTAAAATGTCTTCCTTTTGAGATTTGAGCAAGCAAAGCCTTCTTACAGCTCTTGACAGCAGCATAGATTTGTGGTTAAAACTCACAAGGAAACCGCTTAATCTGTTTTTCTTAGGTTTCTGATTTACTTGGCAACAAACTAAGGCCAAAAAAAGGCCGGGAAAATGGAATCCCTTCTGTCTTTGCTCCCGCCTGGCTAGCTTTCTACCCACGTGGATTACCCCCCTGGCATGCTCAAACAGCTGAAGATTCTAATGCCTCATAAATAAAACTGTGTGATAGTTTTTAATAAACAAAAACAAAATCTTTTTAAAATGTGGCTATCACTAGTTCACTGAAAATTACTTGGCTACCATTAATTTGTTTTAACATAATTACTTATCACTTTTCATCTTGCAGGATCAGGAATTTGTTTCAGGTAATGATAACTAATCTATAATTTATTTTTAAATGCCATAATGTTTAGGAACAAATTTAATCAACTAATGAGGTTGATATATTCTAATTACACTCAAATCAGTGTTTTTTATTTTGCTATTGTCCTTATAATCTGGAGAAAATAATGTTTGAGAACCAAAAGAAATTTTGTGGATCCTTGAAAATTTCCTAGACACAGAGCCTACAGTAAAGTGGCCATGCTAGAAATGCTTCTTTATTTCTCTCCTCTTCCTCTCCCTTTTATAGGAATAAAACTCAGACGAAAAAGGACCTCTGCTATCTCAGATATAAATCTGACTAACTGACTAAAGATTGAAGAGTTTCACAAAGTCATAACCCTCCTTGTTTTCAGAAATAATCCCATTACACCTTGAGGACCTAAATCCCAACTTGCTGGTACTGGCAGCTTCCTAGGTTCACCTTGCCCAACTTTTTCCTCCTCTCTGAACCTAACCCTCTTTTTAAAGGCAATTCCCTCCTTGAACACCTCCATGATGATTCTGTTACAGTAGGTAGCTAGTCAGAGGTGAGCAGGGCAGGAGAGGGCCACTCTCAGCCCCCACCACCAGGAATGTCAGGCAATAATCAGGTGATGGTCAGGCAGTTGTTGCATTGTCTCTAAAAAATAATTGGTCACAGCCAGCACCAGCGAAAGCAACCTCCCAATAGATAGAAACACCCAAACCTAGTAATTAGCAGCTTCCCAATAAGATCTCAGGATTAGGCAAGTAGGCTCAAGAATGCACCCTAAGAGGCAAAATGGCAGACAACCTTCCTCTAGGAACACTGGACTGGTAAGGGAAAAACACCTCATATGAGCGTGCCTACAACTCCAGCAAACACGCTGCACATGTGGCCTCTCCCAAGTGCTAGCAGTCCACTGTGTATGCAGAGAGCCCATCCCAAGGGAAGAATCAGGAGAGAAGGACAGCAAGATCCCAGAGGTATGCCAACATATAAAACCCCAGTCAAACCATGTGCTTGATCTCTCAGGTCGATGATTGGCCCTCTTCCAAGCGTACTTTACTTCCTTTCATTCGTGCTCTAAAGCTTTGTAATAAACTTTCACTCCTGCTCTAAGACTTGCCTCAGTCTCTCCCTCTGCCTTATGCCCCTCAGTCAAATTCTTTCCTCTGAGGAGGCAAGAATTGAGGTTGCTGCAGACCCATATGGATTCACTGCCAGTAACATAAGTTGTTGCCGTGACTCAGATATGCTCTGCTGCTAACATACTTTGGTGCCACGTGACTCATGTCATTTCCTGGTGGTAAGACACCTCTATGCCTCTCCTTCTTTGGCTTGAAGCATTCAATCCCCGTACGTGGTTTCCTTTTTCCCTTTTGCTCTCCTGCTTACTAACAAACCCCCAGAATGATTCCTCTCAGCCACAAGTGGCTCTGCTCCCCCTAGTTGATCTCTCAGCTCACCTGATGGGTGGCTCATGGGGTGGGAAGGACCTTGGGGTCCACATTGAGTAGAAGGAGAACCTAATGGTCCTCCAGGACAGGAGGTGCACAAGAGTGGTAGGGCTAAAGCTAAAACCATGCAATGTCTGGGGTCTTCTCTGCTTTTTCAACTAAAATCACCTCTTTCCCAAGAACCCACACTGCCTTTTCTGTTTTCTCCATGTGTATTCTGAAATGGCCTTGTGCACCCACTGGATTGTACTCCCTGGGGGCAAGTCTGCCTCTTTACTTTCAATTCACATGCCATCTGACTTCTTAAACACACAATCCCTGTTATTTGTGCACCCACAGCTCTTGCTGCATCTGCATGGCCACAAAGACACGGGCTCCCTTGAGGATATCCCCTGAGATTTATACTTGTTTTCACCCTACCAGCTTGGATGACCTCAAACTGTTCTCCGTCTGCTGGCACATTGCCAGGACAGACACTAACTGGAACCCCAGGTCTGCCAGCTCCTTATGACTTAACACATGCTTTTCATTCCTGTTATGCCCCAGGGCCAAGTTTTCCTGTGGCTCTTGAAGCAGTTTGTCTGTACGGGACCTCACTCTGTGGTCTTTTAAGGATCCCATGTACTTGCTTTTTTTGACTTTGCACCCTTTTGGGAGGAGGGGAAATTCTTTCTTTGCCATTTGTGATTTCTTACTCCAAGTCCCAAGTCCTCTGGAGGTTACTACTTTATGTCAAGAGGGCAAATAAATGTTGCCCTCAGGAATTCAAGGGCCGCTGTTTTTACAAACATATGAAGGCTTTCCATGAGTATTCTTCTCACTTCCTCCCACTTCCTCCTGTAGCCTCCATTTCTCTAATTAGTTCCATGCCCTTCTCAATATGCATCAAGACCTCCAAGGTCATATTAGAAGGGAGGGAAGTCCAGCCCCCTTGAAGCAGTTAGCTAAAAAAAAAATATGGGAAATAGGAATCTGAGAAAAGAGGTTATCATTTTGTTGCTAGAATGCTCCAAATGAGAGTCACTATAAGGTCATAGAGATAAGGCTATAGGACAGCCTAAGGCTGCAGGTACAACAGACCCATAGGACAAAGATGAAGGTTCGTCCCAGGCTAACAGATTACCATTAGAACAGAGATGCAGGCAAGTTTAGGGGTACATAGTAAGACTGGTTCATTTCAGAACCCCAAGGATTAACCGGGGGCCCACTGTTCACTCCAGTGTCTCCTCTGTTCTCAAGTGGGTAATTGTGATGAGACGGGACCAAGGTTAAGGGTACACACTGAGACCAGTTCATTCCAGAACCCTAAGGGTTAATGGGGGTTGCCCTATTCAGGATAGAAGGAAAGTAAAAGGGTATGCCTTCTTTTTCCTTTTTTCCTTTTTTGTTCTTCTCTGTTTTCTCTTTGCAGATGGGTAATCGCATCATCATACCACAGGACACGTCCCTCGGATGCATCCCCAAAAACTGGGAAAAGTTTGATTCCCCCAAACCTAAAAAAAAACAAAAAACAAAAAACAAAAACTCATTTTCCTTTATAATACTGTTTGGCCTAAAAATGAACTGACAGAAAATTACAAAAGTCAGCCTTAGAACCCAGTGCCCTTATGCAGGAAATCCGCAAATTAACCTCCTCAGTCTTTCATAACTGACTGCAGAATAAGGAGGACAGGGCTAAGAAAAAGAAAAAAAAAACAGGGACAAGGGGCAGGCTCAGCTGTTGGCTGATTTACAAGCTCTCCAGTCCCCTCCAGATTGCCCTCAGAATACCCTCCCAGGTAACTGCCATTGGTGTGGGGAGCCAAGGCATCAGAAGGCAAACTTCCCCAATGGGATAAATGGGAAAAAAGCCCCTCTAGGCTTGTTCCCTCTGCCACAAGCTCAGCCACTGGAATGGGACTACACTGAGGGCTGAAGAGCCCCTGGGACAAGATCCCAACCTTTGATGGCCTTGAGCTGAAAGGGCTCTCCACTCTGGCTGGCTTCCGAATCAGACATCGTCATCAACAGAATAAAGCCAAGGGCAACTCTGGAGACAGCAAGTAAAATTATAAATTTCCCTTTTGGGTTCAAGACTTGCCTACTCTGTCCTAATCTCCTCTGAGCAGCTCTCCTCCAAATCCAGTCAGGTAATGGGGGCAAATGGCACCTCCTCCCTCCAAAAGAAAAGATTCACACCCCTTTGGGCAAAAATATACTTTCCAAGATGGGTGCTTACTTAGTATTTACCCAACCTTTGAATTCATCTTTCCCTCTAGCCCAAGCTTGTACAACCCATAGCCCATAGGCCACATACAGCCAGGACAGCTTTGAATGTGGCCTAACACAAATTTGTAAACTTTTAAAAAACATTATATTTTTGCTTTTTTTTTTTTTTAGCTCATCAGCTATCATTAGTGTTAGTGTATTTTATGTGTGGCCCAAGACAATTCTTCCAGTGTGGCCCAGGGAAACCAAAAGATTGGACACCCCTGTTGTAGCCCTATTTCTCCTGGGAAAGCTACCTAAATCTTTAATCAAAAACTTCATCCTACACAGTCCTGCCTCAGGGGTTTAGACATAGCCCACACTAAATCGGACAAGCCTAAGCAAAAATCTAACTGAGCAGTCTCTTGAGGGGGGATAACTTCTACTGTACGTAGATAACCTCTTATCTGCTCCCCCTTCACAGGACCCACACAGCAACATACAGTACAAATCTTAACTTTCTAACAGAGGGAAAATGATTTGTTTTATTAAAAGATAAAGTAAAGAGGTATTTTTTGTAAGGAAGGTTATAAAGAGGTTGTGTATGAAAAAGGATCTGGTATGGTAAATTATTGTCCTAAAGTAAAATAACTGGTTGTTTAAACAGAGGGATGCTTAGGACAAGTCAGAAAGACCAGGGATGTCATAATTAGTCTGTGTGAGTCATGAAAAAGATTCTTGAAAGGGAATTTATGAAAGAAATGTTATACAATTTTAAAAGTTATTAGGCCCTCTACATGCTTCATAAACCACTGTTATTACTCTTAACTGTGCAACTTGCCTGCTCTAAAAGTAGGTAAAGCCTGGGGACATGCAGAGTTAGCCACGCCCCCCAGCTATGCTGGAAAGAATCCGACTGTATCTGCACTTCTGTCTGGTGTCCTGGGTGCCACATATAATTAAAATCGCACCAGGTTTTTCACCAAAAGTAAAAGTTACTAAGAGTTAACAGTGAAACATGTACTTGAGACTACTGGAAAAACAGCTTTTCATGCAAGGAGTATAAGGAAAATAGAATGTGTTTTTGGTAAAAGATTATGAGAAGGCATGGGAATGTGGATTTTTTTTTTTTTTTTGCCTAAGTTTAGAGGGTTAAAGGATTGTTTTAAGTTAGGATAAAGCTGAAGGTTTAAGCAAGTTTTGGAAGGTTTATGAAAGATTAATCTTGAAAAAGAAATTCTGTATGTGAACATACTACCTAAATTATAGGGGTATTATTCAGTTTATCCATAAATCAAACATTGGAATAAAAGCACAACATGGACTGAGAAGGGAAAAATGCCTCAAGTGAGCATGCATACAACTCTTACAGCATTGTTCTGCTCTTTAACAGAAAATTGTAAAGGGTTATAAAAGGTTTATGAGAATATTACCTTATGTTCAAACTGATTAAGATTGGATAGATTTGTCTATAAGGTTTTATTAAGAACTGGGTTTGACATCAATGTACACTAATGCAAGGTAGTATCTGGCTTTCTTGGGGCTGCATTTGTATAAATGTCTTATTGGTATGTGCTCCAAAATTATGTGAAACTTCTATAATTCTAATACAACAGTATATGTTATCAGTAATAATTATGATTGTTCTGTTAAATTATTGTGTGCCACAGAGGTAACAAATTTCCTTGTCAATTGTGCCTTTAAATATGGCTGCCCTAAGACTTTTTGTCATCGACATAAAATTGTTGTCTTGTTTTAATACTTTTTAAAAGGTGGTTTCATAATCAGCTATAGGACTCGAACAGGTGCTCTGTGTGTGTGTGTGTGTGTGTGTGTGTGTGACAGAGTCTCACTCTGTTGCCCAGACTGGAGGGCAGTGGTATGATCTCAGCTCACTGCAACGTCCGCCTCCCAGGTTCAAGTGCTTCTTCTGCCTCAACCTCCTGAGTAGTTGGGACTACAGGCACGCACCACCACATCTGGCTAATTTTTGTATTTTTAGTAGAGACAGGGTTTCACTATGTTGGCCAGGCTGGTCTCAAACTCCTGATCTCAGGTGATCCACCCACCTCAGCCTCCTGATGTACTGGGATTACAGGGGTGAGCCATGTGCATGGCCTTACAGTTGCTCTTAAATGCAGGTTTCTGATAACTTTGGAGATTGTGACATTAGAATAAAGGGAAAACTTTCAGGATGCTCATGGAAAGCTGAAATGTTCATGAATATCAAGCAGAACAGGAGTTAACTGCATGAACTAAACTAATAAAAGACTAAAATAAACATTTTATGACTTTTTGCTCAAAATATTGCTAATCCTTTGTTTTTCAAAGCCAAGAAAACTTTTCTCATGAGCTATTTACAGCTTTTAACAATTGAGTAAAGTATACTCCTATAAACAAAATTTGGAGCATATTTCTCTCTATCATTTTTCCCCAAAATTTGAAAACTATTTGTGAGTATTATTAACTTACATTAATATAGTTATTTGCATAAGTGCAATAAGAATCTGTTTTTTTCGTATCCGGACACAATTGGAGACACTGCTTATTTTACCAAGGCTTTGACTAGAATGGCATGCTTTCCTTTAAGGAATCAAATTTGACTTATTGAGCCAATAAAAGTCCCTTGGGAAAACTGGCCTCATACCTTGTCTACACAGTCCCTGTACAGGGCTCCTGACCTGTAGTAAGTAAAGAATCTCACTTTGTAACAGGCCCAAGAGTCTCAAGTTATCTTGATACCTCAAGAGGAGAGGAATTTACCCAACTCATACAGGTATTTGATGTCATCAACCCATGGCTAGGCTTAAGGGTTTTAAAAAGTCTCATCCGGGATTCCTTACAGAACAAAGTTCCATCAAAGCCGATTTAAAAAGGAGCCTAAATGGCAAATAATTATTCTTGTTGTGCTTTATGCAAATAAGCCAAGTAGAATAAAGCTAAAACTTATTTTGCAAACAAATTAGTCCTATCATTATTTGTTTTTAATAAAAATGAGGACTGGAGAGAGAAAAATTATGACTCAAGAACTATGGTACACCTGTTATTAGACTCTAGTCTCATTAGTTGTTTTTCAGTTTTTGTCTGCAATTTAGATTGACCCTGCTTATTCCTGTGAACCAACCAGTGGTCTCTGGCTGCAGCTCAGAAAAAACAAGAGGGATAGGCCATCCAACTCCAGATGATCCTCAGTGAGGGATACCGTCCTCTCAATATTCAAGAGTCATCCTTCTGCAGGGGACCCCTAAACTGCCCATCAGTGGGACACGACAGAGGTGAAACCCTGACACTGTCTCCTGTGGACCTGGCTGGATACTGTTTTCACCAAACTACAGAGCCACCCTGCCCTGACAGCTAGCAAGAGGCCAAGACCCACAGAACAACCACCCCCACCCCTCTGTCAGCAGGAAGCAGTTACGGAAGACTGACCTTTGTCCATTTTCCCCCAAAGAATTGAGGTCTTGGACTCTTGAGGGGGAAAATACAGTAGGTAGCTAATCAGACATGAGCAGGGCAACAGAGGGCCACCCCCCATTACCACCAGGAATGTCAGGCAACAATCAGGTGATGGTCAGGCAGTTGTCAGACTGTCTCTCTGAAAATCTGAAAAATAATTAGTCACAGCCAGCACCAGGGAAAGGTAGTCTTCCAATAGATAGAAGTACCTAAAACTGGTGATCAGCAGCTTCCCAATTAGATCTCAGGAGTTGGGCAAGTGGGCTCACGCATGAACACTAAGAGGCAAAACAGCAGATGACCTTCCTCTAGGAACACTGGACTGGTAAGGCAAAATTACCTCAAGTCAGTATGCCTACAACTCCAGTAAATACCCTGCACATGTGGCCCCTCCCAAGTGCTAGGAGTCCCAAGGGAAGAATCGGGGAGAAGAAATGTAAGACCCTGGAAATATGCCAATATATAAAACCCTAAGTCAGTCAAACCATGTGCTTGATCTCCCAAGTCGCCCACTTGGCCCTCTTCCAAATGTATTTTACTTTCTTTCATTCCTGCTCTAAAACTTTATAATAAACTTTCACTCCTGCTCTAACACTTGCCTCGGTCTCTCCTTCTGCCTTATGACCCTCAGTCTAATTCTTTCTTCTGAGGAGGCAAGAATTAAGGTTGCTGCAGGCCCATAGGGATTTGCCACTGGTAACAATTCTAGCCTATAATCCTGTTCTAGATCCTTTCATATTTACTAACAATGAACACTTCATGTACTTGTTTAATATGCTTTTTATATAGAGCAAGTTATAAACTCTTTGAGAGAAAGGATGTTGCCATAATTATATGTGTGCATGTTTAGTATGGATAGAAAATCTTTCGGTCTTTCTCAGGAGCTCTCGGTGGTGCTGGACACAGAAGAATCAGTAAATATCTCCTGCACCAGTTGGTGCTAGTACAGCACCAGGACTAGATCCTTTGTCCTTTCTCATCTGAGAAGAAAACTCAGTAATAGATAGCGGGTGAGGGGGAGCATGGAGCCAAAGGCATGTATTGTGCAAGATGCCACCCTCTAGACCCATAAATCCTTAACTCTTAAAAAATAAAAATAGGGAAGGAGGCTGAGTGCAGTGGTTCACATCTGTAATCCCAGCACTTTGGGATTGAGAGCAAGAGAGCAAGACCCTGTTAAGAAAAAAAGAAAGAAAAAGAAGAAGGAAGGAAGGAAGGAAGGAAGGCAAGTGAAGGAAGGAAGGAAGGAGGAAAGAAAGAAAGAAAAAGAAAGAAAGAAAGAGAAAGAAAGAAGGAAGGAAAGAGAGAGAGAAGGAAGGAAGGAAAGAAAAAGAAAGAAAGAAAGAGAAAGATAGAAAGCGAAAAGAAAGAAAGTGGTGCTGGCAAGCACCACCACTCTCAGCTAATTTTTGTATTTTTGTAGAGACAAGAGTTTTGCCATGTTGGTAGGTTGGTCTCGAACTCCTGGGCTCAAGCAGTGTGCCCACCTCGGCCTCCCAAAGTGCTGACATGAGCCACCATGCCCAGCCCCTTTGCCCAATTTTTAATGGGGTTGTTTGTTTTTTGCTTATAAATTTTTTTAAGTTCTTGTAGATGCTGAATATTAGACCTTTGTCAGATGCATAGTTTGCAAAAATTTTCTCCCATTCTGTAGGTTGTTCACTCTGTTGATACTTTCCTTTGTTGTGCAGCTCTTTAGTTTAATTAGATCCCACTTGTCAATTTTTGCTTTTGTTGTGATTGCTATTTGTGTCTTCATTATGAAATCTTACCCCATTCCTATGTCCAGAATGGTATTGCCTAGGTTGTCTTCCAAGGTTTATATAGTTTTGGGTTCCACATTTAAGTCTTTGACCCATCTTGAATTGATTTTTGCATATGGCGTAAGGAAGCGGTCTAGTTTCAATTCTGCATGTGGGTAGCCGGTTATCCTAGCACCATTTATTGAATAAGGAATCTTCCCCCATTGTTCGTTTTTGTCAGGTCTGTCAAAGATCAGATTGTTGTAAGTGTGCAGCCTTATTTCTGGGTTCTCTGTTCTGTTCCATTAGTCTATGTATCTGTTTTTGTATGAGTACCATGCTGTTTTGATTACTGTAGCCCTTGTAGTGTAGTTTGAAGTTGGATAGTGTGATGCCTCCAGCTTTGTTCTTTTTGCTTAAGATTCCCTTTGCTATTCTGGCTCTTTTTTGGTTCCATATGAATTTTAAAATCTTTTTCTCTAGTTCTGTGAAGAATGTTAATGGTAGTTTAATAGGAATAGCATTTAATTTATAAATTGCTATGGGCAGTATGGCCATTTTAACAATGTTGATTCTTCCTATCCATGAGCATGAAATGTTTTCTCATTTATTTGTATCATCAGTGATTTTTTTTTTTTTTTTTTGAGATGGAGTTTCACTCTTGTCGCCCAGACTGGAGTGCAATGGCACGATCTCAGCTCACTGCAACCTCCACCCGCCAGGTTCAGGTGGTTCTCATGCCTCAGCCTCTCAAATAGCTGGGATTACAGGAATGTGCCACCATGCCCAGCTAATTTTTTGTATTTTTAGTAGAGATGGGATTTCACCATGTTGGCTAGGCTAGTCTTGAACTCCTGACCTCAGGTGATCCACCCCCCTTGGCCTCCCAAAGTGCTGGGATTACAGGCATGAGCCAGCATGCCAGGTCTTCATCTCTAATTTCTTTCAGCAGTGTTTTGTAGTTCTCCTTGTAGAGGTCTTTCACCTTCCTGGTTACCTGTATTCCTAGGTATTTTACTTTTTTGTGGCAATTGAGAATGAGATTGAGTTCCTGATTTGGCTCTCGGCTTGACTGTTAGTGGTCTATAGGAACACTAGTGATTTTTTCACATGATTTGACCATGATCTTTTAGAGAGAGAAAAGTTAAGATCCAAGATACATATTGCCCCAGGAACATTTCCTCCAATGTCTATTTCTAAAGCAATCTATCAGTATTGCAGTTATTTAAATTTCAACTAATGTTTTTTCTCTGTCTGGATATGATGCAAACATACTCTGAATTGATAAAGCTTTTCGGTGGAATAAGGTGTGGGGACATGCCTATGATAGGCCTACAATTATCTGAGTACATCAAGATTCTCACAGGAACTGCCTCACTCTTGGCAGCACACAAAGGTGCCCTGGAATCATTTCCTCCTCGGCTGTGGAAGTCTCTGCAGTCTTGTTTCAGGAATCCTTGTCCTTGACCACCTTTTCCTATCTTTCTAGCTCACACCCTTACAGTAGTAAATGTAGTAAATATCCTTACATCCCACCAGGATCTACACTCACACTCATTCTACCATCTCTTCACTGTCATTCATACCCTTCATGTATTCACTCCATACTCTAGCCAGCTTACATTCCATGAACAATTGTTTCAATCCCTTGTTCATAATCAATTTACTTGCCTGTCTCCAGGAAAAGTGTACTCACTCAGCCATACCACAGCTGGCTGAATCCATCTCTGGCTGCTCCACATGAACATAGCTGAAGAACAACCAAGCTGATGTGTATTTAAATTGACAAAACTTGGCCAGGCATGGTGGCTCACGCCTGTAATCCCATTTGGGGGGGCCAAGGTGGGAGGATCACTTGAGCCCAGGAGTTCAAGACCAGCCAAGGCAGCACAGTGAGACCCCGTCTCTACATTTTAGGTAAATAAATAAATTGACAAACCTTCCTTGGGCCGTGAGTACTGCCCAGCAATTATACTATATTTCCCTAGACCATTCTGTCTCCCACTCTCCTAGGCAGCTGATTTATACCTTTTCTTCTCCCTTCAGACTTCCAGTATCTCCCCCCAATCCCACTTTGAGTCAATAACCTTGCTTCTTACTTTCCTGAGAAAATTGAAGCATTCTAAAGAAAACTTCCACCACTCCCAGCACCATGTGGTTCTCCTGTCAGTGTCTTCCAGTGCATAGCCAGTCTTCTCTCCTGTCACCAAAGATGAGCTCTCCATGAAGCTGTCTCCTGTGCACCAGATCCTACCCTCCACCTCATTCCCCTTTTCTACTCAGGCCAGCCCATCAGCACACAAACACACTGTTTCTCTCACTTTATCAAAAAAAAAAAAAAAAAAAAGGAAAGACAAGCAAAAAAGAAAATGCATTTTGCCCCTCCATGTAATACTGCATTTCTTTGCTCCCCTAATATAGATCACTTCTCCAAAGAGTGGTCTATACATGCACACTTTCACCACTTCTACTCAACATTGTATTGGAAGTTCCAGCCATAGCCATCAATCAAGAAAAAGAAATAAAAGGCCACCACACTGGAAAGAAATAATGATCTCTGTCCATGGATGAGATTATCTTATACATAGAAAACCTTAAAGGTTACACACATACACACACACACACACACACACACACACCTGTTAGATTAATACGCAAATTCTACAAAGTTGCAGGATACAAAAGCAACACACAAAAATCAACTGCATTTCTATACATTATCAATGAACAATCCAAAAGGGAAATTTTTTTAAATTCCATTTACAATAGCATCAAGAAGAATAAAATACTAAGGCATAAACTTCATCAAGGCAGCAAAATACTTGTACACTAAAAACCACAAAATGTTGCAGAAAGAAATTTTAAAAGGCACAAAAATTGGGACAGGTATGGTGGTTCATGCCTGTAGTCCCAGCTGCTTGGGAAGCTGAGGCAGGAGGATCACTTGAGCCCAGGAGTTCAAGGCTGCAGTGAGCTATGATTGTGCCACTGCACCCCAGCCTGGGCAACAGAGGACACCCTGTCTCTAAAAAAAAAAAAAAAAAAGGCCACGCATGGTAGTGGCTCAGGCCAGGCATGGTGGCTCACGCCTGTAATTGCAGCACTTTAGGAGGCCAAGGCGGGTGGATCACCTGAGGTCAGGAATTCGAGACCAGCCTGGCCAATATGGTGAAACCCCATCTCTACTAAAAATACAAAAAATTAGCTGGGCGTGGTGGTGTGCACCTGTAATCCCAGCTACTTGGGAGGCTGAGGCAGGAGAATCGTTTGGACCTGGGAGGCAGAGGCTGCAATGAGCCAAGATTGCATCACTGTACTCCAGCTGGGCGAAGGAGGAAGACTCCATCTCAACAACAACAAAAAAGATGCAAATAAACAGAAAGCACTCCATATTCATGAATTGGAAGACTTAAGATTGTAAAGATATTAATACCACCAAAAGTGATCTACGGAGTCAATGCAATCCCTATCAAAATCCCAACAATATTTTTACATAAATTTTAAAAATCCATTCTAAAATTCATTTGGAATATCAAATGACCCCAAATAACCAAAACAATGTTGAAAAGAACAACAAAGATGGCAATCTCTCACTTCCTGATTTCAAAACTTACTACAAAGCTATGATAATCAAACCAGTGTGTTACTGACATAAAGACAGATACCTAGACCAACGGAATAGAATAGATAACACAGAAATAAACCCTTGCATATATGGTCAAATGATTTTTAACGAGGGTGCCAAGACCATTCAATGGGGAAAGGACAATCTTTTCAACAAATGGTAACGGGAAAACTGAATATTCACCTGCAAAAGAATGAAGTTAGACCTGTACCTTACACTATATGCAAAAATTAACTCAAAATAGATCAAAGACCTAAATTTAAGAACTAAAACTATAAAACTCCTAGAAGAAAATACAGGGAGATGGCCGAGTGTGGTGGCTCACACATGTAGTCCCAACACTTTGGGAGGCCACAGCAGGTGGATCACTTGAGCCCAGGAATTGGAGACCTGCCTGGGCAACATGGCAAGACCCCATCTCTACAAAAAATACAAAAATTAGCCAGGCATGGTGGCATGCACCTGTAGTTCCAGCTACTAGGGAGGCTGAGGAGGGAGGATTGTTTGAGCCCAGGAGGCAGAGGTTGCAGTGAGCTCTGATCATGCCACTGCACTCCAACCTGGGCAACAGAGCAAGACCCTGTCTCAAAAAACAAAAAAACAGGGAGAAAGCTTCATGACGTTGGATTTGGCAGTGATTTCTTGGATATGACACTGAAAGCACAGGCAACAAGAGGAAAAAAAATGGACACATTGGACTACATCAAAATTAGAAACTTCTGTCCACTCCTGAATTTTTGTTAATATATTTTGCTGCCGAAACAAAGAGTTTGCAGGTTTGGTATACCCTCTGATAGTGGGGGCATATTGACAGCTGCTATGTCCATCACAAACACATGCCTTCCTCTGCAAAAGAGTAACTGTGCAGCCAATTATCCTCAAATGACATGAACTTCTTCCTCGACATTTCTCCCTTAAATTTCCAGGGAAGATTTTGATTTATTTACTTAACAAAACAACCCTCGCAAATTTACCAGGTGGTTGAAAAATAATTATAATAGTAATAATAGGCCAAGTGCAGTGGCTCACACCTGTACTCCCAACACTTTGAGAGGCCAAGGCAGGAGGATCCCTAGAGCCCTGAAGTTTGAGACCAGCCTGGGCAACAGAGGGAGACACCATCTCTATAAAAAAAATTTTAAATTAGTCAGATGTGGTAGTACACCTGTAGTCCCATCTGCTCAGGAGGCTGAGGTGAGCAGATCACTTAAGCCCAGGAGTTTGAGGCTGCAGTGAGCTGTGATCGCCACTGCTGCACTGAAGCCTGGATGACTCTGCCTCTAAAAAAAAAAAAATTAATAGTAATAAGAAAATAATATTATAATGGACACTATCACAAAAGGCAAATACCTTAAACTATTCCTGCAGTGTTGTTTTGTCCAGGCCGAAACCAAAACTGGAGCCCCAAAGTCTGTAGCAGGGAAATTCCCAAGAAGGATTATCTGTAAACCATTTGGAGATGGGGCTGGTTGAGATTCCAAAGAGAGAAGCACTAAACACCAGGGTAATTAGTCTAAAGTATTTATCAGGGGAACTTACTTACAAAAGGGGCTGCAGGAATCCTCTCAACAGCAAGCGAAAGAGATGTTCCACCTAGCTATGTCTGCAATAAGGGGGTTGTGTTATGGAGTTTATATGAGGGTTTGAGGAGTTTGGTTAAGGGCTGGGGCTAGTTTCTTTCAGTGTTCTGGACAACAACCTAAACATGTTTACCAGAGCCTGGGAATGTTCAAGGACCTGACTTAACCCTGCAAAAAAACATGCAACTGGCCAGGTCACAGAGTGGTCAAGGCACTCTGTATTTCTTAGTCGGGATAGATAAAAAGGTTGGGAAAACTAGAGGACCCTATGAATGTATTAGCCAAATAGTATTTGATCAAAAGCATAAATGAAAATTGATGATCCCAAGCATTCATGTGGGAAATCAACTTTTTTTCCTAGAGCTTATCCAATAGTCTAGACAAAATTCTATTTCTGTAAAAAGTAATCAACTTATAAGATGTAGCTAAAAGAGTAATGATCAATATTGTTTCAGATTGCCTAGCACATTTTCTCATGTTCCAAATACAGATCTCTGTGTCCTCCCAGTTCACTCTCATCCAACCCAGCCCCCCCCCATGTCATTTAAACAAGGAAAAGATATGACTTTGCTTTTATTATCTAGGTTAGACAAAATGTTCCCTGAGTTTCCATCAAGTTTTAATTTTGCCAAAGAAATATAATCACAGTTTTCTTAAAAGCCTGTCCCAAGTAGTCATGCCTCTATCTCTGAATTTATTGGCTATCCGGTTATCTTAAGCTTTAACCAGCACAAGTTTCTTTGACGAATTCTTACTTGCATTTAGAAAGGTCATGTTCTTCAGTTTCTGGAGATTGCCTTGAGCTGAGAACAGGCTCCATCAAAGGTCATGGATGGCAGAATGGGCTGGCCATGAAAGACCTCTGAACTCCAGTGGAAAAGCAGATGGAACTTGGAAAGTAAACTAAGGCTACCTCAAAACAACGGCCTTTGTCTTAGGGCAGGCAAGTCAATAGATTATATGAAAATTGTTCTGGGCCGGGCACGGTGGCTCAGGCCTGTAATCCCAGCACTTTGGGAGGCTGAGGCAGGTGGATCACCTGAGATCAGGAGTTCGAGACCAGCCTGGCCAACATGGTGAAACCCCATCTCTACTAATAATACAAAAACTAGCTGGGCGTGGTGGCACACGCCTGTAATCCCAGATACTCGGGAGGCTGAGGCAAGAGGATTGCTTGAACCTGGGAGGTGGAGGTTGCAGTGAGCCGAGATAGCGCCATTGCACTCCAGCCTGGGTGACAGAACAAGACTCCGTCAAAAAAAAAAAAAAAGAAAGAAAAGAAAGAAAAAGGAAGGAAGGAAAAAGAAAGAAAAGAAAAGAAAAGTGAAGGGGTGACTTTCCCCTCCACAACTGTGGGTATTTCTAGTTGGGTGGGACGAGAGACTGAGAAAAGAAATAAGACACAGAGACAAAGTATAGAGAAACAACAGTGGGCCCAGGGGAACGGCGCTCAGCATACCAAGGACCTGCACCGGCACCGGTCTCTGAGTTCCCTCAGCTTTTATTGATTATTATTTTCATTATTTCAGCAAAAAGGAATGTAGTAGGAGAGCAGGGTGATAATAAGGAGAAGGTCAGCAAAAAACATGTGAGCAAAAGAATCTATGTCATAATTAAGTTCAAGGGAAGGTACTATGCCTGGATGTGCACGTAGGCCAGATTTGTTTCTCTCCACCCAAACATCTCAGCGGAGTAAAGAAAAACAAGGCAGCATTGCTGCAAACATGTCTTGCCTCCCACCATAGGGCGGTTTTTCTCTCATCTCAGAATTGAACAAATGTACAATCGGGTTTTATACCGAGACATTCAGTTCCCAGGGGCAGGCAGGAGACAGTGGCCTTCCTCTATCTCAACTGCAAGAGGCTTTCCTCTTTTACTAATCCACCTCAGCACAGACCCTTTACGGGTGTCGGGCTGGGGGACGGTCAGGTCTTTCTCATCCCATGAGGCCATATTTCAGACTATCACATGGGGCAAAACCTTGGACAATACCCCGCTTTCAAGGGCAGAGGTCCCTGTGGCTTTCCGCAGTGCATTGTGCCCCTGGTTTATTGAGACTAGAGAATAGCGATGACTTTTACCAAGTATACTGCTTGTAAACATTTTGTTAACAAGGCACGTCCTGCACAGCCCTGGATCCCTTAAACCTTGATTTCATACAACACATGTTTTTGTGAGCTCCAGATTGGATCAAAGTGGTTGGGTCAAAGTGGCTGGGGCAAAGCTACAAATTAACAACATCTCAGCAAAGCAACTGTTTAAAGTACAGGTCTTTTTCAAAATGGAGTCTCTTATGTCTTTCCTTTCTACATAGACACAGTAACAGTCTGATCTCTCTTTCTTTTGCCTACAAAAAGAAAAGAAAAGAAAAGAAAAGGAAAGGAAAAGGAAAAGAAAAGAAAATTGGCCAGGCACGGTGGCTCATGACTGTAATCCCAGCACTTTTGGAGGCCAAGGAGGGAGCATCACTTCAGCCCAGGAGTTTGAGATCAGCCTGGGCAATACAGTAAGACCCTTGTCTCTACAACATATATTTTTAAACAGATATATTTTTTAGTCAGGCATGGTGGCACGTGCCTGAAGTCCCAGGTACCTGGGAGGCTGAGGCAGGAGGATCACTTGAGCCCAGGAGTTCAAGGCTGCAGTGAGGAATGATTAAACCACTGTACTGCAGCCTGGGTGACAGAGCCAGACCTTGACTCAAAAAAAAAGAAAAAAAAAAGAAAAAGTGAGGTTGGAAAACTCATTCATGAATTTAATATATGACCAGGTATATTATTCTCAATCATATTGATGCTTTGGAATATTTCGTCCTCAAATCAATTCCTTTTTTGTTCCTTAAATACCTTAATCTCATATTTTGTAAAAACATAAATTCTGAACGCTAACCTACCCACCCAAGATAAAGATCTTGACATTAAAGAAGTCTCTTTCATTCAAATGATGCCTTGTAATATCTCTCTGCCCTGAGCAAATGTGAACCATGATGAACATGAAAGCCCAACAGTGTCAAAACCATCTATTTCAATAGATTTGTCAATATTTCACACTTGTAAAAAGGTGTTAATGTCACATAAATGTTATATAAGTTACATTAGATGTTCTCCTGGCTGGGTTTACTGAATTTTGCCAGATAGTTTCTGTTTCAGCCTAACCCCAGATTATTTTCTCTTTTAAGAAGTAGAGGGCCAGGCACAGTGGCTCACACCTGTATAATCACAGTACTTTGGGAGGCTGGGCTCCCAAAGTGCTTGAGCCCAGGAGTTCAAGACCAGCCTAGGCAACATAGGGAGACCCCATCTTTAAAAAAAAAAAATTAAAAATTAGCCGGGTGTGGTGGTGCGCACCTATTGTCCCAGCTACTTGGGAGGCTGAGGAATTGCTTGAACCATGATCACACCACTGCATTCCACCCTGGGCAACAGAGTGAAACCCCATATCAAAAAAAAAAAAAAAAAATTAGAAGCAAAAAAATGGGTTTTTCATGTATGTACACTAGGCAGTTTACAAAAGTGAAGAAGATAATTGCTCTTGGTCCTTTTGGATCACTGGCATTTCTCCTCACCATCACTCTATATAATCAGTCACCAAGTCCCACTCATTCTTTCTTTGCAGTGTCTCTAGGATCCATTCTTTCTCTCCATTTCAAAATAAGATAACAGTTTTTTAATGTTTTCTGTAAACTAGAAAGTACTATACAAATGTGAGATATTATTTCCACTATGTTCTCCTTACTCCAGGTCATCATTGTCATCACCTCCTCTTAGTTAGGTCCCTGTACCCTTCTGATACCCCCTTCTCCAGTCTTACTCCTTATTCCCACTAATTTGACATTAAAGATCATAACTATCTTGGTCACAATTGTGTCTTCTCTCTGGGACATAGAAGGTGTAGCAAACATGATAAGCAAGTACTTAATAGCTATGTCATATAAAATGTCCATACATGTTGGTAGACAAAAACATCAAGACCCCATTAGATTAAAGACCACAGAACTATGTATGTATCTGAGAATTGGAAAGTTACCAAAATAATTGATGCTCCTGGTGAGTCCTTCTCCACCAAAAGCTCTTACTTCCCCCAGAGGTAACCACCATCCTGCTACCTATTTTTTTTCCTGTTTTGCTTTATAGATTTACTATATGTTAATATACATACAGATATATAGATATATATCTCTCTCCCTAAACAACGTTAGGTTAGTTTTCCTTGCTGCTTTTGAACTTTATAAAAATCTTTTCACATTACAGTCTTCTAAACCTCCTTTTGTCACTCAGCCTTACATTACTAAGATTAATCCATATCGATATTGTATAGTGTAGTTCATTTATTCTCACTGCTGAATAATTTTCCACCATACGACTATATCACAATTTTTGTCTTTTAAAAAAGTTTATGGTGGCCAGGCACAGTGGCTCACGCCTGTAATCCCAGCACTTTGGGAGGCCGAGGAGGGCAGGCCACCTGAGGTCAGGAGTTTGAGACCAGCCTGGCCAACACGGTGAAACCCCGTCTCTACTAAAAATACAAAAATTAGCCGGCTGTGGTGGCGGGCTCCTGTAATCCCAGCTACTCGGGAGGCTGAGGCAAGAGAATGGCTTGAACCCGGGAGGTGAAGGTGGCAGTGAGCCGAGATCACACCATTGCACTCCAGCCTGGGCAACAAGAGGAAGACTTGCTCTTTAAAAAAAAAAAAATTATGGTGAGTTGTTTTTTTTGTTGTTGTTGTTGTTTTTTGAGACAGAGTCTTGCTCTGTCACCCAGGCTGTAGTGCAATGGCATGATGTTGGCTCGCTACAACCTCTGCCTCCTGGGTTCAAGCAATTCTCCTGCCTCAGCCTCCCGAGTAGCTGGGATTACAGGCGCCCACCACCACACCCAGCTAATTTTGTATTTTTAGTAGAGACGGTGTTTCACCGTGTTGGTCAGGCTGGTCTCAAACTCCTGGCCTCAAACAATCCACCCACCCTGGCCTCCCAAAGTGCTGGGATTACAGGCGTGAGCCACTGCGCCTGGCCACCATAAATAAGAAGACAAAAGTAAGATACATTTATTGTAGGTAATTGGAAAATACAGAAAAATAAAAATAAAGATCATTTGAAATCGCACCACTGTTAGCGTCTTGATTTATATATCATTTTGACCTGTATTTTTAACAGAATTGGATCATACCCAACATAATCTACATTTTACTTAACCATATAACATGAACATTTCCTCATTCATTAAGCATCATCCTTCTACAATTTGACCTTTAATGGCTATTTTTTTTACCGTAACATGGATGATGGATCCTGAAGTTTTTTGAACAAGAGAACTGAGGTTGTCATGAAAAGCCATTCCGAAAAGCAGGATGGGCAGAAGCTAAAGGTGAAAGGCCCGTTCAGAGGCCAGTGATGTCACCTGTAACAGACGCAATCACCTGTTATTCACCATTTTCTGTTCTTCCAAAGGAGATACTTCTCTTCCGTGCTCCCCTTTCCATGAGGGGACTCAGTTCCCACTTGTCTTCTCCCAATTCCCTCAGGAAAGATACAGCCTGAAGGCCCACCAGCACCAGCAAGGGTGACTCAGCATAATTGTTACCTGACTTCAAATCCTTGAAAATGATTTTCAGCAAGTTCATATTTGTTTCACCAATCACTTCATGCCTTGTCAGCTACTGATAAGTCCTTTCTCTTCAACACACACACACACACACACACACACACACACCACCACACACATGATTTATTTGGAAGCAAATTTCTGCTCTACTTTCATGGCCTACTCACCTAGTACATTCTCTGAGAAACCTTCCCCAAATTATTTCCTTTCCCTCCCCTCTCTGAGCAATGACTTCTTTCTCTGAGCCCCACTGTCCCAGCACCAGCTGCTGTTGTCCCACATGGGAGGTAGTTTTTTGCTGCAGTTTAAGCTATGTGCCCTCCCAAGACAGGGATGCTTGCCTCCTGACCTCAGCGGTCCCAGTGCCTGGCTCATGGGAGCTCAGTTGTGTTAAATGGATGCCAATTTGAAAAAGAAAAGAAAAAGGAATATACGAAAGGTTTAGGAGACATCAGATTTCCTTGGGTCTAGGCTGAAAAGAACTCAGTTCTGAGTAACTTTGTTATACAATCACATCAGAAGTTTTTCACAGTGCTATTTGCCATCGTGTTGCCTCGGTGCCCTGCGTGTTCCACATAAAACTGCCATTTTATTACCACTTCCACCCACACCAGAAACCTGCAGTACATCTCAATGAGCAATTCTTTATGTCTGCAAAGATCTAAAGTGCCTGTCCCTGCTTTCTCATTCAATGAATATTTAGTAAGCAACTATTATGTGCAAGGAACAATCTCTTTGGGCAGCCGTCTTGAGACCCACCGCCAGAAGTAAATAGGGGCATTATTATAAATGTACACCCAGACACTGAATAATGACGGATGAGGATGCGTCCAGCTTTACCTCTGCAACTTGTGCTTTCAAAATCAGTACATCCTGTCCTAGCTTTCCCTGTGCCTTTTCAACTTTATAACTTAGGCTGCCCACATGATACAAGCATCTAGAAACAGCTTTTAAAATAAGGCTATTTAAGTTTAGAAAAACTTTGTTGTTCATGATCACTCCTATGCCTAATGAGAAGTAACAGTACCAGAAAAGTAAAGTGCGTCCTCACACAGGCAGAACTGAAGGTCTTATATCTCCTGTAACAAAATGCATCACTCTTCCTCATAACATTGAATTGCACAGAAATAGAAGTTCAGTTTCTCATGCGATAAAGCAGTTAACGCCTGTAATCCCAGCACTTTGGGAGGCCGAGGCGGGTGGATCACGAGGTCAGGAGATCGAGACCATCCTGGCTAACACGGTGAAACCCCATCTCTACTAAAAACACAAAAAAAAAATTAGCCGGGCGTGGTGGCCAGCGCCTGTAGTCCCAGCTACTCGGCAGGCTGAGGCAGGAGAATGGCGTTAACCCGGGAGGCGGAGCTTGCAGTGAGCCAAGATCGCGCCACTGCACTCCAGCCTGGGCAACAGAGCGAGACTCCGTCTCAAAAAAAAAAAAAAAAAAAAAAAAGAAGTTAACAAAGTTCATTCTGTGTTGAGAACAGGGCTGGAGTGAGGTAGAGAAAGCCTGAGACACACAAAGGAAGGGGACCTCCTCAGAGGAGACTTAGGAAAACGTGGTGTTATGGGGAAGAAATATAAAAAAGAATGGTAATCAAGGGGCAGACACTATAGCAACCTCAACTGAAGTAAAGGCTGAGTAGCATCCACTAATTCTGCAATTCACCAGTTACAAGCACGGTTTCAGTGCTGGCAATGAAAAGGACTGAATTGCATTGGATTGAGGAAGGCATGAGGGTGACAAAGTGGAGGGGAGAGTGTAAACTACTCTTTTAGGAATCTGATTTCAAAAGAAGACCAAGACAGGATAGTATCTAAAAGAGGTCCCAGGGTACCAAGAGGGGCCTTTTAAAGACAGTGGAGAGATGCAAATGTGTATCTAGGCTTGGCAGACGAGCCAGTGGACAGGAGAAGCTGAGGATGAGGGTGGGGGTGGGGGGCTGGAGATTGGATTCAGAACAGAAGGGAAGGAATTTGCCCTCCATAGGAGAGGGACACTTCTGCCATAAAACTGCAGGGGAAGAAATTATATTGGGCAGTGGGGAAAACAGGAAATGAAGGGATTTCTCATGTGACACAATTTTCTCTCAGTGTGACAAGTAGTCAGTGGTGTCAGGGCATTGAAAACAATAGTGAGTGTTTAAAATAACACTTGGGGAAATTGGAGACAGCTGGTTAGGGACATAACTGCTGCAACAAGCTCAGTGCTGGACTGCAAGCTCAGTATTGTATTAGCAAGTGAGTAACTGAAACAAAGGATGGTGAGCGTGAGGACACACAGAGGAAGAAGCCACTCTCCCTTCTTCCTCCTCCTAGGAAGAAAATGAAGGCAGGAACATGTTGACAGATTGAAGAAAATGGAAGCAATGGTCAAGGGACCTGCAGTTTCCATGAGGTCAAACAACAGGATTTGGGAGGACAGAAGGGAGAGACCTGGAAAGATAGGACTACGAAATCAGTAATTAGGTACTGAAACTTAAGACTTCAGAGAAGGAGTGGCTCTGAGTGCTTAAAGTCCAGATTGAGGTTATGATCTGTGTGGTTGCCTGAAACAAATGAAGATCACTAAAGTTGGAGAGATCAAGGGTGAAACTAAGATACTGTATCGTCTTCATGAGCACCAAAGACACTCAAAATGATGGCAGGACTGTGACAGAGAGGAAGGTCCTAAGCCAGGTGAAAACATAATGGGTATGGTGGACATTTGGTTTTTGACGGCCCAGCTTCCATTTCTTCCTCTTCTAATGTAGCACCCTGATTTCCTTTTGGAGAATTACCTCTCTCTGTGGTCTGCAGGCTAGGTGGGTATGTAAATCCCAACACCTTGTCCTCCCCTATCCACGGTATGGGCACAACACCTCTCTATCCTCTCTGTCTCTCCCAAAGCTGGGATTACAGGCGTGAGCCACCGCACCTGGCACTTGTTCTTCATTTCTTCTTTCCTTTCTTCCTGTATATCATATTTCCTAAATTTTCTTTCTTTTTTTTTTCTTTTTTGAGACAGAGTCTTGCTCCGTGGCCTAGGCTGGAGTGCAGTGGCGTGATCTCGGCTCACTGCAACCTCTGCCTCCTGGGTTCAAGTGATTCTCATGCCTCAGCCTCCCGAGTAGGTGGGACCACAGGTGCAGGCCACCACACCAGCTAATTTTTGTATTTTTAGTAGAGACGGGGTTTCACCATGTTGGCCAGGATGGTCTGGAACTCCTGACCTCAGGTGATCTCCTGCCTCGGCCTCCCAAAGTGCTGGGATTATAGGCGTGAGCCACCATGCCCAGCCTACAAGAGAATTGTTTTAAATGTGGAAAAAAAAAAGATTTTATGTTTTAATATTCACAAATATGTTATTTTAGAAAAAAAAATTTAAAATAGATTTTAGTAGAATTATTACATGTATTCTAATAAAAATAAAAGCTAATTTGTCAGCCAGGCATGGTAGTCCACACCTGTAATCCCAGAACTTTGGGAGGCTGAGGCATGTGGATTACTTGAGCTCAGGAGTTCGAGACCAGCCTAGCAAAGATGGCAAAACCCCATCTCTACAGAAAATACAAAAATTAGCTCGGCATGGTTTTGTGCACATGCAGTCCCAGCTACTCAGGAGGCTGAGATGGGAGGATCACATGAGCCTGGGAGGTAGAGGTTGCAGTGAGCCATGACTGCACCACTGCACTCCAGCCTGGGAAACAAAGCCAAACTCTGTCGCAAAAAATCCAAAAACAAATTTGTCAGTTAATACATATTTCAAAAATTATTATTTTATCACCACTTTCATTCCCAAAATTGTCCTGGTTTTGACAATAAATTATTTAGTCACCCTATATTTGGGATCATATACTATTTTACATCTGGGTTTTTTTCTTTCTTTCTTCTTTTTTTTTTTGAGTCAGGGTCTCACTGTATTGCCCAGGCTGGAGTGCAGTGGCACAATCATAGCTCACTGCAGCCTTGAACTCCTGGGTTCAAAGGATCCTCAGCCTCCCAAGTAGCTGGGACTACAGGTACATGCCACCACATCTGGCTAAGTTTCTATTTTTTTTAATAGAGATGGGGTCTCACTATGTTGCCCAGGCTGATCTCAAACTCCTGGCTTCAAGCATTCTTCCTGCCTCGGCCTCCCAAAGTGCTGGCATTACGGGTGTGAGCCACTACACCTGGCCTGGTCATTTTTTGCAATTAACATTACATTTTCAACATTCTCCCATGTTCAAATATCTTCAGAACATCCCATTGAGTTTTCTACTTAGGATTTGCATGTCTGTCTCTCTGCACTTGTCCCCATCCCTCCTTTAAAATAAACAACTTGTCTTGAAAGTCAAAGATAGGAATTTAACATTTTTTGCCATGTTATGATTTGCTTTTTTCAATCTGACATATTGATGCTGGAAAGTCGTTGACATCCATTCCTTCCACAGAATATTTACTGTGTTTATATCTGGCTAGCCCTAGGTACTACCTAGCCTAGATACTCAGAGGGGTATACTGTTCTCCAGAATGTTATAATCTACAGTGGCAGAGAAGTCTGTGGATAGAAAACAGAAAGCAGCTCCAGAATACAGTTGATGAAGTGGCACAGGAATCCCTAGGAAGGAAAGGATACCCGGGCGGGTCATTCCAGGTGGTAGGGATAGCATGTATTATAGTAAGATACAAACTAATACTAAGGTACAAGATTTGGATTATTGTTTAAAACCATACTCCAACTCCAAACTTTATTTAACATACATGTAGGGAGACAACTGAACCAGAGATGTTCTTTGTATTTTTTATTCATTCACTCTACAAACCTCCATGTACCAAGTACTGGCAGGCTCCAGGGGAAACTGAAGTCTTCAAAATTTTACAGGCTAGTGGAAGAAATAGCTAAGTTACTCAACGCTTTGGTTATAATGTGGTAAGTGTTAGGGCAGCCATACACCCTGATGTTGTGCTATGACCAGAAGAGAAGCAATTCATCAGATTAAGAGGGATAGAAGGGCAGTTGAGGAGGTGTTCTCAGAAGTGAACCCTGAACTGAGACTTTTTTATTGTAGTAATAAAATATACATAACATAAAATTTACCATTTTAAGCACTTTAAGTGTACAGTTCAGTGGCATTAATTACATTCACATTATCATGCAATCTGCCCTGAGACTTTAAAAAACTATTATTATTCCTTTTTTTTCTTATTACAATCCTCATTGTAGAAAATTTAGGACCAGGTGTGGTGGCTCACGCTTGTAATCCCAGCATTTTGAGAGGTCAAGGCAGGTGGATCACCTGAGGTCAGGAGTTCAAGACTAGCCCAGCCAACATGGTGAAACCCCATCTCTAAAAAAATACAGAAATTAGCTGGGCATGATAGCGGTGCCTATAATCCCAGCTACTTGGGAGACTGAGGCAGGAGAATCACTTGAACCTGGGAGGCAGAGGTGGCAGTGAGCCGAGATCGCGCCACTGCACTCCAGCCTGGGCAACAGAGCGAGACTCCGTCTCAAAAAGAAAGAAAATTTAGGAAATATGATATACAGGAAGAAAGGAAAGAAGAAATGAAGAACAAGGGCCAGGTGCGGTGGCTCACGCCTGTAATCCCAGCTTTGGGAGTCCAAGGCGGGAGGATCACGAGGCCAAGAGTTCAAGACTAGCCTGGCCAACATGGTGAAACCCTGTCTCTACTAAAAATACAAAAAATTAGCCAGACGTTGTGGTGGGGGCCTGTAATCCCAGCTACTTGGGAGGCTGAGGTAGGAGAATTGCTTGAACCCAGGAGGTGGGGTTGCAGTGAGCAGAGATAGCACCATTGCATGCCAGCCTGGGCAACAGAGCAAGACGCCATCTCAAAAAAAAAATAGAAGAAATGAAGGGACAAAGGAAGGAAGGAAGGCAAACAAAGGATGGAAGAACTACAATAATCCCACGGGAGATAAACCTTGTGAATAATCATTGTGTATCCTTCCAGGCTTTTCTTTAGGTGGATGTGTGTATTATGTATCCTATTTTAAAATCAAAGTAGGATCATACAATTCAGACTGATTTGTAGTCCCTTTTCATTTTTGAAGTATATTATGAATATATGTATTAAATATTCTCCTATGATATGGCTGCTTCATTTTTCATAAACCATTTCCCCTATTTTTGACAATTCAGGCTATTTCTCATTTGTTCTTTATTATACGTGTGTGTGTGCACGTGTGTGTGTGGATAGGTAGGTAGGTAGATAGATAGATAGATAGATAGATAGATAGATGGGTTTTTTTGAGACAGGATCTCGTTCTTTCACCCAGGCTGGAGTGCAATTATGCGATTATAGCTCACTATAACCTCCGCCTCCTGGGCTCAACCAATCCTCCCACCTCAGCTTCCTGAGTAGCTGGGATTACAGGCGTACACCCCCACACCCAGCATTTTTTTTTTTTTTTTGTAGAGATGGGGTTTCACCATGTTGCCCAGCCTGGTCTCCAACACCTAGGCTCGAGCAATCCTCCCACCTCAACCTCCAAAAGTACTGGGATTACAGGCATGAGTCACCATCCCTGACCTGTTCCTTATTATATTTTTTTAATGCAGCCAGGAACATTCCTTGTAATTAAGTCTTTGTTGGGTCTGTACTTTATTTCCATAGAATAAAGTCTTAAAATTAAATTTCTGGATGTAAAAATATTCTAATGTTACAACTTCAAATGATGTATACAAACTGAATCAAACAGAGTTGAATCAATTTATAGTCCCACAGTCAGTGGGTGAAAGTGCCCTGGGCCAGGACTTCAGACTTCCTTACGGACTTGCTGCCCCACATTTGGGAAGTGATAGTTGCTGCTGTCACAGAGGTAAAATGTCCGAGTCAAGAAAAACCCTGAAAACCATTCTGGGGCTTTACTTCCTTTAACAAGAAGTAAAGGCCTGACATCAAGAGCTACTTACTTGGTACTCCTGCAATAAGAAGCTCTGCAGGTGGTGAGTATCAACCTGGCCCTCAAATGATTACAGAGGCTTTGGTTGCAATAAGAAGCTCTGCAGGTGGCAATAATATGGAAGTGCTGGGAAGGGAAGAGGGTGGTCTCTTTAAACAATACAGAAGTGGGGAAGGGAAGTGCTGGGTAGAGGAGGGCATGGTCCCTGGCTAGGGCTCTACCCCCATGGACCTAGGTGAGGACAGGCATTTCCTGCCCAAATGTTGCATTTCCCAAGACCTCCCCTGGCCTGCCACACCCCTATTCTGTGCCTATAAAAACCCCCAAGACCCTAGCAGGCAGACACACAAGCTGCTGGATGTTGAGAGGAGCAGATCGGTGGAAGAAGACACGGGCAGCTGGACGTCAAATGGAGCATATCAGCAGAGGAACACACGGGCAGCTGGAGGTCAAGAAGAACGCACCAACAGGCACTGGTATGCCAGCAGGCCACTGACCAGCAGAAGCAGAATGACACAGAATTTGGCCAGGGCAGTTGAAGGAGAGCCCAGGCCGCTGAGTAGCCTGACTCCAGGGGAAAATCTTCCCACTCCATCCCCTTTCTGGCTTCCCCCATCTGCTGAGAGCTACCTCCACTCAATAAAACCTTGCACTCATTCTCCAAGCCCAGGTGTGATCTGATTCTTCCAATACACTAGGGCAAGAATCCAGGATACAGAAAACCCTCTGTCCTTGCAACAAGGTAGAGGGTCTAATTGAGCTGGTTAACACAACCACCTATAGACAGCAAAACTAAAAGAGCACCCCTTAGCACACGCCCTCTGGGGCTCAGGAACTGTAACCATCCACCCCTAGATGCTGCTATAGGGTCGGAGCATCACATTCTGCCCATCTGTATGCTCCCCTAGAGGTTTGAGCAGTGGGGCATTGAAGAAGCGAGCAGCTCCCCTGTCACACGCCCTGTGAGGAGGACAAGATAACTTTTCCCATTCGACTAAGAGTATCAACCTGGCCTTCAAATGATTACAGAGGCTTTGTGTTGTGCTCTCCCTAGCACCCACCCTATCATCTATCCCAAATGTCTTTCTCCTACTCCCAGAACAAGAACCCCATCATGCTGGCTGCAGTAAGGAGGCGCGACTGGGGCTCTATGCTTCATGGAGCCAGCGGGATCTGGGGACAAGCAGGAGCTCCGCCACTTCTGAGTTGGTGGGGCAGGAGCTCCCTGGATGCAGCCACAGCCACCCAAATCATGGCTGCAAACCTGGGCCTCCTGCTGCATGGAGGAGGCAAAAGCCCTGGCACCCCGAATGCTGTGGACCTGAGCCTCCCTGTGCTCTTAGGGAGGCCAGAACTAGGCAGCAGCCCTGACTGCCTAGGCACAGCTGCAACCACCCACACTACAGCTGCAGACCCAGACTACCCTGCACTCTTGGGGGCCCAGGAAGGTCCCACCTGCCCTCACAGGCTCAGAAATCCCTGCTGCTGCTGCTGACTGGCTTTCTGCCTGCTGTTGGCACCTGCTTTGATCTCAGAACAAAGTTGGGGCCAAACCTGGGTGCTGTCGCAGCCCAGTCAGATGTACACATGCTCAGTGCAGTGCTGACATGCCAGCCCCCTGCCAGCTCAGCCCCCTCCAGACATTGGGCACTGATGTGCCTAGGAGGGAAGTTGACAAGGGGCTGAGGGCAGCTCAGCACTGGCCTGCAGGTGCACCTTGGCACCTACAGCCTGGGTGCCATGAATGGCAGCAGGAGGCACACAGGTTCCTGGGAGGAAGGGGGTGGGTCCCTGGTGAGGCCCCACCTTGAGGCCAGGGAGACCCTGAAGACTGGGGGCCAAGCATGCCAGTCCCATGGACCATAGTGGGAACTTGTGGTGTCTTTTGTATGCCTGCCCGTGGCTGCCCATGGACCAACTGGTGCTCATTTCCTCCCCTCTGAGGCCCATTAAAGCCCTGGGCTCAGCCAGAGCTGAGCAGATGTCGGGACAACCAGCTGCAGAGAGGAGCAACCCACTCTAGGGCCTCTTCTCTGCTGAGAGCTGCAGAGTTGATGGAGAGATGACAGGGAGATGACAGGATGACCTGCCTGCAGAGGGGAGCCACCCACTCTAGGGTATCCTCTCTCCTGAGAGCTGTATAGACGACGAGACAACCACCTGCAGAGAGGCGCTACCCTCTCTGCTAGGATCTGAACACCCATCAGGACAACCTGGCTGCAGAAAGGAGCTGCCCCCTGTGGGTTTCCTCTGAGATGTTATATTGCTCAATAAAGCTCCTCTTTGTCTTGTTCACCCTCCACTTATCTACGTACCTCATTCTTCCTGGTCTCAGTACAAGAACTTGGGACCCACTGAATGGTGAGGCTAAAAGAGCTGTAACACAAACAGGGCTGAGACATGCTTCCCCCTTGCTCTCCATGTTGCAGGCAAAGAGAAGGAAAGAAGAGCTGCAGCCCTTTGGGGATCCCAGACCTGGGAGCTCCCCAAGACTGGCCCGTGATTCCTTCTTTGGGGCCCTGCAGTTCCTGGCATCTCCAAGCTTCCAGCCACCACCATATTCCCTGGCGCCAGCCATGGAAGCTGCTTGCGGTGCACCTGGTCCAGCCTTAGCCTAGCAGAGAGCCAGTGCCCATGCCAGCACCTGAAGCTGCCTGGCCCACTGAAGCAGCTGGCATGTCTGACTGTGCACACTGGTCAGACCCCATGCTTGCTCATACACCCTACGCCATTCCGCACCTGACTCACCCTTAGCAGGCATGGGAACCAGGCCAGTAACGTAAGCTGAAAACAGCCTGCTGGGCCAAGTGGACAAAATGAGCCCAGCAGGCCCAAGCAAAACTCAGGCAAAGGCACCGCCAGCCACAGAGGTTTCCAGTGAGAAAAACAACACCCCAAAGATCCTGTAATATTTTGGGGGCTCATCCAGGATCTGTGGAAGGGTAAGTAAAAGCAGATCTGCTCTTTCTGTCCTTTTTTGGAGTCCCTAAATTCCACAATAGCTAAAATGAAAGAAAAATGCCAGCCTCTGTCAGCCAGTTAAAAGCAACTAGTGTGGCTGCTGGACTTAAGACACAGAGGACAGGCTCGCTGGGGAGGACACTGTCAATCCCCCATCACCCTCAGGTTTTGGGAATGTTGGCTTTATTCCAACCCGGTTTCCTTTCATGGAGGTCTAGCCACTGGGTGGAAGACAAAGGAGGTTGTGGGGCAACTCAGAGTATCTGGCTGAGGCTTCGCCTCGTTATCCAAAGGCCCCTGGACTAACTCCAGTCCCCGACTGCCCATTAGGGTGTTGCCACTAGAACCTCCCATCTTTCCTATCTTTCTTTCTTTCCCACTCTTTCTTTCTTTCACGGCTGTCAAAGTTCCTATCTCTACTTTATATACAACGTCGAATGTTAAGGATGTTGTTGCAAACCAGAAATATTACTGGGTAGAATAAGCATTTGGCTTAGTCTTCAAAAGTATAAAATGGAAGGTTAAGAGTAGCACAGATGAAGCAAAGTGGGCCTTGGTATCTGTACATAAATTTGTGGTGAAAATGTTCTTGTCATTTCCTTGGTTGCCAATTTAGTGCCAAGAACCTTGAGGCACAGAAAAGAAGCATGGCCCCAGGAAGGAAGCTTTTCTGTAAATGCAAGGGCAAATGGTCCAAGGTCCCATACATGCAGGCCTTTTTTGCCTTGCAGGGTAATCCAAACCTTTGCTGATGTGGTAGGATTGAATCAGCTCACCTCATGGCCATCTCAGGAGAGCCTGCAAAGGGCAATCCCAGGGAAATAGGGAAGCAAACCCCAGAGGTACCTCCAGTGGGGGAATCAACCCCCTCCACTGTTTTCTCTCAAGCTTGGCCCAGCCTAGAAATCCTCATTTTAGGCAGGTCCCAGTCACAACTGCCCCTACAACAGATGCCTGGTGAATATGGCCCCATTAAGGTCCAGGTTCCCTTTTCTCTACAGGACTTAAGGCAAATTAAGGGGGATCTTGGCAAGTTTTTAGACAGCTCTAACAGGTATATAGGGGCTTTCCAGAACTTAACCAAAGTATTTGAGCTCTCCTGGAAGGATGTCATGTTACTTGTTTTTTTTTGAGACAGAGTCTCACTCTGTCACCCAGGCTGGAGTGCAATAGCGTGATCTCAGCTCACTGCAACCTCTGCCTCCCAGATTCAGGCAATGCCTCAGCCTCCTGAGTAGCTGGTATTACAGGTGTCCACCACCATAACCGGCTAATTTTTGTATTTTTAGTAGAGACAGGTTTCACCATGTTGGCCAGGCTGGTCTCAACCTCCTGACCTCAGATGATCTGCCTGCCTTGGCCTCCAAAAGTGCTGGGATTACAAGTGTGAGCCACTGCACCAAGCCTCATGTTACTTTTGAATCAAACCCTGACCACCGCTGAAAAGCAGGCCACCCTGCAAGTGGCAGAGAATTTGGGGAATGAGCCATATATATATATATATATATATATATATATATATATATTTTTTTTTTTTTTTTTTTTTTTTTTTTTTTTAAAGACGGAGTCTCACTCTGTCACCCAGGCTGGAGTGCAGTGGTGCAATCTCAGCTCACTGCAAGCTCCACCTCCCAGGTTCACACCATTCTCCTGCCTCAGCCTCCTGAGTATCTGGGACTACAGGTGCCCACCACCATGCCCGGCTAATTTTTTGTATTTTTAGTAGAGACAGGGTTTCACCATGTTAGCCAGGATGGTCTCGATCTCCTGACCTCATGATCCACCTGCCTCAGCTTCCCAAAGTGCTGGGATTACAGGCGTGAGTCACTGTGCCTGGCCAATGAGCTTTATATCTTATATAGGACCAGGAAAGGGTATGAGACTTATCTGATTGGAAAAATAGCAGTACCATTGGAGGTTGAAAATTGGACCCCAATGATGAAATAGGAGAATAGAAGAGGAAACACTTTCAGGTGTGTATACCGGAGGGCTTATGAAGGACAAGGACTAAGGCCCTGAATTACACCAACCTATTCATGGTAGAATAGGGATTTGATGAGAATCCCACTGGCTTCCTGGAAAGGCTAAGAGGGAGGGGCCTTGGTAAAACACACCTCTCTATCTCCTGATTCAGTAGCAGAATAGCTGGTCCTAGGCACTGACTTTATCACACAGGTGGCCCCTGATGTCAGGAGGGGGCAGCAGAAACGGGCTGTGGGACCAGATGGTACTTTGGAGGGCTTCCTGGTAGGAGCCACGTTGGTCTTTTGCAGTGGGAACTGGGAGGAAGTCCAGAAAAGAGGGGAGATACAGGAAAAAGGCAGAGGCTCTAATAGCTGCTCTGTGGGCTCATGGACCCCAGAGTCCCTGATATGCACCTGTTGACTACTGCAAATGTGGCAGGCCAGGTCATTTTAGGAGGGACTGTCTGGACAGTGTGGGGAGGCCACCTCGACCCTGTCCAGTTTGTGATGAGGACAATTAGAGGGCGGACTATCCCTGGAGACACGGGTCACCCGGTCCAGGGCCGGCCTCCCTTATAGTGCAGCGGGACTGACAGGCTCTGGGGCTCCTCTCCCCAGCTCCGGTTGTTCAGACTACCATTGCCACCCAGGAGCCCCAGGTGATTCTGGGCATCAAGGGAAGGAGGGTTGACCTCCTTCTGGACTCTGGAGCAGGTCTTTCAGTTCTCCTCTTCAATCTAGGCCCTCCTCCTCCTTTGGCACAACCGTGAGGGGCATCTCAGGTCTCCTTCTGCCACTGTCATAGTCCTGTGAATACAGGAAGCTTTTTCTTGCAACAGGTTAGCTTTTTTTCCTTTCAGGAGGCACCTTATTAGGCCAGGTCCCCAATTCCTGGGACTCCCATTCTCTCCCTTGTTTGAGGAGGAACTGGTCCCACAGCTTCACCTGCTTATGATAGGGAGGCAACAGAGGAGCAGCCCCAGCCAGTTGCTAGCTGCAATTTGGTGAGGGCTGCCTGGGACTAATTTAATGGGCCCATACACCCTCTTGAGGCACCTTTTTGTCCCAAGGTTTCTGATAATTTTGGAGATTGTGAACAGGAGTTTCTTTGAGTGAACGGAACTAACAGAAGACTGAAGTAATCTTTTTTGACATTTTGCTTGAACCATTGATGATCCTTCGTTTTGTTTTTCAGAATCAAGGAAGCTTTCCTTTTGAGATATTTGTAGCTTTTGACAGTTGTGAGGGTGAACCAACCAGTGATCTCTGACTGCAGCTCAGAAGAAACAAAAAGGATGGGCCGTCAAACTCCAATGGTCATGCAAATGGAGCCTCGGACAATGGCTCCCTTTTACTGGAGACCCTTATATAGGCCCCTGAGAGAAAACCTGACTGCCATTTTCCCAAAAACAATGCCCCCTGTCAGCATGAAGCAGTTAAGAATGGTCACTGTCCCTATCCTAACGGCAGTTAGATGTACCTCTACAGAGTGGTGATTGATGGCAGTGGTGGGCCATCTAGAGTGGCCGCTGCCATCACACAGGCTGCAGCAGGGAGGTACAGCCAGAGCTGTATACTCCATGCAGCTGGTGGGAGCCTCAGACAAGTGGGAGCCCTGCCCCTTCTGATTTGTTAGGGTGGGAGCTCCCCAGGTGCAGACACAAGTCTGCCCAAGTTATGGCTGCAAACTGGGCCTCCCAAAGCACAGAGCAAGAAGAAGCCCCACCCCCTGGGGCACAGGTTAAGCTGCCCAAGTCATGGCTGCAGACCCAGGCCTCCCTGTGCTCTTGGGGGTGCTGGGAGCAGGGAGGAGCCCTGTCCTCCTAGGCGTGGCTGCAGCCACCCAAGTCGTGACTGCAGAGCATGACCTCCCACTCCACAGAGCAGGACCCCCACCCCCTGGATGCAGCTGCAGACACCCAAACTGTGGCTGTGAACCCAGGCATCCCTGCACTCTTGGAGACCCAGGATGGTCCTCTCCCCCTGCCCTCACAGGCTTGGAAGTGCCTGCTCCTGCCGCCTGGCTTCTCCCTGCTGTCGGTACCCACTCCGATCTAAGAGCAAAGTCATGGTCAAGCCTGAGCTCTGTCACAGCCCAGCCAGGTGTGTACATGCTCAGGGAAGTGTTGACACACCAGCCCCCTGCCACTTCAGCCCGCCTCTGGACCTTGGGTGCCAAAGAGCACAGGAGGGAAGCTGAGGGGGTGATAAGGGCAGTTTGGCACTGGCCTGCAGGTGCCCCTTGGCACGTACAGCCTGGGTGCCATGAATGGCAGCAGGAGGCAGACAGGTTCCTGGGGGGAAGGGAGTGGGTCCCACGTGAGGCCCCACCTTCAGGCCAGGGAGGGCCTGAAGGCTGGGGGCCAGGCTGCTGCTCCCATAGACTGCAGTGGAAACTTGTGGTGTCTTTTCCAGGCCCATCCATGGCTGCCCATGGAACAATCAGTGCTCACCTCCTCCCCTCTGAGGCCCATAAAAGCCCTGGGTTCAGCCAGAGCTGAGCAGATGTTGGGATGACCTGCCTGCAGACAAAAGCTACTCTCTCTGCTGATACCTGAACACTTGTCAGGATGAATTGCCTAGCAGAGAGGAGCTACCCTCTCTGCTAGGAGCTGAACACTCATCAAGACACCCTGGCTGCAGAAAGTAGCTGCCCCCTGCAGGTTTCCTCTGAGCTGTTCTATCACTCAATAAAGCTCCCCTTCATCTTACTCACTCTCCTCTTTTCTGCCTACCTCATTCTTCCTGGTCACAGGACAAGAACTCAGGACCCACTGAATGGCAAGGATAAAAGAGCTGTAACACAAACAGGGCTGAGACATGCCCCTTGCTTGCCTCATTGTGGGCAAAGAGAAGAAAAGAAGAGCTGCAGCCCTTTGGGGAACCCAGACCTGGGAGTTCCCCAGACCAGGGCTGTGACTCCTATTTTGGGGCCCTGTGGTTCCTGGCATCTCCGAGCTTCTGGGTGCCAATGTGTCCTCCAGTGCCAGCCGTAGAAGCTGCTTGCAGTGTGCCTGGTCTAGCTGCAGCCTCACAGAGAGCCAGAGCCCATGCCAGCACCTGGAGCTGCCCGGCCCACTGCGGCAGCTGGTACGTCTGACTGTGCACAGTGGCCGGATCCCACACTCACTCACACACTCCTCACTGTTCCATGCCTGACTCACCCTTGGCAGGCATGGGTCCCAGGCCAGTAGGGTGAGCCAAACACAGCCTGCCAGGCTGAGTAGGTGAAACAAGCCCAGTGGGCCCGAGCAAAACTCGGGCACAGGGGCCACCAGCCACAGAGGTTCCTGGCTAGAAAAACAACACCCCAAAGATCCCATAATACAATGAGATACCATCTCACACCAGTCAGAATGACTATTATTAAAAAGTCAAAAAATACCAGATGCTGGCGAGGTTGCCAAGAAAAAGGAATGCTTATACACTGCTGGTTGGAATGTAAATTAGCTCAACCATCGTGGAAAACAGTAAGGCAATTCCTCAAAGAACTGAATTCAGAACTACCATTCAACCCAGCAATCTCATTACTGGGTATATACCCAGAGGAATATAAATCATTCCACCATAAAGACACATGCACATTAATGTTCACTGCAGCACTACTCACAATAGCAAAGACATGGATTCCACCTAAATACCCATCAATGGTGGACTGGATAAAGAAAATGTGGTACATATACACCATGAAATTCTATGCAGCTGTAAAAAAGAACGAGATGATGTCCTTTGCAGGAACATGAATGAAGCTGGAAGTCATTATCCCTAGCAAACTAACACAGGAACAGAAAACCAAATACTGCATGTTCTCACATATAAGTGGGAGCTAAATAATGAGAACACATGGGCACAAAGAGGGGAATAACAGACACTGGGGCCTGCTTGAGGGACGCAGGAGGGAGGAAGAAAGAGAATCAGGAAAAATAGCTATCAGGTACTATGCTTAGTGTACTTGGGTAACAAAATGGTCTGTACACCAAACACCCATGACATGCGTTTGCCTGTATTAACAAACCTGCACATGTACCCCAGCCTGAACTAAAATAAAAGTTAAAAGTAAGCTGGGCATGGTAGCTCATGCCTGTAATCCTAGCATTTTGGGAGGTCCAGGCAAGTTAATTGCTTGAGCCCAGGAATTTGGGGCCAGCCTAGGTAACATGGTGAAACCCCATCTCTACAAAAAATACAAAAAGTTGCCGGGTGTGGTGGTGTGTGCCTGTAGTTCCAACAACTTTGGGGGCTGAAGCAGGGGGATTGCTTGAACCTGGGAGGTCAAGGCTACAGTGAGCACTGAGCTGAGACTACACCACTGCACTCCAGTCTGGGTGACAAGATGAGACCCTGTCTCAAAAAAAAGAAAAGAAAAAAAGTTTAATTTTTAAAAAGTTAAAAATAAATAAATACATTTTAAAAATAATCTCTCCCTCACAAAGCATCAGAAAAACAGACTTTACACTTCACATAATTTTATATTTTCTGTGTTTGCTTCATTCAGCAAATATTTATTGAATAACTACTAGGTACAAGATCTTGTATCTAGGTTAAAATTTTATTGACACATTTATTCATTTCTTCCCAAGGACTAAGGTCTTTCGTAATGCCGATGCCCTCCAAACATTCTACACTTTACTTAGATCAGTTGGCAGGATTAAAAGGTCTTCCTGTTAATAATCAGCTTGAAAAAAATTCTTTAAAACAGTGTTTGGCCACAAGAAACTTCCCAGCAATATCCATTACCCTCAAAATTAGCGCAATCTGGTTCCACTTTGTATAATAAAATAATGTGTTGTTTTTCAATTGCTATTGACCCCAGGTTGCAAGTTATATAAACTGAGTGTGCCCAGGTGAACCAAGAATGCAACCATGGGCAGCATCTAAATGCCTGAACCAAGGAAAGGGGATGGAATTAAGAAGTCGACACCAGGCCAGGCAGAGTAGCTCACACCTGTAATGCCAGTGCTTTGGGAGGCCGAGGTGTGAAGATTTCTTGAGGCCATGAATTTGAGACCAACCTAGGCAACACAGCAAGACCCTATCTCAACAAAAAAAGAAAAAAAAAGCAAGAGGACACTTCATGGCATGATCCATGATCCAATCAGATTGAACCCTGGCATCATCCCATGGCATGATCCAATCAGATCATGCCTCCTGGCATTACTGCATTGCAAGATCCAATCAGATCATGCCTCATTACCATCTTCAGACTCCAGCTTGAAAGACAAATTTGAACATTGCCTCCTGTCTTGTGGCCAGTCAATTTGCAATAAAGCTTTGTTTTCTCAAAAGCTGGTGCAATAGTATTGGCTTTTATGCATATCAGGCAGCAAGCCATTTCTTGCTAGGTAACAATGAGAACATAGAAAAGCAGATTTAAATTACTAGTCCCTATTGAAAATATATAGTTTATTTTTTAATTCAACAAGTGCTTTTTACTGTTTTATATAAGGTATAGTAATATGTGTGTAAAGTAGTTCCTATAGAGATTACACAGACCATGACATTTTATTTTTATTATTAAATATTTGAAGAATACAAAATATTATAGACAATATTGATTATCACCTATACTGATGTATCTAACCCATAAGGTGATGAAATAATCTGTACAACAAAACCCCCTGACATGAGTTTACCTATATAACAAACCTGCACATGTACCCCTGAACCTAAAAGTTAAAAAAAAAAAAAAAAAAAGGCCAGCGTGGTGGCTCATGCCTGTAATCCCAGCACTTTGGGAGGCCAAGGCAGGAGTATCACTTGAGGTCAGGAGTTCGAGACTTCGAACTAAAAATACAAAATTAAAATACAAAAATTAGCCAGATGTGGTGGCATGTGCCTATAGTCCCAGATCCTCAGGAGCCTGAGGCAGGAGGATCGCTTGAACCGAGAAGGCGGAGGTTGCAGTGAGCCAAGATCACACCACTGCACTCCAGCCTGGGTGACAGAGAAAGACTCCGTCTCAAAAAAATACATTACTTCAGTTAACATCTCCAATATCCCTCCTCAATCCCCAAAGGTAACTACTGCCAACAATTTGATGTTTATCAGTCTCTCATTCTCAAAAATATTTTAGTACTTTTACTATATACATATATATCCATAAACAATATGTAGCACTTCCTGCAAGTTTTAACTTTTTTTTTTTTGAGATGGAGTTTTGGTCTGTCGCCCAGGCTAGAGTGCAGTGGCATGATCTCAACTCACTGCAACCTCCCCGTCCCAGGTTCAGAGGATCCTCCTGCGTCAGCCTCCCAAATAGCTGGGATTACAGGCACACCAGCATGCCCAGCTAATTTTTGTATTTTTAGTAGAGACAAGGTTTCACCATGTTGGTCAGGTTGGTCTCGAACTCCTGACCACAAGTGATCCACCCACCTAGGCCTCCGAAAGTGCTGGGATTACAGGGGTGAGCCACCACACCCAGCCAAATTTTAACATTTTAAGCAAAATGTCATACCACTATTCACATGTTCTGCAACTTACTTTTTCATTCATTATGTTATTAACTTTACCCACATTGATAAATGCAAATCAACCTCATTCATGTTAACCATCATATAAAAAGGATACATGGATGAACAGGATGGATAGATAATAGTTAGATGTAAACAGACCAAAGGACCAACTGTTGCATGAACATACTACAAGTTACTCATTCTCCTATGAATGGGCATATACATTGTTTTCAGTTTATTATGATTCAAATAGAGCAATGAAGATTCATGTACAAGTCTTCTTGTGTACATGTACATCTACCACCTGTATCTGAGATTGCAATTATTTGGTCATAGGGCAAACATGTTTCAAGTTTAACAGATATTTTCCGAATTGCTTACAGAAGTGGTTGTACAAATTCACACTTGCCCCAGAAGTGTTTAAGCTGCACTTTGGTTTAGAGCTTTATTCATGGTATTGGCTGACTTTTTTTTGCCACTATGAATAATGTAAAATTGTATCTCACTGTGGTTTTACTTTGCATTTACCTGACTACTAGTGAAAATTAGCATATTTTTATGTTTACTGGCCATTCTGACTTTCTGTTCGTCTGTCCAATTTTCTATGAAGATTTGTTTTGCTAATAAATGTATACAAATTCTATTTCTTTTTTTTAAATTATATGTTGTTACTGTAGTTTTTTTGGGTTTTTTTGTTTTGTGTTGTTTTGTTTTTTACTTTAAGTTCTGGGATACATGTGCTGAAAGTGCAGGTTTGTTACATAGGTATACATGTGCCATGGTGGTTCGCTGCATCTATCAACATATCATCTAGGTTTTAAGCCCCATATGAATTAGGTATTTGTCCTAATGCTCTCCCTTCCCTTGCCCCCCACACCCAACAGGCCCCAGTGTATGATGTTCCCTTCCCCGTGTCCATGAGCTCTCGTCGTTCAACTCCCACTTATGAATAAGAACATATGGTGTTTGGTTTTCTGTTCCTGTGTTTGTTTGCTGAGGATGATGGTTTCCAGCTTCATCCATGTCCCTGCAAAGGACGTGAAATTCTTTTTTATGGCTGCATAGTATTCCGTGGTATATATGTGTCACATTTTCTTTATCCAGTCTATCATTGGTGGGCATTTGGGTTTGTTCCAAGTCTTTACTATTGTAAATAGTGCTGCAATAAGCATACGTGTGCATGTCTTTATAGTAGAATGATTTATAATCCTTTGGGACCCAGTAATGGGATTGCTGGGTCAAATGGTATTTCTGGTTCTAGATCCTTGAGGAATCACCACACTGACTTCCACAATAGTTGAACTAATTTACACTGCCACCAACAGTGTAAAAGCGTTCCTATTTCTCTGCATCCTCTCCAGCATCTGTTTCCAGACTTTTCAATGATCGCCATTCTAAATGGTGTGAGATGGTATCTCATTGTGGTTTTGATTTGCATTTCTCTAATGACCAGTGATGATGAGGTTTTGTTCATATGTTTATTGGCCGCATAAATGTCTTCTTTTGAGAAGTGTCTGTTCATATCTTTTGCCCACTTTTTGATTGAGTTTTTTTTCTTTTGTTTAAGTAAATTTGTTTAAGTTCCTTGTAGATTCTGGATATTAGACCTTTGTCAAATGGATAGTTTGCAAAAATTTTCTCCCATTCTGTAGGCTGCCTGTTCACTCTGATGATAGTTTCTTTTGCTGAGCAGGAGCTCTTTAGTTTAATTAGATCCCATTTGTCAATTTTGGCTTTTGTTGCAATTGTTTTTGGTGTTTTAGTCATGAAGTCTTTACCCATGCCTATGTCCTGAATGGTGTTGCCTAGGTTTTCTTCTAGGGTTTTTATGGTTTTAGGTTTTACATTTAAGTCTTTATTTATCTTGAGTTAATTTTTGTATAAGGTGTAAGGCAGGGGTCCAGTTTCAGTTTTCTGTGTATGGCTAGAAATGCATATGGCCAGTTTTCCCAGCACCATTTATTAAATAGGGAATCCTTTCCCCATTGCTTGTTTTTGTCACTTTGTCAAAGATCAGATGGTTGTAGATGTGTGGTGTTATTTCTGAGGCCTCTGTTCTGTTCCATTGGTCTATATATCTGTTTTGGTGCCAGTACCATGCTGTTTTGGTTACTGTAGCCTTGTAGTATAATTTGAAGTCAGGTAGCGTTATGCCTCCAGCTTTGTTCTTTTTGAGACAGAGTTTCTCTCTTGTTGCCAAGGCTAGAGTGCAATGGGGCAATCTCGGCTCACTGCAACCTCCGCCTCCCAGGTTCAAGTGATTCTCCTGCCTCACCCCCCCAAGTAGCTGGGATTACAGGCATGAGCCACCACATCTGGCTAATTTTTTGTATTTAGTAGAGATGGGGTTTTGCCATGTTGGCCAGGCTGGTCTTGAACTCCTGACTTCAGGTGATCTACCTCCTTCAGCCTCCCAAAGTGCTGGGATTACAGGTGTACACCGCCATACCCGGCCTACAATTTCTATTTTTTTGTTTTTGTTGTTTTTCAGTTTTTTTAGACGAAGTCTTGCTCTGTCGCCCAGGCTGGAGTGCAGTGGTGCAATCTTGGATCACTGCAAGCTCCACCTCCCGGGTTCACGCCATTCTCCTGCCTCAACCTCCCTAGTAGCTGGGACTACAGGCGCTTGCCACCACACCTGGCTAATTTTTTGTCTTTTTAGTAGAGACAGGGTTTCACCATGTTAGCCAGGATGGTCTCTATCCCCTGACCTCGTGATCCGCCCTCCTCAGCCTCCCCAACATGCTAGGATTACAGGCGTGAGTCACTGCGCCTGGCCCAAATTCTTTTTCTTAACAATAAAACCTTGTGGTTATCTATGGTGCAAATATATTGCCCAGCTGGTGGCTTGTCTTTTTGCTCTAAGTTAAGGGGTATTTTGATGTAGAGAAGTTCTTAATTTTGGTCAAATTTAACAATCTTCCTTTATGATTAAGTTTTGTGTACCTTATTTCAAGAGGCTTCCCTGTTCTAAAGACATAAATATATTCTCAATGTTTTATTTTAAATCTTTTAAAGTTTTGGTTTTCACATTTAGGTATTTATTGCATTGGGATTTGTTTTTGTGCCTGGTATGGGATAAGTATCTAATTTTATAATTCTCTGTTTTTTAAAAGTTGTCCTCTCACCATTTATTGGGTCATTTCCCCACCACCTCATTTTCCTCCCACTGTCATATCAAGTTTTCATGTATGTCCATTCTATTCTTTTTTTTTTTTTTTCTCGAGACAGAATCTCACTCTGTTGCCCAGGCTGGAGTGCAATAGCACAATCTTGGTTCACTGTAACCTCCACCTCCCAGGTTCAAGCAATTCTCGTGCCTCAGACACCTGAGTAGCTGGGATTAAAGGTGTGTGCCACCACACCCAGCTAATTTTTGTATTTTTCGTAGAGACACGGTTTCACCATGTTGGCCAGGCTGGTCTCAAACTCCCGACCTCAGGTGATCGGCCACCTTGGCCTCCCAAAGGGTTGGGATTACAGGCATGAGTCACTGCACCCGGCCTTTCCACTCTATTGCTTACATCTATTTGTCTATGTTTACCTTGCACCTATTTGTTTATGTTACTACAGTTTTACTGCAAGTCTTAATGTTTGGGGAGGCAAGTTTCCCTCACCTTGTTCTTCAAAATTGTCTTGGTTCTGTTTGCCCTTTTGCTCTCCCAATTAAATTTGAAAATCACCTTCTCAAATTGCAAAAAAAAAAAAAGCTATTGGGATTTTGATTGATTGAATTGGAGCCATACTAAATTTATAAATTATTTTATATATCTTTTTATGATATTGAGACTCCTTATTCATGGGTATTGTATATGTTTACACTTATTTAGGCCTTAATGTCTTCAATAAAATTTTATACTTTTCTGTTTTGTTTGACACCAAGTCTTGCTCTGTCGCCCAGGCTGGAATGCAATGGCGCAATCTCAGCTCACTGCAACCTCCACCTCCCAGGTTCAAGCAGTTTTCCTGTCTCCACCTCCCAAGTAGCTGGGATTACAGGCATGCACCACCATGCCTGGCTAACTTTTGTATTTTTAGTAGAGACGGGGTTTCACCATGTTGGCCAGGCTGGTCTCGAACTCAAATGATCTGCCCGCCTCAGCCTCCGAAAGTGCTGGGATTACAGGCATGAGCCACCACGCCCGGCCAGTTTTATACTTTTCTACAGGAAGGTATTGAGAGGTGACAGCGTGCTGGCAGTCCTCAGAGCCCTCACTTGCTCTCGGCACCTCCCCTGCCTGGGCTCCCACTTTGGTGGCATTTGAGGAGCCCTTCAGTCCCCCACTGCACTGTGGGAGCCCCTTTCTGGGCTGGCCAAGGCCAGAGCCCACTCCCTCAGCTTGCAGGGAGGTGTGGAGGGAGAGACACGAGCGGTAACCGGGGCTGTGTGCGGCACTTGCAGGCCAGCTGAAGTTCTGGGTGGGCGTGGGCTTGGTGGGCCCCGCACTCGGAGCAGCCAGGCAGCCCTGCTGGCCCCGGGCAATGGGGGACTTAGCACCCGGGCCAGTGGCTGTGGAGGGTGTACTGGGTCCCCCAGCAGTGCCGGCCCATCGGCGCTGCGCTCGATTTCTCGCCAGGCCTTGGCTGCCTTCCCATGGGACAGGGCTTGGGACCTGCAGCCCGCCATGCCTGAGCCTCCCACCCCCTCCGTGGGCTCCTGTGCGGCCGGAGCCTCCCCGACGAGCGCCACCCCCTGCTCCACGGCGCCCAGTCCCATCGACCACCCAAGGGCTGAGGAATGCGAGCGCACGGCGCAGTACTGGCAGGCAGCTCCACCTGCAGCCCCGGTGCGGGATCCACTAGGTGAAGCCAGCTGGGCTCCTGAGTCTGGTGGGGACGTGGAGAGTCTTTATATCTAGCTCAGGGATTGTAAATACACCAATCAGCACCATGTGTTTAGCTCAAGGTTTGTGAGTGCACCAATCGACACTCCGTATCTAGCTGCTCTGGTGAGGACGTGGAGAACCTTTATGTCTAGCTCAAGGATTGTAAATACACCAATCGGCACTCTGTATCTAGCTAAAGGTTTGTAAACACACCAATCAGCACCCTGTGTTTAGCTCAAGGTTTGTGAGTGCACCAATCGACACTCTGTATCTAGCTGCTCTGGTGGGGCCTTGGAGAACCTGTGTGTGGAAACTCTGTATCTAACTAATCTGATGGGGACGTGGAGAACTTTTGTATCTAGCTCAGGGATTGTAAACACACCAATCAGCGCCCTGACAAAACAGGCCACTCGGCTCTATCAATCAGCAGGATGTGGGTGGGGCCAGATAAGAGAATAAAAGCAGGCTGCCTGAGCCAGCATTGGCAACCTGCTCGGGTCACGTTCCACACAGTGGAAGCTTTGTTCTTTCACTCTTTGCAATAAATCTTGCTACCGCTCACTCTTTAGGTCCATACTGCTTTTATGAGCTGTAACACTCACCTCGAAGATCTGCAGCTTCACTCCTGAGCCCAGCAAGACCACGAGCCCACCGGGAGGAACGAACAACTCCAGACGCGCTACCTTAAGAGCTGTAACACTCACTGTGAAGGTCTGCGGCTTCACTCCTGAGCCAGCGAGACCACGAACCCACCAGAAGGAAGAAACTCCGAACACATCTGAACATCAGAAGGGACAGACTCCAGACGCGCCACCTTAAGAGCTGTAACACTCACCGCGAGGGTCCGCGGCTTCATTCTTGAAGTCAGTGAGACCAAGAACCCACTAATTCCGGACACAGTATTATACAAATTCTGTCAGATTTATTCCTAGGTACCTTATATTTTTGTTGTTGCTATTGCAAATTATAACATTTTAAAAATTAGTTTCTATATTATGTCTGAGATTTGCTTCAAGACATAGTGATAGAAATGGTTTATAACTAATTGAATAAAACAAGAATTAATTAGCCCATTCTTTTCTGCTGGAGTGCAGTGGCGCAATCTCAGCTCACTGCAACATCTCCCTCCCAGGTTCAAGCGATTCTTGTGCCTCAGCCTACCAAGTAGCTGGGATCGCAGGTGCACACCATGATGCCCGGCTAATTTTTATATTTTTAGTAGAGATGGGGTTTTGCCACGTTGGCCAGGCTGGTCTTGAACTCCTGACCTCAGGTGATCCATCCCCACCTCGGCCTCTCAAAAGTGCTGGGATTACAGGCGTGAGCCACTGCGCCCAGCCAATTAGTCCATTCTTAAATAAAAAATAAAGGAGATAGACATGTCACCTTTTAAACATAGGTGGAATGATGAAGTTGGAAATCACTATTTGCAACCATCGTAGTAATAACTGATTTAGATAAGAATCATTAGTAATTCTAAAAATTACTTGTTAAAGTTTGATGAGGAACAGGACATTTATACAATCTCAAAATAGCCTCACAAATTACTCATTAATTACAAAGGAAAAAATGTTAACTTTGCAGTGGAGAAGCATGGCAGACTCTAAGCAAGGATTCACAATTAACACCAATAATGAGATAAACACATCTATGCTACTGACGTGATGCAGTGAGAGGGACACAATATCACTTCTGTGGCATTTCTGCCAAAATGCATATCCTGGATCTAATCATGAGGACACAGCATACAATCCAACTTGGGGTCGCTTTACAAAATAACTGGCCCACACTCTTTAAAAATGTCAGAAATGTGAAAGACAGAATTGTGAAAAAGAAATTAAACTATTCAAAATTAAGTGAGAACAGGAACATGACAATTGAATGCAAAGTAAGATGCTGCATTTGATCCTGGGGAAAAAATTTAATTGCTATATAGAACATTTTTCAAACAACTGGCAGAATTTATATAAGAACTAAAGATTAGATAATGGTATTACATCAAAGCAGGGTGACCAGATATCTCGATTTACCTAGGACAGTACTCATTTATATTTGTTATCCCTGTGTAAATTTTTTTTAATTTTTTGTGTTCATACATAATAGATGTACTTATTTTGGGGATAACTTGATACATTCATATAATGTGTAAAGATAAAATCAGGGTTCCGTGTAAATGATTAATAGTGCCTCCTGGCCAGGCACGGTGGCTCACACCTGTAATCCCAGCACTTTGGGAGTTTGAGGCGGATGGATCACTTGAGGTCAGGAGTTTGAGACCAGCCTGGCCAACATGGTGAAACCTTGTCTCTATGAAAAATACAAAAATTAGCCGGGCATGGTGGCACACGCCTGTGATCCCAGATACTCAGGAGGCTGAGGCACAGGAATCACGTGAACCCAAGAGATGGAGGTTGCAGCGAGCCGAGATTGCGCCACTGCACTCCAGCCTGGGTAACAGAGCAAGACTCTGACTCAAAAAATAAATAAATAAAAGTGCCTCCTTTCACTCTCAAAAGTAACCCATATAGAGGTCACCCATATAGGGGAAAGTCTGCTGTGGGGATTTCTGAGAAATCTTTTGTTCTCCTCATAGAAGATGATAGATGCAGACATCACCACCATTCTCCCTTATACCATCATTCTCTTTTGTGTGAAAGTTGCCAGAATCAAAATGGAGTCACTAATGTTTAAAGAAAGAAGAGCCCTGACAAATCAAGCCATAGAAGGCCATGAAGAGAAGGTTCTTTATGCTTGTATGCCTCACAAAAAAGACTCTGGAAAAATCATATCCTTGCACAGAAGCCACCAGAAATTTCCATAAAAAACACTGCAAGAACATCTGCCCCAGAACTGCCTGTCCAACCTGGACTGACATCATCCTTGTTATTGATCTTTGTAGCCAAATATAATTATTTTAAAACAATTGTGCAATTTCCCTCTTTTCTTTAAAAACCTTTGTCTTCCTTTACCTCCCTGAATATGCACGTAGTTTACTATGACGGGTATATTCTCATTGCAATACTCTATTCCCAAATAAATGTCTTTTTCTTTCAGAGAGCCTCCCTTTGTTATTTAGGTTGACTTATATGGTGTCACTTGAAAGTGATGTCTGGATCCGCAGCAACCATCTTACAACCTTGAAGTGACAAGCTGGAAGAAAAGGCCAGAAGATGCACATAGAGTTTAATCCTGACAGAGATGAGTTACTGAAGCAATGCCAGTGACCTCCTATCCGCTAATTTACTATTACCTAACAAACTTTTTTCTTTTTTTTTTTTTGAGACAGGGTCTTGCTCTGTCACCCAGGCTGGAGTGCAGTGTTGTGATCTCAGCTCACTGCAAACTCCATCTCCCAGGTTCAAGCGATTCTCATGCATCAGCCTCCTGATTAGCTGGGATTACAGGTGTGTACCACCACCCCTGGCTAATTTTTTTGTTTTGTTGTTGTTGTTGTTGAGACGAAGTCTCACTCTGTCACCCAGGCTGGAGTGCTGTGGCACGATCTCAGCTCACTGCAACCTCTGCCTCCCAGGTTCAAGTGATTCTCCTGCCTCAGCCTCCCAAGCAGCTAGATTACAGGCACCTGCCACCATGCCTGGTTAATTTTTGTAGTTTTAGTGGAGACGGGGTTTCACCTTGTTGGCCATACTGTTCTCGAACTCCTGACCTAGTGATCCGCCCACCTCGGCCTCCCAAAGTGCTGGGATTACAGGAGTGAGCCACCGCACCTGGCCAATTTTCGTATTTTTAGTAGAGACAGGGTTTGCCATGTTGGCCAAGCTGGTCTCAAACTCCTGACCACAGGTAATCCACCCCCACCTCAGCATCCCAAAGTGGTAGATTACAGGCGTGAGCCACCGTGCCTGGCCTAAGAAAACAAACTCTTACTTAAGTCATGCTATTTGAAGCCCGTTCTCCCACTTATGCACCAAACTGAATCCTCTCTCAACCTCCTTGCCATCATTTTAGCAATTCTCCAATCTCTCTCCTACATCATGACTTGTACTAAGTACCCAGTACAATAACTGAATAGAAGAGCTACCCCTATGTCCATCATTGTGAAGTTTTGGAACACCTGCAATAAAAGATAAAGATTCCAAATAAAATAAACATTTATGTACTTATCTTCTAAATAGAGCCTAAAACCTTCCATAGAATAGGGACAAAAAGGAACAAAGGAACAAGAATCAGAATGGCATTAAGGTTCTTAATGGATACGATAAGAAAGTGAAGCAATGTCTTTAAAATCCTGAAAGAAAATTATTTTCAACCCTAGAAGTCCATGCTCAGCTAATCTATTATAAGAACAGAGACCTTTTCTCTTTTTTTTTTTTTTTTGAGACGGAGTCTCACCCTCTCACTCAGCCTGGAGTGCAGTGGTGCGATCTCGGCTCACTGCAACCTCCACCTCCCGGGCTCAAGCGATTCTCCTGCCTCAGCCTCCAGAGTAGCTGGATTTCAGGTGCCCACCACTACACCCAGCTAATTTTTGTATTTTTAGTAAGATGAGGTTTCACCATGTTGGTCAGGCTGGTCTCGAACTCCTAACTGCAGGTGATCCACCCAGCTTGGCCTCCCAAAGTGCTGGGATTACAGGCGTGAGCCACCATGACTGGCCAACAGAGCACGCCTGGCCAACAGAGATCTTTTTTTTTTTTTTTTTGAGACAGAGTCTCACTCTGTCGCCCAGGCTGGAGTGCCGCGGCGCGATCTTGGCTCACTGCAATCTCCACCTCCCGGGTTCACGCCATTCTCCTGCCTCAGCCTCCCAAGCAGCTGGGACTACAGGCGCCTGCCACCACACCCGGCTAACTTTTTGTATTTTTAGTAGAGACGGGGGTTTCACTGTGTTAGCCAGGATGGTCTCGATCTCCTGACCTCGTGATCCGCCCTCCTCAGCCTCCCAAAGTGCTGGGATTACAGCTGTGAGCCACCGCGCCCGGCCAACAGAGACCTTTTTAAACATGCAAAGACTTAGCTAGTAAGAATGAGTTCTGTTAAAATAAAGGAGAAAACCAAGAGGCCATATGCTCCAGGAAGCAGGATTTCAGACAGCAGGAAAGAGATGTAGGGAAGTCCTAGAAAAATAATTGAGTAGCAGAACCAGAGAACAGCCAGCCCACACAGAAACAGGAGGAGAAAGCAGTGAGACCTCTCCCTCTCCCTCTCCCTCTCCCTCTCCCTTCCCACAGTCTCCCTCTCCCTCTCTTTCCATGGTCTCCCTCTGATGCCAAGCTGAAGCTGGACTGTACTGCTGCCATCTTGGCTCACTGCAACCTCCCTGCCTGATTCTCCTGCCTCAGCCTGCCAAGTGCCTGCGATTGCAGGCGGGCGCCGCCACGCCTGATTGCTTTTCATATTTTTTTGGTGGAGATGGGGTTTCGCTGTGTTGGCCGGGCTGGTCTCCAGGTCCTAACCGCGAGTGATCCGCCAGCCTCGGCCTCCCAAGGTGCCGGGATTGCAGACGGAGTCTCGTTCACTCAGTGCTCAATGATGCCCAGGCTGGAGTGCAGTGGCGTGATCTCGGCTCGCTGCAACCTCCACCTCCCAGCCGCCTGCCTTGGCCTCCCAAAGTGCCGAGATTGCAGCCTCTGCCTGGCCGCCACCCCGTCTGGGAAGTGAGGAGCGTCTCTGCCTGGCCGCCCATCGTCTGGGATGTGAGGAGCCCCTCTGCCTGGCTGCCCAGTCTGGAAAGTGAGGTGCGCCTCTTCCCGGCCGCCATCCCATCTAGGAAGTGAGGAGCGTCTCTGCCCTGCCGCCCATCGTCCGAGATGTGGGGAGCACCTCTGCCCCGCCACCCCGTCTGGGATGTGAGGAGCACCTCTGCCCGGCGGCGACCCTGTCTGGGAGGTGAGGAGCGTCTCTGCCCGGCCGCCCCGTCTGAGAAGTGAGGAGCCCCTCCGCCCGGCAGCCGCCCCGTCTGAGAAGTGAGGAGCCCCTCCGCCCAGCAGCCACCCCGTCTGGGAAGTGAGGAGCATCTCCGCCCGGCAGCCACCCCATCCAGGAGGGAGGTGGGGGGTCAGCCCCCGCCCGGCCTGCCGCCCCGTCCGGGAGGGAGGTGGGGGGGGCGCCTCCGCCCGGCCAGCCGCCCCGTCCGGGAGGTGAGGGGTGCCTCTGCCCGGCCGCCCCTACTGGGAAGTGAGGAGCCCCTCTGCCCGGCCAGCCGTCCCCTCCGGGAGGGAGGTGAGGGGGGTCAGCCCCCCGCCCGGCCAGCCGTCCCGTCCGGGAGGGAGGTGGGGGGGGTCAGCCCCCCCCCGCCCGGCCAGCCGCCCCGTCCGGGAGGGAGGAGGAGGGCTCAGCCCCCCGCCCGTCCAGCCGCCCCGTCCGGGAGGGAGGTGGGGGGGTCAGCCCCCCGCCCGGCCAGCCGTCCTGTCCGGGAGGGAGGTGGGGGGGGTTCAGCCCCCCGCCCGGCTGGCCGCCCCATCCGGGAGGGAGGTGGGGGGCTCAGCTCCCCGCCCGGCCAGCTGCCCCATCCGGGAGGTGAGGGGCACCTCTGCCCAGCCGCCCCTACTGGGAAGTGAGGAGCCCCTCTGCCCGGCCAGCCGCCCCGTCCGGGAGGGAGGTGGGGGGCTCAGCCCCCTGCCCGGCCAGCCGCCCCGTCCGGGAGGGAGGTGGGGGGCTCAGGCCCCCGCCTGGCCAGCCGCCCCGTCCAGGAGGGAGGTGGGGGGGTCAGCCCCCCGCCCGGCCGCCCCGTCCGGGAGGTGAGGGGCGCCTCTGCCCGGCCGCCCCTACTGGGAAGTGAGGAGCCCCTCTGCCCGGCCACCACCCCGTCTGGGAGGTGTACCCAACAGCTCATTGAGAACGGGCCATGATGACGATGGCGGTTTTGTGGAATAGAAAAGGGGGAAAGGTGGGGAAAAGATTGAGAAATCGGATGGTTGCCGTGTCTGTGTAGAAAGAAGTAGACATGGGAGACTTTTCATTTTGTTCTGTACTAAGAAAAATTCTTCTGCCTTGGGATCCTGTTGATCTATGACCTTACCCCCAACCCTGTGCTCTCTGAAACATGTGCTGTGTCCACTCAGGGTTAAATGGATTAAGGGCGGTGCAAGATGTGCTTTGTTAAACAGATGCTTGAAGGCAGCATGCTCGTTAAGAGTCATCACCACTCCCTAATCTCAAGTACCCAGGGACACAAACACTGCAGAAGGCCGCAGGGTCCTCTGCCTAGGAAAACCAGAGACCTTTGTTCACTTGTTTATCTGCTGACCTTCCCTCCACTATTGTCCTATGACCCTGCCAAATCCCCATCTGCGAGAAACACCCAAGAATGATCAATTAGAAAAAAAAAAAAAAAAGAAAGCAGTGAGAGGGAAATCTCCAGGGACAGGAGGGTTGGGGGGTTGAAATAGACTGAATAAGTCTATAATCTATTTAATTATTTAGAGAACACTACTGGTAGTGACAGATCTGAGAGAACAACCAAAAAAAGGTTAAGGTAAATAAAAACCTTTGCAAGCAAAAAAGCAAGGCAATAATTAACTCCAAGAAAAACAAAAAATGTTACTATAAAAGAAAAATACTTGATTAAATAGTTAATAATATTCACATACTTAATTATATAAACACTATTCATTTAACCAGAAATGTGATAAAATTATATTCAAACTATAAGGATAAAGGAAATGGGCAGGAAAGTGATGTAAAAAAAAGCCAAATTTGCACCATAACAGAAAGTCAATTGAGAATAGCTAAAATTAATAAAAAATAACAGTATATCATTTAGAAGTTCAGAGATAAATACCAGAAGAAATAGCTAAAAGTTGAGACCATTTGCCTCTGACGAGCAGCAATGAAGGATGAGGATAAGGGCAAGGATTGCCATTTTTCATTTTAAGCTTTTGAATATTAATTGAATTTTTAGCTATATATGTATAACATTATTTTGATTTAAAATTTAAAAAGTAATTTCTTTTTAAAAAAGGAAGAAATATATTGGGGAAAAAAGACTGCTGACAAAAAGAGAAGAGAAAGAAAAATCAAATATTTATTAAAAGTACCATAATACAGACCCATTTCAAGTAAGGACAAACACACCAACATATTTCTTAGTAGTTTCCTCACAATAGATTATTAAAGCATAGAACAATTATTCATATTCATAAAGAAATGACTTCAAAATAGGTTAAATTGTTTTCCATCTACTCTGTTTAATAAGGCAAGAACAAATGATTCACTTTAGACAAATAGTCTCATCAAAAAAGGGCTAAAATAGTAAAGATTCATCACCTAAAGTGGTAAGCTTTGGATATCTGAAATATAAACATGTTAGTACTCTGATGATGCCAGATAAATGAATTTAGGCAAGAAAACACATTGTTACAAAAAGCCTGGGTTCTAAATCAGGATTACTGAGACACTAACAATTTCAGATTTTTGCCTTCATTCCAAGAAGCACCAACCCAGTTTTCTTTAGACTGCCTGGGCTGGTTTGGGCCAAGATCTAGTCAAAATGTAGTCTGCCAGTGATGTAGGTAAATAAGATAGAGGGATGAAGAAAAATTTAGCATCCCAGCCAGCTGAATATCGAGTTCGCGGATGCACCGATGTCAGAGCATGTTCCATGCAGTCAGTGACCAGGTTCAGGTTTGTGCTACAATTCAACAGCCCTTCCTTCATGATATTGTAAACTGTATACAAAAAAAGAAATGGTGGTCAACAATCTTATTCCTTATATTTTTAAGATCATGCAGTCACAGAAGTCTCACCACATCTAATTTCTACAAAATAGAATGATCTAGAATGTGCATCCCAATATGATAGCCACTAGCCACATGTAGCTATTGAGCACTTAAACAATAGCTAATGCACTGGAATAAAAACTAAATTTTGGATTTTATTTAATTTTAATTTTAAAACTCAATCATTTTTCTTTTTTTGTTTGGTTGTTTTTTGGGGTTTCTTTTGAGACAGGGTCTTGCTCTGTCACCCAGGTTGGAGTGTAGTGGTACAATCTCAGCTCACTGCAACCTCTGCCTCCCAGGCTCGTGATCCTCCCTCCTCAGCTTCCCACATAGCTGGGACTACAGGTTCGCATCCCCATGCCCAGCTAATTTTGTTTATTTTTTGTAGACACAAGGTCTCACTATGTTGCCCAGGCTGGTCTTGAATTCCTGGGCTCAAGCGATCCTCCCACATCAGCCTCCCAAAGTGCTGGAATTATAGGTGTGAGGCACCACGCCTGGCCTCAAAACTCAATTCTGATGGCTGGGTGCAGTGGCTCATGCCTGTAATCCCAGCACTTTGGGAGGCCGAGGTGGGTGGATAATTTGGGGTCAGGAGTTCGAGACCGGCATGGCCAACATGGTGAAACCCCATGTCTACTAAAAATACAAAAATTAGCCAGGCTTGGTGGTGCATGCCTGTAGTCCCAGTTACTCAGGAAGCTGAGACAAGAGAATTGCTTGAACCCGGGAGGCAGAGGTTGCAGTGAGCCAAGATCACGCCACTGCACTCCAGCCTGGGTGACAGAGCGAGACTCTGTCTCAAAAAAAAAAAAAAAAAACACACAACTTAATTCTGTTACTAGAGGATTTTTAAATAGGTTTAGAACAACACAGATATGGGAATATACTTTTTCAACTGGAAATTTTTTTAACATTATTGAGATATTCATATATCATAAAATTCAGCCATTTAAAGTGTACAAATCAATAATTTTTAGTATATTCAGAGTTGTGCAATCATCATCACAATCTACATTTAGAACATTTTCATCATCCCAAAAAGAAACCCTGTACCTATTAGAAGTCATTCCCATTTTTCACCGCTGCTGCTACCTCCTCCTCCAGGTCTTCAGAATAATATTCTTATAGGAAATTGACAAATCCCACTCCCACAAAGCTCCTATCACCTGAACAAGAGAAATATAGCCTCAGGGAATGGCCCATAGGGCTCTGCAAAGACTTATCCTCACTGACTTACCTCTTCCCACCTACATGCTTTCTCCTGTCACATTAAGACACATAGTTTGTGGACAAGCCCTTTGTTATCAAAAGGTAAACAATGATGAAGACTGCACTTTAGTTGAGCAGACATCTCACACCAGCCCTGCAATGCTACCAAGGGGCACACCCTCTCAAGGGTCCATGCCTCTAAGTATGTAATACCTCCTAGTGCTCAGGTGCCCTGGCCCACAGAGGACAAGGCAGGGAAGAGCCTGGCCCCAGGCCGCCTATATGTCCCCCTCCTCAACCATGATAGTCATCAGACCAAGCCAACCATGAGACCACTGGGACCTTCCTGACTTCCTTCTGTTCTGGGAATGCTTTATTTAAGGAGCTTTGTCCTGAGAGGATCTGCCAATCATTGTCCACCAACCCTCTTTTCCCCTTCTCATGCAAGGGTACTGATATGGTTTGGCTTTGTGTCCCCACCCAACTCATCTTGAATTATAGTCCCATAATCTCCACATGTCGTGGGAGGGACCTGGTGGGAGGTACTGAATCATGGGGGTGGTTCCCATATGCTGTTCTTTTAGTAGTGAGTTCTCACAAGATCTGATGGTTTCATAAGGGGCTTTCCTCTGCTTGCACTCATTCCCTCTCCTGCCATCCTGTGAAGAGGTGCCTTCTGCCATGATTATAAGTTTCCTGAGGACTCCCCAGCCATGCAGAACTGTGAGTCAATTAAACCTCTTTTCTTTATAAATTACCCAGTCTCAGTTATTTCTTCATAGCAGCATGAGAATGGACTAATACAGGGTACCCATTATCCCTATCAAAAGAAAAAAGCTTACGGGCATCAAAATACTGCTGTCCATAGGTCTCCTTAATATGCTTGGGGGCTTCTTTCCAACTTTGCTTCATTCGCTCTAAGGACTGTGTCATGTTTGTCATTCCCGTTCTGAAGTAGCCAGGTTCAACTATGCTGATTTTCACCCCAAAATGTTGAATCTCACGCCTGAAATAAAACCCCACAAGTTATGATTAAAGACCACCACCATTTCAATGCTTTCAGGAAGGAAAAGCAAAACAAAAAAGATTATAAAATACCTTTACTGAATATTTTAAAGAATAAAGAAATCTCCCTCTCCCTCTCCCTCTCCCTCGTCTCCCTCTCCCCACGGTCTCCCTCTCCCTCTCTTTCCATGGTCTCCCTCTGATGCCGAGCGGAAGCTGGACTGTACTGCTGCCATCTCGGCTCACTGCAACCTCCCTGCCTGATTCTCCTGCCTCAGCCTGCCAAGTGCCTGCGATTGCAGGCATGCACCACCATGCCTGACTGGTTTTCGTATTTTTTTGGTGGAGACGGGGTTTCACTGTGTTGGCCGGGCCGGTCTCCAGCTCCTAACCGCGAGTGATCCGCCAGCCTTGGCCTCCCAAGGTGCCGGGATTGCAGACGGAGTCTCGTTCACTCAGTGCTCAATGGTGCCCAGGCTGGAGTGCAGTGGCGTGATCTCGGCTCGCTACAACCTCCACCTCCCAGCCGCCTGCCTTGGCCTCCCAAAATGCCGAGATTGCAGCCTCTGCCCGGCTGCCACCCCGTCTGGGAAGTGAGGAGCGTCTCTGCCTGGCCACCCATCATCTGGGATGTGAGGAGCCCCTCTGCCTGGCTGCCCAGTCTGGAAAGTGAGGAGCGTCTCTGCCCAGCCGCCATCCCATCTAGGAAGTGAGGAGCACCTCTTCCCGGCCGCCATCCCATCTAGGAAGTGAGGAGCGTCTCTGCCCGGCTGCCCATCGTCTGAGATGTGGGGAGCGCCTCTGCCCCGCCACCCCGTCTGGGATGTGAGGAGCGCCTCGGCCCAGCCGCGACCCCGTCTGGGAGGTGAGGAGCATCTCTGCCCGGCTGCCCCGTCTGAGAAGTGAGGAGACCCTCCGCCTGGCAACCGCCCCGTTTGAGAAGTGAGGAGCCCCTCCACCTGGCTGCCACCCCGTCTGGGAAGTGAGGAGCGTCTCCGCCCGGCAGCCACCCCCTCCGGGAGGGAGGTGGGGGTCAGCCCCCGCCCGGCCAGCCGCCCCGTCCGGGAGGTGAGGGGTGCCTCTGCCCGGCCGCCCCTACTGGGAAGTGAGGAGCCCCTCTGCCCGGCCAGCCGTCCCGTCCGGGAGGGAGGTGAGGGGGGTCAGCCCCCCGCCCGGCCAGCCGTCCCGTCCGAGAGGGAGGTGGGGGGGGTCAGCCCCCCACCCGGCCAGCCGCTCCGTCCGGGAGGGAGGTGGGGGGGTCAGCCCCCGCCCGGCCAGCCGTCCTGTCCGGGAGGGAGGTGGGGGGGGTTCAGCCCCCCGCCCGGCCGGCCGCCCCATCCGGGAGGGAGGTGGGGGGCTCAGCTCCCCGCCCGGCCAGCTGCCCCATCCGGGAGGTGAGGGGCACCTCTGCCCGGCCGCCCCTACTGGGAAGTGAGGAGCCCCTCTGCCCGGCCAGCCGCCCCGTCCGGGAGGGAGGTGGGGGGCTCAGCCCCCTGCCCGGCCAGCCGCCCCGTCCGGGAGGGAGGTGGGGGGCTCAGCCCCCCGCCTGGCCAGCCGCCCCGTCCGGGAGGGAGGTGGGGGGGTCAGCCCCCCGCCCGGCCACCCCGTCCGGGAGGTGAGGGGCGCCTCTGCCCGGCCGCCCCTACTGGGAAGTGAGGAGCCCCTCTGCCCGGCCACCACCCCGTCTGGGAGGTGTACCCAACAGCTCATTGAGAACGGGCCATGATGACGATGGCGGTTTTGTGGAATAGAAAAGGGGGCAAGGTGGGGAAAAGATTGAGAAATCGGATGGTTGCCGTGTCTGTGTAGAAAGAAGTAGACATGGGAGACTTTTCATTTTGTTCTGTACTAAGAAAAATTCTTCTGCCTTGGGATCCTGTTGATCTGTGACCTTAACCCCAACCCTGTGCTCTCTGAAACATGTGCTGTGTCCACTCAGGGTTAAATGGATTAAGGGCGGTGCAAGATGTGCTTTGTTAAACAGATGCTTGAAGGCAGCATGCTCGTTAAGAGTCATCACCACTCCCTAATCTCAAGTACCCAGGGACACAAACACTCTGCCTAGGAAAACCAGAGACCTTTGTTCACTTGTTTGTCTGCTGACCTTCCCCCCACTAGTGTCCTATGACCCTGCCAAATCCCCCTCTGCGAGAAACACCCAAGAATGATCAATAAAAAAAAAAAAAAAAAAAATTAGCTGGGCATGGCAGCGTGCACCCATAGTCCCAGCTACCAGGGAAGTTGAGGTGGAAGGATCGTTTGAGCCCAGGAGGTTGAGGCTGCAATGAACCATGATGATCACACAATTGCACTCCAGCTTGAGCAACAGAGTGAGACCCTGTCTCAAAAATAAAAAATAAATATTGAGAATTGAAGTGTGACATAGTGGTAGAAGACAAAGACCTGGGTCAAAACACAGTTCGGCCAAATTCTGGCTATGGTAGGTGAACTCTGGGACAGATGAGAAAATTTGAGCCTGTTAGCTATATAAAATAGACTAGTAATAATATCTATGTATCAAGATTTGAGGAGTGATGAAATAAGATAGGCGAAAGCAACTAGCACAATGCCTAAGACATATTTCAGTGCTCAATAGCTGTTTTTGTTTTAACTTAAGTTACCTCAGAATATCTGAAAAGGCTTCCACTCCATACTTGGAGACACAGTAGCCTCCTACAAAGAAAGCAACTCTTCCCAGAATGCTGGAGACATTGACAATTCTTCCCCGTGCTCTCCTCACCAAAGGAAGCATGCTCAAGGTCACCTGGATCACACCAATGAGGTTCACTTTGAGCATATTCATAGAGTCCTCAGTGTTCAGCCACTCACATAAGGTAATTGGTGTAAGAATGCCTGCATTGTTCACCAGTCCCCAGAGTCCTAAAACAATTAAAAGTCATATCAGGAGTTTGGTTTCAGGCAAAAATACTCTATTTTGAACTTTGGTGGGGAAAGAATCACTCTTGAGGAATCATAACCACTAACCACCCCCATGAGAGTTTGCAGCCCAAATGATATAACATACAAGTTTGCTAAATATAACTTTTTTTTTGAGACAAAGTCTCGCCCTATCGCCAGGCTGGAGTGCAGTGGCACGATCTCAGCTCACTGCAAACTCTGCCTCCCGGGTTCAAGCAATTCTCCTGCCCTCAGCCTCCCAAGTAGCTGGGACTACAGGCACGCACCACCACACCCAGCCAATGTTTGTATTTTTAGTAGAGATGGGGTTTCACCATGTTGGCTAGGATGGTCTCCATCTCTTGACCTCGTGATCCACCCGCCTCAGCCTCCCAAAGTACTGGGATTACAGGCGTGAGCCACCACGCCCAGCCTGCTAAATATAATTTTTAAATAAAAGGATTGAAAATATTCATTAAAATACTATAAAATTGATCAAGCAGATTTGAGAAAGAACCAAATAAAACTTCAGAAATAAAAGATACAACTATTGAAATTTTAAAATTTGTTAGACAGGTTTAATAGTAGATAGACATAGTGGAAGAAAGAAAGTAGCAAACTGGAAGACAGTAAAGAAAAATATACAGACTATGGCACAAATATAAAGAGATTAAAAACATGAAAGAAAAGGGAAGCAAGACCAAAGTAAAAACATGTAACATATGTCTAATAAGATCCAGAAATAAGGGAGGGAAATGGAATAAAGGCAGTATTTGAAGTAATGATGGCTAAGAATTTTCCAGAACTGATAATGAACAGATTAAAGAAGCCCCCCTGTTTGAAATGTTTGCTTTTTGGTGTCGTAAAGAAATAGCACTTGAACATAAATTTAATTTTTTTAGTAAGGCCATTTTTTTCACTTTTTGCGGAAAGGGTATACTTGCCAGCAGATTTGCCATGAGAGTATACTGAACAAAGGAGACAGGGTCATTTATAACCTGACATGTCTATTTTATTGTTGTGTCTGGTTTTTACTGACTGCAGCAGGACCTCACATTTTATATTTGTCTCGATTGGCTAGCAACTTAGAATTTTTTTTTTTTTTTTTTTTTTTTGAGACGGAGTCTCGCCCAGGCTGGAGTGCAGTGGCGGGATCTCCACTCACTGCAAGCTCCACCCCCCGGGTTCACCCCATTCTCCTGCCTTAGCCTCCTGAGTAGCTGGGACTACAGACGCCCGGCTAATTTTTTTGGTATTTTTAGTAGAGACGGGGGTTTCACCGTGTTCGCCAGGATGGTCTCGATCTCCTGACCTCGTGATCTGCCCGCCTCGGCCTCCCAAAGTGCTGGGATTACAGATGTGAGCCACGCACCCGGCCTCACTTAGAACTTTTTAAAAGAGGCAAAGGCAGAGGAGAACAAAGGAAGGAGGAAGTAACTTGTGGAATGTTGAAAAAGGTAAAAACACCTTCAAATAAGGAAGAGGAACAGGCTATGACCTAATGCTTGTTTGGACCAGTATAAGCACGCCAGGGCAAATATTTAGGTTAAATTGTGGGAGCTAAGAACATAAAGTACATTGATTTCTTTATTACAGCTAGCAGATATTTAAGAATGTTAGTACAGGTCTTTGAATAAATTATGTTTTTAAGAGAAGTCACTATTTATTCCCAATCAGATGGGGAGGAAAGTCTTTGAGGAGGAACCTCCACTTTACTTTTTACACCCCCCAAAAAATAAATCCCAAGCAGTATAAACAGAGAAATCCATACCTAAACACACCAAAATAAAGATCAAAGAAAAAATAAAATCAAAGAAGAGAATATCCTTAAATAGCCAGAAAGGAAAGACAGATTATTTTCAAAGGAAAAACAATTAGGCTAACAACTGACTTATCAAGACATGAACAACAGGAGACAGAAGACTGGAATGGTGTCTTCAATGTGCCAAGAGAAAGTAATTATTAACATAGACTAGCCTATCTGCAAAATTATCTTTCAAGAATGAGGGTAATTAGACATTTTAATAAATTTTTTTTTAAAAAAAAGATTTTGCCCCAGCATCTTCTATAATTCTTAGGCATATATTCGGTAACGAAGAAAGCAATTTTAGATGGAAAATTCAAGAAGGAATAATGAGCAAAAAAAAAAAAAAAGGTAAAAAGAGGATAAATCTAAACAAACATTGCATATTGGAGAGCCAAAAAACAGAACTGAAATACACAGCAGCAAGAGCATGTATGTCAGGAAGGATGACTGAAATGTGAGTGTTCTGAGGGCCTTGGATTACTCAGGAGAAAGGTAAAGATGTTAATTTTACATTTGATAAACCACATATGCACTTAAAATTTCTACTAGGGAAACAGAAATAGAGAATATTATAGTACTTTCAATTTAGTAGTGGAAAAAGTGGAATAAAAATTCAATCAATTCAAAAGAGCATAAAGGAAACAGGAAAAAATGGGACAAATAAAAAGCACAAAATAAGATGAAAGAAATAAATCCAAACATAATAATTAAGGCCAGGCTCAGTGGCTCATGCCTGTAATCCCAACACTTTGGGAAGCTGAGGCATTAAGATCACTTGAGACCAGGAGTTTGAGACCAGCCTGGGCAATGCAGTGAGACCCACTCTACAAAACTTTTTTATTTTAAGTTAGCTAAGTGTGGTGGTGCACACCTGAAATCCTAGATACTCAGGAGGCTGAGGTGGGAGGATGGCTTGAGTCCAGGAATTCGACATTACAGTGAGCTGATCGTGGCACTACACTCCAACCTGGATGACAGAGTGAGACTTTGCCTCTAAAAAAAAATAAAATAATAATAATAAAGTAGTATAGATGAAAGAAATGTTCTACTAAAAAAAAAAATTGTCAGATTGGATTAGTTTTTATATCAGCTATATGCTACTTACAAGAGGCTCACATAAAATACAGAGACACAGAAAAGTTGAAAGTATAAGGATTAAAAAAGACTCCAAGGTGGCCGGGCGCGGTGGCTCACGCGTGTAATCCCAGCACTTCGGCAGGCCAAGACGAGCGGATCCCGAGGTCAGGAAATCGAGAGCATCCTGGCAAACACGGTGAAACCCCGTCTCCACTAAAAATACAAAAAAATTAGCCGGGCCTGATGGCGGACGCCTGTAGACCCAGCTACTTGTAAGGCTGAGGCAGGAGAATGGCGTGAACCCAGTAGGCGGAGCTTGCCGTGAGCCGAGATTGCGCCACTGCACTCCAGCCTGGGCGACTGAGTGAGACTCCGTCTCAAAAAAAAAAAAAAAAAAGAAAAAGACTCCAAGGTAAAAAGTCTTTGTAACTGAAGGGATAGTAACATTATAAACTGAGAGAAGGACTAGAAAGAAAAGTAGAATTGGTGAAGAAAGGCCGGGCGCAGTGGCTCATGCCTGTAATCCCAGCACTTTGGGAGGCCGAGGCGGGCGGATCACCTGAGGTCACCAGCCTGGCCAACATGGTGAAACCCCGTCTCTACTAAAAATACAAAAATTAGACGGGCATGGTGGTGTGTGCCTGTAATCCCAGCTACCTAGGAGGCTGAGGCAGCAGAATCGCTGGAACTCGGGAAGCAGAGGCTGCAGTGAGCTGAGATCGCGCCACTGCACTCCAGCCTGGGTGACACAGCAAGACTCTATCTCCAAGAAAGAAAAAACAAAAAAGAATTGGTGAAGAGGTGAGAGGAAAACAAAGACTCCTTTAGATTTTGTGAGTTTCAGGCACTAGTAGAATTTCCAGATGGAGAAATGCGGCAAGTAGTTGGAAATTCAAATGTGAGGAGTAAGAAACCAAGGGCACAGATAAAAAGGGTAATAGACAAAAGTATGAGTATAGAGGATTCATTCAGCATTTATTGAGCCCTTAACATGTACCAGGCAAGGTGCCAGAAGTTGGAAATATAAAAATGAGTAAGAGAGGCCCATATCTTCAAGGAGCTCACAGTCTAACAGATGGGAAAACAATAACAATACAATAGAAATAAACGGGTATGCACAGCAAAGAGACTATAACTACCCATAACTTCTGACTCTGCCTGGGGGAGTTAAGAACATCCTCAGACAAGAAGCAATATTTTATTATTTTTTTAAATTGAGATGGTATCTCACTGTGTTGCCCAGGCTGGTGTTGAACTCCTGGGCTCAAGCAATCCTCCCACCCCGGCCTCCCAAAGTGCTGGAAGGAAGTAATATTTTAAAATACATTTTAGATTTTCAAAATTTTTTTAGTCAAATCAGTAAATTTTCAAGTTTAAAGTAAATTGTTTTTTAAAAAATTTACACTTTGGGCCAGGTGCAGTGCCTCACGCCTGTAATCCCAGCACTTTGGGAGGCCAAGACAGGCGGATCACCTGAGGTCAGGAGTTCGAGACCAGTCTGACCAACATGGAGAAACCCAGCTCTACTAAAAATACAAAATTAGCAGGGTATGGTGGCGGGCGCCTGTAATCCCAGCTACTTGGGAGGCTGAGGCAGGAGAATCGCTTGAACCTGGGAGGCGGAGTTTGCAGTGAGCGGAGATCATGCCGTTGCACGCCAGCCGGGGCAACAAGAGCAAAACTCCATTTCCAAAAAAAAAAAAAAATTTACACTTTGGAAGGCCAAGGCAAGTGGTTGGCTTGAGCCCAGGAGTCTGAGACCAACATGGGCAACATGGAGAAACCTCATGTCTACAAAAAATACAAAAATTAGCCAGGCATGGTGGTGCACCCCTGTAGTCCCAGCTACTCTAGTGGCTATTCACAAGTGCTATCGTAGCCCACTGTAGCCTCAAACTCCTGCTCAAGCAATGTTCCCACCTCAGCCTCTCAAGTAGCTGGAACTACAGATGTGTAGCCACTACACCCAGCCAAAAGAAGCAATTTCATTGCTACTTTGCAACTCCTAGAGTGAGGAGTTATTTAGGAGATCCAATTACCAGAATCTACTGAATCATAAAACCAAGGGAGAAGGAGAAGAAGGTAATCAAAGAGGAGTTGAATAATATCTAGACAAAATAGAACTTAAAAAGAGAATTTATTCATAATTGCCAAAAACTGAAAACAACCAAGATGTCCTTCAATAGGTGAATGATAAACTGTGGTACATACATACAATGGAATACTATGCAGCGAGAAAAAGAAATGAGCTGTCAGGCTTGACGCAGTAGCTCATACCTGTAATTCCAGCATTTTGGGAGGCTGAGGCAAGAGGATCACTTGAGCCCAGAAGTTCAGTGCTGCAGTGAGCTATTATTGCACCGCTGCACTTCAACCTGGGCAACAGAGTAAGACCTCCATCTCAACAAAACAAAACAAACAAACAAAAAAACAGAAATGAGCTATGAAGCCATGAAAAGACATGGAGAACAGGTGTGGTGGCTCATGCCTGTAATCCCAACACTGGGAAGCCAAGGTTGGAGGATCAGTTGAGCCCAGGAGTTCAAGACCAGCCTGGGTGACATGGTGAGATGACGTCTCTAAAAGAAAAAAAATTTTTAATTAGCCAGGCATGGTGGTGTGTACCTGTACTCCAGCTACTTGGGAGGCTGAGGTGGGAGGATCGCTTGAACCAAGGAGAGTGAGGCTGCAGTGGGCCATGATCATTCCACTGCACTCAGGCCTGGGCAACAGAGCAAGATCCTGTCTCAAAAAAAAAAAAAAAAAAGGCAAGACATGAAGGAATCTTAAATGCATACTGCTAAGTGAAAGAAGCCAGTCTAAAAGACTACATATAACATTATTCCAGCCGGGCGCGATGGCTCACGCCTGTAATCCTAACATTTTGGAAGGCCAAGGCGGGCAGATCACCTGAGGTCAGGAGTTCGAGGCAAGCCTGGCCAACATGGTGAAAACCCATCTCTACTAAAAATATAAAAATTAGCCCGGTATGGTGGTGCATGCTTGTAGTGCCAGCTACTTGGGAGGCTGAGAAAGGCGAATCGCTTGAAGCCGGGAGGTGGAGGTTGCAGTGAGCCGAGATTATGCCATTGCACTCCAACCTGTGTGACAAGAGTGAAATTCTGTCTCAAAAAAATATGATTCCAACTATATGACATCTGGAAATGGAAAAACTATGGAGACAGTAAAAAGAGCAGTGGTTGCCAGGAATGTGGGGAGTGATGAATATGTAAAGCACGAGGGACTTTTAGGGAACTGAAACTATTCTGTGTGATACAATAATGGTGGCTACTTGTCATTACACATTTGTTCAAACCCACAGAACTATATAATACAAAGTGAACCCTAATGTAAACTATGGACTTTAGTTAACGATAACATATCAACATTGGTTCATCAATTGTAACAACTCTGTCTCAAAAAAAAAAGGGAAAATTGTTGAGGGGGTATATAGGAACTCTGTACTTTCTGTTCAATTTTCTATAAACCTAAAATTTCTCTAAGAAATAGTGTGTTGATTTTTAAATATAATGAAATTTTAAAACATTTTTTAAAGAAGACCAAAGATTGACTTCAAGAAATGCCTATATTTTAAGTAGCAGCCAAGATAATCAGATTCTTAAGAACATCTTAGCCTGGGCAATATACCAAGACCGTGTTTCTGCTAAAAATAAAAATAAAAAAAAATTAGCCAGGCATGGTGGCAACCGCTTCTAATCCCAGCTAATTGAAAGGGTGAGGCAGGAAGATTGCTTGAGCCCAGGAGATCAAGGCTGCAGTGAGCTATGATCATGCCACTGTACCCCAACTCCTCAAATATAAAGAATTATGTTTATAAATACTCTACTTCCAATATGAGATAATAGCTTCAAATCTATTGAGCTTATTTTTCAACAACAAAATAAACATTGTTAAGGAAATGAAACGCCACAAAAGACCTCAACAGTCCTTCAAATGACGAGGCCAGCCTTCTAAGCTCAGCTTTGATACACACAGTCAGCCCTTCATATCCATGGATTCAATCAATTGTGGATAGAAAACACAATTTTTAATTTGCATCTGTACTGAACATATACAGACTTTTTTCCTTGTCATTATTCCCTAAACCAGGGGTCTCCAGTGCCTGGGCCATAGACTGGTACCAGCCCATGGCCTGTTAGAAACCAGGCCACACAGCAGGAGGTGAGCAGCAGACAAGCAAGCAAAGCTTCATCTGTATTTACAGCCACTCCCCATCACAGGCATTACTGCCTGAGCTCCGCCTCCTGTCAGGTCAGTGGCAGCAGTAGATTCTCACAGGAGCACTAACCCTATTGTGAACTGCACATGCCAGGGATATATCCTATGCACTCCTGTTGAGAATCTAATGCCTGATGATCTGTCACTGTCTCTTATCACCCCCAGATGGGACCATGTAGATACAGGAAAACAAGCTCAGGGCTCCAACTGATTCTACATCATGGTGAGTTGTATAATTATTTCATTATATATTACAATGTAATAATATAATGAAGTGCACAATAAATGCAATGCACTTGAATCATCCCAAAACCATCCCCACTCCCTGTCCATGGAAAAACTGTCTTCCACAAAACCGGTCCCTGGTGCCAAAAAGGCTGGGGACGGCTGCCCTAAACAATACAGTATAACTACTATTTACATATCATTTACAAAGTATTTAGTATTTTATGTAACCCAGGCATGATTTAAAGTATCCATACCTTAAAGGATGTGCATAGGTTATAACCAAATACTGCACTATTTTATATAAGGGATTTGAGCATCCTCGGATTTTAGTATCCACAAGCAGTCCTTGAACCAATCCCCAGGAGACACCAAGGAACAACTGTATATATAACCTTAGCATCTTCATGCTAAGTAAATAAAAGGAGAAAATATTTCATACCTCTGTCCCCCACATGCTCCTTCACCCACTGAGTAGCTGCAGCGATGCTCTCCATCTTGGTAACATCCAGGGTCACCGTCTCCAGCCTGTCAGACGTCTGGCCCCTCAGCTGCTCGGCCCCCTTCTCCGTCAGACACGCAGCCAGCACTCTCAAGCCTCGTGCATCCAGCTGTCTGGCCAGCAGGTTCCCAAAGCCCGAGTCACAGCCCGTGATAAAGACATACTTGTCTTGGAGGTGGCTCACCACCTGCCTCTCCCGGTACCAGTGCAGAAGGTAGTACAGGCCCACGAAGGCCGCCAGGTAGAGCCACATAGTGAGGGTGCTTCCTTCTCTTTCAATAGAAAGAAAACATTTTATTCCTTCCTTATTATTTAACCAATATATCTATTCAGTATTTGCCATGTGCCAGGCATTGCACTAGGTGATAGGGACTCTTTATTGATTAATACTTAGTCCTACCCTCAAGGGGCCACAGTCTAGAGAGGGAAGTCAGTGAGGTAACCAAACAAATCCAATGCAGTGTGAAAGGTGCCATAACAGAAGTATACACACAGTCTACAAAGGAAGATGACCGATAGCCTAGCACAGAAGGAATGATTTTGGTACTACTTCCTACCAAATAGGATAAGTAAGTTCAAAAAGTGGATAAGGATGACAACATTCCAGGCAGTAACAATGTGTACATGAAGGGAGTCGTGAGCAGCACAGAACTTCTTGAGACCTATAAACAATTCTGCATGAGTGCAGAGCAGAACATACATAAGAAGAGACTGGAGATGAGGTAGTGAAGGGCCAAATCATGAAAGGCCTTGTAAGCCACACTACGGAATCTGGATGTTATCCTGTGGACAGAGTATGCTACTAGAAGACATTAAACAGAGTATGCTACTAGAGTCAGGTGGCCAGATTAAGTTTTAGGAAGATTTGTCTCACAATGGCAGTGGAGGATAGATGAAACAGGTGTGGTGAAGGCAGTGAGATCCATTAGGAGATCCAATAGTTTGGGTGAGTTATTGCAGCCAAAGCAATTTGTAAACCTAGACCAATCAGAAGCATTGTTGAAATGAGTGTTCACAGATGCCTATGTTTCTATATGAAATTCTGGAGCAAAGTCCACCATTTTTTAGTAATCTATACATGTTGGCTGAACTAACATAATTCATAACAACATAGGTAGAGGTCAAATATGGGTATGGGCCCGCTAGCATCATAAGGCCTATACCACAACGCCTGCATGAGGCTAGTCTATGCAATTCAAACTCCTTAGTTTGACATGAATGTCCCCAGCACTCTGGCTACTTAGGCTTCTCTCTTGCATCCTACTCTTTAGCCAAAACAAACAACTTTCAGTCCCCTGCAAAGCACAGGCTTTTTACGCCTCTGCATACACTTCTTTCTACTGGAAAGAAGTAGCCCTCATCTACTTGGCAAATAACACTCTTTTTTTTTTCTTTTTTTTTTTTTTTTGAGACAGAGTTTCACTCTTTTTGCCCAGGCTGGAGTGCAATGGCGCAATCTCAGCTCACTGCAACCTCCGCCTCCTGGGTTCAAGTGATTCTCCTTGCCTCAGCCTCCCGAGTAGCTGGGATTACAGGCACGTGCCACCAAGCCGGGCTAATTTTGTATTTTTAGTAGGGAGAGAGTTTTTTACCATGTTGGCCAGGCTAGTCGTGAACTCCTGACCTCAGGTGATCCACCCACCTTGGCCTCCCAAAATGCTGGGATTACAGGCATGAGCCACCACACCCAGCCATAACACTCATCTTTTAAGTCTCAGCCTAATCATCACTTTCATTCAGCAAACATTAATTCAACAACTACTTGAGTCAGACACAGTGTTAGGCACTGATACACAAGAGTGAACAATACATAGTCCATTTTTCATTGAATTCACAGTCTCATTATGAAGACTGACAACAATGCATTATAACAGAAGTAAAAACAGGAGGCTGCTGGAACACTCAGGAGAGGCTTCTAAGGCAGTTTAGAGAGGTCTGAGAAGCTTCCTAGAGAGAATAAAATATAAGTTGAGATCTACAGGTGTACTAGTCCGTTTTCACACAGCTATAAAGATACCACCCGAGACTGGGTAATTTATAAAGAAAAGAGGTTTAATTGATTCACAGTTCCACATGGCTGGGGAGGTCTCAGGAAAATTACAATCATGGTAGAAGGGGAAGCAAACACATGATGGCAGGAAAGCAAAAGCAAGCAAGAGAGGAACTACCAAACGCTTATAAAACCATCAGCTCTCATGAGAACTCAACATGGGGGAAACCACCCCCATGATCCAATCACCTCCCACCAGGTTCCTCCCTAAACACCTAGGAATTACAATTCAAGATATGATTTGGGTAGCGACACAAAGCCAAACCATATCAAAAGGATAATTAAAAAATAATAGCTAGGCCAGGCACACTGGCACATGCCTGTAATCTCAGCATGTTGGGAGGCCAAGGCAGGCAGATCACCTGAGGTCAGGAGTTTGAGATCAGCCTGGTCAACATGGCGAAACCGCATCTCTACAAAAATACAAAAATTAGCCAGGCATGATTGTGGGCGCCTGTAATCCCAGCTACTTGGGAGGCTGAGGCAGGAGAATCGCTTGAACCCGGGAGGTGGAGGTTGCAGTGAGCCGAGATCATGCCATTGCATTCCAGCCTGGGTGACAGAGCGAGATTCTGCCCATCTCAAAAAAAAAAAAAAAAAAAAAAAATTGCAACCCTTGCCGAGCACTTGCTGTGTATCAGGCTCTGTTCTAAGATGTCACATATATTAACTTTTTGAATTCTCACAAGAACCCTACAAGACAGGTCCCATCATTATTCCTCTGTGTCAGTTCAGATACCAAGACAAAATTAGACATGCAAGAGATTATGGGGGAAACACCCTCAGAGGACAAAGGGGGAAGGCACAGGAATAGGTGGTAATGCAGATCTGACACCTCGGGAAGGAGAGGGGAACAGAAGGAGGAGAAGATAGGAAGAGCTTTAGACTGTAGTAGAGCCCCAAGAAAGTCTCAGCCAGGCCCATGAGCCTGAGCAAAGACTGCCACTGGAGAAGTTCCACACTGGGCTGAACTGGTCCAGCTCCAGTACTGCCATCCTTCTGGTCATTGGCTGACCAGTGCCCAAGAGGAGCGTGCCTCAGTGTAAATACCACAGCAGATCGGAGGGTGCCACAACTGGAGGCTGGAAGTCAACCTCACTCCTCATAGCAGATTTTCTTGAGTGATCTGAGCAATGCACCTCAATGGCTGCCACACTGTTTCATAGGTGAGCACTGAGAGATTACATACAGTACTAGACAGAGGGGACAAAAAATGGTCCAGGCAAGAGACTTTCCTGCCCTGATTTAACCTGCCCCATGGTCTAACAGAATTGACTATACCCTCCTTAGTGTCCCCATTGTGGCCTGGGTTTATCATGATGCCTGCTGTACTTCATTGCACTGCTCTTCCCCATTTTTAGACTATAAGGCCCTTGAGAGCCCAGGTTACATATTAGTCTGCACCTGGCCCAGTGAATGGCACATAGCAGATACTTAATAAATGTTAGATAAATTAAGTTATACTAAGTAAAAATATCCTGATAAAAAATTGAGAGAAAAAAAGCAGGGAGAATGAGCCAGAGAAGTAGGAAAAAGCAAGCTGATGAAAGCCAAGGAAAGGGGGGCTTAATGAGGATCAGCAATGCAACCAGGAGGTCTGCTGGGTAATAGGAGGGCACTGGTGCTCTTAACGGGAAGACTCAGACAGTGAAGGGCACAGAAGCCAATCTTCAGTGGGCTGCTGCATGAATTGGAGGGCAGGAAGTGGAGCCGAGTGGAGACTCTTTTTCAAAAGCCTGGTCTGGGAAGGAGAGGAGAGAAGGCAGTAAGTAGCGAGAGGGCAACTTAGGGTGTAGGCAAGTAAAGTGGAAGGAGACAGTGAAAGGGAGAAAACAGTGGAGAGAGGCATATATTGCTCCTCCCTCCCCCACCATCTTCTCTTTCTCTCCTTTTCCCCTCTTCCCTCTGTCTCTCTCCTTCCTTCTCTGAAGCCCTTTGCCTCTCTCCAATCTGAGAGCTCTGTGTTCTCTAGCCAGCTGCCTCTGTTCTGCCTAAGTGGCATTCCCTGGTGCACTACAGTAACACAGAGAGCTTCAACCTGACTGTTTATTGACTAAAAGGTAATTTTCTGTTGCCAGTCAAAGATGAAAACGTATTTCCCCCATTAGAGAGAAGCTTGGCCCTCACAGTTTCCCCGGGCATTACTATTCAGCCATCGCATGCCTAGCAGCAAGAAGACCTGCAGAAGAGATACACCTGGCGGAATCCCAAACCCTAGGCCAAACCTGAATGTGCCTCGAATATTTCAAATGTCCAAATACCCGAAGTGGCGTGGCCTGCTTGCTTTTACAAACCATTCATCTGCAAAAGCTGTGCAATTACTTTACGTTTTTGCCTTTGACTCAAATTATTTATACACAGTACTTAAGCTGCTATTTCTTGATTTACCAATTTTTGACATTCTCAATTAACTTCCTGCTATGGTAAATAAGAATTCAGCTTTCTTACATCATATTGTCAGTCTCTTCCTTTCTCATCTACACTATGCTATCTGGTTAATTTTATTTAATGAGTTTTGAGGTCGAGCCTAGAAAACACCTTCATAATCACACATGCATAGGTTAAGAACTTCCACTGTTTATTTCAGGTCTGATCCCCATCTTGGGCTTCATCATTGCTTGAAGCTACTCTCCCACAAAGATCTTGAAAAGCTAGGCCAGGCACGGTGGCTCACGCCTGTAATCCCAGCACTTTGGGAAGCTGAGGCAGGCAGATCACCTGAGGTCAGGAGTTCGAGACCAGCCTGGGCAACATGACTAAGCCCCATCTCTACTAAAAATACAAAAATTAGCTGAGTGTGGTGGCAGTGCCTGTAGTCCCAGCTACTTGGGAGGCGGAGGCACAAGAATCGCTTAAACCTGGGAGGCAGAGGTTGCAGTAAGCCAAGATCACGCCACTGCACTCCAGCTTAAGTGACAGAGTGAGACTCTGCCTCAAAAAAAAAAAAAAAAACCTTGAAAAGCTGAAACTGCCCTCTCTGCACAGCCCCATCCTATCTTTGGGGCTCTTCCCCTCCCCCCACTCCCCTCTACTTCTTTCTTCCTGCTCTGCCTTCCTTTTCCTCAGTCTCTCTCTATTACTGCAATCCTCTCACAGTTTCATTTGCCTCCTTATTCAGCACAGGTCTCATAGTTGGCCATTTTAGGGGTGCTTCACTAGCACCCCAAAGCCTTTACCATCCATGTTCTCTAGCTGCCAGCTGCCAAGTGGTGCTAGAGAAAGACCAGAAAACAAACTTTTATACAACAAATCAATGTTATCCTATCTCAGCTGCGCCCCCTCCCCCCCGCCCACCGCCAATATAAGGCAAACCTTCTGTTTGCCTCCATTTGACTCCTCCCTTATTATTTCGCAACAACACCTGTTCCAAATCTTTACTAGCCTTCAAAATTTCCCAACCTCATGTTTACCTAGCTCTCCTTCCACAGATGAGCATACACGTTGCTTCCCTGCCAAAATCCAGATCTGCTCAACCTGGACACTCTAATTCCTACCCACAACATTTTGCCTGTCATCTCAGGGGGTTCCAGGGCCCAGTGAGGCTACCTCTGCTCTAAATTTCTCTGTATTGTCTTCTATCCTCTTTCTTCTGCCTTTCATCCTCCCTAAGACCATCCTAACCTGCCACCCCTTTAATAACCATCCTCTCTCTTCCCCATATGGCCAAAATATTCAAAGGGCAAGCACAGGCCCTCTATTTTCTTGCCACCCACGAGCTCCTTGCACTTCACCTTCCATTCCCATCACTCTCTGGAAACTCTCTCACAGCTCACCAAGGACCTATTAGCAGACAATTCCCAAGGCTTCCTCTCTCTTCTCCTCAGACCTCACTGCAATATTTAGCACATTCTTTTTTCTTATGATTTTATCTGATTCTTAGATCCTAACCTGGCCTTCAGTGAAGAAGAAGAAGATTGCTTTCAGATCGTGCCATGCTCTCATTGGATTCTGTCTGTGACTCCCTGTCACCCACAGGATAAAGTCAGAACTCCTCAGCTTGACACACGATAATAATAGTGAACAGTTATAGAGAACTTTCCTTGCCAGGCACTGTGTGAAACCATATATATATATACACAATATACACACACACACACACATGGTTTCACACATATATATGTGTGTGTGTGTATATTGTATACGTGTGTGTATACATTGTATATATATGTGTATATACGTGTATATATACACGTATACACACACATATATTTTTATATATACACATATATACACACATATATATTATATATACACACATATATATTATATATACATAATATACACAATATATACACATATATATACGTATATATAATACATATATATTATATATGTGTGTATATATGTGTATATATAATATACCCTCTATTGTGTATATATAATATATACACTATATATATAATATATATAATATATTAATATAATATATATGTTATATATTAATATATGTATGTGTATATATATAATATATATACACAATAGAGGGTATATGCAATTATTTTGTTTTTGTTTTTTTTTTGTTTTCGTTTTGTTTTGTTTTGAGAGGGAGTCTCGCTCTGTCCCCGGGCTGGAGTGCAGTAGCGCGATCTCGGCTCACTGCAAGCTCTGCCTCCCAGGTTCACGCCATTCTCCTGCCTCAGCCTCCCGAGTAGCTGGGACTACAGGCGCCTGCCACCACGCCCGGCTAATTTTTTTTTTTTATTTTTTAGTGGAGACAGAGTTTCACCGTGTTAGGCAGGATGGTCTCGATCTCCTGACCTCGTGATCCTCCCACCTCAGCCTCCCAAAGTGCTGGGATTACAGGCGTGAGCCACCGCGCCTGGCAGTGTATGCAATTATTATGCCCACTTTTCACATGAGGAAACTGAAGCACAGATTAAGGCAAGAATTAAGTGACTTTTCCAAGGTGAAACAGAGTGAATAGTAGAGACAGGATCAACTCCAGAGTGTTCACCTGCAGAAGCCTTGCATCTAACCACTGCACTACACTGCCTTTCCCTTTCAAGACCAGCCTGGGCAACATGACTAAGCCCTATCTCTACTAAAAATACAAAAATTAGCTGATTTTTCATGGTCAGGCCATGGCCTACGTTTGCCCCTTGGCTCCTGTCTCTCACAGCCAGAAGCCATAGTTTAATCCTTCTGACTACCCAATTTGAAGCACACGCTTCTCCGTTCACTTCTGAGATGCTCTACTCCCGTTCTCCTACAGCAGTCACAGACAGCGTCCCTTCCCCTTCACCCCTCCCAGCTCCTCCTCTCCCTTCTCTACCCTAAATGCAAGGACTCCTCAATGCCTCTTGATTGGCCTATCACAGAAGCTTTCTCACTAACCCCACAGTGTCACTCTCACTTCCCCTCTCATCCACATAGGGCTGTCTGGTTAATTTCCCTAAAGCGCAGCTCTGCCGATGTCACTCCCTGAATAGCATTCAACCTACTGAAAATCTAAATCTAAAACCTTAGTTGTACAAGGCCCTCCATGATTGGATCTTGACCTTTTCTCCCCCTCCTCTTTCTCACACTGCCTATGTTCCATCAAAACCAAAGAGCTTTAAAATGAAGGAAGTATGATTTGCTGAGCCTTGGAGGACAGATGGTATTTGACATGCAGAGATTGGGAACCAGGGCATTTCAGGCAAAGGGAATAGTGAGAGCAAAGACCTGGAACATGGCAAGTACAGAGCACTAATAAATGGAGATACCAACAAGACTACTCTGGATGATTCCGACTACCTTTTGTCACACGCGTCCCAGTGAAGAGATCACCAAACAGGCTTTGTGTGAGCAACAAGGCTGTTTATTTCACCTGGGTGCAGGCGGGCTGAGTCCGAAAAGAGAGTCAGCAAAGGGAGATGGGGTGGGGTCATTTTATAGGATTTGGGTGGGTAGCGGAAAATTACATTTAAAGGGGGTTTTTCTCTTGCAGGCAGGGGTGGGGGTCATAAGGTGCTCAGTGGGGGAGCTTCTGAGCCAGGAGAAGGAATTTCACGAAGTTAATCACTCAGTTAATGTGGGGCAGGAACAAATCACAGTGGTGGAATGTCATCAGTTGAGGCTATTTTCACTTCTTTTGTGGATCTTCAGTTGCTTCAGGCCATCTGGATGTATACATGCAGGTCACAGGGGATGTGATGGCTTAGCTTGGGCTCAGAGGCCTGACACCTTTCCTTTTCTTTCTTTCCAAGAACCTCTCTGCATGAGCTTTCCTGCCCCAACCCTGATTTTGTGGATAGTATAGAATCATGAGGCTGGGCACAGTGGCTCACACTTGTAATCCCAATACTTTAGAAGGCTGAGGTAGGCGAATTCCTTGAGGAGTTCGAGACCAGCCTGAGCAACATGGCAAAATCCCATCTCTACAAAAAATACAAAAACTAGGCAGGCATGGTGGGGAGTGCCTGTAGTCCCAGCTACTCTGGAGGCTGACACGGTGGGGGGAGGGGGTGGGAATCACTTTAGCCTGGGAGGTCGAGGTTGCAGTGAGCCATGATTGCACTACCGCACTCTATCCTGGGCAACAGAGCAACACCCTGTTTGGAAAAATTAATAAATAGATAATAAGAAAAAAAAGGATTGGTTTTTTGTGTGTGTGTTTTTGTTTTTGTTGTTGTTTGTTTTGAGACGGAATCTTGCTCTGTCGCCAGGCTGGAGTGCAGTGGCGTGATCTCAGCTCACTGCAACCTCTGCCTCCCAGGTTCCAGCGATCCTCCGGCCTTAGCCTCCTGAGTAGCTGGGACTACAGGCATGCAACACCATGCCCGGCTAATTTTTGTATTTTTTAGTAAAGACAAGGTTTTACCATATTGCCCAGGCTGGTCTCAAACTCCTGACCTCGTGATCCGCCTGCCTCAGCCTCCCAAAGTGCTGGGATTACAGGCGTGAGCCACCGCACCCAGCCTAAAAAAAAATTTTCTTAAATAGAATCATGAGGCCAGGCATGGTGGCTCATGCTTTTAATCCCAGAACTTTGGGATGCGAGGCAGGCAGATCACTTGAGGCCAGGAGTTCAAGACCAGCCTGGCCAACATAGCGAAACCTCGTCTCTACTAAAAATACAAAAATTAGTCAGGTGTGATGGCGGGCGCCTGGAATCCCAGCTACTCAGGAGGCTGAGGCAGGAGAATAGCTTGAACCTGGGAGGCAGAGGCCGCAATGAGCTGAGATCATGCCACTGCACTCCAGCCTGGAAGACAGAGTGAGACTCTCTCTCAAAAGAAAAAAATAAAAAATAGAATCATGAGCATAGACTCTGAGGCCAGATGGCCTGGGTTCAAAATCAGGCTTCGAGATTTACTTGTTCTGCAGCCTTGAGTAAGTGAACTGGCCTCTGTTCCTGTGTGCTCGTGTTCAAAATGGGAAAAAGAAACCTCAGTGATTTATTGAGAGGGTTAAATAAGTTAATGCATGTAAAGCAATACATAATTGTTAGATATTAGTATTATTTTGGGTAGTTGTTGTCTTATTATTGCCATATTGCCTTTCTCCCTGAGCCCTGTCTCTTCCCCTGAGCTTTCATAGAAGGAAACTGTGCCATGGGAATGTGCATTATCTGGTGCATTACACCACCACTTTTCTACAGTATGCATAACTCCACATATTGCAACATCCTTAATCATTTCTATCAGCTCTTTATCACTATTTTGGGCCATGCTCGTGCACCTTAACTTCCTTCTGTCTCAAGCGAGGACCTCTCTCTCTGCAATATAATACATGGCAAAGTAAGAAGTAGCCTTTATTCCCTTCTTTGGTTAAAATCTTCAGACATGGGTTTGTCTATAAACTCCAGTCAGCTTAGTCACTGATCCTAAGAGCAAGTCTGTAAACAGCACATGGCTCCCTGAACTGATCCACCATGACATTCTTTTCTTCCCACTTGGGCATACAGGCTAAGTATTCCTCAAGTCAATAATTGTTTTTTCTTTTCTTTTTGATTTTCTTTTTTTTTTCTTTTTTTCTTTCTTCTTTTTTTTTTTTTTTTTTTTTTGAGACACGGTCTCACTCTGTCATGTAGGCTGGAGTGCAGTGGTGCAATCACAGCTCACTGTAGCCTCGACCTCCTGGGCTCAGGTGATCCTCCCACCTCAGCCTCCCAAGTGGCTGGGACCACAGGTGTGCACCACCACACCTAGCTAATTTTTTGTATTTTTTGTAGAGACAGGGTTTCATCATGTTGCCCAGGCTGGTCCCAAACTCCTGAGTTCAAGGGATCCTCACTCCTCAACCTCTCAGAGTTCTGGGATCTTGGCCCAATCACAGAAGGCCCCTTTCCGCTTACCCAAAGTTTCACAAACTTACCCAACAGCTATCAGCATTAACCATTAAAGAGCTTGTTTCCCCCACTGCCGAGAATCCCGTTTTCAGAGGATACCCAGAGTCCCTATTTGTAAGTATGAAATCACTCCCAACTTGTAACCAGTACTCTCCCAAACTTCATGGGAGTAAAGATCAAAAAAGCAGAGCAAGCAATCGTGACAAAATTTCTTTCACGAATCAAAGTTGAAGGATCTTTTAAGATGATAAAAAATCATAATCAAAACCTGTCTCCAAACAGACCATATCCCATATCCCCTACACACACACACACACACACACACACACACACACACACACACACAACCACCCTTACCCACCTACATACCGGACTTGCTTAGGAAGAGTCCAGTCCTAGAGACTTGAAAGGACTTCTTTGCAGACCAGGCAGCAGTCGGCTTCCTCCTGCCCCAACTGCTGCCCACTCCAACCTCTGCATTGCTCTTATAACACCTCCCTCTTGTGGTAAGAGTCCAGGCTGCTTCACTCCCTCATAGGGTTCTCACCAGTGTCATCCTTGATCAGCTGCAGAATCAGATCTGTTACTACCAAAATGAAAAACAGAAAGAAAGAAAAGAGCTGCCCTGACCAGAGAGTCTTGTATGCTCCTCAGCCCCCATCCTCTAATTTTTTTTTTTTTTTTTTGAGACAGAGTCTCGCTCTGTCACCCAGGCTGGAGTGCAGTGGCATGATCTCGGCTCACTGCAACCTCCACCTCCCGGGTTCAAGCAATTCTCCTGCCTCAGCCTCTGGAGTAGCTGGGGTTACAGGCGCCTGTAAAAATTTTTGTATTTTTAGTAGAGATGGGGTTTTACCAAGTTGGCCAGGCTGGTCTCGAGCTCCTGGCCTCAAGTGATCCACCTGCCTTGACTTCCCAAAGTGCTGGGATTACACATGAGCTGACGCACCCAGCCCTCTATTTAATTACTGAGACAGGGTTTCCCTCTGTCACTCAGGCTGGAGTGCAGTAGCACAATCTGGGCTCACTGCAGCCTCGACCTCCCAGGCTCAAGTGATCCTCCCACCTCAGCCTCCAGAGTAGCTGGGACTAAAGGTGCACGCCACCATGCCCAACTAATTTTGAGTTTTTTTGTTTGTTTGTTTGTTTGTTTGTTTTTTGTAGAGATGGGGTTTCACCAGCTTGCCCACACTGGTCTCGAACTCCTGGGCTCAAACGATCTGCCTGCCTCAGCTTCCTAAAGTTCTAGGATTACAGGCGTGTACCACCGTGCCTGGTCCCATCCTCTAATTTAAACTGGAATATTACAATGCAAATCCCCTGCTGGAATGGGGTCAGAGGGCAGGTTGATTTTAGCAAAGCCCACTTCTTAAGACTGCCAACCTGAGATCAGCTGCTGCAAGCTGGGGCTGGCTCAGTCACCTTTCTGAAAGAACTGCAGCTGTTTCATAGCTTGAGCCCTGGACCTAGGGTTGTGTGTGTGTGTGTGTGTGTGTGTGTGTGTGTGTGTATATATATATATATATATTTTTTTTTTAAGTAACAGCTTTATTGAGGCATAATTCACATATCATACCATTCACTCTTTTGAAGTGTACGATTCAATGGGTTTTAGTATATTCACAAGGTTGTGCAACAATCATCACTATCTAGTTTCAGAATACTTTTATTATCCCAAAAGAACCCCATACTCCTTAGCAGTCACCTCCCATTCTTTCCTCCCACACCCCACTCCTGGCAACCAGTAATCTACTTTCCATGTTTGTGGATTTGCCTATTCTGGACACTTCATATAAATGGAATCACACAATATGTGACCTTTGTGACTGGCTTCTTCTGTTTAGCATAATGTTTTCAAGGTTCATCTATTTATCAGTACTTCATTTTAATGTCTGAATCATATTCCATTGTGTGGCTATTCCACGTTTTGTTTATGCATCCATCAACTGATAAACATTTGGGTTGTTTCTGCTTTTTTGTGTTATTATGAATAATGCTGAAACGAATATTTACATACAGATTTTTTGTGTGGACATGGGCCTTCAATTCTCTTGGATATATGTACCCTAAGAGTGAAATTGCTGGGTCAAATGATAACTCTATTTTTAACATTTTGAGGAATTCCCAAACTGTTTTCCAAAGAGGCTGCACCATTTTACAATCTCACCAGCTTCATATGAGGGTTCCAAATTCTCCACATGCTCACCAACACTTATTATCTTTTTTTTTTTTTTTTTTTTTTTGAGAGGGAGTCTCACTCTGTCACCCAGGCTGGAGGACAGTGGTGCAATCTCACCTTACTGCAACCTCTTCCTCCTGGGTTCAAGTGATTCTCCTGCCTCAGCCTCCTGAGTAGCTGGGATTACAGGTGCATGCCACCACACCCAGCTAATTTTTGTATTTTTAGTAGAGACGAGTTTTCGCCATGTTGACCAGGCTGGTCTCAAACTCCTGACCTCAAGTGATCCACTCACCTCGGCCTCCCAAAGTGCTGGGATTACAGGCATGAGCCACCGTGCCTGGCCATATTATCTTTTTTATTTTAGCCATCCTAGTTGGTATGGATTGATATCTCACTGTGGTTTTGATTTGCATTTCCCTAATGATTAATGATGTTGAGCATCCTTTCATGTGCTTATTGGCTATTTGTTTGTCTTCTCTGGTGAAATGCCTATTCAAATCTTTTGCTCATTTTTTGTCTTATATTAAATGTGACGAGTCACAGTACGACCCCGTAGTAAAATCGTACTTAGGGAGAATCACAACAGTACCTCAAACTCAACACATTCAAAACTAAAATGATGATGATTCACTGCAATCTGGTCCTCCTCATTTTCATGTTATTTCCTATCTGCATATGTATTCAACAAATTTAATAAGTGCTTAATAGATGCCAGGCAACTCCCTTCCATCCAGTTGCCCAAGTCTGAAACCTGGGAATCATCCTAGACCCCTTCCTCATCCCCCATGTCCAATCAATATTAATTCTACCTCCTTAAAGTCATTATGTCCATCCCATCCCTTCCATCTCCACTTTACTGCCTTAGCTCAGGCCATCAGTATTTCTCACCTGGTTTCCGGCAACAGTCTGCTAGGATTGCTCCACCTCTGGTTTCTCTCTACCCTCCTATTTGCCCTCTACAGGGCTCCAGAGTTTATTTATAAAACACAACTCTGAGGCCGGGGGCGGTGGCTCACACCTGTAATCCCAGCACTTTGGAAGGCCGAGGTGGGAAGATCACTTGAGCCTAGGAGTTCGAGACCAGCTTGGCCAATATTGCAAAACCCCGTCTCTACACAAAATACAAAAATTAGCCGGGTGTGGTGGCACATGCCCATAATCCCAGCTACTCGGGAGGCCGAGGTGGGAGGATCACCTGAGCCTGGGAAGGTTGAAGCTGCAGTGAGCCATGATCATGCCACTGCACTCCAGCTTGGATGACAGAGACCCTGTCTCATAAATAAACAAACAAACAAACAAAACACAACTCTGATTATGTTTCTACTCTGCTTAAAACCCTTCAATGAGCCAGGAATGGTAGCTCACATCTGTAATCCCAGCACTTTGGGAGGCCAAGGCAGGTGAATCAGTTGAGGTCAGGAGTTCGAGACCAGCCTGGCCAACATGGCAAAACCCCACCTCTACTACCAATACAAAAAAATTAGCTGGGAATGGTGGCACATAACTGTAATTCCAGCTACTAGGGAGGCTGATGCATGAGAATCGCTTGAACCCAAGGGTCATCGCTTGAGCTGAGATGGCGTCACTGCACTCCAGCCTGGGTGACAGAGTGACACTCTGAAAAAAAAAAAAAAAACCCTTCCATGGCTTCCCATTGTCTTCACACAAATCCAAATTCCTATGAAGGAACAAGGCTTAATGTTGTGCTTTAATGTGAATCTGCCAATCCTTTATTTCAAGCAGTCTGCAAGGAGAAAGCTAGAGCCAAAACATGTATAGCCTTATGGCTAACAAGAGAACCTACACAATATTTATATTGGCAGATTGCTTATCTAAAGTCTGGTAGGTTAATTTACAGTTTAGGTTTTAAATACTCAGTTTCCTATACCAAACGCACCAAATAGATTAAAGAGCAATTGCAACGTCCCAGAACACGTTTTATTGGCTTTGTGATCATCACGTGCTCTGTTAGAGGGAACATTCCTGTGAGATCAATCCAAAACTCTGGCATTTAAACAAATATGATGGAACTCTCTGCTACTTTTCAGTAGTTTATGATAACAAGAGACAGAGCTTATCATATTTAAACTGAGATGTGACTTTGGCCCCATTCTCCTTTTGTTTATTATGCTCCTGTGTCAATAGAACATATTTGAAACTGTCCTTATGAACCTTTGAAAATTAATCAGGAAAGCAGGGAGAGAAAGAAATGAAAACAAACCAAGCTTGCAACACATTCAGCATTAATCATTAGGTCAGCCGGCTCTCTGACCTGCTTTCTCATCGTTGTTTAGGCATATTGTCCTAGAATCACATAGATCAGACAGTATAGTTCCCCTTAACTGCTCTATTATAGATAACAACTTGAACATTATAAAATGTTGTTTCCATTTGAGATATCCTTTCAGGTCCTGCACACCAGTGAAACTAATGAGGTCAGCTGATCTGAAGGACCCCATCGACATCAGCAGTTCTGAAGGATCATACAAGGAGCTGACTCACTGAATGCAGTTTCCACATCCTGACGACTTCATCCCTTTGACCCCAACCACTCAATGACCCCAATTTTCCAGTCCCTCATTCTCCACAATCCCCTTAAAAACCCCAGCCCAGAACTCCTCAGGGAGATGGACTTGAAGATCTCCTCTCATCTCCTTGCTCAGCCGCCCTGCAATCATTAAACTCTTTCTCTGCTGCAAACCCTACTGTCTCAGTGTATTGGTATGTTGCTGTGCAGTGGGCATACAAACCTGTTGGTCCTGTAACATATTTTCTAATCTTCTCTTCTTTATTTTATTAACAAGGAAAATAACTAACATAGGAGTACTCCAAGTTTTCAAGCAACTTACTTACTTCAACAGGATTTTAACTCCCAAGGCTTCTTGTCAAATATTAATAGGATCAATAGTTTATTTTCATTTTAACCAAATAAAGTAGATGATGAATAATTTTTACTTCCACACTCCTTAACTTGGCAGGCAATGCTCTGACCATGGCTTACCTCTTAGCCCCATCTCTCACTATACCCTCCCTTGAAGTCTGGGCTCTGTCCATATGAAACTATTGGCAGCTTCCCAAAAGTGCCATTTATACTTTTGTGCCTGTGTTCCCTGTACTAATCTTATCCATGTCTTAAGAACATGGCAAAACAAATAGACAGTTGGGTTAAAAATGCACCTATAATACTTCATTACGCTTTTTTGGGGCGGGGGGACAGGGTCTTGCTCTATCACCAGGCTGGAGTACAGTGGCATAATCACAGCTCACTGCAGCCTCAACCTCCTGGGCTCAAGCAATCCACCTCAGCCTCCCTGGGACTACAGGCATGAGCAACCATGCCACACTAATTATTGTATTTTTTGTAGAGATGGGGTTTCGCCATGTTGGCCAGGCTGGTCTCAAACTTCTGAGCTCAAGTGATCCACCTGCCTCTGCCTATCAAAATGCTAGGATTACAGACATGAGCCACCATGCCCAGCTCATTCATTACACTTTTTTATTTGTGTCTATTGCCCCTAGTATGATATAGCTTTCTCAGAAGCAGAAATAATGTCATTAATTATTTTCCCCACAGTTCATCTCAGTGCCCAACACATATGTTCATTAACTATTTGTGGAATAAATGAATGAATTCATGAATGACTGAATCAACCATACCTTTACAGAATAGATCATCCTTTCAGATGCTAAAAACACCCAGAATAACAATAGGACTTAAACTAGACAGGCAATCAATGAGGCAAGTGTCGAAGTCTGCAAACAACATGGGGCAAGAAACTTGAGGCTGATAGATATACCACAAAAAAAGACTAAAAACGATGGTAGAGCCAGGTAGCATAAGGACTGAAGGAAAAAAGGGGTTTGCACCTATGTGTATGAAATCACAAAGGGAAACAAACTGAATGGTGATACTGCCTCCCAGTGGCATTTGAGATAAAGGCCTCTATGCCAGAGCACTTTTTTTTTTTTTTTTTTTTTTTTTGAAATGGAGTCTCACTCTGTCGCCAGTCTGCAGTACAGTGGCGCCATCTCAGCTCACTGCAACCTCCGACTCCCTGGTTCAAGCGATTCTCCTGCCTCAGCCTCCCGAGTAGCTGGGACTACAGGCACATGCCACCACGCCCGGCTAGTAATTTTTTTGTATTTTTAGTAGAGATGGGGTTTCACTATGCTGGCCAGGCTTGTTTCAAACTCCTGACCTCATTATCTGCCTGTCTCGGCCTCCCAAAGTGCTGGGATTACAGGCATGAGCCACCTGGCCTGGCCCGTTCCTCTGAATATACTTAATATACCCGAGGTGGGCTGATTGCTTGAGCCCAGAAGTTCGAGACCAGCCTGGACAACACGGTGAGATCCCATCTCTACAAAAAATAAAAATAACAATAAATTTAAAATTTAACCCTTTTCCCATTTGCCCCAAGAATACTTGCTGGCAGCACTTGTAGCTGCAGCATTTATCCAGAGATAACTTTGCCGTGAAATATCTTGCTTTTATTATTTTCATATTGCTCTAGTATTACTGACTTTGGAAACAAAAGACATCATTCTATTAACAGCATTCTGTTTTCAGTAGTGGTACTTCCACTTACAAAATACAGTAATTCTGATCATTAAAACTGTCAAATCCTAGAAAATGCTGAATTCCTATGTATGATGTTAACATCATTCTTTGATTAATCCACAATTCTAATTATTCCAATGACTTTAATGTTAGTTCTGTTTAGAAATAACTCCAAGAGGCCAGGCGCAGTGGCTCCCACCTGTAATCCCAGCACTTTGGGAGGATGAGGTGGGTGGGTCGCCTCAGGTCAGGAGTTCAAGACCAGACTGGCCAACATGGTGAAACCCCATCTCTACTAAAAATACACAAATTAGCCGGGCATGTGGGCAGGCACCTGTAATCCCAGCTACTCAGGAGGCTGAGGCAGGAGAATGGCTCGAGCCTGGGAGGCAGAGGGTGCAGTGAGCCGAGATTGCACCACTGCATTCCAGCCTGGGCGACTGAGCGGGACTCTACCTCAAAAGAAAGAAAGAGAGAGAAAGAGAGAGAGAGAGAGAGAAAGAAAAAGAAAGAGAAAGAAAGAAAGAGAGAGAGAGAGAGAAAGAACTCCAAGAACAGTTTTTATATTTTATTTTCACATTGGAAATCAGTCAGATTTGTTTCAGCCTCAAAGAGCATGCTTATGTAAAATTAAATGACTGCTGGCAGCGAGCTGCACTTTTTCCTTCCAAACAGGAAAAGCGTTAAAAAAAAAAAAAAAAAAAAAAAGAGGCTAGGCGTGGTGGCTCACGCCTGTAATCCCAGCACTTTGGGAGGCTGAGGCGGGTGGATCACAAGGTCAGGAGATCGAGACCATCCTGGCTAACATGGTGAAACCCCATCTCTACTAAAAAAATACAAAAAAAATTAGCCGGGCGTGGTGGCGGACACCTGTAGTCCCAGCCACTCAGGAGACTGAGGCAGGAGAATAGCGTGAACCCAGGAGACGGAGCTTGCAGTAAGCCAAGATCGCGTCACTGCACTCCAGCCTGGGCGACTGAAAAAGACTCCGTCTCAAAAAAAAGAAAAGAAAAGAAAAAGAAAATAGGGATGATGTTGGCAACTACCGCATAGAGTTCTCATGAGGGATAAATTCATAAAATGGTACCTGACATCATGGCAAAAGCTATATACAGGAATACCTCATTTTATTGTGCTTCACTTTATTATGCTCCAAAGATATTGCATTTTTTACACATTGAAGCTTTGTGGCAACCCTACATACAGTGAGTCTATTAGTGCAATTTTTCCAACAGCATGTGTTTGCTTCATGTCTCTATGTCACATTTTGGTAATCCTTGCAATATTTCAAACTTTTTCATTATTATTGTATCTGTTACGGTGATCCGTGATCAGTGATCTTTGAGGTACTATTGTAATTGTTTGGGGGTGCAACGAACTGTGCCTATATAAGAAGACAAACTTAATCAATAAATGTTGTGTGTGTTCTGACTGTTCTGCCAATATGCTGTTCTCCTCTCTCTCTCCCTCTCCTCAGGCCTCCCTATTCCCTAAGACACAACAATATTGAAACTAAGCCAATTAACAACCCTACAATGACCTCTAAGTATTCAAGTGACAAAAAGAGCCCCACATCTCTCACTTTAAATCAAAACGTAGAAATGATTAAGCTTAGTGAGAAAGGAATGTTGAAAGCTGAGACAGACCAAAACCTAGGCCCCTTGCACCAAGCAATTAGCCAAGTTGTAAATACGAAGGAAAAGTTCTGTTTTTTTGAGACAGGTCTCAGTCTGTTGCCCAGGTTGGAGTGCAGTGCCCTAATCTTGGCTCACTGCACCCTCCGCCTCCTGGGCTCAGGTGATCCTCCCACCCCAGCCTCCCAAGTAGCTGGCACCACAGGCCTGCGCCACCACACCTGGCTAATTTTTGTAGTTTTTGTAGAGATGAGGTCTCGCTATGTTGCCCAGGCTGGTCTCAAACTCCTGGACTCAGGCAATCCTCCCACCTTGGCCTCCCAAAGTGCTGGCATTACAGGCGTGAGCCACTGCACTCGGCCTTAAATTTGAGACAGAGTGTTACTCTGTCACCCAGGCTGGAGTGTAATGGCACGATACTGGCTCACTGCAACCTCTGCCTGTCTGACTCAAGTGATCCTCCCACCTCAGCCTCCTGAGCAGCTGAGGCCACAGATGCATGCCACCACACCCTGTTAATTTTTCTGGGCTTTTTTGTTTGTTTGGTTTGGTTTGGTAGAGACAGGGTTTTGCCATGTTGCCCAAACTGGTCTTGAACTCCCTGACTCAAGCGATCTGCCCACCTTGGCCTCCCAAAGAGCTGGGATTACAGGTGTAAGCTATCAGGCCTGGCCTGGAAAAGTTCCTTCCCGGAAAAGTTCCTGAAGAAAATTACAAGTGCTACTTCAGGGAACACACAAATGATAGGAAGGTGAAACAGCCTTATTGCTGATATGGAGAAACTTTTAGTGTGCTGAATAGAAGATCAAACCAGCCATAACTTCCCTTAAGCCAAAGCCTCACCCATAGCAAGGTTACTCTCTTTAATTATATGAAAGCTGAGACAGGTGAGAAAGCTGCAGAAGTTTGAAGCCAGCAGAAGTTGGTTCATGAGGTTTAAGGAGAGAAGCCATCTCCATAAGATAAAAGTGCTAGACAAGGCTAGAGGTAGTGGCTCACACAAGTAATCCCAGCACTTTAGGAGGCCAAAGCAGGTGGATCACTTGAGGCCAGGAGTTTGAGACCAGCCTGGCCAACATAGTGAAACCCTGTCTCTACTAAAAATACAAAAGTTAGCTGGGTGTGGCAGTGCACACCTGTAATCCTAGCTATTTGGGAGGCTGAGGCATGAGAATTGCTTGAGCCTGGGTGACCAAGGTTGCAGTGAGCCATGATTGTGCCACTGCATTCCAACCTGGGCGACACAGCGAGACTCTGTCTCAAAAAAATAAGTAAAATAAAATAAAACTATGTTTTTCATGTGACATGTTATTCATGTGACTGCCCACTCTAGCCCACAATTGCCATAAGGTATCATTACACAGTAAGAGTGATTGGCAGATCTCCACATCAATAGCAGATGGGTTCCCTTCATACTTGTAAAGCTCTCCATGATTCTGCAAGCTTCCTATAATTCATATTTTCTTATACCTGGGTGTTCTATTTGAGAGACTAAATATATGAACAGCAGCCAGACCATATATAAAAACAGAACTCTGACCCACAATCTACAGCAACCTGCTGGGGAAACCAACCCCCTTATCTATAATAAACAGCACAGGAAGCAAGCTTGCTACAAGTCAGACTTGTATAAAGTCAAACTGCTATCTCTAATGATGATCCTGGAGGCCAAACAACAACCCCTGTAGCAATGGGCCCAAATGCCTTAACTAGTATCCTACAGCTTCCTTAACAGCTTCCAACATAGGTCCAACCAAAGAAAGCCAAACACCCACCCCTAAACCAATCACATACCGCATCCTACTACTAGTTAGCCCAGGTACAGCTTCTCCATGCCAACAGCCTCCAATCAAAGAATACCTTGACGGCTTCCCTTTTTTATAAAGCTTTCCTACTCCTCTGCCTGCCTTTGAGTCCTGTCAAATGCAAGTGATGATGGCTGACTCCCTTGCTATAGTAAGCTCTGAATAAATAGCCTATGCTTTTCTCATTTGGTTATTTATTTCCACATATTGGATCTAGTAATTCATGAAATTCCATGAAGAACTAATTTCCAAAACTTTTTTTTTTTTAGACACGGTCTTTCTCTGTTGCCCAGACTGGAGTGCAGTGGCACTATCATGGCTCACAACAGCCTGGACCTCCCAAGCTCGAGAGATTGATTGCCCCCTCCCCCCACTCCCCGCCCCCAACCCTTCAGCCTCTAGGGTAGCTGGGACTACAGGCGCACGCAACTACATCTGGCTAGTTGTGTGTGGGTGCGTGTGTGTAGACAGAGATCTCACAATGTTGCCCCAACCGGTCTCGAACTCCTGGCCTCAAGCGATCCTCCTGCCTTGGCCTCCCAAAGTGCTGACGTTACAAGCATGAGCCACCGCACCTGCCTACAAACGTTTTTAAAAGATACTGGTGTCGGCCAGGCGTGGTGGCTCACACCTGTAATCCCAGCACTTTGGGAGGCTGAGGCGGGCGGATCACGAGGTCGGGAGATCGAGACCATCCTGGCTAACACGATGAAACCCCGTCTCTACTAAAAATAAAAAAATAAAAAAATAAAAAAAAATTAGCCGGGCGTGGTGGCTGGCGCCTGTAGTCCCAGCTACTAGGGAGGCTGAGGCAGGAGAATGGCGTGAACCCGGGAGGCGGAGCTTGCAGTGAGCCGAGATCGCGCCACTGCACTCCAGCCTGGGCAACAGAGCGAGACTCTGTCTCAAAAAAAAAAAAAAAAAGATACTGGTGTTATTTCTAAAACATCCAAAAAGTTCACGTGGAGCATCCTTTTTACTTCATCTTAATAACCTAAATCAATATGCTATAGGTCTCACATTTCCGGAGAAGATCCTCTTCCTGGAATGGACGCGGCCTTCTGCCCACAAGAGCGGTGGCCCTAGTGCCCGAACGCGTGGGCAGATCGCAAACTGCTGCGTCTCCCGCAGCCCCCGCGCGCACCAAGTGGGAACTACAATTCCCGGCGGCCCCGGCGGACTGCGGGCCGCCGGGTCAGACAGCCGACCTCGGCCATAAGCGCCTGCGCAGTCGCGGGGCCGCCGGCCGTGCTGTTCCCGCCAATTCCTGTGGTAATCCTTACCGTGGCGAGTTCCGCGCTCAATGGAGACGTTTGACCCCACCGAGCTGCCCGAGCTGCTTAAACTTTATTACCGGAGGCTCTTTCCCTACTCTCAGTACTATCGCTGGCTCAACTACGGTGGAGGTGATGGAGGCGAGGAATGGGTTCGGGAGCGGAGTGTGAGGAGGTTGGAGGCGGGGTGTCCTTAGAATGACAATATGAAGCGCCTTCTGTGCACCAGGCTTTGTGCCGCGCGCCTTCATTTGCTCTCTCGAGCCCGCCCCACCACTTCATAGGTGTAAATGGGCCGAGAGAGGATATAATAAGCCAGCCTGCGGCCACGCTGTAAAAAAAAAAAAAAAAAAAAAAAAAACAGAGCCGCCGCTCCTACCTCTGCGTGGTCAGGCTCACATTAGGTGCCCCGTTTACCTGCAGCGGTGCCCAGGGGGTTACTGGGGCGTAGCGTGAAGCTGCTGAGGCATGGTTTGCATCAGGAGCGGAAGAGCCTCTCTCAGAGGAAGAGAAATACTTTCTTCCTTGCAGCTGAATTTATTAGTGCGAATCGAGGAGAGAGGGGTGGCATTACATATTTAAAATATTTATGCATCTGTTTCATCTTTTGTACCGTTCCCTAGCAAATACGGAATGGTAACTGCTTTCAAATTAGGGACTAGGTCATGTGGATTTTGTTTTGTTTTTCTTTTACATCTACCACGGTGTTGAGCATAGGGGGCTCATTAAAAACATCTTCTCGGGCCGAGTGCCGTGGCTTACGCCTATAATCCCAGCACTTTGGAAAGCCGAGGAGGACGGATTACCTGAGGTCAGGAATTCGAGACCAGCCTGGCCAACATGGTGAAACCCCGTTTCTACAAAAAATACAAAAATTATCTGGGCATGGTGGGTCGCATGCCTGTAGTCCCAGCTACAGCCTCGGGAGGCTGAGGTGGTAGGATCCCTTGAACCCGGGAGGCGGAGGTTGCAGTGAGCCTTTATCGAGCCACTGCACTCCAGTCTGGGCGACAGAGCAGGAAGCAAGCAAGATTCCCTCACCGAAAAAAAAAACTTCTCATTGGCTAAAATTATAATGCCCTGAGCCAAATAAAGTAGCAAATTAACTTTAAAATGTACATTTATTTTGCAGTGATAAAGAATTACTTTCAACACCGTGAATTTTCATTCACATTGAAAGATGATATTTACATTCGCTACCAATCCTTCAACAACCAGAGTGATCTGGAAAAGGAGATGCAGAAAATGAATCCATACAAGATTGATATAGGCGCAGTATATTCTCACAGAGTAAGAAATCTTTTTTTAATATATTTTGTTGTTTTATTTTGTAAACCAAGAATGGGTTGATTCCTCTTGCGTTTTGAGATTAAATTTTTAGAGTTTATTCTAGATGAAAAGCCACTTTTTAATTGTTTGGCAAGTGATTAATCCTTTTTTGTTCTTTGACGTTCTGCATTACTGATGAAATCATTTGGGAGTGAATTGGTTGCATTTTTACTAGGACAAAAAAAATTGAGTATCTAGCTACTAGGAAGAGGAAGTCGACATGATTTAGGAAAGGGAAATAATTAGCCGGGCGTGGTGGTACGCGCCTGTAATCCCAGCTACTGAGGAGGCTGAGGCAGGAGAATCGCTTGAACCCGGGAGGTGGAGGTTGCAGTGAGCCAAGATCGCGCCATTGCACTCCAGTCTGGGCGACAGAGCGAGACTTGGCCTCAAAAAAAAAAAAAAAGAGGGAAATAAAAGAGAATTACATTCTCTTCCACCATGGAAGTTATTCTTTTTTTCTTTTAATTGTTTATTTTTATTGAGGTCAAATATACATATAAAACTTATTATCTTTACCACGTTTAAGTGTACAGTTCAGTCATAATAAACATTTATATTCTTTTTCCTTCATACCCCTGGAGTTATTCTTGATTCCTCTCTTTCTCACATTCCCATACCCATTCTATTAGGAAATCCCTTTGGCTCTACCATAAGTGTATCTAAAATCCAGCCACTACTACCAGTGCTACCAACATTATCATCTCATCTGAATTACTGTAAAAACCTCCTAACAGTTTGCCTTTGTAGAATCTAGAGTCCATTGTCAATACAGAAGCTAGAGTAATCCTTTTAAAACAACTCAGAATCTGTGATTCCTCTGCTGAAAACATTCTCTGGTGGCTGCTCATTTCACTGACTAAAAGTCCTTCTCTCCCCCTCATTCATTCCTGCCACACTGACCCTTGCTCAAGCTGTTTCCACTGCCTAAAACCCATTTCTATACTTGGTTCATCCCCTCACCTCCTTCAAATCTTTGCTCAAATAGCACCTTCTCAGTGAGGTCTACTAAAACCTGCCACTCCTCCCACCCCCTGCCACTGGTATATTCTAAGTACCCTAGAAGAGTGCCTGGCAAGAGACAGTACACTATAAATATTTGTTGAGTGAATGAACAAACCAAAATTGCCCTTCTTCCCCTTCTCAAATATATACACTGGTGGGTGGAGGGAATACATACATAGCATAATAGCTTTTATGTGGAGTTTTTCATGTTATATAACTTGTTACTTGTATCAATCCTCATTCTTTTTACAAAGGAGGAAACAGGCCCAGAGAACTTGAATAGTTTGCACAAGCTCACACACAATTTCTAAATGATAGAGCTGGCACTTAAACCCAGGGTTTCTGACTCTAAATCCCAGACCCGTCTCTCATCATCAAAGTAAGGGGAGAAGAGGTAATAAAAGGCAGGCAGAAAAAAATACTTTGGAGTTGTTTTACTTCCCCTTTATAGGTTGAGAATAAAACTGAAAATGAACTTCTAAGAAGGGTTAGGGTGCCACTCTCTACTTCCTTCTCCTTAATTTCTAAAGGGAGAAAACGTCTCATTTTTTTCTTGGGCCAAGACAGAAGCATCTATAGACCTTTATTTACTTTTTGTGTTTTGTTTTGTGATTTTTGTCAGTTATGTATGCACATGGTTTACAAAATCAAGTACTTCTATTCGGCTTTTAAAAAATCTGCTACCAGGCTGGGCCGGTGGTTCACACCTGTAACTCTAGCACTTTGAGAGGCTGAGGCGAGCAGATAACTTGAGGTCAGGAGTTCAAGACCAGCCTGGCCAACATGGTAAAACTCTGTCTCTACCAAAAAATACAAAAACAGCCGGGCACGGTGGCACATGCCTACAGTCCCAGCTACTCAGGAGGCTGAGGCAGGAGAATTGCTTGAACCCGGTAGGTGGAGGTTGCAGTGGGTCAAGATCACGCCACTGCACTCCAGCCTGGGCGACAGAGTGAGACCCTGTCTAAAAAAAATTCTGCTACCCTTCCCCCTCATTTTTTGCTACCCAGAAGCAACTACTTTCTTTCTTTCTTTTGTTGAGACAAGTCTAGCTCTCTTGCCCAGGCTGGAGTGCAGTGGCTAGTCTCAGCTCACTGCAATTTCTGCCTCCCGGTTTCAAGTGATTCTCCCACCTCAGCTTCCCGGGTAGCTGGGATTATAGGCGCATACCACCACACTTGTCTAATTTTTGTGTTTTTTAGTAGAGACGGGGTTTTGCCATGTTGGCCAGGCTGGTCACGAACTCCTGACCTCAAGTGATCCACCCGCCTTGGCCTCCCAAAATGCTGGGATTACAAGCATGAGCTACCACACCCAGACCCAGAAGCAACCACTTTCTTTTAGCTAAAGCTTTTTTTTTTTTTTTTGAGACAGAGTCTCGCTCTGTCATCCAGGCTGGAGTGCAGTGGCATGATCTCGGCTCACTGCAGCCTCCGCCTCCCGGGTTCAAGCGATTCTCCTGCCTCACCCTCCCGAGTAGCTGGGATTACAGGTGTGTGCCACCACGCCTGGCTAATTTTTTGTATTTTTAGTAGAGACGGGGTTTCACCATGTTAGCCAGGTTGGTCTCGATCTCCTGACCTCGTGATCTGCCCGCCTCAGCCTCCCAAAGTGCTGAGATTACAGTCGTGAGCCACTGCGCCCAGCCCTGTTCAGATTATTTAGAGAGAAATCTTCTAGCTTCCTGCCTGAGTTGGTAGTGGAAGAGTACAGAAGTGGGTGGAAAGGGCTGGGTCTTAACATTCCACATATAAATGTCTAATTATTCCCCTAATATCAATTTGTAATATCAATACAACACACTCTTCAATTGTACTTGTTGTCCAAGTCCAGGGACCTTCTGTTTTATGCTCTCTGGAAAATAATTCAGGTGTCTTCTGCCAGGGAAATGAAAGAGCAGTCACCTAGCTCTGCAAGCTAAGTGTACGAATCTGGGTAGCTAACTGCTTCTTAACTATGCTTTGAACCAATCCTCCTTTTTTTTTTCCTTCAGTCAAGGGTGGCCTTGAAAAATCTTCCTGTTTTTCATCTCAGCTTCACTAAACACGCACTTACTCATTCCAACAATACCTGGTATCACCTATCCCTGAGCCTTTTGGGGGTTCTGAGGTATAAATTGGGTTGCGCCTCTTATCTTTCCTTACTGACAGCCTAAGATTTAGTTTTATGAATCTCCTCAGTAATCACTCCCTTCTGACTTACAGTTATAAAAACTTATGGTGGAATTAACCTCTCAGGTTCTTTTTTTTGAGACAGAGTCTCGCTCTGTCACCCAGGCTGGAGTGCAGTGGCGTGATCTTGACTCACAGCAACTTCCACCTCCCGGGTTCAATGATACTCCTGCTTCAGCTTCCCAAGTAGCTGGGACTACAGGCATATGCCATCACACCCGGCTATTTTTTGTATCTTTAGTAGGGAGACAGTTTCACCATATTGGCCAGGCTGGTTTCAAACTCCTGACCTCAAGTGATCTGCCCGCCTCAGCCTCTCAAAGTGCTGGGATTACAGGCATGAGCCACTGTGCCCAGCTTCTCATAGCCTCTTTATAATAAAGTCTCAATTCAAACTAATTGGGGAGATCTTTTTGAATTATTGAAAAATTTTTAAATACTTCTATGTATGGTAACAAGTAAAGGTTCTTAAAACACCTTGCAATAGGCCATTATTTGTATACGTTCCCTTGTCAGAAAACTAAAAACAGCTTTATTATTATCCTTATTGACCAACAAACATTTATGATGGATATGTATTCATTAAACCCTGCTTTAAGTTGGTGAAAGTTAAGACTCTCATCAATAGTGTATGTGTAAGATCCAAAATAATGAACTTTCACTGTCATAAAGTTGGCATTATATAGTCTCTTTATTTCTGTTTGGCAACTTTTTCCATATGTGTAGAAAATAAGCAGATTTAGCAGTGTGGCAGCTCTTATAGAAACTGATCAATATTTTGTATCTGTAGCCCAATCAACACAATACAGTGAAGCTGGGAGCTTTCCAGGCTCAGGAAAAAGAACTGGTATTTGACATTGACATGACAGACTATGACGATGTGAGGAGATGTTGTAGGTGAGCACTGTGTGTCTTGCTGTTAGGGTGGGTGGTATCACTGACAATGAGTAATGATGACTCTGCTTTAGTTCTGCAGACATATGTCCTAAGTGCTGGACCCTCATGACAATGGCCATACGCATCATTGACAGAGCATTGAAGGGCAAGTATCAGCAGTTTCTGAATGGGGTCAAGTGTAAGAATCGGTTTTCCTCTGACTACTATTAACTATTAGTCTCTGTATTTTGTGATCAAATCTCATTAATTTGTGTGTGTGTGTGTGTGTGTGTGTGTGTGTGTGTGTGTGTGTGTGTGTGACGAGTCTCACTCTGTCAGCCAGGCTGGAGTGCAGTGGTACAATGTCGGCTCACTGCAACCTCTGCCTCCTGGGTTCAAGTGATTCTCCTGCCTCAGCCTCCTGAGTAGCTGGGACTACAGGCGCACGCCACCACGCCCAGTTAATTTTTGTATTTTTAGTAGAGGCAGCGTTTCACCATGTTGGTCAGGCTGGTCTCGAACTCCTGACCTCGTGATCTGCCCACCTCGGCCTCCCAGAGTGCTGGGATTACAGGCGTGAGCTACCACACCTGGCCTAATAAAATAGTTTTTTAAAAAAGAAAGAAATTCCCAGCAGAGAGACCAGGATGGGTAAAGAGATGAAGCAAGAACATGGGGAGCACAGGAAACAACAAGTAATTTAATATACATTAATTAAGGAGTTTATAGATTTGTTTTAAAACCTATTATTTCTCTCTTCCTCAGAGGACTTTGGATTTAAGCATCGTCTCTGGGTATATTCTGGAAGGAGAGGTGTTCATTGTTGGGTCTGTGATGAATCAGTTAGAAAACTGTCTTCTGCAGTACGTTCTGGGATAGTTGAGTATTTGAGCCTTGTAAAGGTAAGATCCTCTTAATTCTAATTTGCATTGCTTTAGTTTCTAGATGTTACCAAGCCTGATATGTTTACTGTCAAAGAAAATGAAACTATCTTTTTTTTTTTTTTTTGAGATGGACTCTCACTCTGTTGCCCAGGCTGGACTGCAATGGCATGATCTTGGCTCACTGCAAGCTCTGCTTCCTGGGTCCAAGCAATTCTCCTGCCTCAGCCTCCCGAGTAGCTGGGACTACAGGCTCCTGCCACTGTGCCCAGCTAAATTTTGTATTTTTAGTAAAGACTGGGTTTCGCCATGTTGGCCAGGCTGGCCTAGAACTCCTAGCCTCAGGTGATTCACCCACCTCAGCCTCCCAAAGTGCTGGGATTACAGACATGAGCCACCACACTGGCCTAAAACTTATCTTTAATGGCATTCACATTGCAGAGTAAATGATCTTACCAATAGATCATTTAAAGTCATAGTAGCTACATGTTTTAAGATATTTCATTTTATTTTGCTATAAATATCTTGCTTTGTGGCATATGTAAAATAATAGATAAAATAGATTTATTATATATAAAATAATAGAACATGTTAAAGTTTGGTTTTGGTTTTGGTTTGTTTTTTTGGTTTTTTTTGTTTTGTTTTGTTTTGTTTTGAGACACGGTCTCACCCTGTCACCCAGGCTGGAGTACGGTAACGTGACCACAGCTCACTGCAGCCTTGACCTCCTGGTCTCAAGTGACCCTTCTACCTCAGCCTCCTGAGTAGCTGGGACTAAAGGCATGCGCCACCACGCCCAGCCAATTTTTTAATTTTTGCAGAAACAAGGTCTCACTATATTGCCCAGGGTGTTCTTGAACTCCTAAACTCAAACTATCCTCCCACTTCAGGCTCCCAAAATGCTGAGATTACAGGTGTGAGCCACTACATCCAGCCTACAAATTTTTTTTTTTTTTTTTGAGACGGAGTCTTGCTCTGTTACCCAGGCTGGAGTGCAGTGGCGCTATCTTGGCTCACCACAACCTCCGCGTCCCGGGTTCAAGCAATTCTCCTGTCTCAGCCTCCCAAGTAGCTGGGATTACAGGCACTTGCCACCACACCCGGCTAATTTTTGTATTTAGCCAGGCGTGTTGGCAGGTGGAAACAGGGTTTCATCATATTGGTCAGGCTGGTCTCGAACTCCTGACCTCAGGTGATCCGCCCGCCTCAGCCTCTCAAAGTGCTGGGATTACAAGTGTGAGCCACTGCGTCCAGCCCTAGAAATGTTTTAATTATAATTATGCATCACTTAACAATAAGGATACATCCTGAGAAATACATCACTTTGCAAAAGTCATGGAGTATACTTACACAGACCCAGATGGTATAGCCTACTATACATCTAGGCTATATGGTATAACCTATTGCTCCTAGGCTACAACCTGTACAGCATGTTACTGTACTCAATACTGTAGGCAATTGTAACACAATGATAGGTACTGATGTAGCTAAACATACCTAAACATAGAAAAGTCACAGTAAAAATACAGTATTGCAATCTTATGGGACCCACCATCTTTTTCTTTTTTTTTTGAGATGGAGTCTCGCTCTTGTCACCCTGGCTAGAGTGCAATGATGCGATCTCGGCTCACTGCAACCTCTGCCTCCCGAGTTCAAGCGACTCTCCTGCCTCAGCCTCCCGAGTAGCTAGGATTACAGGCATGCGCCACCATGCCCAGCTAATTTTTTGTATTTTTAATAGAGATGGGATTCAGGCTGGTCTTGAACTCTTGACCTCAGGTGATCCACCCACCTCAGCCTCCCAAAATGCTGGGATTACAGGTGTGAGCCACCGTGCCCACCATCTTATATGCAGTCCATCATGACTAAAATGTCGTTATGCTGCACATGACTGTATTTATATTGTATACCTGAAGTTCTTTTTTAATGATTTATTTTTCAGGGTGGTCAAGACGTTAAAAAGAAAGTTCACCTAAGTGAAAAAATTCACCCTTTTATCAGGTCTGTTGGAAAAGTCTCCAAGCACTTTAAGGTGTCTGATTTACCGGCATGTGCCTTTAGAGTTACCTTGCTATCAATTTTCACTGCTGGGTAGCATTTTATAATAATAATAGCTATGGTTAATTGAGTGCCTATTTTATGCTGCAGTATTCCTAAAAGGTGCTTTACAGATGTTCTCATTGCTCTTCAAAAAAACCCCACAAGAGACTTGATGGTATCTCCATTTATAGATAAGGAAAATGAGTTTTAGAGAGATTTTATAATGAGCTTGGCATCACACGACAAGTTAGTTGTTAAATTTAGGATTCATGCCCTGGTCTGCCTGACTGTAAAGCCTACTCCAATGCTTTTTCCACTGAATTCACTACTTCTCTAGGATAGTGGAAAAAGCCTTATATTAGGAGTAAAAATTCCTATTCTGCCACTTACTATGATCTTGATAAAATATTGACAAAATATTGCTGCCTCCATTTCCTTATCTCTATGATGGGGAGAACAGCATGCACTCTACCTGTCTCACAGTTGTATCAATGATTAAGTGAAAGAGTAAATGTGATGCATATTTGTAAACTGCAAACATTATATGATTGTTGAGATATTAATACAAGCAATTCACAGTGGAAAGTGTAGGCTGCATCCCACATTCTACTACTGATGTATTATGGTGTCCTGGGTTGGTTACTTTCTACCCTTATTGCGTATATTAACCTTCTAAGTTGTGAGGTTTAAAAAGTAAACATTTCTTGTATACCCATTCTGTGCCAGGTTCTATGTCAGGTTCTTTTCCCTTAAAAGTGTCTCATTTAATTATCATAACCCTGCACAGGGTAGTATTCCCATTTTACCTAGTTAAGTTCTGAAAATGTCATGAAAATAAGCAGTAGTTTTCCCCACAATGGCAGCAATACCTATGTGGCATATGTGTTACTGATAGTGTTGGGACTCTGTTGTTATTGTTGTTCTTACAGAAAATCTATAAACATAATAAAAAAATACTTTGAAGAATATGCCTTGGTTAATCAAGATATTCTCGAAAATAAAGAAAGCTGGGATAAGATTTTAGCCCTTGTTCCTGAAAATATCCTTTCCCGTGATCATTTCTGTGTGAGCTAGTTGTTTTGATCTGTGATATTATAAATGTTAGACATGTCTGCTTGTAAGTTCTCATATACTTATAAGTTTAATCTTTTTTACACAAAATATCTCCTGTATTTCTGGATTTTAGTATCTCTGGTCTGGAACATAATAAAAAATGGGGCCATGTTGCAAATCAGTTTTCTCATTTTGGAAGTTGGTCCTAGAATTAACAGCTAAAGAATGGTGAATTACATAGTCAAAATACATGCAGACCAGGGAAAACTTTACATCATACCTTATAGTTATTTTGGCATTCTTTCTGTTATATCATCACTGTATTTTTACAGGGGAAGATTTCAATGATACAACTGGTGTTGGTTTGGTTTGGGGTTTTTTTGTTGTTGTTGTTGTTTTTAAGACGGAGTCTTATACTGTGTTGCCCAGGCTGGAGTGTGCAGTGGTGTGATCTTGGCTTACTGCAACCTCCGCCTCCCGGGTTCAAACAATTCTCCTGCCTCAGCCTCCCAAATAGCTGGGACTGCAGGCACACGCCACCACGCCCAGCTAATTTTTGTGTTTTTATAGAGACGGGGTCTCACCATGTCAGCCAAGCTGGTCTCAAATGATCCACCCACCTCAGCCTCCCAAAATATTGGGAATACAGGCATGAGCCACTGTGCCCGGCCGGATACAGCTGTTGAGTTTAACATTTGTGGGGTGGGTTGTTTTGTTGTTGAGATGGAGTCTCACTCTGTTGCCCAGGCTGTAGCACAGTGGCACAATCTCAGCTCACTGCAACCTTCACCTTGCAGATTTAAGCAATTTTCCTGCCTCAGCCTCCAGAGTAGCTAGGATTACAGATGTGCACCACCATGCCCTGCTGATTTTTCTATTTTTAGTAGAGATGGGGTTTCACCATGTTGGCCAGGCTGGTCTCGATCTCCTGACCTCACGTGATCCACCCACCTCTGCCTCCCAAAGTGCTGGGAGTACAGGCATGAGCCACCACGCCCAGTCAACATTTATATTTCAAGAAATGTTAATAACTACTTTCTGAATATTTGTAAGACACCCTTGTGGTAATACATACTTAAAACTAAATTGTTCATTGATGTTCCCTAAATGAGTCTGTTCCTTAATGACCCATCACCAATTCATGATGAACTTCAACAAAGCTTCCAAAAGTCTCACAATTCACTTCAGCGTTGGGAGCACTTGAAGAAAGTAGCCAGCAGATATCAGGTATATGCCACTGAAATCTGTATTACAGATATAATAATGCAATTCTTAATTAAATTGATTGCTTTGCCTAGTCAGTTAAAGATGGTTGAAGATCGTTTTTTTAACTTTCTTTAAAGAAATCTTCAACAGTTCCTACTGATCCTCATGTTGGCCTTGTATCTGCTTTTAGAATAACATCAAAAATGACAAATATGGACCCTGGCTGGAGTGGGAGATTATGCTCCAGTACTGTTTTCCACGGCTGGATATCAATGTCAGCAAAGGAATCAATCATCTACTGAAGAGCCCTTTTAGTGTTCATCCTAAAACAGGTACTACACAAGGAAACTAAGGAAAACTAAAAGAAAAATGAGTTGCTATTGGCTTTAGTAAGCATGGCATTAGGTCTGAATATATATAATGTCTATGATTTAAAGGTAGAAGAATTGCTCTGTCACCCAATACCTAAGTCAGTTAAGTAGCTACCAGATGAGTTTCTACTATGTAACTGTTTTTCAGTTGGGTTTCTGAGGTTCCATATTAGATTTGGAGAGGACCATCAAAATCTTAGGACAACAGCTCTCATTGTACAGATGAGAAAACAGTGGCCCAAGATGTAACCCATCCAAGGTCATAAAAAAAAAATTGTGTGTGACTGTATGTGGTAGCTTGCTCCTGTAATCCCAGCACTTGAGGAGGGCAAGGTGGGCAAATCACTTGAGCCCCAGAGTCTAACACCAGCCTAGGCCACATGTCTAAACACCCTTTGTACAAAAAATACAAAAATTAGCTAGACGTGGTGGTGCATGCCTGTAGTTCCAGCTACTCAAGAGGCTGAGGCAGGAGGATCACTTGAGCCTGGGAAGTTGAGGCTGCAGTGAGCTGTGATGGTGCCACTGCACTCCAGCCTGGGCAACAGAGTGAGACCCTGTCTCAAAAAAAAGAAAAAAAGAAAGAAATGAAATGAACTCTACTCCTAGCACTGACAAAAACAAAAAAAAATTTTTTTCGAGAAAGAGTCTCACTCTGTCACCCAGGCTGGAGTGCACTGGTGCAATCTCGGCTCACCGATCGGCTCAAGCGATCCTTCTGCCTCACCCTCCTGAGTAGCTGGTACTACAGGCATGTGCTACCACAGCCAGCTAATATTTTGTAGACAGGGTTTTGCCATGTTGCCCAGGTTGGTCTTGAACTCTTGAGCTCAAGCAATTCACCTGCCCCAGTCTCCCAAAGTGCTGGGATTACAGACAAGAGCCACTGCGCCCAGCCTCATTACGTCACTTTTGAGATGTGTTAAATTCTATATGGTATCCTAGGGGGGTATTATAAAAGAGTAGAGGAATTTCTATTTTATTTCCTAAATGCTTTTTAAAGGTGTCTGACATGTGGGTATCTGTATTGATCTCAAATAAACCAAGCCAATGTAAATATTATAGTTTCATCTATTTTGTTCTATTTTCAGGACTCACTAACTCTGAGATTGTTCTGAACTTAAATATGGAATATTTAAATATACTTTATTTCTAAATATAGAAATAAAAGTAGGGATAAGAGCAACTGGGAAATAGCTCAACAGTCTTCACATTTGCTTATTGGTTTTTGTTTTTGTTTTTTTTCTTTCCTTTTTTTTCGAGACAGAGTCCCACTCTGTCACCCAGGCTGGAGTACAGTGGCGCGATCTTGGCTCACTGCAGCCTCTGCCTTCCAGGTTCAAGCAATTCTCTGCCTCACCCTCCCAAGTAGCTGGGATTACAGGTACCCGCCACCACACCCAGCTAATTTTTGTATTTTTAGTAGAGACGGGGTTTCACCATCTTGGCCAGGCTGGTCTTGAACTCCTGACCTTGTGATCCACCCTCCTCAGCCTCCCAGAGTGCTGGGATTACAGGCGTGAGCCACTGCACCTGGCTGGTTTTTTAAAGAGAAATAAAAGGCATGCTGGACATGGTCATTCACACCTGTAATCCCAGCAACTCAGGAGGCTGAGGCAAGAGGATTGTTTGAGGCCAGGAGTTCTGGGCAACATAGTGAGACCCCAACTCAACAAAAATTGAAAAACTGGCCAGGCCAGGAGCAGTAGCTCACGTCTATAATCCTAGCACTTTGGGAGACAACTGAGGTGGGAGGATCACTTGAGCCCAGGACATCAAGCCTGCAGTGAGCTATGACCATGCTACTGTATGTACTCTAGCATGGGTGACAAAGTGAGGCATTAACTCTAAAAAAGAGTAAGGGCACAGCTAATGTGAAAGTAATTTATATTTCTAAATACTCTTCTTAACAGATAAGTTTAACCCTTTGTCTAAGCCTTAAATAAAAATTTTAACCAAAAATAACCTGTAGGAGATGACTATAATGATTTATAGTCCACAATCATCAGTTTATAACTTTTGTGTCTTACAGGTCGCATATCTGTGCCTATTGATTTGCAGAAAGTGGACCAGTTTGATCCATTTACTGTTCCGACCATAAGGTATGTTTCAGATCATTGATCACTCCTTGTTTGTAATTGTTGTTATGAATTTTAAATAAATTGAATTAGCCTCCTTAGAGAAGTAGTTGCATGGGAATGGTATATTTGGTTATGGAAACCAAATAAGGTTCAAAGGTTAGATGACGATGCCCTAATAGAACAATACAAGATTTTCACCTGCTGTTATGTAAGAAAAAGATTTTAAGGTCAAGTAAATTTAGGAAATTCTGACTTAAACAGATTAAAAGTATCTTTTACTACAGTATTTCACAGTCTTTCATATGATAATATGCATGAAAAACTCCAAGAAGAGATCATGGTGTTTAGAATATCCCAAATTTAGCTGGCCGCATAATTTTTTTACAGTAAATTTTATGGGATTCACATGCTATTATACACTGGATAATGCTGATCAGAAACCAACATTAAACTTCTCTTGTTCGTGGTGAGGCGCGGTGGCTCATGCCTGTAATCCCAACACTTTGGGAGGGCAAAGCGCGTGGATCACAAGGTCAAGAGATCGAGACCATCCTGGCCAACATGGTGAAACCCTGTCTCTACTAAAAATACAAAAATTAGCTGCGCTTGGTGGCATATGCCTGTAGTCCCAGCTACTTGGGAGGCTGAGGCAGAAGAATCACTTGAACCTGGGAGGCGGAGGTTGCAGTGAGCCAAGATCGCACCACCACACTCCGGCCTGGCAACAGAGCAAGACTCCGTCTCAAAAACAAAAACAAAAACAAAATTCTCTTGTTCTGTTACTTGCAGCTTCATCTGCCGTGAATTGGATGCCATTTCCACTAATGAAGAGGAAAAAGAGGAGAATGAAGCTGAATCTGATGTCAAACATAGAACCAGAGGTAAGGTAATATTTTGAAGCTTCACTTTAAATACAGGGTTTTTATATAGATATCCATCTGTCACTCCAGTAATTAATTCTCTGATTCAACTAGAATGGATCAGCATTTGTCCTGGAACTGCATACAATGTTTGTGTCCTTTCTTCAACAGCAGCCCAAGTGGTGTTATTGAATCCAGTCTGATTCAACACATATTTCCTAAGTAACTTTTAATGCTAGGATCTATACTGTAAGATTAAACTATCAATAAGTATGAATAATCAGTCTCTGAGATTCACCACCTATTTATTTAACAACTATTATATATGCAGTACTTTTTTTCTTTGTTTCTGATGCATATAGGTGGGTTTTATGGTAAACATATGTCTAAACTGTTTACCAAGTTGTATATTCAAGAATTTGAAGAAGCTGGCTGGGCGCAGTGGCTCACGCCTGTAATCCCGGCTCTTTGGGAGGCCGAGGCAGGCAAATCACTTGAGGTCAGGAGTTCAAGACCAGCCTGGCCAACATGGTGAAACCCCAACTCTGCTAAATATACAAAAATCAACCAGGCATGGTGGAGGGCACCTGTAATCCCAGCTACTCGGGAAGCTGAGTCAGGAGAATCGCTTGAACCCAGGAGGCAGGGGTTGCAGTGAGCCAAGATTGTGCCACTGCACTCCAGCCTGGGCGGCAGAGGGAGACTGTCTCAAATAAACAAACAAAAAAAAAGAATTTGAAGAAGCTAAGGAATTTCTAAATCTTCCTGCTAATGGAAGGCAAATCTAACACCTAAGAGATACTGCAGGCCAGGCGCGATGGCTCACACCTGTAATCCCAGCACTTTGGGAGGCCCAGGTGGGTTGATCACCTGAGGTCCTGAGTTCGAGACCGGCCTGACCAACATGGAGAAACCCTGTCTATCCTAAAAATACAGAATTAGCCGGCTGTGGTGGCACATGCCTGTAATCCCAGCTGCTCGGAAGGCAGAGGCAGGAGAATCGCTTGAACTCAGGAGGTGGAGGTTGCGGTGAGCCAAGATCACGCCATTGCACTCCAGCCTGGGCAACAAGAGCAAAACTCCGTCTCAAAAAAAAAAAAAAAGATGCCGCATAGCAGCGCAGCACTCCCCAACCTTTTTGGCATCAGGTACCAGTTTTGTGGAAGACAATTTTTGCACGGACTGCAAAGAGAGGGGGAGGAGTTGGGGATGGTTCCAGGATGAAACTTTTTTACCTCAGATCATCAGGCATTAGATTCTGATAAGGAGTGCGCAACCTAGATCCCTCACATGCGCAGTTCACAATAGGGTTCATGCTCCTTTGAGAATTTAGTGCTTCTGCTGATCTAACATAAGGCAGAGCTCAGGCGGTAATGCTCGCTTACTGCTCACCTCACACCTGTAATCCCAGCACTTTGGGAGGCCGAGGCAAGAGGAGCCTAGGAGTTTGAGACCACCCTGGGCAACACAGAGAGACCCTGTCTCTCCAAAAAAAAAAATTTAGCTAGACATGCTGGCAGGCACCTGTGGTCTCAGCTACTCAAGAGGCTGTTTGAGCCCAGGAGGTTAAGGCTGCAGTAAGCCTTGACCACACCACTGTACTCCAGCCTGGGTGTCAGAGAGAGACCTTGTCTCAAAATGAAAATTATGTGGCCGGGCGCAGTAGCTCACGCCTGTAATCCCAGCACTCTGGGAGGTCAAGGTGGGTGGATCACCTGAGGTCAGGAGTTTGGGACCAGCCTGGCCAACACGGTTAAACCCCGTCTCTACTAAAAATACAAAAATTAGCCAGGCATGGTGGTGCACACCTGTAGTCCCAGCTATTCAGGAGGCTGAGGCACAAGAATCACTTGAGCCCGGGAGGCAGAGGTTGCAGGGAGCTGAAGTTGCGCCACTGCACTCCAGCCTGGGAAACAGAGTGAGACTTCGTCTCAAAAAAAAAAAAAGTATAATTTCTTTCTTACTCTTTTTAAAGAACTATTATGAGGATTCTTAATTCCATGCAAACGTAGGATACTACTAAAATCCAAATTTTATGTGAAACTCCTTTCTTATTCTCAATCATATTTTCCCATTGGGTATCATTATAGGTTATATAATTAAATGGATGAATAAAATTGTATATTCTTTTTTTTTTTTTTTTTTTTTTTTTTTTTAGAGAAAGAGTCTTACTCTGTCACCCAGGCTGGTGTGCAATGGTGCAATCTCAGCTCATTGCAACCTCCGCCTCCTGGGTTCAAGCAATTCTCCTGCCTCAGCCTCCTGAGTAGCTGGAGTTACAGGTGCCCGCCACGACGTCCAGCTAATTTTTGTATTTTTACTAGAGACAGGGTTTCTCCATGTTGGTCAGGCTGGTCTCGAACTCACGACCTCACGTAATCCACCTGCCTCGGCCTCCCAAAGTGCTGGGATTATAGGCATGAGCCACCGCACCCTGCCTATATTAAATTTTTTGTTGTATACATTTTTTAAACTATTTTATAAATCAAAGAATACTTAATGCAGGCCAGGCGTAGTGGCTGATGCCTGTAGGCCCAGCACTTTGGGAGCCTGAGGCGGGTGGATCACCTGAGGTCAGGAGTTCAAGACCAGCCTGGCCAACATGGCGAAACCCCATCTTTACTAAAAATACAAAAATTATCTGGGCGTCGTGGCGGGCGCCTATAATCCTAGCTACTCGGGAGGCTGAGGCAGAAGAATCGCTTGAACCCAGGAGGTGGAGGTTGCAATAAGCCGAGATTGCCCCACTGCACTCCAGCCTGGGAGACAGAGCAAGACTCCATCTCAAAAAAAAAAAAACAAGAATACTCAATGTAAAAACTTCTAATAATCTCCAAAAGGGCGTGACCAGAGCCTGAGCAACACAAGACCTTGTCTCTACTAAAAATAAAAAATTAGCCAGCTGTGGTGGCACTCCCTGTGATCCCAGCTACTTGGGAGGCTGAGGTGGGAGGATCATTTAAGCCAGGGAAGTCAAAGCTGCAGTGAGCTGCAATTGCACCACTGCATTCTAGCCTGGGCAAAAAAGCAAGACAGTGTCTCAAAAATAAGACATGGGGCCGGGCACGGTGGCTCACGCCTGTAATCCCAGCACTTTGGGAGACTGAGGCAGGTGGATCACGAGGTCAAGAGATCAAAACCATCTTGGACAGCATGGTGAAACCCCGTCTCTACTAAAAATACAAAAACTTAGCCGGGCATGGTGGCACACACCTATAGTCCCAGCTACTCAGGAGGCTGAGGCAGGAGAATCGCTTGAACTCGGGAGGCGGAGGTTCCCGAGCCAAGATTGCACCACTGCATACCAGCCTGGCAACAGAGCAAGACTCAAAAATAAAGGCATGGACCGGGCGCGGTGGCTCACGCCTGTAATCCCAGCACTTTGGGAGGCCAAAGTGGGTGAATCATGAGGTCAGGAGTTTGAGACCAGCCTGGCCAACATGGTGAAACCCTATCTCTACTAAAAATACAAAAAATTAGCTCATTGTGGTGGCGGGCACCTATAATCCCAGCTAGTCGGGAGGCTGAGGTAGGAGAATTGCTTGAACCTGGGAGGCGGAAGTTGCAGTAAGCCGAGATCGCACCATTGCACTCCAGCCTGGGCAACAGAGTGACACTCTGTCTCAAAAAAAAAAAAAAAGAAAATATATGTATATATATTATATATATATATATAAATATAAAAGACTTGTATGAAAGAGAGTATCATATATCTCAATTTTTATTACATGCAAAAATAATATTTTAGCTGGGCATGGTGGCATGTGTCTGTAATCCCAGCACTTTCAGAGGCCGAGGCTGGGAGATCACTCGAGCTCAGGAGTTCAAGACTAGCCTGAGCAACAGAGTGAGACCTCGTCTCTACAAATACCAAAAAAAAAAAAAAAATTGGTTGGGCATGGTGGTACATGCCTGTAGTTATAGCTACTCAGGAAGCAGAGATGGGAAGATCCCTTGAGCCCAGTAGATCGAGGCTGCAGTGAGCCAAGACGGAACCACTGTACTTCAGTCTGCATGACAGAGTGAAATCCTGTCTCAGTAATAATTTCACCTTTTTTAATGTGACTAATATAGTATTTAAAAGTATGTATGTTTCTCTCATATTTCAATTGGGCAGCCCTAGAGAATTCTTATAAGAAACTTAGTTGTGTTTTCATGTTATTCTTGCTGCCAGTATGCTAATTATAATGTACATTCTTCATAATTTAGATTATAAGAAGACCAGTCTAGCACCTTATGTGAAAGTTTTTGAACATTTTCTTGAAAATCTGGATAAATCCCGAAAAGGAGAACTTCTTAAGAAGAGTGGTAAGACGCTATGCCTTTCCCTTCTATCTAGTTAGATCTTATTATTAGTAGAAATGAGCAATTTTTGAGTTCTAGTCTTTCTTTGCCCTCCTCCCAAAATTTACAGATTTATCTTACTATCCTTAATGTTTTGGAAATTGAGGTTCCTTAATTCAATTTAACACATAGTTATTAAACACATTCTAAGTATCAGGTCTATAAGGGAGACAAAGATGAATTAACATCATGCCTCCTTGCCCTTAAGAAGTACTAACTTGGCCAGGCACGGTGGCTCACGCCTGTAATCCCAGCACTTTGGGAGACCAAGGCAGTTGGATCACTTGAGGTCAGGAGTTCGAGACCAGCCTGGCCAACATGGTGAAACCCTGTTTCTACTAAAAATACAAAAAATTAGCTGGGCGTGGTGGCAGGCACCTGTAATCCCAGCTACTCAGGAGGCCGAGACATGAGAATCGCTTGAACCGGGGAGGCAGAGGTTGCAGTGAGCTGAGATCACACCATCGCACTCCAGCCTGGGCAACAGAGCAAGACTCCATCTCAAAAAAAAAAAAGAAGTACTAACTTAATACAAAAAAAAAAGTACAAAATGCTAAGAAAGAGATTTTATCTGATGGACTCTGAGATTTCATATGAAAATGGTGGTATCTGAACTCCTTTCAGTGTAGCTGCTGTAAGAATTCTAATCCCTAGCCGGGTGCAGTGGCTCACACCTGTAATCCCAGCACTTTGGGATGCTGAGGCAGGTGGATCGCCTGAGGTCAGGAGTTCAAAACAAGCCTAGCCAACATAGTAAAACCCCATCTCTACTAAAAATACAAAAAATTAGCTGGGTGTGGTGGTGGGAGCCTGTAATCCCAGCTACTAGGGAGGCTGAGGCAGGAGAATCACTTGAACCCAGGAGGCAGAGGTTGCAGTGAGCTGAAATTGTGCCATCGCACTCCAGCCTGGGCAACAAGAGCAAAACTCCGTCTCAAAAAAAAAAAAAAACCCTAGGCCGGACACGGTGGCTCACACCTGTAATCCTAGCACTTTGGGAGGCCAAAGCAGGTGGATCACCTGAGGTCAGGAGTTCAAGACCAGCCTGGCCAACACGGTGAAACCCCGTCTCTACTAAAAATACAAAAATTAGCCGGGCGTGGTATTGTGCGCCTGTAATCCCAGCTACTTGGGAGGCTGAGGCAGGAGAATCACTTGAAGCTGGGAGGTGGAGGTTGCAGTGAGCCAAGATCGCACCATTGCACTCCAGCCTGGGCAACAGAGCAAGACACTATCTCAAAAAAAAAAAAAATTTCTAATCCCTAATGCCAATATACTATACCATAAGGTATGAGAAGGATTTCCACAAGCAGAAATATGATAAGATAAAGGGTATGGAGGTGGAAAAAGGCCAAGGGTTGTTCATTCTTGAAGGAACATCAAGAGCAAAGACAGACAGGAAAGCATCCAGTTACTCTGGAAGCCATCAAGTAGTACAGCTAATCTAGTATATGGTGTGTCCAGAAGTGATGGGCTATAAATCCAAAGAAGCAAACTGAATGGCCTTGAATTCCAAGCTTATGTGTTTGGGCTTGGTTTTGGGCTTAATAGGAAGCTTTTAAAAGTTCTGAGGAAGGGAATGCCATGATTTGTAGTTTTTATCTAGAAAGATAAATCTGGGCAAGACAGGGACTAGAATAGAGCCCAAGAGGCCAACTGCGCTATTGCCACTAGAACAGTAGCACTGGAGATCTCCGAAAGGTGCAAATACTGGAACCATCCTTGAGACTTGCTAATGATTTAGAAGTGAAGAGATGAAAGATGGAAGGGAAAATGTTATAGAAGCCAGGGGAAAGAAAAGTGCAAGATTATCAAGTGTCAGGTACAGTAGGAAACTAATAAAATCCTGCTGCATATAATAACTGGAAAGAAACACAAAGAGGATAGCAGTGTCAAATGAAGGGTACTCTAAATGGGAGACATATGAGCATATGTATAAGCCAATATGAAAAAAATCAGCAGATTGAATATTATTCAAGAGATGAAGGCTACTCTAGAAAACTGTGACAATGTTATAGCAATACAAATTATCTTGCCACTTCATTTTTTATTTAAATATGTGATAGTTTAAGCAGTAGTGCCTAAGATAATGCTCTACTCAGTAGACACTCATATGTGTGATTATTGGATGAACAACAACTCTGAGCTTGGAAAGCCTGGTTGAAGCTGCCATTGCAACTGGCCGTATTAAGTCCTTTGTATCCTCACTGTTCCATACTAGCTCAGCCTATGATGTGGACTTCAGCAAATGTGTAAGCAAATCTTTGTGCATGATGTGTGTTAAATAGAAGCATTAGGCAAAAAAGAATGTAAAAGTAAATGGGCTTTGTTTTGTTTCCTTTGCTGTTCTTCCATATATTATCTATTCTATTTTAGATTTACAAAAAGATTTCTGAAGACAGAGCTCCTCAAACCATTGTGGATATCTTCTGCCTTCAACCACAGATCAAATACTTCAAGAGCCATTTAATAAATATGGCAGAACTATATATGTGTCTTAAACCTCAAAGTAAATTTTCCTTGAGAAATAATTTATGTTGAAAAGATTTCCTGGCCAAGTGCAGTGGCTCACACCCGTAATCCCAGCACTTTGGGAGGCCGAGGCAGGCGGATCACCTGAGGTCAGTAGTTCGAGACTAGCCTGGCCAACATGGTGAAACCCCCGTCTCTACTAAAACTACAAAAATCAGTCGGGTGTGGTGGTGCATACAGTAATCCTAGCTACTTGGGAGGCTGAGGCAGGAGAATTGCTTGAACCCAGGAGGCAGAGGTTGCAGTGAGCTGAGATCACAGCCACTGGGCGACAGAGCGAGACTCCATCTCAAAAAAGAAACAAAACAAAAAAAAAAGTAAGATTTCCTGAGACGACCAAGGAGAGTGTCAAGGTTCCTGGAAGGAGAAATAAAAGGAGGCATAAGTGGATTGCAGATAATTTTGTAAAATTCAATATTCTACAAGGATAATTCTAAGGCTTCTGATATAAATACCCAGTTCTACTAGTTGCCATATATAGAGGTAAGTGAGCAGTAATAGGACTGTCATCTCAGCTCACTTGATACGTCATATGTTTGGGTGAATGATGGTTTTGTCCTTAAGTTTTAGACATTTAATTATATCTAGAGGGCCAGGCACAGTGGCTCATACCTGTAATCCCAACACTTTGGGAGGCCAAGACAGGCAGATCACCTGAGGCCAGGAGTTCTTTTTTTTTTTTTTTTTTTTTTGAGACAGAGTCTTGCTCTGTCACCCAGGCTGGAGTGCAGTGGCACGATCTTAGCTCACTGCAAGCTCTGCCTGCCAGGCTCATGCCATTCTCCTGCCTCAGCCTCCCAAATAGCTGAGACTACAGGTGCCCGCCACCACGCCCAGCTAATTTTTTTTGTATTTTTAGTAGAGACGGGGTTTCACTATGTTAGCCAGGATGGTCTCGATCTCCTGACCTTGTGATCTGCCTGTCTCAGCCTCCCAAAGTGCTGGGATTACAGGTGTGAGCCACCACACCCGACTGAGGCCAGGAGTTCAAGGCCAGCCTGGCCAACATGGTGAAACCCGGTCTCCACTAAAAATACAAGAAAATTAGCCAGGTGTGGTGGCGGGCACCTGTAATCCCAGCTACTAAGAAGGCTGAGGCAAGAGAATCACCTGAACCCATGAGGTGGAGGTTACAGTGAGCTGAGATCACGCCACTGCACTCCATCCTGGGCAACATAAATAAAAATTATAAAATAAATAAAACGTATTAAACTTGTGAAAATACTTGGGACTTTTTATGTATCTAGGTACTTCAGTTTTTAAAGTTTGATTTTGTGAGATGGGTTCTAATATGTCCGATTTCTCTTGCCCTGTTTTACAACTAATCTAAACAAAACAGTCATTCTAGTTTATATTCTGTCTTCCGAGAAACATTGAGAAGCAAGCTGTCAGGCTGGTGCTTTTAATGACAATGAAAATTTTCCTTCCTTTGCATTTCCTTTAACATTGTTTCCTCTACAATCAATCTTTTCTTATCTTCTGGTTTATATGAAACAGACTCTATAATGCAGTCAACACATTGATTCCTTGACCTATATTTTAAGAAAATTCCTGCTGGGTGCAGTGGCTCACACCTATAATCCCAGCACTTTGGGAGGCCGAGGCAGGTAGATCACTTGAGGTCAGGAATTTCAGACCAGCCTGACCAGCATGGTGAAACTCTGTCTCTACTAAAAATACAGACCTGGTGATGCACGCCTATAATCCCAGCCACTTGAACCCGGGAGGCAGAGGTTGCAGTGAGCCGAGATTGCACCATTGCACTCCAGCCTGGGCAATAAGAGTGAAACTCCGTCTCAAAAAAAGGAAAATTCCTCGTTGTTTGGTTTTTTCGTTTGTTTATTTGTTTGTTTTTGAGCCAGAGTCTCACTCTGTCATCTAGGCTGGAGTGCAGTGGAGCAATCCGCCTCCCTGCAACCTCCACCTCCCAGGTTCAAGCGATTCTCCTGCCTCAGCTTCCCGAGTAGCTGGGACTGCAGGTGCACGCCGCCACGCCCAGCTGATTTTTTGTATTTTTAGTAGAGACAGGTTTTCACCATGTTGCCCAGGCTGGTGTCGAACTCCTGAGCTTGGGCAATCCACCTGCCTTGGCCTCCCAGGTGTGAGCCACCTCACCTGGCCCAAAAACTCTTCATTATTTGAGCTTATGTGTACTATAGGTTATTAAGTCTTCAGGTTCTAGAAACAGTGGGTCGATTAAAACTCCTGAATACAAAATTACTAGAGACTCATTATTCCAGAACTAATCAGTAAAGAACTCAGAAGGAGAGTGGAAAGACTGGTATGCTTTTAAAAAGAGACTTTTTTTTTTTTTTTTTTTTTTGAGACGGAGTCTCACTCTGTGGCCCAGGCTAGAGTGCAGTGGCGCCATCTCGGCTCACTACAAACTCCACCTCCCAGGTTCGCGCCATTCTCCTGTCTCAGCCTCGTGAGTAGCTGGGATTACAGGTGCGTGCCATCATGCCCAGCTAATTTTTTGTATTTTTAGTAGAGATGGGGTTTCACCGTGTTAGCCAGGATGGTCTCGATCTCCTGACCTCGTGATCCACCCGCCTCGGCCTCCCAAAGTGCTGGGATTACAGGCGTGAGCCACCACGCCCGGCCTCAAAAAGAGACATTTTCAGCTTTCATTATCATTTTATAAATATGTCTAGCATTGAAGTGCCTTAACTCCTGGGCTCAAGGGATCCTCGTGCCTCAGCTTCTGGAGTAGCTGGGACTACAGATATGCGCCACCTTGCCAGGCTTACGTTTTATTTTGTTGTGGAGACGGGGTCTTGCCATCTTACCCAGGCTGGTCTCTAATTCCTGAGTTAAGCAGTTCACCTGCCTTGGCCTCCCAAACTGCTGAGATTACAGGTGTGAGCCACGGCGCCCAGCCAATGTTTAGTTCTTAAAGACAGCAAAAATATACCCAAGGACTACTGACTTCCCCTTTTCTTGATTTGCCAATTCAGTCACATATTAGAACTGTAGAAACAAAGGGGCAAAGAAATGGCTTCTATCTTCAAAATTGCCAACTTAAGAAACACGCTAGCCGGGTGTGGTGGCTCACACCTGTAATCCCAGCATTTTAGGAGGCAGAGTGGGCAGATCACTTGAGGCCAGGAGTTCAAGACCAGCCTGGGCAACATGGCAAAACCCCGTCTCTACAAAAAATACAAAAATTAACTGGGTGTGGTGTTGTGTGCCTGTAGTTCCAGCTACTCGGGAGGCTGAGGTGGGAGAATCGTTTATGCCCAGGAGGCGGAGGCTGCAGTGAGCCATAATCACCCCACTGTACTCTAGCCTGGGCAACAGAGCCAGACCCTGTCTCAAAAAAAAAAAAGGAAAAAAAAATACATCCTTCCTTGGCTAGTCATTACTACAGAGAGAGGAAAAAGTAAGTGGGCTTGCTGGGGAAGAAAGAAAAATTGTGAATATGTACTTTTGTCTAAGGAAATTGGCTATTTCTGGTCCTTCTGAAGGTAAATGGACTAAAGGACTGCATTGAAAATCTTCCAGATCATGTATTTATTAGGTAGAAATTGATTATGTCTACAATTTAATAGTAACAAACTTTTTAAGTTTTATGTAAAGATTACATGGGATAATTTTATGAGATAGACTGTTTCTTTTTCCTTCCAATTAGAGTGTGAGTGTGTGTGTGTATATATACACACAGACTAATTTAATCTTCCAAACAATCCTATCAAGCAGCTACTATTTTTCCCATTTTACAGATCAGGAAACTGACATGAATATATATATAGGTTAATTGCCTAAACTGACCTAATAGATTTAGACAAAGGAGTCTTATTTCAGAGTCTGTCTTTAATGACTCCACAATATTGCCTCTCCTATTTGAGGAGGATTTCAGAATTTCCCATTCCTGGTAAACCCCACTATCTCACTTAATTTTAATTCACCAATCCTAATCCTCATTTCACTACGCTAAGGATTTCAGAAATGTTAAAGTAGCTTTCAAAGCATTTTAAATTTTCACTGCTTCCCTTAAAAGGCGGCCACACCAGGTATGGTGGCTCACACCTGTAATCCTAGCACTATGGGAGGCCGAAGCGGGTGGATTGCCTGAGCTCAGGAGTTCGAGACCAGCCTGGGCAACACGGTGAAACAGGAGAAGTTTTGTGGCAGGAGAATTGCCAGAATCCGGGAGGTGGAGGTTGCAGTAAGCTGAGATCGCGCCACTGCACTCCAGCCTGGGTGACAGCGAGACTCCGTCTCAAAAAAAAAAAAAAAAAAAAGGTGGCCACAGTCGTCTTAAAGCTATTAAATCAGGCCAGGCATAGTGGCTCACACCTGTAATCCCAGCACTTTGGGAGGCTGAGGCAGGCGGATAACCTACGGTCAGGAGTCCGGGCGGGGAGGCGGGTACCTATAATCCCAGCTACTCTGGAGGCTGAGACGAGAATCGCTTGAACCCGGGAGGCCGAGGTTGCAGTAAGCCGAGATCGCGCCACTGCACTCCAGCCTGGGCGACAGAGCGAGACTCCGCCTCAAAAAATAAATAAATGTTGACTGGTTTAGCTAATTCAGGTACAGCAAATATTTGTTGAGTTCTTTTGTAGGGCTGTGGGAAGATATGGGAGGCTTTTCATTAACACAACACTGATTTTACATTCTACTTTTCAAAAATACAGTTGTACAAAGCATGGTTTAAGGTGGGGTCCCAGACACCTAGAATAAATAAGCTTAGAATATCCAAGAAGTGCCAGGGGCGGTAGTTCACGCCTGTAATCCCAGCACTTTGGGAGGCCGAGGCAGGCGGATCACCTGAAGTCAGGAGGAGACCAGCCTGGCCAACATGGAGAAAGCCCGTCTCTACTAAAAATACAAAAAATAGACTGGCGTGGTGGCGCATGCCTGTAATCCCAGCTACCCGGGAGGCTGAGGCAGGAGAATCGCTTGACCCGGGAAGGGGAGGTTGCAGTGAGCCGAGATCGTGCCTTTGCACCCCAGCCTGGGCAATAAAAGTGAGACTGTCCCAAAAACAAAACAAACAGGCTGGGCATGGTGGCTCACGCCTGTAATCCCAGTAGTTTGGGAGGCCGAGGCAGGCGGATTACCTGAGGTCAGGAGTTCAAGACCAGCCTGGCCAACATGGTGAAACCCGTCTCTACTAAAAATAAAAAATTAGCCGGGGGTGGTGGCACACACCTGTAATCCCAGCTACTCGGGAGGCTGAGGCGGGACAACTGCTTGAGCCCTGGAGGCGGAGATTGCAGTGAGCCGAGATCGTGCCACTGCACTCTAGCCTGGCCGACAGAGCGACTCAAAAAAAAAAAAAAAAAAATCCAAGAAGTGCCCAAAATAGCAAGCAAAGGAATTGTATATGTGCCTATGTTCTTTTTTTCTGGGAAGGAGAATCTGCAGCTTTATAATTTCAACATCGGCTAAATTGTCGTGAACCTAAAACAATCAAAAGGGCCGGAATCTATTTAAAGAGTTTATTCAAGGGCAGTGTGAGGATGGACCAACCAGAAAACCTCCAAAGAATGGAGTCAGCCTTCAGAAGTAGAGAAGTTACGATTTCATTTATTTAGGGAGACAGAGGAGTTTTTAGCTGGATTACGTTATCCATACAAGGTTGGAACATAATTACAGAATTTGGTTACAAGAAGTGTTTTTTTTGGGGGGGGGGCGGGGGTACAGCTAACATTGTTTTACGAAGAGTTTAACACGCATGAGTTGCTGTCATCTGGTGACATCGTTTGAGTCTCTCTAGTCATTGAACAGAACAAGAAAAATCGAATTAAATTTATAATCTGAACTGAAGTTATATGTGACCCATCACATCTCTCAAGTTTTAAAATGGGTTTTTTTGTTGTTGTTGATGGGGGGGGAGAGGGTCCAGCAGCTTTTAAATGTTTTCACATCGTGTGTTCCAAAAATAACTGGTTAGCCTAAGTCACTTCCACCCTCCAATGTTGTGAATGCAGTCTCTAGCATTCGCTATTTAATGTCTTCTTCCTGCACTATTTGAGAAATCGCGAGGTCGACTTAATACCGCAGTCGCCACTTCGCGGACCGGAGGGCGGAGTCTGCTTAGTTCTGAGGACTGCGTGGGTCCGCGCAGAGAGCTCCTGCTAGGCCTGCGCGTCCCGTTCTAAATTCTTACCCTTTAGTCCTTGTCACCACCCCCGCCGTGGGAACGGCCTGACAGTCACTCGTCAAAGGAAGTGGCTGCCGGCAGCTCTTGACCCGGAATCGGATCCTAGTCCCACCCCCTCCGCTCCAGGCTTCCTTCTGCAACAGGCGTGGGTCACGCTCTCGCTCGGTCTTTCTGCCGCCATCTTGGTTCCGCGTTCCCTGCACAGTAAGTACTTTCTGTGCCGCTACTGTCTATCCGCAGCCATCCGCCTTTCTTTCGGGCTAAGCCGCCCCGGGGACTGAGAGTTAAGGAGAGTTGGAGGCTTTACTGGGCCACAGGGTTCCTACTCGCCCCTGGGCCTCCGGACAAAATGGGGTCTGCGGTTGGTGTCCTGGCAAAAGCAGGGTAGAAGGGCTGCGGGGCGGGCCCAGAATCCGAGCCTGCAGAGATGGGAGCAGTTGCAGTGTTGAGGGCGGAAGAGGAGTGCGTCTTGTTTTGGGAACTGCTTCACAGGATCCAGAAAAGGGTAAGGGGTCACAGCCTTAGAACCTGTAACACCGTTCTCCCTGTGACAAGCAAGTGTTGGACTTAAAACACCGTCTTTCCCCTCCTGGTACCCCAAAGTCGGCAAACGTAGTCCAGGAGGCCCCAGCCCAGCCAGTGTGAGTATTAGGAGTGGAGGGGGTTCACAGTAGCGTCTGAAGTCTCCCATGATCGAGAGCCAGCCCGGGATCCTCTCCCTCGGGTTGAGAATGCAGTGGGAATTGCTGGCCTTGATAGAGGCGTGAGGGTCACATCATATTTACCTCTTATTCCCAGGTGCTTTGGGGAAGGTTGTCACCAAACACCCTCACGATTTTTTTCTAACAGCCCTCCTCGGAGTTTTTAAGAATACTTATCTCCGGGTTGGGCAAGTGAATGTATCCCAATCAATTTAGGCCTCCTTTTTATTCCCTTCCTTCAGAAATGCCCGGCGAAGCCACAGAAACCGTCCCTGCTACAGAGCAGGAGTTGCCGCAGCCCCAGGCTGAGACAGGTAGGTTTCCCTACCCTCCTTGCCATTAATTAAAATTAACCCTAAAGCCATTTGGTGGGCAAAATGACCAAGGGGAAATACACTTTTTAGGAGGATGGGGTTGCAGCTTTACCAAGGAGGATAGACCGTAAAATTACTATCCTGGAGATACTTCTTTAGGGATTTGGAGTAAAAATAATATTTTTAAGATTCGTGGACGTTAAAAGTACCCTAGCTTGCTTTCTATGTTATGCCTGTCGCCTCAAAAGAAGCTCTCCTGTGGAACCCCCACCTCACATAGGAAAACTCAGCAGGGAATGGGCTCAGTGATTCTTACCTATTGGAACTAGATGACACAGGCCAAGGAGCCCGGAGCATTTGTGAAACTCCAGCCAGCAAGTTGCATCAAGGTTTTAGTTAGCAGAGCTTGGCATTGTGCCTTTATCACATGTCTGGATGAGATGTGTGCTGGTGGTAAATGTGTCCTACTGGGCCCCAGAGTCGTCCTAGGTCGGATAACTTGTTTATGGGTTGGTGGTGCTGAGATACTTCTAGTGTGCTGGAATAGTTCCTGCATCATTGTGTGAAACCCAGGATTGAAATAAATCCTTTTATCCTCAGCGTCGAAATTAACGACTGTGAAGGCTAATTTTAAATTCTGGTTAAAACATATCTCTGTAGAAAACTTAGGAGGAGGTAATGAAAAGTTCTTAAAATGATAGCCTTTCTGAGTCAGTTGTGCAGCGTTAAATGAAGGAAATCTTCAGGCTGTAATTTTCATTCTCACCTTTTTGGTTTTTTTTAAATTTCATTTGTTATTTAAGGGCAATTCCTGTCCCTTTTTGGAGTTACAGTAGAGTTGCTTATAGTTGAAAGCATAAAGTTTCTTCCCACCTGTTTGATTTTAACAGCTGAAGGGATTAATACAGCTGCTAGGAAGGACAATAGGGGGCTCTAAGCTGGAGTATAAACAATATGAAATTCTTGAAGTACAAGGGGCTTAAGGAAGGGAAAAAATAAAGTACTGTTCTCTAAAGATTCTGTAATTTCAGTACAAAACGAGATTTTAGAGATTGTGTCATTGAACAACTTAATTTTACAAATACGAAGATTTGAAATTCAGATGAATTTAGAATAATCTGATTCAAGCTTCAAAACTAATGCATTTACTTCTGAAACAGTCCTTAATGCTATTAAACGTATTCCTGAATAGTCTGAGTTGCATAGTAGGCTTATATTAAGGAAGTACCAATGATAAATACACAAGGTTTTATCTGTAATGATAGTCTATTAGAATGAAGAAGGAAGCTCAAGGAATTGTTGATGGTGTCAAAGCAAGTATTTGAGTGCTTATTCCATTTGAGGTCCAGTCAGAAGAAAACATATTCCATGTTTTTAATTCTGATTCATTATGTTTGGTAGCGTTTTCCTGTAATCGTTAGACTTTGGCCTACCCACTCTCCAGGAAAAACTAGTTGAGCCACCTTGTCTTTTCCATGGTAGGATGCCATAAGAACTTCAGAATTACTGGTTGAGTGAATTTTGAATTTGAATTTTGGTACCACGGGCTTCCCCCCCGCCCCCCTTAACATTCCCTTCTAAGCATTGAGCATTTGTTGATCCAATTCTGTGTTACCTCCTGAATGCCAGAGATACTGTCTTACTGTCATGCCAAACATTGGTGTATTTTGACATAATGAAACACTTAAATTCCAAGTTAAGGAGTGGGGATCCAGTGTATTCTCGCCACTCCAATTGTCTTCTTTGGTTTGTTTTGTTTTGAGACGGAGTCTCACCCTGTCACCCAGGCTGGAGTGCATGCAGTAGCGCGATCTTGGCTCACTGCAACCTCCACCTCCTGGGTTCAAGCCATTCTCCTGCCTCTGCCTCCTGAGTAGCTGGTATTACAGGTGTACACCACCACGCCCAGCTAATTTTTGTATTTTTAGTAGAGACGGGGTTTCACCATGTTGGTCAGGTCGGTCTGGAACTCCTGACCTCGTGATCCGCCCTCCCAGGCATCCCGAAGTGCTGGGATTACAGGCATGAGCCACTGTTACAGGCTCTCCAATTCTCTTCTTCCAAAATAGCACCACAATCTGGTTTAACAAGTTAGGTTACAGTTTCATAATACAGTCCCTACCCTTGTGAGTAAGCTCTCTGCCTGGAGGTCTAATTCATGTCTAATTCATCTTGGATTGATGTCTGAAGAATTAACATCACCTAGGAAGGTTTATAGAGACTATTACAGTCCTTTTGTGGTTGGTTTTCTTGTTTGGGTTTTGTGAGTAAGTAAACTGGTAAGGTATAAAGAAGCTAAGTGACTTTAATACTTGATATTAAATTCTGAAGTGTTTCAACTTTAGGAAGAACTGAATTGTGCTGTGCACCTCCTTCCCAAAACTATTCTAACAGAGTCAGATGTTTCCTAGCCTAGTGGAAGCCTGAAAGTATAAAAGCCTGTGTTTTCTTATTCAGTTCAGATTCCCCATCATCGTCACTGCTCACTAACTTCTTTGTTCCAGTTTTCAGTATCTTTTCTGTTCATGATATTTGGGTGGACAGAGTAGCACAGCTGTTCTTCTCGTGGGAATTCTGTTGGCTGTGAGAAAGACTTGGGAATACAGTCCATTTCAAGAAGTAAGGGGAGGGCACAACTGGGAAAGGATAGAAAGCATGTTGTTCTCAACCTACCAAGAGTCTGTGCTCCCCATTTAGAGATAGGCTGCTCTTAGACTGTTCTCCTCACCCTAAAATAGTTGGTTTACTTTGGTAGAACTTGGGGAAGTGTGAGAAATTAGGAGGGGAATGTCTTCTCACTTGACCACTGAAAAATGTTTGGGGAAGGTTGTTGTTGCCTGTCACCTTTATCTAATCCTGCGTGGTGACTTAGACTGTCAGATTTTAAACTCCAGTGTTTCCTAGGAGGCATGTTGTACCAAGTTGGGCTGCATAACTCACCTTTTTTCTCCTCCCCCTCCCCCTTTCTTTATCTCCTTTTGCCTTTCTCCAGCTGTGCTACCTATGTCTTCAGCCTTGAGTGTCACTGCTGCCTTAGGGCAGCCTGGACCTACCCTCCCCCCTCCTTGCTCTCCTGCCCCACAACAGTGCCCTCTCTCAGCTGCTAACCAGGCTTCCCCATTCCCTTCCCCCTCTACTATTGCCTCGACCCCTTTAGAAGTTCCTTTTCCCCAGTCATCCTCTGGAACAGCCCTACCTTTGGGAACTGCCCCTGAAGCCCCAACCTTCCTACCAAACCTAATAGGGCCTCCCATCTCCCCAGCTGCCTTAGCTCTAGCCTCTCCCATGATAGCTCCAACTCTGAAAGGGACCCCTTCCTCTTCAGCTCCCTTAGCTCTGGTTGCCCTGGCTCCCCACTCAGTTCAGAAGAGTTCTGCTTTTCCACCTAACCTTCTTACTTCACCTCCTTCAGTGGCTGTAGCTGAGTCAGGGTCAGTGATAACTCTGTCAGCTCCCATTGCTCCCTCAGAACCAAAGACTAATCTTAATAAAGTTCCCTCTGAGGTAGTCCCTAATCCAAAAGGCACCCCCAGCCCTCCATGTATAGTCAGTACTGTTCCTTACCACTGTGTGACTCCCATGGCCTCTATTCAATCTGGAGTGGCCTCCCTTCCTCAGACAACACCCACAACTACCCTAGCCATCGCTTCCCCTCAAGTCAAAGATACCACCATTTCCTCAGTTCTGATTTCTCCACAAAACCCAGGAAGCCTCAGCCTGAAGGGGCCTGTTAGTCCACCTGCTGCCTTATCTCTTTCAACTCAGTCTCTTCCTGTGGTGACCTCTTCTCAAAAGACTGCGGGTCCCAACACCCCCCCAGATTTTCCCATTTCTCTGGGCTCTCATCTTGCACCTTTACATCAGAGTTCTTTTGGTTCTGTCCAACTTTTAGGTCAAACAGGTCCTAGTGCTTTGTCAGACCCTACAGTGAAGACCATTTCTGTAGATCATTCTTCCACAGGGGCCTCTTATCCTTCTCAGAGATCTGTAATTCCTCCCCTTCCTTCCAGAAATGAGGTAGTTCCTGCTACTGTGGCTGCCTTTCCAGTGGTGGCTCCATCTGTTGACAAAGGTCCCTCTACCATCTCTAGCATAACCTGCAGCCCTTCTGGCTCCTTAAATGTAGCTACCTCTTTTTCATTATCTCCTACAACCTCTCTCATTCTCAAAAGCTCTCCTAATGCCACTTATCATTATCCTTTAGTGGCCCAAATGCCCGTTTCTTCTGTTGGAACCACCCCACTTGTGGTGACTAACCCCTGTACAATTGCTGCAGCACCTACTACTACCTTTGAGGTAGCTACTTGTGTTTCTCCTCCAATGTCATCAGGTCCCATAAGTAACATAGAACCAACTTCCCCTGCTGCCTTGGTTATGGCACCTGTGGCTCCCAAAGAGCCTTCTACTCAAGTAGCAACCACTCTGAGGATACCAGTCTCTCCTCCTCTGCCAGACCCTGAAGACCTCAAAAATCTCCCCAGTTCAGTATTGGTTAAATTTCCAACACAAAAAGACCTCCAAACTGTACCTGCCTCTCTTGAAGGAGCCCCTTTCTCTCCAGCCCAAGCAGGACTCACCACCAAGAAAGACCCTACTGTATTACCGTTAGTCCAGGCAGCCCCTAAAAATTCCCCTTCTTTCCAAAGTACATCCTCTTCTCCAGAGATACCTCTTTCTCCTGAAGCCACCCTAGCAAAGAAAAGCCTTGGGGAGCCTCTCCCTATAGGTAAGCCAGCCAGCAGTATGACCTCCCCTCTGGGTGTTAACTCCTCGGCCTCTGTAATCAAGACAGATTCTTATGCAGGCCCAGACTCTGCTGGTCCGCTTCTCAAAAGTTCTCTCATTACCCCAACAGTGGCTGCATTTCCTTTGGAAAGTGCTGACCCTGCCGGGGTGGCTCCCACAACTGCCAAAGGTACCTCAACTTATACAACTACAGCCAGCCCTTTTCTAGAAGGAACTGTCTCTTTAGCTCCTAAAAACCACCCAGTTAAGGAAGGTACTCTTACTACTTTACCCTTGGTTCCTACAGCTTCAGAAAATTGCCCTGTGGCTCCATCCCCCCAGAATACCTGTGCTCCTCTGGCTACCTTAGTGCTGGCCCCTGAAATCCCAAAGTCTGTGCCCTCACCCTCTCTTCCCCCAGCTGGGACTCCTCCAGGTACAAAAAAGGTTGATGGTATTTCTCATACTTCAGCATTGGCACCTGTTGCTTCCTCTCCCAAAGAGTGCCCAACTGAGGACTCTGGTGCTTCTGCTACTGCATCTTCCAAAGGAACTCTGACTTACCTAGCTGATTCCCCATCTCCTTTAGGGGTTAGTGTGTCTCCTCAGACTAAAAGACCTCCAACCAAGAAGGGTTCTGCTGGCCCTGATACTCCTATTGGAAATCTCTCATCCCCTGTTTCTCCAGTTGAAGCTTCATTTCTTCCAGAGAATAGTCTTTCTTTCCAAGGCTCTAAAGACTCACCAGCCACGACGCATTCTCCCACTCCTCCATCCCCCAAAGGGGCCCCTACTCCCTCAGCTGTGACTCCTCTGTCTCCCAAAGGAGTAACACTACCCCCCAAAGAGACCCCCACTCCTTCAGTGGTGAATCTGCCCTTCCCCAAAGAGGGTCCAGCTACTCCAGCACCCAAACAGGCTCCTGCTCTATCCATGACTTCTTCCTCCCCCAAAAAGGCCCGAGCAACTCCAGCCCCTAAAGGAATCCCAGCTTCCCCATCCCCCAAAGGGGCCCCCACACCCCCAGCTGCAACTCCTCCCTCCCCTAAAGGAGGCCCAGCTACCCCATCCCCGAAATGGGCCCCCACACCCCCAGCTGCAACTCCTCCCTCCCCAAAAGGAGGTCCAGCTACTCCATCCCCCAAAGGGGCCCCCACACCCCCAGCTGCAACTCCTCCCTCCCCCAAAGGAGGTCCAGCTACTCCATCCCCCAAAGGGGCCCCCACACCCCCAGCTGTGACTCCTCCCTCCCCCAAAGGAAGTCCAGCAGCTACCCCATTCCCCAAAGGGGCATCCACACCCCCAGCTGCAACTCCTCCCTCCCCCAAAGGAAGTCCAGCAGCTACCCCACTCCCCAAAGGGGCCCCCACAACCCCAGCTGCAACTCTTCCCTCCCCAAAAGGAGGTCCAGCTACCCCATCCCTCAAGGGGGCCCCCACTCCCCCAGCTGCGACTCCTCCCTCCCCAAAAGGAGGCCCAGCTACCCCATCCCCCAAAGGGGCCCCCATGCCCCCAGCTGCAACTCCTCCCTCCCCAAAAGGAGGTCTAGCTACCCCACCCCACAAAGGGGCACCCACAACCCCAGCTGCAACTCCTCCCTCCCCAAAAGGAGGTCTAGCTACCCCACCCCCAAAAGGGGCCCCCACAACCCCAGCTGCAACTCCTCCTTCCCCAAAAGGAGGTCTAGCTACCCCACCCCCAAAAGGGGCCCCCACAACCCCAGCTGCAACTCCTCCTTCCCCAAAAGGAGGTCTAGCTACCCCATCCCCCAAAGGGGCCCCCACAACCCCAGCTGCAACTCCTCCCTCCCCAAAAGGAGGTCTAGCTACCCCATCCCCCAAAGGGGCCCCCACAACCCCAGCTGCAACTCCTCCCTCCCCAAAAGGAGGTCTGGCTACCCCATCCCCCAAAGGGGCCCCCACAACCCCAGCTGCAACTCCTCCCTCCCCAAAAGGAGGCCCAGCTACCCCACCCCCCAAAGGGGCCCCCACTCCCCCAGCTGCAACTCCTCCCTCCCTAAAAGGAGGTCTAGCTACCCCACCCCACAAAGGGGCCCCCAATCCCGCAGTTGTAACTCCTCCCTCTCCAAAAGGAGGCCCAGCTACCTCACCCCCCAAAGGGGCCCCCACTCCTCCAGCTGCAACTCCTCCCTCCCCAAAAGGAAGCCCAGGTACCCCACCCCCCAAAGGGGCCCCCACTCCCCCAGCTGTAACTCCTCCCTCCCCTAAAGGGACCCCTACTCTCCCAGCTACAACTCCCTCCTCTAAAGGAGGCCCAACTACTCCATCCTCCAAAGAGGGCCCCACTCCCCCAGCTGCAACCCCCTCCCACAAAGGAGGTCCCGCTATGACTCCTCCCTCCCCCAAAAGAGGACCAGCTATCCCATCTCCCAAAGGGGACCCCACTTCCCCAGCAGTGATTCCTCTCTCCCCCAAAAAGGCTCCAGCAACTCCAGTCACCAGAGAAGGCGCAGCCACCCCATCCAAAGGAGATCTCACTCCCCCAGCAGTGACTCCTGTCTCCCTCAAAAAGGCCCCAGCAACTTCAGCCCCCAAAGGAGGCCCAGCTACCCCATCCTCCAAAGGGGATCCCACCCTCCCAGCAGTGACTCCTCCTTCCCCCAAGGAGCCCCCAGCCCCCAAACAAGTTGCCACTTCTTCCTCTCCCAAAAAGGCCCCAGCAACTCCAGCCCCCATGGGGGCCCCCACTCTGCCAGCTGTGATTCCTTCTTCCCCCAAAGAGGTCCCAGCTACCCCATCCTCCAGAAGGGACCCCATTGCCCCAACAGCGACTCTTCTCTCTAAAAAGACCCCAGCAACTCTAGCCCCCAAAGAGGCCCTCATTCCCCCAGCTATGACTGTTCCCTCCCCTAAAAAGACCCCAGCAATTCCAACCCCCAAAGAAGCCCCAGCTACCCCATCCTCCAAAGAGGCCTCCAGTCCCCCAGCAGTGACTCCTTCCACTTACAAAGGGGCCCCATCCCCCAAAGAGCTCCTCATTCCACCAGCTGTGACTTCTCCTTCCCCCAAAGAGGCACCTACTCCTCCAGCTGTGACTCCTCCATCCCCCGAAAAGGGCCCAGCAACTCCAGCCCCCAAAGGGACTCCCACTTCCCCACCTGTGACTCCTTCCTCCCTCAAAGACTCCCCTACTTCCCCAGCTTCTGTCACATGTAAAATGGGGGCCACTGTTCCTCAAGCATCTAAAGGGCTTCCAGCAAAGAAAGGCCCCACAGCTCTGAAAGAAGTACTTGTTGCCCCAGCTCCAGAAAGCACGCCAATCATCACAGCTCCCACTCGGAAAGGTCCACAGACCAAAAAGAGTTCTGCTACTTCACCTCCTATATGCCCAGATCCCTCAGCTAAGAATGGTTCTAAAGGACCCCTTTCCACAGTGGCTCCAGCCCCTCTACTCCCTGTTCAGAAAGACTCTTCAAAGACAGCAAAAGGCAAAGATGCTTCTCATTCCCCAAAGGGCCCCTTGGCTCCTCCTGAGTCTAAGGCGTCCACCCCTCTAACAGCAGCTGCCTTTGAGAAGGTCCTTCCTAAACCTGAATCAGCATCTGTCTCTGCAGCACCCTCCCCACCAGTCTCTCTGCCTCTTGCTCCCTCCCCAGTTCCCACTCTGCCTCCTAAACAGCAATTTCTGCCGTCCTCTCCTGGGCTGGTGTTGGAATCACCCTCTAAACCCCTTGCCCCTGCTGATGAGGATGAGCTGCTGCCTCTGATTCCCCCGGAACCAATCTCTGGGGGAGTGCCTTTCCAGTCGGTCCTCGTCAACATGCCCACCCCTAAATCTGCTGGAATCCCTGTCCCAACCCCCTCTGCCAAGCAACCTGTTACGAAGAACAACAAGGGTATTTGCCTTGGTTTGCCGTGTGCATGGTGTGTCTGTCGTCCACACCCCTCTTGGGCGCTACCCACCAATACTAACCCTGTGATGCGCCGCTTTCTCCAGTGAATCTGCTTGGGTTTGGATGTAGAACATAGAATGATAATTTTAAATGCAAAAGTTCTAGGAATATGAAACCAAATCTTGGTTTTCATTACTTCAGATAGATACATAGTACATTGTGTATCATTTTTGTGTAATGTGGCCCGGACTACCCTGAGCCTGCCATGCCATCTATTTTACCTAATTGATCTGACATTGAAAACCAAGACCTGCCAGACCTTTTCATTTGCTCTAATCCCTACCACATCACTAACTAACCTTGTCCCTGGGCCTGAGATTTGGTAAAATTATTGGAGAATTGAACTATTTGTATTTATTTTTCCATTATTAGACTTAGTAATGACCAGTTGCCCAGGGACTCCCTTTTCATAAAAATGTAGAAATCTGTTTTTCCTAGCCTGAAAATGGTGCAGGTGTATGCTTTTTTTCCTCAGTAGTCTTTACTGATGCTTGGCCTTTGAATTGAAAGAAATTTATGTGAATTATGTTTGGAAAAACTAGAGATATAGGTCATCATCATTGAGAATCTTCTAATTATATTGATTAGATCACATTGCTGGGGTGAATGGTTTGAAAATGAGGCTGAATATGTGTACGTGTCTGCTTTTGACTTCCTCCAACCCAGTTTAAAAGTTGAGGGGAAAACCACCCAACCTGTTGTGCCTCCACGGTGTGATTTTGGTTTTTTCACTTAAGTGTATCTGGGGGCACCTTCTGACAGAACTTTACAGGGATAATTGGACTATTGGGTAAAATTTTAGAGTCATATGGGTCATTATTTGCCTGTGCCAAGAAACAAAGACCTTGAGGGAAAGAAAGCAGTTACAGTATATTAAACTGCTCAGCTATTTCTAGTGATTAGTCCTCATTTCTGGGGTTAGGGCTGGGTCTTTACTAGATGTGTACCCGCTAGTTAGTGACTAAGTTAGGGGCTATCAAGCTGACTTCACACAAGCCAGTTGGTTTACATTTAACATTCTTAGGTCTAGCATGAGGCATTCACCTCTAGTCCAGGGCAGGCTGTGGTGAAGTACCTTCTCTTATAATTTCTACTATAAAGCAGTAAAAGTTGTTTCTCATCTTAGGGTCTGGAACAGAATCTGACAGTGATGAATCAGTACCAGAGCTTGAAGAACAGGATTCCACCCAGGCAACCACACAACAAGCCCAGGTGGGTATTCTCTTACTAACTGGTATTGGGTCAAAGAAGCAGGGTTGATCAGGGCAACTTTTGTATTTGGAACTGTGAACCTTCATAAAGGAAAACCCACAAGGAGATTGTGCTATCCAGATCTTAGATTCTGGTTAACTAATAGCTGTTTTATCTTCTTAGCTGGCGGCAGCAGCTGAAATTGATGAAGAACCAGTCAGTAAAGCAAAACAGAGTCGGAGTGAAAAGAAGGCACGGAAGGTAAGATTTGAAAAGGATTTCAGGATCTTATGAAGCACCTTTATACAGAGTGGAACTGTTTATTTCCATAGGTTTTTGGGGAACAGGTGGTATTTTGGTTATACAAGTAAGTTCTCTAGTGGTGATTTTTGAGATTTTGGTGCACCTGTCACCCAAGCAGTATACACTGAACCCAATTCTTAGTAGTGGTAGAATCCCGTTGAAAGTAACAGAAGTAGCTAGGTTGGTGGCTCACACCTGTTATCCCAGCACACTGGAAGGCCAAGGCAGATGGATCACTTGAGGTCAGGAGTTCAAGACCAGCCTGGCCAACATGGCGAAACCCCATCTCTACTAAAAATACCAAAAATATATAGCAGGGCATGGTGGTAACGCTCCTGTAATCCCAGCTACTAAGGTGGCTGAGGCACGGCAATTGCTTGAACCTGGGAGACGGACATTACATTGAGCCGAGATTGCACCACTGCACTCCAGCCTGGGCGACAGAGCAAGACCTGCCTCCAAAAAATAAAAAATAAAGTAACAGAAGTTACTACGGCAGAAAACCCATTCTCTATTCTTGTATGAACTTTTCTCAGCCTGGGGAAAGGCTTTGCTTTGGATGTTGTATTATGTTCCTTGCTTCTTTAGGCTGCTTCTAAAGAGGTTGAAAACCTGATACTATTTTCTCTTCTTTAGGCTATGTCCAAACTGGGTCTTCGGCAGGTTACAGGAGTTACTAGAGTCACTATCCGGAAATCTAAGAATATCCTCTTTGTCATCACAAAACCAGATGTCTACAAGAGCCCTGCTTCAGATACTTACATAGTTTTTGGGGAAGCCAAGGTGAGTAAACTTTTCTTGGGCATTGTTCCAGACCAGGGTTTCTCAACCTCAGCACTGCTGACATTTTGCGTCAGATAGTTCTCTGTTATGGAAGGGCTATCCATTACATCCAGTTTTGATTACCCAAAAACTCCATTGCCATATATCTCCTGGGAGACCTAACTACCCCCTAGTTGAGAACCACTGCTCTAAACCTAAACAACTACTCTTTCTACTGTGAGGGCAAGCAGTTTAAAGCTGTACAATAAGTTACCTGAATGGGTTTACAGAGAGTTGTGAAACTATATGATTTATTTTTCAAAGACTGCTAATCTACTCACATGGATCTGTATTTTCTACCCTGTAGATCGAAGATTTATCCCAGCAAGCACAACTAGCAGCTGCTGAGAAATTCAAAGTTCAAGGTGAAGCTGTCTCAAACATTCAAGAAAACACACAGACTCCAACTGTACAAGAGGAGAGTGAAGAGGAAGAGGTATACTAGGAAATCTTTCATAATTTAACTCTCGCCGTATAGCATTGTGTTCGTGTTGGTGAGCTATATTAAAAACTAGATTCAGGAGACTCCAAAGAACTGCTGAAATTGTTCTTGCCTTTAATTTACTGCTTTTTCCCTCTCATCTCTCAGGTCGATGAAACAGGTGTAGAAGTTAAGGACATTGAATTGGTCATGTCACAAGCAAATGTGTCGAGAGCAAAGGCAGTCCGAGCCCTGAAGAACAACAGTAATGATATTGTAAATGCGATTATGGTAAGTGTTCAAGCCTTTGTTCCTTGACTCCCTCTGCCCTGACCAATTATGAGTGACTTTATTTTGTCTTGCTAAATATCAGCCAATTAAGGAACCTCATTCCAGAGCCTCTTCTGAGTTGCCGTATAGGTTTTAGTGGCCTAAATTCTCCTGATTTGCCTGTAAGAGTTTTAGTGACCTGAATTCTCCTGATTTGCCTATAAGAACCGCTAATTATCTTTTCTCTGTTACAGGAATTAACAATGTAACCATATGGAAGCAACTTTTTTTGGTGTCTCAAAGGAGTAACTGCAGCTTGGTTTGAAATTTGTACTGTTTCTATCATAAATAAAGTTATGGCTTCTTGTTGGATGAATTCAGTCGGTGACTGGTCTCTTCCCCGCCACCCCCCCACACCAAAAAAAAAAAAAACTTAAAAAGGTTCTAGTAATTTATTAATTACTCCTAAGGCCTCCCTCATTTGATAAGGTTTAGTGCCACAGATTTCCCACTTAGAATCTCAGACTTTATACCTCTTTTAAGAAGTTACTGGCCAGGCGTGGTGGCTCACGCCTGTAATCCTGGCACTTTGGGAGGCCAAGGAGGGGGCAGATCACGAGGTCAGGAGATTGAGACCATCCTGGCTAACACGTTGAAACCCCGTCTCCACTAAAAATACAAAAAATTAGCCGGGCGTGGTGGCGGGCACCTGTAGTCCCAGCTGCTTGGGAGGCTGAGGCAGGAGAATGGTGTGAACCTGGGAGGCAGAGCTTGCAGTGAGCCCAGATCACGCCACTGCACTCCAGCCTGGGCGACAGACAGAGCAAGACTCCATCTCAAAAAAAAAAAAAAAAAAAAAAAAGTTACTATACTAGGCTGTTAGGACCTTCTTAACTTAAGGAAATACAACTTGACTATAAAGTTTCTCATTTCTGACCAGGCGCGACGGCTCACACCTGTAATCCCAACACTTTGGGAGGCCAAGGCAGGTGGATCTCTTTAGCCCAGGAATTTGACACCAGCCTGGGAAACATGGCAAAACCCCGCCTCTACAAAAAATAGGATCACTGAGTAATCCCTGAGATCACACCACTGCACTCCAGCCTGGGCGACAGAGTGAGACACTGTCTCAAAAAAATAGTTTCTCATTTCCACTTTCTTTCCCAGATGTTAACTGTTAGCAGATCCCGATTCTTCTGTATCTAGTAATCAGCCCCTTCACTGAACTCCAATCTTTCTGAATGCACACTGGGGCTTTTGTGGCCTCTGAGGAGTTTACATTGGTTACATATCGACATGTAAGAGCTTGGTACAGGGTTGAAGAGAAAGTTGGAGGTACATGAAAAAGCTACCTCCTGAAGGGGAAGATTTTGAGTATATTGTAAACTTTCTGCTCTTAAGCATATTCTCTACAGACATTTTAATCTACAAAGTAGCTTCTGATTAGGACAGCCATAATTACATATTAGGACAATAAATGAAAACTAGGACTCTCCCAGGCTAACTAAAACATAACAGTTAGTTTACAGATAGCTACATAGGAATTCCAAGAAAAACTCAGTTTGGGTTGTCAGAGAATGGTTTGGAGGAAATCAAAGGGCTACAATTTAGAAATGGGAAAGTTACAAGTAAATGTAGAGGCAAGAATCCTGAAATGAACATGTGAAAATACACCTAGAAGGAATATGTTAGAATGGGAATAAATGTGGCTAACATCTAAAACTGGGCTTTAGAACTAAAGGAGTTAAGACATTTTTATAGAATTCAGTCTTTTGGTCTCCATAAAAAATGAGGCCGGCCGGGTACAGTGGCTCACACCTGTAATCCCACCAACTTGGGAGGCTGAGGCAGGCAGGGCAGGCGGGTCACAAGGTCAGGAGATCCAAACCATTCTGGCTAACACAGTGAAACCCCATCTCTACTAAAAATAACAACAAAAAAAAGGGCAGCGCGGTGGCTCATGCCTGTAATCCCAGCAGTTTGGGAGGCCGAGGCGGGTGGATCACGAGGTCAGGGGTTTGAGACCAGCCTGACCAACATGGTGAAACCCCGTCTCTACTAAAAACAGAAAAATTAGCTGGGCGTGGTGGCGGGCGCCTATAATCCCAGCTACTCAGGAGGCTAAGGCAGGAGAATTGCTTGAACCCGGGAGGCAGAGGTTGCAGTGAGTCAAGATCGCGCCACTACACTCCAGCCTGGGCGACAGCGAGACTCCGTCTCAAAAAAAAAAAAAAAAATACAAAAAAAATTAGCTGGGCATGGTGGCATGCGTCTGTAGTCCCAGCTACTCGGGAGGCTGAGGCAGGAGAATCGCTTGAACCCAGGAGGTAGAGGTTGCAGTGAGCCGAGATGGCACCATTGCACTCCAGCCTAGGTGACAAAGCAAGACTCCCATCTCAAAAAAAAAAAAAAAAAACAGAGGCCAAGGAGGGTGGCTTCTGCCTGAAATCCCAACACTTTGGGAGTACAGGCAGGAAGATCCTTTGAGCCCACGAGTTCAAAACCAGCTTGGGCAACATACAGAGACCTTGCCTCTACAAAAACTAAAAATACTAGCTAGGTGTGATATTGTGCACTTTGGTTCCAGCTACTAAGGAGGCTGAGGTGGGAGGATCACTTGAGCCTGCTCCCTTGACCCTGCTCCCTTGACCCTCGGTGGTCAGGGCTACAGTGAGCCATGATCGCGCCACTACATTCCAACCTGGGCCACAAGATGCCATCTCAAAAAAAAAAAGAAAAAAAAAGGCATTATTTTAGTAGATGTGAGTGAAAGCTGAGGACTAAGGAGTTTATGACTTTCTCAAAGCCACTAAAAACAGCAGGGCCTTTTGTTTCCCCCAGCTAGGAAGTAGTAGGCTGTACTGTGGGAGCACAAATAGAAATCTGAAGATTGGCTCAGAATGAAGACCTTTCATCTCATTTCAAAACAGTTGATTATTTGATGAACAAAATCTCATGAGAAAAAAGGCGCCTAACAGCCAATCTGAGTCAATCCAATAATTATTTCAGGAAGAAATTTAGATACTCATTCCCAATTTTTTTAAAAACAACTATCTTGTTCAAGACCCTTTTTGCATCACTGCAGTAGTGTTCACTACTTCCCACCTCAAGAATCTCACAACATCAGTTCCCCCTTTTCTTCTGCTATTAATTCCTACCTCTCAGTCTTTCTTATTTATTTAATTTTTTGAGATGCAGACTTGCTCTGTCGCTCAGGCTGGAATGCAGTGGCACAATCTCAGCTCACTGCCACGTCTACCTCCCAGGTTCAAGCAATTCTGCCTCAGCCTCCCAAGTAGCTGAGATTAGAGGCCCACACCACACGCCCAGCAAATTTTTGTATTTTTAATAGAGACAAGGCTTCACCATGTTGTCCAGGCTGGTCTCAAACTCCTGACCTCAAATGATCCTCCTGCCTCGACCTCCCAAAGTGCTGAGATTATAGGCCTGAGCTACCGCAACGGGCCTTCCTCTCAGTCTTTTGCTTCACCACAATTGAAATGCAGATAACTTCCTCTATTACTAGAATGATTAAATTTTTGGTTCTTGGAGTCAAGCAGAGTGGCTCATGCCTGGCTAAGAGTTCAAAACGACCCTGGCCGACATGACGAAACCAAGAAATACAAAAATTAGCTGAACATGTTGGCGCACACCTGTAGTCCCAGCTACTTGGGAGGCTGAGGCACAAGAATTGCTTGAACCTGGGAGGCGGAGGTTACAGTGAGCCAAGATCACACCACTGCACTGTAGCCTGGGTGACAGAAAAAATAAAAAACTATTAGATGACACCAAAAGCAAGAAAACAAGCAACAAAAGAAAAAAAGATAAATTGGACTTCATCAAAATTTAAAACTTGTGTATTAAAGAACAAAACAGTAAGAAAGACAGCCCATGGAATTAGAGGAAATATTTGCAAATGATGTATCTGATAAGGGGATAATATCCAGACTATATAAAGAACTCCTACAACTCAACAAAAACTCTGATTCAAAATGTGAAAGGGCCATGAAGACATTTATCCAAAGAAGATAGATAAATGTCCAATAGCACATGAAAAGGTGCTAGGGCCGGGCGCAGTGGCTCACACCTGTAATTTCAGCACTTTGGGAGGCTGAGGCAGGCGGATCATCTGAGGTCAGGAGTTCGAGAACAACCTGACCAACATGGAGAAACCCCATCTCTACTAAAAATACAAAATTAGCCGGGCATGGTGGCCTATGCCTATAATCCCAGCTACTCAGGAGGCTGAGGCAGGAGAATGGCTTGAACCTGGGAGGCAGAGGTTGCAGTGAGCCGAGATCACACCATTGCACTCCAGCCAGGGCAACAAGAGCAAAACTCCATCTCAAAAAAAGGAGAAAAGGCCAGGCACGGTGGCTCATGCCTATAATCCCAGCACTTTGGGAGGCCAAGGTGGGCGGAGCACCTGAGGTTGGGAGTTCGAGACCAGCCTGACCAACATGGAGAAAGCCCATCTCTACTAAAAATAAAAAATTAGCTGGGTGTGGTGGCGCATGTCTGTAATCCCAGCTACCAGGGAGGCTGTGGCAGGAGAATCGCTTGAACCCAGGAAGTGGAGGTTGTGATGAGTCGAGATCGCACCATTGCACTCCAGCCTGGGCAACGAGAGCGAAACTGCACCTCAAAAAAAAAAAAGAAAGAAAAAAATGTAATTAAAACAAAAAATGAGATGTCACCTCAACCCATTAGGCTGACTACTTATCAAAAAAAAAAAGTGTTAGCAAGGATGTGAAGAAATTGGAACACTTGTGCACTGTTGGTGGGAATGTTAAATGGTGCAGCCACTATGGAATGGTATGGCAGATCCTCAAAAAATTAAAAATAGATTTACCATATGATCCCGCAATTCCACTTCTGGTTTTAAACCCAAAAGAATTACAATCAGGGACTCAGTGTTACAACCATACTCATAACAGCATTATTCACAATAGACAAAGGCAGCAGAAACCCAAGTGTCCATCAACAGTTGAATGGTTAAATAAGATGTGGTATATAGCAACAGGAGAATATTATTCGGCCGGGCGCAGTGGCTCATGCCTGTAATCCCAGCACTTTGGGAAGCCAGGATCGCTTGGCCTGGGAGTATAAAGGATCGTTTGAGCTCAGGACTTTTGAGACTAGCCTGGGCAAAATGGCGAATCTCAGCACTTTGGGAGGCCGAGGCGGGCAGATCGCCTGAGGTCAGGAGTTCGAGACCTGCCTGGCCAACGTAGTGACACCCCTTCTCTACTAAAAATACAACAATTAGCCAAGTGTGGTGGCACATGCCTGTAGTCCCAGCTACTCAGGAGTCTGAGGTAGTAGAATCACTTGAACCTGGGAGGCAGAGGTTGCAGTGAGCCAAGATCACACCACTGTACTACTCACTCCAGCCAGGGAGACAGAGTTAGACTCCATCCCCCCCCCAAAAAAAAAAAAGGCAAAACACTGTCTCTACAAAAAAAACCACACACGCCAGGCACTGGGGCTCACGCCTATAATCCCAGCACTTTGGGAGACCAAGGCGGATGGATCACCTGAGGTCAGGAGTTCAAGACCAGCCTGGCCAACACGATGAAACCCTGGTCACTACTAAAAATACAAAAATGAGCCAGGCATGGTTGTGGACGTCTATAATCCCGCTACTTGGGAAGCTGAGGCAGAAGAATCACTTAAACCCAGGAGGCAGAGGTTGCAGTGAGCCAAGATCATACCATTGCACTCCAGCCTGGGCAATAAGAGCGAAACTCCATCTAAAACACACACACACACACACACACACACACACACACACACACACACAAAATTACAAAATTAGCCAGGCATGGTGGGACGTCCCAGCTACTAGGGAGGCGGAGGTGGGAGGATCCCTTGACCCTGGGAGGCAGAGGTTGTAGTGAGCCATGATCACACCACTACACTCCACCCTGGGTGACAAAGTGAGATCCTGTGTCAAAAAAATATATAAGACTGGGCATGGTGGCTCACGCCTGTAATCCCAACACTCTGGCAGGCCGAGGCAGGCAGATCACCTGAGGTCAGGAATTCAAGACCAGCCTGGCCAACATGGTGAAACCCTGTCTCTACAAAAATACAGAACAAAATTAGCCAGGTGGCTGAGGCACAAGAATCACTTCAACCTGGGAGGTGGAGGTTGCAGTGAGCTGACACAGCACCACTGCACTCCAGCCTGGGCGACAGAGCGAGACTCTGTCTCAAAAAAAAAAAACAAAATTAGCCAGGTGTGGTTGCCTATGCCCCTAATCCCAGCTACTTCGGAGGCTGAGGCAGGAGAGTCCTTTGATCCCGGGAGGCTGAGGTTGCAGTGAGCCAAGATCATGCCATTGAACACCAGCCTGGATGACAAGAGCAAAACTCCAAAACTCCATCTCAAAAAAAAACAGTATGTGTGTGTGTATAAAATATTATTTTATATATATGTGTATATATATATATTATTCAGCCTTAAAAAGGAAAGAAATTCTGTCACATGCTGAAACATAAATTGTTGGCATTATGCCAAATGAAATGAGCCATCCACAAAAGGGCAAATATTGTATGATTCCTCTTTTTTTTTTTTTTTTTTTTTTTGAGATGGAGTCTCCCTCTGTCACTCAGGCTGGAGTGTAGTGGCGCAATCTCAGCTCACTGCAACCTCTGCCTCCCAGGTTCAAGCGATTCACCTCCCGAGTAGCTGGGACTACAGACCTGTGCCACCATGCCCAGCTAATTTTTGCATTTTTAGTAGAGATGGGGCTTCACCATGTTGGCCAGGCTGGTCTCAAACTCCTGACCTCAGGTGATCCGCCCGCCTTGGCCTCCCAAAGTGCTGGGATTACAGGCATGAGCCACCATGCCCGACCCCTGAATGTTTTCTTAAATGAATATTTACTAATCTTCCAGACATCACCTTTTGTTGGAACTCCAGAGTTATAAATGGCCCTCACCATACCGATGCTTTCTAACTGAGCTCCTATCTACCCTGAACACAAGAGATCCTAATAGTTAGGCAGGAATATCATCGCCCTTATTCATCCTGAAGAAGTTACAGAAAGCTGGGCGCACTGGCTCATGCCTGCAATCTCACCACTTTGGAAAGCCGAGGTGGGTGGATCACCTGAGGTCAGGAGTTTGAGACCACCCTGGCCAACATGGAGAATCCCCGTCTCTACTAAAAATATAAAAATGAGCCGGGTGTAGTGGCGCATGCTTGTAATCCCAGCTACTCGGGAGGTTGAGGCAGGAGAATCACTTGAACTCAGGAGGCGGAGGTTGGAGTGAGCCAAGATCGTGCCACTGGACTCAAGCCTGGGCAACAGAGCAAGACTCTGCTTAAAATTAAAAGAAAAAAAAAAAAGGCCAGGCACGGTGGCTCACGCCTGTAATCCCAGCACTTTGGGAGGCCAAGGCAGGTGGATCACAAAGTCAGGAGTTCAAGACCAGCCTGGCCAACATAGTGAAAGCCCGTGTCTACTAAAAATACAAAAAAATTAGCTAGGCATGGTTGGGGGCACCTGTAATCCCAGATACTCTGGAGGCTGAGGCAGGAGAATTGCTTCAACCCAGGAGGCGGAGGTTGCAGTGAGCGGAGATTGTGCCACTGCACTCCAGCCTGGGTGAAAGAGTGAGACTCCGTCTCAAAAAAAAAAAAAGATTAAGGGTTCTCTTATAAAAGGGATGGGGTAAATGTCAGAAGTGTTTAAACCAGGCCAGACACATTGGCTCATGCTTGTCATCGGTTCATGCCTGTAATCCCAGCACTTTGGGAGGTCCAGGCGAATGGATCACCTGAGGTCAAAAGTTAGAGAGCAGCCTGGCCAACATGGCAAAACCCTGTCTCTACTAAAAATACAAACATTAGCCAGTTGTGGTAGCACACGCCTGTAATCCCAGCTACTCCGGAGGCTGAGGCAGGAGAATCGCTGGAACCCAGGAGGCTGAGGTTGCAATGAGCCGAGATCACCCTGCTGCACTCCAGCCTGGGAGACAGAGTAAGACTCCATCTCGAAAAACAAACAAACAAAAGAAACAGGTTGCAGTAAAGGAGCCGGCTAAATCCCACCAAAACCAAGATGGCCACCAGAGTGACTTCTGGTCCTCCTCACTGCTACACTCCCACCAGCCTGACCAACATGGTGAAATACCTTCTCTACAAAAATACAATTAGCCAGGCATGATGGCAGGTGCCTGTAATCCCAGCTACTCAGGAGGCTGATGGGGGAGAATCTCTTGAACCCAGGAGGTGGAGGTTGCAGTGAGCTGAGATCACACCATTGCACTCCAGCCTGGGTGACAGAGTGGGACCTCCATCTCAAAAAAACAGACAAACAGGCCAGGCATGGTGGCTCATGCCTGTAATCCCAGCACTTTGGGAGGCTGAGGCAGGTGGATCACCTGAGGTCAGGAGTTCGAGACCAGCCTGACCAACATGGAGAAACCCCGTCTCTACTAAAAATACAAAAAAAAAAAAAAAAAATTAGCCAGGCTTGGTGATGCATGCCTGTAGTCCCAGCTACTCTGGAGGCTAAGGCAGAAGAATTGCTTGAACCCAGGAAGCAGAGGTTGCAGTGAGCTGAGATTGCACCACTGCACTCCAAACTGGGCGACAAAGCGAGACTCCTCAAAAAAAAAAAAAAAAAAAATTAGCCAGACGTTGTGGCGTGCTCCTGTCGTCCTGGCTACTAGGGAGGCTGAGGCAGAAGAACTGCTTGAACCGGGGAGGCAGAGATTGCAGTCAGCCGAGATCCTGCCACTGCACTCCAGCCTGGGCAACAGAGCAAGAATCCATCTCAAAAACAAACAAACAAACAAAAAAAACTAGACTGTCAGTTAATCTCTTCAGAATTGGGTGGACCTGGTAGGAGAAAGATCTAGTTATGTTCGTACAGATTATTTACAGATGCAAATTTTCCCCCACAAAAGATGGCTTGGCAGGGACTTTATTTATTTTTATTAATTTTTTTTTTAGAGGAAGTCTCTCTCTGTTGCCCAGGCTGGAGTGCAGTGGCGCGATCTCAGCTCACGGCAACCTCCGCTTCCTGGGTTCAAGTGATTCTTCTGCCTCAGCCTCCTGAGTAGCTGGGATTATAGGCACACACCACCACACCTGGCTAATTTTTGTATTTTTAGTAGAGACGGGGTTTCACCATGTTAGGCTGGTCTCGAGCTCCTGACCTCAGGATCTGCCCACCTCGGCCTCCCAAAGTGCTGGGATTACAGGCGTGAGCCACCACACCAAGCCTTATTTATTTATTTTTATTTTTTGAGACAGTCTCATTCTTGCCCAGGCTGGAGTGCAGTGGTGCAATCTTGGCTTATTGCAAGCTCTGCCTCCTGGGTTCACGCCATTCTCCTGCCTCAGCCTCCTGAGTAGCTGGGACTACAGGCGCCTGCCACCACGCCTGGCTAATTTTTTTTTTTTTTTTTTTTTGTATTTTTAGTAGAGACGGGGTTTCACCGTGTTAGCAAGGATGGTCTCGATCTCCTGACCTCGTGATCTGCCCGCCTCGGCCTCCCAAAGTGGTGGGATTACAGGCGTGAGCCACCGCACCTGGCCTATTTATTTATATTTAATTTAATTATTTTTATAGAGACAGAGTCTGTCTTTGTTGCTCAGGCTGGTCTCTAACTCCTGACTTCAAGCAATACTCCTGCCTCTGCCTCCCAGTACTGGGATTACAGGCAAGAGCCACTGTGCCCACCATTTCAAAATATAGCAAAGAAACATATTTTGGGGTAAAATATTTTGATTTCCTTTTTTTTATCTTTTATGTGATGTTATACTAGCATCATGTTGGAATTTTGCTAGTCTCTTTTGTCCTTCCCCCCGCCCCTTTTTTTTTTGAGAGAGTCTCACTCTGTTGCCCAGGCTAAAGTGCAGTGGTTCGATTTCAGCTCACAGCAACCTGGGTCGCCCGGGTTCAAGAGATTCTCCTGCCTCAGTCTCCTGAGTAGCGGGGATTACAGGTGTGCACTACCACGCCCAGCTGATTTTTGTATTTTTAGTAGAGACAGGGTTTCACCATGTTGGCCAGGCTGGTCTCAAACCCCTGATCGGCCTGCCTTGACCTCCCAAAGAGCTAGGATTACAGGCTTGAGCCACCGCACCCCGCCTCGTTTGTCAGTCTTAAAATCTCTTGTTTTATTTTATTCATTTTATTTATTTTATTTTTTTGAGACAGACTCTCACTCTGTCCCTTGGGCTGGAGTGCAGTGGCAGGATCTTGACTCACTGCAACCTCCATCTCCCTGGTTCAAGCAATTCTCCTGCCTCAGCCTCCTGAGTAGCTGGGATTACAGACACACGCCACCACAGCCCGCTAACATTTGTATTTTTAGTAGAGACGGGGTTTTGCTATGTTGGCCAGGCTAGTCTCGAACTCTTTTTGTTGTTGTTGTTTCTGTTTTTCTGAGACGGAGTTTCGCTCTTGTTGCCCAGGCTGGCGTGCGGTAGTGTGATCTCTGTTCACTGCAACCTCCGCCTCCCAGATTCAAGCGATTCTTCTGTCTCAGCCTCCCAAGTAGCTGGGATTACAGACATGCACTACCACACCCAGCTAATTTTTATTTTATTTTTTTGTATTTTTTTGTATTTTTAGTAGAGACGGGGTTTCATCATGTTGGCCAGGCTGGTCTCGAACTCCTGACCTCAGGTGATCCACCTGACTCGGCCTCCCAAAGTGCTGGGATTACAAGCATGAGCCATAGTGCCCAGCCAAGATCTCTGTTTTAATGTTAATGCTGGTCAGTTGTGCCAGAACTCCAAAGGGAAGAGAGTATAATGAGGCATATTCAATGCCTCCCATTCCCCACATTGCCTGAACTACTTTTTCAGGAGTTTGGGGGTCCTCTTGGCCAAATGGGGATCCATTCAGTCAGTTGGGGGGCTTAAAATTTTATATTTTTATTTATTTATTTATTTATTTAGACAGAGTTTCGCTCTTGTTGCCAAGCCTGGAGTTCAATGGCCCAATCTCGGCTCACCACAACCTCTGCCTCTCGGGTTCAAGTGATTCTCTTGTCTCAGCCTCCGGAGTAGCTGGGACTACAGGCGCACGCCACCACACCAGGCTAATTTTTGTATTTTTAGTAAAGACGGGGTTTCACCATGTTGGCCAGGATGGTCTCGATCTCCTGACCTCGTGATCCACCCGCCTCGGCCTGGGATGACAGGCGTGAGCCACCGTGCCCGGTCTAAAATTTTATTTTCTACAGTTCTAACACCCAGAAGTGAGATTGCTGGATTTTTGATTTCTGAATTAAGCACAGAGTTTCCTGACCTGTGTCCCAAGAATTGCCTTTACAGTCCCACTGATTTGTTGATCTAGTTCTTAGAAATCTTAATTAAGACCCGGTGCGATGGCTCATGCCTACAATCCCAGTACTTTGGGATGCCAAGGAGGGTGGATCACCTGAGGTCAGGGGTTCGAGACCAGCCTGCCCAACATGGTGAAACCCCTGTCTCTACTAAAAATACAAATATTAGCTGGGTGTGGTGGCGGGCACCTGTAATCCCAGCTACTTGGGAGGCTGAGGCTGGAAGGCTGAGGCTGGAGAATCGCTTGAACCCAGGAGGCGGAGGTTGCAGTGACCGGAGACCACGAATTACACTCCAGCTTGGGTGACGAGTGAAACTCCGTCTCAAAAAAAAAAAAAAGAAATATTCATTAAATTAGATCTTTCTCTGCCTTTTCATTTGGTATAAATCTGGCTTAATGAAGCAGACACTGCCTACATGCATTTAATGACTCTAAGAAAGCAGCAACTCCCAAAGGACACAAATTAAGGATGAAAGTTTCTAACTGCTCTTGGCCAACTGTATGATGGAGAGTTGTGTCAGGAAGTGAAGAAATTTCCTCTTTTGTTATTTAAAAGGGAGACTAAGAGACTGTGGTTAGCAATTCATAATAGCCTGTGTCTCCAGCCCATGAGAGTCACTTGGGGCCGGCGCGGTGGCTCATGCCTGTAATAGCAGCACTTTTGGAGGCTGAGGCGGGCGGATCACTTGAGGTCAGGAGCTTGAGACCAGCCTGGCCAATATGGTGAATCCTTGTCTCTACTAAAAAAACAAAAATTAGCCGAGCCTGGTGTCAGGCACCTGTAATCTCAGCTACTCTGAAGGCTGAGGCAAGAGAATCGCTTGAAGCCGGGAGGCAGAGGTTGCAGCAAGCCGAGATCGCGTCATTGCACACCCGCCTGGGCGACAAAGCAAAACTCCCTCTCAAAAAAAAAAAAAAAAACAAAAGGCGGGGGGCAGTGGCTCACGCCTGTAATCCCAGCACTTTGGGAGGCCGAGGCAGGCGGATCACGAGGTCAGGAGATCCAGACCATCCTGGCTAACACAGTGAAACCCCGTCTCTACTAAAAATACAAAAAATTAGCCGGGCGTGGTGGCAGGTGCCTGTAGTCCCAGCTACTCAGGAGGCTGAGGCAGGAGAATGGCGTGAACCCGGGAGGCGGAGCTTGCAGTGAGCCAAGATGGCGCCACTGCACTCCAGCCTGGGCAATACAGCGAGACTCCATCTCAAAAAAAAAAAAAAAAAAAAGAATAATTTTTGACCTTGATTTACCAAGCGTGGTGGTGCGCCCCTGTAATCCCAGCTACTCCGGAGGCTGAGGCAGGAGAATCACTTGAACCCGGGAGGCGGAGGTTGCAGTGAGCCGAGATCGGCCATTGAACTCCAGCCTGGGCAACAAGAGCGAAACTCCTTTTCAAAAAAAAAATTAGCCAGGTGTGATGGCGCCCGCCTGTAGTCCCACCTACTTGGGAGGCTGGGGCGGGAGGATCACTCAAGCCCAGAGGTCAAGGCTATGGTGAGCAGAAATCGTGCCACTGCACTCCAGCCCAGGTGACAGAGTGAAACCCTGTCTCAAAAAGATAAAATAAATAAGGCCGGGTGCCGTGGCTCACCTCTGTAATCCCAGCACTTTGGGAGGCCGAGGCAGGTGGATCACCTTAGGCCAGGAGTTCGAGACCAACTTGGCCAAGATGATGAAACCCTGTCTCTACTAAAAATACAAAAATTAGCCAGGTGTGGCGGTGCGCACCTGTACTCACAGCTACTTGGGAGGTTCAGGCAGGAGAATCGCTTGAACCCATGAGGTGGAGGTTGCAGTGAGCCAAGATGGCACCACTGCACTCCATCCTGGGTGACAGAGTGAGACCCTGTCTCAAAAAATAAATAACAAAGAAACAGAAGACAGCCTTTTTAAGAAAAAGGAATGGCTGGTCAACTATGTCAAAAACTTCTGTCAGAGGCCTTTGAAACAGAGCAACTCCATCTTGAATAGGAGCAGGGTAAAATGAGGCTTAGACCTCCTGGGCTGCATTGCCAGGATGTCAGGCATTCTATGTCACAGGATGAAATAGGAGGTTGGCCCAAGGTACAGGTCACAAAGACTTTGCTGATAAAACCAGCATGTGGTAAAGAAGCTGGCCAAAAACCACCAAAACGAAGATGGTGATGAAAAATGACCCCCTCGTCATCCTCACTGTTCATTATATATGCTTATAATTCATTAGCATGCCAAAAGACACACCCACCAGCACCATGAAGGTTTACAGATGTCATGGCAAAGTCAGGAAGTTACCCAATAAGTCTAAAAAGGGGAGGAGCCTTCAGTTCAGGGAATTGCCATGCCTTTCCCAGAAAGCTCATAAATAATCCACCCCTTATTTAGCATATAATCAATAAATAATCATAAAAGTAGTCAACCAGTAGCCCTCGGGGCTGCTCTGGCTATGAAGTAGCCATTCTTTTATTTCTTTATTTCCTAATAAACTTGCTTTCACTTTACCATATGGATGTGTCCAAATTCTTTCTTGCTTGAGGCTCAAGAACCCTCTCCTGGGGTCTGAATAGGGATCCCTCTGTGGTAACACTTCAAAGAGACCAAGAACAGGTTGGGTGCAGTGGCTCATGCCTGTAATCCCAGCACTTTGGGACACCAAGGCGGGTGGATCACTTGAGGTCAGGAGTTCGAGACCAGCCTGGCCAACATGGTGAAACCTCGTCTCTACTAAAAATACAACAATTAGCTCAGCATGGTGGCACACACCTGTAATCCCATCTACACAGGAGGCTGAGACAGAAGAATCACTTGAACCCAGAACCCAGGAGGCGGAGGATGCAGTGAACCACTGTATTCCAGCCTGGGTAACAACAGCTAAACTCTGTCTCAAAAAAAAAAAAAAAAGAACAGAGACTGAAAAAAACGGCCTTTTTTTTTTTTTTTTTTTTGACACAGTGTCTCTGTCACCCAAGCTGGAGTACATGGCATGATCTCAGCTCATTTCCACCTTGACCTCCTGGGCTCAAGTGATCCACCCACCTCAGCCTCCTAAGTAGCTAGGACTGCACCACACACGGCTAACTGTTTTTGTTTTTGTTTTTTTTGTGAAACGGAGTCTCACTCTGTTGCCCAGGCTGGAGTGCAGTGGTGCGATCTCAGCTCACTGCAACCTCCACCTCCTGGTTTCAAGCTATTCTCCTGCCTCAGCCTCCCAAGTAGTTGGGATTACAGATGAGAGTCACCATGCCCAGCTAATTTTTTTTTTTTTTTTTGAGACGGAGTCTCACTCTGTTGCCCAGGCTGGAGTGCTGGAGTGCAGTGGCATGATCTCAGCTCACTGCAACCTCTGCCTCCCAGGGTCAGGCAATTCTTCTGTCTCAGCCTCCCAAGTAGCTGGGACTACAGGCGCCCGCCACCACGCCCAGCTAATTTTTGTATTTTTAGTAGAGACAAGGTTTCACCATATTGGTCAGGCTGGTCTCGAACTCCTGACCTCAGGTGATCTGCCCACCTCGGCCTCCCAAAGTGCTGGGATTACAGGCGTGAGCCACCACACCAGGCCACATGGCTAATTTTGGGGGGGTGGGGGTTTGGTAGAGACAGGTTTTCACCATGTTGCCCAGGCTGATCTTGAACTCCTGGGCTCAGGCGATCTGCCTACCCAAAATAATAGGATTATAGGCATGGGCCACAGTGCCCAGCCTGAAGAAAAGGGCCTTTGAATTTGACAATTGAGTGGCTTTCAGTGTATCCACTTTGGTAGCTTGGGGGAGTGGGAACCAATGAATGGACAGCAAAGAAGTACCTTTAGTGAGAATAGTTTATGGAGTAATCTTAGAAATGTGGAAAAAGTTTAACAGACCACAGCATAAAAAGGAGGCCTGAGGTGGCCAGGCGCGGTGGCTCACACCTGTAATCCCAGCATTTTAGGAGCGAGGTGGGCGGATCATGAGGTGAGGAGATTGAGACCATCCTGGCTAACACAGTGAAACCCCGTCTCTACTAAAAGTACAAAAAGTTTGCCGGGCATTGTGGCGGGCACCTGTAGTCCCAGCTACTCGGGAGGCTGAGGCAGGAGAATGGCCTGAACCCGGGAGGCAGAGCTTGCAGTGAGCCAAGATCGCGCCACTGTACTCTAGCCTGGGCGACAGAGCGAGACTCCATCTCAAAAAAAAAAAAAAGGAGGCCTGAGGAAAGGTTTGTTTTGTCTTGCTTTTTAGAATGGAACACCTAAGCATATTTGTAGACAAAATGGAAAGATTAAGGGAATAAACTGAAGATTCATACTCCTGGAAAAGGCCAGAGACAATGACATTAAGAACACATGCAGATGGCCAGGCACGGTGGCTCACACTGTAATCCCAGCATTTTGGGAGGCTGAGGTGGGCAGATCACCTGAGGTCAGGAGTTCGAGACCAGCCTGCCCAACATGTCAAAACCCTGTCTCTACTAAAAATACAAAAAATTAGCCAGGTGTGGTGGTGCATGCCTATAATCCCAGCTATGCGGGAGGCTAAGGCAGAAGAACTGCTTGAATGTGAGAGGCGGAGGTTGCAGCAAGCTGAGATCGTGCCACTGCACTCCAGCCTGGACAACAAGAGCAAAACTCCGTCTCAAAAAAAGAGAACACACGCAGAAAAGGTCATCCTGTGCTTGAAGTAGGACACTTTTTAAAAAAATTTATTATTATTATTTTTTTAATTGAGACAAGATTTGAATCTATTGTCCAGGCTGAAGGGCAGTGTCATGATCTCGGCTCCCTGCAACCTCCAGAAGGACACTTCTTTAGAGATGGAAGCAAAACAAGATTTCACAAGTTAGATACTACATGGGAGTTAGATATTAACTTCCAGGTTGTAGTACCCAACAAACCTGCAAACGAAAAGCTTAAGTGATCTGAGTTCCTTTGCTGTAAAATATATTTCTGTCATGGATCTGGCACCTAATTCATTCATTCAACAAATACATATTGAGTGGGCAGGCACAGTGGCTCAAGCCTGTAATCCCAGCACTTTGGGAGGCCGAGATAGATGGATCACTTGAACCCAGGAGTTGGAGACCAGCCTGAGCAACATGGCAAAACCCCATCTCTACAAAATACTTTTTTAAATTAGCTGGGTGTGGTAGTGCACACCTGTAGTATCAGCTACTTGGGAGACTGAGGTGGGAGGATCACCTGAGCCTGGGGAGGTCAAGGCTGCAGTGAGCCATAATCACATCACTACACTCCAGGCTGAGCAACAGAGGATGTGTCTCAAAAAAAATGTATATATATGTGTGTGTGTGTGTGTGTATGTATGTATGTATATTCTTTTTGTGTGTGTATACACACAGATACAGAGCAAGAGAGAGAGAGCACGAGAGCCAGAATCAAGTTTAAAAGCCCTTCCCTTAGACTTTCATCTCCTTCCTTCTTCCTATGCCTTCTCTTTGTTTCCTTTGGCTTTTATCCTCTCCTGCCTCATACCAGACCTTGTTCTCCCTGTTATCCTGTCTTCTTAAACCCCTCCTCTCTTTCCACTGGCTTCTTTTCTCACCCATCAAACATGATAAAACATCCCATTCCTAAACAAGCAACAAAAAAAACCCTTTCCTCAACTGCTAAATATAAACTATATTAAATTATATTTCTACTCCTCCATCTGTCCCTTTCAGTCTCAGCTAATGGTGTCGCATTTCACCCAGTCTCCCAAACTAGAAACCTCCTTATCTGATTCCTTTTCTAACTGGTCTTCAAAGTTAGAAATACATCAAAATTCTGGGTTAGCTTTATCTGTCCACTCCTACTGCCACTGCTTTAGTTCTGGGTCTAATCTCTTGCCTAAACTACCATGACTGGTTTGTCCATAGTTTTTCTCCATTACAGCTAAATTATTAATATATTTAACAAACATTTTTGAGCATCTACTATGTGCCAGGGACTCAGAATAGTGAGAAAAGCATGACGGCAGTGGTCTCACTCAAGACATGTGTCCACCAGGCCAGGCACAGTGACTCATGTCTGTAATCCCAGCATCACCATATACCACATCTGGCTAATTTTTTATTTTTTGTAGTGACAGGCTCTCCCTATGTAGTCCAGGCTGGTCTCAAACTCCTGGGCTCAAGCAAACCTCCCATCTTGGCCCCCTAAGTACTGGGATCACAGGAATGAGCCACCCTGCCCACTCAATGGTCTTATTTTCTATAATATAAACTTCAGATGTAAACATAAGATAAGGTGATGTTTGGGGTAGAACAGTGGTCCTCAAAGTTTTTGGCACCAGAAATGGGTTTTGTGCAAGACAAGTTTTTCCATGGTGAGGGAATAGTTTTGGAATGAAACCGTTCCATCAAGCATTAGATTCTCGAAGTGGCCAGGCGCAGTGGCTCACGCCTGTCATCTTAGCACTTTGGGAGGCCAAGGCTGGTGGATCACCTGAGGTTGGGAGTACAAGACCAGCCTGGCCAACATCACAAAACCCCATCTCTACTAAAAATACAAAAATTAGCCGGGCACAGCAGGGCGCAGTGGCTCACGCCCGTAATCCCAGCACTTTGGGAGGCCGAGGCAGGCAGATCACGAAGTAGAGGTGATCGAGACCATCCTGGCTAACACAGTGAAACCCCATCTCTACTAAAAATACAAAAATTAGCCAGACATGGTGGCAGGCACCTGTAGTCCCAGCTACTAGGGAGGCTGAGGAAGGAGAATGGCGTCAACCTGGGAGGCGAAGCTTGCAGTGAGCTGAGATCGCACCACTGCACTCCAGCCTGGTGATAGAGCGACACTCCGTCTAAAAAAAATAAATAAAAAATTAGCCGGGCATGGTGGCAAGCACCTGTAATCCCAGCTACTCAGGAGGCTGAGGCAGGAGAATCGCTTGAACCCAGGAGGCGGAGGTTGCAGTGAGCCAAGATCTCGCCACGGCACTCCACCCTGGGTGACAGAGATCCTGTATCAAAAAAAAAAAAAAAAAAAAAGATTCTCATAAGGCGAGCACAACCTAGATCCCTTGAATGTGCAGTTCACAATAGGGTTCGCATACCTATGAGAATCTAATGCCATCACTGATCTGACAGGAGGTAGAGCTCAGGCAGTAATGCTGGCTCATGGAGCGTTCATCTCTTGCTGTGTGGCTGCTTTCCTAATAGGCCATGGACCAGTACCTATCCACAGCCTGGGGATTGCCACAGCCTGGAGGTTGGAGACGTGGGGTAGAAGATCTTTTTTTTTTTTTTGGAGACAGAGTCCTGCTCTGTTGCCCAGACTGACAGTGCAACAGCACGATCTCAGCTCACTGCAACCTACACCTCCCAGGTTCAAGTAATTCTCCTGCCTTAGCCTCCCAAGTAGCTGGAACTACAGGCATGTATCACCATGCCCAGCTAATTTTTTTAATTTTTTTTTTGAGATGGAGTTTTACTCCTCTATCACCTAGGCTGGAGTGCAATCGTGTGATCTCGGCTCACTGCAACCTCTGCTGCCTGGGTCCAAGCAATTCTCCTGTCTCAGCCTCCTGAGTAGCTGGGATTCCAGGCACCTGCCACTGCACCCAGCTAATTTTTGTATTTTTAGTACAGGTGAGGTTTCACCATCTTGCGCAGGCTGGTCTTGAACTCCTGACCTCATGATCCACCTGCCTTGGCCTCCCTAAGTGCTGGGATTACAGGTGTGAGCCACTGCGCCGGGCCTAATTTTTGTATTTTTAGGAAAAACAGGTTTTGCCATGTTGGCCAGGCTGTCTCAAACTCCTGACCTCAAGTGATCCACCCACCTCAGCCTCCCAAAGTCCCGGGTTTACAGGCATAAGCCACCGTGCCCAGCAGAAGGCCATTTATATTTTTATTTTTTATATTATTTACTTATTTTTTGAGACAGAGTCTCGCTCTGTTGCCCAGGCTGGAGTGCAGTGGTGCAATCTTGGCTCACTGCAACTCCACCTCCCGGGTTCAAGTGACTCTCCTGCCTCAGCCTCCCGAGTAGCTGGGACTACAGGCATGGGCCACGACGCCCAGCTAATTTCTTGTATTTTTAGTAGAGATGGGGTTTCACCATGTTAGCCAGGATGGTCTCGATCTCCTGACCTTGTGATCCACCCGCCTCAGCCTCCCAAAGTGCTGGGATTACAGGCTTCAGCCACTGCGCCCGGCCACCATTTTAAAAATACTTCATTCAATGCATGTCATTTTTACAGGTAAATACCTTCTGACCTTTTTTTTTTGAGACAGACTCTCACTCTGTTGCCCAGGCTGGAGTGCAGTGGTGCTATTTCGGCTCACTGCAACCTCTGCCTCCCGGCTTCAAGTGGTTCTCCTGCCTCTGCCTCCTGAGTAGCTGGGACTACAGGCACGCGCCACCACGCCTGGCTAATTTTTGTATTTTTAGTAGAGATGGGGTTTTACCATATTGGCCAGGCTGGTCTTGAACTCCTGACCTTGTGATCCACCCGCCTCGGTCTCCCAAAGTGCTGGGATTACAGCGCCCAGCGGGTAAATAGCTTTTTTTTTTTTTTTTTTTTTTTTTTGAGACGGAGTCTCGCTGCCGCCCAGGCTGGAGTGCAGTGGTGCCATCTTGGCTCACTGCAACCTCCACCTCCCAGGTTCAAGCGATTCTCCTGCCTCAGCCTCCCAAGTAGCTGGAATTACAGGCGCCTGCCACCACGCCCAGCTAATTTTTGTATTTTTAGTAGAGACAAGGTTTCACCATGTTGGCCAGGCTGGTCTCGAACTCCTGACTTCAGGTGATCTGCCCACCTTGGCCTCCCAAAGTGCTGGAATTACAGGCAGGAGCCACCACACCCGGCCAGGTTTTTGTTTTTGTTTCTGTTTTTTGTTTTGTTTTGAGACGGAGTCTCGCTCTGTCGCCCAGGCTGAAGTGCAGTGGCGTGATCTCGGCTCACTGCAAGCTCCGTCTCCTGGGTCTACACCATTCTCCTGCCTCAGCCTCCCGAGTAGTTGGGACTACAGGCGAAGCCACCACGCCTGGCTAATTTTTTGTATTTTTAGTAGAGATGGGGTTTCACCATGTTAGCCAGGATGGTCTCAATCTCCTGACCTCGTGATCCACCCGCCTCGGCCTCCCAAAGTGCTGGGCTTACAGGCATGAGCCACCACACCTGGCCTGTTTCTGTTTTGAGACAGAGTCTCGCTCTGTCATTTCGGCTGGAGTACAGTGGCAAGTGCAGTGGTGCATTCTTGGCTCACTGCAACCTCTGCCTCCTGGGTGCAAGCCATTCTCCTGCCTCAGCCTCCCAAATAGCTGGGACTGCAGGCATGTACCACCACACCCAGCTAATTTTTGTATTTTTAGTAAATATGAGGTTTCACCATGTTGGCCAGGCTGGTCTTGACTCCTGACCTCAGATGATCTACCTGCCTCAGCCTCCCAAAGTGCTGGGATTACAGGTGTGAATCACTGCTCATGGCCACCCAGGCAGGTTTTGAACTCCTGGCCTCAAGACATCCTCCCACCTTGGCCTCCCAAAATGTTGGCATTACAGGCATGAGCCACCATGCTTGGCCTAAAACATAAGTAATTTTAAAAATGATTTTATTTGCTGGGCGCAGTGGCTCACGTCTGTAATCCCAGCACTTTGGGAGGCCGAGGCAGGCAGATCACCTGAGGTCAGGAGTTCAAGACCAGCCTGGTGAACATGGTGAAACCCCGTCTCTACTAAAAAGAGATCGTGCCACTGCATTCCAGCCTGGGCGACAGAGACTCCATCTAAAAAAAAAAAAAATTTATTTTTTCAAAGACAGGGTCTCCCTACGTTGCCCAGGCTGGACTTGAACTCTTGGGCTTAAGCAATCCTCCCACCTCAGCCTCTCAAGTAGCTGGGACTACAGGTGGCTACTAGTAATGTTTATATTAAGCTGGGTCATAATATCTCTTTTAAGGTTTATGGCCAATTTTTTTTTTTTTTTGAGACAGAGTCTCGTCACCCAGGCTGGAGTGCAGTGGGGAGATCTCGGCTCACTGCCACCTCCACCTCACAGGTTCTGCCACAGCCTCCCAAGTAGCTGGGATTACAAGCACCCACCACCAAGCCTGGCTAATTTTTGTATTTTTAGTAGAGACAGGGTTTCACCGTCTTGGCCAGGCTGGTCTTGAACTCCTGACCTCATGATCCACCCATCTCAGCCTCCCAAAGTGCTGGGATTACAGGCGTGAGCCACGCGTGCCCCGTCTTTTTTTTTTTTTTTTTTTTTTTTTGAGATGGAGTTTCGCTCTTGTCACCCAGGCTGGAGTGCAATGGCATGATCTCGGCTCACTGCAACCTCTGCCGCCCAGGTTCAAGCAATTCTGCCTCCGCCTCCCAAGTAGCTGGGATTACAGGCGCCTGCCACCACGCCCAGCTAATTTTTGTATTTTTAGTAGAGATGGGGTTTTGCCATGTTGGCCAGGCTGGTCTTGAGCTCCTGACCTCAGGTGATCCACCTGCCTTGGCCTCCCAAAGTGCTGGGATTACAGGCATGAGACACCGCGCCCGGCCCAATTTTTATTCCCTATACCCAGGAGACTTTTCTTTTTTTGAGACAGAGTTTTGCTCTTGTCGCCCAGGCTGTAGTGCAATGGCATGATCTCGGCTCACTGCAACCTCCACCTCCTGGGTTCAAGCAATTCTCCTGCCTCAGCCTCCCTGGTAGCTGGGATTCCAGGCATGCGCCACCACGCCCGGCTAATTTTGTGTTTTTTAGTAGAGATGGGGTTTCTCCATGTTGGTCAGGCTGGTCTCGAACTCCCAACCTCAGGTGATTCGCCCGCCTCGGCCTCCCAAAATGCTGGGATTACAGGCGTGAGCCACCGCGCCCGGCCTCCAGGAGACATTTTTACCATTTTGCACCCTTTCCCTTTGACTTCCTAATACAAAATTAACAACTTCTAAGTTGTTATCTTATTAGAAAGCCCCCTTATAAAATAGGATTGTTCTCACCTTCAATTAACAATTTTTTTAATTGCTCAAATCAGTCTATAAAGTTCTCTTTTGCAATTTGTGACTCTGGACATATATTTAAATTCAGTCGTTACAGGAGGATCAATTGGACCCAGAAGTCAAGACTGCAGTGACCTGTGATACCACTACTGCACTCCAGCCTGAGTTAAAGTGAGACCCTGTCTCAAAAACATAAAAAAAAAAAAAAATTTAGCCTGACATTCAGTGCCACCATTATTTGGTTGTGACCTATTTTTTCTTTTCTTTTTTTTTTTTTTTTTTTTTTTTTTACACAGAGTCTCACTGTCACCAAGCTGGAGTACAGTGGTACAATCTAGACTCGCTGCAACCTGCGTCTTCCGGGTTCAAGAGATTCTCCCACCTAAGACTCCTGAGTACCTGGGATTATAGGCACACCACGCCCAGCTAATTTTTGTATTTTTAGTAGAGATGGGGTTTTGCCATGTTGGCCAGTCTGGTCTTGAACTCCTGACCTCGTGATCCGCCCGCCTCGGCCTCCCAAAGTATTGGGATTACAGGCGTCAGCTACTGCTCCTGGCCAAATATTTTGTATTTTTAGTAGGGACGGGGGTTTCACCATGTTAGCCAAGCTGGTCTTGAACTCCTGATCTCCAGTAATCCACTGGCCTCGGCCTCCCAAAGTGTTGGGATTACAGGCGTGAACCAGTGCGCCAAGTTAACTTCCTTTTTTTTTTTTTTTTTTTTTTGAGACCCAGACTCACTCTGTCGCCCAGGCTGAAGTGCAGTGGCGCGATCTCGGCTCACTGCAACCTCCGCCTCCCGGGTTCAAGCGATTCTCCTGTCTCGCTCTCCCGAGTAGCTGGGACTAGAGGCGTGTGCCACCACACCCGGCTGATTTTTTTTTATTTTTAGTAGAGACGGGGTTTCACCATGTTAGCCAGGATGGGCTCAATCTCCTGACCTCGTGATCTGCCCGCCTCTGCCTCCCGAAGTGCTGGGATTACAGGCGTGAGCCACCGCGCCCGGCCCCTTCCCTTTTTTTTTTTTTTTTTGACACAGGGTCTCACTCTGTCGCCCAAGTTGGAGTGCTCACTGCAACCTCCGCCTCCCGGGTTCGGGGTTCGAGCTATCCTCCCGCCTCATACTAGCTAGTATTTGGCATTACAGGCAAGTGCCACCACGCCCTGCTAATTAGTATTTTTAGTAGAGATGGGGTTTCACCATGTTGGGTGGGCTGGTCCTGAACTCCTGACCTCAGGTGATCCGCCCACCGAACTTCCCAAAGTACTGGGATTATAGGCGTGAGCCACGGGCGCCCCGCCCAATTTCCCTTTTTAATGGCATTTGAGCTAGGGTCCAGGTTTCGTAGCTCCCACTACCTGTCCTGCACAACACAGACACTAAATACCTTAGTGCTTATTATGAAGCCCCGTTCTTCAGAAAGGTTTTATAGCACTTTCGTTAAACCTCCTTCCTGTTCAAAATGCAGCGCACTAGAGTATTTTTCCCCAATCCACCGTTAAGCGGCTTCTTCTTAAGCAGGACTGTTTTGGGTCTCTTGGTTGCTACCCCTACTACACCCTACTAATATGTTGCACAAAGCGACGGGGAACCCCTTCTCCCCCAAACGATGTGCGTGGAAACACACAATGTCCTACTCTCTCCATTCCCAGAAACCTAGACTCTCCCCTCAAATACCTTTCCTGGCTCATCTACAGCACTAAGGTCTCAAGGTAGGGGCAAAAGCCCGCCCCAATTGGCAAATGCTCCTCCTCCGCCAAGAACCTCGAATTTCCGCTGTCCCTGGACAGAGCCTCCAACCTTCAGAAAAATGGCGAGGTGGACCCAGGCCCTTGATTCTGAAGTGAGCCCTTTTCCACAGCACAGGCTTTTTACAGGTTTTTGTGGTGGAATGATGACTCAGTGAGCTGATTTACTCCCTCAAGAGTAACCAACGCGCCATTTCAGTTCTCCAGGATCCCGACTCCGTGTCCCTCCGCCTCAGCCTTGCCTCCCACTGTCAACGCAACCGTTTCTCAGAGAAATCGCCGAAGGCGCATGGCAGGGCAGTTGGGCCACTAACGGTTTTCTAACGCGAGAAGACAGAGCGGGAGGAGAGGCGGGAACGCGTAGGGACTAGCAGGGGGCGGAGTGGGGGTGGGGTGGCGGACGAAGGGCGGGGCCGGCGCCAGGAAGGATCGCGAAGGAGCTGGGAGGCCCCGCCCTTTCCGTAGATATCTCTAGAAAGCCGCGCCGGAGCCCAAAAACAAGGACTGCGCACGCGCGGCGGCAAGGCCCGGGCATTTTGCTGCGTCACCAGCCGCCGCCCGGCCTCACCACCCCTCGTTTGCACGCACGCACGTTCATTCTCCGTCCTCGCGCCCCTTTTCCTACACTTTCCTCTTCTCCCCGACCGGAGGAGCCGCTCTTTCCGCGCGGTGCATTCTGGGGCCCGAGGTCGAGCCCGCCGCTGCCGCCGTCGCCTGAGGGAAGCGAGAAGAGGCCGCGACCGGAGAGAAAAAGCGGAGTCGCCACCGGAGAGAAGTCGACTCCCTAGCAGCAGCCGCCGCCAGAGAGGCCCGCCCACCAGTTCGCCCGTCCCCCTGCCCCGTTCACAATGTGAGTGCGACACCCCGCCGAGGGAAGGTCGCCGAGTGAGGCCGAGGCCGCGTTGGGGGCTCCCTGGAAGCGGCCCCCTAGCCTTTCTCGCATCGGTGGTGGCAGTCGTTCCTGCCTGGGGGCGGGAGGTCCAGGATCCTTGTTCCGGTTACCGTTGGCGGGTGGAGGACATTTTTCCTCCAGATGTCTGCTTCCCCCACCCCTGAACCGTTCCTTGGCTTCCCCATGCCGGAAATCCTACTTTTACCCCTTTGGCTGTCTGGGTTACTCGCCTCTTTCGGTAACTTCACCCTAGGCCTTAAGCTCCCGGTAGCTGCTCGCCATGCGGCGCCCTGAAGCGTGAACCTTCGTGGGTCGCCTCTCGGCTGCTTGGGCGCTCCGGTTCTGTTGCTTTGTGGTCCCGGGGCCAGGCCCTGAGTCGAGTGCACCTGTGGTGGGTGCCGCCAGGTGCCTGGCGGAGCTCCTGGGAGAGCCCCACGCGGACCTCGCCGTGAGCTGCAGGTACTGCTAGGCAACTAGAAGGAAGCCATGCCCACGCCGCAACATACTTCCCTCTCCAGTGTCTGGGTTTCTTGAGTGTGGGTACTTCCAGTCCGCCTCCTAACTCCAGTCTCTTGAAAACACGGGAGGTTGCCAAAACTCAGCCGCTTCCCTGGCAGCGAGGAGGAGTTACCATTGAGCAGGTAGTTCCGCACGTGTCGACTTTGGAAAGATACGGACATTTTCTGTGTTTCATGTTCTACTTGAGGTGAGGTTTCACTATCTTGTTACAGTGTAGGATGAAATAGGTATGTAGTAGGCATTTAATTAACCTACAGTCGTCCCAAAGATCTTAAATTTGTGTGGAGGTGAATACAGATTCTATGGCAGTCTTCATTTTACGATGATAAAGGAAAGCCTTGGCGATTTTAACCGGTAAGAATTCTTGGCACTGCCGCGTACAGTGGGAACTGCCGGTTTTACAGGGTTTTTTTTTTTTTTTTTTTTTTTTTGACGGGAGGTTATTTTTCAAGGTACTAACTACGTCCTAAAAGGTATGGAGAACAATTAAGGTGGAACCTTTTTTTTCTTTTGTTTTAGACTCCATTCAGAAGAGAGAAGAGGGGAGTGACTTTATGTCTTTGGAAAAGTAATAAGGATTTGCTTGATTCAAGTCATGATACTGAGGCTGAGTATATTGGCTAGAAATCTAAAGGGATGCGTGAGGCTGAAGCGAGTTTATCACTGGGAACAAGCTTCTAGAGCACAGCATGTTAGAATTTTTGAAGGAGCCCCCTCCCCGAAAGTGATACGTAATCGGGGTTTTAAAAAATTTGAATTAGGCTGGGCGCGGTGGCTCACAACTGTGATCCCAGCACTCTGAGAGGCCGAGGCGGGCGGATCACCTGAGGTCGGGAGTTCGAGACCAGACTGACCAACATGGAGAAACCGCGTCGCTGCAAAAATACAAAAAAAATTAGCCGGGCGTGGTGGCACATGCCTGTAATCCCAGCTACTCGGGAGGCTGAGGTTAGGAGAATCGCTTGAATCTGGGAGGTGGAGGTTGCGGTGAGCCGAGATCATGCCATTGCACTCCAGCCTGGGCAACAAGAGTGAAAACCCGTCTCAAAATAAATAAATAAATTTGAATGTATATAAAATAGTTTTTGCTTTTCTATTTGAAAGCTCTCCTAAGTAATGTAGAAGGGACATCAGTCTTAACCTTTCATACTCTGAAAATCTGTAAGGGGAAATTTTTTGTCAGATGAGGCATTAAGCAGCTTTTAATAATAGAGCCAAACAACATATCTTTTCGCGAAAAGTATGTTTAAAATTGGCTTGAAGTAGAAGCATTTGATGGAGGCCACATGAGATATTTAAATAGGTAAGGAACGGCTATTACTAGGAAAGTAGATTTAAAAACTTGGGTGAAAAGTAAGTGTAAGGCCAGGCGCGGTGGCTCACGCCTGTAATCCCTATACTTGGGAGGCCGAGGCAGGCGGAACACGAGGTCAGGAGTTAGAGACCAGCCTGGCCAATATGGTGAAACCCCGTTTCTACTAAAAATACAAAAACTAGCTGGGTGTGGTGGTGCATGCCTGTAGTCCCAGCTACTCCGGAGGCTGAGGCAGGAGAATCGCTTGAACCCAGGAGGTGAAGGTTTCAGTGAGCAGAGATTGCGCCGTTGTACTCCAGCCTGGGCAATAGAGGGAGACTCCGTCTCAAAAAAAAAAAAAAAAAAAAAAAAGTAAGTGTAGCAGTAGAGAGACTATTCCAAAAAGTAGCCTCTCTAGTTAAAAAATAAAAATGCTACTTTCATGCCGGGCGGGGTGGCTCACTCCTGTAATCCCAGCACTTTGGGAGGCCGAGGCGGGTGGATCACGAGGTCAGGAGATCGAGACCATCCTGGCTAACACGGTGAAACCCCGTCTCTACTAAAAATACAAAAAATTAGCCGGGTGTGGTGGCGGGCGCCTGTGGTCCCAGCTACTTGGGAGGCTAAGGCAAGAGAATGGCTTGAACCCGGAAGGCGGAGCTTGCAGTGAGCGGCGATTGCGCCACTGTACTCCAGCCTGGGCGACACAGCGAGACTGTCTTAAAAAAAAAAAAAAAAAAAAAGAAAAGAAAAAATGCTACCTTCAAAACGAGTGATTCAATGCCACTTGAAGAGTGTTGGGCTGGGGGAAACAAGTGTTTTGAAGAGACCAGCTAAAATATTCTTTTAAAAATAATATATGCCGTTTAGTAAATTCTTCAGGGACTCTTAACAAGCTAAAGACTTAAATTTTAAAATGAAAGTTGTAAGTCAGTTATTTGAAGTGGAAGAAGCCTTTAATGGGTCGTCATCCAGTCTTAAGAATCTGGCTGATAAGGGTTTATTTTGTTGATAACTTGTTTTAAAAGTGTTTTTTTTGGAGACAGGGTCTTCCTCTGTCACCCAGGCTGGAGTGCAGCTGCAACCTCTACCTCCCGGGCTCAAGCGATCCTCCTTGCCTCAGTCTCCCGAGTAGCTGGGACTGCAGGCAAGCACCACCATGCCTGGCTAATAAATTTTTTTTAAGCTCTGGGGAGAGAGAGATTTATGCTGGGTGTCTTAAAGGCTTGGGAGTGTGTTTTCTCATTTGATTTACTCATTTGCTCTTCAGCGATTTCGTAGTTACATTTCTTTAAATCCTAAGTTATAAAAGTTTGTCTCATAATTTACATAAAAGCTCTTAATTTCGGACCTATCTTGGAGAAGGCTGGGATTTTTAGGACCTTCCCCCACTTAAGATTTTCCGCTTAACTAACCTTGCCAGAGGGTGCTACTTCGCATTTTCTTTTTGAATCATTGTCGTTCGACCGATTAAAAATAGAGAAAAAGTAAAATGTTTTATTTATTTTAGAGATGTTGGAAGTTGTTGTTTTTCCTGTCTAATGTCTTGTATATAATTAGGAAGTTGTCCAGAAACTTGCGTCTCTGATTTTGGTAAAAATCTTCCTGTCATTCAGCTGTGTAGGAACGAATCTCCAAAATAAAATTGTCCATCTTTAGCCTGCAAAACAAATTGTCGTAGTGAACATATGCTATATTGTTAATTGCTATAACTTGAGTATCTGATGGTGGGTGGCCTTTGTTCAGTATTGATTTCCTGTGCACTGTAACCTGGCAACTGGATTTTTAATTTTTCTTCCTGTGTTCAGTTAGACTTTAACTAGAAGGCAGTAGAAACTGGAAGTGAAAAATTTCTTGAGTGCAAGCCAGTGTTTTATTGCTAAATTAAGATTCTCCTGACTAATTGGATTTTCTCGGTTTAAAAATCTACAAGCTATCATTTTTGGGTCTTGTGGTTAGCGATTGTCTCTTTTCAGGGGAAAAAAAACCTTTGTAAATATCAACTGTTCAGAACCAATCTCGCTGTTAAACACCTAAGATCATATTTACGTGAGCTCAAAAAATACTCTAGTGAGCATATTTTGCTATGGAAATAGTGTATTGAACTTTTTACTATTTACTGTGTGGATCGGCAATTACAGTTTTGGGGTTTTTTTTGTTTGTTTTTTTTGTTTTTTTTTTTTTTGAGACGGAGTTTCGCTGTCGCCCAGGCTGGAGTGCAGTGGCGCGATCTCGGCTCACTGCAGGCTCCGCCCCCTGGGGTTCACGCCATTCTCTTGCCTCAGCCTCCCGAGTAGCTGGGACTACAGGCACCCGCCACCTCGCCCGGCTAATTTTTTGTATTTTTAGTAGAGACGGGGTTTCACCGTGTTAGCCAGAATGGTCTCGATCTCCTGATCTCGTGATCCGCCTGCCTCGGCCTCCCAAAGTGCTGGGATTACAGGCGTGAGCCACCGCGCCCGGCCCATAGTTTTGGTTTTTGTTTGTTTTTTTGAGATGGAGTCTGGCTCTGTCGCCCAGGCTGGAGTGAACTGGTGCGATCTCGGCTCACTGCAACCTCCGCCTTCTGGGTTGAAGTAGTTCTCTGCCTCAGCTTCCTGAGTAGCTGGGATTCCAGGTGCCTGCCGCCATGCCTGGCTAATTTTTTTTTTTTTTTTTTTTTTTTTTTTGAGACAGAGTTTCTCTCTTGTTGCCCAGGCTGAAGTGCAATGTCACGGTCTCGGCTCACCGCAACCTCCGCCTCCTGTGTTCAAGCAATTCTCCTGCCTCAGCCTCCCGGGTAGCTGCGATCACAGGCATGCGCCACCATGCCCGGCTAATTAGTAGAGATGGGGTTTCTCCATGTTGGTCAGGCTGGTCTCAAACTCCCGACTTCAGGTGATCACCCGCCTCGGCCTCAGAAAGTGCTGGGATTACAGGTGTGAGCCACTGCATCTGGCCTAATTTTATATATTTTTAGTAGCGATGGGGTTTCACCATCTTGGCCAGGCTGGTCTTGAACTCCTGACCTCATGATCCACGCGCCTCAGACTCCTAGAGTGCTGGGATTACAGGCGTGAGCTACTGCCGCAGCCGGCAATGATAGATTCTAGAATGAGGCTGCTTCCCTGCTTCCTCGGTATACCTTTGTAAATTTTTTTTTTTTTCTTGAGGCGGAGTCTCATTCTGTTGCCCAGACTGCAGTGCAGTGGCGCGATCTTGGCTCACTGCAACCTCTGCCTCCTAGGTTCAAGCGATTCTCCTCTCTCAGACTCCCAAGTAGCTGGGACTACAGGCATGTGCCGCTATGCCCAGCTAATTTTTTGTATTTTAGTAGAAATGGGGTTTCGCCGTTTTGCTCAGGCAATCATCCCACCTTGGCCTTCCAAAGTGCTAGGATTACAGGTGTGAGCCACCACGCCCGGCCTTTTTTTTTTTTTTTCTTTTAAATGGAGACGGGATCTTACCGTGTTGTCCAGGTTGGTCTTGAACTCCTGGGCTCAAGTGATCTTCCTCCCAAAGTCCTGGGTTTACAGGTGTGAGCTGCTGCACCCGATCCTTGGTATACCTTTGAACTTGCGGTTTTCCGGGAATATTTCTTCTTTTCTGAGACACTGTCTCACTACTTTGCCCAGGCTGGAGTGCAGTGGTGTCATCACTGTCTGCAGCCTCAAACTTGGGATCAAGCCATCCTCCTGCCTTGGTCCCCCAGTAGTTGGGACTACAGGTGTGCACCACCACACCCAGCTAACTTAATTTTTTTTAGAGACGGGGGTCTCACAATGTTGCTAAGGCTTATCTTGTCTCAAACTCTTGGGCTCAAGCAGTCTTCCCTCCTCAGCCTCCCAGAGTGCTGGAATTGGAGCCACTTGCTCATTGATATTTTAACTTCACCTTCAGCATATGCTCTTTTCCCATTTTGTATTCTGAAGCTGAATAAAATGTGCTGTTGGGGCTTTTCTGTGCCTCAGGTGCTCATTCACATGAAGCCACACTTCATTTGATAGTGCCAATGTCAGCTGGGCACGGTGGCTCACACATGTAATCCCAGCACTTTTGGAGGCCAAGGCGGGCAGGTCACTTGTGGTCAGGAGTTCCAGACTAGCCTGGCCAACATGGTGAAACCCTGTCTCTACTAAAAATACAAAAATTAGCTGGGCACCGTGGCGGGTGCCTGTAATCCCAGCTACTTGGGAGGCTGAGGCAGGAGAATGGTTTGAACCCAGGAGGCGAGGAGGTTGCAGTGAGCCGAGAATGCGCCACTGCTGCACTCCAGCCTGGGTTACAGAGTGAGACTCTTTTTTTTTGAGATGGAGTCTTGCTCTGTCGCCCAGGCTGGAGTGCAATGGTGTGATTTCGGCTCACTGCAAGCTCTGCCTCCTGGGTGTTCAAGCGATTCTCCTGCCTCAGCCCCCTGAGTACCTGGGATTACAGGCGCATGCCACCGTACCTGGCTAATTTTTGTATTTTTTTTTTTAAGTAGAGATGGGGTTTCGCCATGTTGGTCAGGCTGGTCTCAAATTCCTGACCTCAGGAGATCTGCCGCCTTGGCCTCCCAAAGTGCTGGGATTACAGGCATGAGCCACTGCACCCGGCTGATTCTTTTTTTTTTTTTTTTTTTTTTTTGAGATGGAGTCTCACTCTGTTGCCCAGGCTGGAGTGCAGTGGCGTGATCTTTGCTCACTGCAGGCTCCGCCTCCCGGGTTCACGCCATTCTCCTGCCTCAGCCTCCCGAGTAGCTGGGACTACAGGCTCCCGCCACCTCATCCGGCTAATTTTTTGTATTTTTAGTAGAGACGGGGTTTCACTCTGTTAGCCAGGAAGGTCTGGATCTCCTGACCTCGTGATCCGCCCTCCTCGGCCTCCCAAAGTGTTGGGATTACAGGCATGAGCCACCGCGCCCGGCCTGATTCTTAAAATACCCATTTACACAGCACTAATTTGAGAATCATAAAGGGGCTGTCCGAAATAGGATTGGGGCTGTCTGAAATAGGATTGGGGTTCACGAGATCAAGCCATTGCATTCCAGTCTGGACAACAAGAGCAAAAACTCTGTCCAAACAAAAAAACAAAACACAACTACAAATGGGGGGACCAGGTATGGTGACTCACACCTGTAATCCCAGCACTTTGGGAGGCCGGGGTGGATGCATCACCTGAGTTCAGAAGTTTGAGACCAGCCTGGGCAACAAGGTAAGACCCCATCTCTACAAAAAATAACCTGGGTGTGTGGTAGCATGTATCTGTGGTTCCATCCACCATGGAGACTGAGGTGGGAGGATCACCTGAGCCTGCGAAGTCAAGGCTGTGTGAGCTGAGATCACGCCACAGCACTCCAGCCTGAATGACAAAGCAAGAACTGGTCTCAAAAAAAAAAAAAAACTTTTAAAAAACAAAAACTACAAGTGGGTGGAGGGTGCCCTACACTTATCCTGAATCAGGAATAAACACATATGTATTCCCTCATTTGAAAGGAGAACTGGGCCAGGTGTGGTGGCTCACGCCTGTTAATCCCAGCACTTTGGGAGGCTGAAGCTGGAGGATCACCTGAGGTCAGGAGTTGGAGACCAGCCTGACCAGCGTGGTGAAACCCCATCTCTACTTAAAAAAAATTGCTAGGCCTGACGGCACATGCCTGTAACCCCAGCTACTTGGGAGGCTGAGGCAGGATAGTCGCTTGAACCTGGGAAGCAGGGGTTGCAGAGAGGCAAGATGACGCCGTTGCAGTCCAATCAGGGCAGCAAGAGTGAAACTCTGTCCCCCCAAAAAAAAAAAAAGAAAGAAAATTGGGTTGGGTGCAGTGACTCACACCTATAATCCCACCACTTTGGGGGACTGAGGTGGGCAGATCACTTGAGGCCGAGTTCGAGACCAGCCTGGCCAATATTGCAAAACCTCATCTCTACTAAAAATGTGAAAACATTAGCTAGGTGTGGTGACGCATGCCTGTAGTTCCATCTACTCATTGTGAGGCTGAGGCAGGAGGATCACCTGAACCCCGGAAGTGAAGATTGCAGTGAGCTGTGATCGCGCCATTGCACTCCAGCCTGGGCGACAGCAAGACTTTCTCAAAAAAAAAAAAAAACCAAAACCAATAAAACAAAAATGGAAAACCAGCGTTTATGAAATCTCCTTTTGCCTTCCATGAGGATTACACCATCTCTTTTTCTCCTATTAACATATGGAGAGGGCTGGGTGCGGTGGCTCATGCCTGTAATCCTAGCACTTTGGGAAGCCAAGGCAGGTGGATCACTTGAGGTCAGGAGTTAAAGATCAGCCTTGCCAACATGATGACACCTCGTCTCTACTAAAAATACAAAAATTAGCCGGGCATGGTGGCAGGCACCTGTAATCCCAGCTACTCGGGAGGCTAAGGCAGAAGAATTGCTTCAACCTGGGAGGTGGAGGTTGCGGTGAGCCAAGATCATGCCACCGTTCTCCAGCCTGTCACTCCGGGGTGACAGAGTGAGACTCCGTCTAAAAAAACAAACCCAAAACATATGGAGAGGGGGCTGAGTTTAGCTTTAACTTTAGCTTCTAAACTAATTATACTGGATTTATCTCTAGCCTTTCTGCTAACACTGGCTAAACTCATAACCATTGTGTAAGACTGTTAATTCATTTTAATAGTAATATCCCTATAGATTCAAAACTTTCCACCTCTGCATACATTATGTAAATAATCTACTTAAAGCAAAACAACAATAAACCCCACAGGCGGACATTCCATGCTTTTTTTTTTTTTTTTTTTTTTTGAGGCAGAGTCTCACTCTGTTGCCCAGGCTGGGGTGCAGCAGGGGCACATCTCAGCTCACTGTAGCCTCCGCCTCCTGGGTTCAACCGATTCTCATGTCTCAGCCTCCCAAGTAGCTGGGATTACAGGTATGCTACCATGCCCAACTAATTTTTGTATCTTCAGTAGAGACAGGGTTTTGCCATGTTGGCATGGTTGGTTTGAACTCCTGGCCTCCAGTAATCTGCCAGCCTTGGGCTCCCAAAGTGCTGATATTAGATGTGAGCCATCACTCCTGGTCTCCATGCTTCTCTAAGTCAGGGTCTTGCTATGTGGCCCAGGCTGGAGTGCAGTGGTACAACCATGCTCACTATAACCTCAAACTCCTTGTCTCAAGCAATTCTCCCACCTCAGTGCCCCCCAGTTAGCTAGGACTACAAGCATGTGTCACCATGGCCAGCGATTTTTTTCTTTTTGGCAGAGATGTGGTCTCGCAGTGTTGCCCAGGCTGGTCTTGAACTCCTGGCCCAAAATGATACTCTCACCTTGGCCTCCTAAAGTGCTAGGATTCCAGGCATGAGGCACAGTGCCCAGCCTATTCCATGCTGATGTGACAAGCATTTCTAAGCTCAATAGAAGGGCTATATATACCAATCCAAGCAATTACATTTTGCATAACCTAAAATCCTCTATAGTCCTATCTAAAAGGTCTCTTTGTTAGCCTTGAAAGGACAGAGACCGTATTTGTTCCTAAATACCATAATTTTAATATGTTAGTATCTGGTGAGTTATAACTCTAATTTATAAAACACTGCAAGCACCCTTCACTATAAAAAATTGATGCACCAAAGAAGCTAGATGGAAACAGTTTGCTAGGAAAAGTGTCCCAGTTATTTTAATCCATTTGATAGTTTTACTATGTGCAATGCACATTTTATTATAAAAGACAAAACAGGCTGGGTATGGTGGCTCACTCCTGTAATTCCAGCACTTTGGGAGGCTGAGGCGGGTGGCTCACCTGAGGTCAGGAGTTCGAGACCAGCCTGGCCAACATGGTGAAAACCTGCCTCTACTAAAAAACAAAAATTAGCCAGGCTTGGTGGCGGGCGCCTGTAATCCCAGCTACTCAAGGGACTGAGGAAGGAGAACTGCTTGAACCCAGGAGGCAGAAGCTGCTGTGAGCCGAGATCACGCCACTGCACTCCAACCTGGGCGACAGAGCCAGACTCCATCTCAAAAATAATAAATAAATTAAAAATACCTATTTGTAATATGTGAGGAATGAGACATCAAAGTTCTGCTATGGAAAGGAAAAAAGTAGTTCCTGGAGTTCATAAATGGTTTTTCCTTCTTAGGTATCAAACACCTTGCCTATAAATGTCTGACACCAAGCTGTCTCCCACATACTCATTGCTCAGGGAAACCGTAAGATATTTGAGATCTTCTGTAATCAGCTGTAGTACTATAAAACTTTCTGAATAAACCTGCTAGTCCTGTGGCCTGTGGCTACCAAATCATGTGCCAAGATGTATCAGGGCCCCATGGAGGAACTCACAACTACCTTGGGATATTTTAAATTTCAGAGTAATTCAGTGATACTCAACATAAGCCAAGACACTAAGCAAACTATTAGTTTCAGGTTGTTCAGTTTCAATATGAGATTGTACTGCAAACCCCTCCATTAAGTTTCATCTTCTAAAAACTGAATTTCTGGTGGTTGCTATAACTCAAAAAAACACAGGTACCCACCCCACCAAAAAAAAATAATAATAATAATGGGGAACAAGGAGTGAGATGATAGAAGTCATTTCAAAGTTTGAGAAGTTATATAGTATCCAAAAGCCATACACATTCCATTGATAGGTATGGTTATATAAGAAACTATATATATTTTTCTTTCCAATAATGTAAATTCGTTTTTCCAATAGCTACTAGGCTGCTAAGACAATATAGTTATGTTGCTTGGATACAGCTATGTCATCAAAGCAACTGCTAGTTACTCCTTTTGGCTTAAGAGCACAACAAAACTCCTCAGACACCAAGGGCACTATATACCAGGAAGGCTTGTGAACCTCTGTCCTAGCGAGTTATTTTATGTGGTAGTTTCCACTCTAAGATACAAAGGTGAAAGCTGTTCAAGGTAATGTTTTATGGAAAATGTAGCACTTTTTTTTTTTTTTTTGGGTGGTGCGGAGAAGGAGTCTCACTCTGTCGCCCAGGCTAGAGTGCAGTGGCGCTATCTGGCTTACTGCAACCTCTGCCTTTCATGTTCAAGCAATTCTCCCGCCTCAGCCATCCTAGTAGCTGGGATCACAGGTGTGCACCACCATGCCCAGCTAATTTTTACATTTTTAGTAGAGACGGGATTTCACCACGGTGGTTGGCCAGGCTGGTCTTGAACTCCTGACATCAGGTGACCTGCTCACCTCAGCCTCCCAAAGTGCTGAGATTACTGCCATAAGCCACCGCACTTAGCCAGCACTATTTTTTTTTTTTTTTTTTTTTTTTTTGAGTCGGAATCTCACTCTCTCACCCAGGCTGCAGTGCAGTGGCACGATCTCAGCTCACTGCAACCTCCACCACCGGGTTCAAGGATTCTTGTGCTTCAGCCTCCCAAGTAGCTGGGACTATAGGAGCGCGCCACCATGCCTGTCTAATTTTTGTATTTTTAGTAGCGATGGGGTTTCACCATGTTGTCCAGGCTGACTTCAAGTGATTTACCTGCCTTGGCCTCCCAAAGTGCTGGGATTATAGGCATGAACCACCACGCATACCCACTTAGCACTTTTCTATCAAGCAACTCTTGTGGCTTTCCACATTCCGTCTTTTGAGCACTCTTTTTTTAAAAAAATTACTTTCTTGCTTTGGTTTTAGACCCTGAAGCATTCTTCTTTTAACATCCCCAGGAGATAAAAGAATTTTTCTTTGTTCAAGAAAGACTCAAGGTCAAATATCACTCTCTCACTGCCTCCATAACAAATTTTAGACTCTCAGGACTCCATTATCATGTTGTCAAGTATGCAGAAGCTAGTTTAGATTATATAATAAAACAAACTGGAAGTACAGAGACATGGTTAGTTACTTTGCAATAAAAGGACCGCTGGAGAAATTATTGTCCCTTTTTGTGAAGTGAAAAAAAATAAGCCTTCTGTCAGAAATGCTGGGTTCCAATCCTATTTTGGCTTTTTTTTTTTTTTTGGGGGGGGAGACACAGCCTCTCTCTGTTGCCCAGGCTGTAGTGCAGTGGCGTGATCTCGGCTTACCGCAACCTCCACCTCCACCTCCCCCTCCCCCTCCCCCTCCCAGCCTCCCAAATAGCTGGTATTACAGGCATACGCCACCTCGCCTGGCTAATTTTGTATTTTTAGTAGAGACGGGGTTTCTCCACGTTGGTCAGACTGGTCTCAAACTCCCAGCCCCAGGTGATCCATCAGCCTTGGCCTCACAAAGTGCTGGGATCATGGGCTTGAGTCACTGCGCCTGGTCTGCAGTTTTTGTGTTGTGTTTTGAGACGGAGTTTCACGCTGTTGTCCAGGCTGGAGTGCAATGGCGTGGTCTGGGCTCACTGCAACCTCCACCTCCTTATTTCAAGCGATTCTCCTGCTGCAGCATCCTGAGTAGCTGGGATTACAGGTGCCCATCACCACACCCAGCTAATTTTTTGTATTTTTAGTAGAGATGGGGTTTCATAATGTTTGCCAGGCTGGTCTCTGAACTCCTGACCTTAGGTGATGCACCCATCTCAGCCTCCCAAAGTGCTGGAGATTACAGGCGTGAGCCACCGCACTCGGCCCTGTTTGTAGTTTTAATGTGTTAGCCAACTTGTATAAAGGGTCAGCCAGTAAATATTCAGCTTTGCAGGCCACAAATATCTCTTATCTCATTCACATTTTTTTTTTTTTTTTTTTTGGTCTCATTCTGTTGCCTAGGCTAGAGTGCAGTAGTGTGATCTTGGCTCACTGCAACTTCCGCCTCCTGTGTTTTTTTAAAAATATACATTTAAAAAATGTAGGAATCATTTTTGGTTCATGGCCTAACCACAGGTTTTGATAATTTAAATTTGTTTTATCTGGGACATGATCATATAGCTTGCTAAGGCTTTTTTTCTTTTTCTTTTTCTTTTTCTTTTTTGAGACAGAGTCTTGCTCTGTCACCCAGACTAGAGTGCAGTGGCGTGATCTTGGCTCGCTGCAACCTCTACCTCCTGGGTTCAACTGATTGGCCTGGCTCAGTCTCCCAAATAGCTGGGACTACAGGTACGTGCCACCACGCCCAGCTAATTTTTGCAATTTTAGTAGAGACGGGGTTTTACTATATTGGCCAGGCTGGTCTCGAACTCCTGACCTCGTGATCCGCCTGCCTCTGCCTCCCAAAGTGCTGGGATTACAGGTGTGAACCAGCACTTTTTTTTTTTTTTTTTTTTTTTGAGACCGAGTTTCACTCTTGTTGCCCAGGCTGGAGTGCAATGGCCTGATCTCGGCTCACCGTAACCTCCACTTCCCAGGTTCAAGCGATTCTCCTGACTCAGCCTCCTGAGTAGCTGAGATTACAGGCATGCACCACCACGCCTGGCGAATTTTTTTTTTTTTTTTTTTTTTTTTTTTTGAGATGGAGTCTTGCTCTGTTGCCCAGGCTGGGGTGCGGTGGCCTGATCTCAGCTCACTGCAAGCTCCGCCTCCTGGGTTCATGCCATTCTCCTGTCTCAGCCTCCCGAGTAGCTGGGACTACAGGCGCCTACCACCATGCCTGGCTAATTTTTTGTATTTTTAGTAGAGACAGGGTTTCATCGTGTTAGCCAGGATGGTCTCAATCTCCTGACATTGTGATCCTCCTGCCTCGGCCTCCCAAAGTGCTGGGATTATGGGCGTGAGCCACTGTGCCCGCCTGAATTTTTTGTAATTTTAGCAGAGACGAGTTTCTCCGTGTTGGTCAGGCTGGTCTCGAATTCTCGACCTCAGGTGATCCACCTGCCTCGCCTCCCAAAGTGCTGGGATTACAGGCGTGAGCCACCGCGCCTGGCCTGCTAAGGCTTTCATAAGAAAGTATCACACACTGGGTGGCTTAAACAGCAGAAATTTATTTCTTCACATTTCCACGAGGCTGAAAATCCAAGGCGAAGGTGTCAGCAGGATTAGTTTCTTCTGAGGCCTTTCCTTGGTTTGCAGATAGCTATCTTCTTTCTTCCCTCTGTGCTAATCTCTTTATATAGGAGGACAACAGTCATTGGATTAGGGTCTATCCTAAGACCTCATATTTACTTGTCATTTAAAGACACTTTCTCCAAATACAATCCCATTCTTAAGATGTACTGGGGGTTAGGACTTCAATGTATTAATTTTGAGGAAACTGATAAAATTCTAGATTGCTGAATTTGAGGAAAGGAGATTGATTCTCCTGGTTTCAGTGAACTTAATGTAAAAAGTGAAGCTCTGATGTACCAGTGTTTTTTGTTGTTGTTGTTTGTTTTGAGACAGAGTCTCTGTTGCCCAGGCTGGATTGCAGTGGCATGATCTCAGCTCACCGCAGCCTCCACCTCCCGGGTTCAAGTGATTCTTGTGCCTCAGTCCCATCCCTCAAGTATCTGGGACTACAGGCCTGCATCACCATGCCCAGCTAATTTTTTTTTTTTTTTTTTTTTTTTGAGACAGTCTCGCTCTGTTGCCAGGCTGGAGTGCAATGGCGCAATCTCGGCTCATTGCAACCTCCGCCTCCCAGGTTCAAGCGATGCTCCTGCCTCAGCCTCCCAAGTAGCTGAGATTACAGGCGCCTGCCACTGTGCCTGGCTAATTTTTGTATTTTAGTAGAGATGGGGTTTCACCATGTTGGTCAGGCTGGTCTCGAACTCCTGAGCTTAGGTGATCCACCCACCTCAGCCTCCCAAAGTGCTGGGATTACAGGCGTGAGCCACCGTACCCTGCTTTTTTTTTTTTTTTTTTTTTTTTTTTCCGTATTTGTATTTGTAGTAGAGTCGGGGTTTCGCTGTGCTGGCCAGGCTGGTCTCTAGCTCTCCTGGCCTCAAGTGACCCACCTGCCTTGGCCTCCCAAAGTGCTGGGATTACAGGTGTGAGCCACTGCACCCAGCCAAGTAACATAATTTTTGATAGGACTAGATAAACGGCTAACTCTACTAAGCATTGTTTGGTTTTTAAATCTTTCCTATTATGAAATTGGAATCATTCTGAAACTAAATCTTGTTAGACCCATAGGTTTTAACTTGGAATGTAGCTGTTAGGGTAAAAATGTAGTTTTTGTTTAAAATTGTAACAAACTGCCCTGAAATAATGCTATAATGGTGTCGAAGGTTAGTATGTGAATGTTTAGTTAATGAATTCCAGCTTGACTTTCCCTACTTTATCCTTTTGTAGGCAGCCTGCTTCTGCAAAGTGGTACGATCGAAGGGACTATGTCTTCATTGAATTTTGTGTTGAAGACAGTAAGGATGTTAATGTAAATTTTGAAAAATCCAAACTTACATTCAGGTAAGTTAAGCTTTTTATCCAATGATGTAAAATAGTCATTCACACAACTGAATAACTTTGACTGGCTTGTCTTTTCATTGAAGTTATTATTAATCTTTGTCTCTTTGAAGAGGCTTAATTCTTTCTTTATTATTTTATACAGTTGTCTCGGAGGAAGTGATAATTTTAAGCATTTAAATGAAATTGATCTTTTTCACTGTATTGATCCAAATGTAAGTAGTCTTTATGCTTTAATCCAAATTTTAGTTGTGAGGAAACAGACATACCAAGTATTCTTTTTAGCAATGAGCATTAGTTCTGTTTTTCTTAACAGTGAGGCAAACTATGTATATTTACATTTTGTAGAATATTTCCTCCAAAATTGGTTTCTGCATACTTTTTGTTTTTGCTATCACTGTTTGGGCTTAGAGTAGTATCCTTGAGGCTCGTCTCATCTTTTTTATTTGTTTTGTTTTTTTGTTTGTTTGGTTTTGTTCTTTGAGACTGCTGCAGTACAATGGAGCGATCCCGGCTCACTGCAACCTCTGCCTCGTAGGTTCCAGGGATTCTCCTGCCTCAGCCTCTGGAGCAGCTGGGATTACAGGCACATGCCACCATGCCTGGCTAATTTTTGTGTTTTTAGTAAAGACCATGTTGGTCAGGCTGGTCTCAAACTCCTGACCTCAGGTGTTCCACCTGCCTCGGCCTCCCAAAGTGCTGGGATTACAGGCATGAGCCACTGCGCCCGGCCAAGGCTTCCCTTATCTAAGAATAGAATCTTTAAACCATTCTGTGGTTATATCATTTTTAGTTAAAGTTTTTAAGGTTTTATTCTGTTTATCGTGTGCAGGAAAGAAAAAAATGGTACCAGGTTAAACTTTAAACTTTATTGTTGTGCAGATTATTTCAGTAGGAAATAGAAGGGAAAAAAAAATTTTTTTTTAAATGAAACTTAAAGGGGGTTGGGGCAGTTGGATAGTTTGAAGTTTTTAGTAGTCAAGGGCATGTTTCAGAGTCCAGAGAAAATTTAGGTAAAGAAATGAGAAAGGTGAGAAATGACAAGCTATTTTCTATCATGTAGTGATGCTGGAAAGATAAATGGTATGATGGTCCTTTTGTTTTTAGGATTCCAAGCATAAAAGAACGGACAGATCAATTTTATGTTGTTTACGAAAAGGAGAATCTGGCCAGTCATGGCCAAGGTTAACAAAAGAAAGGGCAAAGGTAGGTTTCATTTTCCTTTTTTGAAAAGTTTGATATTTTTATTTTAGGTAATAAAAGATGTACTTATTTGATGTAAGGAATATGGCTGTGTTTTTGTTTCACAGCTAAGTATAAAGCCTCATGTTCATGTTTTTTGTCTACTCAGTTTTAATACGAAGTGTGATCAGAATATCAGTTATTAACTGGTGTAGAATCTTTTGTACTTAAGAGACAGACTTTGCATAAATTACTCAGCTATCACATGGGAGGGGACAAAGCTTGGTGAAAAAATAATCAACTGAAAATAGTTCTTACTAGTAAATTTGTTTTCAAAAGGTATGTTTAACAATTTTCAGTGTTTTTTTTCCCCCAAAACAGGGTCTCTCTTTGTCACCCAGGCTGGAGTGCAGTGGCACGATCTTGGCTCACTGCAGCCTCAGTTTCCCAGGCTCCAAGTGATCCTCCCTCCTCAGTCCCCCAAGTAGCTGGGACTGTAGGGGCATGCCACAACACCTGGCTAATTTTTGTATTTTTTGTAGAAAGGGGTATCACAGTGTTGCCCAGCTTGGTCTTGAACTTCTGGGCTCAAGCAGTCTCCCCACCTCAGCCTCCCAAAGTGCTGGGACTACAGGCATGAGCCACGACACCAGCCTAGTCTTTTTTTTTAGGTAGTCTCATGCCACTCATGCCAGAGTGCACTGGTGTGAACATGGCTCACTGTAGCCTCCACCTGGGCTTAAGCGATCCTCCCACCCACCTCACCTCTCCAAATAGCTAGGATTGTAGGAATGTGCCACCACGCCCAGGAAATTTGTTTTTTTGTTTTTTCCCCAGATACAGGATCCACTATTGCTCAGGCTGTCTCGAACTCCTGAAGGATTACACAACTAGTCTTTCCACCTTGGCCACCCAAAGTGTTGGGGTTACAGGTGTGAGCCACCTCATTTAGCTTAGTCTATTCTTTGTGTGCTAATTACATGCCCTCCTAAAAATACAAAGTCACAGTTCAAAAAATATTGTTTTGCCAGGCACCAGTAGCATGTGCCTGTTGTAGTTAAAAGCTACTCTGGAGGGTGAAGTGGGAGAAATACTTGCGCCCAAGTCTGGGTTGCATTGCCATATGTCAGGTAACCACGCTAAGTTAACATCAGTACGGTGTTGTCCCAGGAAGCGGGGACCACCAGGTTGCCTGAAGAGGGTAAACAAGACCCTTGGTCAGAAACGGAGCTGGTCAAAACTCACATATTGATCAATAGTGGGATTGCACCTGTGAATGCTTGCTGCACTCCAGCCTGGGCAACATAGCAAGACCTGGTCTCTTTAGAAGAAAAGAAAACGTAGTCTTAAGGTTCATGCCAAATGCAAATTAGCCTAATCTTAGGGTGATATTTGTATTGATTTATAGCTTAATTGGCTTAGTGTCGACTTCAATAATTGGAAAGACTGGGAAGATGATTCAGATGAAGACATGTCTAATTTTGATCGTTTCTCTGAGGTAAGTTCCTTTAAATGGACCTCTCCCCATTCGAAGCACACGGTACCTGTCTATGTAGTCAATTTAATATGGTTTTGGGCACCTAATGGTATTCATGATGCATGTTATTTTATTTTTAAGACCATTTTGCAGTCATAGTAAATAGATGTTAACAATGGCAATTTTAATCCTGAAGTTGAACCATTTTAATGATTTTAAAAGGAATTAGTGTTAGCTACAAAAGTTACAAAAGTTAATGCATTAAGACAAACTAACACAGCTAGTTTGCTAATTTCATCATTGGGACTTTTTTTTTTTTTTTTTTTAAAGCATGATTGCAGTAGTTGACTTGGATTTTGAAGTCATAAAATAAGACTATAAACTTTTGGCCGGGCACGGTGCTCACACCTGTAATCCCAGCACTTTGGGAGGCCAAGGCTGGCAGATCACGAGGTCAGGAGATCTAGATCATACGGGCCAACTTGGTGAAACCTCATCTCTACTAAAATACAAAAAAAATTAGCTGGGCATGGTGGCGCGCACCTGTGGTCCCACCTACTCCTGAGGCTGAAACGGGAATTGCTTGAACGCTGGAGGCAGAGGATGCAGTGAGCCGAGATCGTGCCACTGGACTCCAGCCTGGCGAAAGAGCGGGACTCGGTCAAATAAATAAATAAATGCAGAACGATAAACTGTTAAACACAAGAATCATAGGCTGGGCGCGGTGGCTCACGCCTGTAATCCCAGCACTTTGGGAGGCTGAGATGGGCGGATCACCTGAGGTCAGGAGTTCAAGACCAGCCTGACCAACATGGTGAAACCCCGTCTCTACTAAAATACAAAAATTAGCCGGGTGCAGTGGCGGGCGCCTGTAATCTCAGCTACTCAGAAGGCTGAGGCAGGAGAATCGCGTGAACCCAGAAGGCGTGAACAAAATTAGCTGGGCGTAGTGGTGCATGCCTGTGATTCCAGCTACTCGGGAGGCCGAGGCAGGAAAATCACTTGAACCCGGGAGGTGGAGGTTGCGGTGAGCCGAGATCGCTATTGCACTCCAGTCTGGGCAACAAGAGCAAAACGCCGTCTCTAAATTAATAAATAATTAAATAAAACTACAAAAAAATAGCTAGGCGTGGTAGTGCACGCCTGTAATCCCAGCTACTCCGGAGGCTAAGGCAGGAGAATTGCTTGAACCCAGGAGGTAGAGGTTGCAGTGAGCCGAGATCACACCACTGCACTCCAGCCTGGGCGACAGAGCAAGACTCTGTCTCCAAAAAAAAAAAAAAAAAAATTCATGGTGAAATGTTTACCATGAGATATACAAGGAAAAAAGTTTAAGAAAGTCTGTTTTCTAAGATGTCACCCAAATAACGTTGCCATGGCCCAAGAATAAATGATTCATCTCTATATAGGCAGAATAGACTTTATCAAATGTAGTAGAATAAAACTAAGTACAGAAAGAACATTAGTGTATAAGTCGAATGCATACTGATGAAATCCATTTCTTGTTGCTATTTGAAATTTTTCATTAACTAGATTTTGTATTTTGAGACCTTAAGAGTTAAATAAAAGGAGCTAAGTTTCCAGCTTTATGCAACTGCTTATTTAACAGTTCTCCACACGTGACTCTGGCATGGTGATTTCAACAGGAAGGGAGGATGTTCTATTCATATTATTTTTTAATTGTACTTTCCTTACCTGTAGAAATCGGTGCCACCATTTACCTAGCTGTGCAAGCCATTGTGTTGCTTAGGCAGGTCTTGAACTCCTGAGCTCAAGTGATCCTCCTGCCTCAGCTTCCCAAAGTGCTGGGACTACAGGCCTGAGCCACCACCCCCAGCCTTATAACACTGTTTTTGTTTTTTGTTTTTTGTTTTATTTTGCTATCTTTGTTGTCCAGTTTTTGTTGTTATCTCTTACATATCTCTTGAATATGTACAGTTTTCTCTTGCTGTTTATCTTAAGCACGTAGCGTTATGCTTGGTACATTTAGCATTTTTCCTGCCCAAAGAAACTTAAAGTATTGAGTAGTGCTTTTGGAGGTAGGGAAACTCCCAGTTACTCATTTCATTCAAGATAGATTGCCCAAAATTTTTATACTGAATCCTTTTTTGTGTGTGTTTAATTAATTGAGGTAAGAGCACTTCACATGAAATCTACTCTTTTAACAGACTATTTATTTATTTTTTTGAGGCAGAGTTTTGCTCTTGTTGCCCAGGATGTAGTGCAATGGCACGATCTTGGCTCACTCCAGCCTCCACCTCCTGGGTTCAAGCAATTCTCCTGCCTCAGCCTCCCAAGTAGCTGGGATTACGGGTGCCCACCACCATGCCCGGCTAATTTTTGTATTTTTAGTGGAGACAGGGTTTCACCATGTTGGGCAGGCTAGCCTCGAACTCCTGACCTCAGGTGATCCACCCGCCTTGGCCTCCCAAAGTTCTGGGATTACAGGCATGAGTCACCAGACCTGGCCACGCCCAGCTATCTTTTAAGTGCATGATACAGTATTGTTAACTATAGGCATAATGCTGTACAGTAGTAGGTCTCTGGAACTATGCATTTTGTGTAATTGGAATTTGATACCTATTTAACAGTAGCAACTCTGCATTTTCCTTCCCCCCAGCTCCTGGCATCTACCATTCTACTCTCTATTTTTGTGTGTCTGACTATCTTAGGTATCTTACATAATCTTAGGTATCTCATATAAGTGGAATCATGCAGTATTTGTCCTGTGACTGGCTTATTTCACATAGCATGACGTGCTTCAGATTCTTCATTGTGTTTTGTCACATAAGGCAGATTTTTTTCTTTAAGGCTGAATGATACTTTTAGGCTGAACACATTCCATTGTATGTTTGACTATCTTTTTAAGGTCCTTTCCCATTCTAAAATCTGGGTAATCATGTATTTTTGAAGTTTGATTTTTTTTCCATGCATATGTGATTTTATTTTTCTAAAATTTAAACATTACAAAAATGGTTTAAACTTGAGAAAATAAGTTTCTCATCATCTGATAATAGTTTAAGTTTAAATCATTTCTTGGTTCTTCACAATATCTAAAACCATGATGAGAATACCAGGCCTGGCACAGTGGCTTGCTCCTGTAATCCCAGCACTTTGGGAGGCCGAGGCAAGGGGATCACTTGAGGCCAGGAGTTCAAGACCAGCCTGGCCAATATGGTAAAACCCTGTCTCTACCAAAGATACAAAAACTAACTGGGCGTGGTGGCATCTGCCTGTAATCCCAGCTACTCAGGAAGCTGAGGCAGGAGACTCCCTTGAACCCGGGAAGCGGAAGTTGCAGTGAGCCGAGATTGTGCTGCTGCACTCCAACCTGGGCAACAGAGCAAGACTCCATCTCAAAATAAAAAAGGCTTGGCATGGTGGTTCACGCCTGTAATCCCAGCACTTTGGGAGGCCAAGGTGGGTGGATCACTACAGCCCAGGAATTCGAGACCAGCCTGGGCAACATGGTGAAACCCCGTGTGTACCAAAATACAAAAAATTAGTTGGGTGTGGTGGTACGCGCCTGTAATCCCAGCTACCCTGGAGGCCGAGGCATGAGAATTGCGTGAACCCAGAGGCGGAGGTTGCAGTGAGCTGAGATCACGCCACCATACTCCAGCTTGGACGACAAAGCTAGACTCTGTCTCAAAAAAAAAAGAATACCTTAATACATGTTCCACCTAACTTAAGATAGATAGCTGTGCAACTACAAATGAATCCCATTCTTTTCCTTAACCACCAGAGGTAACCACTACTCAAGTAGAATTTTTAATGTTTGTCAAACCTGTTGCATGAATAGCTTTGCTTTTCTTTAGGGAAAATTTAGTTTTAATTTCCATATGGGTTTTTAGGATTTTGTATAATTACCTATAATCTTCCTTTTCCAGAAGGGAAAGATGCTTATATTTGCATTTTGCATTTTTTGATATCTGTGGCAGACTTAAGGTTTATTCTGAAGCATACAGCATTAATAATTAGGGCCTAACTTAACATCATTTTTAAAACTAATTTTTACACTTCAAATAGATGATGAACAACATGGGTGGTGATGAGGATGTAGATTTACCAGAAGTAGATGGAGCAGATGATGTAAGTCTAAAAATTCTTTTTTCTGTTTACTTTCATACTATTAAATAGTAAGAAACAACATATTTACAAATGGTTTTATATAGATTCACAATTACTTCTTATTTTCTAAAAAAAAAGAAAAGGGAAAAGCAATTTTTAAAATGTGCCCATTTTTGACGAATGGGGGTATCTATTAGGGAACTGGTTGTACCGTAGACCATTCCTAAATGGATTAGATTTCCAAAGAATCATTGTATAGAGACATTATATATTAATACCGTACTCAATTATAACAGTCAGTTTAGGCCGGGCGAGGTGGCTCATGTCTGTTATCCCAGCAGGCCAGGTGGGCAGAGTACGTGAGGTCAGGAGTTCGAGACCAGCCTGGCCAACATGGTGAAACCCTGTCTTAAAAACTTAGCCAGACATGATGGCAGGTGCCTGTAATCCCAGCTACTGGTGAGCTGAGGTGGGAGAATCGCTTGAACCTGGGAGGCGGAGGTTGCAGTGAGCCAAGATCACACCATTGCACTCCAGTGTGGGCAGCAGAGCGAGGCTCCATCTCAAAAAGAAAGAAGAGAGTCAGTTTATAGGTATGATTTTGACTAAGAAAGTAAGTTAAATAGGTTTTATGTCAGGATTGGTCAGAGACCGATAAAACAGATGGACATTGGGAGGCGGAGATGGGTGGATCATGCGGTCAAGAGTTTCAGGCCAGCCTGGCCAAGATGGCGAAACCCCATCTCTACTAAAAATACAAAAATTAGCCGGGCATGGTGGCGGGTGCCTGTAATCCCAGCTACTTGGGAGGCTGAGGCAGGAGAATCGCTTGAACCCGGGAGGCAGAGGTTGCAGTGAGCCGGATCTCGCCACTGCACTGTAGCCTGGGTGACAGAGCAAGACTCCATCTCCCCCCACCCAAAAAAAAAAAAAAAAAAAAGATGGACATTGGAAATCTGTAAGAGGAAGATACACTAAACTACTTTTCTCAACATCTTTCCAACCCCAGCATCCTGTTAACATCTCCCAGAAAGTTATTTAATGCTATTTAGAAAAACACTTAATATTCACTCAACAGCTAGGATTAGAGTTCACTGTCTTCTATCAGTCCATTTTTCTTCATATTGATCCATGTTTTCTCTTTGAATGCCGAGATAGGTTAATTTAGGAATGGATTCAACGGGTGGGCTAAATTGTCACCAAAAGGCACACATCATTTTTTATAGGTAGATAAATCCTCTGCTGTACATCCATTCACCTTAGGTAAACCTAGTCAAGTCCAATGACTAAATTTCTAGGCTTGATATGACTACCTACCTGTGCTACTTTAGTCAAAAATATAGCACTTGAACTTTTTTAGGTAAACTGTTCAGTTAGCAAACGAATATTTGATCAGCTCGGTAACTTTATTTTCCCTCTTTCAGGATTCACAAGACAGTGATGATGAAAGTAAGTGTATATAAAAAGTATGTTTATACAGTGATACTTTGCATCAAAAAACAAACTCAAAATAGAGATGTTAACTTCTTTGGAAGTAAAGTAATTTTTTCTTTATGACCTTGAATAAATAACCAAAGCAGAAATGTGAATAACTTGATAGCAAGACAACCTATTAATTCATTGGGCAACTATGTATTTCGATTTTTGGTTGCTTTTCCTTTAAGACAGTAAAATTGGTAGATTATTCACTTGTACTATATACTAATATTTTTAAAAATTCTTTCAGAAATGCCAGATCTGGAGTAAGGAATATTGTCATCACCTGGATTTTGAGAAAGAAAAATAACTTCTCTGCAAGATTTCATAATTGAGAGAATTCCTGAGTTGATAGCTCTAAAGGCAGATATGCTGTATTTGCCTACTTTAACCCATTTTTCAACCTGTTTGTTTTTTAAAAGGCTTCACTAAGGGTTGATATGTACCATTGTATGGGGCAATTTTAAGTCAGCTAAGGCAATAACCTTATGCATGAACATTTCCCAGACTTTCATGAAGCTGTTGAGGTCCTAGGCAATTAATGCAGCAGTTGCGATAAATAAAAACATCTCACCTAAGTCTCCTTTTCTTCATAACATAGATACTGACATGATAGGAAGCTCTCAGCTTAGGGAAAGAGAATAAATTTTAGATTATAGAACATGGATTCAAAAGTGACTGGAACAAATTGGCTGACACCTTACTGGTAACCTGCTATTCTTCTGGTGTTATCCTTCAGGATTGTTCCACTAAAATTTATTTTTCAAAAAATTTACTTCACATTATTCTATGTAAGTGATGACTTGTCAGTGTTCCAGGTGTATCTTAGCTAAAACTAGAGAATGCCCTAACTTAGATGGTTTTTGAAGCCTATACAATTGGTATTGTTTGACCCTTAAGCTTTTACATCTCTTAGCATGGAGGACGAAGAAAGCTGTACATTGTTGCTTGAGAGTCTGTACATTTAGTCCAGATTTGTATTTGCACTGTCAGTATGGCAAATGAGTGAAAAATGTTTAATACACTATTGGATTTTTTATTTCCTTTTTTTGATTCAGCTTATACCCGGGCTGAAAACCTCAATTTATGTTCATGACAGTGGGGATTTTTTTAAATGTCTACATTCTTTCTAATAAACTGTTGGAAGACTTCTTGGCTGTCCTTTTAAGTGTCTGGCTTACTGTAATTTTTATGTATTTACCATTTACTGGAATGGAGTTTATTTGAGGAAGAATTTGGGATTATTCCTCTGTTTGAAAAAAGAGGCTTGCTGTAATGTCACAGGAAACCTTTTAAAAGTGGATCTGTAATAGCATATTGTAGATGCACTTTGCAGCAGTTGGAAAAGAAAGTGTTGTGTGATTTGATTGAAATAAAACTAAATGTGTTGTCCTCCTAAATCTTTGAACTTCTGCATTTTGGCAGTTTTCATTCCCTCACAGCTTCTGTATTTGTCATAATGTAGAAACACTATGTATTTTAGTGTTTCTTTGTCAGATATTCAGGACCTGTGTTGCAGGCAGTTAAAGTGCTGGTGATACAAAGATTAATATTTCAGATGATTGCTGAGCTCAGAGAGCTCACAGGCTAGGGGAGACAAACATGAGACAAAAACTTGATGGAAAGTGCGATAATAGATACGCATAATGTATTACGATGTGTAGTTCTTAGCTTCAGGGGGGAAAACATTTTAAAAAAACTTGTTTTTCTTCAAAAAATTTATACTTCAGTTTTGGGAATTAATGATTCACTGGCTTACTGCCCAGCCTTGAAACGCATTATACAGGCCGGCACGGTGGCTCCCACCTGCCTTTAATCACAGCACTCTGGGAGACTGAGGCGGGCAGATTGCTTGAGACCAGCCTGGGCAATGTGGTGAAACTCCCTTTTTTTTTTTTTTTTTTTTTTTTTTGGAGACGGAGTGTTGCCCTGTTGCCCAGTGCAACTTCCACCCTCCAGGTTCAATCGATTATCCTGCCTCAGCCTCCTGACTAGCTGGGATTATAGGCGCACTCCACGTACCCAGCTAATTTTATTTTTAGTAGAGCTGGGTTTTCACCATGTTGGCTAGGCTGGTCTCGGACTCCAGCCTGCCTCGGCCTCCCAAAGAGCTGGGATTATAGGCAGGAGTCACCACGCCCGGCCTGCGAAACCCCATCTTGACAAAAAAATAGCTGGGTGTGGTGGCATGTTCTTGTAATCCCAACTACTCTGGAAGCTGAGGTGGGAAGATCACTTGAGCCTGGGCCATTGGGGATGCAGTGAGCCAAGATTGCACCACGAACTTTTCTGTAGACAAGTGTCTCAAAAGCCGGGCACGGTGGCTCACGCCTGTAATCCTAGCACTTTGGGAGGCTGAGGCGGGAGGATCGCCTGAGATCAGGAGTTCAAAACTAGCCTGGCCAACATGGTGAAACCCTGTCTCTACTAATAATCCAAAAAAATCAGCCAGGCGTGGTGGTACATGCCTGTAACCCCAGCTACTCAGGAGGCTGAGGCAGGAGAATCGCTTGAACCCAGGAGGCAGAGGTTGCAGTCAGCCCAGATTGTACCATTGCACTCCATCCTGGGCTGCAAGTGAAACTCCATCTCAAAACAAAAAGACGGTCTTGCCCAGGCTGGAGTGCAGTGGTGCAATCATATCTCAAGCACCACACCTGGTGGACTTTATTCATATATTTTGTAGAGATGGGTCTCCATGTTTCCCAAGCTGGTCTCGAACTCCTAGGCTCAAGTGATATGCCTGCCTTGGCCTCCACAAGTGCCAGTATTAAGGTGTGTGTCACTGTGTGTCACCTGGCTATAATTTTAAATATTTTGTGTTCAAACATTTGAACAGGTTTTCATCAGTCCTTATTGCTTAGGTATCAGACCTTGTGCGTTGTACCTCATCTCTAATTCAAAGCTTCTGTTAAGAACATTTTCTGGGGCGGGCAAGGTGGCTCAATTCTGTAATCACACCATTGAGGCGCCACTGCACTCCAGCCTGGGCGGCAGAGCGAGACTGTCTCAAAAAATGTTCTGGGCTGGGCGTGGTGACTCATGCCTGGCCAACATGGCAAAACCCCCTCTCAAAAAAAAAAAATGATCAATTTAAGATTGTGAGTGAAATTTTTTAAGTTTAGATGAATGGGTATAGCATATTTTTTGTCCATATTGATAGGTTGTGATATTGGTGCTATACGGTTCCCTAAACTTAGCTATTTCCAAGGAGGGCAGATTGAGGGTGATTGCTACAGTAGCATGAAGGTTTTCTCCCCCATTTTAGTTCTAAGCTAATTGAAATTTCTCCTGTTTAGCAGGAATTCTTTTGAGAAATTTTTGAAAATACAATTTTTTATTTGTGGATCACCCAGCATTGTACCAAATAGGAAAAGATGTAGGCTAGGTAGGGAGGAGGCTGGCACTTTGTGAAAAACTTAACATCTAGTTGCTTTGATAGTGATTAAATAAATTGATAACTAAGGGTGTAATAGGGAATACAGAGTAGGACTTCCTGGTCGAATCTAGCAGCCTGTGCAAATAAGAGGACAACTGAAATGGAGTTCTAGGGTGGCAGTAGGATGGAGAATTTTAACAGTGAATTCTAAGGATTTTTGTAAAGGCCTGTTCTAACCCCTACATTCTGTCATCCTTGAGCACTTGAACCTTGAACAACATGGGTTTGAACCCCTTTTAGGTGGATTTTTTCCAACCAAATGCAGGTCAAAAATACAGTATTTGTAAAATGCCAAACCCATGAATACGGAGGGTTCTGTCTGATTTTGGTATGCTTGGTGGTGGAGGGGTCATGAAACCACTCCTCTGGAATATACCAAGGGACAATTGTGTTTTTTTGTTTTTTGTTTTTTTGAGACAGAGTCTCGCTCTGTCGCTGAGGCTGGAGTGCAGTGGCACAATTTCGGCTCACTGCAATCTCTGAATTCCCAGGTTCAAGCAATTCTCCTGCCTCAGCCTTCCGAGTAGCTGGGACTACAGGCGTGTGCCACCATGCCCAGCTAATTTTTATATTTTTACTAGAGATGGGGTTTCACCATGTTGGCCAGGCTGATCTGTGGGTTTCATTTAAACATTGACCACAATTAAATGTTGAATGTCTATTCCTGCTAGTAAAAAGCGTCGTATATCGCCACCAAATATCTTTCCCTCAACACAGTATGGTGAAATACATTTCAGAAATACCATAGCATGAGTAATGTTTTGCAGGTGGATTTGGAGGTAAAGAAACAAGTTTGTGCAGTAATTCAAGTGGTAAGAGATGAAGGGCTAAATTTAGGCAATGGTAATGGGATCTGGAATCCAGGTATATGTAGGTGGTCAAATAAGGCTTGGTGACAACTCATTTAAGATATTGCCAGGCTTGGCCGGGTGCGGTGGCTCACGCTTGTAATCCCAGCACTTTGGGAGGCCGAGGCGGGCAGATCATGAGGTTAGGAGTTGGAGACCAGCCTGGCCAACACAGTGAAATGCTGTCTCTACTAAAAATACAAAAATTAGCTGGGCATGGTGGCATGCGCCTGTAATCCCAGCTACTCAGGAGGCTGAGGCAGGAGAATTGCTTGAACCCAGGAGGTGGAGGTTGCAGTGAGCTGAGATCAAGCCACTGCACTCCAGCCCACGGGACAGAACTAGACTCCATCTCAAAAAGAAAAAAATAATGATATTGCCAGGCTTGCTTTGCTCTTCCCAGATAGTCTAAAGTGACAAATCATTTGTTCGCAAGTTGTATTGTCAGTCTGGGTAATTTCATTGTTCATGTGAAGAACTTATCCAGAACTCACTCCTAAATTATTTATTTATTTATTTATTTAGACACGGAGTCACTTTTTGACATGGAGGCATGATCTCGGCTCACTGCAGCCTGTTTCCCAGGTTCAAGCGATCCTTCTGCCTCAGCTCTCTGAGTAGCTGGGATTACAGCCATGTGCCACCACTCCTGGCTAATTTTTGTATTTTTAGTAGAGATGGGGTTTCACCTGGTTGGCCAAGCTGGTCTCAAACGCCTGACCTCAAGTGATCCACCCACCTCAGCCTCCCAAAGTGCTGGGATTACAGGATTGAGCCATTGTGCCAGGCCAATCCTGAATTTCTTTTCTTTTCTTTTTTTTTTTTTTTTTTGAGACGGAGTTTTGCTCTTGTTGCCCAGGCTGGAGTGCAGTGGCGTAATCTCAGCTCACTGCAACCTCCATCTCCCAGGTTCAAGAGATTCTCCTGCCTCAGCCTTCCCAAGTAGCTGGGATTATAGGCATGCGCCACCAAGCCCAGCTAATATTGTATTTTTAGTAGAGATGGGGTTTCTCTGTGTGGGTCGGGCTGGTCTCAAACTCCCGACCTCAGGTGATCTGCCCACCTTGGCCTCCCAAAGTGCTGGGATTACAGGCGTGAGCTACCCTGCCCAGCCCCAATCCTAAATTTCTTAATCTCAAATCCAATGGCCTTCAGTTGAGTACTTAGCAACCCATTCCCATTATGTATCTCATCATCATGAGTGAAAGAACTGCAAAGCTGCTTATACTACAACTAAGTGTCATGCAGTCTAACTGCCCCTCAACCACTGTTCCTTCTCTGGCCTCACAGCTAATTAGCCTTTATAGCTTTAGTTACTTCCCTATTTCTATTGCGCTGTGATTCATCTTGAACCTATTCTCAAACAATCAAAATCATGGAGTTTTTTGTGATAATGTGGATTCCTAGGTCTTATCTCTGAGATAAGCTTGTCCATGTGGGGCCAGGGATTTGGAATATTATTGATAACTAGAAACCAGTGATTCCTAAAATGTGATCCCCAGACTAGCAGGATTAGTTTTGCCTAGGAACTCATTAGAAATACAAATTCTGGCCCCCAAATAGACCTACTAAATCAGAAACTTTGGAGGTGGGGTCAAGTGATCTGTCAAGCCTCTCCGGGTGATTCTGATGTATGCCAAAGTCTCATTACTGTTTTGGATCTAAAACGTAGGTTCTCATTCGGTTGGTCCTACTGAGATAGCCATGTGCAGTGTGATGTTTTGTGATGAAGGAAATGTTCCATATATCCAGTGTCCGATAGGTAACTACTAGCCAAATAGAGCTACTGAGGACCTGAAAAGCTAGTGCAATTAAGAAATGATTTTTAAATAAAAATCATTACAGGCCAGGTGCGGTGGCTCACGCCTATAATCCCAGCACTTTGGGAGGCCAAGGTGGGCAGATCACGAGGTCAGGAGTTCGACACCAGCCTGGCCAATATGGCAAAACCCTGTCTCTACTAAAAATACAAAAATTAGCTGGGCGTGGTGGTGTGCACCTGTGGTCCCAGCTGCTCGGGAGGCTGAGGCAGAGGAGTCGCTTGGACCCGGCAGGCAGAGGTTTTGGTGAAAAGAGATCGTGCCACTGCACCCTGGGCAACATAGCATGACTCCGTCTCAAAAAAAAAAAAAAAACCATTACATTAAATCTTACTAAATTTAAATAATCCAGTTTGGGCACCATGGCTCACACCTGTAATCCCAACTCTTTGGGAAGCCAAGGCCTGAGCTCAGGAGGGAGACCAGCCTGGGCAATATGGTGAAACCCCATCTCTACAAAAAAAAAAAAAAAAAAAAAACCATGGTGTGGTGGTGCATGCCTGTGATCCCAGCTACTCTAGAGGCTGAGGTGGGAGGATCCTTGAGCCTGGGAGACAGAGATTGTAGTGAGCTGAGATCATGCCACTGAACTCCAATCTGGGTGACAGAGACCCTGTCTCAAAAAACAAAACAAAAATTTTTAAATAATCCTATATGGTTAGTTACTACCATATTAGATAGTGCAGAGTTTGATGATACTGACGTAGGTGGTTTCAGGTCCACTGATGATTCATTAACCAAATTCTTACTTGCCTAAGATGATATGGGGAAATCCAAGCATGATAAATTTGGATACTACAGAGAAAATTAACATCAAAAATTACATAGGTCAATGTGCCAGGCACAGTACCTCACGCCTGTAATCCCAGCACTTTGGGAAGCCAAGGCAGGTGGATTGCTAGAGCCCAGGAATTCCAGACCAGCCTGGACAATATGGTAAAACCCCCTCTCTACTAAAAACAAAAAATTAGCCTGGCATGGTGGCACAAACCTGTAATCCCAGCTACTCGGGAGTCTGAGGCATGAGAATCATGTGAACCCAGAGGGTAGAGGTTGCAGTGATCTGAGATCGTGCCACCATACTCCAGTCTGGACAACAGAGTGAGACTCCATCTCAGAAAAGTCGCCTGGCGAGGTGGTTTATGCCTGTAATCCCAGCACTTTGGGAGGCCAAGGCAGGTGGATCACTTGAGGTCAGGAGTTTGAGACCAGCCTGCCCAACAGGATGAAACCCCATCTCTACTAAAAATACAAAAATTAGCCGGGGATGGTAGTGGGCACCTGTTATCCCAGCTACTCGGGAGGCTGAGGCAGGAGAATCATTTGAACCAGGGAGGTGGAGATTGCAGTGAGCCGAGATCCCACCACTGCATTCCAGTTTGGGCAAAAGAGCAAGACATTGTCTCACAAATAAATAAATAAATAAATAAATAAGCCTGGGTGAGGTGGCTCATGCCTATAATCCCAGCACTTTGGGTGGCCGAGGCGGGCAGATAACGAGGTCAGGAGTTCAAGACCAGCCTGGCCAACATAGTGAAACCCCGTCTCTACTAAAAATACAAAAATTAGCCATGCATGGTGCTGCATGCCTGTAGTCCCATCTACTTGGGAGGCTGAGGCAGGAGAATTGCTTGAACCCAGGAGGCAGAGGTTGTGGTGAGCCGAAACTGCGCTTCTGCACTCCAGCCTGGGCAACAGAGTGAGACTCCATCTCAAAAAATAATAATAATAAAAATTAACAGGCCAGGCGCAGTGGCTCATGCCTGTAATCCCAGAACTTTGGGAGGCCGAGACAGGTGGGTTACGAGGTCAGGAGATCGAGACCATCCTGGCTAACATGGTGAAACCCCGTCTCTACTAAAAATACAAAATATTAGCCGGGCGTGGTGGCGAGCACCTGTAGTCCCAGCTACTCGGGAGGCTGAGGCCGGAGAATGGTGTGAACCCAGGAGGTGGAGCTTGCAGTGAGCCTAGATAGTGCCACTGCATTCCAGCCTGGGTGACAGAGCGAGACTCCGTCTCAAAAAAATAAAAAATAAATAAATAATAGGTCAAAACATACCACTAAATTAAAAGATAACATTAGAAGAAAACATTTACAACATGCTTAACAAAGCATTTGAAGAACACTTAATCATGACAAGCCAAAAGGAAAAAATTGACAAAAGATGGAAACAAGTAATTAACTGAAGATATACAACTGACCAACAAACATGAAAATATTCCATCTTACTAGCCATTAGAGCTGAGCGTGGTGGCTCATGCCTGTCATCTCAACACTTTGGAAGGCCAAGGAAGATGGATTGCTTGAGCTACCCCCGTCCCACCACCAGACTTGAAGGTAGCCATGGGCAATATGTTGAAACCCCCCCTTTTTTTTTTTTTTTGAGACAGAGTTTCGCTCTCATTGCCCAGGCTGGAGTGCAGTGACATGATCTTGGCTCACTGCAACCTCCACCTTATGGTGGTTTCAAGCGATTCTCCTGCCTCAGCCTCCCAAGTAGCTGGGACTACAGGCACACACCACCATGCCCAGCTAATTTTTTGTATTTTTAGTAGAGACGGGGTTTCACCATGTTTGTCAGGATGGTCTCGATCTCTTGACCTTGTGATCCGCCCACCTCAGCCTCCCAAAGTGCTGGAATTACAGGCGTGAGCCACCATGCCCAGCCAAAACCCTGTCTTTACAAAAATTAGCAGGGCCTGATGGTGTGTGCATATGACTGGTCCCAGCTACTCGGGAGGCAGAGGTGGGAGGATTACTTGAGCCTGGGAGGTTCTAGTTCAAGAACTACTTGAACCCAGGAGGCGAAGGCTGCAGTGAGCCGTAATCACTCCACTGTACTGCAGCCTGGGAGACAGAGCAAGACCCTGTCTAAAAAAAAAAAAAAAAAGTGGCTCATGCCTGTAATCCCAGCACTTTGGGAGGCCAAGGCAGGCAGATCATCTGAGGTCGGGAGTTCAAGACCAGCCTGGCCAATATGGTGAAACCCCTTCTCTACTAAAAATACAAAAAAATTAGCCAGGCATTGTGGCGGGAGCCTGTAGTCCCAGCTACTCATGAGGCTGAGGCAGGAGAATCACTTGAACCTAGGAGGCAGAGGTTTCAGTGAGCCAAGATCGCACCACTGCACTCCAGCCTGGGTGACAGATCAAGACTCCGTCTCAAAAAAAGTTAATTAAGTCAATAATTTCATTATATTAGCCACCTTTAAAAATAAAGTTTTGGCAAAGATGCTGGGAACCTGGTAAATTAGCAAGATGGTTTGCGAAGGCAATTTGGCAGAATCTTATTTAAGTGAGCATATTTTAAGCCAACATGTTTAGGAATATGTATTAAAGGAGTACTAGGGTCAGGCACGGTGGTTCATGCCTGTAATCCCAGCACTTTGGGAGGCTGAGACAGGCGGATCATGAGGTCAGGAGTTCGAGACCAGCCTGGCCAACATGGTGAAACCCCCGTCTCTACTAAAAATACAAAAATTAGCTGGGCCTGGTGGCATGTGCCTGTAATCCCAGCTATTTGGGAGGCTGAGGCAGGAGAATTGCTTGAACCTGGGAGGTGGAGGTTGCAGTGAGCAACCTTTTTGTCACCAGGGACCGGTTTTGTGGAAGACAATTTTTCCATGGATGGGGGTGGGGGATATGGTTCATGAAATAATTATACAACTGACCATAATGTAGAATCAGTGGGAGCCTTGAGCTTGTTTTCCTGCAACTAGACAGTCCCATCTTAGGGTGATGAGAGACAGTGTCAGATCATCAGGCATTAGATTCTCATAAGGAGTGTGCAACCTAGATCCCTTGCTTGCTCGGTTAACAATAGGGTTTCCGGCAGGGCACGGTGACTCACGCCTGTAATCCCAGCACTTTGGGAGGCTGAGGCGGGTGGATCACAAGGTGAGGAGATCGAGACCATCCTGGCTAACATGGTGAAACCCTGTCTGTACTAAAAAAAAATACAAAAAAATTAGCCAGGCGTGGTGGCGGGTGCCTGTAGTTCCAGCTACTCCAGAGGCTGAGGCAGGAGAATGGCATGAACTCAGGAGGCAGAGCTTGCAGAGAGCTGAGACCATGCCACTGCACTCCAGCCTGGGCGACAGAGCGAGACTCTGTCTCAAAAAAAAAAAACAAAAAACAAAACAAAAAACAACAATAGGGTATCAGGGGAACCAGCCCCTAATATTTCAACATAGGTTCTTTTCTATTTTCCCTAAGTGTCAGCCGGTCTGAGAAATAAAGGGAAAGAGTACAAAAGAGAGCAATTTTAAAGCTGGGTGTCCGGGGGAGACATCACATGTCAGCAGGATCCGTGATGCCCCCTGAGTTGCAAAACCAGCAAGTTTTTATTATGGATTTCAAAAGGGGAGGGGTGTACGAATAGGGTGTGGGTCACAGAGATCACATGCTTCAAGAGCAATAAAATATCACAAGGCAAATAGGGGCAGAGTGAGGTCACAGGACCAGGGCAAAATTAGAATTGCTGATGAAGTTTCATGTCCCACTGGGCACACATTGTCATTGATAACATCTTATCAGGAGACAGGGTTTGAGAGCAGACAACCGATCTGACTAAAATTTACTAGGCAGGAATTTCCTAATCCTAATAAGCCTGGGGGTGCTACAGGAGACCAGGGCTTATTTCATCCCTTATCTATAACCATATAAGACACACACTCCCAGAGCGGCCATTTTAGAGACCTCCCCCTGGGAATGCATTCTCTTTCTCAGGGCTGTTCCTTGCTGAGAAAAATAACTCAGCGGTATTACTCCTATTCGCTTTTGTAAGAAGAGAAACATGACTCTGTTCTGTCCGGCCCCACAGGCAGTCAGGCCCAATGGTTATCTCCCTTGTTCCCTGAAAATCGCAGCCATCCTGTTCCTTTTGGATGTCCAGATTTCATATTGTTCAAACACACATGCTCTACAAACAATCTGTGCAGATAATGCAATTATCACAGGATCCTGAGGCAACATACATCCTCAGCTTATGAAGATGACGGGATTAAGAGATTAAAGACAGGCATAGGAAATTATAAGAGTATTGATTGGGGAAGTGATAAATGTACATGAAATCTTCACAATTTCTGTTCAGAGATTGCAGTAAAAACAGGCGTAAGAAATTATAAAAGTATTAATTTGGGGAACTAATAAATGTCCATGAAATCTTCACAATTTATGTTCTGCTGTGGCTTCAGCCGGTCCCTCCGTTTGGGGTCCCTGACTTCCCGCAACAATAGGGTTTCCATTTTTATGAGAATCTAATGCCATCACTGATCTGACAGGAGGCAGAATTCAGGTGGTAACGTGAGCAGTGGGGAGAAGCTGTAAATACAGATGAAGCTTTGGTCACTCGACCACAACTCTCCTCCTGCTGTGTGGCCTGGTTCCTAACAGGCCATGGACGGGTACTGGTCTGTGGCCCAGGCACTGGGGAACCCTGCATTATATGTATATGAAACAGAAAGTGAGTGGAATGTATGCAAAAAGTTTTTTCAATGGTCATTTTTGGGAAGGACAGTGGAAGTTTTGGAAGTAATGGTGAAAGAACTCATCCTGTACACCTAGAATATGTTCATATGTTACTTGTGTAATAAATAGTGCTTCCAAATTGTGACCTAAGAAAGGAATATTGGATTTCTGAAAGAGAATATTTCAACTTGGGAATGGCTGTGGAAGTAGGCTGCTTATGTGAAATGGGAATGTGAAAAACTAATTGGAATTGAAGTGGTTGAGGATCTCTGAAGCCAGGGCATTGAATGGGTTCTTTTCGTGGAATTTGAAATAATCCGGGATGATTGTCAAGAAATGTAGTAGAGACCAAAAAAACACATTCCACCAATTACCAGAGTACTGGAAGGATGTGGGGGTATGACCAATGTGGATAGCAGTAATGAAAGGATTTGGTGGAAAATGTAATTTTCACTTCAAGATGAATTTTAAATTACAGAGCACAGTCATTTGGAATTAACTTCAGATAAGAAACCAGATTGGGTGGGTCTGTGTGGTTCCTATTCCCCTGTGAAAAATAACTTGTACTTTTTTTTTTTTTTTCCATTCAGGTTCCATTTATTTTTGACATTTTTACATAACCATCCTTGCAGGGGTAACTCCTGCATCACTCTAGAACTTCAGGTTCCGTCCCTCTCCCTCTCCCTCTCCCCCTCCCCTCCCCCTCCCCTCCCCCTCCCCCTCCCCCTCCCCTTCCCTCTCTCCATGGTCTCCCTCTGAAGCCGAGCCGAGGTTGGACTGCACTGCCGCCATCTCGGCTCACTGCAACCTCCCTGCCCGACTCTCCTGCCTCAGCCTGCCGATCGCCCGGGACTGCAGGCGCGTGCCGCCACGCCTGACTGGTCTTTGCTGGAGTGCAGTGGCATGATCTGGGCTCGCTACAGCCTCCACCTCCCAGCCTCCTGCCCTGGCCTCCCAAAGTGCCGAGATTGCAGCCTCTGCCCGGCTGCCACCCCATCTGGGAAGCGAGGAGCGTCTCTGCCTGGCCGCCCATCATCTGGGATGCGAGGAGCCCCTCTGCCCTGCCGCCCAGCCTGGGAAGTGAGGAGCGCCTCTTCCCGGCCGCCATCCCATCTGGGAAGTGACGAGCGTCTCTGCCTGGCCGCCCATCGTCTGAGATGTGGGGAGCGCCTCTGCCCCGCCGCCCCGTCTGGGATGTGAGGAGCGCCTCCGCCCGGCCACGACCCCGTCTGGGAACTGAGGAGTGTCTCTGCCTGACCGCCACCCCGTCTGGGAGGTGAGGAGCGTCTCTGCCCGGCCGCCCCGTCTAAGAAGTGAGGAGCCCCTCCGCCCGGCAGCTGCCCCGTCTGGGAAATGAGGAGCGTCTCCACCTGGCAGCCGCCCCGTCTGGGAGGGAGGTGGGGGGCAGCCCCCGCCCAGCCAGCCGCCCCGTCCGGGAGGGAGGTGGGGGGCAGCCCCCGCCCGGCCAGCCACCCCGACTTGTACTTTATATAAAATATCACTTGGACAATCTGGGTCTCAATCAAGAAATACGTAGGAAAGGCCGGCCGCCGTGGCTCACGCCTGTAATCCCAGCACTTTGGGAGGCCGACATGGGCGGATCACGAGGTCAGGAGATCGAGACCATCCTGGCTAACACAGTGAAACCCTGTCTCTACTAAAAAAAATACAAAAAAATTAGCCGGGCGTGGTGGCGGGTGCCTGTAGTCCCAGCGACTCGGGAGGCTGAGGCAGGAGAATGGCGTGAACCCGGAGGCGGAGCTTGCAGTGAGCTGAGATCGTGCCACTGCACTCCAGCCCGGGCAACATAGCAAGACTCCATCTCAAAAAAAAATATGTAGGACAAAAACATGTTACAACTCTAAAATAGATTACATTATTTATTCAGAATGCTGGTTAAGGCATATCTCAATCTGAGCTAATCAAGCTTATTCTATTTTAGACATTATTACTTATATTAATAAATTTAACTGATTTCAGAGGAGAGGGAGAGGAGGTTGTTAAAGGCCAACATTGATAGCAACAGAGTGAGAAAAATTAAGAGTTCACAAACTTCAGCTTAATGGTCTCATGGAGAAATAGCTCTTTTTTACTTTTAACTTTTTTTTTTTTGAGATGGAGTCTCCCTCTGTCGCCCAGGCTGGAGTGCAGTGGCGTGATCTTGGCTCACAGCAAGCTCCGCCTCCAGGGTTCACGCCATTCTCCTGCCTCAGCCTCCCGAGTAGCTGGGATTACAGGCGCCCACCACCACACCTGGCTAATTTTTTGTATTTTTAGTAGAGACGGGGTTTCACCGCGTAAGCCAGGATGGTCTCAATCTCCTGACCTCATGACCCACCTGCCTTTGCCTCCCAAAGTGCTGGGATTACAGGCGTGAGCCACCATGCCCGGCCCTTTTTTTTTTTTTTTTTTTTTTTAATAGAGACGGGGTCTCCCTACATTGCTCAGGTTGGTCTCAAACTCCTGGGCTCAAGGAATCCTCCCATCTTGGGGTCCCAAAGTGCTGAGATTACAGGCGTGAGCCATGGAGCCCCACCTCATTAACACTGAAAGCATTTAGCATTGCAATGTGATAAAAAGGTTTGTTGAATGAATAACCCTAATACCCAAGAAAAGTTAAATTACTTGGTAATTTGATAAGAGGACAAATGTGTGATACATTTCAAAAAGTGATGATCTTCGGTTACCTGGTATGAATGTTTTTCTTAGAAACTTGGATTAAGAAATGTCACCAGGCGCGGTGGCTCACGCCTGTAATCCCAGCACTTTGGGAGGCCTAGGCGGGCGGATCACGAGGTCAGGAGATCGAGACCATCGTGGCTAATATGGTGAAACCTCGTCTCTACTAAAAATACAAAAAAAAAATTAGCTGGGTGTGTGGTGGCAGGCGCCTGTAGTCCCAGCTACTCAGGAGGCTGAGGCAGGAAAATGGCATGAACCCGCAAGGCAGAGCTTGCAGTGAGCCGAGATCATGCCACTGCACTCCAGCCTGGGCAACAGAGCGAGACTCTGACTCAAAAAAAAAAAAAAGAAATGTCAAAGTAGGCCAGGAGCAATGGCTCATGCCTGTAATCCCAGCACTTTGGGAGGCCGAGGTGGGTGGATCACGAGGTCAGGAGTTCAAGACCAGCCTGGCCAACATGGTGAAACCCCATCTCTCCTAAAAATACAAAATATTAGCCAGGTGTGGTGGTGTGCGCTTGTAATCCCAGCTACTCAGGAGGCTGAGGCAGGAGAATTGCTTGAACCTGGGAGGCGGAGGTTGCAGTGAGCCGAGTTTGTGCCACCGTACTCCAGCCTGGGTGACAGAGCAAGACTCTGTCTCAAAAAAAAAGAAATGTCAGAGTAGGCAGGGGGCAGTGACACACGTCTGTAATCCCAATACTTTGGGAGTTCCAGGTGGGCGGATCACCTGAGTTCAGGAGTTCGAGACCAGCCTGGCCAACATAGTGAAACCCTGTCTCTAGTAAAAATACAAAAAAATTAGCCAGGCATGGTGGTGCGCACCTGTAGTCCCAGCTACTTGGGAGGCTGAGGCAGGAGAATCACTTGAACCTGGGAAGCATAGGTTGCAGCGAGCCGAGATAGCACCATTGCACTCCAGCCTGGGCAACAAGATTGATACTGCATCTCAAAAAAAAGAAAAAAATGACAGAGTAATGTGTTTAATGGTTAATAATACTCTAATTTTGCCAAGACCCAAATTGATGATACAAAACCAAAGTTCTCAAATCAGATTAAGTCTTGCTGGAAAGGTTGGGAGAGGGAGGAAGTCTTGGAGCTTCTTCACTTTTATATAAAATTATCTCTTTTTTTTTGAGATGGGGGTCTCACTATGTTGCCCAGGCTGGAGTGCAGTGTCGCAGATATTGGCTCACTGCAACCTCCATCTCCTAGGCTCAAGCAATCCTCCCACCTCAGCTTCCTGAGTAGCCTCCTGCAATGGTGCAATCTTAGCTCACTACAACCTCTACCTCCTGGGCTCAAGCCATCCTCCCATCTTAGCCTTCCCAGTAGCTGGGAATACAGACATATACCACCATGCCTGGCTAATTTTTGTATTTTTGTAGAAACAGGGTTTCACCATGTTGCCCAAGCTGGTCTCCAACTCCTGGACTCATGTAATGCCCCCATATCAGCATTCCAAAGTGCTGGGATTATAGGCGCAAGCCACCATGCCCAGCCTGTAAAATTATCCTTGTTCAGGTCAGAAACAGATGAGGCCATAGATATGATATAACAGGCTCACAAATGACAAAAGGAATCTTTATTTTGATTTCTTTTTCATCTCTGCTTTTTTTTTAAGCAACCCACATTGTCTAGAATTTAAAAAACATCCTCAACATTATTTGCCCTATATTACTTTTTCAAGGGCATTATACTAAACAGACTCTGCTCACAAAATGTATGAGAGGAACAAATTATTGAATGGATTGGATAGGATAACATTGACATTAGTCAATAGTAAACAAAAATAATAATATCATGTATATATAGGGCTAATTTTGTGCCAGGCATTGTTCTCAATGCTTCTTTCTTATATTAGTCTACTTAATTCTCAAAACAATCCTAGGATATAATCCCCATTGTTAGTAGTAGTATCCCTTTTATGGATGAGGAAACTGATGTAAAGAGATTAAATAACTTGCCCAATGACAGCTAGTGAGTGGCAAACACAAGATTCCCAGCCTGGCTCCAGTGGCAATATGCAATATTCTCTTTTTTTTTGAGATGGAGTTACACTCTTGTTGCCCAGGCTGGAGCGCAATGGTGCAATCTCAGCTCACCGCAACCTCCGCCTCCTGGGTTCAAGTGATTCTTTTGTCCCAGCCTCCCAAATAGGTGGGATTACAGGCCACCACACCCAGCTAATTTTGTATTTTCAGTAGAAACCGAGTTTCTCCATGTTGGTCAGGCTGGTCTTGAACTTCCAACCTCAGGTGATCTGCCCGCCTTGGCCTCCCTAAGTGCTGGGATTATAGGAGTGAGCCACCGCGCCCGGACTAATTTTTTTGTATTTTTAGTAGAGGCCGGGTTTCATCTTGTTGGCCAGCCTGGTCTCAGGTGATCTACAGGCCTTGGCCTCCCAAAGTGCAGGGATTACAGGTGTAAGCCACCACACCCAGCCAAAATCCTATGTTTTGATGCAGTCCACTGAAATTAGTTTTGATCCCACTCCACCATGGAATGATTTCCTAGTTGCCAAACCCAAACCCAGAGGATTTTTTTCAGCCCTAATTTTTTTTTCTTCTTTTTTATTTTTCTTTTTTTGTTGAGACAGGGTCTCACAACGTCAGCCAGCATGGAGTACAATGGTGCAATCTTAGCTCTCTGCAACCTCTACCTCCTGGGCTCAAGCCATATTCCCATCTCAGCTTCCCCAGTAGCTGGGACTACTGGCACATGCCACACCTGGCTAATTGTGTGTCTGTGTGTGTGTGTGTGTGTGTGTTTATTTTTTTACATATTTTTTAGAGACAAGGTTTCACCACGTTGCCCAGGCTGGTATTGAACTCCTGGGCTCAAGTTATCCACCCACCTCGGCTTCCCAAAGTGTTGGGATTACTGGGCTGGCCGTGCCCAGCCCAGCCCTTTTTACTTATTTTATTATTTATTTATTTATTTATTTTTTATTATTATTTTTGAGACGGAGTCTCGCTCTGTCACCAGGCTGGAGTGCAGTGGCACGATCTCAGCTCATTGAAACCTCCGCCTTCCAGGTTCACGCCATTCTCCTGCCTCAGCCTCCTGAGTAGCTGGGACTACAGGCGCCCGCCACCACGCCCAGCTAATTTTTGTATTTTTAGTAGAGACGGGGTTTCACCATGTTGGCCAGGATGGTCTAGATCGCTTGACCTCATGATCTGCCCACCTCGGCCTCCCAGAGTGCTGGGATTACAGGCGTGAGCCACCGTGCCCAGCCTATTTTATTTTATATATTTATTTTATTTTTTTAGAGAGTCTCACTCTGTCGCCCAAGCTGGAGTGCAGTGGCGCTATCTCGGCTCACTGCAAGCTCCGCCTCTCGGATTTACGCCATTCTCCTGCCTCAGCCTCCCAAGTAGCTGGGACTACAGGCGCCCGCCACCACGCCCGGCTAATTTTTTGTATTGTTAGTAGAGACCGGGTTTCACTGTGTTAGTCAGGATGGTCTCGATCTCCTGACCTCGTGATCCGCCCGCCTTGGCCTCCCATAGTGCTGGGATTACAGGCGTGAGCCACCGCGCCCAGCTAATTTTTGTATTTTTAGTAGAGACGGGGTTTCACCATGTTAGCTAGGCTGGTCTCGAACTCCTGACCTCAGGTGATCCACCTGCCTCGGCCTCCGAAAGTACTGGGATTACAGGCGTGAGCCACCGCTCCCAGCCTACCCTAAGAATTTCTATTCACATTTCATAGCTGAGGTCTCTCAGCTTCCTTCAAGGTGGACAATTCTGTATCTCTAGGTGACCCAATTTTATCCCCTCGTCTTTCGTGCACCCAGTTTATGCTAACCAGGAACCATCACATTATTGCATTGTTTGTTCACCTGGACCTTAAAAGGAAGGTTCTTAGTCTTATTTATCTTATTATTGAGTCTCCTCAATGCCCTGCTAAAGTACTGGTTACATTAGTTTATTTCATTTTAATAGGTTTAAATGATAAAGATCCTGTCTAGGTTGCTAATCTGTGCAATCGCCTGGGAGCTTGCAATCTCACTACTTCGAGAGAAAAACCTTATTTTGGCTCTAAAGAGGGCTCCTGACTTCGCCACGCTCACCTTCAGTGGTGCTTCACCGCACTACCACTTCCCTAACCACCGCCCCTATGGCTGTCACCTAGATCAAGGACCTATCTAAGGAGAAAGCCCAAGGACAGGCAAAGACAGGCCACGCACTTTCAACAGGAACTCGGCCCCTTTCCTAAACGTAGTTCCTCTGATTACCCTGTCCAACGGACGTCGCTATGATCCAATTAAGTTTTGAGGCTCAGAGTGACGCCCTCTAACCTCACACTGTCCAATAAAAAAAGGAGTTTCAGATTAGCACCAGTTTTGACCAATGGATGAGAAGATCAGCGTGTATTAACCTGTAGAAGCAGCACAGAGAATGATGAGCAGCCAGTTCACCCAATGGACCTGCCTACTGCAGCGTAGGCCTCGCCTCAACGGCAGGAGAGCAGGCGGCTGCGGTTGCTGCAGCCTTCAGTCTCCACCCGGACTACGCCATGTTGGGGTTTGTGGGTCGGGTGGCCGCTGCTCCGGCCTCCGGGGCCTTGCGGAGACTCACCCCTTCAGCGTCGCTGCCCCCAGCTCAGCTCTTACTGCGGGCCGCTCCGACGGCGGTCCATCCTGGTAAGTGCTTTTCTCTAGGAGCTAACGTTCCATTTTGCCGCCCCATGACCTTGAGCCGGGGAACGATGGTAGCTCGGGCCTAAGGGATCCGTGGTGTTAAAAGGATGCCTGGAGCCGCGTCTTGCTCTCTAATGGCTGGAGAACAAGAATGGGACACCCATAGGAGGTTTCTTCGACCCAGCTCTGTCCCATTTTGTATAAAGTCCTTTGTGTGACGGAAAAGGTGCGGGCAGGTGCGTTGACCTTCCGGTTGAATAGGGGTACTGAACTCTCGAAAAATGGGGTCTTGTGCATGCGGATGGGAAGGCTGTGCAGGCGCTTTATCGATCGCTGCGCGGCCTTCCCTCTTGGACACGCGTTCCGTACAAGCGGAAAGAGGCCTGACTTCGGCTGAGTTTTCCTCTCCTTGTGTGTTAAGTCCTGGCTTCCGATGACCTTTAACTGGCCTGACCCCAGCTCCTTCCAATATCTTTTGTCTGTTAGTCAGGGACTATGCGGCGCAAACATCTCCTTCGCCAAAAGCAGGCGCCGCCACCGGGCGCATCGTGGCGGTCATTGGCGCAGTGGTGGACGTCCAGTTTGATGAGGGACTACCACCAATTCTAAATGCCCTGGAAGTGCAAGGCAGGGAGACCAGACTGGTTTTGGAGGTGGCCCAGCATTTGGGTAAGTAGAGTTTGTTAGGAATAGTAAAGACCTTGTGTAGCCCAAATATCCCCAAAACCAAGCTGTCTGCCTTCTATGATGATTTTATCAAAATGACTTTCGTTCTTCTGAGTTTGCTGAAGCCACATTTAGGTACTGAGAAGGAGTCTTGGTCGATTTAGGTCTTGATACCAATTTATCCTTATGTATAACCCTGCGATGCCTGTATCTAACAGGTGAGAGCACAGTAAGGACTATTGCTATGGATGGTACAGAAGGCTTGGTTAGAGGCCAGAAAGTACTGGATTCTGGTGCACCAATCAAAATTCCTGTTGGTCCTGAGACTTTGGGCAGAATCATGAATGTCATTGGAGAACCTATTGATGAAAGAGGTCCCATCAAAACCAAACAGTAAGTTGCTCTTATTGCATCTATGCACAAAGGAACTTCTGTTATTTGCAGTTTTACACATTAAGGTGACATGTTCTCCTAAAGCAGAATTTTTCTTCTGATACGTTCGATTATTAAAATCACACAGTGCAGTTTCACCTGAAGAAATTAGGATGCAGAATTTCTGATTGACAAAAGCCTACTACTTGAGGTTTTTTTTTTTGAGAGGGAGTTTCGCTCTCGACTCACTGCAACCTCCACCTCCTGGGTTCAAGTGATTCTCCTGTCTCAGCCTCCTGAGTAGCTGGGATTACAGGTGCATGCCATCATGCCCGGCTAATTTTTGTATTTTTAGTACAGATGGGGTTTCACCATGTTGGCCAGGCTGGTCTCGAACTCCTGATTTTGGGTGATTCCCCCCCCACCTCGGCCCCCCAAAGTGCTGGGATAACAGGCATGAGCCACTGCGCCTGGCTAGTTGAGTATTTTTAAGACTCGGTCTTATGGCTTAGGTTTAGGAGTCTCCAAAACTTGTAGGTTTTTGTATTTGCTATTGCTATGTGAGGGAATGCTGTTAGGTTAAGGCTCAGTAAAATGAAAAATTTATGACAGTTAAAGTCAGGGAATGGGATTATTGTTTCCTAAGATAATAATTTTCTTTATTGCAGAAAGTTGGGTTAGATCCTAGATGATAGTTTATCTGATTTATGTAAGAAAGGGGAGGTAAGACTGTGGTTCCTCAGGTAAAGGGATGGACTTGAGAGTTGATAGGGAGGGATATATAAGATTATCATTTGCTTTCAACAAGGTGAATAGATACTATCCTCTCTTCTACCTTTACAGATTTGCTCCCATTCATGCTGAGGCTCCAGAGTTCATGGAAATGAGTGTTGAGCAGGAAATTCTGGTGACTGGTATCAAGGTTGTCGATCTGCTAGCTCCCTATGCCAAGGGTGGCAAAATTGGTATGTTATTAAGGGGTACATATTTTCCAAACCTAATATGGGAGGAAAAACTCATACAATGTTATGAGTGGATATTGACATCTATTCCTCACTGATGAGTACGTTCTGACTTTCGTTCTTCTGAGTTTGCTGAAGCCAGATGCAATTTCTGAGAAGGAATAGGATGGAAGGAAGCAATTACTTTTTTTGAAGTTTGCTTATTTAGGAAAGCAGAACTCTTAAATATTCTTTCTTTTCAACCTCTTATAGGGCTTTTTGGTGGTGCTGGAGTTGGCAAGACTGTACTGATCATGGAGTTAATCAACAATGTCGCCAAAGCCCATGGTGGTTACTCTGTGTTTGCTGGTGTTGGTGAGAGGACCCGTGAAGGCAATGATTTATACCATGAAATGATTGAATCTGGTGTTATCAACTTAAAAGATGCCACCTCTAAGGTAAGCATTGAGCTAATTGATGTCCACGTGGTAGTTACGCCAGGAAACTATTGCCAACTGAAGCCATGTTCTATATTTTCTATTTAATTTTTTTTTCTTTTTAAGAAAATGTTAATATTTTCATTTTCGTGTCCCAGGGCCTACAAAGGAAACCTGTTAGTGTTTTCCCCCCCAACTTCCAATACACAAATGGACATTTTCTTTCCTCTTTGATACTGACATTAAATAACATTTCCAGGTTTTCTTTTTGGTAGATAGTCCCATCATTTGAAAGCTAATTTTGGGAGGGCTGGATTGGACGTGGTACATATGTTTCAGTTAAGCCTATTTTGTACTTTTCACTTAACTTGAATAGGTTTTTATTTCCTTTCTACTATAGTTTTGCCTTACTAATATAAGAAGCTGTCTTTTTTTTTTGAACTGCATCTCTAATAGGGAAAAGAAACTTGCACACAAAAACGCTGACACCTTCTGAGAAAGGATCTGTGGTCGTTTCTCCGATTTGGGAACCTTCAGTATGTGGCTTCTCTACTCCTTTGTCAGGTTTTACGATTATGTATGATTACTGCAGGTAGCGCTGGTATATGGTCAAATGAATGAACCACCTGGTGCTCGTGCCCGGGTAGCTCTGACTGGGCTGACTGTGGCTGAATACTTCAGAGACCAAGAAGGTCAAGATGTACTGCTATTTATTGATAACATCTTTCGCTTCACCCAGGCTGGTTCAGAGGTAAGAGGGAAGGCTTGAGAGGACCTGGTTCATCTGGCCTTTCTTCGGATGAGGCTAAGGATGTAGACACCTAAGACCTTTTTTTCTTTTAGGTGTCTGCATTATTGGGCCGAATCCCTTCTGCTGTGGGCTATCAGCCTACCCTGGCCACTGACATGGGTACTATGCAGGAAAGAATTACCACTACCAAGAAGGGATCTATCACCTCTGTACAGGTAAGAAAAATTACATAGATGAAGATCTGATTTGTATAAAGGCAGGGTGCAGTGGTGCATCTCAGCTACTGAGGAGGCTGAGGCAGGAAGATTGCTTGAGCCCAAGAGATCAGCCTGGGGAACAAAGCTGTATGTATGTAGAGAGATGTATAAAACTGACTGGGCCAGGCGTGGTGGTTCATGCCTGTAATACCAACACTTTGGGAGGCTGAGGTACGCGGATCATGAGGTCAGGAGTTAAGACACCACCCTGGCCAACGTGGTGAAATCCCGTCTCTACTAAAGATACAAAAAATTAGCTGGGCGTTGTGGCAGGCGCCTGTAATCCCAACTACTCAGAGGCTGAGGCAGGAGAATCGCTTGAATCCGGGAGGCAGAGGTTGCAATGAGCCAAGATTGGGGCACTGCACTCCAGCCTGGGTGACAGAGTCAGACTCTGCCTCAAAAAATTAAAAAAAAATAAATGAAGGTATACATTTAAATGTAGATCACAAAGCAATGGTTTCTAGTCTGAGGGGAGTCCGGCGCTATATGGAAACTGAGCATTAAATATTTACTGTATTAGGGCTGAGTGCAGTGGCTCACACTTGTAATTCCAGCACTTTGGGGCCGGGCACGGTGGCTCACGCCTGTAATCCCAGCACTTTGGGAGGCCAAGGCAGGCGGATCATGAGGTCAGGAGATCAAGACCATCCTGACTTAACACAGTGAAACCCCATCTCTACTAAAAATACAAAAAATTAGCTGGGCGTGGTGGCACCTGTCTGTAGTTCCAGCTACTCGGGAGGCTGAGGCAGGAGAATTGCTTGAACCTGGGAGGCGGAGGTTGCAGGAGGTTGTGGTGAGCTGAGATTGGGCCACTCACTCCAGCCTGGGCGGCAGAGTGATAATCCGTCTACAAAAAAAAAAAATTTACTGCATTAATGTACTATACATTTTCAAATATATATAGATGGGATATATAGTAAAATTACATAAATTTTACATATAGTAAAAATGTGGCTAAACTGTAGGAACTTTTCATGATTCAGTGTAATGAACTATTGTGCAAGAAGTTTTTTGTTCTTGTTTTTAATTCTTTTTTTTTTTTTTTTGAGACGGAGTTTCACTCTTATTGCCCAGGCTGGAGTGCAATGGGTGCGATCTGGGCTCACTGCAACCTCCTCCTGGGTTCAGGTGATTCCTTTGTCTCAGCCTCCTGAGTAGCTGGGATTATAGGTGCCCGACACCAGGCCCGGTTAATTTTTGTATTTTTAGTAGAGACGGGGTTTCACCATGTTAGTCAGGCTGGTCTTGAACTCCTGACCTCAGGTGATCTGCCTGACTCAGCCTCCCAAAGTGTTGGGATTATAGGCTTGAGCCACTGTGCCCAGCCTCTTTTTTATTTTTTTATTTTTTTTAATTTTTATTTTTTTGAGACGGAGTCTGTTGCCTAGGCTACAGTGTGGTAGCACAGTCTTGGCTCACTATAACCTCCACCTCCTGGGTTCAAGCGATTCACCTGCTTCAGCCTCCTGCATAGCTGGGATTACAGGCATGCATCACCATGCCTGGCTAATTTTTGTTTCCGTTTTTTTTTTTTTTTTTAGTAGAGACCCCCGTCTCTACTGGTGTCGAACTCCTGACCTCGTGATCTGCCCTCCTTGGCCTCCCAAAGTGCTGGGATTATAGGCATGAGCCACCGTGCCTGGCCCCCAGCCTCTTGTTTTTAATTCTAAAAGTGGGCATTAAAATAGTTAAAATAAAAGATGAAGAACAAAAAGAATGATACTAAAAATTCTTCCATCATGGCTGAGAGACCAGATAATCTGTCAGCTTATTCAGCAGGTATTAGGGGTGGTAAGAAGGGTCTTTTGAGTGCTAAGAATATGGAGTGAGATGATAAAGATAGGTCAGAAAGGGGGATGGCTTAAGTAAAATTACTTTGGTTCGCTGGGCGTGGTGGCTCACGCCTATAATCCCAACACTTTGGGAGGCCAAGGCGGGTGGATCACGAGGTCAGGAGTTCAAGACCAGCCTGGCCAAGATAGTGAAACCCCGTCTCTACTAAAAATACAAAAAAATTAGCCGGGTGTGGTGATGGGCACCTGTAGTCCTAGCCACTCGGGAAGCTGAGACAGAGAATTGCTTGAATCCAGGAGGCAGAGGTTGCAGTGAGCCGAGATTGCACCACTGCACTCCAGCCTGGGCGACAGAGCGAGACCCTCTCAAAAAAAAAAAAAAAAATTTACTTTGGTTCCTGTTCTTCATGGGATCTCACTTTAGGCTATCTATGTGCCTGCTGATGACTTGACTGACCCTGCCCCTGCTACTACGTTTGCCCATTTGGATGCTACCACTGTACTGTCGCGTGCCATTGCTGAGCTGGGCATCTATCCAGCTGTGGATCCTCTAGACTCCACCTCTCGTATCATGGATCCCAACATTGTTGGCAGTGAGCATTACGATGTTGCCCGTGGGGTGCAAAAGATCCTGCAGGTGAGTATATTACTATGTGGGATCAGTGTCCGGAAAGTCAAAAAGAGGGCCTGTGGGGACTATATGAGGACTGGATCTTTCTTAGTGATTTGTTTTGGAGCAAGGAAAGTTGAGGCTGGCAATTGCTAGTGAGAGCTAATGAGGTCTCTTGAGTTTCCAGGTACTTAACGCTTTGGAATGCAATATTTTTCTTTCTTTTTTTTTTTTTTTGAGATGAGTCTCACTGTGTCTCCCAAGCTGGAGTGCAGTGGTGCCATCTCGGCTCACTGCAACCTCCGCCTCCCAGGTTCAAGCGATTCTCCTGCCTCAGCCTCCTGAGTACCTGGGATTACAGGTGCGCGCCACCATGCCTGGCTACTTTTTGTATTTTTAGTAGAGACCAGGTTTCATCAGTTGGTCAGGCTGGTCTCGATCTCCTGACCTCATGATCCACCCACCGTGGCCTCCCAAAGTGGTGGGATTACAGACGTGAGCCACTGCGCCCGGCGGAATGCAATATTTTTCTAACAGCACCAAACTAGGACTATGGAGAACAAGACACTGATCTTTCTTGGCTGAGGGCCCTCATAACACCACCACCTTCTCTGCCCCCTAGCATGTAACTTTCCCTTTGTTAGCTTGTCCAAATTAAAGGAATGAGAATACTTAACTCAGTCTTCTTTTTTCTCATAGGACTACAAATCCCTCCAGGATATCATTGCCATCCTGGGTATGGATGAACTTTCTGAGGAAGACAAGTTGACCGTGTCCCGTGCACGGAAAATACAGCGTTTCTTGTCTCAGCCATTCCAGGTTGCTGAGGTCTTCACAGGTCATATGGGGAAGCTGGTACCCCTGAAGGAGACCATCAAAGGATTCCAGCAGATTTTGGCAGGTGAGATTTTGAGTACAAATCTTGAATGTTTACTGTGCTGTGGTCCCATTCCAACAACCGTCAAGCAATATATGTAATATACTATGCTTAATTATATTTTTTAATTTAAAAAACAAACTTACCCATTGATTTTGTTTGAAAATACTCTACATTTAATTTGAGTGTGATTTGTTACTTGATTCTCTAGCTCCCTTTTATTTTATATGTATTTTTTGAGACTGAGTCTCTGTCGCCCAGGCTGGAGTACACTGGTGCAATCTTGGCTCACTGCAACCTCCACCTGCCGGGTTCAAGTGATTCTCCAGCCTCAACCATCCAAGTAGCTGGGATTACAGGCACACGCCACCACGCCTGGCTAATTTTTGTATTTTTAGTAGCCATGGGGTTTCACCATGTTGGCTGGGCTTGTCTCGAACTCCTGACCTTAGGTGATCCGCCTGCCTTGGCCTCCCAAAGTGCTGGGATTACAGGTGTAAGCCACCGTGCCTGGCCCATGTGTTCTTAATTCATACTGTATCATATCTTGTAAATTTGATTTGTGAGGGAAATTTAAGCTTTCTAAGATGACATGAATTCATCACATTCTAACTGATGGCCTGAAGTGGTGAGGAATGTTACATGATGCAGAAAGTTGATATCCCTCCGCTTCTTACTCTTTTTTTTTTTCTCCCCCATCATACAGGTGAATATGACCATCTCCCAGAACAGGCCTTCTATATGGTGGGACCCATTGAAGAAGCTGTGGCAAAAGCTGATAAGCTGGCTGAAGAGCATTCATCGTGAGGGGTCTTTGTCCTCTGTACTGTCTCTCTCCTTGCCCCTAACCCAAAAAGCTTCATTTTTCTGTGTAGGCTGCACAAGAGCCTTGATTGAAGATATATTCTTTCTGAACAGTATTTAAGGTTTCCAATAAAATGTACACCCCTCAGAATTTGTCTGATTCTCTTGGTTCTGACAACATAGTCAACACTGAAGGGTTATGTATTTAATTTTAGTTTTAGAGACACGGTGTCTGGCTGTGTTGCCAAGACTGGTCTCTAACTCCTGGGCTCGAGATCTCCCACCTCAGTCTCCTGAGTAGCTGGGGCTACAGGTGTATGTAGTCTCACATCACCAGCACTGTTTTCAACAATTAGATTTTTAGAGTGGCTATAAGAAGCAGTTTCAGCATGAAGTGGGCCATGTATGTTTGAAATTGGTCCTTAAAAATAGCCATTCTCTTTTGTTGATGGACAACCGTACCTCTTGTGAGGGGTTTCCTGTGGGTAGTGTGATCTTAGTAGGGCCTCAGTTTTGGGCCTTTTGTTCAATACAAATTGATTTTTTTTTTTTTTTGGCCTCTATTCCATGTGGCACATCCCTACTTCTTGGTTAAAAATAGGACTTTTTTGAAGGGCATATTGGGAAAAACTCGTTTTAGAAATAACTTATTTCCAGGGGTTAATCTGAGTTTAATGAATTAAATTTTCAAGAAATAGTGATGAAGAATACTGATCTTTGTTAAAATGGAATCAAAAGGGTTCTCTACATCTTGGTTAGGCCTTCATGTCTTCAGAAAGTGTACTTAACTACTTCCTGACATTTTGGGCAAGCCTAAATAAAAGTTGCTTGTGATTCCTTGAGGCTATGCAGAGGCATATAATACCATAAGGCCTAGTCCACCCTCTGTGAAGATCCCCTTATGAAAGTCCAGAAAAGATAATCTTACAAGGGAATAGCAATTTTCAGAGTTGCTGGCTTGGGCTTCTAAACTAATGAAGTTAGGTTATTTTCCCTTCATTTTAGCCGACTGAGAGGTGCAGGGGTAGAAGATATATTTTACCATTTCAATTTAAAAGAAGCGTGCAAGGTCAGATTGGGTTCCTCTTGTGTTCTTTTCCGGGACCAGACCCATCCGACTGCCCTCTCGCGGTAGCACTGGAGACTCTGCAAGAACTCTGATCCCATTTTCAAATCCATGAAGGCCATTTGCTGGGATGTGGCTCTCAGTTAAAGACTGTTTACAGACCAGCTGGGGCTTTTGTCCTGGGGAGGAGCCTGTATCTATAAGCTCCACCCGCTGAGTCCATCAAGTTAGGTAGAAGCTGGGCGGGGACAAGCTGAGCTCCAATTCAGAGGCCCCTGGGGGCTGAAGGTTGGGGAGGGCTTTTTGGCGCGGGGCCAGGGGTGGAGTAGGGGCCTCTAAGCTTCCTTCCATCTGCCTGTGACGTCCTTGGCAGCAGCCTCTCCCGCAGTCTCTCCTGTGTCATGATCTGGACAGAAGGTGGAGCCCCTGAGCTGCTTGTGCTGGTAGTTTGCTCCCAGAAAAGCTGGGATTTGGGGAAATGCTGAGTTATGGGGGTGTGGACACTTCCTCTAGGTCCTGACTCTGGAGTGGGTAAGAAGCTGGTAGAAAAAGCCCTAGGGTACAGGTCAGCCCTTTCTGCTTTGTTTTCTCACGTCACCCGATACAGACCTGGGAACTGAAATCCTAAAGGTCTTTTGCATCCCTCCACCCCTTCCCCCAACATGTTCACGTCCTTCAGCGTTTATCGAGAACCTTCTCCCTCTCAGTAGCTGCAACTATTTGTTTCCTTCCCCCTTTGCCGGCCTCTTCTACCATGCCACTGGAGTGTCAACACAGCTCTCTAACCTTCCTCCATATTTCTCCTGGTCTGCCCTGTCCTCGCCTCCTCCCTCTCTCCACCCAGAGAAAGCCCCGCCCTTCCCTCCTCCCTCCCCACCCCAGTCTGTCACACAGGGACATCACCCTACAGCAGTTCAGGCTGTGTGGTTCGCAGGAAGCATACACTGGCTTTTTGATTCTTGCTAGTTCCCAGCTCACAGTTTGGGAGGATCCAACACCAACCTTTACGTGAAGTGGAGGCCCAAGGACAGTGAGGAGCTGGGTGGTCCCAGCCTGGAGCTGTGCCAGCCTGACATGGGTGAGTATGGGGACCAGCCCCGGGGAAGGCCTGAGGGATGCCTACTCCCTCCCTGGCTGACTCAGCAGGGGTGGGGCCTAACCTTTGCTCATTTGGGGGCTGAAGGAGAGGAAACAGGACTCTGGGGGACGGGGGGCACAGGGCTCAGCTAGCGAGGCTGCCGACCACGGGATCCTGAGTATGGGCAAGCCCCAGTTCTAAGGAAGAGCCTGAGACGCATCTTAGGCCAGGGCTTTCCCAGCCCCCTCCCCGCCGCCCCGTGGAGGATTGCCCCTGCTCCTCCCCATTTAAGCTGTTGAGATTCAAGGAAATTTTGACAGTACTCACTGCTAGCCCCCACAAAAGTAAAGCCGGCTTTTGGCAGTGCTGGAAGGTCTTTAAAATGCCTCCCCTCCCTCTCATTTTTCTAAGGCCTTTTAAGTCTGTCTTCTCTCCTCCCCCACCTTGACCCACCTTCAGGTGGGGGCTGCACTGAGCAGCTGCTTCCTGTTGCCCCAGAGACTGAAGCAAGGGTGGTGGTGGTTGGGGGAAAACTGAACCAAAGTCGATTCTCATGGTCCCACATCAGCCTCACCAGGGCTGCTATTGATGGCCCCCACACTACAGTCACTGAGGGCACTGAGTGGGACGCAGGATTGAGGTTGAGAGGATAGGAGGTTTTTGCCTTCGTGGCTTCCTGATTCCAAAGGCCCCACAGCCGTAGGGATGGAGCCCTGAGGAGCTGAAACACGGGGAACCAGTTCACCTAGTAGGGCGCTGCGCGTGACCCCCAGCAGGCTCGGCCTTGAGTTCCCTCTCCTGCACCCCTAGGCCTCCTAGGAGCCCATGTAGCTCTTTCTGCCTTCCCCGGCCTCTTTTGTGAAGCGGTCTTTGCTGGTGCCCTGGGAGCGCGGGCAGAGCTCTCCCAAGTCCTTCCTTTCGGACCTACCACCATCCCCCACTTCACCGCAGAAGTTTCTGTCTCTTTCTGGGATCCGTTCTCTTCCTCCCATCTGGGATCCTTCCTGGTTCTGGCCCCTAGGAGACGCCACCCGCTATCCTCTCCCCCAGTGGATCCTTCGCGACTGCTCTCCTGAGCGGTTGTCCTCACCTCGGTAGTTCCTGCCCCTTTAAGCACCACCTCCTCCCCTCCGCCGCCGCCGGCCCAGGGCTGGGGGAGGAGGCGCAGCCGCCGCCCGGCTCGGCCACCTGCGCCTCTGCCGCCGCCGCCGCCGCCTGCGGCCCGGCCCTGCTCCAGGTGAGGCCCGGCACCCACCTCCAGCTCCGGAGTCCCTTGGCGGGCCGTTCCTGCGGTATCCTGCCCCGGGATCCCTGCTGCCCCGGGATTCGGGATCTGACTCTCCCCCTGAGGGAGCTGCCCTTCCTCTCTCCCCTGAACTATCTACTCGCCCATTTTCCCCCTGTCCTCCGCGACCGGAATCCGGAGGCTTCTCACGCCTCTCCGCCATCGTCTCCCGAGTACCTTTCCTATTCTGGGCCCAGGATCTCCCCCTCCCCCGCGCCTTCTTCGCCAGAAAAATCTCCCGCGGTCTGGGTTTCGCCTCCTCCCCTCTGAACTAGCGCTTTCCCACGCCTTCCTAACCCCAATGGGAGGGGGGATACCCACCCCAACTCCTCTCCTTCCCCGTAGTAAGGGGGGCGGGGGAGCAACATCGACAGCACTATCTGTCCCTGCTCCGCTCAGCCCTTTAAGTTCAGCTAAGTCCCATCTAAACCTTTTCTGTAGTCCTCACCCCACCCTACATCTCCGGGAGCTTGGGGTCCAACCTCAGCACCGCCTACTGAGCCCAGGTGGGAAGGACTCTCCTCCTGGGCCTAGGGTTGGTCGGTGCAGCCTAGGAAGGCCCCTCCCCCAGAACCTGGGAGCTGGGGGCCAGGGCGCTGCCGGAATCTTGTGCTTCAGGGCCTCAGGGACAGTTGGGAGAGAGTGCGTGGGGAGCTGGGGCTAAATCTCTAAGGGAGTTGGGGCGATGGGGAAGGCAAGAGAAGTCCAGTCTTCTCTGTTCAGATGCAAAGGAAGCCCCCCGACTCCCTAGGAAATAGGGGCTTTCTCTAACTTCCAGGACCACCATAGAGAATCCCATTGGGAAGTTTGGAAACAAGTCTGTGTGAATCTGAGGAGCCACCTGTCGACTTAAAGGGGAGAAGGGGGCCGGGTGGAGTGTGCTCGCCTGTAATCCCAGTACTTTGGGAGGCCAAGGTGGGCAGATCACTTGAGGTCAGGAGTTCGAAACCAGCTTGGGCAACATGGCAAAACCTTGTCTCTACAAAATATACAAAAATTAGCCAGTCGTGGTGGCGTGTGCCTGTAATCCCAGCTACTATCGCTTGAACCTGGCAGGCTGGAACCTGGCAGGCGTAGGTTGCAGCGAGCTGAGATCACAACACTGCATTCTGGCCTGGGTGACAGAGCAAGACTGTCTCAAAACAAAACAAAACAAACAAACAAACAAAAGTGGGGGAAGAAGGGGAGGGGTGTTTTCCTTGTGATGTGTTATGGGAGAATCTAGCCTTCCCAGATTGTAGAGGGGGTGAAGACTTTTGCTTTAACCTGGTGGGGGGGTCTAGTTGGAATGGTTACCCGGCTAAGAGCCATCTCCCTGCTAGACAGATCCTGTTAACAGTATGATCCATTCAGCCAGTGAGGGGAAGGCAGGTCTTTAATAATTATCCCACCTCCATTAGAGAATTCCCCCTCCACCCCCAGTCCAGCTGCGCCCCTAGCTATGCTCTTTCATTTCCCACTCCTCACTTCCAGAATTAGGGGACTGGCTGCCAAGATCTGCTTCAGACTCTTCTAAGTCATGTTTGGAGGGGGTGCTGGGGGGAGGAGAGGGTGTTCAGCAGTGGTGTTTGGGGTTGGATGCCAGGAGTATCTGGTGGGGGAGAGGGAAGGATGTAGAGGGATGCAAACGAATCCCCTTCTCTCTCTTCCTCCTCCCAGCCCTAGCCATCTGGCTACAGAGTGGAGCCAGGCACTGTGGCAGCTGACCCCAGAGTCAGGGAGGTGCTGCAGGAACACAGGGAGGGTGAGAAAGGGGGTGCAGGTGCTAATTTGTCCCTCCCCATTCTCTTCATGACTAGTCCACTGGCCTGGCTTGAGGGAGGTTCAGCCTATTCCCTGGAGACTCTCCTTACAAGTTGCTGATAAAATGACCATTTGCCCCTTCCCCTTTCTAGTAGCTTCCTGAAGGGAAATGGGTGGGGAAAAGAGAGGTGGGTGGGTGATCAGCCACATCTGATGGGATTGAGGAGTGTTTCGGGACATTTGGGGTCAGTCTGCCCTCTCTCGTCTGGATGGGGGGAGAAGCACAGCTGCAGCATGGGGTGACTTCTAGCAAGAAGTAAACATCCAGCTGTTGGGCACACTGTCACCCCAACCTCATCCTTCCTCAGAGCAAGGAAGATCCTGATTAGATGAGATGAGGTGGGGTCTCATTCAGGAATGAGGATGATTGTAGTCTTTCTGCACCAGATGGGAAGAATGGATCCTACCTCATTTTCTTTTCTAATCCCAAGTGGTCCTCTCCTATCCAACACCCCTCTTCCTAACCGCTCCTGGCTGGAATAGTCCTAAAGGTTGCCCTGGAGACTAGGCCTGGGGCTCGGAAGGGGTGGGGGCGGTCAGTGGGGCACAGGAGTAACCGGCTCTTCCGGAGCAGAGTGGAGCCAGTGGTGGGTGTGTGTGGGTGTGGGGAGGGGCGTGGCTACACCCGTCTGACGGGCGCAGGCTCCTCCCCTGCCTGCCCAGTCCCCGACTGGCCCCCTTTAAGATTGGGAGCAGGAGGTAGGAAGATTCTCCCTCATCTGCTCTGGAAAAGGGCAGGGAAGACAAAAGGATACCAGCTTCCTTACCCACACCCCCATCCCGCCGCCCTTGAGGCCTCAGTTTTATGCCTTTCTTCACCTGCCTTAATTTTTTATTTGGGGATAGAGAGGCATTTCTTAGCAGAAGTTTGCCAGAGCCCTCCTTTCTCCAGAAGGAAGGAAACCTCTACCCTGAGTGTGACCTCTACTTACTCAGGGACTTGAGGTCAGCAGGCTGTTGGAGGAGTATTTTTTTTTCCCCAAGGTGACCTGTAAATCTGTTGTTTTGACAGGGAGGAGAGAAGGGTTTTGGTTTCCACCTGCCTATTCCCTCCACTGGTAATCTACTTATCTCGAGAGAGGAAGAGAAACCCCCTTAGCCTTCTGTGTCTGTGGCCCACACACTCTGTGAGCCTTTGCTAAAGCTAGCTTCCTTCTTATCCTCTCTGAGCCATTTGTAGTGGGGGGGTGGAGGGGTGGAGTCTTTCCCCAAAATTCAGGAAGAGCCCACCCCTCTGTGGAGTAAGGAAATCCAATGTAGACTGATGGATCTCACCCCCCAACTCTGCCCATTTTTCAGATCTCTTTCCTCCTCAGACCCCCAGAGGAAAACGTATTTGTTGACACCCCAACTTGCCAGAGTTTCATCATCCCCACTCTGTTGCTTTTCCAGAATATTCAGCAGCCTGAGCTTTGCACAGTTTAGGCAACTGTTTCTAGAACTGCATTGCATTGAATTAAATGGGAATTATCTTCAAGGCTGCAAAGTGTTGAGTTGCAAGGAAAGGAAACCTGGTTTCCTTTCTTGTCATATTTTATCCACTGTTTGACATTGAAGAAGTCATTGAACCTCTTTGGGTCTTAATTTCTTCATTTGATGAAGGAGAGAAGGTTGAACTAGAATTTTTTTTTTTTTTTTTTTTTGAGATAGAGTCTCCCTCTGTCACCCAGGCTGGAGTGCAATGGCGCGATCTCAGTTCACTGCAACCTCCACCTCCCAGGTTCAAGCGATTCTCTTGCCTCGGCCTCCTGAGTAGCTGAGATTACAGGGGCACGCCACCACACCCAGCTAATTTTTGTATTTTTAGTAGAGACCGGGTTTCATCATGTTGGTCAGGCTGGTCTTGAACTCCTGACATCATGATCCACCTGCCTCGGCCTCCCAAAGTGCTGGGATTACAGCCGTGAGCCACCGCGTCCGGCCTGAACTAGAAATTCTCTAAGCTCTAACATCATATGACACTGTTCTTCATCCTGGTGCCCTGCAGTGGACATTTTAGGTGACAGCCAAACTCTAGTCCTCTGCTAGATTTTACTTTTCTGAGTTTTCACACAGTTATGTAGCCCTGTCAGAAAAAAATTCCCAGAACCATAGAATGGGTGGACATTTGTGGCATCTTTTTGCTGATTAGTTTTCAGCTTATCCTTTACTTCTCTGACTGCATTTAGGCTACACTCAGGTCTTTGCTGTCTGGTTCCAGAGCCGAACCTTCTTTCCCCCACGCACAGGAATCTTTCCTTTCCGGTGACCAGGGCCCTGCAGATGTCGCCAGGAAAGTGGTGATCCAGGCAGGACCAGGCTGCACTGAAGGGACAGAGGTGAGTGGGTGGCTGACTCTTGCCTCTCCCCATCCCTTTACTGAATCGCGACCTGAGTGACTAACCTTTCTATTTCCACGTTTCCATTACCCTACCTGGGAAATAACTGCCCCCGAAATTCCCCTGACTCTTACCCCTACCAGCCTGTTAGAGAAGTGGCACCTGCCTTTGGGCCTAGACGTTTGGTCTAGTCTTTTAAGTTAACCTTGGGACTGTGGCATGCCTTTCAGTTTGCCCTGTGTGAAGCAGGACCACTGCCTCCATGAGATGCGGGTGCAGAGGGAGCTGCCAGGTGGGCAAGGTGGCCAGAGTTGCAGGAGGCACAGCGGCGCTAGGACCCAGGTCCGGGTCGGAAAGATGGGCTGGCGGGCTTTAGGACCCTGTGGCGGAGGCCGCGTGGGGAGACTCTCTCCCGGCCGAGGCTTCTCCGCCCCCTCCGGCTCCGACTCACTCCTCCCCCGCCGGCCATGTTGGCTCCTCTCGGGCCCCGCGGTTGAGCCGCGTCCCCCTCCCCCTTCCCGAACCCCGGACCCCAGACCCCCTCCCCAGCGGGCGTCTCCACCCGTTCTGGCGCCCGGAGCGCGGCCATGTGAACCGCTTGTACCCCGGGGAGAGACGAGCCCCGAGCCCGGCTGGACGCCGCTGCCTCAGGTTTGTGGGGTCTGTGGCCAGGGGCCTGAGGGGGAGGGAGCCCCGCTTTCATCCGAGGCTTCCCTCGGGGAACAGAAGCTCCAGAGCCGGCTTGAGCCTTGCCGGGGCGGGAAGCCGACGGGAGCTTATTTCCTGCGAGGATCCAACCCGAGGCGAGGGTCTCCTTGCTCTGGGGTCTGGGAGGAGAACAGGGCTGGTGGGGCTGCTGAGGACCCCGGACGGGGCCGCGGGGGCAGGAGGAGCTGTAGGGGCTCCCGGCGACAGTGAGGAGGCGGAGAAGCCGCCTGGCTGGTGGAGATGACTCCTGTGGGGGACTTGGGGTGGAATCCCCGGGAGGGGCTCCACCTCCTCGGGTGGGGGTGGGGATTGCCTGAGCGCGAGGGGTGGGTGAGGGGGTTCCCTTGGCGGGTTAAAACGCTCCGTTTGCGGGGAGCTGGGCGTTTTGACTGTGGTGAGTGGAGGGCGGAAGGGGTTTCCAGGGGTCTGAGGGTGTCTCCCTCGGGGAGCGCACCCATTCTCTTGAGCGTGAAGATCAGGAGAGGGCCTTCCTTGCTGAGGGTGGTGCTGCGCTTGGCTTGGGGCCCTCGCGTCCCGGGAGAATCGCGCACTCCGGGGATGGAGGTTGATAGGGCTTCCGCTGAGGCTTTCCAATTTGAGCTGGGCTGAGGGGCAGAAGGGAAGAATAAAGAGGAATTCCTTTTTCCAAGGAGATTCCTCACTGAGGGGATCCCCGCTTCCGTGGCAGAAAGATGATACCGCATCATCCCTTTCTTTCCCGGTGTTCCCAGTTTTCAGGAGAAGGCAATGTCAATAGCAGTTGTCCTTTGTAGGGTTAATTGGAGTGAGAGATTTGTCTGCTTTGGGGGACGACGGAGGGGATAGCTTTCCACCTCTATCTGTACACAAACAGCCCCTCCCCCAGCCTCCCGCAGGAAGTGGCCGGGAAATGGCAGCTGTGCGTTTGCTGCTGCGTGTCTTGTTGTTTTGAAATGTCCATTTTAATCAGATTTGGTTTCATTTTCTGAAGCCTTCTGGGCAAGCTTGGATCTTGCCAACCATGTGGCCCGAGAGACCTTTCGTTGGACTTTTTTTTTTTTTGTAAACTTGTCAACTGGAAGTAGTCAACTTCAGTTGACTCACGTATCCCAATCCCTTCTCCAGAACATCTCTGTCTTCCTGTCTGGTTTCGTTTTGTTTTCCCTTTAGCTAGAGGTCATAGAGAAGCAAACTCAGTTATCTACCAGCGGGGTACGCTCTATGTAAGTGATGCAAATTCCCTCAGCATAGAGAGCTGTCAGGGAGACTAGAGAGCTTTTGTGGCACGAGTAGCTTCTTGGGGTCCTACTTTAGTATAGTTATTATGACAGTTTCTATATTGCAGAGCACCTGAGCAAGTGAGCTTGTGAAGAAGGGTAGATTCTAAGAAATGGACGAAGAGGAAGGGGTGAGGAAGATTTAACTATTAGATGGATTTGTGTGTCGGGGGTAGGGACTGATTAACAGACTGAGATTGGTGAACTCAGTCCTTGGTGGTGATTCTAGCCTAAGGGCAGCCCCTGTGGGAAGCTTGTTATTTGACTAAGGGGTGCTGGAGATACTACCTTCTGCAGAATCAACTAATTAGAATAGTACAGTTTGTTATCATATGACTTACTCTTTAATCCATAAAAGAACGTCTCCCCTCTTATTCTTCTTGGAGATTGGTAAGCTTTTCCTCTGTTCCCTGCAAAGTCGTGCCCAGATTTTTTTTTTCTTTCTTTTCACTTGATAATCCCAGGATATTTCTCCTGTAACATATAGTGATGGACTGTGTGCTATGTCCCCAGGCATTTTGTGGCACACTGGATTTGGTTAGGGGCAACAGTTGGCCACAGAATTTTATTTTTCTTTCTTTTCTTTTTCTTTTCTTTTTTTTTCTTTCTGTCTTTTTTTTTTTTTTTTTTTTTTGAGACGGAGTTTTGCTTTTGTCGCCCAGGCTGGAGTGGTGTGATCTTGTCTCACTGCAACCTCTGCCTCCCGGGTTCAAGCGAGTTGCCTGTCTCAGCCTCCCGAGTAGCTGGGATTACAGGAGCCCGCCACCGCATCCAGCTAATTATTTTATTTTTAGTAGAGACGGCGTTTCATCATGTTGGCCAGGCTGGTCTCGAATTCCTGACCTCAGGTGATCTACCCACCTCGGCCTCCCAAAGTGCAGGGATTACAGGTGTGAGCCACCATGCCTGGTCTTCTCTTCTTTTCTTTTTTTTCTCTTCTCTCTCTCTTTTCTTTTCTCTTTCTTTCTTTCTTTTTTTTTTTTTTTGAGACAGGGTCTCACTCCGATGCCCAGGCTGGAGTGCAGTGGCGCCATCATAGCTCACTGCAGCCCCGACCTCTTTGGCTCAAGTGATCCTCCCACCTCAGCCCCCTGAGTAGCTGGGACCACAGACACGCACCACCACATCCAGCTAATTTTTTGTAATTTTTGTAGAGGTGGGGTTTTGCCAGTTTGCACAGGCTGGTCTTGAACTCCTGGGCTCAAGTGACCTGCCTGCCTTAGCCTCCCAAAGTACTGAGATTACAGGCATGAGCCACCATGCCCGGCCTATGACCCCAGGACCACAGGATTTTAGATTTTGAAAGATAAAGTTTTGTTTTTTTCTTTTTCTTTTTTTTTTTTTTTGAGATGGAGTCTCGCTCTGTTGCCCAGGCTGGAGTACGGTGGCACCATCTGGACTCACTGCAACCCTCGCCTCCCAGGTTCAAGCGATCCTCCTGCCTCAGCCCTCCAGTAGCTGGAATTACAGGCATGCGCCACCATGCCTGGCTAATTTTTGTATTTTTAGTAGAGAAGGGGTTTCACCATGTTGGTCAGGCTGGTCTCGAACTCGAATTGAGCCTCCCAAAGTGCTGGGGTTACAGGCATAAGCCACAGGGCCAAGCCTTGAAAGATAACATTTTCAGATTATTTGGACTATTCTGAAAACTACGTAAGCCTGTCATTTAAATCATCTTTTCACTATTTATTTTCCAGGCAAAAACCCCTCCCACCTAGATGAAGATCCCTAGATTAAAGATCCAGTATGGGAGCAGATAGACACTTATGATTGTGTGAAAGTGGCATCATCACTAGTAAGATAGCAGCATCATTGCTCTTCTCACTGGGGCTGTTGGGGTTTTTGATATTCTGGAAACAGTAAAAACAAGTCCATCTGATGTCAGCATCCTTTTTCTTGCCCCTGATTAGTTCCTTTAAGTTGCTGTCTGATGGGGTTGATTTGATGCTGATTTTAAGTTCCCCTTTCTTCAGCCTTTGCTTACCTGAATTGGCACTTGACAGAACAGCAAGTTGATTTTCCCTGTTGGGGGTTAAAAGAGTAAAGAAAGGAGAGATAACTACTCTTGAGTCTTTGGACTTTTAAAAGAAAAGCTGATTTTGAGAAAATAGTGATTTCATTTGATACATGATTGAATTGGGAGCTGAATGAAGCAAACCTTTCATGGCCTTCTTATAAAATGGGTGCATTTTTCTGTCAGAGAAATATATTTCTTAATATTTCAAGCTTCTCGATGAAAGAAAAAATCTGAGGTGTAAAGAGAGCTGTATGGGCTGACCCCAGAGCCAGTCTAGAATGAAGGGTTCATCTTGTAGTCTTGCGGCTCTGGAATCAAGTATTACTGGGAGAGAAGCAAAGCTTGTTAGGGTTACTGACAGTGTCTTCCTGCTGTTGACCTTTCTTGTCACCACTGAAGAGGTCAAGCACCAAACTGCTATTTTTACTGCTGAAACAGTATAGAAGTTAGTCATTGATAATGATGTTTGACCTTGTGTAAGATGTATCAAGAGCAGCAATAATGCCAAGTATAAAATTTGAGATAATTCCTGGGGTAAATAACCTTCTTGGTTTGTTTCTTAGGATGTTGGTGTCCTCATATGCCTTATATATAGCCCAAGATGAATAGTTTCTCAGTATTATCTCATGTGGGTCAGTAGGACTATTTTTCACCAGCTTGTTATTATCAGTCTGCCTAATTTGGAAATTTAAAAAATTGTGCAAAACAAAAAAGCCCATCTTTGAAGATATCTGATACTTTGAAGATACTGTCACTAGCAGTAAAAGTAGCATTGGCTTAGTGTTTTGTCTTTTCTCCTCTTTAAAGAGAACAGTTATTATGGGGGCATTTTGCAGACTAAAATACTGTAATCTTGCCAAAAATTTACCAAAGAAAGGAAGAAGTTTTTTGTTGTTGTTTTTTTTTTTTTTTTTTTTTTGAGACGGAGTTTCGCTGTGTCGCCCAGGCTGGAGTGCAGTGGCGCGATCTCGACTCACTGCAAGCTCCGCCTCCCGGGTTCACGCCATTCTCCTGCCTCAGCCTCCCGTGTAGCTGGGACTACAGGCGCGCGCCACCATGCCCGGCTAATTTTTGTATTTTTAGTAGAGACGGGGTTTCACCGTGTTAGCCAGGATGGTCTCGATCTCCTGACCTCATGATCCGCCCGTCTCGGCCTCCCAAAGTGCTGGGATTACAGGCGTGAGCCAAGAAGTTTTTAAAAGATAGATGGTCTTCCTACTTTTAGTCTTTTGAGGTTGGACTCTGTAACCTGCCTCATGAATGGGGTCCTTAACCTGCCTGCTTAGCTCATATTTGGGGGTGGAAAGGGTGGAGTCCTTAACTGTTAGAGTTTAAATTCTGGCTGGGCACGGTGGCTCAGCCTGCAGTCGCAGCACTTTGGGAGGCTGAGGCGTGCGGATCACCTGAAGTCAGGAGTTCAAGACCAGCCTGACCAACATGGTGAAACCCTGTCTCTACTAAAAATATGAAAATTAGCCGGGTGTGATGGTGGGCGCCTGTAATCCCAGCTACTTGGGAGGCTGAGGCAGGAGAATTGCTTGAACCGGGGAGATGGAGGTTGCAGTGAGCAGAGATCGTGCCACTGCACCCCAGCCTGGGCAACAGAGCCACACTGTCTCAAAAAAAAAAAAAAAAAAAAAGAAATTCTAAGAAACAATCAGAGCTGAAAGAGGGAAATTACCTTAATATAACCTCTGGACTGTGGCTTTTAGTGTCCTGCAATTTCAGAGGCATTCCTGGTCTTCTGAGAGTAAAGTGACTGGAAATGTGGCAGAAAACTTAACCTGTAGTTTCTTTAATTAACAAATATATAAAAACCTATTATATGCCTCAAGTGTTCAGTTAAACCAAGTAGAATGTTTTATTAATTCAGAGCTTACGTTTATTTATTTTTTTATTTGGTTGAAAACGGTGGTGTGATCATAGCCCACTGCAGCCTCCAGGTCCTGGACTCAAATAATCCTCCCACCTCAGCCTCCGGAGAACCTGGCACTACAGGCATATGCCACCATGCCTAGCTAATTTATTGGCTTTTTACATTATCAGTACTTCCCTATTTTCAGGCCTTATTTTCTTCAAGGAATGGCTATTTAAGTACGTCAAGATTTGAGGCCTTTCTTCTCTCTTGAAATTTTTATCTCTGTGAAGAATGAAGCTGAGTTTTTTTTTTTTTTTTTTGTTCTCTGAAAATAGTAAGAGCAAAGCCCATGACCTTCATTGGATAAGTAAGCTGGTAGTGGCAGAAAAGGTAGATTTACTCATTCATTTCTTCAGTCCATGGACTCAACAAATATTTCCTTTGGTTCTTTTGTATACTTAGCACTAAATTAGGTGCTAGGGATATAATGGTGGAACTTATATCCAACTGATGCTGTGGAACCGACATAATGTAGAAGAAATAAGGACAGAGAACAGTCATCTTTGAATTCTTCTGAACAGCCTGGACGTGACAGTTTTCTTTGAGTAGCCCCCTCTTAGTATAATCTTCCTTCTTTCATTATCTTTGTTCTGCCTCACTTGGAGTCCTGACTAGGGAAGGTAGTTAAGGAGAGGATGGATATTTTGAGCCTCAGTCAGTATATGATATAGTTTGTCCGAGTCAGAGTTCAAGGGAAGCTTGTTACTAGGGCACTCAGAATGGGTTATCGTGATTGGAGAAGAGGGCATATTTATTCTGTGGCTTGGTACTTGGAATTTTTTTTTTTTTTTTAGTGTAGAGATAGGGTCTCACTGTGTTGCGCAGGCCAGTCTTGAATTCCTGGCCTCAAGTGATCCTGCTGAGGTTATAGGCATGAGCCACCTCTCCCAGCCTACATGGAACTCTTATTGGTGGAGGAACATGGCTTAGCCAGGGAGATGAGGTTTTTAGATACAAAAGCCAAAGCGTCCTCATTTGCAGTGTCAGGAACTGGGAACAGTGAAAACTTGGAACTTTCCCAAGGTGTGGGGCAGGAATGGGACAGCTTTTACATTAGAACAGGGTTTCTCAGCCTTGGCACTATTGATAACGTGGGCCAGATAATATCTTCGTTGTGGGGGGCGCTGTCCTGTTTGTTGAAGGACGCCTAGCAGCATCTTTGGCTTCTGCTTACTAGATGCCAGTAGCACATACCTTCAGAGATTACTAAATGTCCCCTACGGGGCAGAATTGCCCCTGATGAGAACCTCTGTATTAGAGTGTGGTGGGTAATCCAGAGATGTGTAGAGTTAAGAAATATCCTTCATGATGTTCACAATTACAAAGCTAAAATGTAGTGGTGTGATTTTTACTCTAGAATTTGCCTTTGCTGTTTAGTCAAGATAAACATTTGAAATCTCTCTCACCCCCCAACCCCATTTGTGAGATTTTGATGTACTACATGAGAAGAATGAACCCAAGAGCTGCAGGGACCACTGCAGTATCCAGCTGGAGGGTGTTAATGTGTCTTGTTGTCCTGGGGGGTAGCCTCAGAGGCTGGAGGGTTAGAATTGGTCAGGGAGGACACCTGTAACAGTGTTGCAATATATAATATTTATTTCAACACTTTGTGCATTGTCAGCCTTTTTCTTTTTTTTTTTTGAGATGGAGTCTCGCTCTGTCGCCCAGACTGGAGTGCAGTGACGCGATCTCGGCTCACTGCAACCTCCACCTCCCGGGTTCACGCCATTCTCCTGCCTCAGCCTCCCGAGTAGGTAGGACTACAGGTGCCCGCCACCACGCCTGGCTAATTTTTTCTATTTTTAGTAGAGACAGGGTTTCACCGTGTTAGCCAGGATGGTCTCGATCTCTTGACCTCGTGATCCGCTCACCTCGGCCTCCCAAAGTGCTGGGATTACACGAGCCACTGCTCTTGGTGTTGTCAGCCTTTTTCTATTAAACCATGTCACAGGCCCACAGAGTAGCAGCTCTTTGATTGGAACTGGGAGAAAAGCAACCTATTCGGCCCTGTGGGGAGGGCTTTATTGCTTCAAGCTTATAGGGCAATGTCCCTTACTCTTATAAATGAAACATAGGAGCTCTTAAAAGATCCATTTATGTATAGCTGGGACTGGGCTGGGTGCTTGAATGAATGTACTTCCTGGTATGAGAGTCATCTGCTACTCTAGGGGTTGGGCACTGGCTGATTTCTTTTCTCATTTGGTGAAAATCCTATTAGTTCAAAGGGAGATGCTCTCCTTTGCTTTACTGTTCTTACTAGCTCTGGATGGGAGGACAGAGTTTACCTTTAGGGTTTATTGTGAAAAGCATCTTGAGTAGGAAGGTTAAAATGAAATAAACCTAGGTTCATTGTTGAGAGGAGGTGTTCACATGTTTTTCGTATTCCCATACTGTGACATAATTAATTCCCATATTTAAGTGACATCTGAAATCAGGAGTCAAATTGTATATAAGGAAGTCTGGCTGGATCATCCCTAGTTTTAAATTATATTTATTTTATATGTAGACCGTTTAGACCTGATTATCTTTTTTTTTTGGAGATAGAGTGTTGCTCTGTCACCCAGGCTAGAGTGCAATGGTGCGATCTCAGCTCACTGCAACCTCCATCTCCTGGATTCAAGCAATTCTCCTGCCTCAGCCTCCTGAGTAGCTGGGATTACAGGTGCCCGCCACCACGCCCAGCTAATTTTTTGTAATTTTAATAGAGATGGGGTTTCGCCATGTTGGCCAGGCTGGTTTCGAACTCTTGACTTCAGGTGATCCACCCACCTTGGCCTCCCAAAGTGCTGGGATTACAGGCGTGAACCACTGCGCCTGGCCAGGCCTGATTATCTTTTTGAAAACTACACAGTCTTTTACTGTTTGTCTAATAATAGTAGCTAATGTAGTCCTGGTAAGGTGGCTCACGCCTGTAATCCCAGCACTTTGGGAGGTCAAGGTGGGAGAATTGCTTGAGGCCAGGAATTTGAGACCATCATGGGCAACATAGCGAGACCCTGTGTCTACAAAAAAATTTAAAAATTAGCCAGGTGTGGTGGTGAGCACCTGTAGTCCTAGCTACTTGGGAAGCTGAGGCAGGAGGATTACTGGAGCCCAGGAGTTCCAGGCTGCAGTGAGCTATGATCATGCCACTGCACACCACTCTGGATGACAGAGTGAGACTCTGTCTCAAGAAGAAAAAAAAAAAACTAACGTTTATGGAGTGCTTGCTGGATGACAGACACTGTGCTGGGGCTCTAATTTAGATTTTCTCATTTCATCCTCACCAGTCCTTAAAAGTGGGTACAAAAATTGTTACAGATGATGAAACTTAGGCCCAGCAAGTATAAGTAACTTGTCCAAGGTTAAACAGCTAGCTAGTAAATAGTAGAGTTGGGATTTGAACCTAGAGCCCACTACATTGTGCTGACCACATTGCATAGCACAAAGACAATTTTATGTGTCTAGGAAGCTTCTCGTAAATGAAGTGGTTGTGGTTCTGATGACAGTTCAGAAGAGACAGGTGGAGAAACTGATCTCACATACTAAATAACTTCCCATTCTTTTTAATTCTCTGATTTCTGTGAGCCATCGACATGTTGTTATTAATATTTACAAAAACAGGATATGCTGTGCTTTTCCAGAGCAGCAGAGAGGAGGTCACAACTTTGTTCTTGGATTCAAATAGAGAATGGAAAAATGAACCGTGACCCATCATTGAGGAGGATATAGTCCACTGCACATAGGATGGAAGTTGCATGTATCCTCCACACCAGGGGAGGTGTACAAAAAACTGGGGAGAGGAGAGGTGAGGATCAGATGAAATTGGCCCTCTAGGCATAGTATTTCCAGGACTTCTGAAGTGAAGAGTGTCCTCCTTGCTCTGTGGTATAAGCTTTGGAAGGAACCTAACTGGAGACTAAGGAATGAACTTTCCTTTAATTCTTGCACTTAAGAAGGATTATTAATCTCATGATGCTTATCTTTCAGACCCCCTACTGCTGAGGAGTAGCTGTTAACTATACTAGGGAAATCCTGACTGGGCGCAGTGGCTCATGGCTGTAATCCCAGCACATTGGGAGGCCGCGGTGGGTCGATCACTTGAGGTCAGGAATTCAAGACCAGCCTGGCCAACATGGTGTAACCCCGTCTCTACTAAAAAGATAAAAAATTATCTGGGCGTGTTGGCGGGTGCCTGTAATCCCAGCTGCTGGGGAGGCTGAGGCAGGAGAATCGCTTGAACCTGGGAGGTGGAGGTTGCAGTGAGCCGAGATCACACCCTTGCACCCCAGCATGGGCAACAAGAGGGAAACTCTGTCTCAAAAAAAAAAAAAGGAAATCCTGGAGGACCCTGTGTGTTTTGTTTGTTTGTTTGTTTTGTTTTGTTTTGTTTTTTTGAGACAGGGTTTCGCTCTGTCACCCAGGCTGGAATGCAGTGGCATGATCTTGGCTCACTGCAATCTCTGCTTCCCAGGCTCAAACAATCCTCCTGCCTCAGCCTCCCAAGTGGCTGGGACTGCAGCTGCTCACCATCATGCCTGGCTAACCTGGGGTCTTTTCACTATAAAGACTCCATTTTTTCACTGATGCATGGCAGGTTTAGGTCTGCTACTTAATTTAGAGCAAGCTTGTCCAGCCCACCCAGGACAACTTTGAATCTGGCCCAATACCAATTTGTAAACTTTCTTAAAAGATAACATGGAGATTTTCTTGTGATTTTTTTTTTTTTTTTAAAGCTCATCAGCTCTCATTAGTGTATTTTATGTGTGGCCCAAGACACTTCTTCCAGTGTGGTCCAGGGAAGCCAAAAGATTGGACACCCCTATTTAGACTAAAGATGAGATATCCTATATGGGAGATAAGTAAGTCCTAAAAACTTTTTCCCTTAAATCAACAAATGCACATTGCTTTTAGTTTTTAGAGATGGGGTCTTGCTATGGTGCATAGGCTGGACTTGCACTTTTGGGCTCAAGTAATCTTCCTGCCTCATCCTCCTGAGCAACTGAGACTACAGGCAGGAACCACCATGCTCAGCTAACTTTTTTATTTTTTGTGGAGACAGAGCCTTGCTATGTTTCCCAAGCTGGTCTTGATCTCCTGACCTCAAGTGATCTTCCTGCTTCAGCCTCCTGGAGCACTAGGATTACAGGCATGAGCCACCATGCTTGGCCTATTTTTATTTTTAAAATTTCAGTTAAAATTGATTAAGATACAGACAATTCCCACATACTATGCAGGGTTTATATATCATGCTCAGACTTATGTTATATTCACATTTATACTAATGGTGTCTAATTTTAGTAATGTAGCATATTTATGAATGTAACTCTTGCAGACTTTGGCCAGTGGGCATATATATTCTTTTCTTTTCTTTTTTTTTTTTTTTTTTGAGACAGGGTCATGCTCTGTCACCTAGGCTGGAGTGCAGTGGCATGATCATGGTTCACTGCAGCCTCGACCTCCTGGGCTCAAGTGATCCTTCTGCCTTAGCCTCTCGAGTAAGCTAGGACCACAGGTGTGCCCCACCACACCCTGCTCCTTTTTTTTTTTTTGAGATGAAGTCTCGCTCTTGTCCCCCAGGCTGGAGTGCAATGGCATGATCTCCGCTCACTGCAACCTCCGTCTCCCAGGTCCAAGCAATTCTCCTGCCTCAGCCTCCCGAGCAGCTGGGATTACAGGTGCCTGCCACCACGCCCAGCTAATTTTTGTATTTTTTAGTAGAGGTAGGGTTTCACCATGTTGGCCAGGCTGGTCTTGAACTCCTGACCTCAGGTGATCCGCCAGCCTCGGCCTCCCAAAGTGCTGGGATTTCAGGTGTGAGCCACCGTGCCTGGCCTTCACACCCTGCTACTTTTAAAATGTTTTGTAGAGATCGGTTCTCGCCATGTTATCCAGCTTGGTCTTAAACTCTTAGCCTCAAATAGTCCTCCTGCTTTGGCTTCCAAAGTATTGGGATTATAGGTGTGAACCACTATGCCAGGCCTCATCATATATGTACTTAACCAGTGTATTCATTCTTTTTTTTTTGAGATGGAGTTTCACTCTTGTCGCCCAGGCTGGAGTGCAATGGCGCAATTTCAGCTCACTGCAACCTCTGCCTTGCGGGTTCAAGCGATTCTCCTTCCTTAGCCTCCTGAGTAGCTGGGATTACAGGTGCCTGCCACCACACCCAGCTAATTTTTGTATTTTTAGTAGAGACAGGGTATTACCATGTTGGTCAGGCTGGTCTCGAACTCCTGACCTCAGGTGAGCCACCGTACCTGGCCTGAATTCTTCTCTTTTTTAAAATGTAGTAACATAATTCAAGGAGTTGCTTTTTCTGTATCAAGACAGATTATGTTTCTCACATATCAAGTTGGTATGCACTAGGATGTCACAAGAATCCGATTGATATGTTAGAGTTTACCAATAATTCTGGCTTCTGCTTGCTTTCTTTCCTTTCCTCTGTCAAAGTTAAATTCATTCTGATCAAGGGCTTCTTATCATTCTTAGTAGTATTCAGAAAGGGTGAAAAACTTTTTAGCCATACCTCAATGAGCCATTGCACTTTACAAATATAAGTATCTTGCTATTTTATTTTCCCTGTGACCGTTTCTTTATATTTAAGCCACAAAACTAAAACATTAGGAAATAACCATAATAGACATAACAGAATAATATTTTTTGGGATACCCTCATATTTAATCAATTTTCCACTGCTGACATTTTTCTGACCTGTGTTCTTGGGGAGCATAAAGAGTAGAAGTATTGCTGGATGATTCGAGGTTTGCCATTATGATCACCTTCCTGAAATGTATTCTCCTTTTCAAATCCCTTTACTAATGTAACTACTATCTTGAGATATCTAGGGCTATGGATAGGATAATTAGAAATTATGTTTAGCTCAAGTTTAATAATGAAACAAAGAGTGTTTATCAAATATGCTTTTCTGTCAAAAAGATGGCTTTGAGAACCTTTTGTGGGCCTGGGAGGGAGACTTTACCTTGGGGATAAAAACAAAAGGATGGAGAATGTTAAGTGGTACAGTAGAGGCTAATATCTAATATAGAAGGGTAACCTGGGCTGAGTGGGGCTTACACAGAGGGAAGACTCCTCCAGGTTTGTATCTTGGTTTTTCTCGCTAACTTGCTTTGTTTTTTAATCTACAAAGCTGGCTTTAAAAGACTGTTTTCATAGGTTCATTGCTCAGGCTAGAGGCATATTTTCTCCTTCTCTTTTCTTATTCTGTACCTTCCCTCACACAGTACTTAGGTAGGAGAAGGGTAAGTAGGTGGAGGGGAGGGGTCATTGCCCCTGGAAGATTCCAGGTGACATAACCTTGTTTAACCGCCAGTATTTTTTTTCCCTCTCTCTCCCCTCCTGCAGAAATGGAGGCAAACGACCATTTTAACTTTACTGGCCTTCCCCCTGCACCTGCTGCCTCAGGACTGAAACCCTCTCCTTCCTCAGGGGAGGGCCTCTACACTAACGGGTCTCCCATGAACTTCCCCCAGCAAGGGAAAAGTGAGTGTGAGGGCTGCTTGGCCTGGGGAGGGAATGGGCATCATCCCTTTAGGGCAGATTCATGGGGGGATATTTTGCTCTACTTTGCTGCTGGAGAGAAATCAACTTCTAAGAACAAGTTCTAGGGTTTTTTGGAAACATTTTTTGTATTGATTTAAGGTTGGAAGAGATTAGAAAAACCCACTGGCTTTTTCATCTTAGCCTGTTCTTCTGTCAGCCCTGTTCCCCTGGCTGCTGACAGAGCAGTGAAGTGGCTACTGCTGCTGATAACCCATGAGAGAGATAAAGTGCTAGCCTTCTAAGAAGCTGTTTTTAGAGGTTAGGGAAGCTACACTGGGCCAGGACTGAGAGTTGAATGAAGGTTGCAGTGTATTTATTGCCTTTTAGTTTGTACATCAGAGAAAGGCAGATGCTAGAAGTACTTATTCCACCTTCTGTCCTTGGATGGAAGGTAGGGACAAGGGAAAGTTTAATGCTTACCTAGTTCCCCCAGAGAGAAGTTCATAATTCCATATGGAGGTGTTGCTGCCAGGATTGGGTCTTTTCCTGGATTTGGCTTACCAGTTGCTCTGTACCATGACTCGCCAGGTACCTCTGTAATCTTGCTTGGGTTTCAAGTCCTTTATACTTGGAAGCAGAGAGAAGCCCACATGCTTCCCTCCTTTCTTGTAGCAGAAAAATCCTGCTACTTCTCCCTCCGATCCTCTCGAAGAGGGTTGCAGATGGTAGAAGCTCCTTTATTTCATTGGATTCCACCCTACCCTCAAGCTTCCTTAATATCTTGGTTCTTTTTGATTGATTGTCCTCCATCCCAGAGGTTGCCATTGATGATGAGAGCTGAATTCTACAGCACACAAAGTGCCCCCCCTACCCCGCCAGCTGGCATATTACCTTCCAATGCCTATAGGGAAGGGCCAAGCCCAGCCTTCTGAGCTGGGTTCTTGTCGCTGTGGTGACTGCAAATTCTATTCTTAGCCCAGCACAAAGTGCTGGATCTGCATGTGCCAGTGAGGTGGAGGTTGTTCCTTTTGGTACCACTGTGGGGCCAAATAGGCACTGGGGAAAGGGGGCCCCTAGCGAATTCAGTCATGCCCCTCCAAGGGAAGAAATCCCCTAGGGAATGAGAGTAGGGCAGAATGCAAGTCACTGTAGGGAGTCTGCAAACAGTTTCATTTAATTAAAAACAAAAAAAAAGGCCAGGCGTGGTGGCTCACGCCTGTAATCCCAGCACTTTGGGAGGCCGAGGCAGGTGGATCACGAGGTCAAGAGATGAGACCATCCTGGCCAACACGGTAAAACCCCGTCTCTACTGAAAATACAAAAATTAGCCGGGCGTGGTGATGGGCGCCTGTGGTCCCAGCTACTCGGGAGGCTGAGGCAGGAGAATCACTTGAACCAGGGAGGCAGAGGTTGCCGTGGGTCGAGATTGCACCACTGCACTCCAGCCTGGTGACATAGCGAGATTCCGTCTCAAAACAAACAAACAAAAAATAAACCAAAAAAAAGCCAGCAGTAAGCAGCAGCAACCAGCTCTGCTGGTGGCTCTCATGGTAGGCCTGGAGAGCTCTCTAGCCCCCTACTCAGCCTCAGCAGCAGTTGCTAAACCTACATCCAGGAGCCTCTGGGCTTGGTGTTCTCCAGAGACCCAAAAACTAAATATAGCAGGGGAGGAATCCCCCTTCCCTTTACCATGTCTTTTTCTAGTCAGTGCTATTACTTTGAGTTTGTTTTGGTAAAGTTGCTTGCCTACATATCTGTAACTGACCTTTTCTTTCTTTCTCTGCCAGGTTTGAATGGGGATGTGAATGTTAATGGCTTATCTACTGTATCTCACACTACTACTTCAGGGATTTTGAACTCTGCTCCCCACTCCTCCAGCACCTCACACCTCCATCACCCCAGCGTGGCCTACGACTGTCTCTGGAACTACTCACAGTACCCATCTGCCAATCCTGGCAGCAACCTCAAGGACCCACCCCTTCTCTCCCAGTTCTCGGGGGGACAATACCCACTCAACGGCATCCTTGGGGGCAGCCGGCAACCTTCATCCCCAAGTCATAACACTAACCTTCGGGCTGGGAGCCAAGAGTTCTGGGCCAACGGTACCCAGAGTCCCATGGGGCTTAACTTTGATTCACAAGAACTGTATGATTCCTTTCCTGACCAGAATTTTGAGGTGATGCCCAATGGACCCCCTAGTTTTTTCACCTCCCCACAGACTTCTCCTATGTTGGGATCTAGCATTCAAACCTTTGCACCCTCCCAGGAGGTAGGCAGTGGTATCCATCCTGATGAGGCAGCAGAAAAGGAGATGACTTCAGTTGTGGCAGAGAATGGCACTGGCTTGGTAGGCAGCTTGGAGCTGGAAGAAGAGCAGCCAGGTATAACTGGGTTGGTGAACTGGGTGGGGAAAGGAAAAATGGAGCTCGGGGGGGATAGTGGCTTTTTGAGGTGAGAAAAACTTGTCTTTCCAGCTCTCTGCAGTGGAGGCTGATTTGCATGTTGGTGATTAGCAATTAGCAGAGCCAAGTGGCTGGTGTTTTTGTGGCAGCAGCACCAGCTCGCGAGTGGGAGTGCAAATTATTTCAAGCTCATGCAGAGCTTCTGGCCTGGAGAGGGCAGGTGGGCGAGCCCGAAACAGCCCCAACAGACACCCTGCATCAAGAAAGGCTTCTTTCAAAATATACGGAGTGGTTAGGGTCTAGCAGCGGGCATTGAGGCTGTTTTAACTGACTGTGGCAGGATCAGACTGGCTGTTAAAGTCGTCTGAGCCCAATGTAGTGATTGGCATGCGAAGGAGGGAAGGAAGCAGGCAGAGCATATCATTATTTGTCTACTCAGTTTCCTTTTTTTTGTTGTTTAGCATTAGTACACGTGACAGCCCCTCTCATCTTTTCCCTCAAAATAGATAAAAGCTTAGCTTCCAGTTGATTCCTGGTACAAGGGTAACCACCACTCTGTAAAATTACAGGATGTTTTCTCGTTTCCCAATGGATGGAGGAGATATCTGAGAACATGATAGAGATGTTGTATCAGACCCCACTCTCTTTTCCTCTCTTTGCCTGCTGTAGGATTGATTTTACCAGCACATCTCTGCTCAGAGTATCTTGATGTGATCGGTTCCCAGCAATGAACTGGCCGCAATAAATGTTGAATGAATGAACATCCTTCTAGCAAAGATTGACTGCCTAGTATAGCTAAGTGAACCAATATAAGGCACTGATTTTGACTTTTGGTCTCTCCTGTGATTTCCTAGAACTGAAGATGTGTGGCTACAATGGCTCTGTCCCTTCTGTGGAATCGTTACACCAAGAGGTCTCAGTCCTGGTCCCTGACCCCACAGTGAGCTGTTTAGATGATCCTTCACATCTTCCTGATCAACTGGAAGACACTCCAATCCTCAGTGAAGACTCTCTGGAGCCCTTCAACTCTCTGGCACCAGGTAGGTTTGGAGGCTATGTCCCTTTAACTTATCCATGCAGAGTAGCCAAACTTTACCTGAAAGAGACAGTAAAATGGGAAAAGTATTAGGCAATCAGGGGCACTGGGGCTTCCAGGTAGGCCTAAGGCAGACCACAGTTACATGCCACAGGACTTGGTGCCCTAACTGAATTCTGAGCTGAATTGGTTCATGTCCCAGGTTCTTTCCCAGTATTCCTTTTGGCCAAGAGCTCTGGGCTGTAATAATTCACTGGGTAGGGACTTATTATCACACAGTTGATCTTTCTGGGTTCTGACAAACTAGGAAGAAAACATTTGTCAGTGAGCAGTTACCTTTTACTCCACTGAAGTACAAGAAAGACATATTTTATGATAAATCCTAGAATTTTGCATAGGTCTCTGGGTAGATAATACCACCAATGCCTTTCCTTTCATTTTCACCTTGTAGAGATGAGGTCTTGCTATGTTGTCCAGGCTGGTCTTGAACTCTGGCCTCAAGCAATTCTTCTGCCTCGGCCTCCCCTCAAACTTTTATGATCCCTATAATCTCATGACTACTCTTTCAGGGAGAAGGCTTTACTTGTTACCTAACTTAATATTAGGAAGAATCTTCACATTGTGGGAACTAGAATTGGATGTTTTCTGACCAGTGTTTCTTAAATCTTGCTTTCTGATTTTTTTCTCATTATCCTGCTCTGATTTTTCTACCCTTGTAAACAGAGCCAGTGAGTGGAGGACTATATGGTATTGATGACACGGAGCTGATGGGTGCAGAGGACAAGCTGCCTCTTGAGGACAGCCCTGTGATTTCTGCCCTTGATTGCCCTTCCCTCAATAATGCTACTGCCTTCAGTCTCCTGGCAGATGATAGTCAAACATCAACCTCTATCTTTGCCAGTCCCACCTCTCCACCTGTCCTAGGGGAGTCTGTCCTGCAAGGTAAGTGACGGTAGGTAGGACAAAGAAAGACCTTTACCTGAGAAAAGATGAGAGAATAAGTTTCATAGTTAGGGCCTTAAGAGTGGGAAATCTGGCTGGGCGCAGTGGCTCACGCCTGTAATCTCAGCACTTCGGGAGGCCGAGGCGGGTGGATCACCTGAGATCAGGAGTTTGAGACCACCTGGCCAACATGGTGAAACCCCGCCTCTACTAAAAATACAAAAATTAGCCAGGTGTGTTGGCACATGCCTGTAATCCCAGCTACCTGGGAGGCTGAGGCAGGAGAATCGCTTGGCCCCAGGAGGCAGAGGTTGCAGTGAGCCGAGATTGTGTCGTTGCACTCCAACCTGGGCAACAGAGCAAGACTCCATCTCAAAAAAAAAGTAGGAAAGCAAGAGCACCTTGCTGGGAGCTGAGGGGCTATGGGATAGTGTATGGTGGAACTAAAAGAGGTATAGGCTGCTATACTCCGACCTGTGCCCTCTGCTTTGAAGAACTTGTGAGACTTGGAATTTGTAGGGAGAAGGAGGCTAGAAGCTTTATTGGCACCAGGTAAAAGGTATTTCTTCACACAATGACATCTGTAGCAACTTTACCCTTTAATCCTCATGATTGGTTGGGAGAAAAAGCTACTTCTTTTTCCAACCCTAGGGAAGACCCCTTGAAGTAACCCTGTTTAGCTTGGTCCAGGGTTGACTGAGTAGATTCTCTTGTTTTATGTGATGCCTTTTTTTTTTTTAAAGCCTATCCTGTCCCTTTGGATTCTAGATAACAGCTTTGACCTGAATAATGGTAGTGACGCTGAACAGGAAGAAATGGAAACTCAATCTTCAGACTTCCCACCATCCCTGACCCAGCCAGCTCCTGATCAGTCATCCACTATTCAGCTACATCCAGCAACCTCACCAGCAGTCTCGCCAACAACCTCCCCAGCAGTCTCCCTAGTGGTTTCTCCAGCAGCCTCCCCAGAAATCTCTCCAGAAGTTTGTCCCGCAGCTTCTACAGTTGTCTCTCCAGCAGTCTTCTCAGTGGTCTCTCCAGCTTCCTCAGCAGTCCTCCCAGCAGTCTCCTTAGAAGTCCCGTTGACGGCTTCAGTGACATCCCCAAAAGCCTCTCCCGTAACTTCCCCAGCAGCTGCCTTTCCAACAGCCTCCCCAGCAAATAAGGATGTCAGCAGCTTTCTAGAAACCACTGCTGACGTGGAAGAGATCACTGGAGAAGGACTCACTGCTTCTGGTAGTGGTGAGTATCCAGATTCTATTCTATCCCTGTCTGGTTCCAAGAAACTTTTCTGTCCCATGTTGTAGTTAGCCTTTCCCTATTGGCCTATTGTTTAAATATTTTGCTTGAACTCTTAACTTGGGTATCCCTTCCTCCCAAGGTGATGTCATGAGGAGACGTATTGCTACCCCAGAAGAAGTTCGTCTTCCCCTCCAACATGGGTAAATGCTCTAGTTTGCTACATTTATTGACCTTGACAAGTTTAATGCACAACTCTAGAAAGAAGGGAATGCCTCTTTTCCTCTGAGGTGGGGGAGGAATGGGCCAGACAAGAGTAGATTACAGGACAGTTATCTGCAGTGATAATGTTTCTTGGCATGAGATTCCTAGGTTTTCCTTCTTCTCTCAAGGTCTGTCTTCCATCACCTATTCTTTTTTCATCTTGTAGTGACTCAATTTTGCCCAAGGAGCTCCAGCTATTATCTTTTCCAAACCCTAGGGCTCACATCCAAACCAGCTGGCTTGTCCTATTTCTGTGGACAAGGGATAGTAATGAATGAGGAGTGACTTAGTACTAATGAATTGAGGTGGTTTTGTTGTTTTAATGCTCTTAGGAGAGGTAAGGGCAGGAACAGTACATGACCAAAATGAACAAACTAGCTGACACCAGGGCCTTGTGGAAATAACTGCCTTCCTGGATCTTCCCCACCCCTGCCCCTCAAGGCTACTTGTGGTCACCAAGTCTGAGTACTGCTTAAAATTTTGAGAGAAAGATTAGAGTTAGTCTTAGAACTAACTCTGACTAACTTTGTGTTCTGCTCAGAACACAGAGTTCCTAACTAAACCCTGGCATATTGAGTCTTTTCATGGAATCAGCAGCAAATTTATTTTTCTGCTTGCCTCCCTGCCCTTTGTCTTCTGTCTTTATTCCCCTTAGGTCTTTATCCTCTTTACTGGAAATCCAGTAACTGCCCTGAATGGCTCAGGGAGGGGTTTCTGGCAGCTTATCTCACTGATTTTGTAAAGGAGGGATGGAGATCTCTCTGAGCTTGTGCAGTTTGGTGTAGTGCTTTTCTCCTAAGGGCCTTGATGTATTTGCTGGAGCTCAAGTCAGCCTTCTAGCCAAGCTTATCTCTCTTGGTGCTTTTGCATCTGCATGCAGTTCTAGAGATACAAATGTGGGGAGGGCCATCTGCTCAGAGGGCTTCGCGCTTAGGTGGCATGGGAGTGGGTAGGGGTGTGACCTGGCGGCAGGGCCCATGTGCTTCTCTGGCAGGTGGCGGAGAGAGGTGCGCATCAAGAAGGGCAGCCACCGATGGCAGGGGGAGACCTGGTATTATGGCCCCTGTGGGAAGAGGATGAAGCAATTTCCAGAAGTGATCAAGGTAATGTAGCTTTTTTTAAAGGACTGCTTTCTTGGGCTCAGTGGACTCCTTTCCACTGCCCAAGACTCCGTTCTTGGGCTCAGTGACAACAGGCTGGCATTGTCTGCTCTGGGCCTGTTCTGCTTATGCCTTTGCTGGCCAAAGACATGGTAGGATCCAACTTTATTAATGTTACTTTACTTCTTCCTCTTAGTACCTGAGCCGCAACGTGGTACACAGTGTCCGCCGAGAGCACTTCAGCTTCAGTCCCCGTATGCCTGTTGGAGATTTCTTTGAAGAAAGAGACACGCCAGAGGTGCAGACCCAAGGGTTAAATATGCTTTTGTCCCTGAGGAAGAGTTGGTGGACAAGCTGCAGCTTCCTCTCGTGGGGTTTGAAGGTTCTGGGGCATTGAATGGTTCCGAGGGCCTCGTGGCCTGCACTGATTCCTTACTACTGTAACAGTCTCCCTTGCTACCTTAGGGCTTGCAGTGGGTGCAGCTCTCAGCAGAGGAGATCCCGTCGAGGATTCAGGCAATTACTGGCAAACGGGGTCGACCTCGAAACACTGAGAAGGCTAAGACTAAGGAAGTCCCCAAGGTGAAACGGGGTCGAGGTCGGCCACCTAAGGTCAAAATCACTGAGCTATTGAACAAGACAGACAACCGCCCCCTAAAGAAACTGGAGGCCCAAGGTACAGTGGTATTTCTTACTTTGGGATTCTGCTCCCTCCATGAGGTATCTAAAATGTTGATGAATTGCTAATACCTGGATTTCCCAGGAGTGTAACTAACATTATCTGGGAAGAATGAATCTGAATCAGCTTCTCCTTGGAATCCAGCATCCTAGTCCCAGCGCTTGGGAATACTACTTTTCCAGCCATGGTCTTTCTTGAGTTGCTGTTACCAGTGAAACCTTGGGCTGCCCCCAGGTGTGTTTAGCCCAGAGGAGAGGACTTTCTTGCCCTTTCTTTCCATCTTTTAGCTCCTTATCATATACTGGTTCAGTTGTACCCTTTTACCTTACCCATTTCTACTATCATGGAGGTTCAGAATTCACATCTGAATTCAAAAGATAATTGGGAGCCAGGCATGGTGGTGTGTGCTTAATAATCCCAGTTACCCAGGAGGCTGAGGCAGGCAGCAGAGGATCACTTGAGCCCAGGAGTTTGGAGGCTACAGTAAACTTCAGTTGTGTTATTGCATTCCAACCTGGGCAACAGAGCAAGGCCCTGTTTCTAAAAAAAATAATAGGCCGGGCACAGTGTCTCACACCTGTAATCCCAGCACTTCGGAAGGCCAAGGCGGGCGGATCGTGAGGTCAAGAGATTGAGACCATCCTGGCGAACATGGTAAAACCCCGTCTCTACTAAAAATACAAAACAAAAAATTAGCTGGGCGTGGTGGTGTGTGCCTGTAGTCCCACCTACTTGGGAGGCTGAGGCAGGAGAATAGCTTGAACCTGGGAGGTGGAGGTTTCAGTAAGCTGAGATTGCGCCACTGCACTCCAGCTTGGTGATAGAGCTAGACTCTGTCTCAAAAAAAAAAAAAAAAAAAAAAAAAGCCAGGCACGGTGGCTCACGCCTGTAATCCCACCACTTTGGGAGACTGAGGAGGGCAGATCACCTGAGGTCGGGAGTTCAAGACCAGCCTGACCAACATGAAGAAACCCTGTCTCTACTATAAATACAAAATTAGCCAGGCATGGTGGCGCATGCCTGTAATCCCAGCTACTCGGGAGGCTGAGGCAGGAGAATGGCTTGAACCCAGGAGGCAGAGGTTGCAGTGAGCTGAGATCACACCATTGCACTCCAGCCTGGGCAACAAGAGTGAAACTCCATCTCAAAATAATAATAATAATATAATAATAATAATAGGCACTGTTTTAGTGGATGGACAGGTGAGAAATACCTACATTTTTCAGTAAATAGTGTGTTTACCCTGGTGTAGTGTGAAGAATGTGAAAAAACTTAGTCTTTTGATTTTCACTCAGACATCTAGCCGTGTCATGTTTCAACCAAATGACCTAGAACAAGTCTCATTTTGTTTTTTTTTTTTTGAGACAGAGTCTTACTCTGTCACCCAGGATGGAGTGCAGTGGCACGATCTTGGCTCACTACAAGCTCTGCCTCCTGGATTCACCCCATTCTCCTGCCTCGGCCTCCCGAGTAGCTGGGACTACAGGTGCACGCCACCACACCTGGCTAATTTTTTGTATTTTTAGTAGAGACGGGGTTTCACCATGTTAGCCAGGATGGTCTCGATCTCCTGACCTCGTGATCCGCCCACCTCGACCTCTCAAAGTGCTGGGATTACAGGTGTAGCCCCCACGCCTGGCCCTTTTTTTTTTTTTTTCCAGATGGAGTTTTGCTCTTGTTGCCCAGGCTGGAGTGCAATGGCGCGATCTTGGCTCACCGCAACCTCCCAGGTTTAAGCGATTCTCCTGCCTCAGCCTCCAGAGTAGCTGGGATTACAGGCATATGCCACCACGCCCAGCTAATTTTGTATTTTTAGTAGAGATGGGGTTTCTCCATGTTGGTCAGGCTGGTCTCGAACTCCTGACCTCAGGTGATCCGCCTGCTTCAGCCTCCCAAAGTGCTGGGATTACAGGTGTGAGCCACTGCACCCAGCTAAGTCTCATATTTTAATCAAAGCCTTAGGTAGTTCATCTGCCCATAATATCTGTCTTAGAGGGTTGTCACGTAGACATGTGGTGGCGTTTCTATACCAGAAACAAAATAATAAATATTGTCATGTCAGGGCCAGGCACGGTGGCTCACGGCTGTAATCCCAGCTCTTTGAGAGGCTGAGACCAGCGGATCATGAGGTCAGGCAATCAAGACCGTCATGGCTAAAACGGTGAAACTCCGCTTGTACTAAAAATACTAAAAATTAACTGGGCGTGGTGGCACGCGCCTGTAGTCCCAGCTACTGGGGTGGCTGAGGCAGGAGAATCGCTTGAACCTGGGAGGTGGAGATTGCAGTGAGCCGAGATTGTGCCATTGCACTTCAGCCTGGGCGACAGAGTGAGACTCCGTGTCAAAAAATATATATATGTATATATAGTCATGTCAGAAACATCAATTATGAAATACTCTTGTTTGCAGAATTATACTTCCACAAGTCTTCCCGAAAGGAAGAAATTCAGAACTTTTAGTGAAGCAAGACATGGAGCTGAGCATGATCAATAACTATGTCAGTGATTCTTTTGAGGTGTCCACTGTGTGGGCCTTTTTTCTGGCACACCCTTGGTTAATCAGTGCTTCTAACTACTACCCTCTTTCCCTGGCAGTTTGGCTTGCTGTATCCTTTCTCTGCTTTCTGCTCTAAAATCAGTCCGTGGGTTTCTGCTCTTGTCAGGTATCCTGGGAGAGAGATTGGCTCCAAGGCTACTCTGCCATTGTGGCCTCTTTTCTATCAGCAGGACACCTTCTAAAGCAGTCTGATTGGAGCCAGGGGCTGGTGCTTCTGGGCAGGAGATGTCATTTGAGTTCTTTGTGCCACCCCCATAGCAGGTGCCTCTCCTACATTTTTTCCCCCAATGTTTTATTATGTATACTTAAAAAAAAAAAAAGCTACTCTAGATTCTTCAGGGAGCTGCTTGGGAGGCCAGCTTTGAGACGGGCATGTGTTGCCCTGGATGCTAGAGAACTGCCTTCCTGCCTCACTTGTTTCATTTTTCTTTCTGCTCTCACAGAAACATTGAATGAGGAGGATAAAGCAAAGATTGCTAAAAGCAAGAAGAAGATGAGGCAGAAGGTTCAACGGGGAGAGTGTCAGACTACTATCCAAGGGCAGGTGAGGGACATCAGAGAGATGAAACAGTAGGTTAATTTTTCCTACAACTTACTTCATCTTTTATTTTCATTTCCCACATCCGTCACTCCCTGTGTAGCAGCATATCTTCATTACCCTGAAATTTCTTGCACTTGATTTAGAGAATTGGGTTTGTTCAAAAATAACGTGGGCATCTCTAGGGTGAGAGAATTAATCCATTGCCAACCCCTCATTCCATCTCTCACCTCTCCTCCCCAGCACCCTTGTCTGTTTTTGAATCCTAGCCCAAGCAGAGATGCTTTCAGAGTTTGAGGAGAAATGACTTCCCTTATGGTTTACAGGCCAGAAATAAGCGGAAACAAGAGACCAAGAGCTTAAAGCAGAAGGAAGCTAAGAAGAAATCCAAGGTAGGTGCATGTACAAACTTGCCAAGTATAATTTCGAAGCCACTAAACTGATTTTGCAGGACATGTACATCAGTCTTGTTTTATAGTGAGATTTCTGGGCTGTGAGGTTGGGAGGACTGGGACCAGGGAAGGATAGTGACTGATATCTTTATGGCAGTCTTGGTTCCTCTCTTCCTTGGGTAGGCTGAGAAAGAAAAAGGAAAGACAAAGCAGGAAAAACTGAAGGAAAAAGTCAAGAGGGAAAAGAAGGAGAAGGTAAAAATGAAGGAAAAGGAGGAGGTGACCAAAGCCAAGCCAGCCTGTAAAGCAGATAAGACCCTGGCCACACAGAGGCGCTTGGAGGAACGGCAGAGGCAGCAGATGATCTTGGAGGAAATGAAGAAGCCGACAGAGGATATGTGTCTGACTGACCACCAGGTAGTGAGGAGAGAGTAACAGTTCCTGGGTCAGCTGGGAAGACTTTCCTTTAAAAAAAAAAAAAGGACTTCTGCAATGGGAGAGACATTTCCATTAAAGATTAAAGGAAGGCCGGGTGCCATGGCTCACACTGTAATCCCAGCACTTTGGGAGGCCGAGGCGGGCAGATCGCTTGAGCCCAGCAGTTCAAGACCAGCCTGGGCAACATGGCGAGACCTCATCTCTACAAAAAATACGAAAATTAGCTGGGTGTGGTGGCATGTACCTGTAGTCCCAGCTATTTGAGAGACTGAGGTGGGAGAATTGCTTGGGCTTAGGAGGTCGAGGCTGCAGTAAGCAGAGATCATGCCACTGCACTCCAGCTTGGGTGACAGAGTGAGACCCTATCTCAAAAAAAAAAAAAAAATTACATAAAAATTAAAGGAAGAACCTCTTGTAGACATGCAAATTGTCATCTTCTGTTATGTTTAACAGAACTCTCTACTCACTTTTCTCTCTCTAGCCCCTGCCTGACTTCTCACGAGTCCCTGGTCTGACATTGCCCAGTGGAGCCTTCTCAGACTGCTTGACCATTGTGGAGTTCCTGCATAGCTTTGGCAAGGTGCTGGGCTTTGATCCTGCCAAAGATGTGCCTAGCCTGGGGGTCCTGCAGGAGGGACTCCTGTGTCAAGGTGACAGCTTGGGTGAGGTGCAAGACCTGCTGGTCAGGCTGCTGAAGGCTGCACTCCATGATCCTGGCTTTCCCTCCTACTGTCAGGTGAGTGCAAGTCCCTCCCAAAGTAACCAGGACAAGTAAAGGAGATGTAACTACTTAGTGTTTCTCTTTTCCTTATATTTTTCCATTTCTTTTTCTTCCTGACTCCTCTCCTTATTTTATTTTTCTTTATTTTTTCCTTTTCTTTTGTGGTCTTCTTTCGTATTCTGTCTTAACCCCCATAGTTCTCTTCTGATGTATTTTCCTCTTGCACATTCACCCAACTTGGTTGTGCATCTTTCCCTACTCACCCCCATTATGCTGTCCTCCACACAGTCCCTAAAGATCTTGGGGGAGAAGGTGTCTGAGATCCCACTGACAAGAGACAATGTGTCAGAGATCCTGCGCTGCTTCCTTATGGCATATGGAGTAGAGCCAGCCCTCTGTGACCGCCTGCGCACCCAGCCTTTTCAGGCCCAGCCACCCCAGCAGAAGGCTGCTGTCCTGGCCTTCCTTGTGCATGAGCTCAATGGCTCCACCCTCATCATCAAGTGAGAGGCTGGGAGTGGGGATGGTCATTGTATCCCTTGCATCAGAATGGGGTGGAGGACTTGTAGCCTTCCAGAAGTCCTCAGAAATGTGTGTTCACTGCCATGTTCTGAAGATGCTGGAATGACTTGGGACTGAATTGCAGTGCCCTCCCTGGGAGAGCCTAAGCCTTCTGCCATTCACCCAATCTGGGTTCTAGGCTGGAACTCCTTTTTCAGCTGCAGCCCCTTTACCCTTGAGCCTCCTTTCCCTTTTTTTGTGCTGCCACTTCATCCTATTCCCTATTCCCCTGCAGTGAGATTGACAAGACTCTGGAGAGTATGTCCAGCTACAGGAAAAACAAGTGGATTGTTGAAGGCCGGCTCCGGAGGTAGGGACCAGACAGAGAGTAGAGCCTCAGAGAGGAGAGAAGTGGGGCGGGTGAAGCATAGCCAGGGTTTTGGCTTGAAATGTGATGCTTTAGCCCCTTCCCTGGGTTTGGGACCTTACCAGGGCCCAGGATGGTTTAGAGTCAAGGTATTTCTTTTGTGGCACTATCATGTTCCTCACCAGTTTCCCGTAATTTTTTTTTTTTGAGATGGAGTCTTCCTCTGTCGCCTAGGCTGGAATGCGATAGCGCAATCTTGGCTCACTGCCACCTCCGCCTCCCAGGTTCAAGCGATTCTTCTGCCTCAGCCTCCCAAGTAGCTGGGATTACAGGCCCATGCCACCACACCTGGCTGATTTTTGTATTTTTAGTAGAGACAGGGTTTCACCATGTTGGCCAGGCTGGTCTCGAACTCCTGACCTCAGGTGATCCGCCTGTCTTGGCCTCCCAAAGTGCTGGAATTACAGGTGTGAGCCACCACACTTGGCCTTCCCTTAATCTTTCTCCATCTATTTCAAGGCTGAAAACTGTTCTGGCCAAGCGAACTGGGCGGTCTGAAGTAGAGATGGAAGGGCCAGAGGAATGCCTGGGACGGAGGCGCAGTTCTCGGATCATGGAGGAGACCAGTGGCATGGAAGAAGAGGAAGAAGAGGAGTCTATAGCAGCTGTCCCTGGCCGCAGGGGTCGAAGAGATGGAGAGGTACTGGCCCAAGATCAAGGAAAGTGGGAGTTAGAAAATAAATTCCTCTTTCTTGAATCTGATAACCTCCTTTTTCATAATGCCCATGTGTTTCTCCCTAGGTTGATGCCACAGCATCTAGCATCCCAGAGCTAGAGCGCCAGATAGAAAAACTCAGCAAGGTATTGTGCTTCTAACCTCCCAAGAGTTGGAGATATGGGCTGGGCAAGAATTGATCAGCTTCTTTTTTAAACTGAATTTTAATTTTTATTCTTTTGAGATGGGGTTTCTGTTACCCAGGCTGGAGTGCAGTGGCACGATCATGGCTCACTGCAGCCTCAGCCTCCTGGGCTTAGGTGATTCTCCCAAGTAGCTGGGACTACAGGCAGGAGCCACCATGCCTGGCTAATTTTTGTGTTTTTGTAGAGACAGTTTCCATATGTTACCAAGGCTGGTTCTGAACTCCTGGGCTCTAGCAATCCACCTGCCTTGGCCTCCCAAAGTGCTGGGATTACAGGCGTGAGCCACCGCTCCCAAACTTAATCACCTTCTGAATTAGGCCCAGATGGCATCACTTTTATAGAGGGACTGAGAGCCATTGCCTTTCTCTGATATACTGGATGAATTCACCACTGTCACTCTGGAAATGTGTTTATTCATCTTCATTTTCATTGTCTACCCAGCGTCAGCTTTTCTTTCGCAAAAAGCTGCTTCACTCATCCCAGATGCTTCGGGCGGTCTCCCTGGGTCAGGACCGCTACAGACGTCGCTACTGGGTATTGCCGTATTTGGCTGGTATCTTTGTAGAAGGAACAGAGGGGAACTTAGGTAGGTGTGCCTGTGGGAGTGTGGATTCTGAGTCCTATCAAACAAGAATTAAATAATTCCTTTTCCTTAGTAGTCTTGGGCTTCTTTCATTTTCTGATAATATAGCGTAATGGTTAAGAGCACAGATTTTAGAGTAAAGCTGCCTACCCACCTGCTCTGCCATTTCCAGCTGTATGATTCTGTTTCTTCATTTGTGAAGTTGAGATAATAATAGTGTATGTACTTCATAAGGCTACTGAGAGGATTAAAATGAGTTAAGTCTCTTAGAATAATACTTAACCCGTAGTTGTTTCGCAATAAATGTTAGCTTATGATTGTGCTGCTGCTGCTGATTACTTGGGAGAATAGTGTTTCTTCCCCAGATACTGTGTTCATTGGCATATAAGCTCTTCCCAGTGGAATCTCAAAAAAGGGGGACTAAGTCCAAGAGAAAAAGAAAGTATAGGTCCTAAGTTTATATACCCTCTTACTTTTCCCTTGTATGTCAGCATATGGCTTAACTCTTTACTTCTCTTTACAGTTCCTGAGGAGGTGATAAAGAAGGAAACTGACTCCTTAAAAGTGGCAGCCCATGCGTCACTCAACCCTGCCCTCTTCTCTATGAAGATGGAGTTAGCTGGCTCCAACACCACTGCCAGTTCTCCTGCCCGGGCCCGAGGCCGACCTCGAAAAACTAAGCCCGGGTCTATGCAACCTAGGCATCTTAAGTCCCCTGTCAGGGGTCAGGATTCAGAACAGCCCCAGGCCCAGCTTCAGCCTGAGGCTCAGCTTCATGCTCCTGCCCAGCCCCAGCCTCAGCTTCAGCTTCAGCTTCAGTCCCATAAGGGGTTCCTGGAGCAAGAAGGCTCCCCTTTGTCACTGGGTCAGAGCCAGCATGACCTCAGCCAGTCAGCCTTCCTGTCTTGGCTGAGCCAGACTCAGAGCCATAGCTCCCTGTTGAGCAGCTCAGTCCTCACACCTGATAGCAGTCCGGGAAAACTAGACCCAGCTCCATCACAACCCCCGGAGGAGCCAGAGCCTGATGAGGCAGAATCCAGCCCTGATCCTCAAGCACTCTGGTTTAACATCTCAGCCCAGATGCCCTGCAATGCTGCCCCCACACCGCCCCCTGCAGTTTCTGAGGACCAACCCACTCCCTCCCCTCAGCAGCTTGCCTCCTCCAAGCCAGTAAGTAGCCAGAATTAGTAGTATGCACTTGATTTCATCTTGCCACAGGCACCATTGCCTGGGTGTGGAGCTGCTGCCTGAAGTTGAGGGAACCTATAAACATGAAAACATCCTCATTTCCTTATGTCTCATTTTATTCACAGATGAATAGACCTAGTGCTGCCAACCCTTGTTCTCCAGTGCAGTTCTCTTCCACGCCCTTGGCTGGGTTGGCCCCTAAGAGGCGAGCAGGAGACCCTGGAGAAATGCCACAGAGTCCCACAGGGCTGGGACAGCCCAAACGGAGAGGGAGACCTCCCAGTAAGTTCTTCAAACAGATGGAACAGCGTTACCTAACCCAGCTGACAGCCCAGCCTGTCCCACCTGGTGAGTGACCTTGGAGTGAGGGCATCCGGTGTGGGCAGTGCTTCACAGCTGGCGCCCCACATATATCTCATCTGCTCACAGAGATGTGCTCAGGCTGGTGGTGGATACGAGATCCTGAGATGTTGGATGCCATGCTCAAGGCCCTACACCCCCGAGGTATCCGGGAGAAGGCACTTCACAAACACCTTAACAAGCACAGGGACTTCTTGCAGGAAGTCTGCCTGCGGCCCTCAGCTGGTAAATACATTCCTACACCCAGCTTGAGCTGAAGAGCCCAGGATAAGCATTGAGCTGCTGCTAGGGACAACAGCCTGATGGGCCTCTCCCTCTGCCACCTCTCTTCTCAGACCCCATCTTTGAGCCCAGGCAACTACCTGCCTTTCAAGAAGGGATTATGAGCTGGTCCCCCAAAGAGAAGACATACGAGACAGACCTAGCAGTGCTTCAATGGGTAGAGGAGCTGGAGCAGCGGGTTATCATGTCTGATCTGCAGATTCGGGTATGCTGGGATTGGCACTGTGTAGGAAGGTTGGGGAAAAGCATTAGTCCCTTATGCCCTGTTAGAAAAAACCCTGGGTCCCTACTTCACAGGTGACCTACCTTAAGTGGGTCTTGTTTTTGTTTTTTTTTTTCCTATGCCAAATTTTCCTCCTTTTACAGTGAGTTTTATTCCTCTCTCTTAACTGAAGGGCTGGACATGTCCTAGCCCAGACTCTACCCGTGAAGACTTGGCCTACTGTGAGCACCTCTCCGACTCCCAGGAGGATATCACCTGGCGAGGTCGGGGCAGGGAGGGACTGGCACCTCAGCGTAAAACTACCAACCCTTTGGACCTGGCTGTGATGCGGCTGGCTGCCCTGGAACAGAATGTAGAACGGCGGTACCTGCGGGAGCCCCTCTGGCCAACTCATGAGGTTGTGCTGGAGAAGGCCCTGCTTAGCACACCTAATGGTGCCCCTGAGGGCACCACTACAGAGATGTGAGTGACTCCCACCCTCCATTCTTGGTCTTGGAGAGAAAGGGATAAGTTCCCTCTTTAGTGGATCCGCTCCTTCTCCAAAGATCACCACTTTCTCCCTCCAGATCATATGAGATCACCCCTCGCATTCGTGTCTGGCGCCAGACCCTCGAGCGGTGCCGGAGCGCAGCCCAGGTGTGCTTGTGCCTGGGCCAGCTGGAGAGGTCCATTGCCTGGGAGAAGTCTGTCAACAAAGTGGTAAGAGGCTGAGAGAGCCTGGAGAGGCTGAGGGGCCAGCCAGCAGGGGCGGGGTGGGGTCACTGGCAGGTAGAGGCTGGAGAGCTCATTCTGCCTCCTCACAACCTTGGTCCAGACATGTCTAGTCTGCCGGAAGGGTGACAATGATGAGTTTCTTCTGCTTTGTGATGGGTGTGACCGTGGCTGCCACATTTACTGCCATCGTCCCAAGATGGAGGCTGTCCCAGAAGGAGATTGGTTCTGTACTGTCTGTTTGGCTCAGGTAAGGCTTCTGCTCTTTCTTTCCCACACTCAAACAGAAATCAGAGATTATCCTCAATCTCTCCTCTCCTTGGAAAGAGTCCTAGACTGGGTATTAGGGGACCTGGGTTCTAAGTCCTTTTTTGGACAAGTCACTTAAATTCTATAGCTTTAATTGCTGTCTCTATAAAATGAGAATAACTATACCTTCCCTTTTACCTACTTCATTGGGTTATGTGAATAAACCAATGCCGGCTTATGCATGATAGTATTTTGAAGCCTTAAATCATATTTAGGCAGAGATTGTAGTAGGGCAAGCAGTGCATCTCCAGCTGTTGCTAATCTCACCTGTTTCCTATACTAAGCAGGTGGAGGGAGAATTCACTCAGAAGCCTGGTTTCCCAAAGCGTGGCCAGAAGCGGAAAAGTGGTTATTCGCTGAACTTCTCAGAGGGTGATGGCCGCCGACGCCGGGTACTGTTGAGGGGCCGAGAAAGCCCAGCAGCAGGGCCTCGGTACTCGGAAGAAGGGCTCTCCCCCTCCAAGCGGCGGCGACTCTCTATGCGGAACCACCACAGTGATCTCACATTTTGCGAGTGAGTTGAGTGAATCCTGGGGGGACAGTTGGCTCTACCTCTGCCAGAGGAAAGGGCTGGGAGGGGTCAGTATATTTGCTTCCTGAGATGGAGCCATCATTGTCCCTCTAATGATAGGATTATCCTGATGGAGATGGAGTCCCATGATGCAGCCTGGCCTTTCCTAGAGCCTGTGAACCCACGTTTGGTGAGTGGGTACCGGCGCATCATCAAAAATCCTATGGATTTTTCCACCATGCGGGAGCGGCTGCTCAGGGGAGGGTAAGTAGATGTGGGTGAACCGCCCGGTCTTTGCTACTGCTGCAACTCCTACCCAGCTCACAGTTTTGCCCCTGCCCTGTCCAGGTACACCAGCTCAGAGGAGTTTGCGGCTGATGCCCTCCTGGTATTTGACAACTGCCAGACTTTCAACGAGGATGACTCTGAAGTAGGCAAGGCTGGGCACATCATGCGCCGCTTCTTCGAGAGCCGCTGGGAGGAGTTTTATCAGGGAAAACAGGCCAATCTGTGAGGCAAGGGAGGTGGGGAGTCACCTTGTGGCATCTCCCCCCACCTTCCAAACAAAAACCTGCCATTTTCACCTGCTGATGCTGCCCTGGGTCCAGACTCAAGTCAGATACAACCCTGATTTTTGACCTTGCCCTTGGCAGTGCCCCACATCCTCTTATTCCTACATCCCTTTCTCCCTTCCCTCCTCTTGCTCCTCAAGTAAGAGGTGCAGAGATGAGGTCCTTCTGGACTAAAAGCCAAAAAAAGAAAGAAAAAAATAATTTTTCTTTTCTGTTTTATTTGCTAATTAAAAATGGGGAGGGGGAAAGTCGTCCCTACTTCCTCCTCCCTGCTTCCTCTCCTCCCCTGTACGTGCCCCAGCATTCTGGGGTTATTTAACAATAGCAATAGTTCTAGTGAATGTGTGAAACCAAGAAACACTCTGTACTGTGTGCGGACCCGCAGTGACGGCCAGTAAAGTGGACTTAACTCCCAAGTGTGTCGCGCCGGACACCGGGCCCTGGACATGCTGCTTCCATGTTCAGTCCCTTCCCTGCTTCTCGCTGTCTTTCTTTTCCCACCTCCCACCCCCCAGTTTTCAGATTTTCTCTCATCCAATAATGTAAAACTATCGTGTACGGGTTCCTCCCTCCTTTTCTCTTCTCCCAAATCTTTTCCCTTCAAAGGAAAAAAAAATGTTCAGAGGTCCCTGTCTTCTGTCCCCATCTTCCTGCCGATAGCTATCCCCTGTATGATGTTGGATGCTCCTCACATGCTGAGTTTCCAGCCTTTTCTGAAACTCAGTAGCTGGGGAGAGGGCAGGGAGGCTTCCTGGGCCTTCCAGCCTCCTTCCCCACCTCCTTCCCAAACCCTCTTGGGAACTCCTCAGGGACAACTACTGCTGAGTTTGGGTGCACCCTAAGATGGAGGCCAGGTAGCAATGGGGCCGGCCTCAGAGAGAGCGCTGTGTGTGTGTGTGTGTGTGTGTGTGTGTGTGTGTGTCGGCCTCAGAGCGCGCTGTGTGTGTGTGTGTGTGTGTCAGCCTCAGAGCGCGCGCTGTGTGTGTGTGTGTGTGTGCGTGCTTGTGACCCTGTATTGTTTGATAGGATCCATTCAGTTTCCCCAAGTACCTGTTTTCATTCCCATTTTTCCCATTGTTTAAAACCATCACTTTTTTGTCTTTGGGAAACCACAGGAACAATTTCTCTGGAGACAAGGCTGTGTCTCTCTCCTGGTCATTTTTGTTCCAGCCTCTTCAGACTGTGCAATCTTTCAGCAGGAACTCCCTCTCTTCTCGGTAGCTTTGAATCTTAAGCTTCTACGGGAGAGTGGTAGAACTGGATCATTTCCTAATCCCATTTAGTTGTGCTTTTCTTCATTTACTTCATACCCCAGGACCCCTTCCCCAGCAGCAGAGACCCTGGAGCACAGGAGAGTAGGGAGGAGGGGTTCTGGGTCCATCACTGCCCTACATGTGACTATGTCCAAGTTAAGCCCCCAACACGAGAGGAAAGCTGCTGACTCCCAGCTATAGCCATGGGCACTTGGCCCCCTGCTTTTCCTGCTCAGCAGAGCCCCTCCCTTCAGAGATTACGGGTACTTGCACTGGGGAGGTGGCTGCTGGCTGGCCCAAGCAGAGAGCTGAGGCATCCAAGAAATGTTCCATTGGGGGGTGGGGGTGCCAGGTGAGGTGGAGCATTCCTTGTATTCTGGCAGCACTGAAGAGCCACTGAAGGGGGTAGGGGCAGTGTAGGTCCTGGGGCAGCCCCTTTATTCCTTTATGCCCCTTCTCCCTCATAGCCTATTTCTAAAGTCGCCTTTTCTGTCAGATAAACCTCAAAACTTTTAATTTTATTTGAGATTTTTTTTTGCTTTTAAGAGGTGGATTGAAGAATATTTGAATTGACTTTATATTATGCATAAATATTTATATTTTATCTAAATAACTGCGCTGTAACAAACTTTGTGTTAGACAGTTGAAACTGTTAGAGTTGGGGGCTCTGCTTTTTCCCCCTGGCAATTTTCCCCTGGTATAAGATGTGCTAGATTAATTTCATTGTGAGGTGGATGGGGGAGTGAAATTGTGAGGTGGATGGGGGAGTGAAATCTCCATGGTTCCTGCTTTGTGTTCCTCTCCCAGCTCCATCTCTTTCCCTAGGGACCAGGCACTCATATGGCGGGGTGGGGTCCTAGCCTCAGTTTGAAGAAGTGGGGGCTGGAGCGGGGTTGGGGGTGGTAGGGATAGGGCATGATCAAAGGGGCCATTTCTTGCTTTTCTTTCCTCATCTTCACTGCCCCCTTGAGCTAGGTGGATTTTCTCTTCATGACAAGAGTATTTGGTAGGGAAAGCAGGTTTAAAATAAAAAGACAACCCACCCCCTGCCCTTTTGCTTCCCTCCCATCAGTCTGGTTGACAGGAAGAAACCACACCATCAACACCAACAAGTTTCTGTGTTCCTTTTACAGCAAAAGGGACTTTTTATATAACCAAATGTGGTGTTTTAGTGACTTTTTGATAATGTACAGTTTTTTGTGAATTTAAATTTATTTCTTTCTATATTTTTAGGACCAATCTCATTTTTAATAAGGTTAAAAAGAAAAAAAAAGTCTAGCGAAAAAACTCCTGTTTTTGCCATGTGATGTTCCACAAGTGCAGCTGTAGAAAAGTGCTTGTCAGTTGTTGAATAAAAAAAACCACATTTGATAGAGATTCAAAAGACTCTGTGTATTCATCTTCCCTTCTACACACCTGAGGGGGAGACGGCGTTGGGATAGGTATGACTGGCTTAAGAGACCACAGGCAAGGGAACAACAGGGGCTCCTGTTCCATACCCTCTGTGTGGATGGAAAGGGTCATTAGTGCTCCTGCCTAAATGTCTGGCTGAGTTGCTGGAGCAAAGGGGGATTCAGTGCATCCAGGTCCTGCCTTGTGAGATGTGGCCCCAGCTTCCTAAGCTGCCACCTCTGTGTTCCTGTCATAGCAAATATGGGACCATCACCAGCTTACCACTTCCCACTCACGGATAAGACACCAAGACGTAGACTTTTGTGTTTTATTTAAAAAAAAAAAAGTGTGAAGTAAGACAAAATGGACCTCTACCAAGTTGTAGGGAAGGACAAGGAAAAGACCAGGGGTAGAAAAGGAGTGTAAGTTTTAGAATGGTGGCATTGGCATAGATGTGGGAAGAGTATAAAACTAGAAGAAGTCTCCAGATAAAAATATGCAAAATATGTCTGTTTAAGTATAAACATTTTCTGTCCACATGCAAAGAGGTGTTTACCCACCCAAAAAGGGTATATGTTGGAGTGGGGACTTCACTCGCGCTGGATATGTATTACCCTCCAGCCTGGAAACTTTGTCTTGGTGCAACCCCCTAAACTGTATGTTAAGGTAGAAAAGGAACATTCGCTTCCAGCCTTATAAAAATGACAGACTCCCTCTTTGGTGTTTGGTTACCTTCACAGCTATACGCCAGCCACTGAGCAGCTTTCTTGTCCTCTTAAGTTCTAAACTCTGCTCCTATGCTGGTGTCCTCCAACCATTACTTATTACCCTAAGCCGTCACTGCACAGCCTACTCCCCTGGCCTATCACAGCAGGACCTATCTGGAGAGTTCACACTATTCTAGGGCGATCAGTGAGCTAAAAATCCCAGAGAAAACACTGTAGGAATAGAAATTCCCAAGTTTAATTCCCAAGAGTTTAAAAATTATGAGCCTTTTCTAGCCCCCACCTTCCCAACCCTCAGAGAAGGACAGTAAAGAAATCAGTGAATCCAGGTATTTACCTGTTGTTGAATTGTGAGGTTGTGAGGTAGACGTGTAACAAGGACAAGGAAGTTTGGGGATCTGCTTGGAGAATGAAGGTTTATTCAAAACAAGTGGACAGGTCAGGGGTAACGGGTGATGAGGGCACCTGGCTTTTGTAATCATGTGGGGACTGTCCCCTGGGAGGTGCAGCAAAAATCAGAACGGAGACAGAAGCTCACAGTCTGGTTTTAGCTGCCAACTCCTATGGAAGTCCATAGCTGACTCCTATGGAAGGCCTACCAAATGAGGAAATTTCAGGAATTTGCTAATGCGTGGGAGGATTGAAAATGTAGGCAGCACAGAAATAGAGTAGTTGGTTTAAACGGGAATCAGGAAGGATTGGTATAACAAGGCACAAGATTTGGAATTTACCCTTTACAGACTGGCTTTTATAACACCCACCCTCGTCTCTGAAGCCTGCTGATTCAGGGCTAGCAGAGCCTAGGGGCAAGTTTGGGCCAGATCACCCACCCAGTTTATTGCCCTTGGCTAAGAATGCAAAGCCCCTCATGAGCGCAATGCTGCCACTTGCCCAGAAGGTGGGGCATGTGCACAAGGCAGCAGCAATAGTTCTTTTCTAGAAGACTAATAGCCACTGCTACTAGGGATTCCTAGGACATTCCAGCAAGGCCTCTCACAGCATCATATGACGCAAAGTAACAGCCCACGGGTTGACATTGGAGTGACAGGCCTCAACTCCCAATGGGTTGACATTGGAGTGACAGGAGTAGGCACTGGAGGCACTAAGGGAGGGTGAGTGAGCTGATTGTCAAGTTAGGAAAGGAAAACGAATGGAGTGGAGCTGAAGTGGCCCAACCCAGCGCATGGCCTGTGAAGCAGCAAAGTCTGGTCTTCATCTTCAATATGAGTAATGTCCTCTTACCACTCCTTATCTGTTACTGACAAGGTCTATTACCCTTTAGAGCCACCAGGCTTCCTGGCCTGGGCAACTCTACAAATTCTTTAGTTAAAAACACTACAAAGGGCCGGGTGCAGTGGCTCACGCCTGTAATCCCAGCACTTTGGGAGGCCAAGGCAGGTGGATCATTTGAGCCCAGGAGTTCAACACCAGCCTGGGCAATGTGGCAAAACCCTGTCTCTACTAAAAATACAAAAATTAGCCAGGCATGGTGGCAGGCACCTGTAATCCCAGCTACTCAGGAGGCTGAGGCAGGAGAACTGCTTGAACCCAGGAGATGGAGGTTTCAGTGAGCCAAGATCACGCCACTGCACTCCAGCCTGGGCGACAGAGCGAGACTCCGTCTCAAAGAAAAAATAAAAATAAAAAAACTGAAAAGGCCAGGTGTGGTGGCTCATGCCTATAATCCCAGCACTTTGGGAGGCCGAGGTGGGTGGATCATTTGAGCCCAGGAGTTCGAGACGAGGCTGGGCAACATGGCGAAAACCTGTCTCTATTAAAAATACAAAAATTAGCTGTTTGGAGGTCAGGAGTTGGACACTAGCCTGGCCAACGTGGTAAAACCCCATCTCTACTAAAAATAAAAAAATTAGCCAGGCATGGTGGCACAAGCCCATAGTCCCAGCTACTTGGTGGCCGGGGAAGGGGTGGCTGAGGCAAGAGGATCACCTGAGCCTTGGGAGGTCGAGGCTGCAGTGAGCCATTATGGTGCCACTGCACTCCAGCCTGGGCCACAGAGTGAGACCCTGTCTCAAAAAAACAAAACAACAAAACCAAAAAACCAAAAACATTAAAAACAACATCTCATCCAAGCATGGAGGCTCACACCTGTAATCATAGCACTTTGGGAGGCTGAGGTGGGAGGCTCACTTGACAGGAGTTCAAGACCAGTCTGGGCAACATAGTAAGACCCCTGTCTCTACAAAAACTTAAAATAACGAACTGGGCTTGGTAGTATGTGCCTGTACTTCCAGCTACTTGGGAGGCTTAGGTGGGAAGAACCCTTGGGCCCAGGAATTCAAGACTGTAGTAGACTACGACTGCATCACTGCACTCCAGCCTGGGTGACACAGCAAGACCATCTCTAAAAAATAAAATAAAGGCCGGGCGCGGTGGCTCACGCCTGTAATCCCAGCACTTTGGGAGGCTAAGGCGGGCAGATCACCTGAGGTCAGGAGTTCGAGACCAGCCTGGCCAACATGGTGAAACCCCATCTCTACTAAAAATAAAAAAATTAGCCGGGCATGGTGGTGGGTGCCTGTAATCCCAGCTACATGGGAGGCTGAGGCAGGAGAATTGCTTGAACCTGGGAGGCGGAGGTTGCAGTGAGCCGAGATCGTGCCATTGCACTCCAGCCTGGGCGACAGAGCAAGACTCTGTCTGAAAAAATAAAATAAAATAAAAACATCTCTCTCCATCATCATCTCCACATCTTCCTGACCTCTCTACTGGCACCCTCCTCCAAAAAGTCCAATCAGTTTAGGGTCTGAGTATCATCTCAGAGCCTGAGATGAGGAGTAATAACACCGATAGGAGATGGCTAGGCAGGCTCAGAGCCTATAAAGGATTATGCCATCTGAGGAAAGGACTCTAGTGTGTTCTAGCTGACTGAAAACAGAAAAATGCCAAGTACTAAAATATTTTAAGAATGTTATGAGCATCTGTAATGAGTGGGGGTGAGATGTAAAGTACAAAGAGAGTAAGAGCTGGGCTCCATGAAGACAGCATTCAGAAAACACTAGGCATAGTGTTTAAGAGCCCAACCCTTGGCTGTGAGCTGGAAGGCTCCCCTATGTTTCCTTCTGCCATCAACCCAACCAATTAGACTATTTCATGGGAGAAACAGTATCCCTCCTTTCTTCTCCCTCCTTTCCTCCAAACACTCACCCACTGTTACAAATGAACTAACAATTAGGAGAGGAAATGAGTGTAAACCAAATGCACCAAAAAAGAAATTCCTCAGTGCCATTAGCCACTGCAAAATAACTTCAGGCCCCCATCACTTCCCATGCCCAAACCAGAAACACTCATTAATACAATCTAACAAGTAGATTCACATGAGAAGAACTCCAAAAGGTAAATTCAAAATTCAAAACAAAAAATTAGAGCCATTTAAACATTTTAAAATATATATATAGAGAGAGAAAGAAGACAGAATCAGGAGTTCTGTGAGGCAGAGGAGAGGGGAGTGGCAATATCAACAATGGTTTCTATGCGTGAAAGGCCCTTCCTAAACCTCCTACCATAGCAAAGCTCCCCCGGTCTATCAGATGAACAGAATTCTAGATTTGTTTTCTCTTTCTCTCAAAGGCCACTGACAAGAAAGCAGCTATGGTATATTTTCCTTGACTGAGGGCTGGAGACTCAAAAACAAAAGCTATCTGCCCAGCCAGAGCCCTCTAGAAGGTTGCTGGGCTTGGGGCTATTTTACACTGGATAAGCCCTTCCTGAGTTTGGAAGCATCAATTAGAAGACTGCGGCAATTTGTCCTTTACGCTTTATATCCTACCCATTGCCCCGCACTCCCTCACCCCTAGGATGTACATAGAAAGTCGACACTAGGGGCACTGGGACTCTCAATTCTAGGGTGGCTGGGAAGGGAGGGAAAGCTGGGCCGAGCTCTACTTGTGACAACTGATACTACAGTTTCTTTTCCCCTGCTGTCACCCCCTTCCTCTCCCTATGGCCAGCCTAATGAACACCTGTCTCTCTATCCTCCATTATTTGCCTTTGTCTGACTGTCTAGTGGAGAGGCACCTGGCCTTGAAGTGCAAGGGAGTCAAATTCTCCTTTCAGTGCATAAGGGAGTGACTGGGAGAAGACAAGAGCAGGATTTTATTTCCTAGAAGATGGGTGAAGTCTTTCTTCAATCTGTCTCCATGTGTATAGAGTCACATCTTGCAGAAGGGGACAGTTAAAGACCAAGACATAGGCTTTTTTAAAGGACTCCTGACCTCATAAAGAGTTGGAATTTATTGCTCTTTGCTACCCTAGCTCCCCGTTGTCCTTCCACAGAAGGAACATTATTTCTGATGTCCTGGTTCCCTGGGCAAAGGGTCCAAGCACACCGGGGCAGGGCAGGTTGCTCTGGACAGTTTAGAGAGCTTTGTCCTTTCCCACCATTGCACAGCACACACCAGAACAATGCCCACCTGAATCCCTCTGAGTACATGTGTGCATTCAGCATGGAGCCACAGCTCTTTCAAGAATCACTCTTGCTATATGCAGAGTTATCAAAAGTCAAAGTCTGGGGAGAATTCAAGGATCCCAGTCCAGTCCTTCCCCAACAGTTGCATGAGTGTCAAAAGGCACTGTTTGTCCAGGGTTGGGGTGAAAATTTACCCTAACCCAGGAGGCAGGGACAACACTGTCTATATCAGTGTTTCCCAGTCTTGGCAATATTGACCCCTGGAGTCAGATAATTCTTGGCTGGGGGTAGTGGGGACTATCCTATGCAGTGTAGGATGTTTAGCAGCCACTAGATGCCAGTAGCACACACATCCCACCTCCAGGCGTGGCAATCAAAACTGTCTCTAGATGTTGCCAAAGGCCTGAGGGACAAAACCACCTCTGATTGAGAACTCCTGGTCTGTGAGTGAAGCAGCAGATCTTCCACCGTGTGGAAGGAGCCTATGTGGATTCAACTAGGTCGCAGCTGCAAAGGCTCTGAGCACAGCAATGTGTAACAGGGAAGAGAGGGGCCATGAAGCCCAGGACAGAAAATATCCTCCAGGAGGCAAGAAAGCAGGTACTCCCAAAAAGCTATACCTCAGATGCTGTTGGCCTTGGCAGTGAGAAGAGTTGATAAAAGTCAGTAAGTCCATTCTTCCGGAACTTGCCAGGGAAGACCTAGTCTTCAACCAAGTTTGGCTCAAGGGTGTGTTCCCAGGGCTGTGGAGTTGTCTCTTTAGTAAGCCTGGGTCACATCTGTGCTTTCTGAAGCCAAAGTCTAGTTTTTTCTCCCAGGGTGTGGCAGGGTGGGGGAAAGAACAGCCACTTCCATGGCCTACTTAGTGTTCTGCCTTGTTCCTTGCCCAGCCTGCCCCCCAACCCCAAATTCCACATGAAATTTCATTTTTAAAAATCCATAAAATTAAAAGCTGTAAAAGGGCAAAGTAGGCAGGCTCAGCTGTTTAGAAAAGAGAAAAAGAAGAATCTGGACAAGAGAAAGAAGGCATAATATGGGTGAAGAGGAGATGGGGTGCATGAGCTGAGAGCTTTACAAAATAACATTTTTAGAGCCTGCATACTTTTTAAAACACATACACACATGCATCAAAAAAGTCCATAACTAAGCTCAGTAAGTAGGGCTCCTTCATCGATGTTCCAGCACCACACCTTTCTGTTCTGTTTTGGTTTGTAAAGAAATAATTACAAATTGTTTTAAAAGCATTCCCAAATAATTCCAATACATCGAAAACTTTTTCATATAGATGAGAAGCTGCGACCACCATGTCTCTTCAAGGTAGGGGAAAAGTACGTTGCAGTTAAAAACAAAAAGCTTTCTTTGCAAAAGAAGAAAAGTTTTTTTGATCTCCTTGAATGTAGCACACAAAAAAAGTGATGGTTCCCCCAGGCTCCATCAGCAATAGTAAAGGGCAGGAACGTAGAGATTTCTTTTTCCAGGCCCAGGCCTGTGAAAAACGATGGCTAAGTGTTAGTCCTTAGCAGGGCCGACGGATGGTCTCCATTCCTGGTTAACCCTCTGGAATCTGGGAGCATGAGTATCTCCAAGAATTCATTTCTATTCAGTAAAGATGGGGAGGGGAATCCTAAAGAAGGCACAAGCCAGAGAGGAGACAAGACAAACATGAGAACCTGTCTGACTTCAGGCCGGGCTGAGCTGCTGTCTGCCAGTGCAGCCCTCCCTGCCCCCCAGCATGTGGTTCTTACCCACTGTTACTTGTTGAACTGGAAAGAATAGACCCCATGCTCTGAGGGTGCGTCCACTGCCACTTGGTTCTGTTGGCCGCTGCTCTCCTGTGCCATAGCCAAGGAGGGGGGTCATCTTGCGCATTCCTTTCCTCACCTCCACTACAGCAGCCTGACCAAAGCCCACCCTACATCGAGTGCCCTCCCAAACCTACCCACTCTCCACACTCATGTGTGAGTGTTTCCACCCACACCACCACTTCCCCAACCTTCCTACAGCCTGTCCTCTTCCCAAGACGCATTAGTCAATACAAGCCAGCATCCTGGTGTCAACTACTGGCTGGCCAAATGTAAGGAAGGGCCTCATTCATGAACTCAGACCAAGTCCTTCTTTCCTACATCTGCTGTTGTTTTTTTTTTAAATATGGAACGCTTCACAAATTTGCATGTCATCCTTGCACAGGGGCCATAATCTTCTCTGTATTGTTCCAATTTTAGTATGCATGCTGCCGAAGCGAGCACATCCTTCCTACGTTCTTCGTATACCTACCAGCTATTTGTGAACACAGAATCAGCATCATTGTGAGAGAAAGATCTTGATCAGGGGGAAACCTGCCTCCGTTCATTTTCCTAATCTCAATCCAAAGAAATGATAACACCCTTACCTCGACTGAAACACTGGAAGAAGGCACAGGGGTGTACTGGGAGATGTAAGCTCCTTGCATAGCTGCAGCCGTCGGCATATACTAGAAAGAGAAACATCAACAGGCTTACAGCAGTGATTTTTGGCTACATTTGAAGCAGCTGAGGGGCTTTAAAAAAAATACTGACACCTGTATTCTACCCCAGAGATTCTATTTTAATTGGTCTGAGCATTTGCATCTTAAAAGCACTTCAGGTGGTTCTAAAGTACACTGTTAGGGAGACGTCTCCCTATATGACTTATTTTCCTCCTCTTTCCTGACTTTCTTCTGCTTTTCCTCAACACACTCCCTTCTCTACCCTTGAGCCCTTTCTATGCAAAAAGGAATGCAGTAGGCCTAAAAGAAACCTAATGAGCTTCCTCCATCCTTCCAGGTACTATTTTGATGAGGATTCCTAGGACGTGTGTGTATCTTAAACTAATATGCAGACAGAAGCACTATTCACAAGGTGCATGAGTAGGAATCAGTTAAAAGGGGTGGGCTGGGGAGCAGAATGGCTGTATTCCTGGCTCATGGAGCACTACCATTGTAGTTTATGTCCTGTTCTGAGTGTGCCCCGGATGACACTGAAGTAATTCCATCATTATTCATAAGTTACTTACGCTGAAGAGTATTACACAGGTATGCCTTGCTCAGTAGGAGAGTTTACAATCAGAAATATCCTGCTTTACCGTGCCTGTGCTGCTGAGGGAGAGATGGCCCAGTTGCTGGGTAAGGGGTCCCATCATGGAGGCAGGCTGGAGAGAAATGGGATGGTCCATCCCTGGTGTCAGAACTGAACCCTAGAGGCAGCAACAAAGGACAGGGTTAGCTGCAGCATCCTGTGAGGCTGCCTAAAGCAGTGATCGGTGGCTGTCAGGACCACTGGAGACAGACATTTAAGAATCCTGGGAAATGGTAAGTGAGCAGCAACCCAACTATGCAACAAGAATAGGAACTCTGCCTGTCAGTGTGGAAGGACCCTCGTCTAAGAATAACAAGCTTAGGTCTTACTGCTGGGTTGCACAAGGGTCTGAGCCAGAACTCACACCCACATCTCCTGGCATCAAAGGCCTTTTTTTTTTTTTTGAGACGGAGTTTCACTCTTATTGCCCAGACTGGAGTGCAATGGCACGATCTCAGCTCACTGCAACCTCTGCCTCCCGAATTTAAGCAATTCTCCTGTATCAGCCTCCTGAGTAGCTGGGATTACAGGCACCCGCCACTACACCTGGCTAATTTTTGGCATTTTTAGTAGAGACAGGGTTTTGTCATGTTGGCCAGGCTGGTCTCGAACTCCTGACCTCAGGTGATTTGCCTGCCTTGGCCTCCCAAAGTGCTGGGATTACAGGCGTGAGCCACAGTGCCCAGCCAGTTTTTTCTTTACATCAAATTGCCTCTTTGGCTTCTGCCCACTTCTGAATACTCACTGAAGGCTGCATGAGGTATGAATGGTGGTGCATCCAGGATGGGTTAGGTACTTGTAGAGGAGATGTCTGAGTCACTCTCTAAAACAAGCAAAAACAAAAATGTTAATTGCCTGGAAACTATTATTCAGCCCACAGATCTAATAATGTTCAACAAAGCTCAGAAAAGTTTGAATGCCCCACTCAAAATAGAAACATTAAGAAAAACTGTTTTTAAAATATTAGCAATTCTTAAAACTCAATAAATAATCCAGTTTAAAAAAGGGCAAAAAGGAGTTCAAAATTATAGTGAGCTATGATTCTGACACTGCACTCCAGCCTGGGCGACAGAGTGAGACCCTGTCACTAAAAAAATTAGTAAAAAAAAAAAAGGGTTTGGAAAGATATCTCTCTAAGAAGATATACAAATAGCCAATGAGTACATGAAAGAGGTTCAAATGCAAATCAAAACCACAATGGGATACCACTTCATACCTATTAGGATGGCTACAATTATTATTTCTATTTTTTGAGACAGAGTCTTGCTCTGTTGCCCAGGCTGGAGTGCAGTAGCGGGACTACAGGTGTGCACCACCACACCTGGCTACTTTTTTTTTTTGAGACAGGATCTTGCTCTGTCACCCAAGCTGGAGTGCAGTGGCAGGATCTCAGCTCACTGCAAGCTCCGCCTCCCGGGTTCACACCATTCTCCCACCTCAGCCTCCTGAGTAGCTGGGACTACAGGTGCCCGCCACCATGCCCGGCTAATTTTGCTTTTGTATTTTCAGTAGAGACAGGGTTTCACCGTGTTAGCCAGGATGGTCTCAATCTCCTGACCTCGTGATATGCCCGCCTCAGCCTCCCAAAGTGCTGGGATTACAGGCGTGAGCCACCGTGCCCGGCCCACACCTGGCTACTTTTTGTATTTTTTGTAGAGACGGGGTTTCGCCATGTTGCCCAGGCTAGTCTTGAACTCCTCAGCTCAAGTGATCCGCCCACCTCAGCCTCCCACAGTGCTGGGATTACAGGTATGAGCCACAGTGCAAGGCCAGCATGACTACAATTAAAAGGATAGAATAACAAGTGTTTTACACTGCCACTGGTGGGAATGTAAAATGGTGCAGCTACTCTGGAAAATGCTTTGGCAGTTCCTCAAAAAGTTAAATATAGAGTTACTATGTAGCCCAGCAATTCCACTCCTAGGTATATATCCAAGTGAAATGAAAACATATGTCCACACAAAAACTTGTATATCAATGTTTATAGCAGTATTATTCATAATGATCAAAAGGAAACAACTTAAATGATGACCAATTGATAACTGGATAAACAAAATGTGGTATAGCCATATAATGGAATATTATTCAGCTATAAAAAGAATGAAGTACTGATAAATGCTACAACATGGATACATCTTGAAAACATACTAAGTGAAAGAAGCCAGACGCAAAAAAATCATATTGTATGATTTTACTTTTGTGTAATCACACAATCATACAATTTTCTGAGCTTTGCCTATTATATCCAGAATAGGCAAATCCATAGACACAGAAGTATATAATGGGTTGCAAGGACATTTCAATTAAAATTGGATTTGAAATAATCCAATATTGGATTAAATAATCCAAAAAGTGAGATTATTTAATAATTTGGCGCTAGGCCAACTGGTTAACACTCTGAAAGAAAACAGACTCCTATCTTATGCCATACACAAAGATAAATTCCTGATGATTACACATTTAAATGTAAATGTAAAACATAAAATCTTAGAGACCAGATACACAGTATAGAGACAGAGAATACTTTTTTAAATTAAGACAAGAAATTTAGCCGGGCGCAGTGGCTCACGCCTGTAATCCCAACACTTTGGGAGGCCGAGGTGGGTGGATCACCTGAGGTTGGGAGTTTGAGACCAGCCTGACCAACACAGAGAAACCCCATCTCTACTAAACATACAAAATTACCCAGGCATGGTGGCATATGCCTGTAATCCCAGCTACTTGGGAGGCTGAGGCAGGAGAATCACTTGAACCCAGGAGGCAGAGGTTGCAGTGAGCTGAGATTGGTCCATTGTACTCCAGCCTGGGCAACAAGAGCGAAACTCGGTCACAAAAAAAAAAAAAAAAAAGACAAGAAGTTCAAAAGTTATTTATTTATTTATTTTTTGAGACAGAGTCTCACTCTGTCGCCGAGGCTGGAGTGCAGTGGCGCGATCTCGGCTTACTGCAAGCTTCACCTCTCAGGTTCACGCCATTCTCCTGCCTCAGCCTCCCCAGCAGCTGGGACTACAGGTGCCCACCACCATGCCCGGCTAATTTTTTGTATTTTTAGTAGAGACGGCGTTTCACTGTGTTAGTCTGGATGGTCTCGATCTCCTGACCTTGTGATCCGCCCTCCTCGGCCTCCCAAAGTGCTGGGATTATAGGCGTGAGCCACCGTGCCTGGCCTCAAAAGTTATTTATAAAAGAAAAAGACAAATTTAACTATATAGAAATTTTAAACTTTTTTTTTTTTTTTTTGAGACATGGTCTTGCTCTGTTGCACAGGATGAAGTACAGTGGCGCGATCACAGCTCACTGAAACCTCAATCTCCGGGCTCAAGCAATTCTCCCACCTCAGCCTCCTGAGTTACTGGGATTACAGGCACGCACCACCTCACCTGGCTAATTTTTGTATTTTTTGTAGGGACAGGGGTTTTGCCATGTTGCCCAGGCTGGTCTCGAACTCCTGAGCTCAAGTGATCTGCCTGCCTCTGCCTCCCAAACTGCTGGGATTTCAGGCATGAGCCATCACACCTGGCCAAATTTTAAACTTTTATATGGCAAAAACTAGTGATTCCCACACTATGGTCCCTGGACCAGCAGCAGTGGCAGCAGCATCACCTGGGAACTTGTTGGACATGCAAATTCTTGCCTTCCACCCATCTTACTGAACCAGGAACTGGGTGTGGTGCCCAGCAATCCAGTTTTCAATAAGCTTTCCACATGATTCTGATACATCGCTAAAGTTTGAGGACCACAAATTCAACAGCCAAAAAATAAAATTGGAAAAAAATTTGTAACAAAGATAACATTTAGAAGATTAATACTTACATGGAGTTTTTATAAGTTGATGGGAAAAGAACAAATAACCAAATAGAAACATGGACAAAGCATATGAATAGCAATCAGAGAGAAGCCAATCAAACTATGACAAATGAAATGGTTAAATTCACCTATAGTAAGGGACATGCAAATTAAAATAACGATGTACTTTACATTCATCAAGACAGGAACAATTTTTTTGTTTTTTTTTTTGAGACAGAGTTTCACTCTTGTCGCCCAGGCTGGAGTGTAGTGGCGCGATCTCGGCTCACCACAACCTCTGCCTGCTGGGTTCAAGCAATTCTCTGGCCTCAGCCTCCCAAGTAGCTGGGATTACAGGCGCCCGCCACCATGCCCAGCTAATTTCTGTGTTTTTAGTAAAGACTAGGTTTCACCATGTTGGCCAGGCTGGTCTCGAACTCCTGACCTCAGGTGATCCACCTGCCTCGGCCTCCCAAAGTGCTGGGATTACAGGTATGAGCCACCGTGCCCAGCAAGACAGGAACAATTTTAAAAGAGCAGTAGCACCTATGCCTGGAAGGAAATGGGTACTTTCATACATGGCTGGTAGAAATGTGAGGTGACACAGCCTTTGTGGAAAGCAATCTGGCAACATCTATAAAACTGAAAATCCATATAGCATTCAACCTAGCAATCCACCTCCTGGGACTCTAGCCCCCAGAAATAGAAGCATTCATATATAAAAATATAGCACAAGGGTGTTTAGTGGAGCATTATTGATAGCAGCAAAAAAACGAATCTAAGTGAATGCCCCCATTGGGTATAGCTAAAGAATTCTGGCATATCTGCAGCATGAAATATAATGCAACCATTAAAAAAGATAAAATTAGAGCAGAGGATCTCAACATTAGCTGCAACAGAATCACCTGGAGGGCTTGTTAAAACCCAGATCACGGCTGGGCGTGGCGCAGCACTTTGGGAGGCCGAGGCGGGCGGATCACCTGAGGTCAGGAGTTTGAGACCAGTCTGGCCAACATGGTGAAACCCCGTCTCTACTAAAAAAAACAAAAATTAGCTGGGCGTGGTGGCGCATGCCTGTAATCCCAGGTACTCCAGAGGCTAAAACAGGAGAATCGCCTGAACCTAGGAGGCGGAGATTGCAGTGAGCCGAGATTGCACCACTGCATTCCAGCCTGGGCAACAGAGGGAGACGCCCTCTTAAAACAAACAAACAAACAAACAAAAGCCCAGATCACTGGGCCCCATCCTCAGAGTTTGTAATTCAGTAGATTTGGAGGGTAGTCCAAAATTTCTGTTTCTAAAAATTCTCAGATGATGCTGATGCTGCTTGTTCAGGGACCACACTTTGAGAATCACTGGTGTAGGATACTGTTAAGTGAGATGAGTGAATGTAAAAATATATTTAATCTGGTCCAATTTTTGTAAAATAAACAACTCCCCAAATGCTATACATATGTGTATTCATATGAAAAAATATGACAAATGCTACACAGTAGGACATTAACATGAGTTTACTTGTGGAGGTGGTGGAGGGGGAGTAAGAGGACACCATTAAAACTGTATACCATATATATGACCACATGCACAGATCATCTTTTACGCTGTTATGTAAAATTGTGTGTAATATGATTAAAAGGAAAAACAAAAAACAAGTAGTTCCTAGCCTTATATTACTTCACTTAAAGCACAGTAGTAGGGAAAACCACCACACCATTTTTCAGGCATGAACATACCTGATACGAAGACACAGGAGAGGAAAGGTATGGGGAGAGTGCAGACTGAGCAAGCATCCTGTTGGGGGTGATGTTATAGGGGGCTGGGTAAAACCTGTGGGAAGGAACCTCAATCAGTACTGAGTCACAGGAAACCACAAGGGAAGGGTCCCAACTGATAGGCACAGCCAACGTTCCCTTGACTTTCAAATAGAGAGAATCAAGATGAATCATTTGAGTGTCTGGACACAGGCCATTATCATTTTCAGGTGGCTTGATTATATAAAACCTTACCCATTCTGAAGAGCTGTGGTGGGGTCATAGGTCAAGGCCATGACGCCCTATAAAGAAAGAACACAGTGTTCACATTGTGAGCCCTTGAGTGAGAATAGGAGCTGGCCCAGAATGTCCAAGGCTGGGAATGTTTTGGTTTAACAAATTAAAGCCTAGACAAGTCCCACTACAGCTGTTTCAGAGTTTTTCTAATTGTGCAGGCCGCAAAGCCACACTCGAGAACAAACTGGCAGTATGTTCACAGCCAGCATTTCTCAATTACGTACTGTAGCTCTCAAGCTTTCCACCTAAGCTCACAGAAATCATGCCATGATCATTTCCGTTCCACTTTAATGTCGTTAGTACTCCTGTCTCCTCAGAGGTCCTCTTACCATGTCTGCATTCCTTGGCCAAGCCCGTCCATTTTGCACAAATTTTCCTTGGTTCTGTCGTTTCTTTGGCCCGCCATCAGCAAATTTGCAAAGCAAGGGATCGGATGGGGCTGCCGAGAGAGAAGGCAGATGGGCAGCTGAGTCCCACCTCATGTGGCCCAGGCACAGTCATGCAAAGCTGCTCCAGAATCTTCACTGGAAGTAACAACCTGTGGCCCTCTCAGCCTGAGCCCCAGATGCCTCACCTGGTACTCCAGGGGGTGTCTTAATATATTTTCCATTAAAGTGGGTGATGATGGCTTCACACTTCTCTGTGGACTCCATCCTAAGGAGCATAAGAGGGGTTAGGCTCTAGCTTCTCCAGGATCTGTGCTCTCCACACATTGAAAGAGAAAGCAAAGCTCTAAGTTCCCAGCCCCACAACTGCTCCAAATGTTATGACTACAGAAACACAGAGTGTCTGCCACACAAATTCAAGGTTCTTGAAGAGGTAACCCCAGCTTGTAATGAAGGTTCTTTCAACTGGTCCCTGTATGGGATCCTCATAGGAATAATGGCAGTCTTCAGACTATTAACATGGGCCCTCTCTTGTATCTGCCATATAAATAAGAATACAAGAAATAGAGGTTGTTACCATTATTTTTTATTAGAAAATTCTGAATGAAAATTGTTCCTTTAATTTGATAAAATTGTACAAGCTAAGAATTTGCCAATATTTATTTTTTGCTCCTTGTTGTAATTAAGGTCAAGGTCTAATTAGCTATTGATAATATCATTAATATTTCATGAATCTGTGGAAGGAAAAAGCAATAAGAAAGAGTTCATGGCCCATAGTGATAGAAAAAGGAATGTTGGAGTCTACTGAGTTAGTTTCTTGTTGGAGAAAGAGAAATAAGGAATCAGAAGACTGAGATTCCAGCACCACTTCGCCACCCAGAGCTCTGTGAGTTAGGACACTCACAAAAACCCTCTGATCCGCCGGGTGCGGTGGCTCACGCCTGTAATCCCAGCACTTTGGGAGGCTGAGGCAGGCAGATCACTTGAGGTCAGGAGTTTGAGGCCAGCCTGGACAACATGGAGAAACCCCATCTCTACTAAAAATACAAAAATTAGCCGGGAGTGGTGGCACTTGCCTGTAGTCCCAGCTACTCAGGAGGCAGAGGTGAGAGAATCGCTTGAACCTGGGAGGCAGAGGTTGTAGTGAGTCGAGATCACGCCATTGCACTCCAGCCTGGGCAACAGGGCGAGAATCTGTGTTAAAAAAAAAAAAAAAAAAAAGGCCAGGCTCAGTGGTTCACGCCTGTAATCCCAGCACTTTGGGAGGCTGAGGCGGGCGGATCACAAGGTCAGGAGATCAAGACCATCCTGGCCAACATGGTGAAACCCCGTCTCTACTAAAAATACAAAAAAAATTAGCTGAGTGTGGTGGTGCGTGCCAGTAGTCCCAGCTACTCGGGAGGCTGAGGGAGAAGAATTGCTTGAACCTGGGAAGCAGAGGCTGCAGTGAGCTGAGATCATGCCACTGCACTCCAGCCTAGGTGACAGAGCAAGACTCCGTCTCAAAAACAACAACAAAAAACAAAGCAAAACAAAAAAACCCCTCTGATCTACTCCTTATTTGTGCTTTAGAGATAACATCCATCTACCCTACCACATGGTGTTGTGTAGATCAAAGGAGATAATGTATATAAATGTGTTCTACAAATTATAAGGGACTATATAGAACAAGGAACAGTATTTTCACCTATTTCCATATTTAAATTAACTCAGTATATTTAATCTATTTCCCCATATTTAAAGTAAGACTCACATTTTCTGTGCCAATGACCACCAGAAATATGAACCATTCCTATAAAAGATTTTTTTTTTTTTTTTGAGACTGAGTCTTGCTCTGTCGCCCAGGCTGGAGTGCAGTGGCGCGATCTCGGCTCACTACAAGCTCTGCCTCCTGGGTTCACACCATTCTCCTGCCTCAGCCTCCCAAGTAAGCTGGGACTACAGGTGCCCGCCACCACACCCGGCTAATTTTTTTTGGTATTTTTAGTAGAGACGGGGTTTCACCCTGTTAGCCAGAATGGTCTCCATCTCCTGACCTCGTGATCCGCCCGCCTCATCCTCCCAAAGTGCTGGGATTACAGGCATGAGTCACCGCAACCAGCCAAAAGAAGATATTGTTAAAAGTCCTTAAATTGAGCCTTTTAGAGAAAACCACACATTAGGTATCGTAGAGCTGTGGTCTTCTGTTGGGTACTTCTACCCCTTACAGTCTTTCCAAAGGGTAAGCAGGCCGTGGAGCATTTCAGAATCTCAAGTTTCTCAAAAACTGTTAAATCTGATCTTCCTGAGGGAGAGCTCCTGACGGCTAATGATCAAGGCTGAAGTCCCCTCTTACAATAGCTCCTCTCAAATGGTTTCCAATTCTTTAGAAACAACAAAGTTGGGGGACTTTAGCAAGTTGTCAATTCACACATAAAAAATCAATTTTGATGACAGAACACCTTGGTTCTTGGCATATAATTCAGAAGGATTTTTTTGTTTGTTTTTTTAGATGGAGTCTCGCTCTGTTGCCCAGGCTGGAGTACAGTGGTGCAATCTCGGCTCACTGCAACCTCCTCCTCCCAGGTTCAAACGATTCTCCTACCTCAGCTCCCAAGTAGCTGGGATTACAGGCATGAGCCACCACGCCTGGCTAATTGCTGTATTTTCAGTAGAGATGGGGTTTCACCATGTTGTCCAGGCTGGTCTCAAACTTCTGGCCTCAAGTGATCTGCCTGCTTCGGCCTCCCAAAGTGCTGGGATTACAGGCACAAGCCACCACACCTGGCCAGAAGAAATTTTTAAAATTCCTGTTTTAACAAAATCCTTTCCACTCCCATCTACTTATTTATGAGAACAAGGTTTCTCAGCATGAAAACAAAAAGCAGAAACAGAACTGGCATTAAACTCTCCCTTGTTACAGTAATAAACAATATTAATTTATGCTTACCTGTCCTAATTAGAAAAATCTAAACAAAACAAAACCTATCCATGTCATAGATGCTTCTGTATATGCAATAAAATTTACTTCTATAAAATAATTTGGCCAGGTGTGGTGGCTCACCTCTGTAATCCCAGCACTTTGGGAAACCGAGTTGGGTGGATCACTTGAGGCCAGGAGTTCGAGACCAGCCTGGCCAACTGGGTGAAACCCTGTCTCTACTAAAAATACAAAAATTAGCTGGGCATGGTGGCATGCACCTGTAATCCCAGCTACTTGGGAGGCTGAGGCACAAGAATCGCCTGAACCCGGGAGGCGGAGTTTACAGTGAGCTGAGATCACACCACTGTAATCCAGCCTGGGCAACAGAGCGAGACGCCATCTCAAAAAAATAAAAAAAAAAATTTGGGCCAGGAACAGTAGCTCATGCCTCAATCCCAGCACTTTGAAAGGCTGAGGCAGGAGGACTGCTTGAGCCCAGGTGTTCAAGACCAGCTTGGGCAAAACAGTGAGACTCCAACTCTACAAAAAAATTAAAAAATTAGGCCGGGTCCAGTGGCTCACGCCTGTAATCCTAGCACTCTGGGAGGCCGAGGCAGGTGGATTGCCTGAGCTCAGCTCAGGAGTTCGAGACCAGCCTGGGCAACATGGTAAAACCCAGTCTCTACTAAAATACAAAAAATTAGCCGGGCGTGGCGGCATGTGCCAGTGGTCCCGGCTACTTGGGAGGTTGAGGCAGGAGAATTGCTTGAACCTGGGAGGCAGAGGTTGCCATGAGCCAAGATTGCAGCACTGCACTCCAGCCTGGGCGACAGAGTGAAACTCCATCTCCAAAAAAAAAATTAAAAAATTAAAAAATTTGCTGCCCCCACCATCCCCCCACCAAAAAATTAGCTGGGCATGGTGGTGGGGGCCTGTAGTTCCAGATACTCAGGAAGCGGAGGTGTAAGGATCACTTGAGCCCAGAAGGTCAAGGCTGTAGTGAGCCAGGATCGTACCAATGCACTCTAGCCTGCACAACCGAGTGAGACCCTGTCTCAATAATAATAATAATAATAATAATAATAATAATAATTTTGTATGAACATTTTATTTTATTTTATTTATTATTATTATTTTTGAGATGGAGTTTCGCTCTTGTTGTCCAGGCTGGAGTGCAGTGGTGTGATCTCGGCTCACTGCAACTTCTGCCTCCTGGGTTCAAATGATTCTCCTGCCTCAGACTCCTGAGTAGCTGGGATTACAGTAGCTGGGATTACAGGCGCTCGCCCAGCTAATTTTTGTACTTTTAGTAGAGACAGGGTTTCACCGAGTTGACCAGGCTGGTCTCGAACTCCTGACCTCAGGTGATCCACCCACCTTGGCCTCCCAAAGTGCTGGGCTTACGGGCGTGAGCCACTGCCCCTGGCCTTGTATGAACATTTTAATATATTTATGTTGTCTGGGCAATTGTGAGCTCATCATTGTAAAGATAACTTTTTTTTTTTTTTTTTTTTGGAATCTCACTCTGTCATCCAGGCTGGAGTGCAGTGGTGTGATCTCAGCTCACTGCAACCTCCATCTCCCAGGTTCAAGTGATTCTCTCACCTCAGCCTCCTAAGTAGCTGGAATTACAGGTGCCCACCAACACACCTAGCTAATTTTTATATTTTTAGTAGAGACGGGGTTTCACCATTTTGGCCAGGCTGGTCTCAAATTCCTGACCTCAAGTGATCCGCCCACCTCAGCCTCCCAAAGTGCTGGTATTATACAGGCATGAGCCACCATGCCTGGCCAAAATTTTTAATTTATATACATATTTTTGTTGCAGAGAAGTATGACAAGATGATCCATAAAGACTTTATAAAAATATTTTACACTAGAATACAATTCTATAGAGAAATGGAATAGAAACAAAATTCTATAGAGAAATGGAATAGAAACACAAGTTCAAGAAGAAAAAAGGAATATAAGAATGATATGAGATTTATGACTCTAGTAGTCCCCCCTTATCCTCAGGAGATACATTCCAAGTCCCCTAGTGGATGCCTGAAACCATGGATAGTACCAAACCCTAGATATACTACGCTTTTTCATCTGATGGCCACAATGGCTACTAAGTGACTAATGGGTGGGTAGCATTTGCAGTGTGGATACTTTGGACAAAGGGTGGGATGGAGCGGACAACATGAAATTTTTTATTTATTTATGTTTTTGAGACAGAATCTCACTGTGTCACTCATGTTAGAGTGCAGTGGTGTGATCTTGGCTCACTGCAACCTCTGCCTCTCAGGTTCAAGCAATTCTACTGCCTCAGCCTCCCGAGTACCTGGGACTACAGGTGCACACTACCACTCCTGGCTAGCTTTGTATTTTTAATGGAGATGGGGTTTTACCATGTTGACCAGGCTGGTCTTGACCTCCTGATCTCAAGTGATCTGCTCGCCTCGGCCTCCCAAAGTGTTGGGATTACAGACATGAGCCACCGAGCCCAGCCTGAAATTTAATCATGCTACTCAGAATGGCATACAATTTAAAAACTTTGTAACTATTTCTGGACTTTTCCATTTAATATTTTCAGTTGACTGTGGGTAACTGAAACCATAGAAAGTAAAACCATAAATAAGGGGGGACCACTCTATTTTTTTTTTTTTCTTTGAGATGGAGTTTTGCTCTTGTCGCCCAGGCTGGAGTGCAATGGCGTGATCTCAGCTCACCGTAACCTCCGCCTCCCAGGTTCAAATGATTCTCCTGCCTCAGCCTCCTGAGTAGCTGGGATTACAGGCATGCGCCACCATGCCCAGCTAATTTTGCATTTTTAGTAGAGACGGGGTTTTTCCACGTTGGTCAGGCTGGTCTCGAACTCCCGACCTCAGGTGATCTGCCTGCCTTGGCTTCCCAAAGTGTTGGGATTACAGGCGTGAGCCACCATGCCTGGCCGAGACTACTGTATTTAATTTAAAAAAAAATAGCCCTTTTTTTTTGAGGGGGGGTGTAGGGGTAAGGGGGACTAGGAAGTGGCTGGGGGTCCTATGGGCCCATAGCTCCATCCCCAGGGCAAGACCCACCCCATCTGCCTCCAGCCCTACCCATATTCCTGTATTGATTTATTTATTGAGACAGGGTCTCACTCTGTAGCCCAGGCCAGAGTGCAGTGGTGTGATCATGGTTGACTGCAGTTTTGACCTCCTGGGCTCAGGTGATCCTCCCACCTTAGCCTCCCAGGTAGCTGGAACTATAGGCACGTGCCACCATGCTCAGCTAATTTTTTTTGTTTGTTTTGTTTTTGTAGAGATGGGGTTTCACATGTTGCCCAGGCTGGTCTTGAACTCCTGAGCTCAAGTGATCTGCCCGCCTCAGCCTCCCAAAGTCGGGTTTTTTTTTGAGACGAGTCTCACTCTGTTGCCCAGGCTGAAGTGCATGTCGCCCAGGCTGAAGCGCCTTGGTGCAATCTGGGCTCACTGCAAGCTCCGCCTCCCGGGTTCACACCATTCTCCAGCATCAGCCTTCCGAGTAAGCTGGGACTACAGGCGCCCGCCACCACGCCCGGCTAATTTTTTGTATTTTTAGTAGAGATGGGGTTTCACCATGTTAGCCAGGATGATCTCGATCTCCTGACCTCATGATCCGCCCGCCTCGGCCTCCCAAAGTGCTAGGATTATAGGCGTGAGTCACGGAGTCCGGCCAAAGTCAGGTATTTTTTAAATGAATGATTTGTGTATCAGATTGCTATGATATTTAGATCTCATTTGAATACATTTTTAAACGAAGTAACAGTTTTATTTTAAATGCCAATATTTATAATTTGCTGGAAATCATACTTTGCATGAATCTGAATATATGAAGAAAACTTGTAGACATTAACATAGAAACATATAAGAGATTTCATAGTTTTTCAAAAGTCTCTAAAGCCACAGTTCCTAAACTGTGCTCTCAGGCACTGTGGGTGGCTGTGGTGAACTCAGAGGGTCACAACGAGGGTTATTTTAACTCTTTGAAGAAAAACAGCAATATCTGTTGGAGAATGTGTGCACTACTAACTCAAAATTGTACACTGCTTCAACATTAGTTCCCCCTACAATCCTTTTGATAGATAACATCATATTTTCACAAAGCTGGGTTTAAATAGTTGCTATGACAAAAGCAAATACCATAAGAAAACCAATACGTAACAGGAAATGAGTGTGTAGGTGTCCATTCTGATACCAAATTTTGAGAAGTTGTGCAATTCCAACAGGCACATATTCCATTAGTAAGTATAGTTAGAATGAAATAAAGACATGCTCTCTTTCAATGTTTGTGTATTATTTTTTCAAACAGCTACAAAGTTGTTAAAGCATAAACACTTCTTAAGCTGTATGGACCATGAAGTTACTGCTGTCAGGAAATTTTTTTAAAAAGTTGTGTGGACTGGCTGGGCGCAGTGGCTCATGCCTGTAATCCTAGCACTTTGGGAGGCTGAGGCGGCTGGATAACCTGAGGTCAGGAGTTCGAGAACAGCCTGGACAACCTGGTGAAACCACATCTTTACTAAAAATACAAAAATTAGCTGGGCATGGTGGCGGGCGCCTGTAATCCCAGTTACTCAGGAGGCTGAGGCAGGAGAATCACTTGAACCCGGGAGGCAGAGGTTGCAGTGAGCCAAGATTGTGCCATTGCACTCCAGCCTGGGCAACAGAGTGAGACTTCGTCTCAACAACAACAACAACAACAACAAAAATACAAAAATTAGCCAGGCGTGGTGGTACGCACCTGTGGTACGCGACAGAGCGAGACTCCGTCTCAAAAAAAAAAAAAAAAAGTGTGGACCATTCAGTTACTTAATAAATTGAACTGTTAGGTATTTCTTTTGGTCTAGGGTGAAAAACTATTAGATAACTAAGGGTGGCACAAACTGAGAAAGGTTAAGAACCTCTGCTCAACCTGCAAAATAAGTTCGATGGTCCCAAGCCTAGGAACTCTCCTTTAGATATACACGGGATTGCCAGCAGGTGGTGCTACTAAGCTTGAGTCAGCTGGGGAAGAGGAACTATTTCTTTTCTTCTTCTTCTTTTTTTTTTTTTTTTTTTTTTTTTTGAGATGGCGTCTCGCTTTGCTGCCCAGGCTGGAATGCAATGGCGCGATCTCGGCTTACTGCAACCTCCGCCTCCCGGGTTCAAGTGATTCTCCTGCCTCAGCCTCCCGAGTAGCTGGGACTACAGGAGCCCGCCACCATACCCAGCTAATTTTTGTATTTTTAGTAGAGACGGGGTTTCACCAGGTTGGCCAGGCTGGTCTCAAACTCCTGACCTCAGGTGATCCACCCGCCTCAGCCTCCCAAAGTGCTGGGATTACAGGCGTGAGCCACCACGCCCAGCCAAGAGAAACTATTTCTTGTTCCCAAGGTCTGAAACACTCAGAGTAAGGGGGTGTTCACGGACCAGACAAGATATAAAGCAAAAAGGGGTGCTTGGCTCACTTAGTCCAGTCATTTTGAAACTAAAAAAAAAAAAAAAAGTCAAAAGAATCTCCTTTCAAATAAAATCTTAAAATAAATAAAAGCAGAGCCATTTCTTAAGTGGGCTAAGGGAGGCTGATACCCTACGACAGTGAGGGCAGATACCAAAGCCCAAAGAAGGGCACCTGGGAAAACTGCAGGTATAGGGAATACTGTGGGAAAATTACTCATCTGAATCAATCTCCACTTCAGAGAGTGAACCAAGGCTCACAAGCTCTGATATCACAGGTGCAGAATTGTTCTGGAATACAGGTCTCCCAACAGATCTGAAAAGGAAGATCAAAACTTCTACCTCATCCTACTGCTCTCAAAGCCAGAAGGATCAGGGCTCTGCTCTAACACCCACTCCTGTAAGACCCTGGGCAAATCATTTCTACTGAAGAGTTCACTTTCCTCATCTGTAAGATAGAGAATATTTATCTCACAGGGATGTTGTAAAGATTAAATGAGACAAGATGAGAAATACTCAGTAAACTATAAGAATATACAGAATTTTTTACTCTGGTTGGGTCTGGATTAAAGGAACAAAGCCTAGAGTACTTCCCTAGGAAGTAGTAGGGAGCTTAGCCGAGTGTGGTGGCTCATGCCTGTAATCCCAACTGCTTAGGTGGCTGAGGCAGGAGGATCACTTGAGCCCAGATGTTCAAGAGCAGCCTGGGCAACACAGCAAGACCCCATCTTTATAAAAAAAATATTTAGGTGGGGCTAATGGGTTTTTGAGTATTGTAACCTATAATAAAATGAACCTTTTTTTTTTTTTTTTTTTTGAGACAGAGTCTCACTCTGTTCCCCAGGCTGCAGTGCAGTGGTGCGATCTCAGCTCACTGCAACCTCTGCCTCCCAGGTTCAAGCAATTCTCCTGCCTCAGCCTCCTGAGTAGCTGGGATTACAGGCATGCGCCACCACGTCTGGCTAATTTTTGTATTTTTAGTAGAGACGGGGTTTCACCATGTTTGCCAGGCTGGTCTCAAACTCCTGACCTCAGGTGATATGCCTGCCTTGGCCTCCTAAAGTGCTGGGATTACAGGTGTAAGCCACCGCACCTGGCCTAAAATGAACTTTTGACTTACCATCAAGTATTTTTGAATAATAGTAAAGTATTTTGACCTTGTGTGGGAAAGGCATAGATTTTGTTTTCTGGTGACCCCCAAGTGACATTTGTTATTAACCTCATCATTTCCCCACTCCTGCCATCCTCACCTTGCAAAGCCAACACCTCTGCTGGTCCCACTGGTATCTCGAAGGATACGGGTGGAGATAACCTGGCCAAAGGGCTTCAGCATCCCCTCCAGTTCCTGCTCATCCATTGACAGTGGGAGGTTTGAGATGTATAAATTTGTGGGGTCCTGTTCCTGTTGCTGTGGAAATAACAGTGAGAAAATGAGGCTCACATCTCTTATCCCTCTCCCACCCTCAGCCCTCCCCACAAATGACATTTCAGAAAAGAGACTATAGGAAGGGTCCCACATAAACAAAGATTATTCTATTTGTTAACACCCAGTCCCACTACCACGGGTTGTATATTGAGTTCCAGGAGGGAGAAGTGCAGATTTAATATTTCTAGTACTATACAAGCCCATCATACAAGTCATAAATGGTGTTTGGCTGTCTCTTTTAGAAACAGGCAGAGCAGCATTCCCGCTCTCCCCCAGCAGCCGGTCCCAGAGGCTGGATTCCCTCAGACTGCCTTGCTCCTTGGCTGGCTTGTTTTGAGCAGCCCCTCCCCACTTCTCTTCCAGCCACGCAGAATCCTCTAAGTAGGAATGCCTGTTCACTCCCTGATGGAGGAAGAGCAGGAGGAGGGGAGAAGGGAACAGGGAGAGAGCCAGATGCAGAGTTCACTGTGTCACCACGGAGCCCTGAAAGCTACAGTCTCCTAGGACCCTGAAGGCTCCTAAACCTTTGAGCTTTTGTCAGAGGGTTTTACTCCTGGAAGAAGAGGTAGGAGAGCCCTTCCAGGGGACAGAATGTGCAAAATGGCAATATCATCCAATAGTTGTATTTTTAAGAATTTAAGCAGTCACTCTGCCCTAAACAGTGGTCACCAGCAACCTTAATCCTCTTCTGCCTTTTCCTTTTGTTTTCCTTTTCTTTAACCATTACAGAAAAGGTGTCTAGCAGGCCTGCCTCACAAGCTCTATGTATAATACTCATAACAGCTTCAGAAAGGCAAAGGGACAGCCAGGCGTGGTGGCTCATGCCTGTAATCCCAGCACTTTGGAAGGCTGAGGTGGGCGGATCACAACGTCAGGAGATCGAGACCATCCTGGCTAACACGGTGAAACCCTGTCTCTACTAAAAATACAAAAAATTAGCTGGAGGTGATGGCGGGTGCCTGTAGTCCCAGCTACTTGGGAGGCTGAGGCAGGAGAATGGCGTGAAGCCGGGAGGTGCAGCTTGCAGTGAGCCGAGATTGCGCCACTGCACTCCAGCCGGGGCGACAGAGCGAGACGCTGTCTCAAAATAAATAAATAAATAAAATAAAATAGAAAGGCAAGGAGACAATCCCACCTAACAGAAGAAGTGAGAGAAAAGCTTCTAGATTTCTAGTAGTCTAGGTGAAGACAACAGTTTCAGACAGATCTGAGAAGAGACAGTTTCCTCCCTTGATGTGGCTTCCCTCCTGCCTCCCCAGCCCACTACCCAGCCCGTATGGGGAACAACATTAGGAGGTGGAGAGCATTGTTCTGAAATTCTGAGTTGCACAATTGACTTGTTCAGAGAATGTTGCAAAACCACCACAAGCTGTCTGGTAGGGAAGTGGGGCCAGGGTGAATAATATAGGGAACACGGGGAAGCAGCAGGAGTACCGGAAGAGGCCACCTTACCTTTCTTGCTGCCAATAACTTGGTGAAAGGAAGAGAGCTGATAGAGCTACCTGCCATAGACTTTGAATACATCTTCCTCCAGCAGCCAGGGGTGCTCATGGACTGTCTAGAAAGCACCACGGATAGCCCTTGCCCACTCAATTTCATGGTTCTTAAGCCCTCTGGAAACCTTAGAACTGGAACTTTGGTGCTAACCACAAACCCCTTGGAGGAACAGACATGGGGTAGTACCCTTACCTTTGCCATCTGTGCCTGTACACCGCTGGCCTTCAGTGCTGTTACAGCTTTCTGTGCTGCTGAAGGGCTGTCAAAATCTACAAAGCCATAGCCTGGAACAGAGGAAACAGCATCACTAGGAAGTGGGAGGTGTAAGGAACAGAGAGGTCCAGGCTTTTCAGGAGACAGAGGAAGAGTTATGATCCATGTAACAGAAATGGGAGGGAGAAAGAGCTATTGAGAGGTTTCAGGTAGTTATCCACATGCTCCTCAAACCCTGAGATGTGATCTACTTTGTGGCTAAGAATGCCAAGGCAATGAGCTACTCTGGTGTCCCTGCCCTTCTCCCTCCCCCTTAAGAAATTTGAGGTTTCAGGAACTAGGCTCTGCTAATAACCCAAAGCCCCCCTACACCTCTAAAAGAATTCACTCCCCTCTTTTCTTGATATACCCCAGAAATGCTAGGCATGTAGGGAATGCAGCCTCTCCAGAGCAGACCACCAGCCACCTGCTGGAAGAAGACCCTCACCACCCCAGCTTATAGCCCTTTCTCTTCCTTCCACTCTTCCAGCTCTATCTAGAACTGCTCAAAACCCCAATAAAACTACTCACCCTCAGAAAATAACACCCACCAAAACACTCCCCAAAAAAGGCATTTACATGACTTTGCTAAGCAGAAGAAAATCTCACTTACCCACTTCTACCACCTCATCCAGGGAAATACAAAGTCCAAAATAAGCTCAGTAGACTCAAAGGTGTTTTGTACAGTCTTCTGGCCTTGGGGCCCCTAAACAGCATTTTCAGCTCTAGCTATCTGGTCACCAAAGAATCTAAATATCTCCTAATCTTTTAAGCCTAAAAACTTCAGGGACTTCTCGCTGACACTGTAGACTCAGGACTCTCAGCAGTAAAGGGCAGTGTCAAGGGATGGCCTCACTTACTGGTGCTCTCCAACACCAAGGACAGTTGTTCTCTCACCTTTACATTTGTTTGTGGTCTTGTCCAGTATGGCCTTAGTGGAAACAATCTTGCCATATCTAAGGGAGAGGAAAATGCAAAGTAATAATCTGGGGGGCAGAGACTAAGAATAGGACAGAGATTCAGACATCTCAACAAATCCATGCCCTTTCCATGATCTAACTTTTCCTACTCAAACCTTCATAAAAATAAAAAAGAAACGGGGGCCGGGTGCAGTAGCTCACACCTGTAATCCCAGAATTTTGGGAGGCCGAGGCTGGAGGATCACTTGAGGTCAGGAGTTTGAGGCCAGCCTGGCCAACATGATGAAGCCTCATCTCTACTAAAAATACAAAAATTAGCTGGGCGTCACGCCAGTAGTCCCAGCTACTTGGGAGGCTGAGGTAGGAGAATTGCTTGAACCTGTGAGGTGGAGGTTGCAGTGAGCCAAGATGGCACCACTGCATTCCAGATTGGATGACAGAGCGACACTACATCTCAAAAAAAAAAAAAAAGAAAAAAAAGAAATGGGTTAAAAATGCCACACTTAATATAAACCCATCCTCCCCAAAGGTACCTAAAAGAAATAAGGTAACTGTAGTCCCTATAATACCAACACATTTCTCTCTTCTTTCCCAGCTAAGACTCACACACTAGTTGGAAAGAGATGACTGTCTTTTGGGGAAAGAAGCTTGGCAATGTCCACACGAAAGAGTGTGTAGAGGCAGAGCTCTGGCTGGAATTCCCTGAGGACTAAAAAGAATCCTTGCCATTACTTATTTTCTTTTGGAAAACACCACTGATCCTATGAAAAAACTATAGACATTTTTCTTCTCTGATATCCTATTTCCATCACCCCTCCACTGACCCCTTTAATTGAAGGTCAACCTGAGCCAAATTGCTTTGGTTCAAATCCTGGTTCTGCCACTTTTTAGCTATGCGTGATCTTGAACAAGTCATTGAACCTTTTGGTGTCTCAGCCTCATCATCTGTAAAATGGAGATAGGATTGTTAGGACTGTGAATTAATAAACAGAAATCATTAATGTGTACCACATGGTAAGCACTTAAAATTTTTAATTGCTATTATTATATTCAAGGAACCTCAACTTTAATATCTCTTTGCCTTACTCTAAGACTTCTATTTCTCATTGTCAAGATTTGAGAGTGTTAGGGAGGGGAGTGGGAACTGTAGTATTAAAAAAAAAATTGTGTGTGTGTGTGTGCATCAGGGTCTGGCTCTGTTGCCCAGGCTGGAGTGCAGTGGTGTGAACATGGCTCACTGCAGCCTCGAACTCCTGGGCTCAAGCAATTCTCCTGCCTCAGCCTCCTGAGGACCAAAGGTGTGTACCACAATGTCCGGCTAATTTTAAAAATTATTTGTAGAGACAGGATCTTACTATGCTACCCAGGCTGGTCTTTAACTCCTGGCCTCAAGCAGTCCTGCTGCCTTGGCCTCCAAAAGTGCTAGGATTACAGCTGAGAGCCACCATGCCCAGCTCTAAGAAAATCATCTTATAAACAAAAAACCATCTAAATTTTGGTGATAAGGCCAAAGGGCTGCATATCCTTTCTTCTTCTTCTTCTTCCTTCTTCTTCTTTCTTCTTCTTCTTCCTCTCCTTCCTCTTCCTCTTCTCCTCCTTCTCCTTCCTCTTCTTTTTTTTTTTTTGAGATGGAGTTTTGCTGTTGTTGCCCAGGCTGGAGTGCAATGGTGTGATCTCAGCTCACTGCACCCTCCGCCTCCCAGGTTCAAGCGATTCTCCTGCCTCAGCCTCCCGAGTAGCTGGGATTACAGGCGCCTGCCACCACACCCAGCTAAGTTTTACATTTTTACTAGAGACGAGGTTTCACCATGTTGGCCAGGCTGGTCTCAAACTCCTGACCTCAGGTGATCCACCCGCCTCAGCCTCCCAAAGTGCTGGGATTACAGGCATGAGCCACCACACTTGGCCAAGTTATAGATTTTTGTCCAGTAAAAATGCAAATTATTTCTGTGCAGTAGATAAAATAATTGCAAAGGTTAGTGGCTTTACTATCCTATAGGACATAAACCAGTTTTTATCTAATGTAGCAATCTTATTCCAACATTCTTTCTTCATTTCCTATAAATAGTTCCTCAAATGCTCTTTGAACTCATTTTGCCATCCTGCTGGTTCCCTCATTAATGAGTTATAAAAATCTTTGACACATATTCATTTTATATTTGCATGACAGTTGTGTTTTCTTTTTGTTTTCTGAAACAGAGTTTCACTCTTGTTGCCCAGGCTGGAGTGCAGTGGCGTGATCTCGGCTCGCTGCAACCTCCGCCTCCCGGGTTCAAGCGATTCTCCTGCCTCAGCCTCTGGAGTAGCTGGGATTACAGGCATGCGCCACCACACCCAGCTAATTTGGTATTTTTTAGTAGAGATGGTGTTTCACCATGTTGGTCAGGCTGGTCTCGAACTCCTGACTTCAAGTGATCCACCTGCCTCAGCCTCCCAAAGTGCTGTGATTACAGGTGTGAGGCACTGTGCCCAGCCTAACAGTTGTGTTTTTCAACTTTTTGAAAATTATACTTTGGTAGCAGAGTCATGTGGAACTTCTAAAACTTGAGTAGTAGTGTATCACAGATCAGGGATTATATTAGAAGCGTTCCACTAGAAAAAAGCCTCTACATTCCACTCCAGGAGGGTGAAAATATTAAAGAGACAGAACAGAAATCACTAACAAAGTCAGAAGTACAAGAGCTAACTGAAAATAGTTGTCAGGGAATGAATTTGAGAATAATACCCCAAACAAGCAATTTTCCCATCTCTCCTTCCATCCCTAAAGAACATATGATGATTGATTTGTTTTCACTCCTTGGCGGCATCTCACTGACTTTTTTAGTAGAACTTCTGTGATCCAAAGGATTAGACAGAATAAGCCAAGCAATGCCCTGAAAGCTGGGAACAGAACACATTAAAAGGAGGGTGAGGATGGATGTGGCTATCCTAGCCCTTCCAGGCTACACACTTGGATTCATTCCCAAATTGAGGCAGGGGAGGGACTCATGAGAAGTCTGACTGTGGGGCAGAGGACACAAGTGCTGCTATCCTTATGAAGGCCCCAGGGTGGAGCTTGCTGTGGTCTAGCAGCTGAGACTTTGAGCTCAGAATTTCCACTGCAGCTGGCAACAGCTGGGTCACTGCTGCTGCTTCCTTGAAGGAGCCCCTCCGAGAAACAGGAGTTCCAGTCCTAGACTCCACGCCTCTCCTTCCCACATGCCAGACTTTAGGATCCAGCAATATTTACTTCCTCTACAACCCAGGGAGAGACAACTGGGACAAAGGCAGGAAGTCCGTCTACGCATGAGAAACATCCTTCCTAGAAAGGCTTAACTCCCTGCTCACAGCGGACAGAGGGCTCCACCCACCTGCTCTGCTCAGCCTCCTAGTCAGGACTCCTCTGGCACCTCTTTCATTCCTGCCTCACTCCTGCCTCTCCACAGTCCCCTTTTGGGCTCCTTACTTCGATCCTACATGCTGCCCTTGACTATACTTATGCTTCAGACACAGCAAAAGATAAGGCAATTGTTCAGAAAGGCAAAATAAAAATCCCTCTGTATCTGTGGGTTTCCCACTTGTGGATTGAACCAGCCATGGATTGAAAATATATAGGAAAAAAAAAAAAGTCTTTCTTCTAAGAGAGGTTCAGGGAAAAAAAACTAAAAAAATAACTGTTGGGTACTATGCTTAGTACCCAGGTGACAAAATAATCTATACACCAAATACCCAAGTCCCGAGTTTACCTATGTAACAAACCTGCACATGTACCCCTTAACCTAAAATAAAAGTTAAAATGTTTTTTAAAAGAAAGGATGGTTGCATCTGTACTGAACATATACAGACTTTTTTCTTGTCATTATTCCCTAAACAATACAGTATAACATTTATTTACATGGCATTTGTATTGTATTGAGGTATCATAAGTAATCTGGAGATAATTTTAAAGTATATAGGAGCATGTGCATAGGTTATATGCAAATACTACACCATTTTATTTTATTTTATTTTTATTATTTTGAGACGAAGTCTTGCTCTGTCACCCAGGCTGTGGTGCAGTGGCGTGATCTCGGCTCACTACAACCTCTGCTTTCTGGTGGCGTGATCTCGGCTCACTGCAACGTCTGCTTTCTGGGTTCAAGAGATTCTTCTGCCTCAGCCTCCTGAGTAGCTGGGACTACAGGTGCCCACCACCACACCCAGCTAATTTTTGTAGTTTTAGTACAGACGGGGTTTAACCATGTTGGCCAGGCTGGTCTCCAACTCCTGACCTCAGGTGATCCACCCATCTTGGCCTCCCAAAGTGCTGGAATTACAGGCATGAGCCATCATGCCTGGCCACTATACCATTTTATCTAAGGGACTTGAAGCCAGGCTCAGTAGCTCATGCCTGTAATCCCAGCTTTTGGGGAGGCCGAGGCAGGAGGAATGATTGAGCGCATAAGTTTGAGACCAGCCTGGGCAACATGATGAAATCTCATCTCTACAAAATTTACAAAAAATTAGCCAAGCATGGTGGTGTGTACCTGTAGTCCTAGCTACTCAGGAGGCTGAGGTGGGAGGATTGCTTGAGCCCTGGAGGCTACAGTTAGTTGTGATTACACCACTGCACTCCAGCCTTGGTGACAGAACAAGATCCTGTCTTAAAAAGAAAAAAAAGCGTAGGGACATGAGCTCAGTGAATTTTGGTATCCATGCAGGGGGACAGAGGAGGTCCTGGAACAAATCCCCCCCAGATACTGAGGAACGAATATATGGTAGTCTAATCAAGATTCTTCTCTGAGCGAGGCACGGTGGCTCACACCTGTAATCCCAGCACTTTGGGCGGCCGAAGTGGGCAGATCACCTGGTCAGGAGTTCGAGACCAGCCTGGACAACACAGTAAAACCCCATCTCTAGCAAAAAAAAAAACAAAAATTAGCCCGATGTGGTGGCGTGCGCCTATAATCTCAGCTACTTGGGAGGCTGAGACTCAGTCTTAAAAAAAAAAGATTCTTCTCTGTCTTGTGATGTGAGAGAATTTTTGTAGCACATTATATTTAGTACAAGAAACAAAATTTAGAAATCAAGGACCTATATTAGTATGATACTCTTTCGCTCCCTCAAAAACCAACATTTCTGCTAATTCCCACCTCTCAAAAATTACTAGTCCAAGACAGTCCCCTTAATTCCACTTACATACCTTTCTAGCAAGGTAAGCTGAGATAACGGACCAGTTTTAAAATTTTTTTTAATATATATTTTTACTATATTTTTTATAGAGACAAGGTCTCACTATGTTGCCCAGCCTGGTTTTGAACTCCTGAGCTCAAGCAATCCTTCTGCCTTGGTCTCCCAAGGTGCTAGGATTACAGGTGTGAGCCACCACGCCCGGCCCAAGGACCAGTTTTTTATATACACCAGACTTTATTTTTTATTGCTTATTATTTTTTGAGCTGGACATCTGTGCACTCTTGCCATTTTTCCAACATTCCTAATTGGGCAATTCCATGAATCAAATCTACTAAAAAGAACTCCGAAGGGTCTTCATGGGGTAGATACAGAATAATTGTTCCTATCTCCACCTTCTTTATCTGCTAATTTGAGGTCTCCATTCCCAAGGAATATCTCCAGCAGCAGAAAGTCTCCAAAGTGCATGATTTGATTGGCGAGTCCCACTTTCTTCCATCCCCACTGCCAGCTCTCTCATGCCTTCTAATTAACATCTATAGAGATATTAAACTTCTCTATTCAAGGTGTAAGGACAGCAGTCTTTCCACTAAGACCATCAGGTTGGGGGAGGTGCTGGAAATAAAGTTGGATATTAGGCTTTAAAGGCCAGTCCCACACTGGCTTTCCTTAGAGAAACACATAAAGGCTTTATAATATATATCAGTAGCAGGTAGATTTTTATTTATTTTTATTTTTTTGAGATGGAATCTCACTCTATTGCCCAGGCTGGAGTGCAGTGGCATGATCTCGGCTCACTGCAAGCTCAGCCTCCAGGGTTCACACCATTCTCCTGCCTCAGCCTTCTAAGTAGCTGGGACTACAGGCACCCGCCACCATGCCCGGCTAATTCTTTTGTATTTTTAGTAGAGACGGGGTTTCACCATGTTAGCCAGGATGGTCTCGATCTCCTGACCTCGTGATCCGCCCGCCTAGGCCTCCCAAAGTGCTGGGATTATAGGCATGAGCCACCGCACCCGGCCAGTAGCAGGTAGAATTTTTTAAGAGGCTGCTGAGAAAGTTTGTGTCTATGGAGTAGAAACAAAATGCCATTGCCTTTTAGGATAAGTGAGCTGGCAAGGCCAGGAGTGGTGGCATGCATCTGTAATCCCAGCTACTGAGACAGGAGGATCACTTGAGCCCAGGAGTTCAAGACTAGCCTGGACAACATAACGAGACCCTGTCTCAAAACCAAATCTATACTGTCCCTGGAAGCCTACGCACATGTACTCCAACTTACGGCTGACACAGCTTGACAAGATCTTGGTCAGTAGTGCCTGGTTGCAATCCTCGGATGTATAGGTTGGTTTTGCTCAGCTGGTCATTTCCATTGCTTCCACTACTGCTGTTAGGTGTACTGTTGCTTGGGCTAGGTGGTGCCATCTGCTGAGCCAATGACACATATGGCTGCAGGGAGACATGAGGAAGAGGTAGAAGGATTATCCATTTACATGTTGGAGAGTGAGGAAGATCCTGGACCTCTTGAAAAAATGATTCCAAACTATATATAATCACAAATGTGCACTCACTTGGACACACATAGTTTGTTCCTTAGCTCTATATTTTAGCAGAGAAGAAGAAATTAATACCACATTGTGAGATAGCCCAAAGACTTAAAATCCTGTTGTAGCTTTTAATACATCCTTTATATTTCCTATTCCTTTTTCCCTCTTTTTGCCAGCACTTACATTAGGATTTCCCAGATAACAGTCTGTAGGCTGGGCGTGGTGGCTCACACCTGTAATCCCAGCACTTTGGGAGGCCGAGGCAGGCGGATCATGAGGTCAGGAGATCGAGACCATTGTGGCTAACATGGTGAAACCCTGTCTCTATTAAAAATACAAAAAAATTAGTTGGGCATGGTGGTGGGCGCCTGTAGTCCCAGCTACTCAGGAGGCTGAGCCAGGAGAATGGCGTGAACCCGGGAGGCAGAGCTTGCAGTGAGCTGAGATCGCGCCACTGCACTCCAGCCTGGGCGACAGCACGTTTGGAAAAGAAATGCAGGACGGGCGCGGTGGCTCACCCTTGTAACCCCAGCACTTTGGGAGGCCAAGGAGGGGGGGGGTGGATCACGAGGTCAGGAGTTCAAGACCAGCTGACCAACGTGGTGAACCCCCGTTTATACTAAAAATGCAAAAAAAAAAAAAAAATTAGCCAGGTGCAGTGGCACTCGCCTATAATCCCAGCTACTCAGGAGGTTGAGGCAGAAGAATGGCGTGAATCTGGGAGGTGGAGCTTGCAGTGAGCCGAGATCACGCCACTGCATTCCAGCCTGGGTGATAGGGCGAGACTCCATCTCAAAAAAAAGAAAGAAATGCAACTCAAAACCACAGTGGGATACCATCTCCCAAAAGTCAGAATGGCTAGTATTAAAAAGTAAAAAAATAACAGATGCTAGTGAGGTTATGAGGTTATGGAAAAAAGGGAACACTTATACACTGTTGGTGGGAGTGTAAATTATTTCAACCATTGTGGAAGACAATGTAGTGATTCCTCAAAGACCTAAAAACAGAAATATCATTTAGCCCAGCAATCCCATTGCTGTGTATATACCCAAAGGAATAGAAATCATTCTATCATAAAGACACAAGCATGTGTATGTTCGCTGCAGCACTATTCACAATAGCAAAGATATGAAATCAACCTAAATGCCCATCAATGGTAGACTGAATAAAGAAAAGATTGTACATATACACATGGAATACTACGGAGCCATAAAGAAGAATGAGATCCTGTCCTTTGCAGGAACATGGTTGGAGCTGGAGGCCATTATCCTTAGCAAACTAATGCAGGAACAGAAAACCAAATACCACATGTTCTCACTTATAAAGTGGGAACTAAATGATGAGAACACATATTTACATTAAGGGGAACAATACACACTGGGGTCTGTCTGAGGGTGGAGGGTGAGAGGAGGGAGAGGAACAGGAAAAATAACTAATAGGTCATGAGGCTTAATAACTGGGTGACAACATAATTTGTAAAACAAACCCCCATGACACAAGATTACCTGTATAACAAACCTGCACATATACCCATGAACTTAAAATAAAAGTTAAATAAATTTTAAAAAGAATCACTTTGAAATTTCCATTTAATTACTAGTTCTGCAATAATAATAATACACTGGTCCAGGCACAGTGGCTCACACCTGTAATCCCAGCGCTTTGGGAGGCTGAGGTGAGAGAATTGCTTGAACCCATGAGTTTGAGACCAGCCTGGGCAATATAACAAGACCCCATCTCTACAAAAAATACAAAAATTAGTTGAGGCAGGGTGCAGTGGCTCACGCCCGTAATCCCAGCACTTTGGGAGGTCGAGGTGGGTGGATTGCCTGAGCTCAGGAGTTCAAGATCAGCCTGGGCAACAGGTGAAACCCTGTCTATTAAAATACAAAAAATTAGCCAGGTGTGGTGGCATGCACCTGTAGTCCCAGCTACTCAGGAGGCTGAGGCAGAAGAATGGTGTGAACCCGGGAGGCAGAGGTTGCAGTGAGCCGAGACTGCACCACTGCACTCCAGCCTGGGCAACAGAAAGAGACTCCGTCTCAAAAAAAAAAAAAATTATGAAGGTTGTGATAAATATATATTTCATAAAGATAAAACGCAGTCAAGAAGACTATGACCTATGGCCGGGTACGGTGGCTCACACCTGTAATCCCAGCACTTTGGGAGGCCGAGGCGGGTGGATCATTTGAGGTCAGGAGTTCAAGACCAGTCTGGCCAACATGATGAAACCCCGTCTCTACTAAAAATACAAACATTAGTCAGGCGTGGTGGCACATGCCTGTAATCCCAGCTACTTGGGAGGCTGACACAGGAGAAATGCTTGAACCTGGGAGGCGGAGGTTGCAGTAAGCTGAAATCGTGCCACTGCATTCCAGCCTGGGTGACAGAGGGCGACTCCGTCTCAAAAAAAAAAAAAAAAAGAAGATTGTGACCTAAATCCTTTTTTTTTTTTTTTTTTTTTTTTTGAGGCAGAGTCTTGCTCTGTTGCCCAGGCTGGAGTGCAGTGGCCCGATCTTGGCTGACTGCAACGTCTGCCTCCCAGGTTCACACCATTCTCCTGCCTCAGGCTCCTGAGTAGCTGGGACTACAGGCGCCCGCCACCACGCCTGGCTAATTTTTTGTATTTTTAGTAGAGACGGAGTTTCACCGTGTTAGCCAGAATGGTCTCGATCTCCTGACCTCGTGATCCGCCCGTCTTGGCCTCCCAAAGTGCTAGGATTACAGGCATGAGCCACCGCGCCCGGCCGTGACCTAAATTCTTAATCACAGTTCCTGAGTTTAGAATAAGGAGTTCACTGCTGGAGATCATTAAATAAGATATGTCCTTCTTGGCCGGGCACGGTGGCTCACGTCTGTAATCCCAGCACTTTGGGAGGCCGAGGTGGGGAGATCACGAGGTCAGGAGATGGAGACCATCCTGGCTAACACGGTGAAACCCCGTTTCTACCAAAAATACAAAAAAATCAGCCAGGCTTAGTGGCGGGCGCCTGTAGTCCCAGCTACTCAGGGAGGCTAAGGCAGGAGAATGGCGTGAACCCAGGAGGCAGAGCAGAGCTTGCAGTGAGCCGAGATTGTGCCACTGCACTCCAGCCTGGGCAACAGAGCGAGACTCTGTCTCCAAAAAAAAAATGTCCTTCTTTATCTCTAAGGAGTTGCTATTATTGATCCTTAGCTGAGAAAACAAAGCTGCTTCTCTGAATATGAGACTGTAGGTCTGTCAGCGATGAGGGTGATGATGATGATAGCCACGATGTCAACAGTAACAATGATAATAAAAGCAACTGTCAGCTGGCGCGGTAGCTCAAGCCTGTAATCCCACCTGCTCAGGGGGTTGAGGTGGGAGGTTGGCTTGAGGCCAGGAGTTAGAGACTAGCCTGAGCAACATAGTGAGACCCTAACTCTTAAAAAAACAAAGAGGCCAAGCACAGTGGCTTAAGCCTGTAATCCCAGCAAATTGGGAGGCTGAAGCAGGCGGATCCCTCAAGCCCAGGAGTTCAAAACCAATCTGGGCAACCTGGTGAAACCCCACATCTATAAAAAAAAAATGCAAAAATTAGGTGTGCATGGTGGCACACACCTGTAGTCCCAGATACTCACAGGGCTGAGGTGGGAGGATCACTTGAGCCTGGAAGGCAGAGGTGTAAATGTTGCAGTAAGCAAGATCGTGCCACTGCACTCCAGCCTGGGTGACAAAGTAAGATTCTGTCTCAAAAAAAAAAAAAAAAGGAAAAAGAAAAAGGAAGGAAAGAAGGAAGGAAGGGAGGGAGGGAGGGAGGGAAAAAAAGAAAGCAACTTTAGTAGCACCATACTATGTGCCAAGCACAAGCAGATGAAGAGACCACCTGCCTCAGTTGGCGTTCATCTATCCCCATTCTCAATGTGAGATAATGTTTCTGAAAGAAAGTATCAGTGATGCCAGGACTGTCCAAACAAGAATACAAGGGTTACTGGGGAAATAAATAAATTGAAGAGAGGCAGCTGGTGGCTCACGCCTGTAATCCCAGCACTTTGGGAGGCCGAGGCTGGCGGATCATGAGGTCAAGAGACCGAGACCATCCTGGCCAACATGGCAAAACCCCGTCTCTACTAAAAATACAGAAATTAGCTGGGCGTGGTGGTGCGTGCTTGTAGTCCCAGCTTCTCGGGAGGCTGGGGCAGGAGAATGGTGTGAACCCAGGAGGAGGCAGAGCTTGCAGTGAGATGAGTTCTCGCCATTGCACTCCAGCCTGGGCGACAGAGCAAGACTCCGTCTCAAAAAAAAAAAAAAAAAAAAAAAAGCCCGGGCGAGGTGGCTCATGCCTGTAATCCCAGTACTTTGGGAGGCTGAGGCGGGTGGATCCACTTGAGATCGGGAGTTGGAGACCAGCCTGACCAACATGGAGAAACCCCGTCTCTGCTAAAAATACGAAATTAGCCGGGCGTGGTGGTGCATGCCTGTAATCCCAGTTACTCAGGAGGCTGAGGCAGGAGAATCGCTTGAACCTGGGAGGCAGAGGTTGCGGTGAGCTGACATCGCGCCATTGCACTCCAGCCTGGGCAACAAGAGCGAAACTCCGTCTCAAAAAAAAAAAAAAGAAAAGAAAAGAAAAAAGAGGCTATTGGTTTGCTGCCATGCTTACCATCTTGGTTTTAATACTAAGGTCTTAGCTATAGTTTAAAAATATGACTTAGTCAATAATAAACTTACTACAAGGCCTGAAAAAATTCTTAGAAAAGAAGATACGGCTCAGAAGAAAACAACTTTTCTGCCTTTATTGAGCTTACAGTCAGCAAAAATACTGTGGGACTGGTCCCTCTCATCAGGAGGTAAATTCTTTAGGCTTTTTGCTCTATAGTAAGCCATTGCTTACTATAAAACAACTTTTATCTCTTGCTATTCTCACGTACCTTCTGAAATTGCTGCATAGGTTTGACACCAAAGAAAAATGGTGGAAAAATATTCACTTTTAAGGGTAAGAGAATACAAGGGGGGAGAAATGGTTAAGAAAGCCCCTAAGTAAAGCTTATCTGGCTTCCTAAAACACTTTGGAGACAAAGACCCTGTAAACTAATAATATGTTTACCTATAATATGTAAGAGAGAAAAGGGTAATACGTATGAGCACCCAGGGAACTGACATATTCTTACCGGAGAAGGGAAGAATAAAAAGAAGCTATGGTTTCTCCAGAACCCTACCATGGATTCCCTTCTTATGTTTCTCAGCTGAGGAAGTTCTAATTCTTCAACAAGAGAGCATCATAAATGCGTTTATTTCCAAATTGATAGAGAGATGAAGGCTAGGGTAGGCAATGGCTTACTATAGAGCAAAAAGCCTAAAGAATTTACCTCCTGATTAGAGGGACCAGTCCCACAGTGTTTTTGCTGACTGTAAGCTCCATAAAGGCAGAAAATTGTCTGAGTTGCCTATCTTTGAATCCATAGTGACTTTATTGATGAATAAATAATATCATCAGTTAATATTATCAGTTAATATCATCATCATGAATGAGCTGCCTTCTCAGCTCCATTCAATCACTGATAAAGTGAACTACCAAGGGAGCAGTTTTACCTCTATACTTCTTTCATGTTATTTTGGCCTTAAATATAGTTCAGAATGTGGTTAGTATTAGTTCTCAGCAGCTGCTTAAAAGCTAAAAGACAGGCCAGGCAAGGTGGCTCACACCCATAATCCCAGCACTTTGGGAGGCTGAGGCGGGTGGATCACCTGAGGTCAAGAATTCAAGACCAGTCTGGCCAACGTTGTGAAACCCTGTCTCTACTAAAAATACAAAAATTAGCTGGGTGTGGTGGTGCGTGCTTATAATCCCAGCTACTCCAGAGGCTGAGGCAGGAGAATCGCTTGAACTCGGGAGGCAGAGGTTGCAGTGAGCCCAGATCGCGCCACTGCACTCCAGCCTGGGTGACAGAGTGAGACTCTGTCATCAAAAAAAAAAAAAAAAGCTAAAAGACAAAGTCATGTTTAGTATAAGAGGAGATTACAGTGACATACTTTTACATTAAATACTTTAGATCATATGATCCCCAGAGATTTTTATAGGGTATCTTACAGCATAATTCTCTATCCTTTATTTATTATTTTTCAGGTCTCGCTATGTTGCCCAGGCTGGTCTTGAACTTCTGGGCTTAAGCAATCCTCCAGCCTTGGCCTCCCAAAATGCTGGGATTACAGGCCTGAGTGAGCCACTGTGTAGTATTATTTAAATACTACACCACCAATTTATAGGGAATTGAGGTTATTTCTCACTCCCTCTCTCCTTTTTTTTTTTTTTAAGACACAGAGTCTAGCTCTGTCTTCCAGGCTGGAGTGCTGTGGCATGATTATGCTCACTGTAATCTCAAACTCCTGGGCTCAAGTGATCTTCCTGCCTCAGCCTCCCAAGTAGCTAGGACTAAAGGCACACACCACCACACATGGCTAATTTTAAAAAACATTTGTGGTGGCTTATGCCTGTAATCCCAGCATTTTGGGAGGCTGAGTGAGGGGACTGTTTGAGGCCAGGAGTTTGAGACCAGCCTGGGCAACATGGTGAGACCCCCATCTCTACTGAAAATACAAAAATTAGCTGGGCATGGTGGTAGGCACCTGTAATCCCACCTACTCAGGAGACTGAGGTGGGAGGATCACTGGAGCCCAGGAGGTGGAGGCTGCATGAGCTGAGATCGTGTCACTGCATTCCAGCCTGGGTGACAGAGTGAGACCTGGTCTCAAAATAAAATAAAATGCATAGAGGCGGAGTCTTGCTATGTTGCCCAGGCTGATCTTGAACTCCTAGCCTCAAACAATCCTCCCACTTCAGCCTCCCAAAGGGCTTGGATTACAGGTATGAGCCACCATACCTGGCCAAGGTCTTCTTCTTCCTTTTTTTTTTTTTTTTGAGACCAAGTTTTGCTCTTGTTGCCCAGGCTGGAGTACAATGGCGCGATCTTGTATCACCGCAACCTCCGCCTCCTGGGTTCAAGTGATTCTCCTGCCTCAGCCTCCCGAGTAGATGGGATTACAGGCATGTGCCACCATGCCTGGCTAATTTTGTACCAAGGTCTTCTTAATATTATGTCTGAAAGATCTCAGTCTCAGTCCTAGACAATTAAAAAAAAACAAAACAGAAGGAATTGCTATATAATTTAAACAAAAGTAACTTTCTGAGTCAGAGAGAGGTAGTCCTCAAGATGTTGAGGGCCAGCTCACTAAGTAGGTATCCAGGTACTTGGCTGCCTGCCTCAAAGCCCTAAATCTTTTTTTTTTAAAGTGTATATATCCTTTTATTCAGAAATTCCACTTGTAGGGATGCTTATATATGTGCACAAATATATATGTACAAGGATATTCATTGCATCATTCGTTATAATAGTAAAATACTGAAAAAGCATATACTCATCAATGAGAAAACTGGTTACATAAATTATAGTGCATACATAAAAGGAGTACCATGTAAGCCATTAAAAATAATATGGCACATCCATGTATCTTTTCCTGGAAGGATACTAAAAATATACTACTACATGAAAAAACTAAGCTGTTTAGTACCGCCACTACCACTGTTAATATTACTATTTTATTTTATTTATTTATTTAAAACATTTTATTTTAAGTTTCAGGATACATGTGCGAGTTTGCTATATAGGGAAACAGGTGCCATGGTGGTTTGCTGCACCTATCAACCCATCACCTAGGTACTAAGCCTCACATGCATTAGCTATTTATCTTGATGCTCTTACCCTGCCTGTCCATACAACAGGCCCCAGTGTGTGTTGTTCCCCTCTCTATGTCTATGTGTTCTCATTGTTCAGCTCCCATTTATAAGCAAGAACATGCAGTGTTTGGTTTTCTGTTTCTGTATTAGTTAGCTGGGGATAATGGCTTCCAGCTCCATCCATGTCCATGCAAAGGACATAATCTTGTTCCTTTTTATGGCCACATAGTATTCCATGGTATATATTTACCAGATTTTCTTTATCCAGCCTATCATTGATGGGCATTTGGGTTGATTCCATGTCTTTTCTATTGTGAAGAGAAAGCTCTAAATCTTTAAATATGCTTTCCACAAAGGCATCTCAAGTTCTCCTGGATCCTTGACAGCTGATAGGGGAAACATCAAGCCTCTGCAGACAGATGACAGCTCAATATGGGTGAATTATCTATATCTGCAAAGGAAGGAGAATTTTGTCCTTCGTTCTAATTTTAGAAGAATTCGGCCGGGTGTGGTGGCTCACGCCTATAATCCCAGCATTTTGGGAGGTCAAGGTGGGTGAATCACTTGAGGACAGGAGTTCAAGACCAGCCTGGCCAACATGCTGAAACCCTGTCTCTACTAAAAATACAAAAATTAGTCGAGCATAGTGGCATGCGCCTATAGTCCCAGCTACTCGGGAGGCTGGGGCAGGAGAATCGCTTGAAGCCAGGAGGCGGAGGCTGCAGTGAGCCGAGATCGTGTCACTGCACTCCAGCCTGGGTGATAGAGTTAGATTCCATCTCAAAAAAAAAAAAAAAACAAAGAAATTAAATTACAAGAATTCTTTTTTTAAAAAAGACTCAATTTTTACAGACTCTTCGTCAGATGCAGTGGCTCAAACTTGTAATCTCAGCACTTTGGGAGACCAAGGCGGGTGGATCACTTGAGCCCAGGAGTTTGAGACCAGCCTGGGCAACATGGTAAAACCTCGCCTCTACTAAAAGAAATACAAAAATTAGGCTGGGTGCAGTGGCTCATGCTTGTAATCCTAGCACTTTAGGAGGCCATCGTGGGCAGATCACCTGAGGTCAAGAGTTTGAGACCAGCCTAGCTAACATGGTGAAACCCCATCTCTACTAAAAGTACAAAAATTAGCCGGACTTGGTGGTGTGCGCCTATAATCTTAGTACTGGGGAGGCTAAGGCAGGAGAATTGCTTAAACCTGGGAGGCGGAGGTTGTAGTGAGTAGAGATCACACCACTGCCCTCCAGCCTGGGCGACAGAATAATCTTTATCACATACACACACAAAAAAAGAAATACAAAAATTAGCCAGGCATGATGGTGCATGGCTGCAGTCCCAGCTACTCAAGAGACTGAGGTGGGAGGATGGCTTAATAGAGTGATACTCTGTCTCAAAAAAGACTCCTGGCAGGGTGCAGTGGCTCACGCCTGTAATCCCAGCACTTTGGGAGGCCGAGGCAGGCAGATCACATAAGGTCAGGAGTTGGAAACTAGCTTGGCCAACATAGTGAAACCCCGTCTCTGCTAAAAATACAAAAATTAGCTGGGCGCCTGTAATCCCAGCTACTCAGGAGGCTGACACAGGAGAACTGCTTGAACCTGGGAGGATGAGGTTGCAGTGAGCCGAGAGTGCACCACTGCACTCCAGCCTGGGGGATAAAGCGAGACTCTGTCTCAAAAAAAAAAAAAAAAAAAAAAAAGGACTCTTAATTTTAAAAGAATAACTATTACTGATATTTGGCACTTGTTGTATATGGTGCTAAGTATTTTATTTATTTTTTGAGACAGGGTCTTGCACTGTCACCCAGGCTGGAGTGCAGTGGCATGATCATGACTCACTGCAGCCTTGACCTCCCAGGCTCAAGCAAGCCTCCCACCTCAGCCTCCCGAGTAGCTGGGACTACAGGCACTTGCCACTACATTTTTTAATTTTGTAGAGACACGCTATGTTGCCCAGGCTGGTTTCGTACTCCTGGGCTTGAGGGATCCTCCTGACTTCGCCTCCCAAAGTGTTGGGATTACAAGTGTCAGCCACTGCACCTGGCCTGTGCTAAGGATTTTATATCTACCATCTCAGTTATCCTACCTCTCTTGCTTTCCTTCTGCTTTTACGTGTGGCTGCTCACTCTGAGAAGGGAGTGATGCTTCTGGGAATAGAAATGTCCTTTCCACACGGGTGTCTTCACACATCTTTATATGCTAAATTCCAGTCATCCAACTAACCTTAAATCTGCTGTTCCCTAGCATCCTGCTTTGAATTTGAATAATCAATCAAAGTTTCCTTTTCTGTCTTGGTAACCAAGTGGGTACTGTCTAGGTTTCACTGGCAGATCCAAAGTCAAAAAAGCCCCAGCCTTGAGACTACTTCCCACCTCCAGGGAATAAAACTGAAATTCCTGCATTTCACACAAAAAAATCAGTGAAATACTAGAACTTTTTAAAAACATTACTTCCTTTACATGCCTACGTTTCTAAGGCAATACATTAGCTTTTAGTTAATAAATCATACTTCAAGACTCGTCATCACACTACCAGGCTTTTCATGCCTTCCTCTGTCACCCAGGCTGAGTGCAGTGGCACGATCTCGGCTCACTGCAACCTCTACCTCCTGGGTTCAAGCGGTTCTCCTGCCTCAGCCTCCCACGTACCTGGGACTACAGGCGCATGCCACCATGCCCGGCTAAGTTTTGTATTTTTAGTAGAGACTGGGTTTTGCCATGTTGGCCAGGCTGGTCTTGAACTCCCGACCTCAGGTGATCTGCCCACCTCGGCTTCCCAAAATGCTGGGATTACAGGTGTAAGCCACCATGCCTGGCCTCAAGTACTCAAATGTTTACTAAGTGAATGAATTAACCCATGTTTATTCTGAAAGCATTCAACATATATACATCAAGCAGGTAATCTCAAATTCTGCAAGTCTAAAATTAATTTCTGTACCTTTTCCTGAACTCCCTTATTTCTAATATCTCTTAACTTGTCTGACTGCCTCTGTTCTCCTACACCTCCAAACCACCCTCAATAATGCAGCTAGCATTAGCCTTCTCAAGTATATGTGATCATGTCATTTCTCTCTATATAAACCCATTAATGTTGCTCATTCACTTCCAGTCTACTTCATAAGAAGACTCATACCTAGAATACTCTTTTATTGGATTTCTTTACATATTTCTTTGCTACATGATGATATGCTACCATCCCTTACTTCTAAAAGCAAATCTAATATCATCCCAGACATCTAAGATTTTAGGCCACATGTGATGGCTCTGCTTAAATCTTGAAATCATGAGGGGCACAGTACAATTATGAGTCCTCTTCTAAATACCACTAATTCAAATGACTTCCGCCATTCCACCTCATGAGCATAAACCAAGGTTATGAGTAAAAACCTGCAAGGTTTCGTTTTCTAGGAGCCAAATAAAACCGCATGCCATTCAAAGGAGTGAAGCAAATTGATGGATGTTAGAGCAGAGATCTATCCCTTTTTTTTTTCTTTTTTTTTTTTTGAAACAGGGTCTTGCTCTGTCACCCAGGCTGGAGTGCAGTGGTGCGCGATCATAGCTCACTGCAGCCTCAAACTCCTGGGCTCAAGTGATCCTCCTGCTTCAGTCCCCCAAGTAGCTAGGAATACAGATGCATGCCACCATACCTGGCTGATTTCTAAATTTTTTGCTATGTTGTTTAGGCTGGTCTTGAACTCCTGGCCTCAAGCAATCCTCCTGCCTCAGCCTATCCCTTCCCTTCCTCCCTTCCTTTTATTATTTATTTATTTATTTATTTTTTTGATACAGAGTCTTGCTCTGTCACCCAGGCTAGGGTGCGATGGCGCAATCTCGGCTCACTGCAAATTCTGCCTCCTGGGTTCAAGCGATTCTCCTACCTCAGCCTCCTAAGTAGCTGGGATTACAGATGTGTGCCACCACACCCAGCTAATTTTTGTATTTTTAGTAGAGACGGGGTTTCATCATGTTGGCCAGGCTGCTGTCAAACTCCCAATCTCATGTGATCCACCCACCTCGGCCTCTCAAAGTGCTGGAATTACAGGCGTAAAGCCACCATGCCTGGCCTTTTTTTGTTTTGTTTTGTTTTTTTGAGAAAGGGTCTCACTCTGTCACCCAGGCAGGGTGGAATGTAATGACATGATCACAGTTCACTGTAGCCTCAACCTTCCAGGCTCAAGTGATCCTCCCACCTCAGCCTCCTGAGTAACTGAGACTACAGGCACATGCAACCACACCTGGCTAATTTTTGTATTTTTGTAGAGACAGGGTTTCACCATGTCGCTCAGGCTGGTCTCAAAACTCCTGAGCTCAAGCAATCTGCCCACCTCAGCCTCCCAAAGGGCTGGCATTACAGGTATGAGCCACTGCACCTGGTCTAGTCTATCCCTTTCTTAAGAGAAACCTGGAGAACTGACAATTCAGCCAATTCATGTCTTCTAATAACCCTGACATTGATTCTCACATGAAAATGACATTTAGGACATATCAATAAATAGCAAATGAGATTTAAGATTTAGAATCTGCTGCAGTTTATGAAATCCACCATAGTATAGGAGGATTAAGGAAAACATCTGGCTCTTCATTTTCTTTTTTTTGCGAGACGGAGTTTCGCTCTTGTTGCCCAGGCTGGAGTGCAATGGCATGATCTCAGCTCACTGTAACCTCCGCCTCCTGGGTTCAAGCGATTCTCCTGCCTCAGCCTTCTGAGTAACTGGGATTACAGTGCCCACCACCACGCCCGGTTAATTTTGTATTTTTAGTAGAGACGGGGTTTCTCCATGTTGGTCAGGATGGTCTCGAACTCCTGACCTCAGGTGGATCTGCCCGCCTCAGCCTCCCAAAGTGCTGGGATTATAGGCATGAGCCCCCGCACCTTGCCTGGCTCTTCATTTTCTAGCATAGGGCCTGACATAAGACTGATGGCCCTTGAGAACCATTTCAAACTAGTATGAGTGATAATACAGTCCTATCCTTCCCTTCCCCAGAACATTCATTAATCTGAGGGAAAGGCTGGTGGGGACGTGGACATAAAAATATATAACTCCTTCATCTTTCACCCAGAAAAAGAAAAATCGAATTCCCCTGTACCTGTAGCAGAAACTTCATGTTTCCTGTCTTACTGAGTCGCATGAAACTAGGAGAAAAGAGAGTGTCCTTCCATTTGCTCTCTTTCAAGAGATTATAATGATAGAAGGAGGGTGGCACAATGCCTACTTCCCAATCACTAGGTTTTCATCAGATCTTTTAAGAGAATGATCCAATCAGACGAGCTACTTGTAATTATAATCTAGTATAAGTAAAACATTGTCTTTAAAGAAGCTGTATTTCTGGCCCGGCCCAGTGGCTCAAGCCTGTAATCTGAGCGCTTTGGGAGGCAGAGGCAGGTGGATCGCTTGAGGTCAGGAGTACAAGACCAGCCTGGTCAACATGGTGAAACCCCGTCTCTACTAAAAATAAAAAAATTAGACGTGGTGGTGCACATCTGTGATCCCAGCTACTCGGGAGGCTGAGGCACAAGAATCACTTGAACCTGGGCGTCGGAGGTTGCAATGAGCCGAGATCATTCCAGCCTGGGTGACAGAGTGAGACTTTGACTCAAGAAAACAAATCAAAACAAATAAAGAAGTTGCATTTCTGAAAATTAAGCTCTCCGATCAAGTGCTCATTTAGTTTAGGTTCATAAAATTTATGAATCCTGTATCCATTCATTTGCCATCAAAGTCATCCTCACCCTGGGCCCTTAACTATGAACTGCCAGAGCAGTAGAAAACTCAATCCCACATCTGATACCTAGCTAAGTTCCTGGCACATAATAGGCATGGATATTTGTTAAAATGAGTGAAATAAACACATGGTTTGCTAATTGTGTATCATGTTAATAAATCCCTAAAAAGTCTCACAGATACACAATCCAGCAGCCTAACATCAAAATTCCTAATGCAACGGGAATGTGGATGATCCACAATACATATTCCTGGAGCCAGTGGTCTCCAGGACATATAACATAACTGAACGTTTGCCTAAAATACATTATTTCCTGGGTTCCAAGTCATTGTATCACCTAATAAGAGAAAGTCCACTTTCTCTGAGAAGTAACAGACCCCATAATAATTACCCATGAGATCCTTTGCACTATTTCAGTCATTCAGCAAATATTTGTTTGTTTGTTTGTTCTTTGAGACAGAGTTTTACTCTGTTGCCCAGGCTGGAGTGCAGTGGCACAATCTCAGCTCACTGCAACCTCTGCCTCCCAGGTTCAAGCAATTCTCCTGCCTCAGCCTCCCAAGTAGCTGGGATTACACGCATGCGCCACCATGCCCGGCTAATTTTTGTATTTTTAGTAGAGATGGGGTTTCACCATGTTGGCCAGGCTGGTCTCGAACTCCTGACCTCATGTGATCTGCCCACCTTGGCAGCCTCCCAAAGTTCTGGGATTACAGGTGTGAGCCACCACATCCAGCCAAGCAAATATTTGAATACCAACTATGTACAAACACTGCTTGATGCTCTGGGGACTCATAGATGAATGGTGTATGAGTGACGTATTTCATAATATATTTATTTATTAACATGCTCCACAGGGAGGTACATAATAAATTTAAATGCACATCCACAAGGAGTCACTAACAAGTTCACAAACTAGAGCTTACAATCTAGAAAAGTAGCAGAATGGGCTGGGCACGGTGGCTCACACCTGTAATCCCAGCACTTTGGGAGGCCAAGGTGGGTGGATCACCTGAGGTCAGGAGTTCAAGACCAGCCTGGCCAACATGGTGAAACCCCGTCTTTACTAAAAATACAAAAAAAATTAGCCAGGCGTGGTAGTGGGCACCTGTAATCCCAGCTACTTGGGAGGCTGAGGCAGGAGAATCGCTTGAACCTGGGAGGCAGAGGTTGCAGTGAGCTGAGGTCATGCCATTGCACTCCAGCCTGGGCAACAAGAGCGAAACTGTCTCAAAAAAAAAAAAAAAGAAAAGAAAAGTAGCAGAACAAAATATTTGTGCTAATGGTATAAGAATATGAAAGAAGACACAATTAATTCCTGAGGGTGAAGTCTCTCAAAAAAGACACTTGGGCCTTGAAAGGATAAGCAGAGCAATAATTAATTATTTTTTTAAATAGAGACAGAGACTCATTATGTGCCCAGTCTTGTCTCAAACTCCTGGACTCAAGCAATCCTCCTACTTTGGCCTCCCAAAGTGCTGGGATTACAGGCATGAGCCACCATACCCAGCCAGAACAATAAACTTTTTTCATTTTTGTTTTTTCAGATGGAGTTTCGCTCTCATTGCCCAGGCTGGAGTGCAGTGGTGCGATCTCAGCTCACTGCAACCTCTGCCTCCCAGGTTCAAGCGATTCTACTGCCTCAGCTTCCTGAGTAGGTGGGATTACAGGCACCCGCCACCATGCCTGGCTAATTTTAAAAATATTTTTTAGCAGAGATGGGGTTTCACCATGTTGGCCAGGCTGGTTTTGAACTCCTGACCTCAAATGATGCCACCCGCCTTGGCCTCCCAAAGTGCTAGGATTACAGGTGTGAGCCACCGCACCCGGCCCAGAATAATAAACTTTTAATGGAAAGCCATCAAGGAAATGCAAATCAAAATCACAACAAGCTATCACTTTATACCTACTAGAATGGCTATAATAAAAAAGACAGATAAGTTCTGGTAAGGGTGTAAAGAAATTGGAAACTGGAAACCTCGTATACCATTTATGGCATTGCAAAACGATGCAGCTGCTTTGGAGGATAGTTGGGCAGTTCCTCAAATGTTTAAAGCATAAAGTTACCATGTGACCTAGCAACTCCACTGCTAGGTATACACCTAAGAGAATTGAAAACATGCCCACACAGGGCCAGGTGTGGTGGCTCAAGCCTGTAATCCCAGCACTTTGGGAGGCTGAGGCAGTCGGATCATTTGAGGCCAGGAGTTTAAGACCAGCCTGGCCAACATGGTGAAGTTCTGTCTCTACTAAAAATACAAAAACTAGGCTGGGCACGGTGGCTCATGCCTGTAATCCCAGTACTTTGGGAGGCTGAGGCAGGGGGATCACAAGGTCAGGAGATCTAGACTATCCTGGTTAACACAGTGAAACCCTGTCTCTACTAAAAATACAAAAAAATTATATTTTTTGTATATAAAATATAATATACATTTATTTTATATTATTTTATTATACATATTATATTATACATTATATTTTACATTATAATGTACAATATATTATACATTATATTTTACATTATAATGTACAATATATTGTACATTATATTTATAATGTATTATAATGTATTATTATTTTTTATAATGTATTATTTTATAATGCATTATACATTTATAATAACCCATGGTGGCGGGTGCCTGTAGTCCCAGCTACTCAGGAGGCTGAGGCAGGAGAATGGCGTGAACCCGGGAGGTGGAGCTTACAGTGAGCTGAGATCGCACCACTGCACTCCAGCCTGGGCGACAGAGCAAGACTCTGTCTCAAAAAAAAATAAAAATAAATAAAAGTACAAAAATTAGCCAGGTGTGGTGGTGCATGCCTGTAATCCCAACTACTCGGAAGGTGGGGTATAAGAATCACTTGAACCCGGGAGGCAGAGATTGCAGTGAGCCAAGATTGTGCCACTGCACTCCAGCCTGGGCAACAGAGTGAGACCCTGTCTCAAAAAAAAAAAAAAAAAGAAAAGAAAGGGAAGAAAACATATGCTTACACAAAACCTGTACACAAATTTCACAGAAGCACTATTCATAATAGCCCAAAGTGGAAAGAAGACAAATGTTTATCAACTGATAACTGGATAAATAAAATATGATATATTCATATGATGAAATATTTATTCAGCCATAAAAGGGAAGAAAGTACTGATACATGGTACAATGTGAAGTAAGCCCAATAACATTATGCAAAGAGACAGAAGCCAATCACAAAGGACCACATGTTGCATGATTCCATCTATATAAAATGTCCAGAATAGGGCAATCTATAGATATAGAAAGTAAATTAGTGACTACTTAGGGCAATGGGAGAGGAGCAATGGGAGGATTAAGTGGTGATAGGTAAGTGGGTAGGATTTCCTTTTGGGGATAATAAAATGTTCTAAAATTGATTATGGTAGTGGATGCAAAACTGCATATACTAAGAGCCACTGAATTGTATACTTTAAATGTATGATGTGTGAACTTTAAACTGTATGATGTGTGAATTATATCTCAATAGAGCTGTTATAAAAATGTGATGAGGTACATGTTTATAGCAGCACAATTTGCAAATGCAAAGATACGGAACCAACCTAAGTGCTCATCGACCAACAAGTGGATAAAGCAAATGTGGTGTATATACACCATGGAATACTACTCAGCCATAAAAAGGAACAAAATAATGTATTTTGCAGCAACTTGGATGGAGCTGTAGGCCATTATTCTAAATGAAGTAACTCAGGAATGGAAAACCGCATGTTATATGTTCTCACTTATAAATGAGAGCTAAGCTATGAGGATGCAAAGGCACAAGAGTAATATAATGGAATTTGGGGACTGGGAGGGGAAGGCTGGAAGGAGTGTGAAGGATAAAAGACTACATATTGGGTACAGTGTAAACTGCTCAGGTGACAGGTGCACTAAAATCTCAGAAATCACTGCTAAAGAACTTATCCATGTAACCAAAAACCACCTGTACCCCAAAAACTATTGAAATTTAAATACATAGTTTAAAAAAATGTGATGAGGGCCAGGTGTGGTGCCTCATGCCTAGAATCTTAACACTTTGGTAGTGTGAGGCAGGTGGATTGCTTGAGCCCAGGAGTTCAAGACCAGCTTGGGCAACACGGCAAAGTCCCAGCTCTACAAAAAAGAAAAAAAAAAAAATTAAAAATTAGCTGGGCATGGTGGCATGTGCCTGTAGTCCCAGCTACTCAGGAGGTGGGAAGATCACTAAACTTGAGAGGCTGAGAATGCATTGAGCCATTATTGCACTACTGCACTACAGCATGGCAACAGAGCAAGACTGTCTCAACAACAACAAAATGTGATGAGGATGGGTAGACAGAAGAAGACATTCCAACCACTAAAACTATCTTGAGACGTTAGGTTACCAGACGTTACCATGAACTGGCATAGAATTCAGCCTAGGTGGCATCACTCTACTTCATTTCCAGGTAGAAAAGTCAGTCACAGGATAAATATATTTTACTGAAGCTCAAATCATGTAAGAGAAAGAAACAAATATTTCCTGCAACTCCTCTTCCTAAAAACAACAATGTAAAACAAGAAAGACATCTCTAAAACAGAGCCTGAGGCAGAGAATACACGCCACATAACTGCCCAGCATAGATGGGTTTTTTTTTGAGACAAAGTCCCGCTCTGTTGCCCAGGCTGGAGTGCAGTGGTATGATCTCGGCTCATTGCAAGCTCCACCTCCTGGGTTCAAACGAGTCTCCTGCCTCAGCCTCCTGAGTAGCTGGGATTACAGGCATGCGACACCACGCCTGGCTAATTTTTGTATTTTTAGTAGAGATGGGGTTTCACCATGTTGGTCAGGCTGGTCTCGAACTCTTGACCTTGTGATCCCCCTGCCTTGGCCTCCCAAACTGCCGGGATTAGAGGCGTGAGCCACCACCCCTGGCCTATAGCTGGTTTTAAAAGGTGACTCTATGGCCGGGCATGGTGGCTCACACCTATAATCCCAGCACTTTGGGAGGCTGAGGTGGGCGGATCACTTAAGGTCAGGAATTCGAGACCAGTCTAGCCAACATAGTGAAACCCCATCTCCACTAAAAATACAAAAATTAGCCAGGCGTGGTGGCGCACGCCTGTAATCCCAGCTATTTGAGAGTCTGAGGCAGGAGAATCACTTGAACCTGGGAGGTGGAGGTTGCAGTGAGCTGAGATCAAGATTGCACCACCGCACTCCAGCCTGGGGGACAGGGCAAGACTCCACCCCCGCCTCCAAAAAAAAGAGGTGACTCTAGGCCAGGTGTGGTGGCTCATGTCTGTAATCCCAGCACTTTGGGAGGCCGAGGCGGGTGGATCCTTGAGGTCAGGAGTTCCAGACCAGCCTGTACTCTACCCTGGGCCACAGAGCAAGACTATCTCAAAAAAAAAAAAAAAAGGTGACTCTCAGTACTTTTTTTTTTTTGAGACAGAGTCTTGCTCTGTTGCCCAGGCTGAAGAGTAATGGCATGATCCCAGCTCACAGCAATCTCTGCCTCCTGGATTCAAGTGATTCTCCTTCCTCAGCCTCCCAGGTAGCTGGGATTACAGGCGCCTGCCACCACGCCCAGCTAATTTTTTCGTATTTTTAGTAGCGATGAGGTTTCACCATGTTGGCCAGGCTGGTCTCGAACTCCTGACGTCAGGTGATCCACCCGCCTCGGCCTCCCAAAGTGTTGGGATTACAGGCGTGAGCCACTGCGCCCGGCCTTCATGGACAGTTTGAAATGAAGTATGGGGCTGGGTGTGGTGGCTCATGCCTGTAATCCCAACACTTAGAGAAACCAAGGCAGGAGAATCATTGAGGCCAGGAGTTTGAGACCAGCCTGGGAAACACAGTGAGATACTGTCTCTATATAAAATTTTTCAAAAAAGAAATTTGGAGGCTGAGACAGGAGAATTGCTTGAACCCAGGAGGCGGAGGTTGCAGTGAGCTAAGATTGTATCATTGCACCCCAGCCTGGGTGACAGAGTGAGACTTCATCTCAATAAATAAATAAATAAATAAATAAAAATAATAAAAAGAAATGAAATATGGGATGGTTAAAAAATAAATAAAGAGGCCAGGTATGGTGGCTCACGGCTATAATCCCAACACTTCGGGAGACAGAGATGGGAGGACTGCTTGAGCCCAGGAGTTTGAGACCATCCTGGGCAACACAGGGAGACCCTGCCTCTACAAAAAAATTTTAAAATTAGCCTAACATAGTGGTGTGCACCTATAGTCCTAGCTACTCAGGAGGCTGACCTGTGAGGATCACTTGAGCCGAGGAGGTTGAGGCTGCAGTGAGCCAAGATCGGGCCACTGCACTCCAGCCTAGGCAACACAGTGAAACCCTGAATAAAAAAAAAAAAAAAGAAAAACAAGAAAAAAAAAAAAGGAAACACAGGGACAGTCAATGGTTTTCGTTAACTATAAGCCCCATTTTTAAAAAAAAAAAACCCATACTTTAAATATGCTCAAATCAGTAGTCTAAAATGACACCAAAAAACAGGTAAAGGGATTTAGTTTACCATTTTACCTGAATCATCAAAAAGTCTACTAGAGCCAGGTGCGGTGGCTCATGCCTGTAATCACAGAATTTTGGGAGGCCAAGGTGGGAAGATCCCTTGAGCCCAGGAGTTTGACATCAGCCTGGGCAACATGGCGAAACTCTGTCTCTACAAAAAAAAAGAAAGAAAAATGCAAAAATTAGCTGGGCATGGTGGCATGTGCCCGTAAGTAGTCCCAGCTACTCTGGATGCTGAGGTGGGAGGATCACCTGAGTCCACAGAGGTTGAGGCTGTAGTGAGTGGTGATCATGCTACTGCACTCCACCAGGATGACAGTGAGACCCTGTCTCAAAAAAAATAAATCTACTAGATTTAAGCATTGATCTAATAAGTGAAAATGGAACCCAATCAAGAGAATCTTGTATCATCTTTTAAAATTTTTTATGTTTATTTTATTTTTTGACTCTTGCTTCTCTCTGGATTGTTATCATCTTAGGGAAAAACACTTATTCCCTACTCCAGATGTTTCTTTCAATGTAGACAGCCAAGCGTTTAGCATATCACCCCTCCCTTCTTAGTGACTAGAAGAAAAACACAGCTCCTTCTTTCCTATTTTGAGATCCAGCTAGCTGCAGAGAGTATACACTCAGCTTTGCTACTCTGAACTGGTCAAATTTTACATGGGTAAGTGCCCACACGAAGAAGTGCATAGGTTTTTGTTTGGTTTTTAAGTACTGCTTGTATTTAGGTGGATAAATCTGTCTAATTCTGGATTCAGTATTAGAACATCTACTAGCCCACAAATATAAGCTATCTTCTTGAATATTAGTTTTATTAGTAGTAAGTGTTACTTTATTTCTGTCAAACTTTTTCGTATTTCTCAACTGGATTGAAGTAAGAGGAGTGCTTCCAATTGAAACCCTCAAACCCCAACAATCTTTAAGAGCTATGCAAATATTATTTTTGGTAATTGAAATAGTGGGGTAAAGGTTAGAGTACAGCCCTACCAGTTTGCAAATCCTATTATTTGTAAAATAATAATTTAATAGTAATTCAATTTGAGTTAAAGTAAATCAATTTCATTCCTAATTAATGTCTTCATTTTACAAATGAGGGAAAATCAGATTCACTTTTTATATAACTAACTTAATTTTTCACTGTTCATTCAGCAACTGAATAGGCAAGGAATCAATGTTTACTCAATTTTTTAAAAAGTATTTTTCTTGACTATAAATCCCATTAACCAACAGAAAATGGTTAAAACACTGGCTCAAAAGTCGCAGAGACTTAGCGGTTTTGGGGTTTTTTTTTTTTTTTGAGTCAAGGTCTCACTCTGCTGCCCAGGCTGGAGTGTAGTGGCACAATCATGGTTCGCTGTAGCCCCAAATTCCTGGGCTCAAGTAATCTTCCCACCTCAGCCTCCCGAGTAGCTGCGACTACAGGTGCATGCTACCACACCTGGCTAATATTTGAGTTTTTTGTAGAGACTTAGTCTTGCCATGTTACCTAGTCTGGTCTTGAACTCTTGGGTTCAAGTGATCCTCCTGCCTTGACCTCCCAAAGTGCTGGGATTACAGGCATGAGCCACCAAGCCCAGCCAATATTTAGGTTTAATTCTACCATTGTCTTGTATTAGCTGTGTGACTTTGGATAAGTTGCTTGACCTCACCTATAAAATGGGGACAGTTAACAACACCTATGAAATAGGACTGTTGTGGGGATTAAAATAAATGCAGGTAGCCAGGTGTGGTTATTCTTGCCTATAATCCCAGCTACTCTGAAGACTGAGGTGGGAGGATCACTTGAAGCCAGGAGTTCGAGATCAGTCTGGGCAACATAGTGAGACCTTGTCTCTATAAAAAACAGTTTTTTAAAAATCAGCTGGGTGTGTTAGTGTACACCTGTAGTCCCGGCTACATGGAAGGCTAAGGCAGGAGGATCACCTGAGCTCAGGTGTTTGAGGCTGCAGTGAGCTATGATCACACCACTCCACTCCAGCCTGGGACAGAAAGTGAGATCCCCTTTTGCAATAAATAAATAAATATATACATATATGTAAATACAAATAAATACATAAATACATACATACATACATGTAAAACTCTTATCATGCTGCCTGAAACATAAAAGGAGCTGACATCTATTCATTCAATAAATATTCAATGCCCACTTTAGAGTACTAGGTACTACGTTAGGTACCAAGGACAAAATGCTTAGCTAAACCAGACATGGCTCTGGCCCTAATAAAATTTTCAGGAGTATTTAGTGGGGAGAGAGACATTAATCAAATAATCATAAAATAATTTAATAATTACCCACTGTGATAAATGGGCTACCAAAAAAAAGACAAAAAGAAGGCTGTGGCCTATTTTCATTAGACTAGTCAGAAAGATGACATTTAAGTATGAAAGACTTCAAGGATGAGAAGAAACTAGCCATTCGGAGAATGAAAGAGATCATTCCAGAAAGAGGGAGCACACGGTTAAAAGCTATAAGGTGGGACTTTGGAAGGAATAGAAGGCCAGTGAAGCTGGAATGTAATGAAGCATCCGGCCTCTCAGTTTTTAGAAGGTTTATGTGAGTTAAATTTTATAAAGGGCTTAGAACAGTAACTGGTATGCTCAGGAGGCTGAGGGAGGAGAATCACTTGAACCTGGGAGGCAGAGGTTGCAGTGAGCCGAGATCACGCCATTGCACTCCAGTCTGGGCAACAAGAGCGAACGAAACTCCATCTCAAAAAAAATAAAAGAACAGTAACTGGTATGTAAAAATACTGTCTATTATATAAAATAAAACTAAGAAAACAAGGTAATTATTAACTCCAGGGAAAACAAAAATTGAACAAAGGAACTATTATCATAGCATATTATATAGCTTAGCTAGAAATAATACTTATAAAATCATAATAATATAAATACTGAATACTGGTTTAACTAAAAATCATGACACAACTTATACACAGAAGGTGGGAAGAAAGGGGAAGCTGGAACATAAGGGCACGGGGTTTAAGAGAAATAAATCTTTACCCTCTATAACAGAAAGGCAATATCTGATTTGCTGAATCAATACACAAACATAGACTTATAGAATTGCTGAATTCTGGCTGGGCGCAGTGGCTCACGCCTGTAATCCTAGTACTTTGGGAGGCTGAGGTGGGTGAATCACTTGAGTTCAGGAGTTCCAGACCAGCCTGGCCAACATGGTGAAACCTCATCTCTACTAAAAATACAAAAAGTTAGCTGGGCGTGGTGGTGTGCACGTGTAATCCCAGCTACTTGCGTGGCTGAGGCAGGAGAATTGTTTGAACCTGGGAGGCGGAGGTTGCAGTAAGCCGAGATTGCGCCACCGCACTCCAGCCTGGGCACCAGAGCAAGACTCTGTCTCAAAAAAAAAAAAAAAAAAGAATTTCTGAATTTTATATAACTAACAACGAATGATTTGAAAAGGAAATTAAAACTGTTCCATTTCTAATAGCACCAAAAATAATAATATGCTTAAGAATAAGGTTAACCAAGGAGGCAAAAGACTTGTACAGTGAAAGCCAAAAACATTACTAAAAGAAATTGCAGAAGACACAAATATATGGAAAGACACTCCATGCTCATGGATTGGAAGCATTAACATTGTTAAGATATCAGGGCCAGGTGCGGTGGCTCACGCCTGTAATCCCAGCACTTTGGGAGGCCAAGGCGGGTGGATCACGAGGTCAGGAGTTCAAGACCAGCCTGGCCAAGATGGTGAAACCGTATCTCTACTAAAAATACAAAAATTAGCCGGGCTTGGTGGCAGGCGCCTGTAATCCCAGCTACTCAGGAGGCTGAAGCAGAGAATTGCTTGTACCCGGGAGGCGGAGGTTGCAGTAAGCTGAGATCACTGCACTCCAGCCTGGGTGACAGAGTGAGACAGCCTGAGACTCCGTCTCAGAAAAAAAAAAAAAAAAAAAAAAAAAAAGATATCAGTACTACTCAAAGCAATCTGCAGATTCAGTGTAATCCATATCAAAATCCCAAAAATGGGCTAGGTGTAGTGGCTCATGCCTGTAATCTGCAGATTCAATGTAATCCCTATCAAAATCCCAAAGATGGGCCGGGTGTGGTGGCTCATGCCTGTAATTCCAGGCACTTTGGGAGACTGAGGTGGGTGGATCACATGAGGCCAGGAGTTCGACACCAGCCTGGCCAACATGGCAAAACCCCATCTCTACTAAAAATACAAAAATTAGCTGGGCATGGTGGTGCACGTCTGTAATCCCAGCTACCCGGGAGGCTGAGGCAGGAGAGTCACTTGAACCCAAGAGGTGGAGGTTGCAATGAGCCGAGATCATGCCATTGCACTCCAGCCTGGGCAAAAAGAGCAAAACTCTGTCTCAAATAAATAAATAAATAAATAAATAAAATAAAATAAGCAAAGGACTTGAATAGACTTATCTCCAAAGAAGATTTACAAATGACATTTCACAAATGTGAAAAGACGTTCAACATCACTAATCATTAGAGAAACAGAAATCAAAACCATGGGATACCACCTCACACCCATCAGGATGGCTACTTATAAAAAAAAAAAAAAAAAGGCAGAAAACAACAAGTGTTGGTAAGGATGCAGAGAAATTGGAACCCTTGTGCAGTGTTGAAAACAGGACAGTGGTTCCTGAAAAAGTTAAAAATAGACTTGCCATATGATGTAGCAATTCCACTTCTGGGTATATACCCAAAAGAATTGAAAGCAGTGTCTCAAAGGGACACTTGAATGTATTTGTACACTCAAGTTCATAGCAACATTATTCACAACAGCCAAAAGGCAGAAGCAACCCAAGTATCCATCAATGGGAAAATGAATAAACAAATATGTGCTATATGTTGTACATACAATGAAACATTATTCAGGGTGAAAGGCAAGGAAACACTGACACAAGCTACAACATAGGTGAACCACGAGGACATTACACCAAGTGAAATAAGACAGTCACAAAAATATTGTATGATTCCACTTACATAAGGTACATAGGATAGTCAAATTCATCGAGACAGAAAGTAGAACAGTGGTTGCCAGAGGCTGGAGGGAGAGGAGAATGTGGAGTTGTTTAATGGGTATAGAGTTTCAGTTTTGTAAGATGAAAAGAATTCTGGAGATGGGTTGCACAACAATGTAAATGCACTTAATGCTACTAAACTGTATACTAAAATGTTCAAGATGAGCCAGGCAAGGTGGGCGCCTCACGCCTGTAATCCCAGCACTTTGGGAGGCTGAGGTGAGTGGACTGCTTGAGGTCAGGAGTTCAAGGCCAGCCTGACCAACCTGGTGAAAACTCGTCTCTACTAAAAATACAAAAATTAGCCAGGTGTGATGGCAGGTGCCCGTAATCCCAGCTACTTGGGAGGCTGTGGCAGGAGAATCACTTGAACCTGGGAGGCGGAGGTTGCAGTGAGCCAAGATCATGCCACTGCACTCCAGCCTGCACAACAGAGCAAGACTCCGTCTCAAAAAAAAAAAAAAAAGTTCAAGATGGTAAATTTTATGTTATGTATATTTGTCACAATTAAAAATAAAAATAGGCCAGGTGCAGTGGCTCATGCCTGTAAACTCAGCACTTTGGGAGGCCAAGGGGGGCAGATCATGAGGTCAGGAGTTCAAGACCAGCCTGGCCAGCATGGTGAAACCCCGTCTCCACTGAAAATACAAAAAATTAGCCAGGCATGGTGGCAAACGCCTGTAGTCCCAGCTACTAGGAAGGCTGAGGCAGGATAATTGCTTGAACCCACCAGGTGGAGGTTGCAGTGAGCCAAGATCACGCCACTGCACTCCAGCCTGGGAGACAGAGTGAGACTCCATCTCAAACAAACAAACAAAAAAAAAAAAGAAAGAAGGAGAGAAGGAGAGAAAGAGAGAAAAGAAAGAAGGAAGGAAGGAAGGAAGGAAGGAAAAGATCTTACTAAGAAAAAGAGTAGGAGGTAAGGAAACAGAGACTCTATATGGACTACTCTTTCAAGAAGCTCAGGCCAGGCATGGTGGCTCATGCTTGTGATCCCAGCACTTTGGGAGGCTGAGGTGGGAGGATTACTTGAGTCCAGGAGTTCAAGAACAGCCTGGGTAACATGGTGAAACCCTATCACTACAAAAATACAAAAATTAGCCGGGCAGAACTCCTGACCTCAGGTACTCTGCCTGCCTCGCCCTTCCAGAGTGCTGGGATTTTTTTTTTTTTTTTTTTTTTTTTTTTGAGACAGAGTTTCACTCTTGTCACCCAGGCTGGAGTGCAATGGCGTGATCTCAGCTCACTGCAAAATCCACCTCCCAGGTTCAAGTGATTCTCCTGTTTCAGCCTCCCGAGTAGCTGGGATTACGGTGTGCGCCACCACGCCCAGCTAATTTTTGTATTTTTAATAGAGACAGGGTTTCGCCATGTTGGCTAGGCTAGCCTCAAACTTCTGACCTCAGGTGATCCACCCACCTGCCTTGGCCTCCCAAAGTGCTAGGATTACAGGTGTTAGCCACCACACCAGGACAATCGTTAACCTTAATGATCATTTACTATGTGCCAGGCATTCATTACTAACAGCTCAATAAAGTAGATACTAGTAGTATGCCATTAGATATGGAGTTATGGGGGGAAAAGAAGGTCAAGGATAATATTAAGGTTTTTGGTCTGAGCATATGGAAGAATGAAGTTGCCATTTACTGAGACAGAGAACAGTTTTGGCAGGGCAGGGAGGAGAAGAGCAGGCAGGAGCTCTGTTTAAATATGTTAAGTTTGAAATGTCTAATAAATGTCTAAATGGAGGTGTCAGGTGTAATGTTAAATATATAAATCTAAAATACAGGAGGGCAGTCCAAGTTGAGAGTTCCAGTCCAAGTTGAGAGTTCCGTCATACGGGTGCTATTCAAAGCTATGAGACTGGATATAAATTTTTTTTTTTTTTTTTTTTGAGATGGAGTCTCCCTCTGTCACCCAGGCTGGAGTGCAGTGGCACAATCTCAGCTCACTGCAACCTCTGCCTCCTGGGTTCAAGTGATCCTTCCACCTCAGCCTCCCGAGTAGCTGGGACCACAGGCATGCACCACCACGCCTGGCTAATTTTTGCATTTTTGGTAGAGACAGGGTTTCACCATGTTGCCCCAGCTGGTCTCAAACTCCTGAGCTCAAGCAATCTGCTCACCTCAGCCTCCCAAAGTGCTGAGGTTACAGGCATGAGCTACTGCACCCGTCCAAGACCTGGATAAAACTATGAAGAGAGAAGTATAGACAGAAAAGAGGCTCAAGGACTGAGTCCTGGGGTACTCCAAGGTTTAGAGGTCAGGAAAATGAGGAGAAACCAGGAAAGGAACCAGAAAAAGAGAGGCCATAGAAATAAGAAGAAAACCAGGAGAGTGTGGCATTCCATAAGTCAAATGAAGAAAGTTTCTCAAGGAATAGAGTGATCAATTGTATCAAGTGTTGTCGATAGGTTAAGATGAAAGTTAAGAAATAAACATTTACTGGGGCTGGGCGCCGTGTCTCACGCCTGTAATCCCAGCACTTTAGGAGGCTGAGGCGGGCGGATCACGAGGTCAGGAGATCGAGACCATCCTGGCTAACACAGTGAAAATCTGTGTCTACTAAAAATACAAAAAATTAGCCGGGCATGGTGGCGGGCGCCTGTAGTCCCTGCTATTCGGGAGGCTGAGGCAGGAGAATGACGTGAAGCTGGGAGGCGGAGGTTGCAGTGAGCCGAGAACGTGCCACTGCACTCCAGCCTGGGCGACAGAGCGAGCCTCCATCATAAAAAATAAATAAATAAATAAACATTTACTTAATAACATGAGTCACTGCAGACTTTCAAAAAAGCAGTTTTGGTGGAGTGGTAGGAATAAAAGCCTAATTAGTTTGCTTTAAGAGGGAATGAGAGAAGTCTGACATTATCAAAAAATGGAAAGGATGTAAATCTATGACAAATTTTATACATTGTTGATGGAAACAGATTTGGTACAATACTTTGGAAATAAATTTAGCATTATCTCCCAAAGTGGAATATTCGCATACCTGATGGCTCAGCAATCCCACTCTTAGGTAGAAACCCAAGAGAAACTCTAGCACAAGGATACTATATACAGAAGAATGTTCAGAACAGCAATTTCAAAAACAGCAAAAATGAACAAACACAATCTAGAAACAATCCAAAAATCCCTTGGTAGGAGAATGGATAAATTACAGTATATTCACAAATGAAATATTGTAAAGCATGAAAAAATGGATAAACCACATCTATATGCAACATGAATGAATCGTGAAAACACAAAACTGAAGGTAAAAAAACAAAAACAAAAACAGAAGACTATGTGCTGCAATAAGACACTACAGCAGTGGTTGCAAGCACAGATTTGGAACTAGATTACCCGGGTTCAAATCCCAGTTGGGCCATTCACTAGCAGTATGATTTTCAAACTCTCTGTAACTCACTTTTCCTCATCTATAAGATGGGAATAATAATAATGAAGTTGTAAGGATTAAATAAGATAAAATATAGTTATATAACTATATATTATATAGATATAATTATATACAGTTATACAAAGTACTTAGAACAGTGCAAACAAGTTAATTAAACATGATTTTAAAACTATGTTTTTTGGGAAAGACTTTCAGTCCAAAATGGCAGTATAGAAGTAAACTGGCTTCACTTTCTTCCACAGAAAACTAAAACTATGTTTTTAAAAAGTAACAGGGCTGCTGGGCGCAGTGGCTCATGCTTGTAATCCCAGCACTTTGGGAGGCCAAGGTGGGCGAATCACTTGAAGTCAGGAGTTCGAGACCAACCTGGTCAACATGGTGAAACCCTGTCTCTACTAAAAACACAAAAATAAGCCAGGTGTAGTGGCATGCGCCTATAGTCCCACCTACTCAGAAGGCTGAGACATGAGAATTGCCTGAACCCGGGAGGTGGAAGATGCAGTGAGTTGAGATCACGCCACTACACTCCAGCCTGGGTGACAGAGGAAGATCCCGTCTCAAAAAAAAAAAAAAAAAAAAAAAAAGTAATAGGGCTGGGTGCCGCGGCTCACACCTATAATCCCAGCACTTTGGGAGGCCAAGGCAGGAGGATCGCTTGAGGTCAGGAGTTCGAGACCATCTTGGGCAACATAGCGAGTCCCTGTGTCTACAAAAAAATTTTAAAATTAGCCAGGTGTGGTGGTGAGTGCCTATAGTCCTACCTACTTGGGAAGCTGAGGCAGGAGGATCACAGGAGCCCAGGAGTTCCAGGCTGCACTGAGCTACGATCATGCCACTGCACTCCACTCTGGATGACAGAGTGAGACCCTGTCTCCACAAAAAATTTAAAAATTAGCTGGGCATGGTGACGCACATCTGTAATCCTAGCTACTCAGGAGGCTGAGGTGGGAGGATTGCTTGAGCCAGGGAGGTCGAGGCTGCAGTGAGCCACGATCGAGCCACTGCACTCCAGCCCGAGTGACAAAGTGAGACCCAGTCTCAAAAAATAAAATAAAATAAAATAAAATAAAAAGCAAGAGAGTAATAAATACAGAATTTAGGACAGTGGTTAGCTCTAGAAGAGGTGCAGAGGATGAGATGGAGAAATTCATGTGTACGTAATTTACAGGCAATGAATCTAGTCTAGTACTTGAGAGTACCTCTTACAGGTGTTCCTCTATTATTACACTTTATAACTACATGTAAACTTTTGTATTATCTGACAATATATTCAAGATAATAAAAGAAAAAAGAATGGAAGGAAATAAATTGGAGACAGCAAGTATATATGATTCTTGAATAGATAGCTCTTTCAAGATGTTTTACTGTAAAGGGAAGAAGAGAAATGAAACAATGGCTAGAAGAAGAAGAAAAAGTTTTTTTTTAATTTAATTATTTTTCTTTTTTTTTTGAGACAGAGTTTCGCTCTTGTTGCCCAGGCTGGAGTGCAATGGCACAATCTTTGCTCACTGCAACCTCCATCTCCCAGGTTCAAGCAATTCTCCTGCCTCAGCCTCTCTAGTATCTGGGATTACAGGCATGCGCCACCATGCCTGGCTAATTTTGTATTTTTAGTAGAGACGGAGTTTCACCATGTTGGTCAGGCTGGTTTCAAACTCCTGACCTCCGGTGATCTGCCTGCCTCGGCCTCCCAAAGTGCTGGGATTACAGGTGTGAGCCACCGCACCTGGCCAATTTTTTTTTCTTTTTTATACTCCATAGGTTCACAATTTTTAGACAGAATTTCATTCTTGTAGCCCAGGCTGGAGTACAACGGCACGATCTTGGCTCACTGCAACCTCTACCTCCTGGGTTCAAGCGATTCTCCTGGCTCAGCCTCCCAATTAGCTGGGATTACAAGCATGCATCACCATGCCCAGCTAATTTTATATTTTTTAATAGAGACAGGGTTACCACGTTGGCCAGACTGGTCTCGAACTCCTGACCTCAGGTGATCTGCCCACCTCGGCCTCCCAAAGTGCTGGAATTACAAGCGTTGAGCCACAGTGCCCGGCCCACAATGTTTTTTTTAAATAAGAGAAAAACAGCCAATATACAGGCTGATATGTGATTATAAACATTACCAATCCTCAAAATAATTCGACAAAATATATCAGTACTTTTTTTTTTTTTTTTTGAAATGGAATCTCGCACTGTCGCCTGGGCTGGAGTCCAGTGGCAGATCTCGGCTCACTGCAGCCTCTGTCTCCCAGGTTCCTCGCCTCAGCCTTCCAAGTAGCTGGGATTACAGGTGCCCACCACCACGCCCAGCTAATTTTTTTGTATTTTTAGTAGGGACTGGGTTTCACTATGTTGGCCAGGCTGGTCTCGAACTCCTGACCTCTGATCCGCCCGCCTCAGCCTCCCAAAGTGCTGGGATTACAGGCATGAGCCACCGCGCTGGGCCAATATATCAGTACTTTAAGATGAAAAATTCAAGGTCAGAAAGCCTAAGACACCTGGCGCTGGTCACACAGCTAATATGTGACAAAGCCACATTTAAATTCAGATCAATCAATAAATAATTACTTAAAAATAAATTCAGATCTATCTAACTCCGTATTTCAGGGTTTGTATAGAACATAATGCTTCCTTCCTTTGCTTAACCTTGATTTAGTGCCTACCATAGGCACTAAATGTGATAGCTTAATCACATTTATTAGGATATATATTTTTTGAGTATCTACTAGATAGGCCTAAGATGCTATATTAGGTATTTGGGGAGATAATAAACTGAATAACACTGTCTCTACCTTAAAGAGCTTACACTCTAGCAATGAAGATAAGACAATTACCTAAATGATTCCAATACAATGCAAAATTATATAAACACCATATAAGAAGCATAAAACATTATGGGGGTTCAGAAAAAAGTCCCCTTTGGAAAAAACAGTCCCCTCTGGGGCTGGGAAATGGAGGGATTAGCAGAAGCTTTATATAAGAGGTAATTTTCAACTGAACTTAAAGGGATGGGTAGGATTTTTAAAGACAGTTTTGACTGTGAGTTCTTAAAGGGCCACAGTCATGCCTTAACCCCAGGGCCTAGCATGCTGCAGCTGCTCAATAAACCTAAGTAATATGAGTGAAGTAAACAAATGAAACGAAAGGCCATTCCGGAATTAAGCAACAACAACAAAAAGGATCAGAGGCTGAATGCATAAGGCACAAGAACGACAAAAAGATCAGAGTTGGAGGGACGTGAATATGCATATTTTGAGAATAAGTACCAAGTAACTGGTCATGATTCTCTTTACATTTGTCTCCTACATCTCCCATCTTTAAGAAAATTATCTCAGCCAGGTGCAGTATCTCATGCCTGAAATCCCAGCACTTTAGGAGGCTGAGGTGGGAGAATCACTTGAGCCCAGGAGTTTGAGACCAGCCAGGGCAATATAGTGGGACCCCATCTGTACAAAAATTTAAAAATTAGCCAAGTGTGATGGCGTGAGCCAGTAGTCCCAGCTACTCGGGAGGCCAAGGTAGGAGAATCGCTTGAGCCCAGGAGGTTGAGGCTACAGTGAACCATGATTGCACCACTGTGTTCCAGCCTGGGCAACAGAGCAAAACCCTGCCTCAAAAAAAAAAAAAAAAAAAAAAAAAAAAGGAAAAAGAAAATTCTCTCTTGACAGCACCGCTATCCTCTTCTAGCTTTTATCTCATTTCTCTGGTCCCTTTTTTTAAAATAACAACTCTACTGAGACATAATTCACATACCATACACGTCACCCATTTAAGTATAAATTCAGGACTAGGCACAGTGGCTCACGCCTGTAATCCCAGCACTCTGGGAGGCCAAGGCAGGAGGATCGCTTGAGCCCAGGGGTTTGAGACAAGCCTGAGCAACATAGCAAAAGCCTGTCTCTATAAAAAAAATTTTTTTTAATTAGCTGGGCATGTGGCGCTGTAATCCCAGCTACTTGGGAGGCTGTGGCAGGAGGATCCCTTGAGCTCAGGAGTTTGAGGCTTTAGTAAGCTATGATTGTGCCAATGCACTCCAGCCTGGGCAACAGAGTGAGACCCTGTCTCTAAATAAAGAAAGCATAAATTCAATGGTACTTAGATCACAGAGTTGTGCAACCATAACCACAATTTTAGAACATTTCATTATCCCAAAAAGAAACACAATACCCATTACCAGTCACTCCCTATTTCTCCACTAAGCCCTAGGCAACCACTAATCGACTTTCTGTCTCTATAGATTTCCGTATTCTGGGCATTTCCCATAAATGGAATCATACAACATGTAGTCTCTTATGACTGGCTTCTTTCATGAGCGTCATGTTTTTAAGGTTCATCCACATTTAGCATGTATCAGTATTCCATCCTTTTTTCTTTTTTTTTTCCCCTAGAGATTTGTTTTGTTGTTGTTGTTGTTATTGTTGTTGTTGTTGTTGTTGGGACAGAGTCTTGCTCTGTTGCACAAGCTGGAGTACAGTGGTGTGATCCACTGCAGTCTCCACCTCCCAGCCTCAAGCAATCCTACCACCTCAGCCTTCCGAGTAGCTGGGGCTACAGGTGTGTTGCACACCAGCACGCCTGGCTAATTTTTGTACTTTTTGTAGAGATGGGGTTTTGCTTTTGCCATGTTGCCCAGGCTGGTCTAGAGCTCCTGGGCTCCAGCAATCCACCTGCCTCGGGCTCCCAAAGTGCTGGGATTACAGGCATGAGAAACCACACTCAGCCTAGTACCCCATTCCTTATTATTGTTGAATAATATTTCATTGTATGGGCATACCATGTATTTTATTTATCCATTCATCAGTTGATGGACATTTGGGTTGTTTCCACTCTGGACTATTATGAATAATGCTCCTATGAACATTTATGTACAGGTCTTTGTGTAACATATGTTTCCATTTCTCTTGGGCATATATCTAGGAGTGGAATTCCTGGGTCTTTCCTTAACCTTTTGAGAACCTGCCAAGATGTTTTCCAAAGCAGCTGTACCATTTTACATTCCCACCAGAAGTGTATAAAGGTTCCAGTTACTCCACATATATTATGTCTCTCTTTCTTTCTTTCTTTTTTGATACAGAGTCTTGCTCTGTCACCCAGAATGAAGACAGTGGGGCAATCAACCGCAGCCTTGACCTCCTGGGCTCAAGCAATCCTCCCACCTCAGCCTTCCAAGTATGAATAGCTAGGACTACAGGTGTATGCCACCACACCCAGCTAATTTTTGTATTTTTGTAGAGATGGGGTTTCACCATGTTGCCCCGGGCTGGTCTCTAACTCCTGGGCAACACGGTGCCGAGGAGATATTTGTCCTTTCGATTATCTTTTTGATTATTGACTGTCTTTTTTATTATCTGTCTTTTTCATTATAAACAGCCTACTGGGTGTGAAGTGGTATCTCATTGTGGCTTTATTTTATATTTCCTTGATGGCTAATGATGTTAAGCATCTTGCCATAGAGCCTGTGGATAAACATCGATTCAGATGTTTTGCCTACTTTCTATTTGGGTTCTGCTCTACATCTTAATCAATGTTCTTAAGAGATTAGTGTATATATACCATCTATACTTCCTTACTTGTTTTCACTCATCAACCTATTCCAACCTTGATTTTGCTCCCCATACCTCTGAAATTGCTTGTCAAAGTCATCAACCACCTTTACACTAACAAATTCAAAGACTATTCTTCAATCCTCATCTTCCAGCATTATAATTTTATGATTTGCACACTTGACTTTTTTTTTTTTTTTGATACATGGTCTCGCTCAGTTGCCCAGGCTGCAATGCAGTGGCATGATCATGGCTCACTGTAGCCTCGACCTCTACCAGCTCAGGTGATCCTCCCACCTCAGGCTCCTGAGCAGCTGGAACGACAGGCACACACCACCATATGTGGCTAATTTTTGTATCTTTTGTAGAGACAGGGTTTTGCCATGTTGTCCGGGCTGGTCTGGAACTCCTAGGTCAAGTGATCCTCCCACTTTGGCCTCCCAAAGTGCTGGAATTACAGGCATGAGCCACTGTGCCTGGCCATACTTGCCTTTTAATTCCAACTGACTTCTTAGTCCAGTTGATATTTTCCTTTGTCCTGTTTCTGTTCTGTATTTTTTGTTATATTGCATATTGCATATTCTCCTATGGAATAAGAAATGTAAACCAGCAACCAAAGGGCATATCCAGAAAACTGCATTAACGTAACTGGCCAGTAGAGCAAATGTAACAGTATCAAGGGGGCATGGTGGGGGGGTGGCGGGGGATGGGGAAGATAAGGAAAGGCCAGACAGATAGTAGGTGTTGGGCTAGAGATTTGCACTTTGTTCAGCAGGTAATATATAGCCATTAAAGTTTTTTTTTTGTTTTTGTTTTTGTTTGTTTTTGTTTTTTTGAGATGGAGTCTCGCTGTTGTCGGCCCCGGGCTGAAGTGCAATGGCGCGATCTCGGCTCACTGCAACCTCTGCCTCCCAGGTTCCAGCAATTCTCCTGCCTCAGCCTCCCAAGTAACTGAGATTACTGGTGCCTGCCACCATGCCTGGCTAATTTTTGTATATTTAGTAGAGACAGGGTTTCATCCTGTTGGCCAGTCTGGTCTCAAACTCCTGACCTCAGGTGATCCACTCACCTTGGCCTCCCAAAGTGCTGGGATTACAGGCGTGAGCCACTGCGCCCGGCCTACCACTAAACTTTAACCATTTGAGTTAACTTATTACTGATAACAGAACAGCTGCCCCAGTCAAGAGATGTTAGACCGACAAGTTCTTAATTCTCAGTCCTATTACATTTGATTTGATGGAAACTAGAAGGAAAAGTAGTAAACATACACAGAGAAAATTCTCTATCCTGTTAGAAGTACTAAGTGAATCCAGCACTGTTTGTCACTTCTCTCTCCTGAGTAAACACTCATGACAATCTCAGGTAACAAGCTTCTCAAAGAATGAGGATCTGGCAGTACCCACCAGTCAGCCTTACTTTCATCACCTCCTACTCCCCATCAGTCTTCAATATATTAACATTGAGAAGAAATAGAAATGTATGAAAAGTACGTTGGAGAAGGCAAATTATCCTAAGTTAAACACAGTCCCTTTTCTTTTTTTCCAAAGGAAATGGTTGTTGATCCTATGAGGAGTTAAATTATAATAACACATGCCAGAGAGATGATGTCAAGAAAGGCGTGGTTAGGCCCTTTACAAGTTTGAAATTCCTTTAGTCCCAAACATTTCCTCTTTCGATCTCACCTATACTCAAATCTCTCTACTTTGGCAACTTCTTCAAACATTGAAGAAACAGTGTTGAGACCCTGTCTCTTTTTACTTCAGCCTTTTTTTTTTTTTTTTAATGAACCAAGTTACTGAAGGGCATTAAAACTGATGTTTAAAAAAAAAAAAACACAAAATTATCTTGCAGAATCCCTCTTTGAAATCCACATTTTTCCCCTTCAGTAACTATTTTAATTCCAAAGAAAGGAAAAAAAAATTTAACACTACTTCCTGAGAAAAAAGTCCGCCTTTATTAGGCATTATACATTTGTTGACGGCATTCCCATATTTACCACCAGCCAATAAAGAGTAAGAAAACTATGACTGTCATGGGCTCCTCAGGAAACATCTTTCCTGATAAGTGAAGTATGTATTTCAAAATAAAATAATCCTACCTTTTATGTTTTATTTTATTTTATTTTATTTATTTATTTATTTTTGAGATGGAGTCTCACTCTGTTGCCCAGGCTGCAGTGCAGTGGCACAATCTCGGCTCACTGCAACATCCACCTCCTGGGTTCAAGTGATTCTCCTGCCTCAGCCTTCTGAGTAGCTGGGACTACAGGCGTGCACCACCATACCCGGCTAATTTTTGTATTTTCAGTATTGACGGGGTTTCACCATGTTGGCCAGGCTGGTCTCAAACTCCTGACCTTGAGCCATCTGCCCACTTCCACCTCCCAAAGAGCTGGGATTACAGGCGTGAGCACCAAAGTTAAATTTTTACAATAACTTTCATTAGTTTCAGTAAGAAACAGTAACTTTTATATAAAAGTTATATATAGGTAGGGCGTGGTGGCTCACGCCTGTAATCCTAGCACTTTGGGAGGCCGAGGTGGGCAGGTCACTTGAGGTCAGGAGTTCGAGAACAGCCTGGCCGACATGGTGAAACGCCATCTCTACCAAAAATATAAAAAATTAGCCAGGCGTGGTGGTGGGCCTCTGTAATCCCAGCTACTCAGGAGGCTGAGGCAGAAGAATCACTTGAACCCAGGAGTCGGAGGTTGCAGTGAGCTGAGATCGCCCCACTGCACTCCAGCCTGGGTGACAGAGCGAGACTCTGTCTCGAAAACAAACAACAAAAAAGTTATATATAAAAGTTGGCTGAGGTGGGAGGCTCGCTTAAGCCCAGGGGTTGGAGATTGTAGTGAGCCGAGATCATGGCACTGTCCTCCAGCCCAGACTGCAGAGTGATACCCTGTCTCAAAATAAATAAATAAATAAATGGGCCAGACAGTGGCTCACGCCTGTAATCCCAGCACGTTGGGAACCCGAGGCAGGCAGATTGCTTGAGGCCAGGAGTTCAAGACCAGCCTGGGCAACATGGCAAAACCTCGTCTCTACTAAAATTAGAAAATTTAGCTGGGCCTGGTGGCGCACACCTGTAGTCCCAGCTACCCAGGAGGTTGAGGCGGGAGAATCGCTTGAACCCAGGAGACTGAGGTTGCAGGGAGCCAGGATCGCGCCACTGGACTCCAGCCTGGGTGACAGGGTAAGACTCTGTCTCAAAATAAATAAATAAACAAATAAATAAAATTTAACTGAGTATGGAAAATACACAAATTACATAAGCAAATGCATCTACAACCCTTTCCAAAACAGAAACACAGTAAGCCCTACTTGACAAGACAAAGAGCAACGTAATAATGCTATAGTTTAAAAACACCCTCCCTGGTCATCTAGTGTTGAGGAAAAAAATTAAGTAAAATAAAAATAAAAATATGGGGCCAGGCGCAGTGGCTCATGCCTGTAATCCCAGCACTTTGGGAGGCCGAGGCAGGCAGATTACCTGAGGTCAGGAGTTCAAGACCAGCCTGACCAACATGATGAAACCCCGTCTCTACTAAAAATACAAAAAAATTAGCTGGGCGTGGTGGCGGGCACCTGTAATCCCAACTAGTCAGAAAGCTGAGGCAGGAGAATCACTTGAACCCAGGAGGCGGAGGTTGCAGTGAGCCGAAATCACGCCACTGCATTCCAGCCTGGGCGCGACAGAGCAAGACTCCATCTCAAATAAATAAATAAAAATATGGGCCAGGCTTGGTGACTCAAAGTATAATCTCAGCACTTTGGGAGTCCAAGGCAGGGCAGATCACTTGAGGTCAGGAGTTTGAGACCAGCCTGGCCAACATGGTGAAACCCCGTCTCTACTAAGAACACAAAAAAATTGTCCGGGTGTGGTGGCACTCCTGTAGTTCCAGCTACTTGTGAGGCTGAGGCAGAATTGCTTGAACCTGGGAGGCGGAGGCTGCAGTGAGCTGAGATCACACCACTGCACTCCAGCCTGGGTGACAGAGCGAGACTCCATCTCAAAAAAAAAAAAAGTAAAAATAAAAATATGAAAACCCTCCACGTTCACAAACTTATATAGGCACAAAAGGAGTCATATGCATGGCCACAGAGTGATGCACAGATACAGCATCCTTACATCTGATCATAACATTGACTTATAAGAACCCAAAGAATTGACAAATACATTAGTAATTAGTAATTATGTATCTACCTATCCTCCCCAACCAATTCCAACAATTCCTGAATTGTCAAACCTTACTAAGAGATTTCAACCCAAACCCACAACCATACCTCTTGTCCCCTATACTATCCTAGATTTAGAAGCTAATTAACTTTTTCCTATACTCCAAGGTGGGAGAGGGAGCAGAGAGCAAAAAGAGATTTTTAGATAGCTTCAAATACGTGAAACCTCTAATAGGGAAGCAATTCATTTTGGGAATTCATTTTATTTTAATGAGTTCTGGGTAACCTGAGAGAACTAGGAGGGAAAAAAATCAGGAAAGAAATTTTCACATGGTACTCTACAAGGTTTGAAAAGAATAAAGACATGTGAAATATTTCCCTTTCAAATATATACGTATAATATATAATGTATTATCTATACATATATTTGATAAAGGGATGTCAGTATATGTACATATAAACATATATTGATAACCAACAAATGTGTATAAACTCATATTTCATTTCTTTTTGAGATGGAGTCTTGCTCTGTCACCCAGGCTGGAGTGCAGTGGCACAATCCTGGCTCATTGCAACCTCTGTCCCCCAGGTTCAAGTGATTCTCCTGCTTCAGCCTCCTGAGTAGCTGGGATTACAGGCGCGTGCCACCAAGCCCAGCTAATTTGGGGTTTCACCATGTTGACCAGGCTGGTCTCGAACTCCTGACCTCAAGTGATCCACCCACCTTGGCCTCCCAAGTGCTGGGATTACAGGCATAAGCCACCATGCCCAGCCTCATTTCTTTTTTAAAGTAAATTTTATTGTGTATATTTAAGGTATACAACATGTTACGGGATACATATAGATAGTAGAAAGGTTACTATAGTGAAGTAAATTAATCATCCCACATAATTGTCCCTTTTGTTTCTTTTTGTGGCAAGAGGAGCTAAAGTCTGCTCATTTAGCATGAATCCCATATACAGTACAACTTTATCATCTATAGTCCTCATGTTGTACATTGGATCTCAGGATTTGTTCATCCTACATATCTACTACTTTGTATCCTCTGACCTATAGCTCCCCATTTCCTCTCCCCTCTACCCATATTTCTTCAGGATATAAACAAAATGAGTACCACACAGACTAAGCCCATAAATCAACATTAAGTGTTTTGGGTCTAAACATTTACCCACTGCATTGATCAGACACTTGTGTTTAAATCCACCTCTAATGGTCTCATTAGGTACATGAGAAAGCAGCAGGAATCGTTCCTCACCCTCCAACATTCCATTAGATGAGCAAAAGATTCCCTAAATGTCTATGTCACATTTTTTCTTCAAAGAACAGCTACAACACAAAGAGAGGGTAAAGAGTCTTCTTCCTGCTACAGCATGAAATTCCTCCTAATCAGTATGCTGTGCGCCCTGAAATGCCAGAAACTGCCAAATATATTCCTTGTCAAATATGGACAAGATTGTCCATCTCTCCCCATGTGCCCAAGGACAGCACAATTCTCTGGCAGCCATGGGTTAATCATAAAGACTCCTAGGATCACTGCAAAGTCTGGCTATCTGCAGAGGTCCAAGTATCAGTTCAAATACAAGATCCAAAGTATCACAGCGCTCTGTGCCTTAATCCCAAGGTGCGATGTCTCTCAAGACTCCTTCTCTATAGGCTGGGTGGGGTAGGATCTGTAGTCTAGAAGAGTATACCCAGCTCTTGATAAACTGTTGTGGTTTCTCTGACTATCTATGATTTCAGCTATCTAATACTACTGGTGGTATGGGTAGGAGGGAAGGTTGGGGAGAGAATGGAAACAGTTAATCAAAAAATAAAATAATCTTGTGGGGTGGGGTGGACTGGGGGACAGGGTCTGAAATGACATATTATCCTTGTGGAGATTGATACATCAGCAGGAAGTCAAACTAACTTCATTTCATAAGGATACAAACTTGCAAGCTTGATTTGTTTTTAATTCCCCTGTCTTTTCAGGCCTCGCAGAGACTGAAAGTTCCCTGAACTCCAGAACCAGTTGAGGAAAGATGCAGAAAGCAGTAGTGGAAAAGGGAGAAGCGCGGTGAGGAATTAGGAATCTTGAGAGAGGAAGCCCCTTCCCCTCTTTAAAAAGAATGTAAAAACCAAGGGCATTGCAAGATCCCCAGAAAAAGAAGTAGCTAGATACCAAAAAAGCGCTTTTCCCTACCTTCTTGTTGTTTCTATTGTAGCCAAAAGTCGAAATCCCGGGCCTGGAAGTCACGGATAGCAGCATTTTCTCTTTAATGTTAGGGAACGAGCGAGAGAGAGAGAGAGAGAGAAAGGGAGGGGGTAAGAAAGACGGGGAGGGAGGGAGGAGGGGAGCGAGGGAAAGGGGGAGAGGGAGGGAGGAAAAAAGGGAGGGGGAGGAGAAAGGAGGAGAAAAGGAGCAGGAGGAGAGAGATGAAGGGGGGCTGCGGGCAGAGAATGAGCTCGGGCTGCTCCTTTACGTCACTGAGAGAAGTTAACAGAGTCTGAATGAGGCAGAGGCACTTCCACTGGGTCCTAATGCCCAAGATGTTTTTTTTTGTTTGTTTTTCATAGTCTCAGGAGTTAAAGCTAGAAAGAAGAGTTCTTAGGTCTAACCCCTTTCAAATTTATCCCCTTTCCTCTATGAACAAGTTCCGATTCTCATATAAAGACAATGAGGGCTTTATTTCCACCCTTAGATCTCAGCTATAAGATTTCAAGCTTGATTTTAAAGGGGCTCCTGAGACATTGCCTTGGAGAACACGCAAAAAAAAAAAAAAAAAAAAACAGAGTTAGAGTGTGTGAGATAAGCTCAGGGCTTCCCCTACTTTACACTTACAGTGATTTTTTTTTTTTTTTTTTGAGACAGAGTTTTAGTCTGTCACCCAGGCTGAAGTGCAGTGGTGCAATCCCGGATCCGGCTCACTGCAACCTCCACCTTCCGCAATTCTCCTGCCTCAGCCTCTCGAGTAGCTGGGATTACAGGTGACCACCACCACACCCAGCTGATTTTTGTATTTTTTAGTAGGGACGGGGTTTCGCCATCTTGGCCAGGCTGGTCTCGAACTCCTGACCTCAAGTGATCCACCCACTCAACCTCCCAAAGTGCTGGGATTACAGGCATGAGCCACCACCCCTGGCCCATTTATAGTGATCTTAATGTACAAAGGAACAAACAGAGGAACACACCAAAGAGCAGAGCTAAGCAAAACAGAGTATGGGGTATAACTAGTTTCAGATCCTTAGATGTGTTTCTCTTGGGTCATACCAATGGGCTGATGCCCCTCACTCCTATTTCAGATTCTCCGAGGAATGAGTTCATACTTAAGAAGGAATTATCAGACTGGACTATATCATGAAACTTGGTGCCTTGTTATTTCTCTAACAATTGCAGGCTATCTTATTTAACACTTTACCCTGCTATTTCCTCATCTTTAAGATCCATGAAACTGAAACAATTACAGTAACTCACCAAACCTGGAGTTTATGTCTAAATTGAAGTCTACAGTTGGGATGTCTGCTTTGAGTTGTCTTTGAGCTGTTTAAAAAAAAAAAATACTTAAGAAGCATATGCTTCAACAGAATAAAAACACAAAATTCTTAGGAAGGAATACAAATTTCAGAGTCAAGAACCTAATAGAGTTGCAACACTTACCTCTACTAGTTTCCAAAGAATGTCTTTGTAGGCGTAACCTTAACAAGAAAGGAAACCAAAAACTTAAGAATGATATCCAGTAACCCCTACCAATCCAAGTGCAATAGGGATGTTAAATGAAAGCCTTCAAATCCCTTCATAAGGCCACCTTGCTGCCATCCTAAGTAGTTTCTTGAGATATAAATTAACCCTGTCTGTTTTGTGACAACAAATATTAAGCCCAAACCCTCCCTCAAATGAAGTTCTGGTCTCTATTCTAGTTTCCGTGTCACTTTTTTGCTATGATAATGGAACAGACAGTATTAGTATTCTGCAGAGTAAATATACATACCCTACCCCCAATCTCTAACTTTCATTTCCAATAGGACAGGAAGTGCCTGCTCAGCTCAGGGGACACAGGAAGGGTGGGAGAGCCTCAGTGTGGGAATTGCAACTGAGACTGGAAACACAGCAGCCAAATGCAGTAAATAAATAAATGAAGGCATCACTCAGTGATATCTTTTTTTTTTTCTGAGACAGAGTCTTGCTCTGTTGCCCAGGCTAGAGTGCAGTGGTGCTATCTTGGCTCACCGCAACCTCTGCGTCCCGGGTTCAAGCGATTCTCCTGCCTCAGCCTCCCGAGTAGCTGAGACTATAGGCATGCGCCACCATGCCCGGCTAATTTTTTTGTATTTTTAGTAGTCTTGTTGGCCAGACTGGTCTCAAACTCCCGACCTCAGGTGATCTGCCCGCCTTGGCCTCCCAAAGTGCTGGGATTACAGGAGTGAGCCACCGCGCCCGGCCCATATATATATATATATATATTTTTTTAAGTCCTTTTTCTGCTCTCAGAGACTCTCATTAACCAATTTATCCTTGCTGTTTAGGCCCTTGGATGATATCTTCTCCTTTACCCTAACAATGTGGTACAGAAACCTTTCTCTTGAAGGCCTGATTCATAAAGGCAATCAACCCAATTTAACTTTTTTTTTAAGTCTAATTTTTCTTTCTACTTTTTTTTTTTCCCCCTGAGACAGAGTCTCACTCTGTCGCCAGGCTGGAGTGCAGTGGTGCAATCTTGGCTCACTGAAACCTCTGCCTCCCGGGTTCAAACGATTCTCCCGCCTTAGCCTCCTGAGTAGCTGGTACTACAGGCATGTGCCACGACGCCCAGCTAATTTTTGTATTTTTAGTGGAGACGGGGTTTCACCATGTTGGCCAGTCTGGTCTCGAACTCCTGACCTCAGGCAATCCACCCGCCTTGGCCTCCCAAAGTGCTGGGATTACAGGTGTGAACCACGGCACCCGACCGAAAAATCTAAATTTTTATAATCTGGTAAATTAGGACCACAGAAGTAAAATGACCCGGATATGCAAACTGATGCCAAAGGTGTATTATGTTAAAGAGCACCAACAAAACTGGAAACTAAATCCTTCATTCTGGTGAGTATATGTATTATAAACATATATTTTTTTTTATGACAGGGTCTCACTCTGTCACCTAGGCTGGAGTGCAGTAGCACAATCACGGCTCACAACAGGCAGCTTTGACTTCCCCAGGTTCAGGTGATCCTCACACCCATCCCACCCCTCCCCACCCTGTAGCTGGGACTACAGGCATGCACCACCACACCTGGCTAACTTTTGTAATTTTTTTTTTTTTGGTAGAGACGGGGTTTCATCATGTTGCCCAGGCTGGTCTTGAATTCCTCAGCTCAAGCAATTTGCCCACCTCAGTCTCCAAAACTGCTGGCATTACAGGTGAGTATATTTGTAAAGGAGTTATGGAATTCTGTGGAAATGATGGGGAAGGTAATGGTGTTCTGTGGTTAGATTCAGGAAGTATACGGGAGGAGGAAGAATCCTACTTCCTCCAGTGTATTTACTTTGACGCCCTTCTGCTTTGCCCATTACATTGCCCACATTTTTCCAGATTTAGTCAATGCCTCTCTAATTCTTGGTTCTCATGAACCCAGCACTCAGGAATTGTTTTGAAGGGAAAAAAGCAAAATGAGAGTTATCTGTAACTTCTTTGGGGAAGAGACATTTGTACCTGATTCAATATAGGCTTGTTTGTGATTTCTCCAGAAAAACAACTCTTTTAAACAAGTGTCCAAGGTGAAGGAGTAGGGGCTAGGTCAACCCCAAAATGTAGCTGAAAAATGTCCCAGCACTTTGGGAGGCTGAGGTGGGCAGATTGCTTCAGTCCAGGAGTTCAAGACCAATGTGGGCAACATGGCAAAACCCCATTTCTGCTAAAAATACAAAAAACTAGCCAGGCATGGTAGTGCATATCTGTAGTCCCAACTCCTCAGGAGGCTGAGTTGGGAGAGCCATCTGAGCCTGGGAGGTCGAGGCTGCAGTGAGCTGAGATGGCGCCACTGTACTCCAGCCCAGGCAACCAAAGTGAGATCCTGTCTCAAAATAAAAGAAAAAGAAAAATAAAGAAAAATGTTTGCATGCCTCTATTGGCCCCTCCATATCAGAGTGGAGAATTCAGAAGAATGTATTACCTGTAGATGTGCTGGACCCTAGCCAGACATTCCAATGGAGACAGGCTGGTGTGGTATATGTGGTTGAAAGCAATGAGACAGGTCAGTTTGCGTGTGAGGCTCTGATTGTGGCTAAGAGACCTGAACAAGGTATATTAGAGCCAAAGAAACATTTTTCCCTAGGTATAAATACTCCCTGTGGATTATCTTCTCATTCCACTGATTAACTTTTGTGTCCAAAAGGCTATGTAATGGAAATAGTCCAAAAAGTTGAGTTTATTGGCCAGGTGCGGTGGCTCATGCCTGTAATCCTGGCACTTTGGGAGGCCGAGGTGGGCGGATCACTTGAGGTGAGGAGTTCGAGACCAGCCTAGTCAACATAGTGAAACCCTGTCTCTACTAAAAATACAAAAATTAGCCAGGCGTGGTGGCACACGCCTGTAATCCCAGCTACTTGGGAGACTGAGGCAGGAGAATCGCTTGAACCTGGGAGGCAGAGGTTGCAGTGAGCTGAGATCATGCCACTGCACTCCAGCCTGGGCAACAGAGTGAGACTCTGTCTCAAAAAAAAAAAAAGCTGAGTTTATTTCCTGGTAAAAAAGATGAGATTATGTCTTAGGGAAAAGTAAAAAACAAAACAAAACAAACAAACAAACAAAAACAGTTTATTGAACATACCAGTTTCCTTAGGCAAGAAATGTTAATGAGCTACATCAAACAATAAAGCAAAGCTTAGCCGTGACCCCTTCTGATGTAGGATGGAATGACAAAATTGGTCTAAAACAAAAAATTGGAAAAGTTTGTCTTTTTACCTCTTTGACTTACCTTACTGGCAAACAAGGAAAAAGACAGCTCTGAAGAATTATTTCTTTCACACCTGGATATCAGTGCTAACAGGCCTCTTCTCCTATAGCAACAGATATTCCTGGACAAACATTGCTTCAGAGAATATTCTAATAAAATTGTCAAATGGACTTTTCCTTTGCCGGACGCTGAAGGAATACAGGAACCAAATCATTTAGAATCACTGGGCTAGAAAATTAGCATATTGTAGAAAGAAAAGACTAGAATGAATTCTATGTAACCCAGAATATACTACATTGATTTTATGGTGGTATTCATTGTATTCTCTTTTTATTTTTATTTTATCACCTACCAGAAAGATATATTCTCTAAATGTGTGTTTCCTTCACACCTGAGGCATTAGTTTTGCTTGGCCTTGGCCTCATCTATCCCTAAAATAAACAACTCAGATGATCCCAATAGGGCCCACAACTGATTCAACAATTAGGCTGAATCAAATGAAACTGCTGTCTCCATAGGTCAAATCTTAATCTTTTCATATCATTGAATACTAGCAATTTCATATGGTTAAATCTAAATATTGCAAGAAGTATGAGACTGCGGGGATGATAATGAGCCAAAACAGTAATTAATTGGATAGTTCCTTCCCCTTGTCCTCTCTCATTTTCAGATTAAAAAAACAAATCCCAGAGAGGCAAGCTCACTTACACAAGGTCATAGGGGTCAAATAGTAGCATAAGTGACACCAGAATCCAGATTTCTTCTTCTTCTTTTGTTTTTTTTTTTTTCTTTTTTTGAGATGGAGTCTCACTCTGTTGCCCAGGCTGGAGTGCAATGGTGTGATCTCAGCTCACTGCAACCTCCGCCTCCCGGGTTCAAGCAATTCCCCTGCCTCAGCCTCTGGAGCAGCTGGGATTACAGGCACATGTCACCATGCCTGGCTAATTTTTGTGTTTTTAGTAGAGACGGGGTTTCACCATGTTGGCCAGGCTGGTCTCAAACTCCTAACCTCAGGTGATCTGCCCTCCTCGGCCTCCCAAAGTGTTGGGATTATAGCTGTGAGCCACTGCTCCTGGCCAGAATTCAGATTTCTTGACTCAATTCTATCCTTTCTATTTGCCCGTAAAATTAAAAATTCCAGTAAATATGTACTTTGGGGTCAGAAATAATAAAGGAATAATCCTAGGAATCCAGAAGTGAAAGATTCAACTATTTTCCTCAAGCCAGCCCCTTACCTCAAGTAGTAGTCATATTCAATATTCTGACTTATTCTTAACTTACACACTGGGTAATATTTCTAGGGATAAACTTACAACACAAACAGCAAGAGGTTTGTTGAAAACCACATTTGCTGAGAAGCACTCCTAATGAAGATTCTACCTGAGTTTTGATTCACTATATATTTAGAAGATAATTTGCTTAAAATCTGATTTCCAGATAATTAGGACCATATCCTAAAACTCTCAGGTGAAACATAAGATTTAAATGTAAGGGCTGGGCACAGTGGCTCACACCTGTAATCCCAGCACTTTGGGAGGCAGAGGCAGGCAGATCACTTGAGGTCAGAAGTTCAAGACCAGCCTGGCCAACATGGTGAAACCCTATCTCTACTAAAAATACAAAAAATTAGCCAGGCGTGGTGGTGTGGCCCTGTAGTCCCAGCTACTCGGGAGTCTGCTGCAGGAGAATCACTTGAACCCAGAGGCAGAGGTTGCAGTGAGCCGAGATTGCGCTACTGCACTCTAGCCTGGGCAACAGAGGGAGACTCTGTCTCAAAAAAAAGAGAGAGAGAGAGAGAGATTTGAATGTAAGAAATAATTGTTTTTCTATTTTTCCTGTTCATATGGTGCTGAAAAAGTAATTGTTAAAATATAAATATACATTAGTTATAAGGTCACTAGTCATGAGCAGCCTTTACCAGAAGCATAAGCTTGATGAGGACAGAGACCATGACTGTTTTGTACACCATTATATCCTTAGCATTCAGGAGGACCTGGCTAATTTAAAATGTTAAAATATTTGTTAAATGAATAAATGGACTGTCTCAGAACACAAAATTTACATTTGAAAAAAATGTTACTAATTAAAAATGGTAAGACTGGGCGCAGTGGCTCACACCTGTAATCCCAGCACTTTGGGAGGCTGAGGTGGGTGGATCATGAGGTCAGGATATCGAGACCATCCTGGCTAACACGGTGAAACCCCGTCTCTACTAAAAATACAAAAAAAATGAGCCGGGCGTGGTGGTGGGCACCTGTAGTCCCAGCTACTCGGGAGGCTGAGGCAGGAGAATAGTGGGAACCCAGAAGGCAGAGCTTGCAGTGAGCCAAGATCTCACCACTGCACTCCAGCCTGGGCAACAGAGCAAGACTCTGTCTCAAAGAAAAAAAAAAAAAGGTCAAAGTAGTGCTGGCAGTGATGGAATGGCACATTAGAACATCTAGGAGCTTTTCCTTTTATGTTTACAATATATTGTTTTCTTTTTTTCTTTTTGTTTTTTGAGACACGGTCCTCTAGGGATCCTCCTGCCTCAGCACCACCCCCCAACAAATAGCGAGGACTACAGGCACATGCCACCAGGCCTGGCTAATTTTTAAATTTGTTATAGAGACAGGGTTCTCAATATGTTGCCCAGGCTAGTCTCAAACTCATGGCCTTAAGGGAGATCCTCTTGCCTCAGCCTTCCAAAGTGCTGGGATTACAGGTATGAGCCACCATGCCTGGCCTGATTTTTTTTTTATTGCCTATTTTTGTGTCTTGGAAGTCAGAGAGCTTGAACTTACCTGTGTCTCCTAACAGTAGAGTAAGCCCACTCCCACCTGTGGACTAAAGTTAAACTGCCATTAAAGACATCACATCAAGAGCTCCATTACAAATTTGTATTCCTATAACACTTTGTTTGAAATTTTCATAGCCTATTTTCTTTTTTTGAGACAGAATATTGCTCTGTTGCCCAGGCTGGAGTGCAGCAGCACAATCTCGACTCATGCAGCCTCTGCCTCCCAGGTGCAAGCAATTCTCCTGCCTCAGCCTCCCCAGTAGCTGGGATTACAGGTGCATGCTACCATGCCCGGCTAATTTTTGTATTTTTAGTAGAGAGGGGGTTTTGCCATGTTGGCCAGGCTGGTCTCAAACTCCTGAGCTCAAGTAATCTGCCTGCCTCAGCCTCCCAAAGTGCTGGGATTACAGGTGTGAGCCATGACAGCCGGCCTTTTTAGGCTATTTTGGACTCTGCTTCACAGTTCCGCCTCCACCTCTTGCTCCTAGATTGTCAACTCCTAGAAGGCAGGCACCAACTTTACTAATCTTATTATCATTAACAGCTAAACATAATTTAACTCGAGATTATTCACTGAAAGAATACAATTTTCACTTTTTAAGTATTTCACCTTCAGTGGGAAAGTGAGCGCCCAATAAATAGAACAGTAAGAGAAACGCTGCCACCTCCTGGGTAAAACGGGTTGTGTCTCCTTTAGCAAATACTGGGAAAAGAAAGTATAGAATTTGTAGTGGGTAGATCAGAAGTTTGAAATTCAAACCCAGCTCTACTGCTTGCTGTGTTAGTATATGTGCTGACAAAGTGGGCACCCACTTGCTGTGTTAAACTGGAAAGTCACGTTCTTAAAACATCAGTTTCCTCTTCTACAAAACGGGCATATAAGTAGTATCTGTACACTTCTTAATATACTACTCTGTTCAATGGGCATCTAATAAGTATCAGTCCTGCTTATCTCTCAGGGATTATCAAGGCAGTCAAATCAGGTGACTATAAAGTACTTTGTTTAATATATAGTATTTTACTATATAAAAGTACTTTATTATATAGTATTTTACGAATATGAAATATATTTTTCACCTATACTTGATATTTACTACACCATGTTGAATATAACAAATCCATCTTATTTTTTACTATAAACTTGGGTTATGAACCTGCAGCTAGAGAGTCAAAGCAAACTTGTCAAATTTTAGATTGCTAAAGACAAACTTCTTTTTTTTTTTTTTTTTTTGAGATAGGGTCTTGCTCCGTTGCCCAGGCTGGAGTGAAGTGCCTTGATTATGCCTCGCTGCAGCCTTGACATTCTGGGCTCAACTGATCCTCCCACCCATGCCTCCTGAGTAGCTGGGACTACAGGCACATGCCACCATGCCTCACTAATTAAAAAAAATTTTTTTAACTTTAAACAAATTTTTATTACACAAAAGTTGTCACATAATTGGATATTTCTCTACTTTGTACACAATTATTCTCACTCTCCACAGAAAGGCTGCTTAACTTCTCATCTGGTGGTGGCAAGCACTAAAAATCCTGATTTTAACAGAATAGTAGTAAAAATGCCTCAGTGATTTAAGTTGAAAGCCATACATTGGTACATGGCTCTTTTACCCAGTATCAGGAATGTACAAATGTTTTTTATTCAAAAATACAAAATAAATTATCTATAGGCATGGACAATGACAGCAGTAAACCATTATATATTTTGTCAACTGAAACCAGTAACTGATGGTTATAGTGATTTTCAGCCAGCCTTTTTCTTCATTTTTCTCCAACTGACTTCTCTGAAGTTATTGGTGAGGAACACTGCCTTGGGCTTCCTGTCACAGTTCATTAATAAAGGTAAAGCACTAGTCTAGGAGTTAGAACATGCCACTTCCCATACCACCTCCCATTCTACCCATTGCACCCATTCCAGGGTCCTTCTCTTCTTTAGGAATTTCTGTGACTACAACTTCTGCTGTAGTTAACAGAGAGGTCACACCAGCGGCATCCAATAAAGCAGTTCTCACAACCTTTGTTGGGTCAATAATTCATTTTTCCACCATATTCACAAAATCTCCAACCATAGCATCATAACCAGCTTCTGAGGAAATTTGCGTAATTTTCTCAACTATCGAAGATCCTTCAACACCTGCATTCTTAGCAATGGTCATTGCTGGAATTTTGAGTGTTCTTTAATAATTTCTGTACCAATTTTTTGATCTTCATTAGCTGGAGTCAATGAGTCCAAGGCTAGAATGCATCGAAGCAGGGCACAACCCCCTCCCAATACAAAGCCTTCTTCAACAGCAGCTCTTGTAGCATTAAGGGCATCCGAACTCTGTCTTTCTTTTCATTCACTTCAACATCACTTGTCCCACCAACCTTCAGCACAGCTACTACATCTGAAAGTTTTGCCAGCCGTTCATTCAGTTTTTCCTTTTCATATTCACTAGTTGTGACATCTAACTGCTCAATGATTTCTTGAATACGTTTTTCAATTTGAGCCTTGTCACCTTTTTCTTTTAAGAGCGTGGCATCATCTTTGGTCACAATGACCTCTCCAACGTTTCCTAAGTCATGAGGCTGAACATCTTCAAGATTTAGGGTCAGCCCCTCTTCTCCAAACACTGCACCACCAGTAGCAATTGCCATATCTTTAAGCTGGTTCTTTCTATTGTCACCAAACCCTGGAGCCTTGATTGCCACATCCTGAAGACCAACCTTTAGCCTATTCAAGACGAGTGTACTTAGAGCTTCTCCATCAACGTCTTCAGCGATTATGACCAAAGGCTTACGGTGAGCATTGGCAATTTCAAGAGCAGGTACAACGGACTGGACACTAGAAATTTTCTTTTCGCTCAACAGAACATAGGCATCCTGGAATTCACATTTCTGACCTTTTGATGTATTAATAAAGTATGGAGAAATATAGCCTCGATCAAACTTTATGCCTTCAATAATTTCTAATTCATCATTCAGTGTTTTTCCATCCTTTACTGTGATGACACCCTTTCTTCCAACCTTTTTCATTGCATCAGAGATATTGCCAATTTCTTTGTCTCCGTTTGCAGAAATTGTAGCAACCTGTGCAATTTCTTCAGGGGTGGTCACAGGTTTAGACTGCTTTTTAAGTTCAGCAATTACAGCATCAACAACTAACATCACACCTCTCCTGATTTCCACTGGATTAGCACCTTTGCTAATCTTCTCGATGCCTTCCTTGGCTATAGAGCGTGCCAGTACAGTAGCAGTGGTAGGGCCATCCCCAGTCTCTTCATTTGTGTTATTGGCAACATCTTGAACAAGTTTAGCTCCAATGTTTTTATATTTATCCTTTAAGTCAATTGACTTTGCAACAGTCACACCATCTTTTGTTACTTTGGGACTTCCCCAGCTCTGCTCGATAATCACTGTTCTTCTTCCCTTTGGCCCCATTGTAAGGGCTACAGCATCGGCTAAAAGGTCTATACCTTGAAGCATTAAGGCTCGGGCATCTGCACCGAATTTTACATCTTTGGCATAAGCCCCAGTGAGATGAGGAGCCAGCACCCTGGACACCAGTCTCATCTGGCGAAAGACTGTGGGTAACCGAAGCATTTCTGCGGGGCGGCGGCAGGGCGTGCACGCAGCGAGACAGGTCGTCGGCGGCGAGTGAGGGCTAAAAATTTTTATAGAGATGGGGTCTCACTATGTTGCCCAGGCTGGTCTCAAACTTCTGCACCCAAGTGATTCTCCCGCCTTGGCCTTACAAAGTGCTGGGATTACAAACATGAGCCACCATGCTTGGCCTGCCTTCTTTAAATGTTAATGCAGGTTTGCTATCACCAACCTATTAAAATGTGATTTTGAACATAAAAATATGCTCACATTAAAACTACACGGAGTAGGCCGGGCGCGGTGGCTCACGCCTGTAATCCCAGCACTTTGGGAGGCCAAGGCGGGCGGATCACGAGGTCAGAAGATCGAGACCACCCTAGCTAACACGGTGAAACCCCGTCTCAACTAAAAAATACAAAAAAAATTAGCCGGGCGTGGTGGCGGACGCCTGTAGTCCCAGCTACTCGGGAGGCTGAGGCAGGAGAATGGCATGAACCCGGGAGGCGGAGCTTGCAGTGAGCGGAGATCGCGCCAGTGCACTCCGGCCTGGGTGACAGAGCGAGACTCCGTCTCAAAAACAAAAACAAAAACAAAACTACACGGAGATACCATTTCTCACCTGCCAGACTGGCAAAAATCCAGAAGCTCACAACAAACTGTTGGTGAGACTGTGGGTTAAAAGGTACTTTCAGCCTGGGGAATATAGCAACACCCCATCTCTAAAAAAAAAAAAAGAAAATGTTTTTAAATAAGCCAGGCACGGTGGCATATGCCTGTAGACCTAGCTACTCACAAGGGTGAGATGGGAGGATAGCTTGAGGCTGCAGTGAGCCAAGATCATACCCCTGCACTCCAGCATAAGCAACAGAGCGAAACCCTGTCTCTACAAACAAACAAACAAACAAAAAGGCGGGGAGGGCACTTTCATATATTGCTTGTGAAAAGACAAAATAAAATAACACCTTTCACACTATCTACCAAAATTATATGTGTATTTACCCTTCAACCCAACAGTCCCACTTGTAGGAATAGATCCGAAAGATACAATGGCAACAATAAAAAGAGACAGTACATATAAGGCATCTTCACAGCAGTAAGCAAGAAAGCTATCAAAGACTACTGGGGGTATGTCAAAAGGATTCAAGAATCAACTTTAGAAGCTGGGCATGGGGGCTCACACCTCTAATCCTAGCACTTTAGGAGGCTGAGGCAGGAGGTCTGCTTGAGCCCAGGAGTTCAAGACCAGCCTGGGAAACACAGTCTCTATTGAAAAAAGTCAAAAATTAAATGAATAATATTTAAAAAGAATCAACTTCAGTGGGTTGCTATTGTCCAAAGATGGTACAGTTTGAGCATCAAAAAAAATAACTACAAAGAATGTAAACACGCCAAATTTAATAAAATCCGTAAGTTCATAATAATTTTTCAAAACCCTAATTGATCATCTTTAAGAGGATATTACATACTCAACTTACTATTCCTAAAACTAGCAAATAAAGGAAAACAAGTTGAATATATAGCCTGCCTTTTCTATATGAATTGTTTCTCAGAATAACCAAGTAGTTGATGAAGAAAATCCTCCTTTATAGATGAATACAAAATAATAAAGAAATAAGGAATAGGCTGGGTGCAGTGGCTCACGCCTGTAATCCCAGCACTTTGGGAGGCCGAGGCGGGCAGATCACGAGGTCAGGAGTTCGAGACCAGCCTGGCCAACATGGTGAAACCCCGTCTCTACTAAAAATACAAAAAATCAGCCAGGTGTGGTGGCACGTGCCTGTAATCCCAGCTATTCGGGAGGCTGAGGCAGGAGACTTGCTTGAACCTGGGAGGTGGATGTTGCCGTGAGTGGAGATCCTGCCATTGCATTCCAGCCTGGGCGACAGAGCAAGACTCGGTCAAAAAAAAAAAAAAAAAAAAAAAAAAAAAAAAAAAAAAAGGTTTCTGAATTCAGTTTGCTAATAATTTGTTAAGGTTTTTTTTTTAACATCTATATTCATAAGAGATATTGGTATATAGTTTTCCTTTCTTGTGATACACAATCAATTTTTAATATAATGGTTTTAGCAGCCTTTGATAATTATTGCCTTGATCAACTGCTTTATTAAAGGTTGCAAAGTGGTGCTCTTTTGTTGTTCCTTATTTCTTTTTTTCTTTTTGTGATGGAATCTCGCTCTGTTGCCCAGGCTGGAGGGCAGTGGCGCAATCTCAGCTCACTGCAACCTCCGCCTCCCGGGTTCAAGCGTTTCTCCTGCCTCAGCCTCCCGAGTAGCTGGGATTACAGGTGCACGCCACAACGCCTGGCTGATTTTTTGTATTTTTAGTAGATACGGGGTTTCACCACTTTGGCCAGGCTGGTCTTGAACTCCTGACCTGGTGATCCGCCTGCCTCAGCCTCCCAAAGTGCAGGGATTACAGGCGTGAGCCACCACACCCGGTCCCAGAAACATATTTTTTTAAAAAGGTGGGCCAGGCATGGTGGCTCACGCCTGTAATCCCTGCACTTTGGGAGGCCGAGGCAGGTGGATGATTTGAGGTCAGGAGTTTGAGACCAGCCTGACCAACATGATGAAACCCTTTTTCTACTAAATAGAAAAAACATTAGCTGGGCATGGTGGGCATGCCTGTAATCTCAGCTACTTGGGAGGCTGAGGCATGAGAGTCGCTCAAACCCGGGAGGCGGAGGCTGCAGTGAGCTGAGGTTGCACCACTGCACTCCAGCCTGGGCAACAGAGTGAAACTCCATCTTGAAAGAAAGAAGAGAGAGAGAGAGAAGAAGAAAAGGAGGAGGAGAAGGAGGAGGAGGAGGAGGAGGAAGAGGAGGAGGAGGAGAAGAAGAAGGAAGAAGGAAGGAAGGAGAAGAGAAAAAGAAAACAAAAAAGCTTTAGGCAGCCAGGCACAGTGGCTCACACCTGAAATCCCAGCACTTTGGGAGGCCGAGGTGGGCAGATCACATGAAGTCAGGAGTCGAGACCAGCCTGGCTGACATGGTGAAACCCCATCTCTACTAAAAATACAAAAATTAGCCAGGCATGGTACCACCCATCTGTAATCCCAGCTACTGGGGAGGCTGAGGCATGAGAATCACTTGAACCTGGGAGGTGGAGGTTGCAGTGAGTTGAGATCGTGCCACTGCACTCTAGCCTAGGTGACAGAGTGAGACTCCATCTCAAAAAAAATAAAAGGTTTAGGCCAGGAGCGGTGGCTCACACCTGTAATCCCAAGATTTTGGGAGGACAAAGTGGGAGGATCACTTGAGCCCAGGAGTTTGAGACCAGGCTGGACAACATGGTGAGAACCTGTCTTTTAAAAGTAAAATAAGTTATAAAATAAAATAAAATACATAAAATAAAAAAGGTTTATACCCCATGACCAAGTGGGATTTATTCCAGGAATGCAAAGCTAATTAAATGTTCAAAAATTGGCCAGGCACAGTGGCTCACGCCTGTAATCCTAGCACTTTGGGAGGCCGAGGCGGGCAGATCATGAGGTCAGGAGATCAAGACCATCCTGGCTAACACGGTGAAACCCCGTCTCTACTAAAAATACAAAAATTAGCCAGGCGTGGTGGCAGGCGCCTGTAGTCCCAGCTACTTGGGAGGCTGAGGCAGGAGAATGGCATGAACCCGGGAGGTGGAGCTTGCAGTGAGCTGAGATCGCGCCACTGCACTCCAGCCTGGGCAACAGAGCAAGACTCTGTCTCAAAAAAAAAAAAAAAAATCAAGTAACACAATATGCCATGTTAAAACAGAACAACCAGCTGGGCACAGTGGCTCACGCCTGTAATCCCAGTATTTTGGGAGGCGGAGATGGGCGAGATGGCTTGAGCCCAGGAGTTCAAGACAAGCCTGGGCAACATGGTGAGACCCTGTCTCTACAAAAAATACAAAAATTAGCTGGCATTCAAGCAACTCCTGGACTCAGTATCTTTTTTATGGCTGGGCACAGTGACTCATGCCTGTAATCCCAGCACTTTGGGAGGCCAAGGCGGGTGGATCACGAGATCAGGAGTTCAAGACCAGCCTGGCCAAGATGGTGAAACCCCGTCTCTACTAAATATACAAAAAAATTAGCCAGGCGTGGTGGTGGGCACCTGTAATTTCAGCTACTCAGGAGGCTGAAGCAGTGAATTTCTTGAACTTGGGAGGCAGAGGTTGCAGTAAGCAGAGATCACACCATTGCACTCCTGCCTGGGCGACAGAGTCAGACTCCATCTCAAAAAAAAAAAGATCTTTTTTATATCTTTTTTATTAATCCTTTTAACGTTTAAAAACATCTTATTGGACAACAAGGCCTCCAATAAAATATATAACAGAAGCTGTGATACCAAGCCTGTTCCTGATAAACTCTATCAGGTTTTAGACATTCCTTTTCTTCTTTTCTTTCTTTTTTTTTTTTGAGATGGAGTCTTACTCGGTCGCCAGGCTGGAGTACAGTGGCATGATCTCGGCTCACTGCAACCTCCACCTCCCAGATTCAAGCGATTCTCCTGCTCAGCCTCCCGAGTAGCTGGGACTACAGGCACGTGCCACCACGCCCAGCTAATTTTTGTATTTTTAGTAGAGACGGAGTTTCACCATGTTGGCCAGGATGGTCTCGATCTCTTGACCTCATGATCCACCTGCCTCAGCCTCCCAAAGTGCTGAGATTACAGGTGTGAGTCACTGTGCCCAGCACTTCTTTTCTTTTTGAGACAGAGTTTCCCTCTGTCACCCAGGCTGGAGTGCAGTGGCCACAACCTCGGCTTACTGCAACCTCTGCCTGCCGGGCTCAAGCAATTCTCATGCCTCAGTGTCCTGAGTAGCTAGGATTACAGGTATGCGCCAACGTGCCCAGCTAATTTTTATATTTTTAGTAGAGATGGGGTTTCTCCACGTTGGCCAGCTGGTCTCCAAGTCCTGTCCTCAAGTGATCTGCTGGTCTTGGCCTCCAAAAGTGCTTGGATTATAGGCATATGCCATGATGCCTGGTCTAGACATTCCTTTTCTTGTCTCATTTGCTAAGAGCTTTGAAAATATTTGCTTGAAAGACATTTATCAAATAATTTTTCTACAATGACTTGAGAGGATCATATAGATTTTTCTCTCTTAATCTGTTGATGTGGTGCGACTACATGTTTTCTAATATTACACCATTCTAGCATCTTTGGGATAAACACGACTTTGCCACGTGTGTGTGTTCAATTTTCTAATATTTTATGACTTTTGCATTTATTTCTTTATATAAAATTGGTCTATATCTTACTTTTCTTATACTGTCCTTGTCTAGTTCTGGGTTTAAAGTTTACAATAGCTTCACAAAACAAGTTGTGAAGTGTTCCTTCTCTTTTTATTTCTTGGAAAATCTGTTCTTTGAAGACTGAAGTCTTCAAAGTACTGCCACATAAAAGTACTTCAATAGTACTTCGCATAAAATCTGTATATATTTTTTTCTATGTCAGTATTTAAAGTACAAAATCTCTAATCTCATCAAAATCTCAGTATTTCCCAGCATTCCTACAACACTCTAGAGTTAGTGCCCTCTCCTAGTCTTTACTATAGCTGTTCTAAACATTTACCACTCTAAGTTTTCTACCTCATTATTTCACTCTGCATTCTTAGCATATCATATTTATCTGCTATCTTCAACCTTGATATCTCTACTGGCTTTCCTCCTCCACATGTGGATACATGATGACCTTTTAAAAAGACAAGATAGGGCCAGAAGTGGTGGCTCACCCCTGTAATCCCAGCACTTTGGGAGGCTGAGGTGGGTGGATCATGAAGTCAGGAGTTCGAGACCAGCCTGGCCAGTATGGTGAAATCCCATCTCTACTAAAAATACAAAAATTAGCCGGGCGTGGTGGTGCTCGCCTGTAGTTCCAGCTACTCAAGAGGCTGAGGCAGAAGAATCGCTTGAACCCGGGAGGTGGAGGTTGCAGTGAGCCGAGATGGTGCTACTGCACTCTGGAGCAACAGAGCGAGACTCCGTCTCAAAAAAAAAAATTAAAATTAAAAGAGAGATGAAAACATACATAAAAAACAAATAAACAAAAGCCCTTCCCTGTACCCTATGTTCTTCTGTAGATATTCTTAGTTTTCCCCATAATCAAGAGTAATCTACATTTGCTAACTGTATGTCCTCATCTCTCATTTGTTTTTCTCCACTCACTTTTAATTGTATTCCAAGTTATGTTAGAGTTGGGAAATTACTACTGGGTTATATTTATTTTTTATTTTATTTTATTTTATTTTTTTTGAGACAGAGTCTCGCTCTGTCGCCCAGGCTGGAGTGCAGTGGCGCCATCTAGGCTCACTGCAAGCTCCGCCTCCCAGGTTCATGCCATTCTCCTGCCTCAGCCTCCCGAGTAGCTGGGACTACAGGCGCCCGCCACCACGGCCGGCTAATTTTTTGTATTTTTAGTAGAAACGGGGTTTCACCGTGTTAGCCAGGATGGTCTTGATCTCCTCACCTCGTGATCCGCCCATCTCGGCCTCCCAAAGTGCTGGGATTACAGGTGTGAGCCACCGCGCCTGGCCACTGGGTTATATTTAAAAAGCAACATAATCAGATTTGCATTTCTGCAAGACCACTTGTGGCTATACTGTAACGAATGGAAGGGAGTAAAACTGATGGGAGACCTAAATTAAGAAGCCTCACTAAGATAGTAGCAATGGGAATGAGAAGTGGATGGATTTGAGTCCCATTATCGGATGTAAAGGATATGGAAGCAGGAGAAATAAAGGATCACATGTGAACCTCTAGCTGAACAATGGATTTTTTTGTCATTGTAGAGATGGTAAGTCTCCAGCCTGAGCAACGTGGCAAAACGCTGTCTCTAAAAAAAATACAAAAAATTAGCTGGGCGTGGTGGTGTACACCTGTACTCCCAGCTACCCAGGAGTCTGAGGTGGAAAGATCACCTAACCCCTTGGAGGTCGAGGCTGCAGTAAGCCATGATGGCGCCACTGCACTCCAGCCTGGGTGGCAGAGTGAGACCCGGTCTCAAAAAAAGAAAAAAAAAAGAAGAAAAGAAAAAAGAAAGCTGACCTGACCACATAAAGAGAAAACATTTCTACATGGCAAACAAATCCACAAATGGAAAACCAAAGTCAAATGATAAACTAGCAGGGAGGGGAGAATGTATGCAACTCATTTCATAAAGAGCTAATTTCCAAAAAGTTCCAGCCGGGCGCAGTGGCTCACGCCTGTAATCCCAGCACTTTGGGAGGCCAAGGCGGGTGGATCACGAGGTGAGGAGATCGAGATCATCCTGGCTAACACGGTGAAACCCCGTCTCTACTAAAAATACAAAAAAAAAAAAAAAAATAGTCGGGCGTGGTGGTGGGCGCCTGGAGTCCCAGCTACTCGGGAGGCTGAGGCAGGAGAATGGCGTGAACCCGGGAGGCGGAGCTTGCAGTGAGCCGAGATCGTACCACTGCACTCCAGCCTGGGCGACAGAGTGAGACTCCGTCTAAAAAAAAAAAAAAAAAAGAAAAAGAAAAAGAAAAGTTCCTAAAAACACATATTAAAAGCCTAATATCTGGCCAGGCACAGTGGCTCACACCTGTAATCCCAGCGCTTTGAGAGACTGAGGCAGGAGGATCACTTGACGCTAGAAATTTGAAAAACCAGCCTGGACAACACAGCAAGATCCCCTCTCCACACACACACACACACACAAAATACAAAAATTAGCTGGGTGTGGTGGCATTCACCTGCAGTCTTAACTACCTAGGAGGTTGAGGCAGGAAGATCAATTGAGTCTAGGAGTTTGAGATTACAGTGAGCTATGATCTCACCATTGCACTCTAGCCTGGGTGACAGAGCAAGACCCTGTCTCTTAAAAATATATATAATAATAATAATAATAAAACTTAAAAATTTTAATATCCAACAGATAAATGGACAAAACATAGGAATAAACACTTCATAAAAAAGGAAACACCAATGGTTCTTAAATATATAAAAGATGTTCAACCTCATTCATAATTTTTAAAAAGTGAAATAAAAACAATACTGAGATAAGTCGGGCGCGGTGGCTCATGCCTGTAATCCCAGCATTTTGGAAGGCGGGTGGATCACTTGAGGTCAGGAGTTCGAAACCAGCCTGACCAACATAGAGAAACCCCATCTCCACTAAAAATACAAAATTAGCCAGGCGTGGTGGCGCTTGCCTGAAATCCCAGCTACTCAGGAGGCCGAGGCAGGAGAACTGCTTGAACCCGGGAGGCGGAGGTTGCAGTGAGGCGAGATCTCGCCACTGCACTCCAGCCTGGGCAACAAGAGCGAAACTCCATCTCAAAAAAAAATAAATAAATAAAAATAAAAATACAATACTGAAATAGCATATTACACCTACTGGCATGGCAAGCACACAAAAAAAGTGATAACCGGCCAGCCACGGTGGCTCACGCCTGTAATCCCAGCACTTTGGGAGGCCGAGGCAGGCGGAGCACCTGAGGTCAGGAGTTCGAGACCAGCCTGGTCAACATGGCGAAACCCCATCTCTACTAAAAATACAAAAAAAAAGTTAGCCGGGTGTGGTGATACATACCTGTAATCTCAGCTACTTGGGAGGCTGAGGCAGGAGAATAACTTGAACCCGGGAAATAGAGGTTGCAGTGAGCTAAGATCGTGTCACTGCACTCCAGCCTGGGCAACAGAGAGAGACTCCATCTCAAAAAAAAAAAAAGTGATAACCAACTGAAGTGAGGGAGGAAAAACAGGCACTCTACTACATTGCTGGTAAAACTGAAAAATGGCATGACCAGTATGGACGGCAATTTGTCAACATCTTTAAAAATTACAAATATATATACTCTTTGACACATCAATTATACTTTTAGAAATTTATCCTACAGTTATATTTGCAAACTTGCAAAATGACAAGATATACAAGCTTATTTACTGCAGCACTGTCTGTAATAACTAAGGTAACCATAAAACATATATTACCCAAATTGGAATACTGTTGGAACAGAAAGAGGACAGTATTCATATACAAGCTGGGGCTGGGTGTGGTGGCTCAAGCCTGTGATTCCAGTACTTTGGGAAGCTGAGGTGGGTGGATCACTTGAGGTCAGGAGTTCGAGACCAGCCTGGTCAACATGGTGAAACTCTGTCCCCACTAAAAATACAAAAGTTAACCGGGTGTGGTGGCTCATGCCTATAGTCCCAGCTACTCAGGAGGCTGAGGCAGGAGAATTGCTTGAACTCAGGAGGTAGAGGTTGCAAGAAGACAAGATGGTGCCACTGCACTCCAGCCTGGGCAACAGAGCAAGACACCATCTCAAATTGTGGACAGCAAGCCACCCAGGCACCGAGGCAAGAGACAGAGGACACGAGCTGTTCCAGTATAATAGAATATAAAACAAGAATAGTTATACCAGATATAGATCTTAGATATGATTGTATATGAATATCATTAATCATTAGTTTGTAGCAATTTTTATTCCAATATTATGATAATCCTCGCTCTATAATCATAGCCTAGGAAAAACCACGCCATACAGAGATAGGAGCTGAGGGGACATAGTGAGGTGTGACCAGAAGACAAGAGTGCGAGCCTTCTGTTATGCCCGGACAGGGCCACCAGAGGGCTCCTTGGTCTAGCGGTGACGCCAGCGTCTGGGAAGACGCCCGTTATCAGGAGGATCGTGGTCCAGCGGTAGCAAAAGGTGTCAAGGAACAACACCCGCTACTTAGCAGACCGGGAAAGGGCGGGGCGGGGGGGGGGGTCTCCCTTTCCCCAGGGGAGTTTAGAGAAGACTCTGCTCCTCCACCTCTTGTGGAGGGCCTGACATCAGTCAGGCTTGCCCGAAGTTATCGGGAGGCCTAACCGTCTCCCTGTGATGCTGTGCTTCAGTAGTCGCACTCCTAGTCTGCCTTCATGTTCCATCCTGTACACCTGGCTCTGCCTTCCAGATAGCAGTAGTAAATTAGTGAAAATACTAATAGTCCCTGATATGCAGAAATAATGATGTAAGCTGTCTCTCTCTCTGTCTCCTCTCCCTCTCTGCCTCAGCTGCCAGGCAGGGAAGGGCCCCCTGTCCAGTGGACACGTGACCCACGTGACCTTACCTATCATTGGAGGTGACTCACATTCTTTACCCTGCCCCTTCTGCCTTGTATCCAATAAATAACAGCGCAGCCAGACATTCGGGGCCACTACCGGTGTCTGCGCATTGGTGGTAGTGGTCCCCCGGGCCCAGCTGCCTTTTCTCTTGTCTCTTTGTCTTGTGTCTTTATTTCTACACTCTCTCATCGCCGCACACAGGGAGAGACCTACCGACCCTGTGGGGCTGGTCCCTACATCTGGCGCTCCGACGTGGGGCTCTCCCTCGCTGTGTGAAGTTGCGCCCTGAGTGCGGGATCAGCGGAGGAGTTCAACGAGAGATTCCTGAGGATTGCAGTCAATAAACTTGGTGGTAAGCTTGAGCACTCAGAGTTTTCCGGGGACACCATGGGACAGGCCAGTACAAAGTATTCGGCTTATTTAAATTTTATAAAAACTCTTCTTAAAGAAGGAGGTGTTAAAGTTTCTACTGAAAAGTTAATTGAACTATTTGAGGTTGTAGATCTTCTTTGCCCTTGGTTTCCGACTCAGGGAACTCCAGAACTTAAAGATTGGGATGAGATTGGCAAACAATTCAAAATTGCTCATAAAGGGGGACATTTTATCCCACCCACCATTTGGTCAATCTGGGCTTCGGTTCGCTCTGTCTTAGACTCCTTATAGACTCAGGAGGACAATATGGAGACTGATCCCTCTTTCCTCTCCTCTGAGGAGGTCGAGGAAGCTCTCAGCTCTCTTTCCCCTGATGATACTGCACAAATTGAGAACGTAATTTCAAAGGAGGACTTCCACTCTGACATGCCTGCGCCACCGCCACCTACGCCAGAGGCCACTGCACCCCCATTGCCGCTTTATGATGATCTTTTAACTGACCTAAATGTACTTATCTCCCCAATCAGCAAAACTCAGCTGAAACATATCAACAGCCATTGCGGCCAGACCCTCCTGTCTCTCCTCACTCTTTCAACACTGCCGCCGTGCAAATAGCAGATGAGACCAGGCAGCCTGTAAACGAGTCTATAAATTACGTTTCTATGCAGCCCGGTACAGAGGCTCCGCTATATGAACAGCTTGGAAAAGAGGCTTCCAATTCTCGGCCCGGTAATGAGGCCCTCAATCCTATTTCTTCTAATCGGACTCAGAGTCACAGGCTCCCTTGAAGCCTGGTCCCTTTCCTATAAATCAGACTCGGGTAGAGTCACAGGCTCCCTTGAAGCCTGGTTCCTTTCCTATAAGTCAGACTCGGGTAGAGTCACAGGCTCCCTTGAAGCCTGGTCCATTCTCTGCAAATCGGACTCAGAGTCACAGGCTCCCTTGAAGCCTGGTTCCTTTCCTGCAAATCGGACTCAGTTACAGTCACAGGCTCCCTTGAAGCCTGGTTCCTTTCCTATAAATCAGACTCGGGTAGAGTCACAGGCTCCCTTGAAGCCTGGTTCCTTTCCTATAAATCAGACTCGGGTAGAGTCACAGGCTCCCTTGAAGCCTGGTTCCCTTCCCACAAATCGGACTCAGTTAGAGTCACAGGCTCCCTTGAAGCCTGGTTCCTTTCCTATAAATCAGACTTGGGTAGAGTCACAGGCTCCCTTGAAGCCTGGTTCTTTTCCTCCTAATCGGACTCAGTTAGAGTCACAGGCTCCCTTAAAGCCTGGATCCTTTCCTACAAATCAGACTCAGTTAGAGTCACAGGCTCCCTTGAAGCCTGGTCCCTTTTCTACAAATCAGACTCGGGTAGAGTCACAGGCTCCCTTGAAGCCTGGATCCTTTCCTACAAATTGGACTCAGTTAGAGTCACAGGCTCCCTTGAAGCCTGGTTCACACTTGCCGTGGCAGCCTGGTTTTCAGGCCCATGAAAGACCTGCTCAGCAGGTAATCTGCTCTCACCCTGGCTTTCAGTTTTTCGACTCTCCTTCTATTCAAAATTCTACCTCTTTTTCTGCTCCTGGTCTGGTCGCAACTGCTGTTGCCAATACTACCATTGCCGCTCATAAGCAACAAATTACATACATCCCTGAAGATGACACTCTGCTTACGAGGGCTATAGTTCAGGCAAGGGAATATGGGGATCCCGAAGCTTGGCAATTTCCTGTAATTTTACAACCCCCAGTACCTGCCACCCCAGCAGTACAAAACCACCCACAGCCTGTTGTTGATCCTGCCCAGCAGGCGGCTGACCCCACAGCTCAACAAGATCAAGAGGCTGACAATTAAGCCCCTCAGCCTGAGAATCGGCTGCTTGGGTAAATAATCAGGCTCTGCAATTGCCTGCTCCTGGGGCACAGCCAATACCTGGCATTCCCGCTGTTCAGGCGGTAATTCAGCCTGACACCATCCATCCAGGCCAGGTTCAGCTACGCCCTGCTACATAGGAAAGTTTTTCTTTTAAATTCCTCAAAGATTTTAAGGAATCAGTGAAACAATATGGCACCAACTCTCCTTTTGTCCATTCCACATTAAAAGCCTTAGCAGAAGATAAACGTTTGGTACCCTATGATTGGGAAATTTTGGCAAAATCAGTCTTATCTAAATCCCAATATTTACAATTCAGGACTTGGTGGGTTGATGCTGTCCAGGAACGCATTCGTCTTAATCAGGGCTCTAATCCTCTTGTTAACGTTACGGCTGACCAGTTACTGGGAATGGGTCAATGGGCTGCAATCCGACACCAAACTATACTAAATGATGAGGTTATTGAACAACTGCGAAAATGTTGCTTAGATGCTTGGGACAAAATTCAAGATGATGGTAAAGTATGCCCATCTTTCACAGCCGTCAGACAGGGACAACATGAGCCCTACCCAGACTTTATTGCTCATCTTCAAGACGCAGCAGAAAAGGCTATTCCTGATAGCCACGGCCAAAGACTTGTTGTAGAACTTATGGCTTATGAACAAGCAAATCCAGATTGTCAGGCGGCTATTCGCCCCGTCAAAGGTAAAATTCCACCAGGTGGTGATATACTCACCTCCTACATTAAAGCCTGTGAAGGGGTGGGAGGAACTCTCCATACAGCAATGATTATGGCACAAGCTATGGCCTCTATTCGAATGCCTGGACAATTCTCTGGCCAATGCTTCATATGCGGCCAGAATGGACATGCAAAAAGAAATTGCCCTCGGCGTGCAGGTCGCCATCCTTTACATCACCAACAACAACAACAAAAAACTTTTCAGCAACAAGATGCCCCACCTTCTACTGTATGCCCACGATGCCAAAAGGGTCTTCACTGGGCATCTCAATGCCATTTCAGATTTGATATTGATGGCCATCCTTTACGGCCTTTTAAAAATCAGGGAAACAGGATGAGGGGCCGGCCCCAGGCCCCTCTAAACAATGGGGCATTCGTCAACTCTCAGCCCCGATGTAGGGACCAGCCCCACAGGGTCGGTAGGTCTCTCCCTGTGTGCAGCGATGAGAGAGTGTAGAAATAAAGACACAAGACAAAGAGACAAGAGAAAAGGCAGCTGGGCCCGGGGGACCACTACCACCAATGCGCGGACACCGGTAGTGGCCCCGAATGTCTGGCTGCGCTGTTATTTATTGGATACAAGGCAGAAGGGGCAGGGTAAAGAATGTGAGTCACCTCCAATGATAGGTAAGGTCACGTGGGTCACGTGTCCACTGGACAGGGGGCCCTTCCCTGCCTGGCAGCTGAGGCAGAGAGGGAGAGGAAGCAGAGAGAGAGACAGCTTACATCATTATTTCTGCATATCAGGGACTATTAGTATTTTCACTAATTTACTACTGCTATCTGGAAGGCAGAGCCAGGTGTACAGGATGGAACATGAAGGCAGACTAGGAGTGCGACTAGTGAAGCACAGCATCACAGGGAGACGGTTAGGCCTCCCGATAACTTCGGGCAAGCCTGACTGATGTCAGGCCCTCCACAAGAGGTGGAGGAGCAGAGTCTTCTCTAAACTCCCCTGGGGAAAGGGAGACCTCCCCCCCCCCCGCTTCCCGGTCTGCTAAGTAGCGGGTGTTGTTCCTTGACACCTTTGCTACCGCTGGACCACGATCCCCCTGATAACGGGCGTCTTCCCAGACGCTGGCGTCACCGCTAGACGAAGGAGCCCTCTGGTGGCCCTGTCCGGGCATAACAGAAGGCTCGCACTCTTGTCTTCTGGTCACACCTCACTATGTCCCCTCAGCTCCTATCTCTGTATGGCGTGGTTTTTCCTAGGCTATGATTATAGAGCGAGGATTATCATAATATTGGAATAAAAAGTAATTGCTACAAACTAATGATTAATGATATTCATATATAATCATATCTAAGATCTATATCTGGTATAACTATTCTTGTTTTATATTTTATTATACTGGAACAGCTCGTGTCCTCTGTCTCTTGCCTCGGTGCCTGGGTGGCTTGCCGCCCACATCAAATAAATAAATAAATAAATAAGCTGGGACAAGTGGCATGAGCTTAGAATGTCCCAGGCAAACAAGGAAATACGGTCATTCTAGCAATAATGACAAATATTCACCAATAGGGAATTTGTTAAATAATTATAATACATCCAGACAATAGAATACTATGAAGGAATAAAAGGAAGCACATTATGTACTGATTTGGAAAGTTCTCCAAGATGTATAATAAAAATTGTTAAAGGCAAAATACAAAACAGTGCTTATAGCATGCTGCCATTTATGCGAAGTAAGAATAAATATAACTGCTTAGATACGGATAACATACATCTGGAAGGATATATTGAAAACCAATGACACTGTTTGCCTCCAGGGAGGGAAGCTGGATAGCTGGGAAACAGAAGCAGGATAGCGACTTCATTACATGCCCTTTTGAATTCTGAACCAGCTGAATAAATAAAATTATAAAATAAAATGGCTCCAATAATGAGTTGACTACTTGAAAATTTTGATGACGTATTTTTCCCCTGCTTGTGCTTCTATATTAAATAATAATAATTCTGTTAAAGATTGTGATTCTATAGAGTTCTTTAAGCAGTTTTTTTTTTTTTTTTTTTTTTTAGATAGAGTCTCACTCTGTCGCCCAGCTGGAGTGCAGTGGCGTGATCTTGGCTCACTGCAACCTCTGCCCCCCGGGTTCAAGCAATTCTCCTGCCTCAACCTCCCGAGTAGCTGGGATTACAGGTGTGCGGCACCACGTCTGGCTAATTTTTTGTATTTTTAGAAGAGACGGGGTTTCACCATGTTTGCCATACTGGTCTCGAACTCCTGACCTCAGGTAATCCGCCCACCTCAGCCTCCCAAAGTGCTGGGGTTACAGGCGTGAGCCACTGCGTCCGGCCTAATTCTGCTATAAACATAAGAATATGTTTCATACTGTTCCAGGCAAGCCAGGAAATATGGTGATTCTAGCAATAATAAAAAATGGAGGCCAGGCTCCGTGGCCTCATGCCTGTAATCCCAGCACTTTGGAAGGCTGAGGCGGGTGGATCACCTGAGGTTGGGAGTTCAAGGCCGGCCTGACCAACATGGAGAAAACTCATATCTACTAAAAATACCAAAAATTAGCCAGGCATATTGGTGGGCGCCTGTAATCCCAGCTACTCAGGAGGTTGAGGCAGGAGAGTTGCTGGAACCCAGGAGGCGGACGTTGTGGTGAGCCAAGGTGGCACCATTGCACTCCAGCCTGGGCAACAAGAGTAAAACTCCATCTCAAAAAAAAAAACAACAAAAAAAAGGAAAGTAACACAAATATTCACCAGTAAGGGACTTGTTTAATAATAATTTAAAAACAAAACTAAGATGATATTTCAGAGAAATTTGAAATCAAGTACCAGTACTGTTAATAACTATCACAGAAATTTTATATGTAGTATAAAGTGATCTGCCCGCCTCGGCCTCCCGAGGTGCTGGGATTGCAGACGGAGTCTCGCTCACTCAATGCTCAATGTTGCCCAGGCTGGAGTGCAGTGGCATGATCCCAGCTCGCTACAACCTCCACCTCCCAGCCGCCTGCCTTGGCCTCCCAAAGTACTAAGATTACAGCCTCTGCCCAGCCACCACCCCATCTAGGAAGTGAGGAGTGCCTCTGCCCGGCCGCCCATCGTCTGGGAAGTGAGGAGCGCCTCTGCCTGGCCGCCCCGTCTGGGAGGAAGTGAGGAGTGCCTCTGCCCGGCCACCCTGTCTGGGAAGTGAGGAGCACCTCTGCCCTGCCGCCCCATCTGGGAGGTGAGGAGCGCCTCTGCCCGGCCACCCATTGTCTGGGAGGTGAGGAGCGCCTCTGCCCGGCTGCCCCGTCTGGGATGTGAGGAGCACCTCTGCCCGGCCGCCACCCTGTCTGGGAAGTGGGGATGGCCTCTGCCCGGCCGCCCCGTCTGGGATGTGAGGAGCGCCTCTGCCCAGCCGCCGCCCCCTCTGGGAGCCGCCCCGTCTGGGAAGTGAGGAGCGTCTCTGCCCGGCCTCCCCGTCTGGGAAGTGGGAAGCGCCTCTGCCCGGCCGCCCCGTCTGGGAAGTGGGGAGCGCCTCTGCCCGGCCACCTCGTCTGGGAAGTGGGGAGCGCCTCTGCCCAGCTGCCACCCCCTCTGGGAGCCGCCCCATCTGGGAAGTGAGCATCTCTGCCCAGCCGCCCCGTCTGGGAAGTGGGGAGCGCCTCTGCCCGGCTGCCCCGTCTGGGAAGTGGGGAGTGCCTCTGCCTGGCCATCGTCTGGGATGTGAGGAGCGCCTCTGCCCAGCTGCCACCCCCTCTGGGAGCCGCCCCATCTGGGAAGTGAGCATCTCTGCCCAGCCGCCCCGTCTGGGAAGTGGGGAGCGCCTCTGCCCAGCTGCCCCGTCTGGGAAGTGGGGAGTGCCTCTGCCCAGCCGCCACCCCCTCTGGGAGCCGCCCCATCTGGGAAGTGAGCGTCTCTGCCCAGCTGCCCCGTCTGGGAAGTGGGGAGTGCCTCTGCCCGGCCGCCCTGTCTGGGAAGTGGGGAGCGCCTCTGCCCGGCCGCCCCGTCTGGGAAGTGAGGAGCATCTCTGCCTGGTCGCCCCATCTGGGAAGTGAGGAGCACCTCTGCCCAGCCGCCACCCTGTCTAGGAATTGAGGAGCGCCTCTGCCCGGCTGCCCCATCTGGGAAGTGAGGAGCACCTCTGCCTGGCCACCCGCTCTGGGAAGTGAGGAGCGCCTCTGCCCGGCCGCCCCCTCTGGGAAGTGAGGAGCGCCTCTGCCCGGCCGCCCCCTCTGGGAAGTGAGGAGCACCTCTGCCCAGCCACCCCGTCTGGGAAGTGGGGAGCGACTCTGCCCAGCCGCCCCGTCTGGGAGGTGTACCCAACAGCTCTGAAGAGACAGCGACCATCGAGAACGGGCCATGATGACGATGGCGGTTTTGTCGAAAAGAAAAGGGAGAAATGTGGGGAAAAGAAAGATCAGATTGTTACTGTGTCTGTAGAAAGAAGTAGACATAGGAGACTCCATTTTGTTCTGTACTAAGAAAAATTCTTCTGCCTTGGGATGCTGTTAATCTATAACCTTACCCGAACCCCGTGCTCTCTGAAACATGTGCTGTGTCAACTCAGGGTTAAATGGATTAAGGGCGGTGCAAGATGTGCTTTGTTAAACAGATGCTTGAAGGCAGCATGCACATTAAGAGTCATCACCACTCCCTAATCTCAAGTACCCAGGGACACAAACACTGTGGAAGGCTGCAGGGACCTCTGCCTAGGAAAACCAGAGACCTTTGTTCACATGTTTATCTGCTGACCTTCTCTCCACTATTATCCTATGACCCTGCCACATCCCCTTCTCCGAGAAACACCCAAGAATGATCAATAAATACTTAAAAAAAAAAAAAAAAAGAAAATTCATACAGTTAAAAAAAAAAAAAAACTTTCCTGAAAATCAGAAAACTAGAATGACAGTTTTTTTGCAAACTGACAGGTCAAAGTAGGTGATGTAAAAAATTTCAAATTATATACAATCTTAATAAAATATGGCTTATGGAGCATTTCACTTAGGTAAATGTGGTTAAAAGTTAATTTAACCTAGTCTTTTAGAGAAGGGTCTCATTTGTTCACTACAGAGTAATACAAGATTCTGACATCTTTCATAGTCTTTAAGTCAAAGAAAAACAAGTATTAAAATACTATTTCTCTAGCAATAACTTGGAGAAGGGAAAAAAGAAAAAAGAAAATGCTATCAAGCAAACCCCGAAGGTATTTTCTTCTTGCTGTGTTGGCAAAGGCTTTCAAATTCCTTCAAATTAGCTTTCGCCTACAGACTTTTCTAAATCCTTTTTAGGAATTCTAGCAAAATCTACATTATTTTAGTATATTTTGTTGATTAAGACTTGCTAGAATCTACTTTAATAGCTATTGGAGAACCCAGATTATACAAGATATTATTTGGAAAAATAGAGAAAATGCATGTTAGGCATCGTAAATGGACCAGTGTGATGATATGTTTTTTAATAGGCTTATATTTATATTTTTTCAGTCCTATAAATGTTCATTTTGTTATTGCTAAACCAAAGAAGAATTAGGAAAGCACACTGGAGTAGATCACAGACACGCTTAAACTTTTATTAAATTTCATTTACTCCATGAAAGTCTAGCATCAAGTTAAAACATGCATCCCATACCTACATCCTCAGTTTCATTGGTCCCCATTCTTTTTTTTTTTTTTTTTTTTTTTTTTGAGATGGAGTCTCGCTGTCACCCAGGCTGGAGTGCAGTGGCGCGATCTTGGCTCACTGCAACCTCTGCCTCCCAGGTTCAACTGATTCTCCTGCCTCAGCCTCCTGAGTAGCTGAGATTACAGGTGCATGCCACCACGCCTGGCTAATTTTTGTATTTTCAGTAGAGATGGGGTTTCACCGTGTTGGTCAGGCTGGTCTCGAACTCCTGACCTTGTGATCTGCCCACCTCAGTCTCCCAAAGTGCTGGGATTACAGGCATAAGCCACCACGCCCGGCTGGTCCACATTCTTATACCCACGTTTCATTCCAACCAAACTAGAGGTAGAGTCCCTCAAATGTTCCTCTCAGGCTATGTTTATTCTTGTAGAGCCCTCTGTCTGAAACACCTCTCGTGCTTTAAAAACCAGCTCCTGTCAGTCACCATTCCTCTTCTATCCCAGTGGCCCTTCACCCCCAGCTTAGTTAGATGTCCCCTTTATACTTTCTTCTGCATGTCTCTACATCACAGCATTTTTCATTAGGAATTTTAAACATAAGCTTTCTCATTTCTCCCAGTAGAAACTGGTTTATTAAATTTTTAAATTTCTGGATTTTCCAGCACTGGACCTGGCACACTGAATGCCAACAAATAAATATTAATTGAGTGAATGGAAGCTCATTATGTCAGAGCCCCAAGTACTTACATTTTACCCAGTAAAATACAAGTTTATCTTTTACAAATGGAGAAACTAAGGCAGAAAGGAGTTTGTAACAATAGTATCATTAACAAAGATTAATAAAAAAATGAACTAATCTTTTACTTGGACCAATTAACATCCTAGCTACAGTCTAAAGAGTAGAACAGGCCAGGTGCGGTGGCTCACACCTGCAATCCTAGCACTTTGAGAGGCTGAGGCGGGCAAATCAAGGGGTCAGGAGTTCGAGACCAGCCTGGCCAACATAGTGAAACTCCGTCACTACTAAAAATACGAAAATTAGCCGAGCATATTGGCGGGTGCCTGTAATCCCAGCTATTCGGAAGGCTGAGGCAGGAGAATTGCTTGAACCCGGGAGGCGGATGTTGCAGTGAGCCAAGATCACACCATTGCACTCCAGCATGGACGACAGAGCGAGACTCCATCACACACACACACACACACACACACACACACACACACAAAATAGAGTAGAACAAATGAGTCTCTAAATCATAAGAAATAAACAAACTCCAAACATCAATTTCCTATCACAGAGGATTAGCTTTTCCTTCTTTCTTTCTTTTCTTTTTTTTTTTTTGTTTGAGACGGAGTTTTGCTCTTGTTGCCCGGGCTGGAGTGCAATGGCGTGATCTCAGCTCACCGCAACCTCCGCCTCCCAGATTCAAGCAATTCTCCTGCCTCAGCCTCCTGAGCAGCTGGGATTACAGGCATGAGCCACCGCGCCCGGCCCGGATTTAGCTTTTATTAAGGATTCAAAATCATTAAGTCTAATCCTCTCTCACATACCACAAAACTCTGGCACAGCCATGGACTAACCTAAAAGCCCACTGTTAGAGACACAAAGAACTTTCTTTCAGTTATGAAAATCTTCATTTCTAGCTGCCCTTGTCATAGTTGGCTAATAGTTTTGCACAAATTAAACTAGATGATGAGTATTTTTCAAATTAGAAACAAAAAGAGGACCTGACCCTGCCAAGCTTTAACCACCTGGGACAACAAACTTGTTCTTCTCCAGCATCTTATACTTTACACAGTACCATTGGCCTCCCAAGTCACCAGTTCATGCTCCATCCTCATGCAAAGACAGCAATATTGTATTGGAGACAGTTAGTCCAAAGGTCCAAGTGCAGCTGGAGCTAGTTCTCTAAGCAAAGAACCTCTGCTTCCATGCATAGATCTTCTTCACTACCCAACCAGTTCCTATTAGTGGAAGAGTGCTGGGAGAAAGAGAGTAAGGAACTCATTAGAGTATAAAGCTAATTCAAAGAGGCAGAAATAGGAAAAAAAGGAAGCAAATTACTTCTGGGTAATGTTTAGAAATTCCCTAACAGATGGTATTTTTCTCTTGAATAGATCAAAACGTTTCAGATAAATCATATTTCTATGAAACAAGGATAAGATTCGTCTGTTACGTATGAAAAAAACTAATGCAGGATTGAGTTTACGTTAAGTATTGAGACCCAGAACTCTGCCTCTTGGGCAAAGCCAAGCATAAAGCAGCAAGCCCTCCCAGAATTAGACGGCTTTCCACGGACAGGAGAACAGATACAGCAGACACAGAATGACTACAGAAGGCGAAAACAAGCAAAAACAAATGTCACTCCATCTGGTTTTAAGCCAAATAAGCCCTCCAACCCTAACCAAGGCAAAGGAGAACTGCCTTTCCACAGAACACACCTGACTGGTTTCAGTACTTGTTTTCCCACGAGTACCCTTGAAACTCATTTTAATCCAAAAATGAAAACTATGGGACAAGCACGGTGGCTCATGCCTGTAATCCCAGCACTTGTGGGAGGCTGAGGCGGGCGGATCATCTGAGGTCAGGAGTTTGAGACCAGCCTGACCGATATGGCGAAACCACATCTTTACTAAATACAAAAAATTAGCTGGGCGAGGTAGCAGGCGCCTGTAATCCCAGCTACTAGGGAGGCTGAGGCAGGAGAATCGCATGAACCCAGGAGGCGGAGGTTGCAGTGAGTCGAGATTGCGCCATTGCACTCCAGCTAGGGCAACAAGAGCAAAACTTCGTCTCAAAAACAAACAAACAAAAACTAGTATTTTGTGATACAGCCAGAACTATCACAAGGAAAAGACTCCCAGTACTGTATCATAATACTTCCACATAAAATACCTCCTTTAGGGATGGGGTCATTTCTCCCGGGATAATTCAATTCAATGCTTAATTTTTGAGAAGGGCTGCATGAAGGAGAGACTTGTAGTTAAAAAAAAAAAACGGGTCTAATTTCTGGTTCTGGTACTTACTAGCTGGGTTACCTTATGCGAGAATTCTTAATTTCCTAGTCTTAGTTTCCTCACCTTCAAATTGAGACTAATAACTACTTTGTAGGTCTCTGGTAAGAGGGAGAGAGAAACTAAGCGGTTGGAACACCATGGGCACTCAATAATAGCTATCATTTACATAATGAGTCCCTACTAAATATGGATGCTGGGTTAGGCGCTGCCGAGATACAAGGTGAAAGTTCTAGCTGCAAATGGCAAAAGTCCTGAATGTTCTTGGATTTCAAAATGCTTTTTGTATATCGCCTCTTTTCTGCCCGTGAGGAGGACAAGGGCAAACAATTAAAATAGGAAAAATGTGGGGAGCACTTCATGGTTTATAAAACGTTTTTCTGCGTGCCAACTTATTTTAATGTCTTAACTTTCCAGATTTGAAAACAAGTCCTACACCAAATAAATGGTAGAGGGACACAAACTGGAACCCAGGCTTCCTAACCGCCAGAGCGACCTTCCCGCCGCCCAATGCCTCCCTGAGGTGCTGGTCGGCTGCTTCTGCCCGGGGTACCCAGCAGTCATCCTACTCTCCACTCAGCACCACCGCACGTCGGCCGCGCGCCACGCTACCCGCCGGGTTACTGGGCGCTGGTTTGGCCTTCGGAGGTCGAGGCTCTCTGAGTGACCTCCTGAACTGGGCTCACTCTTACTTAGCCTCCTCTCTCGAGGCAGCACCCTCCTCTCTACACGACAACTCCATCATTCGCAGCCCCACGGTGTTCCCGGGGAGCGCCTCCCGCCCCCACCGGCTTCGCCTCAGCTTGTCCTCGCCTTTCCCGCCCTCAGCATCCGCGGATACCCGCGCTCGCCGGGCCCACGCGGAAGCATCCGCAGACTGTCGCAAGGTCCCACCGTCTTGCTCTCATTGGGCAACCTTACCCTTTCCCCGCCTCAATGTTTTTGCTTCCTCAGTGATTGGACCTGGGCATTGTCCATTCCAGCTCCCAGGCACCGCCCTCTCTCCACCCACTAGAAAGCCACCCGGGTTCTCCTTCATCCCCAACGCTCCTCACCTAGCCCCTGTCCTGAGGGTGCCCCTAACCCTGGAGCCAGCTTTAAAGGGGCAGGCCCCTTCTCCTGCCCCAGCCCCAGCCCCACCCACCGGGCCCACATTCTCCGTCTTCCAGGTCCAGCGCTCCCTCACAGAACTCCCCCGCACCTTGTCTCGCTCGCTCCGCCCCTCCTTCCCAGCCACAGCTAGAGGTCCCGGGCGCACCTGCAGAGCCGGAGGCTTGCTGGGGCATGCGCTCCATGAAGGCTCTGCAGAAGGCCCTGAGCCGGGCTGGCAGTCACTGCGGGCGAGGAGGCTGGGGTCACCCGAGCCGGAGCCCCCTCCTTGGCGGGGGCGTCCGGCACCACCTCAGTGAGGCCGCGGCGCAGGGCAGAGAGACGCCACACAGCCACCAGCCGCAGCACCAGGATCAGTAAGGCTCCTGGGACAGGGCAGGGGACGGGCTTGCCCCCACTCCCACTGTGGTTCTCGCTAGTTCCCGAGTGCCCTTCCAAGGCAGCGCCGCTCATCTCCCCTCTCCTCGCTCACTAGCCCTCGGTGCCTTTTCCTTTGGATGTGGGGCTTTGGGTGCGCCGCGCTCGGGCGGTAATCTGCCGTCTGCCTAGGAGTGCGTTCGGGCAAGCGGGTCCTGGGGATGGCGCCTGTCCAAGGTGCGCACTTAACCCGGATCACAGATGCGCGCCGAGTGTTGCTTGGCTCACGTGTCTGAGTGCAGGGCCGGGCTCACGCCGCCAGTCCTCACCTTCCCTAGTCCTCGTGTGTATTTTAGGAGATGCGTGGATGTGGAACAGCCTCCTGCCTCCGGTCCAGGTGTACTGGGGTCTGTGTGTTGTGTTTCTGCGTGTTCTCGGCAGGTAATGTGTGATGCGCGTGTATTATTGGTGCGCAGGTACGTCCATAAGTGTTGGGTGTGTGCGTAGCAGTGCTCCCTGAACAGCAGAATGGGGGGGAATTTCCAAACTGGTTGTTGAATGGGGAGAATATTTGTAATGGAGGAAAGGTCTTTAAGACGCAGATTTCCCAAACCAGAGCCAGTCAGAGCCTTTATTTGTGCTGCCCAGGCTCCAGAATCTAAAACGTTCTCTTCCTTTGGGTGTTTCTTCCACCCAGGATGCCAAACCTTTATCTTCCCCACCGCCTAGGACACACTTGGTGGCTGAGCCTTTTTCTCTGAGACCCAGACGGTGCTGAGCAGGAAATCTTGTCCTCCCCAGAGGGCCAGCATAGACACTGTCCAAAGAGCCCCTGCTCTACTGTAGCAGGAACAGGAAATGGGCCATCTCCCTCGTCGCTGCCATCTCCCTGATGACACTCAGAAACATGGACACCATCAGTAAAGTAGCCAGACTGACACAACACTACCTCACCACTACTCGAGTCTCTGACACAACACTACCTCACCACTACTCGAGTCTCTGTCGTAAGGGACACCAATAGGTATTATTTATTATTAATGACATTATGCAGTACTTTTATTTCTTTCTTTTTTGAGACGGAGTCTCACTCTGTCACACAGGCTGGAGTGCAGTGGCACCATCTCGACTCACTGCAATCTCCACCTCCTGGGTTCAAGTAATTCTCCTGCCTCAGCCTCTCGAATAGCTGGGATTACCTCGAGTAGCTGGGATTACAGGTGCGCGCCACCACAACCCGCTACTTTTTGTAGTTTTAGTAGAGACAGGGTTTCACCGTGTTGGCCCTGCTGGTCTTGAACTCCTGACTTCAGGTGATCCGCCTGCCTCAGCCTCCCAAAGTGCTGCGATTACAGGCATGAGCCACCACGCCCGGCCCTTTTCTCTTTTTCATAGTCATGGTGTCTGCTTATCCATATTACACAGTACTTTCCCATCAGCTTCTTCTTAAAGAGACACAGAACATTTAAAGGATAAGCCCTCTCCCTCCTGTTCTAGTCTCCACCCCAACTTCCCCCCAGGTATTCACCATGGGAGAAATAATGGTGGGATACAGCAAAGGCTGAACTTCCCTCATCTGTCCGCCTTCTGCAGAGTAGGGAACTAGAGGTATCCCTGGTTCCCCACACACACACCTCCTTATCCAGTGGAGTCTGGTGATGGAAGTGTTTTTAGGGGACCTTGTTTCTTCTGCCCAGGGAACCCCCTATCATATCCTCGGACTGGTGCTCCCCAGGCAGAAAGGGTTGAGAGCACTGGAGAGTGATGTGCTCTGGCAGTGTGACACCATGATGGGGTGGGGTTCCTGTGTTTGGGGGAGGAAAGAGAGCAGCAAAGAGGAAATGCGCTGTTATTCAGGTTATTGTTTGTTTAATATTTAGCTATTTAGCTGTATTTATGACTTTTTTTTTTTTTTTTTTTTGGAGACAGAGTCTCTTTGCCGCCCAGGCTGGAGTGCAGTGGCGCAATCTCGGCTCACTGCAACCTCTGCCTCAGCTTCCTGAGTAGCTGGGATTACAGGCACCCACCACTACGACTGGCTAATTTTTGTATTTTTAATAGAGATGGGGTTTCACCATGTTGGCCAGGCTGGTCTCAAACTCATGACCTCAGATAATCCACCTGCCTCGGCCTCCCAAAGTGCTGGGATTATAGGCGTGAGCCACCGTGCCGGGCCATATTTATGACTTTAAAAGAAACACAAGAGTATCAAGAGGAAAATATCCCAACACAAAGAAATGATAAATGTTTGAGATGATGGATATACTAATTACCCTTATCTGATCACTATAATCCTGTGTATTGAAACATTGCTATGCATCCCATAAACATGTGTACAATTATGTTTCAATTAAAAAATATATAAATTTAGAGCCAGGTGCAGTGGCTCACACCTGTAATCCCAGCACTGTGGGTGGCCAAGGCAGGGGGATCACTTGAGCTCAGGAGTTCGAAACCAGCTTGGGCAGCATGGCAAAACCCTGTCTCTGCCAAAAAAAAAAAAATACAGAAATTAACCAGGCATGGTGGCGCATGCCTGTAGTCCCAGCTACTTGGGAGATTGATGTGGGAGGATCACTTGAGCCCTGTAGGTCGAGGCTGTAGTGATCCATGATTGCATCACCACACTCCAGCCTAGGCAACAGAGCAAGACCCTGTGTCAAAAATAAATAAATAAGTTTATTACTTAAAAATTTTAAAAAGAAATATCCCAGTATTAGAGATAACCAATTAATATTGTGATATATTCATATATATCCTATATATGTATATGTAATTTAACAAAAATGGGATAATAGTCATATTCTTGAACTTATCTTTTTCATTTATGAACAGCTTTTAATATCATCGAATGTGTATGACATTGTCATCTTGTCATTTTAAAAGATTCCATTGTTTGAGGTATCATAGTTTATATAACCAGTCTTCAATTTGGTTACTATATAGTCTTGTACACTTGTTCAATTATTTCATAAATTCCAAGGAAATTTTGCCCCCAGAGATAATTTGATGTCATTAATATCATGTATAGTCTTCTAGAGATATTTTATGCATAAAATACATGCTGATACTACTTTACCTTTTTTTATACAAATGGTATCCTATAAACAATGTTCCTATACCTTGCTTTTTTGGTATCATACTATACACATTGCTGTTGTACGTTGCTTGTTTTCCCTCAACATTACATTGGTGATCCATCCATATCTGAGGGATATGCAGTTTTTTTAGGCTTGTGATACATTCAGTGGTATAGCATTATTTCCTGTCTTCTGTTGGCTTCCAGGCAGAGTCCTGCCTTCAGAGTGTTCCTATGTACTTTCCTTCTTGAGTTATCCCTCAGATAGCTTTTTTCCTCCTCTCCCCCCTATAGGCATTAGCTTCATTGTGACAACCGGATTTCCCCAGAAGCAGGAAAACTCTTCTGGTATTCCCTCTTCTGGTACTCCTCCTGACTCCAAACACACACATGCCTAGTCTATGCCAAGCTGTTTGAGTATTATTTTTTAATCCATTGTTTCAATAGATAATATATTCCATATGGTTCAAAATTCAAAATATACAAAAGATAGTGAAAAGTATCCTCCCATCCCTTTTTCCTGGCACCTATGTCATCTCTGTAGAAGGAGATGAATCAATCTTACCTATTTATGTATTTATGTATTTGAGATGGAGTCTCGCTCTGTTGCCCAGGCTGGAGAGCAGTGGCGTAATCTCAGCTCACTGCAACCTCCGCCTCCTGGGTTCAAGCGATTCTCCTGCCTCAGCCTCCTGAGTAGCTGGGATTACAGGTGCGCGCCACCACACCCGGCTAATTCTTGTACTTTTAGTAGAGATGGGGTTTCACCATGTTGGTCAGGCTGGTCTCGAACTCCTTACCTCATGATCCGCCCACCTTAGGCTCCCAAAGTGCTGGGATTACAGGCATGAGCCACCATGCCCAGCCAGTCTTACCTATTTCTACCTAAATGGTCTTCTAGAAATATCCTGTGCCTGAATAAGCAAACACATATATATTTTTCCCTTTTAAACCTGTGCTTCAACCTGAGAAAACTGATATAAGAAAAAAAAGAAAAAACAAATGAAAAAATAAAGCTAGCACTAAAGAACTTACTCATGTAACCAAACACCACCTGTTCCCCAAAAACCTATTGAAATAAAAAAATAAATTTAAAAATAAAAATAAATAAAACTGGGCATGGTGGCATACACCTATAGTCCCAGCTACTAGGGAGGCTGAGGCAGAAGGATCACTTGAGCCCAGGAGTTCAAGGCCAGCTTGAGCAATACAGCTAAACCCCATCTCTAAAAACAAACAAACAAACATAAATACTACCACACGCTTCTTTTAGTTAATATTATACTGTTCTACAGCACGCTTCTTTTAGTTAATATTATATCTTAGAGATAATTCCATATCAATTCTTAGAGCACACCCCAATTTCTTTTTTTTACACTGCATAATATTGCATTATATGAATATACCATAATTAATCAGTTCCCTATTGTTGCACATCAAGTTGTTTCTAATCTTACTATTACTAACAGTGTGATGAGGGCCGGGCGCGGTGGCTCACTCCTGTAATCCCAGCACTTTGGGAGGGGGAGGCAGGCGGATCACAAGGTCAGGAGTTCGAGACCAGCCTGGCCAACATGGTGAAACCCTGTCTCTACTAAAAATACAAAAATTAGCTGGGCGTGGTGGCACGTGCCTGTAATCCCAGCTACTTGGGAGGCTGAGGCAGGAGAATCACTTGAACCCAGGAGGCAGAGGCTACAGTGAGCCGAGATCACACCATTGCACTCCAGCCTGGGTGACACAGCAAGACTCCGTCTCAAAAAAAAAAAAAAAGAAAGAAAAAGAAAAAAGAAAAAACAACAATGTGATGAATAATTGTAAATATGTTATTTTTGAGGTGTGTGAGTATACCTGTAGAATAAATCACTGAAAGTCAAATTACTGGGTCAAAGATCTTTGAAGGGTCTTAATCGCAACTAGCTGTCATATTTGGAAATAATCTGATAAAATAACTCTGCTTGGCTGGGTGCGGTGGCTCACGCCTATAATCCCAGCACTCTGGGAGGCTGAGGTGGGAGGATCACTTGAGTCCAGGAGTTTGAGATCGGCCTAGGCAACATAGTGAGACCCCTTTTCTACTTAAAAAAACAATAACTCTTCTAAATATTTTAACATATTAATGGAAATCTTGAAAACTAAGAAGTCTTCAGTACCTGGAATTTTAGGTGTTATAAGCCAGAGAGATACTTTGGGACACAGGGACCTTGCTAGCAATACAACTTAGTAATTCTTATCGAAGACCCACTGTGTGCTAGGGACTTTGCTGAGGGCTAGGAAGACAAAGATGTATAAAACACAAAGACCTAACTGTGGAGCAAGGGAGATTCTTCTGTCAGTAAGATGGTGTGTTGTGTCAAACCGGCAGCATAAGCAATATCTGGAGGTTTGGGGAAGCCTTTACAGAGTTGGTGACATTTGATCTGGACTTTGAAGAATGAGCAGGACCATACTAAGCAAAGGTCCTTCTATGCAGAAGTTACAGCATAAGCAAAGGCCAGGAAGCCTCACAGTTCCTGGCCCATTTTGGGGAACCATCTATATTGCCTGTTATATCTGGAGTGTGGGCATGATGGGGAATAGGAAAGTTAAGTGGGCAGGTTTTATTTATTTTACTTTATTTTTTTTTTAAACAAAGTCTCACTCTGTCACCCAGGCTGGAGTGCAGTGGCACAATCTCGACTGACTATAACCTCCACCTCCCAGGCTCAGGCAATTCTCCTGCCTCAGCTTCCCAAGTAGCTGAGATTACAGAAGCCCACCACCACACCTGGCTAATTTTTGTATTTTTAGTAGAGACGGGGTTTTACCATGTTGGTCAGTCTGGTCTCGAACTCCTGACCTCAGGTGATCTGCCCGCCTTGGCCTCCCAAAGTGCTGGGATTACAGGTGTGAACCACCATGCCCGGCCAATTGGCAGGTTTTAAAGAGCTTTTGATGTCCTACCAAGTTTTTGTTTGTTTGTTTTGAGATGGAGTTTTGCTCTTTTTGCCCAGGCTGGAGTGTAATGGCGTGATCTCGGCTCACTGCAACCTCTGACTCCTGGGTTCAAGCAATTCTCTTGCCTCAGCTTCTGGAGTAGCTGGGATTACAGGCAGATGCCACTATGCCCGGTTAATTTTGTATTTTTTAATAGAGACAGGGTTTCACCATGTTGGCCAGGCTGGTCTCAAACTCCTAACCTCAGGTGATCCGCCTGCCTCAGCCTCCCAAAGTGCTGGGATTACAGGTGTGAGTCACCATGCCCAGCCTACTTCTTATTTCAAGTGCTTATTCTGTAGGCACTGGGGAGCTACCAAACGTTTTTGAGTAGAGAAATTACATTTGAGTTTAGAAAGATCACTGGCACATTTTGACTGGGCGTGGTGGCTCATACCTGTAATCCCAGCACTTTGGGAGACTGAGGCAGGCGGATCACGAGGTAAGGCGTTCGAGACCAGCCTGACCGAAATGGTGAAACCCCGTCTCTACTAAAAATACAAAAAAATTAGCCAGGCGTGGTGGTGCACACCTGTAATCCCAGCTACTCAGGAGGCTGAGGCAGGAGAATCGCTTGAACCCAGGAGGCGGAGGTTGCAGTGAGCCGAGATCGCGCCATTGCGCTCCAGCCTGGGCGACAGAACCAGACTCCGTCTCAAAAAAAAAAAAAAAAAAAAAAAAGATCACTGGCACATTTTAGAAGGTGGATTGAGGCAACAAGAGCAAAACTCTGTCTCAAAAAAAAAAAAGATGGATTGAAAGTCAAGAGAGTGTAGTGGCAATTAGGTAATAGGGAATAAGGAGCTGATGATAAACATGATTTATTGAACATTTACTTTGTGTCAGGCAGTTTTTCACAGAATATTATCTTAAGCCTCACATCACCCAGGTGAAGTAGACATTACTACCCTTGTATTACAGATAGGAAGCAAGTTCAGCAATATTAAGCGACCTGCTCAAGATCACACAGCTATTAAGGGGCAAACTCTGGTCTACTACACCATGCTGGCACAGGGAAAAGGAGGAGAGGGTGGATTTGAGACATTATGAGGCAGATTCATCCAATGTTGGTGACCAACTAAGCATGGACTTAAGGTGTGGCAACTATCAAAATGATGCCACATTTCCAGCTTGGCACCCAGGTGGGTGGTAATGCTGTTAACCCAGGTGGGAAACAAGAGGAGAAGAAGAGGGAAGGAAGTGAGATGACTCAGGTTTGGACATATTTTTCAGTGCTTGTGGGGAACCTATAGGTGGAAGTGTGAGAAGGGAGCTAAAAATAAAGATCTGAAGGTCAGGAGTAAAAGCTAGAGAAAAGATCTACAACTTCTTAGGACAGACATGAAAGTTAGATTTATAGGGATAGATCAGATGGCTTAAGGAGGAGGCATAGAATGAGGACACTCACCTACTTATAAGCCCATGTTGCAGAAGGAGGAGCAGGTAGCAGTTCTCAGGCCCCACTTTCCTCCCCATTCTCTGCCCCCAAACAGTGATTCATCAGAAAGTGGCATGCTGTCCCGCCTGGGTGATTTGCTCTTTTACACTATTGCTGAAGGACAGGAACGAATCCCTATCCACAAGTTCACCACTGTAAGTTGCCCTCTACCTGTTCAGGATCCTAATTCCTTAAGATCTCTGAAAAGTGGGGAAAGGAGGGTATGACAAGTGCAGGGCAGCTAATGGGTTGCTACATGAGGGTGAAGCATACAGATGGATGAGAATCCAGATGTCTAGGCTGACAAGACAAGCCCATCCCTGCCCCAGGGTCAGAAGATTAAACCCTCTGGAAAAAGGACAGGAAACCCTTGTTAGCCTTCAGAGCTACTCCATCCCCTCCTTTCTTATTCTCCAAACCCATTTGTTCCACCTATTGTAGTGGTTGGGGTTCAGCTAATTGGGTATCCAGTGGGAAAGATTATGAGGAGTACATCACTGTCCTTGTAGCTGACCTTTCTGGCCTCTTCTTTCCTCTAAAGGCACTAAAGGCCACTGGACTGCAGACATCAGATCCTCGGCTCCGAGACTGCATGAGCGAGATGCACCGCGTGGTCCAAGAGTCCAGTAGTGGTGGCCTCTTGGACCGAGATCTCTTCCGAAAGTGAGGGCCCCAGAAACAAGGGCACTGCTCTCTGAAAACTGTCCTGTGGACATAGACTCTCAGAGCAGGGAGGAATTTGGGAATTGTATAGTTCAATTCCTCATTTTATTTTATTACTTATTACATAAGTTATACATGAATACTCATCATAAGAGTTCAAACAATATAGAAATACATGTTCTCCTTTCCCTCCCTACTCAATCCCTGTCCTCTTTTCCCAGAAGTAAATATTAGCAGATTAGTGGGTATCTTCTAGATAATGTCCTATGTACTGACATACATACATGAATATATATAAATATACTTTTATGATTTAGGATTTTTTAAATATCAAGGTAACATACATACATATTATTCTGGTATTTATTTTTTTTCTCATATCCCAAGACATAGTGTCTTTCCACATCATTAAAACCCCTCATTTTAGAGGTACGGAAACTAAGACCTAGAAAGGTAAACTGATTTGCCAAAGGTAACAGAGCTGTTGATCCCAAACCTGAAGACCACTCAACCTTCTTTATTCCCAATTTCCGTGGCTCCAGAGTGAGTCCCAGCTGCATTTCTCTAGCCCCCTAATCCAATCGTGTCTGGGATCCAGGTGTGTGAGCAGCAACATTGTGCTCCTGACCCAGGCATTCCGAAAGAAGTTTGTCATTCCTGATTTTGAGGAGTTCACGGGCCATGTGGATCGCATCTTTGAGGATGTCAAAGAGCTCACTGGAGGCAAAGTGAGAGTCAGGGGACTAAGGGAGGGGTCAGGGACCTGGGCCAGATTTTTTTTTTTTTTTTTTTTCCTGAGACAGAGTTTTGCTCTGTCACCCGGGCTGGAGTGCAATGGTGCAATCTCAGCTCACTGCAACCTCCACCTCCCAGGTTCAAGCGATTCTCCTGTCTCAGCCTCCCGAGTAGCTGGCATACACCACCATGCCCGACTAATTTTTGTATTTTTAGTAGAGATGGGGTTTTGCCATATTGGCCAGGCTGGTCTCGAACTCCTGATCTCAAGTGATCCACCCACCTCGGCCTCCCAAAGTGCTGGGATTACAGGCATGAGCCACCACACCTAGATATACCTCGCTTCTCAGAGATTTCCTGGGGCTGGGAGTCCTATGAATGAGAGATGAGAAGCAGAACTTCTGTAAATGGTGACATGGCTTCATGTGTTTCTATACACGATTCCTAGAGCAGGTGAGGGAATCAAGATCGAATAGAGCCTTCAAAGGGATTTATAGGGTAACTGAGCCTAAGAACCAAAAGGGGAAGGTTGCCTCAGAATTCTCCTTTTTTAACTTCCATTGGCTTTACTGCTATCTCTACAGGATTGCGGATACACAAAGATATGGCCTTCTAGGACTTAAGGCTCGGGCATTTCTGGGAGCAACAGGCAGGAGGGAACCCCTCTGCCCTATAGAAGACAGAATTTTAGCTTTTATCTAAAAGATTCTCTTGACCCTCAACCTCAACTCTGTTCCTCTTCTCCACATCCATCTCCCTTTTCTCTACCCACTCATGTCCAGGTGGCAGCCTACATCCCTCAGCTGGCCAAGTCAAACCCAGACCTGTGGGGTGTCTCCCTGTGCACTGTGGATGGTCAACGGTGAGATGCTGGGCAAGAGGAAGGGGAGGCAGGGCACAGGTGCCGAACACAGGCCAACCCCTTTCATGGCATCTGTCTGCCTCCAGGCACTCTGTGGGCCACACAAAGATCCCCTTCTGCCTGCAGTCCTGTGTGAAGCCCCTCACCTATGCCATCTCCATAAGCACCCTAGGCACTGACTACGTGCACAAGTTTGTGGGCAAAGAGCCAAGTGGCCTGCGCTACAACAAGCTCTCCCTCAATGAGGAAGGTGAGCACTACCAAGGCTCAGACCGTACTTACAGCTGTCCCCTTCTCCTTATCCCCACCCCATCTCCCAGCCTTTTTTGTTTCTCTGCCCTTCCTGATTAGCCCTGTCATGCCTTTCTCCCTAGCAGTCTTTCTTGTCTAACCCACAAAGTGAGCGGGCTGTCAGGGAGGCTTTGTTCAGTGGCTAAGACTCTTGGTGGTTTGTATTTCCCCAGGAATCCCCCATAACCCCATGGTCAATGCTGGTGCCATTGTTGTCAGCTCCCTGATCAAGGTCAGTGCCACCTTAACCTTCTGATAGGTATTATCCTCTAAGCTCCTGTGTTCCTGTATCCCTCATATTTGTTCAGCTCTCCAGGGAGACTGGTGGGGCTCTGATTCCTTTGAGGGTCCCCAGAAGGCACATGAGGCACAGCAGGGACCCACATGTTATGCTGACAATGTCAGTATAAGAGACTGCACCACCTCCGTCATCCCCACTCAGTACTGTTCCCTGCCCCCACCCATGAGTCTAGAGCCTAGAGCTTTCTGACCCTTAGAGAAGTGAGCAGGTCCTGACCCCTGCCTAGGACCAAGGGCCAAATGCCAGAGACAAGGGGAGGACAGCACTATTGGGCACTGATTGGCCACTTCTGGGTGTGGGACACCTGCAGGCAAGGGTGAATGGCCAGGCCAGGGCAGTTATTCACGTCACCTGGAACTGTGAGTTGGCCTTGAACAGGGTGTCAGACTAGCCCATCAGCTGTAGGTCTCCCAGGGCTTGAGCAAGAACCTGGGAGCAGCTGGGCAGCAACACCCTGGAGCCAATCACAGCCCCTCCTGGGGAAGGTGGTGTTAGGAATCCTCCCCTCAGGGACTCAGGTATCAGAGTCCCTGTGGTATTGACTCTGTAGTTGACACATGAGTAAGCAATGAGTCTGGGTGAGGAAAAGAGGCTGAGTCTCTCCCCTTGTTCTGTGATGGCTCCATCTACAAACCTGTATCTGGGACCTGCCTCATCCCATTCCCATCTAAGTAGGACCTTTTTTAAAAAATATAGAGGCCAGGCGCGGTGGCTCACGCCTGTAATCCCAACACTTTGGGAGGCCGAGGTGGGCAAATCACGAGGTCAGGAGATCGAGACCATCCTGGCTAGCACGGTGAAACCCCGTCTCTACTAAAAATACAAAAAATTAGCCAGGCTTGGTGGTGGGCACCTGTGGTCCCAGCTGCTCGGGAGGCTAAGGCAGGAGAATGGTATGAACCCGGGAGGCGGAGCTTGCAGTTGAGCCGAGATCCTGCCACTGCACTCCAGCCTGGGCGACAGAGCAAGACTCCATCTCAAAAAAAAAAAAAAAAAAAAATTGAGGCAGGGTCTCTCCTATGTTGCCTAGGCTGGTCTCAAACCCCTGGTCTCAAGCGATCCTCCTGCCTCAGCCCCCCAAATTGCTGAGATTACAGGCATGAACCATCATGCTGGCCAATGGGATGGAGTAAAGCTCCAGCATGGGGTGTAAGGAATGGGGATGGAGATCAGGGATAGGGTGGGGCTAGGAGACAGGATTCGAGTCAGGAAAATGAACGTGGGAGTCAGGGATGAGGGTTTGGATTGAGAATGGAAGTGGGATGGCCCAGCAAGCTGGCTCATGCCTGTAATCCGAGCTACTTGGAGGCTGAAGTGGGAGGATCGCTTGAGCCTGGGAGGTCAAAGCTGCAGTGAGCCATGATCGTGCCACTGCACTCCAGCCTGGGTGACAAGGGTGACAAAGCAAGACTGTCTCAAAAAAAAGAAAGAGAAAGAGAGGAGCCAATGGAAGTGCGGTGTTTTCAGAAGGATAAAAAAAGGGCCATTATAAAATTGAACACATTTGCAGCAGCAGGACCAGACTAACACTAGAACTCCACTAGATCCTTCTGACCCTTCCCTCTGTCATCCTCCTACACTTAGAATGCTGACATCTCTCTCTTTCTCTGCAGATGGACTGTAACAAAGCAGAGAAGTTTGATTTTGTAAGTTCCCTTGCTACTTAGCCCCTGGCTGCATTTCGCCATGGCATGCTGTCCTCTCCAGCTGCCCCAGTGGCTCTCTAACCCCACTACCAGGTGCACCAGCCCATACTAGAAGCCTTATTTCCAGAAATGTGGAAATCTGCTGGCCTCAGAGAGGAAAGCCTCTTGACAAGACCTGAGTTCAGAAGGGCTAGTCAACCTGTGAGGTATTAATAGAGCTTCTTAACCAAGTGGAGCCTCAATGTCCCTTTTTCTCTTCCAGGTGTTGCAGTATCTCAACAAAATGGCTGGGAATGAATACATGGGTTTCAGCAATGCCACGTAAGTCCCTACTCAGAGGACTGACTGAAAGCATTGTGGTGTATGTGTGTGTACTTAGGATGGGGACAAGAGGAATGGGGGAGAGAGAATCTTAGGAGGAAGAAATCCCAGGGGAACTTTGGCCCTCCAGCTTCCTCTGAGTCCCTTCATAAACATTTGTTTATCTTGTAAAATAATTTGTTCCATTTCTAATTAGTACATAATGAGAGAGGCAGTGTGATGGTTTGTGCCTAAGCCCTTTCTTGCCAAGACTTTCAAAGCCAAAAACTTCACCAGTTTTCCTAGATGACTAGACAGTTTGGGGTGTTTGGTTTGGGTTTACTTTATAACAAAACTATGCTGAGTGTTTGCTCAGGTTCAGAAATTTCCTCTAATATTACTGTGAGAAGTTATAAAGGGGTTCATTTAGTTTGTGGTGTGATGTAGTTCTGTCTCTCCAGGGAAGGTAATTTTTCCCCTTCTCCCAACACCCACTCCTCCAACTTCAAGTACTAAATTGGGTGTTTGCTTCAGATTCCAGTCAGAGAAGGAAACAGGGGATCGGAATTATGCCATCGGCTATTATCTCAAGGAAAAGAAGGTAACCAGAAGAGGCCGGAAGAGAAAGTCCCTGGGAATTCTGCTGCTAGTGGAAGGGCAGTAGGGGTTGGGGGCTTCAGCTGAGACCCTGACAGTGTGAAAGGGCTGATGTCCTGAAGAGAAATGCTCTCCCCTCTCTTCCTTGCAGTGCTTTCCTAAGGGGGTGGACATGATGGCTGCCCTTGATCTCTACTTCCAGGTAAGAAAACACTGCTCAGGGCCGAGGGAACAGGACAGACTGTCCTTGCCCTTGCCCTTTCCCTACACCCGAGGGTCCCATGTGCAGGTTCACGTCACATCTTCACCTATTCTTTGTTTTCATAGCTGTGTTCTGTGGAGGTCACTTGTGAATCAGGCAGTGTCATGGCAGCCACCCTCGCCAACGGTGGGATCTGCCCCATCACAGGCGAGAGTGTGCTGAGTGCTGAAGCAGTGCGCAACACCCTCAGCCTCATGCATTCCTGCGGCATGTATGACTTCTCTGGCCAGTTTGCCTTCCACGTGAGTTTCTGGCTCTGCTATCCATCTGTCATGAGCCCAGTGCTAAGAAGAGAGAACACTGACTCTCTCAAGATAGAGGTGGAAGCTTGTTCCTGCCTCTCATTCACTAACTTCCAGGAAGGCAATTAGGTTGAGACTCCTTAGACGAGTTTCTCAAAAACACCAAGTTCCTCGAATATATAAAGAGATGTCTTTGGGAGGCCGAGGCAGGTGGATCACCTGAGGTCAGGAGTTCGAGACCAGCCTGACCTACATGGTGAAACCCCATCTCTACTAAATACAAAAAATTAGCCGGGGGTGGTGGTGTGCACCTGTAATCCCAGCTACTTGGGAGGCTGAGGCAGAAGTGCTTGAACCTGGGAGGCAGAGGTTGCACTGAGCCGAGATTGTGCCATTGCACTGTAGCCTGGGCAACAAGAGCAAAACTCCATCTCAAAAAAAAAGAAAAAAAGAAAAAGAAAAACAACCAGAGGTGTTGCAGCTCCTGAATTGTGCTTCACATTGCTGGCTCTTCTCCTTGGGGTCTCAGCTTAGATGTCATTTCCAAAGAAAGACTTTTCTGACCACCCTATCTCATGTGGCCCCCCTCTACCTCTATTTACAGCACCCTACTTCTCACTATTTATCACAATTACTTTAAACATTACGTGTCTATTTATTTACCTGTTTATTACCTATCTCCTAACACCAGAATGGAAGTTCCTAGTTCTAGCACAGCATCTAGCACAGAATGCTGTAAGTATTTCAAAAAATATTTTCTAGCTGAATCAATGAATTTAAGGGAAGGAAAGGACAGGAGTAATAAAAGAAGCTAATTAACAAGCCAAAAGGTTGAGGTGGATTGTGGTCATGCAGTCATTTGTAAACTTGTTAAGAGTACAGCCTAACTTGTTTATTTTCTGATTTGGGGCACACCCACTTTATCCTCAGCTTCAGTTCTGTTCCCCAGGTGGGCCTGCCAGCCAAGTCAGCTGTATCAGGAGCCATCCTCCTGGTGGTACCCAATGTCATGGGAATGATGTGCCTGTCACCCCCATTGGACAAGCTGGGGAACAGCCATAGGGGGACCAGCTTCTGCCAGGTGAGATGCTTTGCATATAGTACTTACTATTTTTGAAGCAATAAATTTGTTTAATGGTACCACTTTTACTATAATAAAGCAATTTTGAGCTCCTACTAAGTGTAAGGAGTAAATAAACAATATATTTGGCTTACAATTCTAGAAGTTGGTGTCTCTCTTCAATTTCCACAACTATGACAACCTGAGGCACTGTGCTCGGAAGTTAGACCCACGGCGTGAAGGGGCAGAAATTCGGGTAAGGAAAACTCCAGGTGGCTTGTAAGAATATTTCAAAGGCCAGGTGCGGTGGCTCACGCCTGTAATCCCTGCACTTTGAGAGGCCAAGGCGGGCGGATCACAAGGTCAGGAGATCAAGACCATCCTGGCTAACACGGTGAAACCTGGTCTCTATTGAAAATACAAAAAATTAGCCAGACGTGGTGGCACGCGCCTGTGGTCCCAGCTACTTGGGAGGCTGAGGCAGGAGAATCGCTTGAAACCGGGAGGCAGAGGTTGCAGTGAGCCAAGACCGCGCGCCACTACACTTCAGCCTGAACGACAGAGCGAGACTCCGTCTCAAAAAAAAAAAAAAAAAAAAGAATATTTCAGAGTAGCACATTCCATAACACTTCAGCAATACCCTTGGACTAAGCATCCATGGAGGAGGGTCACAGGGCACAGCTGGCATAGGTGAGTTCAATTAATGTCATGTGGGTATGATTTGTGTTCCAGAACAAGACTGTGGTCAACCTGTTATTTGCTGCCTATAGTGGCGATGTCTCAGCTCTTCGAAGGTAATGCTACTGTGACCAAATATACACAATAAAATACTCCTGGTCAGAGATTTTACTAGGAGGCAGCGTAACAAAATAGTTAAGTGCTTCAGCTTTGGAATTAGAATGGATATAGATTGCATTTAAATGAAATTTTTTTAAAAAAGGAGATTTTTTTTAAAAAAAGTAAACTGTCTGCTCTATGATAATTAATGTTAGCCATTGTTATTGAGTGTTAAGAGCAGTGTCCTAGGAAGTAGGTACCCTGCCTCAAATGGGCACTTACCACAGGTAGGCAGTGAGTGATATTTCTGGAAGGATCACATTCCCATCTCTCTAATATGAGTATAACAGTCTCATCTGGATATGGAAAAAAGATTATTCAGAGCCAACAAATCTGGCTATAGGCTGTTTCACTTTCTCTGAAACTCATCCAGTCTGACACCAGTTCACAAAGAACACCTGTGATTCCAGTCTGATCTAGGCAACTCTAGCTGCTTTCCCACTACCCTCAGGTTTGCCTTGTCAGCCATGGATATGGAACAGAAAGACTATGACTCGCGCACAGCTCTGCATGTTGCTGCAGCTGAAGGTACTGAAGGGTTAAGGAGGGGAGGAGGAGGGTAATCATAAGACCCTTTCTTTTTCACCAAAAGTACCTTCATTATATGTGCCCTCAAGGTTATAGGGGCAGCAACTAGTTTTATCTAGACACCCTTCGGTTTGCAGCTAGACTATGACTGAGTGCTGCAGGGTACAAAATGGGAAGAGGCCTTTTCCCCTCCCCTCTTGGTAAAGACTTCAGTGGCTAAGTGTCTGCACCAAAGGGTTCAAGACCTGCGCCTTCTCATTTTCCTTCTGCCCATATTCCTAGGACACATCGAAGTTGTTAAATTCCTGATCGAGGCTTGCAAAGTGAATCCTTTTGCCAAGGACAGGTGAGGAATAGGCTAAAAGTGGAGGAGGGTGGGCACAGCTTCTCCACCTACCCTCCAGCCACCATGCAAATATATACAACCACCACTCTCCACGTCTCCTTTGCCTGATCATATCATTATTCCTCTCAGGTGGGGCAACATTCCCCTGGATGATGCTGTGCAGTTCAACCATCTGGAGGTGGTCAAACTGCTTCAAGATTACCAGGACTCCTACACACTCTCTGAAACTCAGGCTGAGGCAGCAGCTGAGGCCCTGTCCAAAGAGAACTTAGAAAGCATGGTATGAGCACAGGTCATGGACAGCCCCTGCTCAAGAAAAAGCATGAGCTGGCCACACATGTAATCCATAACCACCAAAAATACTATGGAGAGCTACACTGCTTCAGTGGGGACCAAGCAGTCATTTGGTGACTTAGGCTAGTGCTTTCTATGGGAGTCAAAATACCCCATTCCCTCAGCAGACAGAGTACAGAGAAGGGCCTCAGAGGACACCTGCAGTACAGCTATCCAGAGAGACTGGGCTTCAAGGTACAGCCTAATGGCTTGCCCCACTCAAAACCATCCCAGCTCTTCACCCAGGTCTCCTCTTCCTCTCCCTGAAGAAACCATCATGAGAGAGATACTCTGGTGGAGGGACTCTAGCTACCATGCACATGTACATATCCACAGAATATGGGAAGTGGGAATGGCTATATACATGGCTTTAGTAGTCTGGAGAAATCTACTCCCCTTGGCCAGGACATGCTGCTGCTACTGCTAACAGCCAATTTTATAGACAGAGAAAGTATTTTGTGTTCAAATAAACTTTAATTACCAAATCATTTTTGCTAAACCCAGTCCTTCTTTCTTCCCTAGGGGTATCTAGCTTCATCACCATCATAGAAGGTAGAAAAAGATGGAATCACAGGGTCAAAGCACAGCTTCTCTACCTACCCTACCAAACAGTACATATTCACTTACCCCACCAGGTTTTTCTCAACTCCAAATACTGCTTTAGGTTAAGTGTATTCTGCTGCCAAGGGAAGCATAGGTTTGAGTCTAAACAGGCTCTGAAACAGATTGTGCAAAACCTCAGGCCTCCTTCCTTCCTCGGGAAGTTCCAACTGTGGCAGAAATGAAGATGGAACTTCTCAAGAATAAACAGTTTTGGCCGGGTGTGGTGGCTCACGCCTGAAATCCCAGCACTTTGGGAGGCCAAGGTGGGCTGATCACATGAGGCCAGGAGTTCGAGACCAGCCTGGCCAATATGGCAAAACCCCATCTCTACTAAAAATATAAAAATGAGACGGGCATGGTGGCACACACCTGTAATCCTAGCTACTCAGGAGGCTGAGGCACGAGAGTCGCTTGAACCCAAAAGGCAGAGTTTGCAGTGAGCCAAGATCATGCCACTGCACTCCAGCCTGGGTGACAGAGTGAGACTCTGTCTCAAAAATAAATAAATAGTTTCTAGCACTCATCCCCTAGATATCCCCCAAGTGTCTCTCTTCCCCTTTGGTCAAGGTTATAACTGGGATAATGATTATGACAGACTGGCTGGGTGTCAGAGGTACAGATTTAAGGTAGATGGACTCAGGGTAAGGATAGCTACAGCTGTGTGGGGCTGAAGGTCTGTGGCACTGAGCTACTGGGGAAGGAGGGCTCTGTTTTCATTTTGACACACTGAGTTAATAAAGCACTTACTGAGGGAGCCAGAGCCCAAACTCTAAATGTGCTGTAGAAAAAGGGCCAAGTCATTGACTGCACCACTCCTTCAGCCAGAGGTAGAAAGGATTTACTCTTCAGCCATCTGGTAGAGCCCCAAGAACAAGTTACATGTGGACAAAGGGAGGGAGAGGTATCATGGTGATTAATAAATTCAAACAAAGCTGAATGATAAGACCCCAGGATGGAATACAGTCTGAGAAAGGCCTGGGCAAAGGGAGGCAGAGGGACTGAAGGAAGCAGGTCAAGGAAGATACACCCATGGTAGCCTAGGAAATTGGCAGTAGTTGGTGGGTGGGGAAAAGGAGGGTTTGGCTGTATGCCTAGCTTTCACAAGGTAGGGGATGAGGAAGATGATCATGATATTGCACAGAGGACCCAACACTGAATTGTGGGAGCTAGAGGTTGCTTGAGGCAAAGTAAAAAGGCTTCGGACACTTTCAAAAGGAGGCTGGCCAAAGGCGTGATTAGGGACTCCAGTAATGGACATACTAGAGGCCCTCGGGCACCTCAAGCCCTGAATGGGTCAGCAGCTCCCCATCCCAGAGAGCAAAGGCAGGCACCACTGGACCCCGGAAATCTGTCTGTAGCGTGTGAACCACAGAGACCTGGCTCACATCCACCAGGCTCAGCTTCTGGGCCTCATACTCCAGCAACAGCCCCACCTTCTCTGGCTGCCCAATACCCTCAACTGGGGCTTTCTCGTTGGCCAACATGGTGTACCACTTGCGCTGGGCATAGGTGAACACCCAGGAACGATCATCAACACCAATGCAGCTATCCCGGGACATGTCCACATCTGCCACTCCTATCCGGAACTGCTGGGAGCGCTTCACTGTCACTTCCCAGTAGTGTCTGCCACTGGTGACCGCTGTGTCTGCCAGCACCACTGCCCACTCCCGGAAGCGCTCCACATTCAAGGCCACCTTGGTGGGCTCCAATCCCACCAAGCCATATTTGACACCCGTATCATCTCTGAAGAGTGCCAGGCTGCTGTGGGCGGTTTTTTCTTCCAGTTTGAAACTGACGCCTGCGGGCAGAGCAAAAAGACGGGATAATAACAGGGGCTAGAACCCTAGGGCTGGTGATATATTCAGATATGAGGCAGGCAGCCATGATACACGAGCAACTAGGGAAGAGTCAGAATGCCAAGCGGGCAAGAGAGTCGCGAGGTCGCTTTACTACGGATAGCTCACGGAGCTGAAAAACTCGGATTGAGTAAGTCCCGGAATTTAAAGAAACCAAATGGTATCACAGGTTTGGAATCTTAAGACCAAGGCAGGTGGGGAAGGAAAAGACCCGAGAGGGTTGGAGTTGCTTCTCGGAGTGGGGTCTGGGAATAATAGACGGCAGCCATTCTGGAGGTAAAAGAGTAAAAAGAGATAATCCTACCTCTCTGGGCCTCTGTGGAGGCAACTCCCAATCGTTTGGCTCCCCAGCGGCACAAGCGCAAAGAACGTGCAAAAAGCAGCGCCATCTTGCGCCTTGGATGAACCGGGCACGCCTCCCGCTTACAGACACAGCCATCTGCCCGCCCGCTCCCCTAGCACGTGGTGCGCGAGGGGCGGCCGCGCAGTGTTATGACGTAGGCGACGCCCGGGGGCGGGCGGCCGCCAAGGTAGTGGTTTCTGTTCTGTTTCTGCCCGCGGTTAATGCTGCTTATTCAGTTTTTCTGCGTAGACGAACGCTGCTCACATTTGAACTACGTAAAACTTTTAGAGATATAGTGTAGCCAGATGCTTAGAAGTATAGATTTTAAAATTAGACAGTACTGTAATTAGCTTTGATCCCGGCTTCACTGTGTGAGTTTGGGCAACTCACTCCACTTTTCTGAGCCTTAGTGTTCTAATTTATAAAATAGAAATTATATACAGACCTTAGTAATAATTAAGTGAGAATAATCTAGGCCGGGCGCGGTGGCTCACGCCTGCAATCTCAGCACTTTGGGAGGCCGAGGCAGGCGGATCACGAGGTCAGGAGATCAAGACCATCCTGGCCAATATGGTGAAACCCCGCCTCTACCAAAAGTACAAAAATTAGCCGGGCGTGGTGGCGCGCGCCTGTAATCCCAGCTACCCGGGAGGCTGAGGCAGGAGAATCGCTTGAACCAGGGAGTGGGAGGTTGCAGTGAGCCGAGATTCTGCCACTGCACTCCAGCCTGGTGACAGAGCAAGACTCCATCTCAAAAAATAATAATAATTAATCTAGATATATATTGGCAAATAGCAACCATTGGGTAATTCACAGTTGTTTATAATTAATAGTAAATACATAAATACTGTTAATGTTGGTTTTGTATGTTCAAGGCTAGGAACGGATGGTTTAACTCAGCATTCAGTTTTCTGAACTTAACCAAGAGTAGCAATATTTTGGTTCAGGGTATGAGGTAGGAGATTATGGACAGCCTATATTGAACATTTCGATCTGCATTCCATTTTATTTTATTTTTTGAGACAGGGTCTCATTCTGTCACCCAGGCTGCATGCAGCACAGTGGCGCAAACACAGCTCACTGCAACCTTCATCTCCGAGGCACAAGCGATCTTCCTGCTTCAGCCTCCCATGTAGCTGGGACCACATGTGCACGCACCATGCCCCGTTAACTTTTTTGTAGAAACGGGGGTTTCGCTTTGTTGACCAAGTTGTTCTCGAATTCTCGGGCTCAAGCCATCCTCCCACCTTTGCCTCCCAAAGTGCTGTGATTACAGGTGTTAGCCACTATGCCAGGCCTACATTTTTTTAATCAGTCCACTTCTCAAGGTTCTGCTGGCCAGTGCAATAGCAACATACATCCCACCTCCATCCTCCTACCCCTCAAAAAAGGATTTTAGATATATATTTTTAAAATGTATATTCTGAGACGGAGTGTCACTCTATCACCCAGGCTGGAGTGCAGTGGTTTGATCTTGGCTAACTGCAGCCTCTGCCTCTGGAGTTCAAGCAATTTTCCTGTCTCAGCCTCCTGAGTAGCTGGAATTACAGATGCCCACCAACCACACCTGGCTAATTTTTTTTTGAGACTGAGTCTCACTCTGTTGCCCAGGCTGGAGTGCAGTGGCGCAACCTTGGCTCACTGTAACCTCCGCCTCCCGGGTTCAAGCAATTCTCTTGTCTCAGCCTCCTGAGTAGCTGGGACTACAGGCGCATGCCACTACGTCCGGCTAATTTTTGTATTTTTAGTAGAGACGGGTTTCACCATATTGGTCAGGCTGGTCTCAAACTCCTGACCTCAGGTGATCCACCCATCTCAGCCTCCCAAAGTGCTGGGATTACAGACGTGAGCCACTGCACCTGGCCTAATTTTTGTATTTTTAGTAGAGACAGGGTTTCACCATGTTGGCCAGGCTGGTCTCGAACTCCTGACCTCAAGTGATCCACCCACCTTAGCTTCCCAAAGTGCTGGGATTACAGGTGTGAGCCACCACACCTGGCTTCTGGCCTAGATATTTAAAAGCCTAAATAACTAACCAAAAATTCTTCCTCCTCTCCCAGAGTGGTAACTGCCTTGAATGATGCACATGGCCCTAGTTCAGGCCACTGTCATCCTTGGCCTTAAGGCTTTCTCATTTCTTTTATTTATTTATTTTATTTTATTATTTTTTTTATTGAGACTGAGTCTCACTCTGTCACCCAGGCTGGAGTGCAGTGGCAGAATCTCGGCTCACTGCAACCTCCACTGCCCAGGTTCAAGCAATTCTCCTGCCTCAGCCTCCTAAGTAGTTGGGACTACAGGCGCCCACCACCACGCCCTGCTAATTTTTGTATTTTTAGTAGAGACAGGGTTTTGCCATGTTGGCCAGGCTTGTCTCAAACTCCTGACCTCAGGTGATCTGCCCGCCTCTGCCTCCCAAAGTTCTGGGATTACAGGCATGAGCCACCGCGCCTGGACAAGGCTTTCTCATTTCAATGTAGAAATGTGAGTAGCTTCTAAGCTGATCTGCCAGCTTCTATCTGTCTGCTTCTAATTCAATGTCGGCATTACAGTCAGACATGCAACCTCCCTGCTTAAATCTGTTAATGTGCCTGCCTCAAATTCCCTTACATGGTCACAAGGCTTTACATGATATGACTACTGCCTACCTTCTTTGTTCGTTTTCACAAAACATGATTTCTTCAAGAGTTCACAGGGCCATTGCAGTATAATTCACTAGGTGCCATGATTGAAGTCATACAGGATGCTCAGGAAACAAAGGAGAAACCTCTGATTTAGTATATTTGAGAGTGGTGGGAAGAGACTTCCCAAAAGCCATACCTATGGCTTGAAAAGCAGAAATGGTTAAGCAAGTGAGGGAATCTCATGAATTGCAACCCATATTCAGCCAGTTGCCCAGAAACCATGGAGTCCTTGGCTTGTCTGTCTCCTCTCACATATCTGATTGTCACTGAATCCCTATCACATTCCCCCTACTCCTACCAGCCCCCACTGTCAACTGCATCAGCCGTCTAACTTGTCTCCATTCTCCCCAGTGCTGCTGAGTGAAACCTATATCACCCATTAGGTTGTGAATCCTTTTTTTTTTTTTCTGAGACAGAGTCTCACTGTGTTGCCCAGGCTCAAGTGCCGTGGTGTGATCTTGGCTCACTGCAACCTCCGCCTCCCAGGTTCAAGCGATTCTCTTGCCTCAGCCTCCTGAATAGCTGGGATTACGTGCACCTGCCACCACACCTGGCTAATTTTTTTGTATTTTTAGTAGAGATGGGGGTTTCACCATCTTGGTCAGGCTGTTCTTGAACTCCCGACCTTGTGATCCACCTGCCTCAGTCTCCCAAAGTGCTGGGATTATAGGCATGAGCCACCACTCCCGGCTTAGGTCATGAATTCTTAAGAAAGGTGATTAAATACTGTGTTCTCTTTGCCCCAGGGCCTTAGTGTTCCCTTTACCACAGAATATGTGCTCATTAAAACGAATGAGTATAAAAGGAGAGGGTGGTTGGGCATGGTAGCTCATGCCTGTAATCCCAGCACTTTGGGAGGCTGAGGTGAGAGGATCACTTGAGCCCAGGAGTTCGAGACCAGCCTGGGCAACATAGGGAGACCGTATCTCTACAAAATAAATTTTAGAATTAGCCAGGTGTGGTGGTGCACGGCTGTAGTCCCAGCTAATTGGGAAGCTGAGGCACGAGGATTGCTTGAGCCCAGGAGGTCGAGGCTACAGTGAGCCTGGGCAACGAAGTGAGACCCTGTCTTAAAAAAAAAAAAAACAAAACAAAAAAAAAGTTTTGTTCCCATATTTTTTGGACTGCAGTGGCTCATTCTCTCCACCAGTTTTTTTTTTTTTCTTTTGAGACAGAGTCTGGCTCTGTCACCCAGGCTGGAGTTCAGTGGCGTGATCTCAACTCACTGCAACCTCCGCCTCCCAGGTTCAAGTGATTCTCCTGCCTCAGCCTCCCGAGTAGCTGGGACTACAGGCATGCACCACCATGCCTGGCTAATTTTTTGTATTTTTAATAGAGACGGGGTTTCACCGTGTTGGCCAGGCTGATCTTGAACCCCTTTCCTCAAGCGATCTACCCGTCTTGGCCTCCCGCCCGGCCTCGCCACCAGTTTGGAGTGCAGTGGCCCATTGTCTCCACCAGGGGTCAGCATGGCCCAGACTTTTCAGTCAGCTAAATAACGTGAGAAGAGAGCTTAGAGATTTCCTTCAGCAAAGTCCTGCTCTGTCAATACTTTGCATTTTGGTAGTAATGGGAAGGTTCCAGGATTGTGTTTCTGTAGGATTTCCCCTTTGGTTCCTGTGAGAGCTGAAGCAATCACTACACATCCCTCACACCGTCACTTAAGACACATCCATTACTTTATTCCTTATTCAGGGAATAGCCTTGCTTGTCATCTCTTGTATTATTTACCTTTTACAGGCTGACCATTCATTTGATAAATTCACCTTCCTCATTCAGATGATTTAGCTGCCTCGTTGCTCATTGTAATTATAATTCTTTTTTTTTTTTAAACAGATTCTCGCTCTGTCACCCAGGCTGCAGTGCAGTTCAGCTCACTGCAAACGCCGCCTCCTGGGTTCAAGCAGTTCTCCTACCTCAGCCACCCAAGTAGTTGGGATCACAGATGCGCACCACCATGCCTGGCTGTATTTTTAGTAGAGACGGGGTTTCACCATGTTGCCCAGGCTGGTCTCGAACTCCTGGCATCCAGTGATCCGCCCACCTCAGCCTCCCAAAGTGCTGACCACACCCAGCCTATAATTCTTAACTTAAATGCAAAATAATTAGAATATGATAGAATTTTACTTAACAGACAAAACGGGAAAGACATTGAGGCAACAGGAACAGCTTAGACTAACGCACTGGGTTATGAAATTTAGAACAGAGTATTGGAAGGAACCACAAGGAACACAATATTGCCAGAGTCTCATGTTGGGGAGACAAGGAAAGCAGTTGGAAAACTTGAGGCTGGATGATGAAGTGGCTTACATGCCGTGAGAAGGAGTTTAGACTGTCTTTCAGGCATTCAGGAACTGTTGAAGGGAACACAGAGAAGTTACAAATTATGGGTACCATATAAAGATAAAGCTGGCAGCAATATGGAGAATGAATTGGAAGGGACGAGACTAGAAACAGGGACAAACAGGGTCTGAGACCACTAAAGTTCTCAGGTGAAATGTGGTGCAGACTCAGTTAACTGAGAGGTAGAATTCTTGGAGCTTTGGTGACATTAGATGGAAGTGAGAGGATGAGGGAAGGTGTCAAAGCTGATTCATAAGTTTCTGACTTTCTGACTTAATAAGGGAATGCAGAAGGAGAAGCATGTTTGGATGAGAAGATAATCAGTTCAGTTTTGGACGGGCTAAATGAAATGTTCTATAGATATATGGATATGCATCTCAAGGATGAAGTGGATGTAGATGTAGATGAGGTCATCCAAAGAGAGGGTATAGGGTAAGTAGGGAATAAACGGAAGGTACAACCCTAAAAAATACCAATACATGAGATAAATATAAAATGCTTAGAACAGAACCTGACCATAGTGAGCACCGGTCTGCTTGGCTTGAAGTTGTATCTGACTCCCTAGGAAAAGAAAGGAGGAGGCAAGGTGGGCTAATCTCTTTATTACTTGATTTCTTGGATTACCCCATTTCTAATTTGTGGGAATCCTGGCCTGATCCAAGTGCTAATTGGATCCCTTAACTATGGATGGGAGAAAGATGATGCACTCAGTGCTTGGTGATTGTTCTGGACTTTGCCAGTAGTCAGCAGTCAGCAAAGCATAACCAGAGAAAGAGGGAGAAGGGCAGGGGGTGGGGAGGGCCTCAGGAGCTAGCCAAAGGGGCTGCTGGGCTGGCTTGTGCTATGCTGGGGCCTTTGTCCTGCTGAAACTGTCCACACAATGGAGCTGGGTTACATGCTGACCTGGCATTCTGAGTAGGGGGCTGGGATAGAGATTCTGTATGGTGGAAGCAGAGATGGATAGTCACCTAGTTCCTGAGGACTGCATCTCCATTCATCCACAATGAAATCACTAGAGAGGATGTTCAATATATGATAATAATAACTTATGTTTATATGTGATTCACACGTCAATTCATTTATACTTTGATTTTTTTGTTTTTTAAGAGACAGGTCTGCCTACATTGTCCAGGCTGGATTTAAATTCCTGGGCTCAAGCAATCCTTAACCTCAGGCTCCCAAATAGCAGGGACTACAGGCATGTGCTACTGCACCCAGCTCATTTATTTGTATTTATTTTATTTTGTTTTTATTATTTTTATTTTATCTATTTATTTATTTTTTTTATTTTTATTTTTTTGTGAGACGTAGTCTCATTCTGTCACCCAGGCTGGAGTGCAATGGCATGATCTCAGCTCACTGCAGCCTCCACCTCCCGGGTTCAAGCCATTCTCCTGCCTCAGCCTCCCAAGTAGCTGGGACTACAGGCATACACCACCATGCCCAGCTAATTTTTATATTTTTAGTAGAGACGGGTTTCACCATGTTGGCCAGACTGGTCATGAACTCCTGGCCTCAAGTAATCCGCCTGCCTCGGCCTCCAGAGTGCTAGGATTACAGGTGTGAACCCCTGCGCCTGGCCTTTATTTATTGTTTTGAACAGAGTCTCCCTCTGTTGCCAAGGCTAAAGTGCAGTGGTGCCATAAGCTTACTGCAGCCTTGAACTCCTGGCCTCTGGTGATCCTCCTGCCTTGGCCTCCCAAAGTGCTGGGATTACAGGCATGAGTCACCATGACTGGCTATTTTTCCTTTTACATTTTATTTATTTATTTTATATATAATTTATATATATAATTTATTTATATATATTTACATTTATTTATATTTTTACAATCTGGCCGGATAGGCAGTAAAATACTATTTTGTTTTCTTTTAAAGAGACACAGTCTCGCTCCGTCACCCAGGCTGGAATGCAGTGACATAATCATAGCTCACTGTAGCCTTGAATTCCTGGACTCAAGTGAACCTTCCACCTCAGCCTCCTGAGTAGCTAAGACTATAGGCACGTGCCACCACACCCTCTAATTTTTAAAAATTTCTTATAGAGACAGGGTCTTGTTATGTTGCCCAAGCTGGACTTGAACTCCTGACAAGGTAGTCCTCCTGCCTTGGCCTCCCAAAGTGTTGAGGTTACAGGCACGAGCCACCACACCTGTCCAGCGTAGATCGTTTATGGAACTCAAACCTGATATATTCTTCAGGTCCTGATAATATGAGCTGGCTAGGGAGTAGCTGCAGTAAGATGGTGAGTCAGTCCTGGACATCCTTAGAGGTGACTATGGTAATCACATGGGACCCACTGTGGAGGAACACAGCAAGAAAAATAGCTCTGCCTGCAGATTTCCTAAGCTATATAGACCCACTTGCTCTCTATTACTATGGATTATGGTTGTATAGCACTCTCTGGGACTAAGCAATGGAGCCTTCCTTATTGAAGTGGGGAGTAAGCTAGGATCACTGTCACTGTCCTAAAGTTTGAAAGACTGATCATTAGTAATCAAGAGCTAACTCAGTTAAGTATAGAGACAAATGAGAATTCAGGGTGATTACTGCTAGGAGCCATTAAGATTTATAATAACTTTGTAATTACTCAAATTTGTTATTTTACAAATCCTTTCTCCATTTTCATAGTCCCTGTTGGAAAAAACTTCAAAAACATTTGTATACTTACTTAATGCCAGAAGAAAAGAAAGGTGGAGAATCTATAGCTAAAAACATTTTGCAACCCCTGAAAAGAACCCCAAATACAAGAATGAAGTAGAATAATAGCAAAGGGGGGAACAAGTGAACAAGAAAAAAAGAGGAAGATGAACTGGAGTGTGTCCTGGCATCACCCGGGAGGGTTAGACCCCAGAAATCCCCTTATTCCTAGGCAATTCTCCAAAGTCACCTTCCTTGGCAGATTTCTTTTCTTTTGTTTTTGTTTTTATTTTGTTTTGTTTTTTAAGACAGAGTCTCACTCTGTGGTCCAGGCTGGAGTGCAGTAGTGCAATCATGGCCCACTGCAGCCTCAACCTCCACAGGCTCAGTGAACCACGCTAAGGCCTGGTTATTTTATGGTGTTGTTTTGAGACAGGGTTTCACTCTGTTGCCCAGGCTGGAGTGCAGTGGCACCATCACAGCTCACCGCCTCAGCCTTCCAAGTAACTGGGACCACAGGTGCATCCCACTTCTGAAGGGAGACACAGCCTTTTTTTGTTTTTTGTTTTTTGTTTTGAGATGAAGTCTTGCTCTGTCGCCCAAGCTAGAGTGCAGTGGTGCAATCTCGGCTCACTGCAAGCTCCGCCTCCCTGGTTCACGCCATTCTCCTGCCTCAGCCTACCGAGGAGCTGGGACTACAGGCGCCTGCCACCACGCCCGGCTAATTTTTTGTATTTTTAGTAGAGACGGGGTTTCACCGTGTTAGCCAGGATGGTCTCGATCTCCTGACCTCGTGATCCGCTCGCCTCGGCCTCCCAAGGGCTGGTATTACAGGCGTGAGCCACTGCGCCTGGATTGTATTTGTTTTTTGTTGTTTTTTTGTTAAAAAGGCTAGGCTAAGGCTGGGTGAGGTGCCTCACGCCTGTAATCCCAGCACTTTGGGAGGCCAAGGCAGGCAGATTGCTTGAGCCCAAGAGTTCAAGATAAGCTTGGGTCACACGGCAAAACCCCATCTCTACAAAAAATACAAACATTAGCTAGGTGTGATGGTGCATGCCTGTAGTCCCAGCTATTTGGGAGGCTGAGGTGGTGGGAGGATTGTTTGAGCCTGGGAGATTGCGTCACTACACCCCAGCCTGGAGTCTCACCTTTTTTGAGACAGAGCAAGACCCCGTCTCAAAAAAAAAAAAAAAAAAAAAAAAAAAAAAGGCCAGGTTCTATGGTTATGCTTGTAATCCCAGCACTTTGGGAGGCTGAGGTGGTAGAATCGGTAGGTTGGCTTGAAGCCAGGAGTTTGAGACCAGCCTGGGCAACGCAGTAACACCTCATCTCTACAAAAAATTTTTAAATAAGCTGGGTGCAGTGGCACGTGCCTGTAGTCTCAGCTACTCAGGGGGCTTAGGTGGGAGGATTGCATGAGCCCAGAAGTTTAAGACTGCAATGACCTTTGATAGCGCCACTGCACTCCAGCCTGGGCAACACAGTGAGACTATGTCTGTAAAAAAAATAAAAATAAAAGGCTAGGCTAGTAGAAAACAATAAGCATACTAATTGTATGTAAATCTATGCAAAAACTCAAGTAAGCTTTTAAGAGTTCATCTCTAGTTAGGTTTGAAAGAGGCTGGCATTTATCTAAGTGGGGAGACTGATGTCAAAGGAAATGGGCCGAGGTTTAGTTCTCCATGGAATTCTTGTCAATGTTTGATGAAGAATAGAGGCAAGAGGATGGTAGCTGCAGATAAGGAAAGCTAGCCATTTTATTTGTCGTCTATAAGAGATTGAATTAACTGCCCTTTGCTGTTCCATCTCTTATTATAAGAGGCTACAGGATTAGTGGGTAGAGATAACCCATTCCTGTTAATAAAACCCCATTGAGTGGCTTCTGTTTACTTTTTAAATTTTTTAATTATAATTTTTTTTTTTGAGACGGAGTCTCACTCTGTCTCCCAGGCTGGAGTGCAGTGGTGTGATCTCAGCTCACCACAGCCTCCACTTCCTGGGTTCAAGTGATTCTCTTGCCTCAGCCTCCCAAGTAGCTGGGATGACAGGTGAACACCATGACGCCTGGCTAATTTTTTTGTGTATTTTTAGTAGAGATGGGGTTTTGCCATGTTGGCTAGGCTGGTCTTGAATTCCCAACCTCAGATGATCCGCCCACCTCAGCTTCCCAAAGTGCTGGGATTACAGGTGTAAGCCACCGCACCCAGCCAAATTTTCAATTTTTTTTGAGACAGGGCCTGACTCTGTCACCAAGGCTGGAGTGCAGTGGTGCCATCTCAGTCCACTGCAACCTCTACCTCCCAGGCTCAAGTCATCCTCCCACCTCAGCCTCCCCAGTAGCTGGGACTACAGGTGTGTGCCATTGTGCCTGGCTAATTTTTGTATTTTTTGTACAGGAGGGGTTTTGCCATATTGCCCACGCTGCTCTCTGACTCCTGAGCTCAAACGATCCTCCTACCTCAGCCTCCTGATTTGCTGGGACTACAGGTGCAGGTAGCTCCTGTTTTTAAGTGCTTTATTCTGTGCCAGACACTGTACTAGTCTCTTTACCTACATTATCTTATTTGATACAGAGGAAACTGAGACTCAGAAAGCTTATGCTAATCTGGCCAGGTGCAGTGACTCAGGCTTGTAATCCCAGCACTTTGGGAAGCCTCGGCAGGCGGATCACTTGAGGCCAGGAGTTCGAGATCAGCCTGGCCAACGTGGTGAAACCCTGTCTCTACTAAAAATACAAAAATTAGACAGGTGTGGTGGCGTGCACCTGTAATGCCAGCTATTTGGGAGGCTTGAACCCAGGAGGTGGAGGTTGCAGTGAGCTGAGATGGCACCACTGCACTCCAGAGTGAGAGACTCTGTCTCAAAAAAAAAAAAAAAAAAGCAAGCAAGCTTATGCTAATCTAATCTATTCGGCAAATATTTATTTACTGCCTTCTGTGTGTTAAGCACCAGGTTCGCACTGGTGAAAAATCAGACATGGGCCCTGCCCTCCTGGAACCTATATATAGCGGGGATAACTTGCCCAACTAGAAAGTGGTAAAGCATATATTGTTGTCACTGCTGTTTTTAATTAATTTGGGGTACACAGAATATTTTGTTGTTCATGATATCCTCTCCTCATTGGCCTATATATATGGCTCCCACTTATTTGTTTTTAATAATGATAATTAAGCATCATTTCTAACCATCCATCCAATAGAAAAACTAGAACCTTGACAATTACTATTATTTTATTTTATTTTATTTTATTTTTGAGACTGAGTTTCGCTCTTGTTGCCCAGGCTGGAGTGCAGTGGCACAATCTTGGCTCACTGCAACCTCCACCTCCCGGGTTCAAGCGATTCTCCTGTCTCAGCCTCCCGAGTAGCTGGGATTACAGGCACCCACCACCATGCCCGACTAATTATTGTATTTTTAGTAGAGATGGGGTTTCACCATGTTGGCCAGGCTGGTCTCCAACTCCTGACCTCAGGTGATCCGCCTGCCTCAGCCTCCCAAAGTGCTGGGATTACAGGCATGAGCCATTGCCCCCAGCCAACAATTACATAAAGTTACACGATGTGCTACCCAAGTTTCTCGTGGGTATATAAGTGAGAAGTGGAGTTGCTGAGTCAGAAATTATGTAATTTGACCTGGCATGGTGGCTCACACCTGTAATCCCAGCACTTTGGGAGGCTGAGAGGGGCAGATCACTTAAGGTCAGGAGTTTGAGACCAGAGTGGCCAACATGGTAAAACCCCGTTTCTACTAAAAATACAAAAATTAGCTGGGCATGGTGGTGGGCACCTATAGTCCCAGCTACTTGGGAGGCTGAGACATAAAAATTGCAGAGGTTGCAGTGAGCTGATTGTGCCACTGCACTCCAGCCTGGGCAACAGAGTGAGACTCTGTCTCAAAGAAAAAAAAAAGAAATTATGTAATTTGTTCATCTTTATAAGTAGGTGTTAAACTGTGTCCCAAAGTCATTATCTCAGGTGGGGAACAGTGCCTCACGCCTGTAATCTCAACACTTTGGGAGGCTGAGGTGACAGGATCACTTGAGCCCAGGAGTTTGAGGCCAGATTAGGCAACACAGTGAGACCCCATCTCTACAAAAAATAAAAAAGTTAGCTGAGCATGGTGGTAAACACCTGTAGTCCCAGCTATTTGGGAGGCTGGGGTAGGAGGATCGCTTGAGCCCAGGAGGTTGAAAATGCAATGAGCTGTGATTGCACCACTCGACTCCAGCATGGGTGACAGGGTGAAACCCTGTCTAAAAAAAAAAAAAAAAAAAAGTAATATCTCAGTTTATACTCCCACCAGCAGTTGTAACTGGTTCTTTTTTTTTTTTTTGAGACGGAGTTTCGCTCTTGTTGCCCAGGCTAGAGTACAATGGCGTGATCTCGGCTCACCACAACCTCTGCCTCCCGGGTTCCAACGATTCTCCTGCCTCAACCTCCCGAGTAGCTGGGATTACAGGTACCCACCACCATGGCCAGCTAATTTTTCGTATTTTTAGTAGAGACGGGGTTTCATTATGTTGGTCAGGCTGGTCTCGAACTCCTGACCTCAGGTGATCCACCCGCGTTGGCCTCCCAAAGTGCTGAGATTACAGGCGTGAGCCACCGCACCCAGCTGGTTCTGTCACTTTTTATCCTCACCTAATTGGACCAGAGTATCTGTGGCCAAAATCTCTGCTCTTAACACCATGATGTGCTACCCTCTCTCTTTATCCTGTCCAGGGGAACTTTTCTGGAGGCAGTGTGAACCCTGCATGCTTCCTGAGGCCAGCAGTGGTGACTGGGATCTGGGAGCATTACTGGGTGAGATGCACTGAGGGTTACAGGGCCTTAAGTCAGGAGACTGATGAGGCTTCTAGAATATAGGAGATTCCAATGACTTCTAGTGGACTGTTTCTCTTCTATGTAATTGAGAGCTCCAAACCCTTTGGGTGCTCTCTGACCTGTTCTCAGCAACTCTTCCTGCCAGTGGATAGGTTAGATGGACCCTCTACCTTCACTATAACTCTCTTTCTGTCCATCCCCAAGCTGGGTATTATGAGGAGAAAGCACAGCCCCTGATCTGTGTTCCTTCTCTCTCCCCACAGGTGTACTGGGTAGGACCCATGCTGGGCACCATTCTTGCAGGCCTCACCTCGAATTTCTGCTCTCTGGTGCTTCATGAGAAAAGTTTGTGGCCGGTATGACTTGCCACTATGTGGAGATGGTAGAACCTATCAGTATGTCCCATTCTACCTTCTCCATCACCACACAACCCCACGCCTAGGTCCCAAGTCCCTCACCAAGCCCGAGCACAACTGAACCTCTTTCCCCAAACTTTCCTTCCCCATATTATCCTTTTCCCTCTCTTTGATCGGCTGTTTCCCCAGATCTGATCCCAGCACACCCATACCTTTCCCTGGGGATCAAGGCTTAGGGTGTGCTGATCATGGCTGTATTAAAGGACATTAGACCTTCCCATTGCTTCATAGCCATGACTGTTTCCTTCCTTTCAGTACTTCTTGCTATGACCATGTGAGTTAGGAAAGATGAAATACAAGCTGATTCTAAGGTTTAACTACGAGTCCCTTTCTTATTCCTATCCCTCCAACCCCACTCCCAGCCCATGCAGGGATGATAGTGTCTTCTCTCTGTCGGTCCCTGTAGTTTAAAAAGCCAGGCCTAGGGTTTGAAAAGGGAGGTGCTGTCATGGACTGGGGGTAGGGAACCCGGGCTCAGAGAAAGCCAGACGCAGCAGAACTATTTTGTCCCAGAGCTGCAGGGTCCACAGATTCCAGCCCAAACTAGCCAATGGGAGAAAGGCTTCTAATCCCTGGGAACTAAAGAATTCTCTTTAGTTATCCAACTTCCCTGCTGAACCCCACTCCTTACCACTCCCCCCAACCCTTACCCCTGGCAGACTCAGAGGAGGCTGAGGCCCCCAGGAGCTCAGCCCCAAATGCCATGAAGTGAGCTCAGCTTGATGGACCTTCCAAAGAGAGCTGAAGAGTATTCTAATGTTGATGTCAATCAGGACAATGAACCCCAATTTTGACACACACAGAAGGGCAGACTCTTCCAGTCCTGCTGTTCTTCACCCCCACTTCTCGTAGTCTCTCTTGCTGTGACCCCAATCCCACCCTCACTGCCATGGCTCTCTCGGCTCATCTCCCAGTTGAGAAAGGCGGGAAAATCCAGCATTTTTACCATGTAGGGGAGGGGACTTAGCCCTCCACAGCTGTGAAGGGGTTAAGAGGCTGGGCCTGCTACCTCAGCCTGCCCCTCCCAGGGATTAAGAGTCCTCTATAAAGGGGACTGTCCACCCAGACAAGGCCATGGGGGTAGCAGGGACCCAGGCACTGTGACCATCCCCCCTGCCATGTGGGAACTGCGATCAGCCTCCTTTTGGAGGGCCATATTCGCTGAGTTCTTTGCCACCCTCTTCTATGTCTTCTTTGGGCTGGGGTCCTCACTGCGCTGGGCTCCTGGACCCCTGCATGTTCTGCAGGTGGCTATGGCATTTGGCTTGGCCCTGGCTACACTGGTGCAGTCTGTGGGCCACATCAGTGGAGCCCACGTCAATCCTGCAGTCACTTTTGCTTTCCTTGTGGGCTCCCAGATGTCCCTGCTCCGTGCCTTCTGCTATATGGCAGCCCAGCTCCTGGGAGCTGTGGCTGGGGCCGCTGTGCTGTATAGCGTTACCCCACCTGCTGTCCGAGGAAACCTAGCACTCAACACGGTAATGGTTGGCTGAGAGGGGATGGGGAACCTGGTGTCCTGTCTCTCTATTGCCCTGACTCCCTGACTGGTGCAGGTGAATCAGCTCCCCTGGGGTCTGGGACAATATGTGCATGTGTGAGCATGTGTGTGTTGAAGTGGTGAGGATTGACAGGTGGTTTAGAGCTTTAAGGAAGGCATAGGGCCCTGGACTGAGAATTAAGAAACCTGAGTTTGAGTTTCAGCTTTCCTTCCAACTCCTTGCAGGTTCTTAAGGAAACTTATTTTACCTTTCAAGGCCTCAGTTTCCTCATACATGTAAGTGGCTGCAATCATTTCCATCATGAAGGAGCACTGTTAGGAGATGGTAAGATGCAAATACAATGATTATGAAGGGGGTTGTATTATCCTTCCTCTCCACGGACCTGATGCCGTAACGAGATCCTTGCCGGGGAAGTCTTGAGGAGGTAACACTGTGGCAGCCCTCCTGAGCTGTCTCTCTTCTTCTTCCTTTGCACAGTTGCACCCTGCGGTGAGCGTGGGCCAGGCAACCACAGTGGAGATCTTCCTGACGCTCCAGTTCGTGCTCTGCATCTTTGCCACATACGACGAGAGGCGGAATGGCCAACTGGGCTCCGTGGCCCTGGCCGTTGGCTTCTCCCTTGCCCTGGGGCACCTCTTTGGGGTAAGCAGGAAGGAGAGCAACTTCTCATTCAAGGATTCCGGGGCCCCTAAACCTTTCCCAACTTTTAAGGGTTCTTCCTGCCTACTTCACTGTCAAACATGAACATTGTCCATTGCACTCTCTACTGGCACAAAGGAATCAACTCTGCCCTATCCCTCTCTTGTGACTGCTATATCTAGTCCTTCTTGACCCCAAGGTAGAAATGAACGTATCATGGCTAGACATGGGCTTTGCCTATGGATCCATAGTCTGTTCCCAGACAGGGCATCAGTTGCCCTCACCCCATTGCAGGAACCCCTGGAGAGTCATGCAGGCTGTCCCTCTCCACTTGCTGCTGGCTGGAGAAAAGATGGCAGCTCTCAGGGGCAATGTGGGTTGTGGGGAGAGAAGCTGGGGTGCAGTAGGGGGGTGTCTCAGTTACAACTGTCTCTTTTGCAGATGTATTATACTGGTGCAGGCATGAATCCTGCCCGCTCCTTTGCTCCTGCCATTCTCACTGGGAACTTCACTAACCACTGGGTGAGTGAAGGGAGAGGGGCAAGATCCTGAAGCCCTTCTGGATGGTTGTGGACTGCAGGTTCCAGGCTGGATTCCTGCTTTCCTTCTGCGTGTGTTGGCTGCTGTACCAGCACTCAGCTAAGGGGGCTGTCAGAGAGTTTGGCATGCCTGTGTGAGCAGGATTCATGATTTTGCTAGAAGGAGAGGCTCTTGCTCATATTTTTCCTTCTCTGGTTAGTCAGGGAGTATGCACTGAGTATTCACTGGTTGCTGAACTAGCGGGTATGAAGAGAGACAACTAAATATGAGCAGAATAAATTCTGCTCTCAGAGATCAAGATGTGTTGTGAGCACAGATGGGCCTCAGCCCCATTCCAGTTCTAATACGTTATCGGCTTTGTGTGTGACCATGGGCAAATAATCACTCTGTGCTTCAGTTTGTTTTACTATAAAATGGGACATTACGAGAAATGTGTGAAAGTTATATGTGAGAAACATTTAGCACAGAATCTGATATAAAGTAAGCACTCAATAAATATTGGTTATGTTGATGTTGTGCAAGCCAAACATATGGAAATAATTTAAAAATTTTTCAAAGCTGTACACCCATTTTCATAACAGCATTATTCACAATAGCCAAGAGGTAAAAGCAACCCAAGTGTTCCTCAGTGGATGAATGGATAAACAAAATGTGGTATATACATAAATGGAATATTACCTGTAAAAAGGAAGGAAATTGTGACACATACCACAACATGGATGAATCTTGAGGACATTATGCTAAGTGAATAAGCCAGTCACAAAAAGACAAATACTGTATGATTACATTTATATGGGGTATTTAGAGTACTCAAATTCACAGACGCAAAGTAGAAGGATAGTTACCAGGGGCTGATGGGGGTGGGGTGGAATAGGCAGTTGTTTAATGGGTATAGAGTTACAGCTTTGCAAGATGAAAAAGTTCTAGACATAGGTTGCACAACAATGTGAATATACTTAACACTACTAAACTGTACACTTAAAAACATATATATATTTTTTTGAGATGGAGTCTCCCTCTGTCACCCAGGCTGGAGTGCAGTGGAGCTTGATCTCAGGATCTCAGCTCACTGCAACCTCCGCCTCCTGGGTTCAAGCAATTCTCCTGCCTCAGCCTCCTGAGTAGCTGGGATTTCAGGCGCCTGCCACCACGCCCAGCTACTTTTTGTATTTTTAGTAGAGATGGGGTTTCTCCCTGTTGGTCAGGCTGTTCTCAAATGGCTGACCTTGTGATCCGCCCGTCTTGTGATCCGCCCGTCTCAGCCTCCCAAAGTGCTGGGATTACAGGCATAAGCCACTGCGCCTGTCCAAAAATATTTAATATGGTAAATTTTATATGTGTTTTACCACAATGTATAAAATTTTTTTGAAAGCAACATACAAACTAGTGCAAATTGATAACAAATAGAATATACACATGCTAAGGTGTGGGATAAAGGAGTAATTTGATGAATCAGAAAATAAATGGTGAGTTTATTGTAGATATCAAGTGTACAATATCTTGTTTTCCACTAAGGTGGCTGGAAAAAGAGCAGCGTTGCTACTCTGTCCCCTCCCCAAGCCTGAGTATTCCTTTTCTCTTTCTACAGGTGTACTGGGTAGGCCCAATCATTGGAGGGGGTCTGGGCAGCCTCCTGTACGACTTTCTTCTCTTCCCCCGGCTCAAGAGTATTTCTGAGAGACTGTCTGTCCTCAAGGGTGCCAAACCCGATGTCTCCAATGGACAACCAGAGGTCACAGGGGAACCTGTTGAACTGAACACCCAGGCCCTGTAGAAGCTCCAGCTGAATAGAGGGAGTAGAAAGCTTCTGAGTTTACGTGGAGGGGTTTAGCCAGCCCCTAGATGAAGAAAGAGACTGTGGGGAGGGTCATGTACTTCTTTATTTTTTAACTTATGTATGTGGTTGTTTTTTTTTTTTTTTTCCTTTTGCTGTGTGAAATCTTTCAAGTTGCATTCATGAGCTGGTTGGTGCAAACTTCCCTTCCTCCCCATCCCACCACCCTTCGCCGTGTGTGCTGATTGTGCATATGAATGTGAGTGTGGCTGTGTCTGAGTTTTGGGGCATGAGAGCTAAGGAAGCAAAAAGAGGTGCCATCCTATACCTCCCTTCCTCGACCCAGTATGGTGAGTACTGGGTAACCGACACCTTAAGTTTCTGGCCTTTACCCTGCTGCCAGTCAAGTGTGTGGCTCTTGATTTCTGAGGGAACAGAGAAGCAGGGAGTTACTCCTCACACGAGGCAGATGGAGAGAAGTGGAGGAGACAAGGCTTCCAAGGGTTAGGAGAAGGGACTCAAGGGAGGTGGGTGGTGAAAACGGAGTATTAGCCCCAGATCAGGATGTAGGTGTACCGAAGAATTGGGGGGAAGTTAATGGGAATATATAGCCTACTTATCTTAGGGATGCTTGCCCCAGGGACTTGGGTGGGGAAGTAGCTCTGAGAAAAGTGAACACTAGGATTTAGCTGTTCTGTAAAGCCACGTAAACCTGTCTACATCCGCTGGCTGGTTGTGTTCATTCTGACATAATGGATCTCTTCAGAGGTCCTGGGCCAAAGAGCTTCCAACCTAAATAGAGCTTGGGCAAGCCTAGAATCTAGAAAAATTAAGCAGCTTAACTGGTCAGCCTGACATCCACTGTTGTGGCTGCCTGGCAGATGGTATTTAAGCCCCACAATTGTTCCCTAAGGCCAACACAGGAAATCTGATTCCTGGAGCAAATAAATGAACGGGTGGTAGTAGGGGGCATGAGGGGAGAGGCTTTGACTCTGTTCTAATTTATTTAGAGCAAATCAAAACACTCCTCAAATGGCATCTTTCTGCTTTTATCACTAGTTCCGTGTTTTTTTTCTTGTTTTGTGTCTGTGTATTTTCATTTCTCTGTCATCCGTCCTTTCATCTTGAAGCAAATCTCTTCTAACTCCCTCATACCCCAGAAATTGATTCCTTCTATTCAAATGCTTAATAATTCAGGAGATTATTATTTGTTTGAGCCCTATCTTCTTTTTTTTTTTGAGAGGGGGTCTTACTATGTTGACCAGGTTGGAGTGCAATGGATATTCACAGGCACGATCATCGCACACTACAGTCTAGAAATCCTGGGCTCAAGCGATCTTCCTGCTTCAGCCTCCCCAGTAGCTGGGATTACAGGGGGCCAGAGCACAGCCCTATTTTCTTTTCCTTTTGGCAAGATCATCTCAGCAGAGGCCAGAAGAGACCCTCAACTGTTCAATGAATATTTACGGTTGCTTTCTTCCTTTTATGAGCCTCTTGCATACTTTGAAAGCTTTAAATTTATACCTATAATACAACGGACATCCCCTATCCCAGAAGACCATTCCTCCCTGTACTTCAGCTCTTTACTTCCTCCCAAATAAAACCTAACTTTTCTAACTAACTATTTAAGACTTGGAATAGTCCGCTTGACTAGAAGAAGGGGAAGAATGTTTGTAAATTCACCTCTAATCGGACTTTGATTCTACTATAATTCAGCAGAAAATTCATAGCGCTGTGATTTTTAGATCGACCTCACATAAAACAGTCCCTGCACTCGCTTCCCTTTTCCTTCCTTCTTCACCAATCTCCGCCCCAGTTCGCTCGGAGTCACGTGGACCAGCCCGGCTCGCCCCGCCTCGCTCTTCGCGCAGGCGGGGACCGGTCCAGCTGAGCCTGGTGGCGGAAAGGCTGCGGCCCCGCGCCAGAGGGCCGGTGGCTCCTCCGGGCTTCTGAGGACCCGCAGGGAGCGGGTGAGTGAGTGTGTGGCGAGAGGGCGCTAAGCGGACACGGGGATCCTTTCGAAGCTATGGGGGCATTCTCGGGAAACGCTGAGTCCCTTTTCCCGCCACCCGGTTTAGAGCCAGGGGGCGGGGCTCGTGCTGCAGGCGCGCACGCGCAATTCTGTACTCTGCTCCTTAGTCTCCCGCGCCGCGTTCCCGGGTCTCACCGGACGCGGGCTTAGCCCTACGCTGCTCCGCACAGCTTGGGTCTCCCGCGGGATGGGGTTGTGATGGAAAGGGGCTTGGAATTCCTGAATTAGAACAGAAAGTGCCTGAGGGAGTTCCACTTCGGAGCTTAGCATCTAGTTGAGACCTCCTGAAAAAAACCGGTGTGTGGCCTGGCGGTCAGCAGTGGTCGGAATTCACAGGCCGCTTTACTTATATCGTGGGTTTTATGGAACGGATTTCTCACTCCCTCCCTTCGTTGCCTTGTTCGGGTTTGTCACCTGGACCTCAGCCGCTAATGAAGCTTTTTTCCTTGAGCCTCTCAATTCTTTGCCATTCGTGCTTCGACTAGTACTTTCAATTTTTTATTTATTTTATTTTATTTTGAGACGGAGTCTCGTTCTGTCGCCCAGGATGGAGTGCAGTGGCGCCATCTCGGCTCACTGCAACCTCCGCCTCCCGGGTTCAAGCGATTCTCTTGCCTCAGCTTCCTGAGTAGCTGGGATTACAGGCGCGCGCCACCATGCCCGGCTAATTTTTGTATTTTTTTTAGTAGAGATGGGGGTTTCACCTTATTGGTCAGGATGATCTCAAACTCCTGACTTCGTGATCCGCCCGCCTCGGCCTCCCAAAGTGCTGGGATTATAGGCGTGAGCCACCGCGCCTGGCCTGTTTGTTTTTTTTGGTTGTTTTGTTTTGTTTTGTTTTTGAGATGGAGTCTGGCTCTGTCGCCCAGGCTGGAGTGCAGTGGTCCGATCTCGGCTCACTGCAACCTCCGCCTCCCCAGTTCAAGCGATTCTCCTGCCTCAGCCTCCCCAGGAGCTGGGATTACAGCTGCCCGCCACCACGCCCGGCTAATTTTTGTATTTTTAGTAGAGATGGGGTTTCACCATGTTGGCCAGGCCGGTCTCGAACTCCTGACCTCAAATGATCCGCCCGCGTCGGCCTCCCACAGTGCTGGGATTACGGGTGTGAGCCACCACACCCGGCCCTACTAGTACTTTGTACAAAGTAAAGGTAGATCATCTGATGTTAAATTTAAAACTCCTCTTTGACCACCCACAGTTAGCCTTAAATCCGTAGGTGGGTGTCTGTGGCCTCTCAGTCTGGCCCTGACCCTCTCAATCTCATTTTGTAAATCTCTTACGCACCTGACTCCTGGCCACGTGGAAAGATTGTGGCTGCCCTCTTTCATATCTCAGTACTTAGTTCCTGCTGTTCCTTCTGCTTGGAAGATCTTGACACTGCTCTGCCAAGCGAACTTCTCTTTGAAGACTGAGCTTAATTGTCCCTCTGAAAATCAATGTATCCAGCTTCCTATGCCAAGTTAGTCACTTCTTCCTGTGTGTCCCTGAAGTTTTTTACCCCCCTCTATTACCAGGGGCACTGATACAGCTCAATAAAAGATCAATAAAAGGTTACTGAGCTCCTAACATGTACCATGCACTGTGCTTAGCGCCAGGCTTACAGAGATGAGTAGGATGGAGAGTTCCCGACCCTTAAGGAACTCAAGTCCTAAGGAAAACACATGTAATTGAGTCTTCTGTGGTTACAGTGAAAGGGTCATCAAGAAGTCCTTCCTGGCTTCCTTCCTCCTCTCACTGCACTCACACCATCTTACATCCTGATGCCTCCAAATCTTTAGCTCCAAACTCTTCTCCCTCATCTTCCAGACTTCTCTGTTTCAGTTCAATTTAGTAAAGCATTTATTGAGCACTTACATTGTGCTGCGTAATGATGATTCCTGATGTGAAAGAGTTTACGTTTTCGTGCAGTTAACATAGGATAGTTAGAATCACCTGAGGAACATTGTCAAAACACTTGCCTAAGCCCCATCGCTGGAAATTCTGATCCTGTAGCAAGGCTCTGAAAGTTCAAGGGTGAATAAGAATTCCTATCTCTACTAAAAAAAAAAAAAAAAAAAAAAAAAAACAAAAATTAGCTGGGTATGGTGGCATTTTCCTGTAATCCCAGCTACTTGGGAGGCTGAGGCAGGAGAATCACTTGAACCCGGGAGGCGGAGGTTGCAGTGAGCCGAGATTGCACCATTGCATTCCAGCCTGAGTGACAGAGTGAGACTCGTCTCCAAAAAAAAAAAAAATAAAAAGAATTCCTGTCCTCAGGGAATCTAAGGCTAATGGAGGGAGATAGACTTTGATTTTAACTATTATATACAACATGAATTGTAAGTACCATGTTGGAAGTCTGAATATGGTACACAGTAGACATTAAGGAAAAGGAGGTCACTTCTGTATGGAGAAGTCAGGAGGAAGTCCCTTTTGGGCAGTCTTTTTTTTTTTTTTTGAGATGGAGTTTTGCTCTTATTGTCCAGGCTGGAGTGCAGTGGCGTGGTCTCCCAGGTTCAAGCGATTCTCCTGGCTCAGCCTCCCAAGTAGCTGGAATTACAGGCACCCACCACCACACCTGGCTAATTTTTTTTATTTTTAGTAGAGACAGGGTTTCACCATGTTGGCCAGGCTGGTCTTGAAGTCCTGACCTCAGGCGATCCATCCGCCTCAGCCACCCAAAGTGCTGGGATTACAGGCATGAGCCACTGCGCCTGGCCTGCACAGAGTCTTCAGAGCTAAGCTGATATTTGGATGGGAGGCCATTCTAGATAGAGTAGTGGCTTGAGAGAGAAGCGTGAGAGGTAAACAGGAGAGAGATTCATGAAAGACTTTGTATTGTAGGCACTGGAGGTCACTGAAACTTTAGTTTTGTATAGTAATGCATGCTAATAGTAAAGAATTCAAATAGTACCAAAGGGAAAGACAAATATTTCTCCTATCCTAGATCCCCTAGTTCTCAGAGACGATCACTATGAAGTTTCTTATGTATCCATTGAAGTGTTCTAAGCAGGATTGTTATATGCCTAAATCAGGTAACCATATTGAGGCTAGATTGAACAAGACTGGAGGCAGCTGCATTCATGCCTGTAATCCCAGCACTTTGGGAGCCCAGGTGGGTGGGTCGCTTGAGCCCAGGAGTTAAAGACCAGCCCGGGCAACATGACAAAACCTTGTCTCTAGAAAAAATACAAAAATTAGCAGGGTGTGGTGATGTACCCTATAGTCCCAGCTATTTGGGAGGCTGAGGTGGGAAAGTCACTTGAGCCTGGGAGGTTGAGGCTGCCGGGAGCTGTGATTGCACCACTGCACTCCAGTCTGGGTGACAAAGTGAGACCCTCTTTCAAAAAAGAAAAAAAGTCTGGAGGCAGAGAAAGAGGATAGGAAGAGGTTGAGTAACCTAAGCAAGAGCTACTCAGGAACTGAACTAAGGCAGTAGCAATTGGGATAGAAGGATAGACAGCAACTGATAGAAGAACTTAAGGAAGTTAAGTGAGATGGAGCTAAGGTGACTCCTAGGTTTCTTTTTTTTTTTTTTGAGACAGAGTTTCGCTCTTGTTGCCCAGGCTGGAGTGCAGTGGTGCGATCTCAGCTCACTGCAACCTCCGCCTCAAGCGATTCTCCTGCCTCAGCCTCCTGAGTAGCTGGGATTACAGGCATGCACCACTACACCCAGCTAATTTTGTATTTTTAGTAGAGACAGGGTTTCTCCATGTTGGTCAGGCTAGTCTTGAACTCCCGACCTCAGGTGATCCACCCGCCTCGGCCTCCCAAAGTGCTGGGATTACAGGCATGAGCCACCACATCCAGCCTCTTTTTTTTTTTTTTTTTTTTTTTTTTTTTTTTGACGTGGAGTTTCGCTCTTGTTTCCCAGGCTGGAGTGCAATGGTGCGATCTCGGCTCACCGCAACCTCCACCTCCTGGGTTCAAACAATTCTGCCTCAGCCTCCCAAGTAGCTGGGATTACAGGCATGCACCACCACACCCAGCTAATTTTGTATTTTTAGTAGAGATGGGGTTTCTCCATGTTGGTCAGGCTGGTCTCAAACTCCCAACCTCAGGTGATCCACCCACCTCAGCCTCCCAAAGTGCTGGGATTACAGGCATGAGCCACTGCGCCTGGCCCTAGGTTTCTTTTAATAAGGTGAAACTCTTAGCCTTCTTCACTGAGGAGATAGTGTCAGTCCTTGAGAGAGCCAAAGTGGAGACAGACTTGGGAAGATGAGTTCAGCTTTAGACCTATTGAGTGTAAGGTATCTTTGAGACATAAAGGTAGAGAATGCTATTCAGTTAGTCAGTTTAACATACGAGATTGTCAACTCAATAGCTCAGAGGGGCCAGAAATACAGATTTGCTGGCTTCTGGCTTGGGTGGTAGTTGAAGTGCATGGGAGAGGGTGAGTTTGCCCAATCAGGCCGCGTACAGTGAGAAGGGAAGAAGGCTAAAGATGCAGGCCTAAGGAAAATCAGCACTTAAGTAGGAGGAGGAACAGCCAATAAGAGATCAAAGGGGAAAGTTTTATTTTATGTTGGATTTTTCCCCCCTTAAGATGAGCTAGGACAGGTGTGGGGGCACATGCCTGTAATCCCAGCACTTTGGGAGGCTGCGGTCGGAGGATAGCTTGAGCCTGGGGGCTTGAGGCTGCAGTGAGCCGAGATCGCACCACTGCACATCACTACACTTTTGAGATACTGCCTCAAAAGAAAAAAACAGATGGAATAGCCTTGAGCAACTCATAATATATGGGGATGGGGCTAGTATAAAGGGAAGGTTGGAAATAAGGAATAACCAACTAAGGGACAGGAAGTGATTAATGAGGATCACAGAGTACTTAGATTAGAAGCAAAGAACTAAGGGTGGGTGTTTGAAATATGTATGTTTTTAGGCTTGGGTGGAGAGAGTTGAGAGAGTTCATGTCTGATAACCTCAATTGTTCCTAACAGGAAGGAAGCAGATAAACCAGGTGGGAGGCAAGGAAGCAGTAGAGTGAAGGGGCTTGAGGATAATGATGAAAGTTAGGAATAGTGGTTCTTTGGGAAGAGACAATGAAGGGGACCAAGAATACAGAAATGAGGCTGGGCACGGTGGCTCATGCCTGTAATCCCAGCATTTTGGGAGGCCGAGGCAGGTGGATCACGAGGTCAGGTGTTCCAGACCAGCCTGGCCAACATGGTGAAACCATGTCTCTACTAAAAATACAAAAATTAGCCAAGCGTGGTGGCGGGCACCTGTAATCCCAGCTACTTGGGAAGCTGAGGCAAGATAATCGCTTGAACCCAGGAGGCGGAGATGCAGTGAGCCGAAATCACGCCACTGCACTCCAGCCTGTATGACAGAGCAAGACTCTGTCTCAAAAAAAAAAAAAAAAAAGAATACCGAAATGATTTGCTGGACCAGGCTGAAGGCCCTGCTCAGGTTGCAGGCTATACATGTTATCGGGGGAACCAGCCCCCAATATTTCAATGTAGGTTCTTTTCTATTTTCCCTAAGTGTCAGCTGGTCTCATAAATAAAGAGAAAGACTACAAAGAGAAGAATTTTACAGCTGGGCCTCTGTGGGTGCCATCACGTATTGGTAGGACCATGATGGCGACTTGAGCCGCAAAACCAGCAAGTTTTTATTAGGGATTTTAGAAGGGGAGGGGGGTACGAATAGGGAGTGGATCACAGAGATCACATGCTTCAAAGGGCAATAAAAGATCACAAGGCAAAAGGGCAGAGCAGGATCACAAGGCAAGGGCAAAATTAGAATTACTGATGAGGGTCCATGTCCCACTGGGCACACATTGTCTTGATAAACATCTTAACAGGAAACAGGGTTTGAGAGCAGAAAACCAGTCTGACTAGAATTCACCAGGCTGGAATTTCCCAATCCTAGTAAGCCTGAGGGCACTGCAGGAGACCAGGGCATATTTCATCCCTTATCTCAACCGCATAAGACAGATAATCCCAGAGCAGTCGTCTATAGGCCTACCCCTGGGAATGCATTCCTTCCCCAGGGTTATCAATTATTAATATTCCTTGCTGGGAAAAGAATTCAGTGATATTTCTCCTACTCACATGTCGTTTATAGGCTCCCTGCAAGAAGAAAACTATGGCTCTATTCTGCCTGACCCCCCAGGCAGTCAGACCTTATGGTATCTTTCCTTGTTCCCTGAAAATCGCTGTTGTTCTGTTCTTTCTCAGGGTGCCCTGATTTCATATTGTTCAAACACACGTTTTACAAACAATTTGTACAGTTAATGCAGTGATCACAGGGTCCTGAGATGACATACATTGTCAGTTTATGAAGATGACGGGATTAAGAGATTAAAGACAGGCATAGGAAATTATAAGAGTATTGATTGGGGAAGTGATAAATGTCCATGAAATCTTCATAATTTATGTTCACAGATTGCAGTAAAGACAGGCGTAATAAATTATGAAAGTATTAATTTGGGGAACTAATAAATGTCCATGAAATCTTCACAATTTATGTTCTTCTGCTGTGGCTTCAGCCGGTCTCTCCATTCGGGGTCCCTGACTTCCCGCAACATCATCTATCTTATATCACTATAGAGGGTCGTTTGGTTTTCTCCAGCACATCTGGGCCTAGATTTGAATTGAAGTCTAGGAAGCAGATGGTTGCATTGATCTGAGGTTATGTATGGTCTTTTGCAGGGTGAGTGCACTGAAAGGAAAAGAGATAGAGGCCACACGGGAAAATGGCCAAACTGATGTATATAGTGATACAGTAGTAGGATATGTGTGACCCTGGTTTGATCATTTTGTTTTCTAGCTCAGAAATCTTCAGTGGCTCCCTGGCTTAGGTTCTAAATCTTTGAACTGATGGACAAAGATGAGGTTTTTCCCATAAAGCTGGTTCCAGCTGCTTTTCCATTGCTTTCCTGTTGGACTCATCTATTCATAATGGCTCCCTCTTTGGTTTTGCACTGGCAGTTCTCTGCTTAAATGCCCATCCTATTCCCAGCTGCCTTAATCCTATGCAGCTTTCAAAGGCCCAGTTCTAATCATGCTTCCTCAGACAAAACCTCCTTGACCACTTTAACCTGAAAAGAGTACTAGTTTTTTAGTTTTTTTCAGTATCACGTATTTAGAGCTTGTACTGCCTTATCTTTTACATTGTTTGTTCTATATTTGTGGATTTTATTTCTGCAACTACATTTCTTTTTTTTTTTTTTTTTTTGAGACGGAGTCTCACTCTGTCGCCCAGGCTGGAGTGCAGTGGCACGATCTCAACTCACTGTAACCTCCACCTCCCTGGTTCAAGTGATTCTCCTGCCTCAGCCTCCCGAGGAGCTGGGATTACAGGCACCCGCCACCACACCTGACTAATTTTTTGTTAGTTTTAGTAGAGACGGGGTTTCATCATGTTGGCCAGACTAGTCATGAACTCCTGACTTTGTGATCCACCCGCCTTGGCTTCCCAAAGTGCTGGGATTACAGGCGTGAGCCACCGCGCCTGGCCTCTGCATCTACATTTCTTAAATTTCTTTAGCGCTACCATTGCACCTGCACGCTATCTTTTGCCAGGAAGGTTCTCCCTAAGCATTTAGTAACTGACTATAGAGTCTGACAGATGGAGAGGAAATTAATATTTGGGGCGGGGGAGGGGTTCTGTTTGTTTTGTTTATTTGTCTTTTGAGACAGGGTCTCACTCTGTTACCCAGGCTGGAGTGCAGTGGCACAATTTCAGCTCGTTGCAACTTCAACCTCCTGGGCTCAAGTGATCCTCCTGCCTTAGCCTCCTGGGTAGCTGGGACTAAAGGTGTACATCAGCATGCCCGGCTGATTTTTGTGTTTTATTTTTTGTGGAGACTGGGCTTCGCTATGTTGCCCAGGCTGGTCTCAAACTCCTGGACTCAAGTGATCCTCCCACCTCAACCTCCCAAAGTATTAGTATTACAGGCGTGAGCCACCATGTCCAGCCAGGGATTCTTACTTTGTGCTCAGCACTGGGTAGAGTGCTTAATATCACTGCTTCTCAAACTGTCTTGGTAAAGGACCAGGTAGATTTTTCCCTCAAGCTGTTGCAGATCAGTAGTGTTCTAAAAGCACTTCTGTAAAATAAAATTACTAGAAAAATAACATTTAAAAAGACATAGAGAATACAGGCTTTTTATTATTATCATCATTAGATTCAACAAACATTGGCTGGGTGCAGTGGCTCATGCCCGTAATCCCAGCACTTTGGGAGGCCGAGGTGGGTGGATCACTTGAGGCCAGGAGTTCAGCAGCCTAGGCAACATGGCGAAACCCCATCTCAACTACAAAACACAAAAAAATTAGCCTGGCATGGTGGCACAGGCCTGTAATCCCAGCTACTTGGGAGGCTGAGGCACGATAATAGTTTGAACCCGGGAGGCAGAGGTTACAGTGAGCCAAGATCACGCCACTGCATTCCAGCCTGGGTGACAGAGGGAGACCCTGTCTCAAAACAAAACTGTAAACTGCCTGTCAAATTGCCCTAAGATGTTCTAAGTGCTAATGCTTTCTTTCTGTACTTACCTTGATGCAGACTGCTAATAGTTTGTGGATTGGCAGTGGTCTGAAGACCAAGGTTTGAGTAGCATTGCTTTACATGATCTCATTTACACTTCCCTAATATCTTGTGAGGGTGGGTATTATTATTATTTCCTCAGTATACTGATAAGGAAAGAGATTTAGTTAAGCCACCTGCTCAAGTTCACCAGTTTAGTACCAGACAGAATTGGAATTCAAGTGCTAGATGCCATTTTGTTCATACTACTGGGTCTCAAAGAGGATCCTTGGAGCAGAGTTGGTTTGGGGCAGGTAGAGTGTTTTGTTTCGTCTTCAAAAAGTAAGTTTATTTGGTCGGGCGCAGTGGCTCATGCCTGGTATCCCAGCACTTTGGGAGGCCCAGGTGGGCAGATCATGAGGTCAGGAGTTTGAGACCAGCCTGGCCAATATGGTGAAACCCCATCTCTACTAAAAATACAAAAATTAGCTGGGCATGGTGGCGCGTGCCTGTAGTCCCAGCTACTTGGGAAGCTGAGGCAGAAGAGTTGCTTGAATCCAGGAGGTGGCGGTTGCAGTGAGCTGAGATCGTGCCACTGCACTCCAGCCTGGGCGACAGAGCAAGACTCTGTCTCAAAAAAAAAAAAAAAAAAAAAAAGGTTAATTTGAATTGCAAATACATTTAATATTTTATCTGTTGTTTTCTTTTGGTTCTTGCATTTTAATGCCTCCAAGTATTGATTTCAGATGCATATTGCTTCATCTGAACTGCTTGATACTTAGTTGAGTAGGAAAAGTAACTAACATCCCTTTTAAATGTCCAGTTCCATTGGCTCTGTGGTGTTTGACAAAGTTCTCACCTGGTCTATGATGAAATGTGAAAATAAAGTCAATGTAATGAATTTTTTCATGAAGTCATATTTATTAAATTTGAAGGACAGTATTTTATCCTGAGATTTTTGTCTGTAGTTTTTTTGGTGTTAAAATGGTAGAAACAGAATGCGTATAGTAATTGTGTGGAGTGTTGTTTATAACGGCTGTTTGAGATATAATTCATATACTGTAAAATTCACCCTTTTAAAGTGTACAATTCAGGCTAGGTGTGGTGGTTCACACCTGTAATCTCAGCACTTTGGGAGGCCAAGGCAGGAGGATTGCTTGAGGCCAGTCAGGAGTTTGAGACCAGTGTGGGCAACATAGGGAGGTACCAGCTCTACACAAATTTAAAAATTAGCCAGATGTGGTATTGAATGCCTGTGGTCCCAGCTGCTTGGGAGGCTGAGGTGGGAGGATTGCTTGGGCCAAGGAGTTGAGGCTATAGCGAGTCATGATTGATCTGTACTCCAACCTGGGCTGGTCAACAGAGTGAGACCCTGTCTCAAAAGAAAAAAAAAAAAAAAGAAAACCCCTGTACAATTCTGTGATTTTTAGTATATTCAGAGAGTTGTACAACCATTTCTGCCCACCTCAGCCTCCTAAAGTGCTGGGATTACAGGCGTGAGCCACTGTGCCCATATCAGCCTATTGCATTTGCCTATTCTGGACATTTCATATAAATTCCATCATACAATATATGACCTTTTGTGTTTGGCTTCTTTTTTTTTTTTTTTTTTTTTTTTTTTTTGAGAAGGAGTTTTCACTCTTGGTGCCCAAGCTGGAGTGCAGTGGCACGATTTGGGCTCACTGCTACCTCCACCTCCAGGGCTCAAGCGATTCTCCTGCCTCAGCCTCCCGAGTAGCTGGGATTACAGGCGCCCGCCACCATGCCCAGCTAATTTTTTTGTATTTTTAGTAGAGACAGGGTTTCACCATGTTGGCCAGGCTGGTCTCAACTCCTGACCTCAGGGTGATCTGCCCACCTTGGCCTCCAAAAGTGCTGGGATTACAGGTGTGAGCCACTGCACCCGGCTGTGTTTGGCTTCTTTCACTGAACATGTTTTCAAGTTTCATCTACTTCATGGCATGTATCAGTCAGTATTCCATTCCTTTTTTTTTTTTTTTTTTTTTTTTTTTTGAGACAGAGCTTTGCTCTGTCATCTAGGCTGGAGTGCGGTGGCGCAATATCAGCCCATTGCAGCCTCCACCTCCCAGGCTCAAGTAATTCTCCCACCTCAGCTTCTCTAGTAGCTAGGACCACAAGCACACACCACCACACTCGGATAATTTCATTTTTTAAATTTTTTGTAGAGACGAGGTCTCACTATATTGCCCAAACTGGTCTTAAACTCCTGGGCTCAAGTGATCCTCCCGCCTTGGCCTCCCAAAGTACTGGGATTTCAGGCGTGAGCCACTGAACCTGGCTGTGCCCTTTTTAAATATAGACTTTCAAATTTGAGTTAGCATAATTAGGAGGCAGGAGGATCACTTGAAGTCAGGAGTTCCAGAGCAGCCTGGGCAACATGGTGAAACCCTGTCTCTACCAGAAATACCAAAAAATTAGCTGGGCAAGCCAGGCACGGTGGCTCACGCCTGTAATCCCTGCACTTTGTGAGGCCAAGACGGGCAGATCACCAGAGGTCGGGAGTTTGTGACCAGCCTGACCAACATGGAGAAACCTCGTTTCTACTAAAAATACAAAATTAGCTGGGTGTTGTGGTGCATGCCTGTAATCCCAGCTACTTGGGACGCTGAGGCAGGAGAATCGCTTGAACCCGGGAGGGAGGCAGAGGTTGCAGTGAGCCAAGATCGTGCCACTGCACCCCAGGCTGGGTGACAGAGCGAAACTCCATCTCAGAAAAAAAAAAAAATGTTTATCAAGCCCAGTATTAACACTCTCGGAGCGAGAGAGCAGACTGACCTCTGCAAAATGAGATCAGCATTAGTTTGGTGTAGTTTGGGTCTTTTTATGTGTTTTTTTGGCTGCCTAATCTCTAGTCAGTGTCTGCCTTTTTGATTGATGGGTGTGTTGCTTAGTGCTTGCCTGCTGCCTCCATCCCATAATTTTAAGTACATGCATGATATGCAGTCCATGTGCATGAGCGTTGATGAGTTGATTATCATACGGGGTCATCATAAGGACACTTTTTCTCTTTGATGCATATGACTTGCCCTGAAGAGCTGCCCCTTGCTGGTTTGGTCTTGATCCTGCGGGCCATGGGGTCCTTGCTTGCTTCTCTTAGCTTACTTTTTGTTTTGGCCTGCTTAACTTCTGCCTTTTATCTTGCTTCTTGCTCACCTACCCCTTCACCTTGCTTCTGCTCTCATGTTCTTACTCATTCTGCCCTTTATCCAACTTTAAATTCCCTTTACTATTATCCTGCCTCATTTTCTGTATTCTGCTTCCTCAGTTACAGTGAGCCGTGATTGTACCACTGCACTCCTGGGTGCCAGCCTGGGTGCCTGAGTGAGACCCTGTCTCAAAAAAAAAAAAGCTATAAAATCATTTTGCAAACTTGAGTGTACTAGGAAAAGGTATTACTATTTTTGGTTTTGTACAAATGATTTCCTTTCTTTTATGAATTATTTTCTTCAGTTATATTTTCTGAAATCAGTTTACTGTTTCAAAGGGTATGACCCAGGATAATCTGTTGATTCAAAATTCGGCAAATATTTATTGCATGCTTGGCTGGGCGCAGTGGCTCAAGCATGTAATCCCAGCACTTTGGGAGGCCGAGGTGTGTGGATCACCTGAGGTCAGGAGTTCAAGACACATCTGGCCAATATGGTAAAACCCCGTCTCTACTAAAAATACAAAGTTAGCCTGGTATGGTGGCGTGCGCCTGTAATTCAAGCTACTTGGGAGGCTGAGGCAAAGAATCACTTAAACCTGGGAGGCACAGGTTGCAGTGAGCCGAGATCACGCCACTACACTCCAGCCTGGGCAACAGAGCGTGAGACTCTGTCTCAAAAAAAAAAAAAAAATTGCATGCTCGCTATATGCCAAGCTCTATTCTAGGCACTGGAGAATGCAGCAATGAGCAAAACAAAATGAAGCCCTACAGCATGGAGCTTTCCTTTTGTTGGACTGGTTTATGATTTTTACTATATAAATCAATGATTTCTAAATGCTAGAAGAACACTAATATATGATGACATTTCCATCCGTCTGAAGTGAAATGAGAAAAATAAGGATAATGTATTCTTACTGAATTCTGACCACTGTTCGGTGTTCTAAATTCCTTTCTGAGGAGCCTGGAGAGAGCCATGTCTGCAGCCCATCCATCTTGCTAAACAGGTCACTTGGACCCAGTATGTTATGGCTTGCTCTCATAACTTGACTCTGGCATAGCATCAATCACACGATGGTTAGCAGACTTCCTTAACTAACTTACGCTAATATTAAACATTCCTTTCTACTGACTCCAACTTTTTATTTTTATTTATTTCTATTTATTTTTTGAGATGGAGTCTTGCTCTGTGGCCCAGGCTGGAGTGTGGTGGCGTGATCTCGGCCTACTGCAACCTCTGCCTCCCGGGTTAAAGCGATTCTCCTGCCTCAGCCTCCCAAGTAGCTGGGACTACAGGTACACACCACCACACCCAGCTAATTTTTGTATTTTTAGTAGAGACAGTGTTTCACCATGTTGGTCAGGCTGGTCTTGAACTCCTGACCTAAGGTGATCCACACACCTCGGCCTCCCAAAGTGCTGAGATAACAGGCATGAGTTACTACGCCCAGCCAAGACTTCTTAAATTAGTGTTTTCTTGGACTGCAGTTACTCATTGGCTAAGAATAAGTCTCTTTAAATATTTGTCAGAGTTTGGTTTTTCCATAGACAGTATGGAGTTTTTCATAGTGATTATGGATTTTAAAGGACATAGCTGAGATTATATCATATACTGTATACTTTTTCGGAGTGTTAAACAAGCTGTTTCTTTTTTTTTTTTTTTTTTAAGACGGAGTCTCGCTCTGTCGCCCAGGCTGGAGTGCAGTGGTACAATCTCTGCTCACTGCAAGCTCCACCTCTCGGGTTCACTCCATTCTCCTGCCTCAGCCTCCTGAGTAGCTGGGATTACAGGCGCCCGCCATCGCGCCTGGCTAATTTTTTGTATTTTTGGTAGAGAGGGGGTTTCACCGTGTTAGCCAGGATGGTGTCAATCTCCTGACCTCATGATCCGCCCGCCTCAGCCTCCCAAAGTGCTGGGATTACAGGCATGAGCCACCGTGCCCGGCCAACGCCCAGCTAATGTTTGTATTTTTAGTAGAAGATGGGGTTTCACCATGTTGGCAAAGTTGGTCTCGAACTCCTGACCTTAGGTGATCTGCCTGCCTTGGCCTTCCAAAGTGCTGGGATGCCACCGCACCTGGCCTACAAAAATTTTTTAAAAGGCCAGGCATGATGGCACATGCCCAGAGTCATAGCTACTCAGGAGGCTGAGGCAGGAGGACTGCTTGAGCCCAGGAATTTGAGGTTACAATGAGCTGTGATCATGCCACTGTACTCCAGCCTGGGCAACAGAGTGAAACCCTGTTTCTCTTTTTTTTTTTTTTTTAAAAGAAGATGATTCTTTGGGAGATAGTGATAGGGAATGTACCAGTTTCTATTCACTCCATTTCCTCACCTGTTCTGTTAGATGCTGATTTCTACTGAAATTACCAAGGTTTAAGAGTAACTTTGGAGAGGAGAGTGAAGGACCTTTCTCTACACATTCGCAGTGTCTCAGAAGCCTCAGGGCTCCTGAGATGTATTAGATCCTTGGTGGAATCACTGTATGGCCAGAGCTCGGTTTTTTTAATTCCTGTGGTACATCAGAGCTGTGTCTGCCTGGAAGAGCCACAGAAAGTGGAGGGTGACAGGGTTGAGCAATTTATTTTTTCCAGAGACTCTGTAGACCAGGCTGGAGTGTAGTGGTGCAATCACAGCTCACTGCAACCTCAAACACCTAGGCGCAAGTAGTCCTCTCATCTCAGCCGGCCTCCCGAGTAGGTAGGAGTGCAGGTGTGTGCCACAACGGTTGGCTTTTTGTACAGATGGGGTCTCACAATGTTGCCCAGGCTAATCTTGAACACTGGGGCAAATGATCATCATGTCTTGGCCTCCTAAAATGCTGAGATTATAGGCATGAGCCACTGTGCCCAGCCAGGGTCTAACAATTTTATTTATTTATTTATTTTGAGACAGAGTCTCGCTCTGTTGCCCAGGCCAGAGTGTGGCGGCATGATCTTGGCTCACCACAACCTCTGCCTCCTGGGTTCAAGCCACTCTCCTGCCTCAGCCTTCCGAGTAGCTGGGATTATAGGCATGCGCCACCACGCCCGGCTAATTTTGTATTTTTAGTAGGGACAGGGTTTCTCCATGTTGGTCAGGCTGGTCTCGAACTCCCAACCTCAGGTGATCTGCCTGCCTTGGCCTCCCAAAGTGCTGGGATTACAGACGTGAGCCACCGCGCCTGGCCAGGGTAGGTGCTTAATTCATAGGCTGGAGCCTCTTTGGTTTTGATCAGGTAGAAGCCATTATTTAAAACTTTCTCTGGGGCTGAGAGCAGAACTTTTGGTTGTGACAAAAGTCAAACATTTGAGGATCTTGTTCAGAATATTCTGAGCATTAGGGCCTCGTCCTGTTCCTATCTTCTTTTCATGGAGAGGAACTTACATTTTTTATCTTTCTCTATTTCTCCAGGCCTCATCATTTCTGTCTCCTGTTTCTCCACTTCCTTCTCTGTTGGTTGGTCCACTGATGTATGGACTTGCACATGATGAACTGTGAACTTCTAGCCACATGTAGTGCCCTTGGGTACTTGGAGGGAGACACTTACCATAAGGAACCAGATTGCTTAGGTGAGTACCTTTTTGATGAAACAGGAAAAAAATTGGCTTGAATTAAGGAGGTCTGTTGAATTCCTCAAACCATGGGTGTGAAAAGATGTGGGTCTGGATGGAGCTTCTTCCAAGGTTCCACATGCATGTTTTGTTCTGTCTCTGAAGAGAGCGTGAAGGATCTGATCCGCTATTTGAGGCATGAGGATGAGACACGAGATGTGCGGCAGCAGCTGGGGGCAGCCCAGATCCTACAGAGCGACCTTCTGCCCATCCTCACCCAGCACCACCAGGACAAGCCTCTCTTTGATGCTGTTATCAGGTTGCCTCCCTAGCTTTTAAACTTTTGCCACCTGCCAGGCTTTGGTGTTTGAGCTGATAGGTTTGGCGTTTGAGCTGGTAAAGAAACTTAACAACTTCTCCCTCCTTCATTGTCTCCCAGACTGATGGTGAACTTGACACAACCAGCCTTGCTCTGTTTTGGCAATCTGCCTAAGGAGCCCAGCTTTCGGCACCATTTTTTGCAGGTGCTAACTTATTTGCAGGCCTACAAAGAGGTGAGGATTTCCTTTGGAGTCCCTGGGGTGGAATATGGGGCAGTGGTGAAGAAGTGGATGACTGCTACTTAAGATCAGGTTCCCTATTTCACAGGCCTTTGCCAGTGAGAAGGCTTTTGGAGTCCTCAGTGAAACCTTGTATGAGCTGCTGCAGCTGGTGAGTGAGTCTTCACCTTACAGGATACCATGGGACAGCATTTTGCACCTTCTCCGGGCAGAGGAGGAGATGCTGAGATATGGTCCCAGTCCTTGGGGATGTGGTAGTCCGATCCATAGTCTCTGGCTGCCTCAGTACTGTTTGAACTCTTTCTTTTTAATCCTGCTTCTCTTCTATGCCTGGGTCTTCCAGCCAGAGTACATACTGCCTGCCTTCCACAGGGAGTCTCTTCCTCTTACTCTCTTCTGGTTAGGGCTGGGAGGAACGGCAGGAGGAAGACAACTTGCTGATTGAACGGATCCTACTGCTGGTCAGAAATATTCTCCATGTCCCAGCTGACCTTGATCAGGAGAAGGTGAGGGTCTTGGGTGTTCTGTGTTCTTGTGCATGGTTAGGTTGAGCTGCCTTTTTTTTTTTTTTTTTTTTTGAGACGGAGTCTCTCTCTGTCGCCAGGCTGGAGTGCAGTGGTGCGATCTCAGCTCACTGCAAGCTCTGTCTCCTGGGTTCACGCCATTCTCCTGCCTCAGCCTCTGCCTCCTGAGTAGCTGGGACTACAGGTGCCCGCCACCATGCCTGGCTAATTTTTTTTTTTGTATTTTTAGTAGAGACAGGGTTTCACCATGTTAGCTAAGATGGCCTCGATCTCCTGACCTTGTGATCCACCCACTTTGGCCTCCCAAAGTGCTGGGATTACAGGCGTGAGCCACCGCGCCCGGCCAAGCTGCCCTTTTTGGGCTATTCTGTCCTCTGACAAGTCTGGGAGAGGAGGCTTGGTCAAAGAATGAGTTGGAGAGCTTCAAGGCAGGGCAGTGGGATTGAATGAGCTTCCTTTCTACCCTCACCACTCACTGCTCAGAAGATTGATGATGACGCCAGTGCCCATGACCAGCTCCTCTGGGCGATTCACCTCAGCGGCCTGGATGACCTGCTCCTCTTTCTGGCCAGCTCGTCTGCTGAGGAGCAATGGAGCCTACATGTGCTAGAGATTGTCTCCCTTATGTTTCGTGACCAGGTGAGACCCTGGCCTATTGCCCGAGTCCCCTCCGCCCATGTACTTTTCTGCTGTACAGCCAGAATTGCTCTTGTGATAATGGCTGCATTATCTGGGGAAGGCAGGCGACAGCAGGAGTAGCCATGTCTTGAGTTCAGTAGTACCCCCTTATTCATGGTTTTCTTTCCTTGATTTCAGTTACTCACAGTCAACCATGGTCTGAAAATATTAAGTGGAAAATTTCAGAAATAAACATTTTAGAAGTTTTAAACTTGTACATTGTTCTGAGTAGTGTGATGAAATCTTTTGTCCCTGTTTGTCCTAAACAAGATGTGAATCATCCCTCTGCCCAGCATATCCACAGTGTATACCCGCCTGTTAGTCATGTACTAGCCATCTTAGTTATCAAATTGAAAAAACATAATAGAATATGTGTATGTGCGTATATATATATGTATACATGTTCTGTTTTCTGATAACTATATATATAGCACATATATACATTCTATAAAACATAGAACGTACATGTTCTATGTATATGTGTATACACATACAAATATATATATGTATATATGAATATATACATATATATATTTCAGTACTGTCTGCAGTTTCAGGCATCCAGTGGGTGTCTTAGAACATTTCCCCCTCAGATAAGGGAGAACGACAGCACAATGCCCCATTAATGGGGTTCTATTTTGTTCACTCTTTGCATCCCCAGTAGGCGTGAACTCAGGATAAGGAATGACTGTCCTCCTGATTCTTCCCTCTTTGTTCCAATCTAGAACCCCGAGCAGCTGGCGGGAGTAGGGCAGGGACGCTTAGCTCAGGAGCGGAGTGCAGATTTTGCAGAACTGGAGGTGTTGCGCCAGCGAGAGATGGCAGAAAAGAAGACTCGAGCCCTCCAGCGAGGCAACAGGTGAGTGACAGAGAGGCAGGTTCTTTTTCCTACATCATGGAATGCTGAGGGCATAGAAGGCAAATTCTAAGGTGGGGTGATTGAACAACATTTTAGTGTTTTTTTTTTTTTTTTTTGAGACAGAATTTTGCTCTTGTCGCCCAGGCTGGAGTGCACTGGCACGATCTCTGCTCACTGCAACCTCTGTCTCCTGGGTTCAAGCGATTCTCCTGCCTCAGCCTCCCCAGTAGCTGGGACTACAGGCGCATGCCACCATGCCAGGCTAATTTTTGTATTTTTAGTAGAGACAGGGTTTCACCATGTTGGCCAGGCTGGTCTCAAACTCCCGACCTCAGGTGATCCGCCTGCCTCAGCCTCCCAAAGTGCTGGGATTATAGGCGTGAGCCACCGTGCCCGACCAACATTTTGTAGTTTTAACTTGCTCCAATGTGCCGATGATAGAGAATGGAGATAAAGTTTCCAGAGAACTGAAAAATCACCTTGGACCTTTTTGTTTCTGCAGGCATTCTCGATTTGGGGGCTCCTATATTGTCCAGGGGTTGAAATCCATTGGGGAGAGGGACCTCATCTTTCACAAAGGCCTTCACAACGTGAGTATTCTTACATCTGGAGTGGGAACATAGTGGAGTTGCATAGCTTAAGCAGGGTAATCATCTTAAGAGTTCTTGGCTGTGCCTGGTGGCTCACACTTGTGGTCCCAGCACTTTGGGAGGCTGAGGCAGGAGGATTGCTTGAGCCCAGAAGTTCAAGATCAGACTGGGCAACATGGCAAGACCCTGTCTCTAAAAAAAAAATTAAATTAAAGGTTGGGTACAATGGCTCATGCCTGTAATCTTAACACTTTGAGAAGCTAAGGAAGGAGAATTGCTTGAGCCCAGGAGTTCGAGACCAGCCTGGGCAACATGGCAAAACCCTGTCCCTACAACAAGTGAAAAATACTAACTGAGCATGGTGGCACCCGCCTGTGGTCCTGACTACTCGGGAGGCTGAGGTGGGAGGATTCCTTGAGCCCAGGAGTTCAAGGCTCCAGTGTGCTATGATTGCATCATTACACTCCAGCCTGGGTGACAGAGCAAGTTCTTGTCTCAAAAGAAAAACAAAAATTAGTTTCTTCTGAGAAAATTGACGAGAGCTGCAAGGGGAAAGTGGTATTTAGGAGTAATTCTAATCCCCCAACCGACACACCCAGCTACGAAACTACAGTTCAGATTTGGGAAAGCAGCCGAAAAAGGTGCCTAAACGTCGCCAGGCCGCCCGAGAGCTGTCCATTCAGCGCCGTTCTGCCCTCAATGTGAGGCTCTTCCTCAGAGACTTCTGCTCTGAGTTCCTGGAGAACTGTTACAACCGGCTCATGGGATCAGTAAAGGTGAGAACCTGTGAAGGATATGGAGATAATCAGGAATGGAATAGACAGGTGATGATGCAGCTGTTGGTGGGTAAGAAGTGGGGAGGAGCTCGGGGAGGCTGCCCCTGGAATGTGGACTCGTAGGTGGGAAGGATATACAGTTAGGATGTCCCTGAGAGATAGTGAAAATGCCAGGAACGAGTGGGCTCCTGGCATGACAAAAGAGGCTCTGGAAAAATTGCCTCAGAGGGAGAGGAAAGGGAGAACAGGAGAGAGTTGGAAATTGTGGATCCTAGAGTATTATAGCGGTGTCCCGGCGTGGTGGCTCACACCTGTAATCCCAGCGCTTTGAGAGGCTGAGGCAGTGGATCACTTGAGGTCAGGAGTTCAAGACCAACCTGGCCAATATGGTGAAACCGTATCTCTACTAAAAAAAAAAATACAAAAAAAAAAAAAAATTAGCCGGCATGGTGGTGTGCATTTGTAGTCCCAGTTACTCAGGAGCCTGAGGCAGGATAATCACTTGAACCTGGGAGGCAGAGGTTGCAGTGAGCCGAGATCAGACCAGTGCACTCCAGCCTCATCATGACAGTGCAAGACTGTCAAAAAAAAAAAAAAAAAAAAAAAAGACCAGGCGCAGTGGCTCACGCCTGTAATACCAGCACTTTGGGAGTCCAAGGCAGGTGGATCACCTGAGGTCAGGAGTTTGAGACCAGCCTGCAACATGGTGAAACCCCATCTCTACTGAAAATACAAAAAATTAACTGGGCGTGGTGGCGGGCACCTATAATCCCAGCTACCCAGGAGGCTGAGGCAGGAGAATCGCTTGAACCCAGGAGGTGGAAGTTGCGGTGAGCCGAGATCATGCCATTGCACTCCAGCCTGGGCAATAGAGTGAGACTCCGCCTCAAAAAAAAAAAAATTATGACGGTGTCCAGCATCCATTCCATCATCATAGGACAGGAAGGAAGAAGTTGGAAGCCCTGGAGTCATGGTGATCTTTTTTTTTCTTTTTTAAATGTCAGGATCACCTGCTTCGGGAGAAAGCTCAGCAGCATGATGAGACCTATTATATGTGGGCCTTGGCTTTCTTCATGGCCTTCAACCGAGCTGCCTCCTTCCGGCCAGGCCTGGTTTCTGAGACCCTCAGTGTCCGTACCTTCCACTTCATTGAGCAGAACCTCACCAACTACTATGAGATGATGCTGACTGACCGCAAGGAAGCTGCCTCCTGGGCACGCCGGTGAGTGGGATGGTTACTGGAGATACAGTGAGCTAGGGATCTGAATGCTTGAATTCTGGCTGGTGCTTTTTTCCTGATTCAGGGTTCAGGTGATCAGTCTGGGGAGCAAGGACTGGCTGGGAAATTTAGTTTGGGTGGCACATTTTTTTTTTTCGCTGTGGGAAGTTGCTGTTTCCATGGGCCATTGCCCTAAGCTGTCCTCCATTTCACCGTTTCCCGTCAACTCTCAGGATGCACTTGGCTCTGAAGGCCTATCAGGAGCTGCTGGCAACAGTGAATGAGATGGACATATCTCCAGATGAGGCTGTGAGGGAGAGCAGCCGCATCATCAAGAGTGAGGCCCTGGCCTGGTCCCCGATCCCAGCCTGTCCCATCTCGTGATGAGAATCTCATTCTTCCCAGTCCCAGCTTCATCCATCTCTCCTTTTCAAGCTTTCCAGAATAGCCCTTCCATCCCTTTCTCTTCCCCATTCCTAGACAATATTTTCTATGTGATGGAGTACCGAGAACTATTCCTGGCACTTTTTCGAAAGTTTGATGAGAGATGCCAGCCCCGCTCTTTCCTTCGTGACCTGGTGGAGACCACCCACCTCTTCCTCAAAATGTTGGAGCGATTCTGTCGGAGCCGTGGGAACCTGGTGGTGCAGGTACTGGGCAGCCCCACAATGTAGAAAGAGCTGTAAGGGAGAGTCAAGGAAGGGGGGCTCTTTCTTCTCACAGTTTGTACAGCTTAAGTTCATCTGTTAAACGTGCTCTGAACTACGACAGCAAGAGGTTTGTGGGTGTTGGCCAGTGTGAGTCTACTACAGTTTCCTTCTCCCATTAGAATAATCTCTGATCTGCCATAAATATTTTAGTTCAGTCAGGAAACATTTATTGAACACCTACCACATGCCAAGTACAAAAACCCTGGGGATTCATAATTTTAGAGTCTAATAATTATGCTATAGCATTTTCTGGTTATACCTTGAAAGCATTGTGGTGAGGTGGAAAGAGCCTTAAATTGCGGCCAGGCATGGTGGCGCACACCTGTAATCCCCGCGCTTGAGGAGGCCAAGGTGGGCAGATTACTTGAGGTCAGGGGTTCAAGACCAGCCTGGCCAACATGGTGAAACCCCGTCTCTACTAAAAATACAAAAATTAGCCAGGCGTGTTGATGCACACCTGTAATCCCAGCTACTCAGAAGGCTGAGACAGAATCGCTTGAATCCAGGAGGTGGAGATTGCAGTGAGCCAAGATCATGTCACTGCACTCCAGACTGGGTGACACAGTGAGACTCTGTCTCAACAGCAACACAAAGAGAGCCTTAAATTGAACTTTAGAAAGTCTGGAATCTAGTCCTGTATTGGTTATTATTGGAATAAGCTCAAGCTGGTCGTGTCGGTCTCCAGATCCATAAAGTTGGGATTGTGACAGTTGTCCATGAACCCAAAGTGGAATCAGTGAAAAGCCTAGGACAGGCTGGGCACAGTGGCTCATGCCTGTAATCCCAGCACTTTGGGAGGCCACAGTGGGTGGATCATTTGAGGCCAGGAGTTTGAGACCAGCCTGGGCAACATGACAAAACTCCTTCTCTACTAAAAATACAAAAATTAGCTGGGTGTGATGGCACGCACCTGTAGTCCCAGCTATTTGGGAAGCTGAGGCACGAGAATTGCTTGAACCCATGAGGCAGAGGTTGCAGTAGGCCAAGATCATGCCACTGCACTCCAGTCTGGGCCACAGAGCAAGACTCTGTCTCAACAAAAAACAAAAACAATTCACCAGCATGGTGGCACATACCTGTAGTCCCAGCTGCTCAGGAGGCTGAAGCACGAGGATCACTGGAACTTAGGAGTTTGAGGATGCAGTGAGCTGTGATTGAGACATTGCACTCCAGTCTGGGTGAGACCAAGACCCTATCTCTGAAAAATAAAATTATTGGTTCACATTAAAATAAAAAAAACCCTGGGACAAAATGCAAACTCCAAGGAATTTGTATCCTGGAAACACAGAGACTTTGCTTTGTATAAACAGATTTTGGGCCAGGCGCGGTGGCTCATGCCTGTAATCCCAGCACTTTGGGAGGCTGAGGCGGGCAGATCACTTGAGGTCAGGAGTTCACGACCAGCCTGGCCAACATGGTGAAACCCTGTCTCTACTAAAAATACAAAAATTAGCCAGGCATGGTCATGCGCACCTGTAATCCCAGCTTCTTGGGAGGCTGAAGTGGGAGAATCACTTGAACCCGGGAGGCGGAGGTTGCAGTGAGCCAAGATCATGCCATTGCACTCCAGCCTGGGCAACAGAGCAAGACTCCGTCTCAAAAAACAAACAAACAAACAAAAATTAGCCTGGCGTGGTGGCACACACCTGTAATCCCAGGTACTTGGGAGGCTGAGGCAGGAGAATCGCTTGAACCCAGGTGGCAGAGGTTGCAGTGAGCCGAGATCACGCCATTGCACTCCAGCCTGGGCAACAAGAGTGAAATTCTGTCTTAAAAAAAAAAAAAAAAAAGATTTTGTACCAGAACCTTCCTATAACTCTAGTTGCTACAGCTTAAAATTCTGTCATAACTGGACTTGAAAGATGCAGTAGTACCAACGAGACTTTGCTAAAGGGTATTTTTGCACTCAGAGCTCTGTGGTATTATCTGTAATACTAGGTACTATCATTTATTGAGCATTTACTGTGTGTCAGACACTGTGCTGACGTTTTCATGTAATCCTCACAGTAGCGCATGTGCCCAAAGTGGTTAAGCAACTTGTCCAAAGTCTTGTTAGTAATACTAATTCAATACTCAAATCCAGATCTGCTGGACTCCATGCTCCTAAGTTTTGGTGTGTTTGATTGTAAGTTCTTTAATGGAGCATGACCTTCAGGGGCCTCTCAGTTCATCCTGTTTGACTTTTCAGTACCCACACCAAAGACTGGTTCACAGCCCTGACTTGGGAGAAGCAGGATTTGGGTATTGACTCACTCTCCTGCTTTTCTTTTTTTTAATTATTTATTTATTTATTTATTTTTTTAAGCAGGGTCTCGCTCTGTTACCTAAGCTGGAGTGCAGTGGCTGAATCTCAGCTCACTGCAACCTCTCCTTCCCGTGCCCAAGCGATTCTTCTGCCTCGGCCTCCCAAGTAGCTGGGACTACAGGTACACACCACCATGCCTGGCTAATTTTTGTATTTTTTGTAGACACAGGGTCTCGCTGTGTTGCCCAGGCTGGTCTTGAACTCCTGACCTCAAGCGATCCACCTGCCTAGGCTTCCCAAAGTGTTGGGACTACAGGTGTGAGCCACTGCGCCTGGCTGTCCTACTTTTCAGGAGAAAAAATTAGAGGCTTTATTTACATAGTGCTTTGCATTTTATGAAGCTTTTCCATGTGTCTTATTTGATCCTCATAGCATCTGCTTATTCTGTAGACCTCTTGAGATAGCACTGCTTTTGGCAAACCTCTGAACTCAGGAAATGGGTCAGGAGTTTTGCCATGACATCTTATGCTCACTCACATTATAGCTTTTATCCACACTCTAGTGTAATTACCTTTCTACTTCCTGTCTCCACCACTAGAGTAAAAGCTCCTCAAAGGGAAGGAAATATGCTGTTCACTATTGCTTTCTATTACCGATGGATAGCAGATAATGGGCACTCTGTGAATGTCCAGTTAATTAGTTTTGTAATAGAAAAGACACTGATGGGGAAAGCCCTCTTTAGCTCTCTTGACATCCTAATACAATTCTTTCCCCACAGAACAAACAAAAGAAGAGAAGGAAGAAGAAGAAGAAGGTCCTAGACCAGGCCATTGTTTCTGGTAATGTCCCATCTAGCCCAGAAGAAGTGGAGGCTGTGTGGCCAGCCCTGGCTGAGCAGCTACAGTGCTGTGCCCAGGTAGGTGGTTACAGAAACCCTGTCTTTTTTGAGAATAGTGCTCAGGGTATACAATCTGGGTTTTCCACTCCCTCCGCTCCCATAGCTTTATCCATCTCTAGAATTCTGAGCTCAGCATGGACTCCGTGGTTCCCTTTGATGCGGCCTCAGAGGTGCCAGTGGAGGAGCAGCGGGCAGAAGCTATGGTACGGATCCAAGACTGTCTCCTGGCTGGCCAGGCCCCACAGGCCCTGACTCTCCTGAGGTCTGCTCGGTAAGAACCCTGCCTGCTCATCCTCTTGGGCTTTGGGGGAAGGAGGAGGCCATCACTGCGGTACAGTGTTCTCAGTCTTCAAAAGAGAGTTGTCTCATCAAGGCTCTGGGACTGTATACCAACTGACTCCTGGGGCGTTTTGATTGGTTTGTTGGGTTTTTTTGTTTCTGAAAAACATTAAAAAAGCATAGTTAATTGAGAAAAAAATAAAGAAAGCAAATCCTCACTTGACATCATCAATAAGTCCTTGGTAATTGCAGCTTTGAGTAAAATGACCTACGGCATGTTTCTTATAACGTTAAGAGAAAAAAAACTGGTTTTGTTATACATTGTTTCACTTAAAGTGGCAGTATCCAAGAACCTATTGAAGACATTAAGGGCGGACTTAACTTTAATTCTAGTAGCCAAAGATATGCATCATTAACATTTTGATGAGTAACCATCCAGAGGTTTTTTTGCTCCGTTACATGTAAAAATATCGTATATACCTTGTTTTACAAAAATGAAATACTGTACATGCTGATTTATAGTAATTTTTCACTTCTCAGTATATTATGAGCATGATTTCTCATCAGATATATTTCTGTAATTGTTAATGGCTTTAAAACACCATTGTGTGAATATGTACATTTGTTCAACCAGGTGTCAAACATTTAGATTGTTTGCATTTTGTTCTTAGCTGGTTTTTATTGAATTGTGGCTTATGAGGAAAATTTTCCCTGGAGTCTTTGTTTCATTTGAGGTAACAGTTTGCATTCTGTTTCTGGCCAACAAAAGAAATAAGTCTAAATTCCTTCTTCTACTTCGAATTATAAATTTAAAGCCAGATTTCCCCTGGGTAAAGCCTTTTTTCTATCTGTGCTCCAGGGAGGTGTGGCCTGAAGGAGATGTGTTTGGCTCTCAAGACATTTCTCCAGAGGAAGAGATCCAGTTGCTGAAACAAATCCTCTCTGCTCCACTTCCCCGTGAGTCTCCACCCTTCACATCTGTCTCCTTCCAGCTCTTTTCTAGCACCAACATAACAGAGACTCAGTAATCCTCCCTCTGTCTATAGGGCAGCAGGGCCCAGAGGAACGTGGGGCAGAGGAAGAAGAAGAGGAGGAGGAGGAGGAAGAGGAGGAGTTGCAAGTGGTCCAGGTGTCGGAGAAAGAATTTAATTTTCTGGACTACCTGAAACGGTGCGGGCTGAGAGGCCTGAGTTGGTCCTAGAGTGGCGATTGTGCGGCTGTGAGGATGAGCTATGTCTTCCTTATGCTGACATCCTCTCCCTCCTTGTTTTGGTGCAGCTTTGCATGTTCAACTGTCGTTCGAGCCTATGTGCTGCTACTAAGGAGCTACCAGCAGAATAGTGCCCACACTAACCATTGCATTGTGAAGATGCTGCACCGGCTGGCCCATGACCTCAAAATGGAAGCCCTACTTTTTCAGCTGTCAGTCTTCTGCCTCTTCAATCGTCTGCTTAGTGACCCTGCTGCTGGAGCCTACAAAGTGAGGGGATAACAAGGAATGGGGTTCTGGAAGGGTATGGGAACCCTCAGGTAAATAAATAATCTTCAGGAGATAGAAGGTGCTGAGAGGTGTCAAGGGCTGGGAGATGGGAAAACAATGAGAAAGTAGACAGGCAGGTTGAGGGAGCTGCATGGAGAAGGACAGAAGAGAGTGAGTGAGGAGGGGGCAGCTGGGAACAGCTATAGAGAAAATACCTAGAGGGCCAGGTTCGGGTCTGCATTGGACCAGAGAGGCCTCATAGTAACCTCCTTCTCCTACAGGAGCTAGTGACTTTTGCCAAATACATCCTGGGCAAATTTTTTGCACTGGCTGCAGTCAACCAAAAAGCCTTTGTGGAGCTGTTGTTCTGGAAGAACACAGCTGTGGTTCGAGAGATGACTGAGGGCTATGGCTCCCTGGATGACAGGTGAGCTTGAAGTTGGCAAAGGGTGGGTGGGGGTAGGGGAAGTTTGATGCAGAGTCACAGAATGTCAAAGCTGTTAAGAGCTTGCATGTCATTTAGCCCACTGTTTCTTTCCCTATTATGGGTGAGAGAACAGGCTCAGGAGGTGAAATGCTTTACCTAAAGTTATCCAAGAGAGGAGCAGGGACTGGAGCCTAAGTCTAGTGTGTATCTAGTTTCCTTCTCCATCACCAGCCTCCATAGAGGTAGTCACTGTTGGGAGCTGGGTGGTTGCCCAGAGGGAGTCTGTGTGCGACCTCTCCCAAAATGTGCTGGGAAACCATGAGGATTTGTAGAAATGTTTGTCCTCTTTCCCTTAGTATCTCAGCCCCTCTCCTTTCACACTTAGTCTCTTTTTCCCATAATATTCTCAGTCCCTAGAGTCAGAATGGTCAGGGTTCCATTGGCCCAACCTGGAAAATCTCTTAGTTTGACTTTTAGGTTCTTACGTGGAAGGAAAGTGAGGGGAAGGAGGCACACTGTAGGCCTCTGCTGGCTGGCCTCTTTCAGTTACCTGCCTTGTCCTTCCTGTTCTTTTCAGAACTGATCAGAGAAGGCCTTTGGTCTCCTCTTTTTGGGCCAAGAACCTATATGCTCCCTTTCTCCTTTCACCATTCAGGTCTTCCAGTCGCAGAGCACCTACATGGAGCCCCGAAGAAGAGGCTCATCTTCGGGAGCTGTACCTCGCCAATAAGGACGTGGAAGGTGAGAGGCCTTGGGATCTGGAGAGTTTATGAGGAGGGCAGCTTGAGCTGTGGGACCTTCTTTACTGCCTTAGTCCTTCCCCACGCCAGGGCAGGATGTGGTGGAAGCCATCTTGGCCCACCTGAATACTGTTCCTCGAACACGCAAGCAGATCATCCACCATCTGGTACAGATGGGACTGGCTGACAGTGTCAAGGACTTCCAAAGGTAGAGAGGCACATGCTCTGGAGGCTATTGGGATGGGGACTCGTGATCACTTCCTGGGCTTCCTCTTCCACTGACACCTTCCTAATCAGGAAAGGAACCCATATTGTACTGTGGACGGGGGATCAGGAGTTGGAGCTGCAGCGGCTTTTTGAGGAATTCCGGGACTCAGATGGTGAGTAAGCTGGAAACTCAGGGGACCTTTGAGATGAAAGCCAAGCTATCCATTTATTTTGGGGCTGCCTTTTATTCCCAAGGAAAGATTCTCCCATCCCTTCTGTTCACTTACTATATTTGTAAGTGTCATTTTTGGATGAATTGAGGTACCCTCTTTCCAGAGACCTCTGATTTATTTTACTCATCTCTTTCCCTGTTACCCTTGGGTATTCACATGCTTGCTTTTTATAGATGTCCTGGGTCATATCATGAAGAATATCACAGCCAAACGCTCACGGGCCCGAATAGTGGATAAACTCTTGGCTCTGGGGCTGGTGGCTGAGCGGCGGGAGCTGTACAAGAAACGGCAGAAAAAGTTGGCATCCTCCATCTTGGTAACAATCTGACCCTAGCTCTGCTGGCATGGGCTCACTTCCCTTGAAGTGGTCCTTAGGAGCAGTCCACCTGGATTCTTCCTGCCTGAGGCTGTTCTGACCAGGTCCTTCCGAGAGAGCAGGCGCGGGGGGGTGCGGTGGTCAGGAACGAGGAGACTCCACTAAGTTCCTTGTGTTGCCTTCATTTTCATTCCCCCAACCCCCAATGAATTTTAGCCAAATGGAGCGGAGTCCCTGAAAGATTTTTGCCAGGAAGATCTGGAAGAAGAGGAAAACCTGCCTGAGGAAGACAGCGAAGAGGAAGAAGAAGGGGGCTCAGAAGCAGAACAAGTCCAGGGTAGCTTAGTCCTTTCAAATGAAAACCTTGGTCAAAGCCTGCATCAGGAAGGTGAGGACTTTGGCTGGGAGAGATGTCTCAGGTGGAGGGCTTGGGAGTAGGGTCAAATGTAAGTTTCCCTCATTTCCTTAGGCTTTTCTATCCCGCTCCTATGGCTCCAGAACTGCCTGATCCGAGCAGCTGATGATCGGGAAGAGGATGGTGAGTGGACAGGTGACACTTTTAGGAGAAGAGCCCTGGAGGCTATTGGAGACCTACCTGGTCATGGGATGGAGAACCAGTTCTTCCCTTATATCTTCACCATATGACTATTGACCCTGTCTTAGGCTGCTCCCAGGCCGTTCCATTGGTGCCACTCACAGAGGAAAATGAGGAAGCCATGGAAAACGAACAGTTTCAGCAGCTGTTGCGCAAGCTAGGGGTTCGGCCCCCTGCCTCTGGGCAGGTAAATATGTCAGTTACAGTGTCAACCAAGGCGTGTTAGTCCTATTTCCAAATACATCTCCTCCTCCTCCTCACTGTCATGGTGGTCCTCCTTATCCTTATCGTCATCTTGGTCCTTCTCATTGTCTTGTCATCTCTGACCAAGATTCCTGCAGCAGCCATTCTGCTAGTCTTCTTTTCCTCTCTCTAATCTCCCCTTCCCCTAGATCCATCTTCCAGACTGCCTCCAGATTTATCTTTTTAAAATATAGTCTTGATTACAGTTGTCCCTTAGTGTCTGAGAGGGGATTGGTTCCAGGACCCCCCTGCCCACAGATACCAAAATCTATAGATGCTGAAGTCCCTTTTTGTAGTATTTGTAAATAACCTAGGTACAACCTGTATACTTCGTCATTTCTAGATTACATATAATACCTATACAATGTAAATGTTAGGTAAATAATTGTTATACTGTATTGTAAATATATATATATACATTTTATTTATATATATATATATACACACACACACACACACACACATATATATATATATATATATTTTTTTTTTTTTTTTTTTTTTTTGAGACAGAGTCTCACTCCATCACCCAGGCTGGAGTGCAGTGGCTCAGTCTCAGCTCACTGTCGCCTCAACCTCCCAGACTCAGGTGATCCTCCCACCTCAGCCTCCTGAGTAGCTGGGACTACAGGCCTATATTACCACTCCCAGCTAATTTTTTGTATTTTTTGTAGAGATGGGGTTATGCCATGTTGCCCAGGCTGTGTATTATTGTTTAATGTTGTATTGTTATTTTTTTTTAATATTGTCGATCTACAGTGGTTTGAATCCACAGACTCAGAACTTGTGGATATGGAGGGTCAAGTCCTCTGTCCAGAGCCATTGATGGTTCCTTACTGCTTGCAGGACAGAATCCACAAACTCCAAATGGCATCCCCATCCTTGGCCAACCTTTGCAGCCTCACAGCCACACCACTCACACACCGACTTTACATCATAGTCACCCTGGTAGGCTTTTTCATGCCTCCAAATGGTTAATCATGCCAGTCCCTCTATTGGAAGGCTGCAACCGTGCACACAGGGTGACACACACACACACACACACACACACACTCCATCTGTCTTACTGATGGACCTCTACCCAGTCTTCAAGAGTCTGCTCAATTGTCACCTTGTCAGAGAAGCAGTCCTTGTCATTCTTTCAACCCCTGAAGTAAAAATAATCACTTTTGCAGCTGTGATTTGTTCATGCCCCTGATGCAGCCTTAATCCTGTGGAATCTGCTGGGTATGGTGGCTCACGCCTGTAACCCCAGCACTTTGGGAGGCTGAGGCAGGCGGATCACCTGAGGTCAGGAGTTCAAGACCAGCCTGGCCAACATGGCAAAACCCTGTCTCTACTAAAAATACAAAAATTAGCCCGGTGTGGTGGTAGGCACCTGTAGTCCCACCTACTTGGGAGGCTGAGGCAGGAGAATTGCTTGAACCCAGGAGGGTGAGCCTTTATTGCTTTGCCACGGCACTCTAGCCTGGGCAACAGAGTGAGACTCTGCCTCAAAAAGAAAAAAAAAAAAATCCTGTGATACTACAGTACATTTGTTCTTTTTCCCATTGGATTGTGAGTTATTTGATAGCAAGGATCATACCTGATTCACCTTTACATCCCCAGGATTTATTTATTTATTTATTTATTCAATTGACAACTATAGCCAGGTGTAGTGGCTCATGCCTGTAATCCCAGCACTTTGGGAGGCTGAGGTGGGAGGATCGTTTGAGACTGGCCTGGGCAACACAGCAAGACCCTGTCTCTACAAAAAATTTTAAGTAGTTGGGCATCATGGTGGCATGCACCCCTGTGGTCCTGGCTACTTGAGAGGCTGAGGCAGGAGGATAGCTTGATCCCAAGAGATCGAGACTACAGTGGACCATGATTGTGCCACTGCACTTCAGCCTGAGTGACAGAGGCAGACCCCTTCTCATTTAAAAAAAAAAAAAAAAAAAGAACAACCAAAAAAACCTATAACTGGGAACCTCCTAATGTAGCAGGCACTGTGCTAGGCACTGGGTATATATTAGATAGTAAGTATTATAATAAATAGAGTTCACAACCCTTGTGGATCTTCACCAATATTGGGTCATATATATTCAATGAATATCATACTCTGGGAAACAAAAAGCTGGTCCTTTCCCTTTTCAACTTTTTGGCCCCTGTAGGAAACCTTCTGGCGAATTCCAGCCAAGCTGAGTCCTACCCAGCTCCGGAGGGCAGCAGCTTCTTTGAGTCAACCAGAGGAGGAACAGAAGCTGCAGCCAGAGCTGCAGCCTAAAGTCCCTGGAGAGCAAGGCTCTGATGAGGAGCACTGTAAAGAGCACCGAGCACAAGCCCTGAGGGCCCTCTTGCTAGCCCACAAGAAGAAAGCGGGCCTGGCATCCCCAGAGGGTAATAGTGCGACAGCCATCTTCTGAGTATTAACGTGTCAGCCATGTTGGTCTAGAGGGCAGGAAAGGTGTTCTGAGAATATGAGGACCGAGTTCCTAATTTTGTGTCATTTATGGTCATTGCAGAGGAAGACGCTGTTGGTAAAGAGCCGCTGAAGGCAGCACCCAAGAAACGACAATTGCTGGACAGCGACGAGGAACAGGAAGAAGATGAGGGCAGGAACAGAGGTAGGGAATTTGATGGGACCTTCTTTTTCTTCTCTAATCCTGAAGACAAACTCTACCACGTCCTTACCCCTTAACATATTTAGATATTCTCTCTCTCTCTCACCCCCATCGTTCCCACAGCACCAGAGTTGGGAGCTCCAGGAATCCAAAAGAAGAAACGATACCAGATTGAGGATGATGAGGATGACTGAAGAGCTAAGAAGCCTAGGGGTAGAGATAGACACGTTTTTAGATGGTGCATTCAAGTCAGAGTTGGAAGGGTCATACAGGACCCAGAAGCTCCTCTTACTGGACAGAGCAGTAGAATCCCAGGCTCTTTCACGGATTTAGGCTGAGAAACTTCAGCAGCAGTATTGGACTTCTCTGCTGTCAGTCTTTGTTTCTCCCAGTTTTTATCGGTATGCCCCAGCAGCTCTCTGGAGATTTAGTTCTCTTCTTCTAGGAACCATTTCTTTTGGTTATTGGAGCTCCTTAGCAAATAAGAGGAGTGAGTGAAATAGAGAAAGCACCCCGGACCCCTTTTATTGGTCTGTTCCTTTGGCTTTCTCTTGGAGGTGGGTCGCAGCACCAGATGGGGAGCTTTATGACATGACAGGCGGGAGTTTTGTACCACTTTTAGAAGATACCAGATGCCTCTGTCCTCATTTTGTTTCCTATGATCATCCTCTAGATACCAGATAGAGGCCCATTCCTGCATTTGAGATAGGGTTGGAATATAGTACTCTAGATGATGAATGTGTTTGCTTTGTGTTTGGTATTAAACATGTAAGATTAGAAGTTCTCATCTCAGTCTGACTTGGCGATATGTCTAAGTTCCCCAGCCCTTCCCCTGCTGTGCTCTTGAAAGAAGAACTTAACAATTTTAGGGTAAAAAGAGACCAACAGACCGGCACAGTGGCTCAAACCTGTTGTCCTAGCACTTTGGGAGGCTGAGGCGGGCGGATCACCTGAGGTCAGGAGTTTGAGACCGGCCTGGACAATATGGCGAAATCCCATCTCCACTAAAAATACAAAAATTAGCCGGCCATGGTGGCATGCGCCTGTAATCCCAGCCACTCGGGTGGCTGAGGCAGGAGAATTGCCTGAACCCAGGAGGCAGAGGTTGCAGTGAGCTAAGGTCACGCCAGTGCATATGCCTGGGCGACAGAGCAAGACTCTGTCTCAAAAAAAAAGAAAAAAAAAAAAGACCAACAACCTTCCCTTTTCTTCCGCTTTCCCTACAGAAGACACAGAAAAGCATTTTTGCCTCTAGATCCTTTTGTCTAGGGTAAATTCTTAGGGTGACAAGAGTATGCGGCAGGAAGAAGGAGGAGCCATAAAGGAAGAGAAGCCAGCTTGTTGGCATGGGGCATAGAAAAGGACAAAATCTAGGCATGAAAAGGATGGATAAATACTGCAAATATTATGTTCTTACCCATTCTTGGAAACGTCAGCTTTCTTGCTTCCTGTGCTTCCAGCCGAGGTAGGGCAAAGGTGAGATTGAGAAAATAGCCATTCAGCTCAGGAAGGCTTCTAAGTAAAGGATGGATTTGGATTGCCCTGTTGCTTTGACTTTTCATTTTTATTTTTTCCTGAAAAGATGAGGATCTCCCATAGCCTCTAAAAGTGGGAGTGAAGCTATTTCCATGGTAATTGAAGTTTCCAAGGGCTAGACACTTTCTAGCTCTGGCCAGTCTTGGTGTCTCTTCATCCTGAGCTTTTCTTCACTTCGCAACCTGAGCACTGCTTCCTTCCAGCAGGGCTGCTCTGTTTTCCCTCCATGATCCGGGCTGTGCTGCTCCTTTGCTGTGTCCTGCTGTCCCCAGTATCTGCCTTTTTTTTTTTTTTTTTTTTTGGAGACGAAGTCTCGCTCTGTCACCCAGGCTGGAGTGTGGCAGCATGATCTCGGCTCGCTGCAGCCTCTGCCTGCCAGGTTCAAGTGATTCTCTTGCCTCGGCTTCCCAAGTAGCTGAAATTACAGGTACGAGCCACCACGCCCCGCAAATTTTTTGTATTTTTAGTAGAGACAGGATTTCACCACGTTGGCCAGGCTGGTCTTGAACTCCTGACCGAAGGTGATCCGCCTGCCTTGGCCTCCCAAAGTGCTGGGATTACAAGCGTGAGCCACCGTGCTCGGCCTAGCAGCTGCCTTTTTTTTTTTTTTTTTTCTTTTTTGTGATGGAATCTCACTCTGTCACCCGGGCTGGAGTGCAGTGGCGCAGTATCAGTTCACTGCAACCTCTGGCTCCTGGGTTCAAACAATTCTCCTGCCTCAGCCTCCTGAGTAGCTGGGATTACAAGCATGCACCACCACACCTGGCTAATTTTTGTATTTTTAGTAAAGATGGGGGTTCATCATGTTGACCAGGCTGGTCTGGAACTCCTGACCTCAAATGATCCTCCCACCTCAGCCTCCCAAAGTGCTTGAGCCACCGCATGAGCCGGTGGCGTGATTACAGGCATGAGCCACCGCATCCGGCCGTGGCTGCCTTTCTAAGAAATGTCCAGAACTGGACCCTGACTTTCCATCCCTCTTTGAAATTTCCAGCTCCAGTTTCTTCTAGCAGTGTTTATCAGTATAGAAAATTTACTATGTATTGGCCGGGCATGGTGGCTCACACCTGTAATCCCAGCACTTTGGGAGGCCGAGATGGGAGAATGACAAGGTCAGGAGATCGAGACACTGGCTAACACGGTGAAACCCCATCTCTACTAAAAATATAAAAAATAGCCAGGCATGGTGGCGGGCACCTGTAGCCCAGCTACTCAGGAGACTGAGGCAGGAGAATGGCGTGAACCCAAGAGGCAGAGGTTGCAGTGAGCTGAGATCGCACCACTGCACTCCAGCCTGGGTGACAGAGCGAGACTCCGTCTCAAAAAAAGAAAAAAAAAAAAGAAAATTTACTATTTATTAGGCACAAGAGGTATTTTTGTCCTTTTCCGTTTATTTACCCTTTGGAAATTTTTAAATGAGAAGAGGAGTAAAAAGCTATTTCTTACATATTTGAATCACAGCCGTCTGATTTCTCCTTATTCTGGGTCTCTTGGATTAAGCTGGGAATGTGGGAGCAAGAGGTAGATACTGCTTTTGCGGCATTTCTGACACCTAAACAAGCTCTGATTAGTCAGTACATATCAATTCAGGTATAGATTGGGAGAACCTATAGATCACGATGACAGTCACACATGTATGAAAGGGAGAAAGAGAAAAATTACAGTGCTACTCAGAAAATCTTGGCCAAGTTGATACAGAGCCCCAGAATGAAGATTACATGACTGAGGAGTCCCATGTCTGGCCGACTTGGCTGGGCTCTAGCACTGTCCACCTGTCATTGTCTCAGAGCAGCCTGTAGAGAGGGATGCTGCTGTGATCACTGCAGAACATTCTAAAGAGTGGAAGCTGTCGGCCAAATAGAATGTTCACTCTGTGTTCTCTTGAAGGGAGATCTGAGCAGAACACCACAGGGCAAATAGGCAAATGTTTGCCAAAATTGTGCCCTTACTGACCTTAGAGACAAGCAACTGTCCCCTCTCATGAGACAGAGAACTGGGACTGGAATAACCTACCTGGGAAAGCCCACCTCTCACTGACTACCCTCTGGTAATTTGGTGCTCTCAAATATTTAAGTAGAAAGTGAAGCAGAGGAAGGCCCTGGTGACCAGGGAATAGGAGAAGTCAAATAAGATCAGTGCGGTACCATTTCCTATGTAACTGGGCTTTAACCTAAAATGAACACAAGCCTGGAGGTAATGGGTGAGTGAAACGGTCTGTTTTCTAACTCCCACTTCAGCTGATCATTTACTGCTACATGTTGCACACACTCTGGCTGCCATTTCATATGGAACCCAAACTAAGGCCCTGATGTCCCTTGCTTCGTATTTGCAGAGCCCTGGTTCTGCCAGACCTGGCTTCCAAAGTTCCTGCCTGGTGTCTTCCATATGTCCTCTCTACCCAGGATCTAGTAGGCCCGGCACTAAGGAAAGCCCTGGAGCAGGCTGACTCCTAAACTTGATGCCAGGCCCTGAAGATTTGGCTATACAGGGTGGGATGTGTGAAAGCCACATAGTCCCATACACACCAGCTCCAAGGATTCTGGAATTTCAGTGGCATAAGGAGGAGCATGCCAGGTGATACCATGGCCTCTGTTCTGCAGGTGTTAAGACGGGCTTCAATCAGACCCAGGAAAAGCCAGATGTGTCTTTCCCACTGAGTACTGTGAGCAGGGGCAGGAATATCCTGAGCACAATGTGTTCCAGTTTTTGCCAGGAGTGGGAACCTACTCCTGGCAGTGGCAGCCCATCTGGAGTGGTCACTGCAAAGACGCCAGCTGCGGCTGGGGAGGTGTGGTGAGGGCTGCATGCTCCACAGAACCAGGGAGAGCCAGGAACAGGCAGGAGCCCCGCCCCCTTTCAAGTTGGCGGGTCCCCACCCTCCTGGGTGCAGCTACAGCAGCACAGCCACAGCTGTGGATCCAGGCATCCCTATGCTCTTAGGGGCCTACGAAGCCTCACTGCCCCCGCAGACTCAGAAGTGCATGCTCCCACTGCCTAGCCTCTTCCCACTCTGTTTTTAGAGCAAAGTTGAGGCCAAGCCCAGCACTGTTGTGACCTGGCCATGTGTGCACACCCTCCTGGCGGTGCTGACACACCAGCCCCCTGCCACCTTGGCCCCCTCTAAACTTTGTACACTGACAAGCATGGGAGAGGGGCTGAGGGGGAGCCAAGGGTGACTTGGCAGGGGTCTGCAAGTGCCCCTCAGCAGGAACAGCTTGGGTCCCGTGGATGACATTATTGATGGTGGCAGAAGGCAGGCTCCTGGGTGGAAAGGTGCAGGTCCAGTGAAGTACCACCTTTAAGCCAGGGACAGCCTGAAGCCTGGGTGCCGGACTGTCACTTCTGGGTGGAGTCCATCGCCCAGAATGAGAACTCATGATGCTTATTCTGGGCCATCCATGGCCCAATCAGCATGCACTTCCTCCCTTCTGAAGCCCATGAAAACCTTGGACTCAGCCACTCACAGAGACATTGAATCGACCTGCATGTGGAAAGGAGCTACTCACTGCCAGTCTCCTGAGGGCTGCTGTGTCGCTCAATGAAGCTCCTCTCTGCCCTGCCCTCCAGTTGTCTGTGTACCTCATTCTTCCTGGATATGGACAAGAACTCAGGACCCAAGGAATGGTGGAACTGAAAGAGCTGTAACACAAACAGGGCTGAAACACGCCTGCCGCCCCCCCCCGCCCGGCCCTGTCACTCCACTGCTTGCCACTATGTGGGCGACTAGAAGAAGAGAAGAGCTGTGGCTCTTTGAGAAGCCCAGACCCAGGGGCTCCCAGAGCCAGGGCTATGACACCCTCTTTGGGGCTCTGTGGTTCCTGGTGTCTCCAAGCTCCCAGGTGCCACCGCATTCCCTGGTGCCTGCAGTGGAAGCTGCTTGCAGTATGTCTGGTCCAGCCACAACCTCACATGGAGCCGGTGCCTGGAGCTCCCTGTCTGCTGCAGCCGGCATGCCTGGCTGTGCACAGTGTGGCCAGACCCCATGCTCACACACCCCTTGCTGCTGCACATCTGGTTCACCCATGGCAGGCATGGAATCCAGGCCAGTAGCACAAGCAGAGCACAGCCTGCCAGGCCAAGTGGGTGGAACAAACACAGTGAGCCCGAGCAACACTTGGGCAAAGGCACCACTGGCCACAGAGGTTTCCAGCTGGAAAAGTGACATCCCAAGAATCCCATGACACTACTATAAACTGGCACAGCTTTGTACTATGCTGCTCAGATAGAACTGGTCAGACAAGGCCAATGGGTCAGAGGTAGTTCTCTCTGCTAGAGGTGAGTCTCGCTGAAGAGCCATAGCTTAGAACCTGGGGCTGGGAGTTTTGTGCTATAAGAAAATTGGATAGGAATAGAAGGGATGAATTCTAATTTTTTGGCAAGCTGTATATGTGGTGTTCAGAATCCAAAATAAACATCACCTGATATCCACAGGATACACAATGATGAAAAATACAATGATTAAAAAACGTGCTGGCCAGATGTGGTGGCTCATGCCAATAATGCCAGTACTTTGAGGGGCTGAGGTGGGAGTATCCCTTTACCCCAGGAGTTTGAGACCAGCCTGGGCAACATAATGGGATCTTGTCTCCACAAAGAATTTCAAACATCAGCCAGACATGTTGGCTGAGGCAGGAGGATCTCTTGAGCCCTGGAGTTTGAGGTTACAGTGAGCTATGATTGTGTCACTGCACTCCAGCCTGAGCAATAGAGCAACACCCTGTCTCTTAACCAAAAAAAAAAAAAAAAAAAAAAAACAATTATTTTAAATGTGTTGAGGTTTCTTCTATGGCCCAGATATGGTATACCTTGGTGAGTGTTCTATAGGTACTTGAGAATGTGCATTCTGCTGTTGGAGTATTCTATAAATGTCAATTAGATGGGTTGATGATATTGTTAAGTTCTTCTATATTCTTGCTGACTTTGTACGTAGTAAGTCTATCAGTTGTTGAAAGAAGCGTGTTAAAGTCACCAACTATAATATTGGATTTATCTATTTTTTTCTTTTAGTTCTGTTATTATTATTTTTAAATAGAGACTGGGTTTCTCTTTGTCACCTAGGCTACAGTGTGGTGATGTGATCATAGCTCACTGCAGCCTCAAACTCCTGGGCTCAAGCTATCCTCCCATCTCAGCCTCCCAAGTAGCAGGACTACAGGCACCCATGCCTGGCTAATTTTTAATTTTTAAATTTTTGTTTATGTTTGTAGAGATGGGATCTCACCATCTTGCTCAGGCTAGTCTTGTACTCCTGGGCTCAAATGATCCTCCTGCCTTAGCCTCCCAAAGTGCTGGTGGTGGCAGAGGCTGCTGCCATCATGCCAACTGTGCAGCTGGGGCTGCAAACTCCATGGAGCCATTGGGAACCCTGTCCCTTCTGAGTTGGGATGGGAGCTCCTGGGGTGCCGCTGCAGCTGCCTAAACTGCAGCTGCAGATCCAGGCCTCCTGCTCTATGAAGCAGGCAGGACCCCCACCCTCCTGGGCTGGGCTACAGCCACCCAAACCGCAGCTGTAGACTGGAGCCTCTCTGTGCTGTTGTGGGAGGGCCAGGAGCAAGCAGGATCTACCTTCCCGGGTGCCGCTGCAGCTACCCTCCCAGGTGCAGGAGCCAGGTGTCTCTTCAGCTTGCACCCTTAGGGGCCCCAGGAAGGACCCTCCCTCATCCTTGCAGGCTCAGGGGTGTCTGCCTGCCCTCTCTCCACTACTGGTGCCCGCTCCAATCTTGGAGCAGGGGTTGGGGCCAAGCCTGGGGGCCATGAATGGCAGCAGGAGAGAGATTGATTCCTGGGCAGAAGGGGGTGGGTCCCCAGTAAGGCCCCCACCTTTGGGCCAGGGAAGACCTGAAGGCTGGGAGCTGGGCTGCCAGTCCCATGGACCAGAGTGGGGACTTGTGATTCCTCTTCCAGGCCTGCTCATGGGCCAATTGGCACACACTTTCTCCCCTCTGAGGTCCATGGGTTCAGCCAGAGCAGGGCACAGGATGGCCAGAGGATAAAGAAGGCAGAGATACCATGGGCCACCCTCTCCAGGGCCTTGTCTCTGCTGAGAGCTGAACACTCCACAGGATGAGCTGTCTACGAAGAGGAGCTACCCACTGTGGGTCTCCTCTGAACTGTTCTTTTTTTTTTTTTTTGACAGTCTCTGTTGCCCAGGCTGCAGTGCAGTAGTGTGATCTCAGCTCCCTGCAACCTCTGCCTCCCAGGTTCAAGCAATTCTCATGCCTCGGCCACCCTAGTAGCTGGGATTACAGGCGTGCGCCACCACTCCCAGCTAATTTTTGTATTATTAGTAGAGTCAGGGTTTCACCATGTTGGCCAGGCTGGTCTCGAACGCCTGACCTCACGTGATCCACCTGCCTCAGCCTCCCAAAGTGCTGGGGTTACAGGCATGAGCCACTGTGCCCGGCCTTCTCTGTGCTGTTCTAACACTAAATACAGCTCTTCATCTTCTTCACCCTTCATTTGTCTGCGCCCCTTGTTTTTCCTGGATTAAGGACAAGAACTCAGGCACCACGGCCACAGAGGTTTGTAGCCAGAAAACATTTACACCCCAGAGATCCCATAATATTTTGGAGGCTTGTCCGGGATTTGCAGAAGGGTGAGTAAAAGCAATTCTGTCCATTTTTTTCAGAGTCTCTAAACTCCACAATAGTAAAAATGAAGGAAAAATACCAGGCCTCTGTCAGCCAGTTAAAAGTAACTAGCACAGCTGCCAGACTTAAGACATGGAGGACAGGCTTGCCGGGGAGGACACTGTCAACCCCCCATCACCCTCGAGTATTGGGAATGTTGGCTTTGTTCCAACCCAGTTTCCCCTCATTGAGGTCTAGCTGTCGCATGGGACTGGAAGGAGGTCCTAGGGTAACAGGGTATCTGGCCGAGGCCATACCTTGGTGTTATCCAAAGGCCCTTGGACTAACTCCAGTCCCCGACTGCCCATTGGGGTGTTGACACTAGGACCTCCAATCTTTTTTATTGTTATTTGTTTATTTCTTGCTTGCTTTCTAGGCTGTCATGGTTCCTATCTCTTTTATATACAATGTTAAATTGTAACACCTGCCCCCACAGCTTCACCTGCCTGTGATAGGGCGGCAACATCCTTAAATGTTAAGGATGTTGTTGCAAACCAGAGAGATTTCTGGATAAAATGAGCATTTGGCTTAGTCATCAAGTATAAAATAGAAGGTTAAGGGTACCACAAAGCAAAGTGTGCCGTCATATCTGTATGTAAATTTGTGGTGAAAATGTTCTTGTAATTTACTTGATTGCCAATTTAGGGCCAAGCACCTTGAGGCACAGAAAAGAAGCATTGCCTCAGGAAAAAAGCTTTTCTGTAAACACGAAGGCAAATAGTCCAAGGTCCTTTATGTGCAGGCCTTTGCCTTGCAGGGTGCCCCAGACCTTTGCCAACATTGTAGAATTGATTCAGCCCTCCTAGGGGCCATCTCAGGAGAGGCTGCAAGGGGCAATCCCAGGGAACTGGAGAAGCAAATCCCAGAGTTACCTCCAGCGGGGGAATCAACTCCCTCCGCACCTCCCTATCCAGGTGCTTTTCCAAGCTTGCCTCATCCTAGAAATAATTTTAGACTGTTCCCAGTCTCACTCCTGCCCCTGCAACAGATGCCTGGTGCATATGGCCCCATTAAGGTCCAGGTCTCCTTTTCTCTTCAGGACTTAAGGCAAATTAAGGGGGATCTTGGCAGGTTTTGAGATGGCCCTGAAAAATATAAAAAGGATTTCCAGGCCGGGCGCGGTGGCTCACGCCTGTAATCCCAGCACTTTGGGAGGCCGAGGCGGGCGGATCACAAGGTCAGGAGATCGAGACCATCCTGGCTAACACGGTGAAACCCCGTCTCTACTAAAAATACAAAAAATTAGCCAGGTGTGGTGGCGGGCGCCTGTAGTCCCAGCTACTCGGGAGGCTGAGGCAGGAGAATGGCGTGAACCCGGGAGGCAGAGCTTGCAGTGAGCCGAGATCGCGCCACTGTACTCCAGCCTGGGTGACAGAGCGAGACTCCGTCTCAAACAAAAAAAAAAAAAGAAACGGATTTCCAGAACTTAACCCAAGTATTTTAGCTCTCCTGGAAGGATGGCCATGTTACTTTTGAATCAAACCCTGAACACTGCTGAAAAGCAGGCCACTCTCGTCAAGTGGCAGAGAATTTTGGGGATGAGCTTTACATCTTGTATAGGGCCAGGGAACAGGAAGAGCCTTTTCCAGTTGGAAGAATACCAGTGCCATTAGAGGACCCTAAATGGGACCCCAGTAATGAAATGGGACAATGGAAGAAGAAATTCTTTCAGGTGTGCATATTGGAGGGCTTGTGAGGGACTGGAACTGAGCCTCTGAATTGCACTGGGCTATCTGTGGTACATCAGGGATTGGATGGGAGTCCCACTGATGTCCTGGAAAGGCTAAGAGGGGTCTTGGTAAAACACACCCCTCTATCTCCTGATTCAATAGAGGGACACCTGGTCATAGGGAATGAGTTTACTACTCAGTCAGCCCCTGATATCAAGAGGAAGCTGCAGAAGCAGGCCATAGGACCAGGTAGTATTTTAGAGGACCTCCTGAAAGCGGCCACCTCGGTCTTTTACTATAGGGATCAGGAGGCCCAAGAGAAGGAAAGGAAACACAAGAAAAAGGCAGAGGCTCTAATAGCCAGCTTGCAGGCTCACAAACCACAGAGCTCCTAAGTTGTACCTGTTGACTGCTACAAATATGGACCATTGGAGGGAGGACTGTTCCCAAGACACCAGTCCCCAGGTACAGGGCTGGTCTCCCAAATGATGCAGCAGAACTGATGGGTCCCGGGGTTCCTTTCCCTGGCTTTGGTAATTTAGACCACCATTACCATCCAGGAGCCCTGGGTGATTCTGGGGATCAAGGGAAGGAGAATGGACTTCCTCCTGGACTCAAGCGGTCCTTTCAGTTCTCCTCTCCAATCTAGGCACCCCCCTCTCTTAGCATGACTGTGAGGTACATCTCAGGAAAAGCCCAACATTTTAGTTGTCACCTTGGGCCAGGTCCCCTATTCCCGAGACTCCCTTTCTCTCCCTTATTTGAGGAGGACCTTCCCCCACAGCTTCACCTGCTTGTGATAGGGAAGCAACAGAGGAGTGCCCCCTGCCAGCTGCTAGCTGCAATTTGGCAAGGGCCATCTGGGACTAATTTAAAGGGTTCATACACTCCTGAGGCATCTTCTTGTCCCAGGCTTTGGTTTGAATCCCTTGAATGGAACACTAGACCTGAGGCAGATGACAGCAGGAGTCAGGGCACAGCACAGGTGAGCATGGCTAATTCCTGCTGATTAGTCCCCCCCACTTCATGGGTGGAGTGCATCCTACATCACTGGACTCCTTTGACCCTCAGACTCTGGAGAAAGAAAAAAGCTTTTTCCCCTTCACAGGACTTCAGGGCCAATAGGGCTCCATGGCTTGGGGGAAGGGAACCCAGAAGCCTGACATGCCAGTAAAAGGGTAAAAGTTGTGGGACTTCTGGCTTCTCTCTCTCCATGCAAACTGGTTGCAGGAATGATATAAATCACTGTATTCTCTACTCCATGGTTCAGTTGGCCTTTTTGGCATGGCTAAGGTTGGGTAGTAAGATATTTAAAAGGGGCCGGGTGCAGTGGCTCACGCCTGTAATCCCAGCACTTTGGGAGGCCAAGGTGGGTGGATCACTTGAGGTCAGGAGTTCAAGACCAGGCTGGCCAACATGGTGAAACTCTGTCTCTACTAAATATACAAAAATTAGCTGTGTGTGGTGGCATGCACCTGTAGTCCCAGCTATCTGGGAGGCTGAGGTATGAGAAACGCTTGAACACAGGAGGCAGAGGTTGCAGTGAGCCCAGATTGCACCACTGCACCCCAGCCTGGGCGACAGAGTGAGACTCTGCCTTAAAAAAGAAAAAAAGATTTAAAAGGACTTCTTTAAAAGGAGCACTATGGTTAAAAGTTAGCTTAACTAAAAGTAGATGTTCATAGATATCCAAGCTTTAGGTATACTTAAAAGGCCTTTATGTCATTTCTCTGTTTTTCTGGTGAAGGGTCTTTTCTTCTCAGTCGACTGAATTATCTTTCTCCATTCTTGTCTTGCCACTCTTGATGCGCACATGAGGAGCCCCAAGATATCCTCTGATGGCCTGGGACTCCTTGGGAAAATGAAAGAGGTGCCACTGACCCATTTTGGGAAAGACTTCTGTTTTCCTCATGGAGCCCCAGGAATTAGGAGCAGATGGATCCCTCTCAAAATGTTTTTGTCTTCCAGTTATGCATACTTATTAGGCCATAGAAACTACATGTTTTCCTGGCCCTGCTTCTTAAAGGGCTTAACCCCAGGGCCAGCAATGCAATTAGGAGATTGGCACATGAAAAATCTTAAAACTACTGGATCTCTGTCTGTTTCTGTGTGGATATATATGTGTCAGGTGTGTCATGTTTATATAAAAGAGCTCTAACTGATTGGCTTAAAGGAAAATAAGTGTTTAAATCAAATATTTCGAAAGAAAAATAAAGCTGTAATGCCTTTTAGTTCATGGCTATCACTCTAGTGGAACAGGAAGCATGAGAAAGTATGGCCTTACACAGCTCATAGTAGGCCGTTGCCTCTGGAGGGAAAACGTAAAGTGGCACTGGTGCCCACCTAAGGTCAGAGTAAGACTGGATCCCAAAGGGGGATGCTCCAGGGGATCCTCTGGACTTCCACCTCTCCAAAGAGGATGCTTTTGGCAGAGGTTCTGAGGTCTACTAATAAGCCCTCCTTAGAACTTTTTCGCAGTTGCAATACTGTTTGGCCCCAGTATTGCATGGAATCTGGAGTTACTGCTGAAAGGGAAAGTGGGATGCCATTGCCTGTATCCAGGCTTTTATGCTGTTGTTCTAAGCAGGGGGCCTGGTTAGCCTGTGATGCTCTCCTTTGGTGCTGTTTGACCCCAGTGTTCTTTGAAGTCTGGGGGAGTTTGGCCTTTAAATATCAAACTGCCATGGAAACTGCTTTACCGGAAATTTTGTTTCACAGTTGTATTAGGGATATATATATACAGCATTTAGGTATTGTTAACTATGCAATAATATTGGGGTTGGTGATTGGTGCATTTCTGGTTGTGGGAAGGATAGTTGTATTATGTTAGGCACAATTATTACCTTATTATTGTCTTTATTCGAAAATTATATATGATCTCAGGAGATGTGTACATATATATGTACATATATGTGTGTATATATATGTGTATATATATATATATGCGTTTACTAATTATTAACTTATATGATCACAAGGTCCCATGATAGGCTGTCTGCAAGCTTGAGGAGCAAGGAGAGCCAGTCCGAGTCTCAAAACTGAAGAACTTGGAGTCCGACGTTTGAGGGCAGGAAGCATCCAGCACAGGAGAAAGATGTAGGCTGGGAGGCTGGGTCCATCTCACGTTTTCACATTTTTCTGCCTGCTTTATATTCACTGACAGCTGATTAGATTGTGCCCACCAAATTAAAGGTGGGTCTGCCTTCCCCAGCCCACTGACTCAAATGTTAATCTTCTTTGTCAACATCCTTGCAGACACACCCAGGATCAATGCTTTGCATCCTTCAATCCAATCAAGTTGACACTCAGTATTAACCATCACAAGTCCACCGCTTGTCAACTTGAACCCATACACATCTCCTAAGATCATACATAATCTTCGAATAAAGCCAATAATAAGGTCATAATTGTGCCTAACATAATACAACTATCCTTCACATAACCAGAAATGCACCAAACCCCAACCCCAATATTATTACGTAAAGTTAACAATACCTAAATGCTGATAGGACAACAATAAATTTTATGTCACATGATAAAGGAAAAGGAAATAAAATGAAGATATTTTCTTAGTACAAGTGTTTACATGCATAAGCGTGTTTTTAACAAAAGGAGAAAATACTCATGACAATTACAGTCCTTGTTTCTGCAACTGGTCACGTGGTCATAGCTGGTATTGATGACTACCTTCTTCTACTACCCATTCTGTATTCCCTTTGCCTTCAGCAAGCACCTCAGCAGGTCATGGTTTTTTTCCTGGTGGAATGACCCAAACCTTTATTCCTGAGGGGTCTGGACTGTTTGTCATCTGCCTGGATTGGGGTATTGTAGTTTCCCATTGACTTTAATCATGGGGCATGGTAATACTAAGAGGTGCCCTAATGGATCTCCTATATTCCATGCATACTCTTTCTTATCTATGTTGTGGAGTAGTAGACTGATTTCATCTTGATAGTGCGGGTCAATCACCGCAGCCAACACTGTAATTCCCTTCTTAGCCTGTTGACTTAAAGGTAGGAGGAGCCCAAAGTGTCCAGTTGACAATCTTAACTTCCAATTTAATGGAATCATTGTGTCTACTGGTGGCAGCATTCCTCCCTCTGGAACTAAGACATGTAGCCAGCAGAACTTAATGTTGCAGGAACAGGAAGCAAAAATTTTGCTAGTGGGTCACTGGGGGTGATGGTGAGTGGTGCCACTTCCACTTCCACCCCCTTGATTCCTGAACCTGTGAATCCTGGCTATGGGAGAAACTAACATATATTGGATGCTGATTCAGAGCGTACATGGCCTTCTGGACAACTTTGCCCCAGCCCTGCAGAATATCGTCACCTAGTTGGTGTTGTAATTATGACTTAAAAAGGCCATTCCTCCATTCTGTCAATCCAGCTGCTTCAGGATGATGGGGAACATGGTAAGACCCATGAATTCCATGAGCATGAGCCCACTGCTGCACTTCTTTAGCTGTAAAGTGAGTGCCTTGGTCAGAGGCAATGCTGTGTGGAATACCATAATGATGGATAAGGCATTCCGTGAGTCCACGGGTGGTAGTCTTGGCAGAAGCATTGCGTGGAGGATGGGTAAACCCATATGCGGAGTAAGTGTCTATTCCAGTGAGGACAAACCTGTGCCCTTTCCATGATGGAAGAGGTCCAATATAATCAACCTGCCACCAGGTAGCTGATCACCCTGAGGAATGGTGTCATATCAAGGGCTCAGTGTTGGTCTCTGCTGCTGGCAAATTGGGCACTCAGCAGTGATCGAACGCAGGTCAGCCTTAATGAGTGGATGTCCATGTTGCTGAGCCCATGTGTAACCTCCATCCCTGCAACCATGGCCAGTTTGTTTATGGACCCATTGGGCAATGACAGGGGTGGCTGGGGAAAGAGGCTGAGTGGTGTCCACAGAACAGGTCATCCTATCCACTTGGTTATTAAAATCCTCCTCTGCTGAGGTCACCCTTTGGTGAACACTCACATGGGATACAAATATCTTCAGTTTTGACCACTCAGAGAGGTCCATCCACATACCTCTTCCAAGTCCCTGACCATCCAGCCAAACCATTGGCTAACAGCCGATGAATCAGTATATAATCGCACATCTAGCCATTTCTCCTGCCATGCAAAGTGCACAACCAGATGCACTGCTCAAAGTTTTGCCCGCTGGGAAGATTCCCCTTCACCGCTGTCCTTCAGGGATGTCCTAGAAAGGGGCTGTAGTACTGCAGCTGTCCACTTTCGGATGGTGCCTGCATACCATGCAGAACCATCTGTGAACCAGGCCGTAGTCTTCTCTTTCTCTGTCAGCTGATCATAGGGCACTCCCTGTGAGGCCATCAGTGCAGGCTGGGAAAGAAAAGGCAGGGTGGCAAGAGTGGAGACCATGGGCATTTGAGCCACTTCCCCATGTAACTTACTTGTGCCTTCAGGACCTGCTCTAGCCCGATCACATATATGCAACTTCCATTTGATGACAGAATGCTTCTGTGCAAGACCCACTTTATGGCTAGATGGATCAGAAAGCACCCAGTTCATGATAGGCAGTTCAGGTCGCCTGGTGACTTGATGACCTATAGTCAAACGTTCAGTTTCCATCAAAGCCCAGTAACAGGTCAAGAGCTGTCTCTCAAAAGGAAAGTAGTTATCGCCAGAAGATGGCAGGGCCTTGCTCCAAAATCCTAGAGGCCTCCACTGTGATTCACCTATGGGGGCCTTCCAAAGGCTCCAAACAGCATCTCTATCTGTGACTGACAGCTCAAGCACCATTGGATCTGCCGGGTCATATGGCCCAAGTGGCAGAGCAGCTTGCACAGCAGTCTGGACCTGTTGCAGAGCCTTCTCCTTTTCTGGACCCCACTCAAAACTGGCAGCCTTTTGAGCCACTTGATAAATGGGCCTGAGTAACACACCCAAATGAGGAATATGTTGCCTCCAAAATCCAAATAAGCCCACTTGGTGTTGTGCCTCTTTCTTGGTTGTAGGAGGGGCCAAATGCAGCAATTTATCCTTCACCTTAGAGGGAATAACCCCTGAATTTTAGTCAGACTTATTTCCCATCCTCTAGCACACAAATGTCTCACCAATAAGTCCAGTGTGTTTGCTACTTCTTGCTCACTGGATCCAATCAGCATAATGTCATCAATGTAATGGACCAGTGTGATATCTTGCAGAAGTGAAAAGTGATCAAGGTCTCTCAATAAGATTATGACACAAAGCTGGAGAGTTGATATACCCCTAAGGTAGGACAGTAAAGGTATATTGCTGGCCTTGCCAGCTGAAGGCAAAGTGCTTCTGGTAGGCCTTATGGACAAGAATGGAGAAAAAGGCATTTGCCAAGTCAATGGCTGCATACCAGGCACCAGGAGATATGTTAATTTGCTCAAGCAATGAAACCACATCTGGTACAGCAGCTGCAATTGGAGTCACCACTTGGTTAAGCTTACAATACTCCACTGTCATTCTCCAAGATCCATCCGTCTTCTGCACAGGCCAGATGGGAGAGTCGAACAGGGATGTGGTGGGAATCATCACCGCTGTGTCTTTCAAGTCCTTGATGGTGGTACTAATCTCTGCTATTCCTCCGGGATGTGATACTGTTTTTGATTTATGATTTTTCTAGGTAGAGGCAGCTCTAATGGCTTCCATTTGGCCTTTCCCACCATAATAGCCCTCACCCTACCAGTCAGGGAGCCAATGTGGGGGTTCTGCCAGCTGCTATGTATGTCTGTGCCAATTATGGATTCTGGCACATGTGGGGAAAAGCAAGAGAGATCAGATTGTTACTGTGTCTGTGTAGAAAGTAGACATAGGAGACTCCATTTTGTTATGTACTAAGAAAAATTCTTCTGCCTTGAGATTCTGTTAATCTATAACCTTACCCCCAACCCCGTGCTCTCTGAAACATGTGCTGTGTCAACTCAGAGTTGAATGGATTAAGGGCGGTGCAAGATGTGCTTTGTTAAACAGATGCTTGAAGGCAGCATGCTCCTTAAGAGTCATCACCACTCCCTAATCTCAAGTACCCAGGGACACAAAAACTGCGGAAGGCCGCAGGGACCTCTGCCTAGGAAAGCCAGGTATTGTCCAAGGTTTCTCCCCATGTGATAGTCTGAAATATGGCCTCGTGGGAAGGGAAAGACCTGACCGTCCCCCAGCCCGACACCCGTAAAGGGTCTGTGCTGAGGAGGATTAGTAAAAGAGGAAGGAATGCCTCTTGCAGTTGAGACAAGAGGAAGGCATCTGTCTCCTGCCCGTCCCTGGGCAATGGAATGTCTCGGTATAAAACCCGATTGTATGCTCCATCTACTGAGATAGGGAAAAACTGCCTTAGGGCTGGAGGTGGGACCTGCGGGCAGCAATACTGCTTTGTAAAGCATTGAGATGTTTATGTGTATGCATATCTAAAAGCACAGCACTTAATCCTTTACATTGTCTATGATGCCAAGACCTTTGTTCACGTGTTTGTCTGCTGACCCTCTCCCCACAATTGTCTTGTGACCCTGACACATCCCCCTCTTCGAGAAACACCCACAAATGATGAATAAATACTAAGGGAACTCAGAGGCTGGCAGGATCCTCCATATGCTGAACGCTGGTTCCCCGGGTCCCCTTATTTCTTTCTCTATACTTTGTCTCTGTGTCTTTTTCTTTTCCAAATCTCTCGTCCCACCTTACGAGAAACACCCACAGGTGTGTAGGGGCAACCCACCCCAACAGGCACCAGAATCCATTTCCCTGGCACCAGGGAAATGACCACAGGATGAGTTCGGGGACTCACTGGACCCACTGTAAGTCAGACCTGAGCTAAAACTCCATTAATTACCTGACCTCCATAAGTCTCTACTTTAACTGGAGGACCATAATGACGTTTTGGGTCCCCTGGAATCAACATCAACTCAGAGCCAGCGTCCAGTAGTCCCCAAAATGTCTGATCATTTCCCTTTCGCCAATGCAGTTACCCTGGTAAAAGGCCGGAGATCTCCTTGGGGAAGGATGGGAGAAAGATTTACTGCATAAATTGTTGGTAATGTAGTGCAGTCCTTCCTCAAGGGGACCTGGTCTCCCCTTCGTTCAAGGGGTTCTGGGTCTGTAAACTGCTTCAAATCTAGAAATTGATTGAGGGGCCATGACTCTCTGTTTTTATCATTCAAATTAGTCTTTTGTCCATTCAACCTAGAAGTTTTCTCCTTATATAAATTAAGTAGGAATGCAGTAGGCTTCCTATCAATTTCACTTCTAGGAACACTGTGATTAATTAGCCAATGCCAGAGCTCTACACAAGTCAGACTATTCTGATTGCTGCTTTGTCTCTGCTGTCCATTATGGTAGCTGTGCCCACCTTGCCTTTGACAGTCGAATGCCACCGCTTGGCCACTGCCACCTTGTGATCCAATTATTCTCATTGTATTTAAATTTTGTAGTTGAGTGACTGTGGTTCCCACCGTTAGATCTGACATACACAGAAGAGCAATTACAGGGCTCTTCAAAGATTCAGGTGCTGCCCTCACAAATCTATTTTGCAAGGCATTGGTAAAGGGTATATCTTCTGGACCCTCCCAGCTGAGATGAGTAGGTCTAATGTGACTAATCCACTCCACCATCCCAGTCTCCCTAAGCCTTTGGATCCCTTCGTCTACATTAAACCAAGGGAGATCAGGCATTTCCAGCTTGCTCACAGTTGGCCATCTTTTAATCCATATTTCAGCTAACTAAGCAAATAAACTATTAGAACCTTTTTTAACTCCCCAACCTGCAACATTAAATGCAGAGTCCCTACTTAGTGGGCCCAAATCAATAAATTCAACCTGATCCAACTCTGTGTTCCTTCCACCATTATCCCACACCCTTAATATCTATTCCCATGCCTGTTCTCCAGATCTCTGTTTATACAAATTAAAGAACTCAAGCAGTTCTTTTTGAGTGTAGTGCACCTCCTTATGGGTCACACTCTCAACTTCACTTCTAGGGGCCTGCTGGGACTTTAGTTATAGGTCTAGAAGAAGCAAATAGGGGTGTTGGGGTGGGATCCTGAGGAGAATCAACATTTTTTTGCCTGGCAACTGCCTCAGGGGAGGCCATTGCTGTTGCCTCAGGCAACACAGGGTTTATCTCCTCAGACAGGTGGAAAGGCTGATGGCAGCATGGGTCAGGGACGGGATGTTGCCACTACTGGGGATGGGGAAGCTGTTCCTTCTGGCAAAAAAGATTAATCAGAGTTTCAAACTCAGTGTCCCCGGCTTCATCAGGGTCCTCCCACACATCCCCATCCCAAGTTGCAGGGTCCCATTCTTTTCCAATCAATGCCCTCACTTTAACAGTAGACACCTGGCAAGTCTGTGCATGCACTTTTAGTTGCAGGTCAGCCAGTTACATGATCAGATCCTGGGTTTGTTTTTCCACAATTTCAGTTCTTCCTCTACAGGAGATGAGACTCTCACTCAGGGTGATCTTAGCAGATTTGGGGCTCAGTATCTGCTTCTGAAGCTGGAAGATAGAATCCCTGAGTTCATCATTTTCTTTCTTCACTTTGTCCACTGAACTTAGGATCAAAGGTATTATGTCACATCATAGGATTGTTGAAATAAGGTGGTGTTTGATCCTCAGGTTATATTTTAGTGAACAATGTTAATGTGTATTCCAAAATCACATGGGATTTCTAGAGTTCTGATATCTGAGTTTGTGTTATCAAACATAATTAAGGTTATTGTGTTAGATTATTTTAAGTCTCAGAGTTGACCAAATTTCTTTGTCAGTTGTGTTTTTTACTGTGACTACCCTAGAACATTTGGACATTCATAGACAATTGTTGTCTTGTTTTGATCCTCTTCAAAGGATGGATTATAAACCTCAAGTGCAGGTTTCTGATAACTTTGAAAATTGTGAACAGGAGTTGACTGGGTAAACTGAATGAACTTCCAATAAAGCTTCCAATAAGCTTCCAATAAAGCCTAATCTTTTTTGACTTTTTGCTTTTTGTTTGGAATGTTGCTGATCCTTATGTTCTGTTTTTTCAGAATGAAGGAAGTTTTTCTTTTGAGCTGTTTATAGCTTTTAACAATTATAGGTTGAATGAACCAGTGATCTCTGACTGCAGCTCAGAAGAACCAAGGGATGGGCCATCAAACTTCAAATGGCCATGCAAATGGAGCTTTGGACGATGGCTGCCTTTTACTAGGGACTCTTAGATAGGCCTCTGAGACCTGACTGTTGTTTTCCCAAAACAGCACCCCTTGTCAGCATGAAACAATTAGGAATGGTCATCATCCCTATCCTAATAGCAATTAGGTGTACTTCTTCAGAGGCAGAAATGATGACAGTGTGCCATGACGCTGGCTGCACAGCTGGGGCTGCACACTCCATGGAGCCAATGGGAGCCCTGCCCCTTCTGAATTGGGACAAGAGCTCCCTGGGTGCTGCTGCAGCCACCCAAACCGCAGCTGCAGACCCAGGCCTCCTGCTCTAGGAAGCAAGCAGGAGCCCCACCCTCTTGGACGGAGCTACAGCTACCCAAACTGCATCTGTGGATCCGAGCTTCCCTGTGCTCTTGAGGGAGAGCCGGGAGCAGGTAAGATCTGCCTTCCCAGGTGCCACTGTGGCTGCCCTTCCAGGTACAGGAGCTGGGTGTTTCTACAGCCTGCATGCTTGGGAGCCCCAGGAAGGACCCCTGAACCCTGCAGTCATGGGGGTGTCTGGTGTCTGTCTGGCCTACCTCCAGTCCAGGCACCTGCTCTGATCTTGGAGCGGGGTTTGGGGCTGAACCCAGGGACCATGAATGGCAGTGGGAGGCAGATTGATTCCAAGGCAGAAGGGGGCAGATCCCCAGTAAGGCCCCACCTTTGGGCCAGGGAGGACCTGAAGGCTGGGGGCTGGACTGACAGTCCCACGGACCAGAGTGGGGACTTGTGGTATCTCTTCCAGGCCCACCCATGGCTTCCCGTGGGCCAATTGGCACAAACTTTCTTCCCTCTGAGGTCCATAAAAGCCCTGGGGTCAGCCAGAGCAGGGCAGAGGATGGCCAGAGGACAAAGAAGGCAGAAAGATGTCAGTGCAACCAGCTGCAGAGATGCAGAGAGGAGTATCCTCTGCTGAGAGCTGCAGAGATGACCTGTTGGCAGAGAGGAGCTACTCTCTCTGCAGAGAGCTTCAGAGACCTGCAGAGATGTCTGAATGACCTGCCTGCAGAGAGGAGCCACCCTCTCCAGGGCCTCCTCTCTGCTGAGAACTGAATACTCCATGGGATGACCTGCCTACAGAGAGGAGCTACCCACTGTGGGTCTCTTCTGAGCTGTTCTAACACTAAATAAAACTCTTCATCTTCACCCTTCACTTGTCTGTGACCCTTATTCTTCCTAGATGCAGGACAAGAACAAGAACTCGAGCACCATGGCCACAGAGGTTTTTCTGTAAGAAAAATCGATCCCATAACACTAGGATTACAGACACAAGCCACTGGGCCTGGCCTTAATTTTTGTCTAATAGACTTTTTTTTTTTTTTTTTTTTGAGACAGTCTCACTCTGTCACCCAGGCTGGAGTGCAGTGGTGCGATCTCGGTTCACTGCAACCTCCGCCTCCTGGGTTCAAGCAACTCTCGTGCCTCAGCCTCCCAAGTAGCTGGGATTACAGGTGCACACCACCACGCCTGGCTAATTTTTTGTATCTTTTTTAGTAGAGATGGGCTTTCACCATGTTGCCCCGTCTGGTCTCGAGCTCCTGAGCTCAGGCAATCTGCCTGTCTTGGCCTCCAAAAGTGCTGGGACTGCAGCCGTGAGCTACCATGCCTGGCCTCAGCCTGATATATCTTGAAGCTCTGTTTTATTGGGGCTTTTTTGTTTTTGTTTTTTTGAGACACATTGTTGCTCTGTTGCCCAAGCTGGGGTGCAGTGGTGCTATCTTGGCTCACTACAGCCTTTGCCTCCTGGGTTCAACTGATTCTCATGACTCGGCCTCCTGAGTAGCTGGGATAACAGGCACATGCCACCACACCTGGCAGATTTTTGTATTTTTTAGTAGAGATGGGGTTTCACCATGTTGGCTAGGCTGATCTTGAACCCCTGGCCCCAAGTGACCTGCCTGCCTCTACCTCCTCCCAAAGTGCTGGGATTACAGGCATGAGCCACTGCACCTGGCCTCTGTTGTTTGATATGTACACATTTAGGATTGCTGTGTCTTAGGCTGGGCACGGTGGCTCATGCCTCTAATCCCAGCACTTTGGAAGATTGAGGCAGGTGGATCACTTGATGCCAGGAGTTCAAGACCAGCCTGGGCAACATGGTGAAAGTATCTTTACAAAAAAAATACAAAAATTAGTCAGGTGTGGTGGTGTGCATCTGTAGTCCCAGCTACTTAGGAGGCTGAGGTCAGAGGATCTTTTGAGCCTGGGAGGTTAAGGCTGCAGAGAGCCATGATCTGACCACTGCATTCCAGCCTGGGTGACAGAGCAAAACTATATTTTAAAAAATGGCTGTGCCCTCTTGGTGGGTTAACCCTTTATTAATTAAACAATGTTCCTCTCAATCTGCAGTAATTTTCATTGCTCTTAATTCATTTTATCTGGTATTAGCATGGCCAGTCCTGATTTCTTTTGAGTAATATGTGTATGATTTATCTTTTATTTTTTATTTTTTATTTTTTTGAGATGGTCTTTCACTCTTGTTGCCTAGGCTGGAGTGCAATGGCGTGATCTCGGCTCACTGCAGCCTCCGCCTCCTGGGTTCAAGCGATTCTCCTGCCTCAGTCTCCCGAGTAGCTGGGATTACAGGCAGGTGCCACCACGCCTGGCTAATTTTTTGTATTTTTAGTAGAGGTGGGGTTTCTCCACGTTGGCCAGGCTGGTCTCAAACTCCTGGCTTCAGATGATCCACCCACCTCAGCCTCCCAAAGTGCTGGGATTACATATGTGAGCCACCGCACCTGGCCTATCCTTTTACATTCAACTTACCTATGTCATTATATTTACATGTACATGTACATATACATGTTGTTTTTTATTTTTCTACCAGTCTTTTAATTGGTATGCCTAGATCATTTACATTTAATGTAATTTTTGATATATTAGGGCTAAGTCTGCCATTTTATGTTTCTTTTTGTTTGTTTCAGCTCTCATTTTCATTACTCTTTGACCTTTTTCCCCTTCCTGTGGATTACTTGAACATTTCTTTAAATTCCTTTTTGATTTATCTGTTATAAATTTTTATTTATTATGAATGTTTTTAGTGGTTGGTCTAGATATTGCATTATACATATGAAACCTATCACAATTACTGGTGTCAACATTTTATCAGTTTGAGTAAAGTATAGAAATCTTACCTCCATTTAGGTCCCTTAACATTCCCTCCCCCTTGTATACTATAATTATCTTAAATATTTCCTATCTATATATTGAGAACCATATCAGATAATATAATTTTTACTTCAGCCATCCAATATAATTTAGAAAACTCAAGATGAGAAGATTGACCTATTGTCATGTATTTATATTTTTATACTTCCTCTTCTTTCTTCATAATTTTTGTTTTGTTTGGTTTTTTGGTTTTTTTTTTTTTTGAGATGGAGTCTCACTCTGTTGCCCAGTGTTGGAGTGCAGTGATGTGATCTTGGTTCACTGCAACCTCTGCCTCCCAGGTTCAAGTGATTCTCCTGCCTCAGCCTCTCGAGTAGCTAAGACTACAGGCGTGCGGTACCATGCCTGGCTAATTTTTGTATTTTCAGTAGAGATGGTGTTTCGCCATGTTGGCCATGCTGGTCTTGAACTCCTGACCTCAAGTGATCTGCCTATCTCAGCCTCCCAAATTTTCTTCACAATGTTTTAAGCTTTGTTTCTTTCTTTTTTTTTTAAGAGTAGGTCTGGTGGAAGCAAATTATCTTAGTTTCCCTTATCTGAGAAGCTCTTGATTTCACCTTCATTCCTGAAGGATATTTTTGCTGGGTATGGGATTTAAAGTTGACGTTTGTCTGTTTGTTTGTTTGTTTGTTTGTTTGAGTACTTGGAAAATGTGCCATTCCCTGCTGGTCTCTATGGCTTCTTATAAGAAATCTACTGTCAATGGAATAATTGTTCCTTTATAGGTACTATGTTGTTTCTATTTGCTTCCAAGACTTTTTTCTTTGTATTTATTTTAGGAAGTTTGCTTATGATGTGTCTTGCAATAGATTTCTTTGAATTTATTCTACTTAGGGTTCACTCCATTTCTTGAATCTGTATGTTCATGTGCTCTAAATTTCCTTCTAAGCACAGCTTTAGCAACATCTTACAAATTTTGACATGTTCTGTTTTTATTTTCATTCAGCTCAAAGTACTTTTTGAATTTTCTTTTTACTCTTTGAAATGAAAATTACTTAAATGTGTGTTATTTAGTTTCCAAATACTAGGCTATCATCCAGATATCAGTAATTAGTTTCTAATTTAATTCCACTGTGCTCAAGGAACATACTTTGTATGACTTGAATCCTTTTAAATTTATTGGTACATTGTTTTGGATTTTTTTTTTTTTTTTTTTTTTTTGAAACAGAGTCTTGCTCTGTCACCCAGGCTGGAGTGCAGTGGCATGATATCAGCTCACTGCAACCTCTGCCTCCCGGTTTTAAGCAATTCTCATGCCTCAGCTTCCCAAGTAGATGGGACTACAGGTGTGCACCACTACACCTGGCTAATTTTTGTATTTTTAGTAGAGATAGGGTTTTGCCATGTTGGGCAGGCTGGTGTCAAACTCCTGACCTCAAGTGATCTACCTGTCTCAGCCTCCCAAAGTACTGGGATTAGACATGAGCCACAGTGCCCAGCCTGCTTCTTGTGTTTTGAAGCTCTGTTATCATATGTATAAATGCTTAGAATTGTTAGGTCATCTTAATAAATTGGCCCCTTTTTCACTGTCAAATGACATTATTTATCCCTATAATATTCTTTCCTCTGAAGTCTACTTTTCTTTTTTTCTTTTTTTTTTTGAGATGGAGTCTCGCTCTGTCAACCAGCCTGGAGTGCAGTGACGTGATCTTGGCTCACTGCAACCTCCACCTCCCGGGTTCAAGCGATTCTCCTGCCTCAGCCTTCTGAGTAGCTGGGACTACAGGTGCGCGCCACCACACCCAGCTAATTTTTATATTTTTAGTAGAGATGGAGTTTCACCATGTTGGTCAGGCTGATCTCGAGCTCCTGACCTCGTGACCTGCCCACCTTGGCCTCCCAAAGTGCTGGAATTACAGGCGTGAGCCACCACTGCCGGCCTACTTTTCTTTCTTAAAAAAAAAAAAATCTGTTTTTATAGTGACAGTGTCTCACTATGTTGCCCAAGATGGTCTCAAACTTAGCTCACACATTCCTCCTGCCTCGGCCTCCCAAAGTGCTGGGATTACAGGCGTGAGCCACCATTTCCAGCCCTGAAGTCTGCTTTTGTGATATTAACATAGCCACTCCAGCTTTCTCTAGGTTAGTGTTAGCATGGTATAGTTTTAAAAATCCTTTTACTTATAATTTATTTGTTTCTTTTAAAGTGGGTTTCTTGTAGAAAGCACATAGCTGGACTTTTTTCTTTTATCCAATCTGACAATCTTTGCCTTTTAATTTTGTTGTTTAGACCATTTATATTTAATATCATTATTGACATTGTCAGGTTTAAATATTACATTTTGCTACTTGTTTTCTATTTGTCTCATCTGTTCCTTGTTCTCCTTTCCTCTCTTTCTTCTTTGGGTTTTTTTTTTTTTTTTTTTTTTTCTGAGACAGAGTCTTGCTCTGTCGCCCAGGCTGGAGTGCAGTGGCATGATCTTGGCTCACTGCAACCTCTGCCTCCTGGGTTCACACCATTCTCCTGCCTCAGCCTCCCGAGTAGCTGGGACTACAGGTGCCCACCACCACACCCAGCTAATTTTTTATATTTTTAGTAGAGACGGGGTTTCACTGTGTTAGCCAGGATGGTCTTGATCTTCTGACCTTATGATCTGCCCACCTCGGCCTCCCAAAGTGCTGGGATTGTAGGCATGAACCACTGCACCCAGCTCTTCTTTGGGTTTAACTCAGTATTTTTTTATAATTCTATCTTCTGTTTTTGTTTTGTTTTGTTTTGTTTTTCCCTTTCTGTAACAGGGTCTTGCTCTGTCACCCAGTGTGGAGTGCATTTTGCAATTATGACTCACTGCAGTCTCAAACTCCTGGGCTCAAGCAATCTTCCCACCTTGGCCTCCCAAGTAGCTGGGACTACAGGTATGTGCCGCTACATCTGGCTTTTTTTTTTTTTTTTTAGACATGGTCTTGCTCTATCACCCAGGCTGGAGTGCAGTGGTGCAATCATGGCTCACTGCAGTCTCCACCTCCCACATCCAAGTGATCCTCCCACCTTCAAGTAGCTGAGACCACAGGTTTGTGCCATCACACCTGGCTAATTTTTTATTTTTTATAGAGATGGAGGCTCCGTATGTTGCCCAGGCTGGTCTTGAACTTCTGGGCTCACATAATCCTTCTGCCTCAGCTTCTCAAAGTCCTGAGATTACAGATGTGAGCCACTGCACCCAGCCCCTGAATAACATTTTTTATTTTTTGTAGAGATGGCATCTCGCTATGTTGCTCAGGCTAATCTCAAACTCCTGGCTTCAAGTGATCCTCCTGCCTCAGCCTCAAAAGTGCTGAGATTACAGATATAAGCCACTGTGCCACACCTGCTTTGTTATTTTAGTGTTGCTTTAGGGTTTATAGTAATCATCTCTAATTTATTACAGACTACCTTCAGGTGCTATTTACAGTGTAAGAAACCATAGTATACTTCCATTTTCTCCCTCCCAGCCTTTGTGCTATTGTTACATTTTACACTTACATATGTTATAAACTACATTATTTTTGCCTTAAATAGTCAATAGTCAATTATCTCTTTTAAAAATGTATATTTAAGGGGCCGGGCACGGTGGCTCATGCCTATAATCCCAGCACTTTGGGAGGCCGAGGCAGGCGGATCACCTGAGGTCAGGAGTTTGAGACCATCCTGGCCAACATGGTGAAACCTTGTCTCTACTAAAAATATTTTAAAAATTAGCCAGACGTAATGGTGGGCGCCTGTAATCCCAGCTACTCGGGAGGCTGAGGCAGAATTGCTTGAACCCAGGAGACGGAGGTTGCAGTGAGCCGATACTGTGCCACTGCACTCCAGCCTGAGCTACAGAGTGAGACTCCATCTCAAAAGAAAACACACACACACACACACACACACACACACACACATAAACAAAAATGTATATTTACCTATTTACTATTTCCTATGGTCTTCATTTCTTTATGTACATCCAGATTTTCAATGGAAGTCATTTTCCTCTGTCTACAGACTTTTATTAACATTTCTTAAGCCAGGCGCGGTGGCTGATGCCTGTAATCCCAGCACTTTGGGAGGCCGAGGCGGGCGGATCACCTGAGGTCAGGAGTTTGAGACCATCCTGGCCAACATGGTGAAACCTTGTCTCTACTAAAAATATTTTAAAAATTAGCCAGACGTAATGGTGGGCGCCTGTAATCCCAGCTACTCGGGAGGCTGAGGCAGAATTGCTTGAACCCAGGAGACGGAGGTTGCAGTGAGCCGATACTGTGCCACTGCACTCCAGCCTGAGCTACAGAGTGAGACTCCATCTCAAAAGAAAACACACACACACACACACAAATAAACAAAAATGTATATTTACCTATTTACTATTTCCTATGGTCTTCATTTCTTTATGTACATCCAGATTTTCAATGGAAGTCATTTTCCTCTGTCTACAGACTTTTATTAACATTTCTTAGGCCAGGTGCAGTGGCTCATGCCTGTAATCCCAGCACTTTGGGAGGCCAAGGTGAGTGGATCAACTGAGCTCAAGAGTTTCAGACCAGCCTGGGCAACATGGTAAAACCCTGTCTCTACAAAAAGTACAACAATAAGCTGGGTGTGGTGGTACGTGCCTGTAGTCCCAGCTACTCAGGAGGCTGAGGCAGGAGGATGGCTTCAGCCTGGGAGGCAGAGGTTGCAGTGAGCTGAGATTGGGCCACTGCACTCCAGCCTCAGAGACAGAGCAAGACCCTCCCCCTGAAAAAAGAAACAAAAAACATTTCTTATACTGCAAGTCTGCCAGTGATGAATCCTTTGAGATTTTGAATGTCTTCTTTTTATTTTGGGGGGGCGGGTAGAATTCACATAACATTCACTATTTTAACCATTTTGAAGTGTACAACTCAGTATCTTTCAGTACATTTACAGTTTTGTGCAACTGTCACCAATAATTCCAGAACATTTTCTTCACCCCAAAAAGAAACCCCATACCCATTTTGTCTAAAGACCTTTCACTTACTTCCTGGGTTCTTTTTTGTCCCATTCAGCTACTGGCTCTCCATGTATGTAAAAGAGACCTCTTGGGACTAAGGTTGGGACTCCAGGAAACTAATTGCTTCCCTCCTCCTTAACTTCCACCACCCAGGGTCATAGATCAAATAAAGTTGTTTTTACTGCAGCTGCTGCTGACGGAGCTTAAGAGAATGAGACACATACTATAATACATTGGTTCAACCACCAAAATGCATCCCCTCCTCCTTTTTTTCTTTTTCTTTTTTTTTTCTTTTCCTTTTTTGAGATAGGATCTCCTTCTGTCACCTAGGATGAAGTGCGGTGGTGCGATTACAGCTCACCGTAGCCTCGACCTCTGGAGCTCAAGTGATCCTCCCACCTCAGCTTCCCAAGGAGCTGGGACTACAGGAATGCACCATCATGCTCAGCTACTTTGAAAGTTTTTGTAGAGACAAGGTCTCACTATGCTGTCCAGGCTGGTCTCAATCCCCTGGGCCCAAGTGATCCTCCTGCTTTGGACTCCCAAAGGCATAAGCCACTGTGCCTGGCCTGACCTAGACTCTTAAAATAGCTGGCTCTCTAGGGTTCTAGGGTTCCTCCCTCTAATCTCTTCTTCCTTTAGTTCCTTAGTTCAAGTTCATTTTCTATTCTGTCTGCAGAAATTCTTTTTTTTTTTTTTGTTTGGAGACAGTCTTGCTCTGTCACCCAGGCTGGAGTGCGGTGGCATGATCTTGGCTCACTGAAACTCCGCCTCCCAGGTTCAATCAATTCTTGTGCCTCAGCGCCTCCCAAGTAGATGGGATTACACCTGGCTAATTTTTCTTTCTTTCTTTCTTTCCTTTTTTTTTTTTTTTTTTTTTTTTTGAGACAGAGTTTTACTCTTGTCGCCCAGGCTGGAGTGCAATGGCATGATCTCGACTCACTGCAACCTCCACCTCCCAGGTACAAGCAATTCTCCTGCCTCAGCCTCCGGAGTAGCTGAGATTACAGGCCACCACGCCTGGCTAATTTTTATATTTTTAGTAAAGACAGGGTTTCACCATGTTGGCGAGGCTGGTCTTGAATTCCTGACCTCAGGTGATCCACCCGCCTTAGCCTTCCAAAGTGCTGGAATTAGAGGCATGAGCCACCACGCCAGGCCTAATTTTTGTATTTTTAGTAGAGATGGAGTTTCACCATGTTGTCCAGGCTGGTCTCAAACGCCTAGCCTCAAGTGATCTGCCTGCCATGGCCTCCCAAAGTGCTAGGATTATAGGCGTGAGTCACTAAGCCCAGCCTCTGCAAAAATTCTTTTTTTTTTTTTTGAGACAGAGTGTCCATTTTTCTGTTGCCCAGGCTGGAGTACAGTGGCGCAATCTTGGCTCACTGCAGCCTCCACCTCCCGGCTTCAAGCAATTTTCCTGCCTCAGCCTCCCGAGTAGCTGGGATTACAGGTGTGCACCACCACACTCAGCTAATTTTTTATATTTTTAGTAGAGATGGGATTTCACCATGTTGGCCAGGCTGGTCTCTAACTCCTGACCTCAGGTGATCCACCCACCTTGGCCTCCCAAAGTGCTGGATTACAGGCGTGAGCCACCATTCCCAGCCCCCCTTGACTATTTTCAGTCACCCACACAGAGCAGGCCTTTTCATGCCCCAAGCTGTGGATCATGCCAGTCTCTTTATTGGAGGGTTCTATCCAACCACTAGCCATCCTTCCAGAATCAGCTCAAGCCTGGGCAACAAAGTGAGACCCTGTCTCTACAGAATATTAAAAAATTAGCCAAGCATCATGGTACATGCCTGTTGTCCCACCTACATGGATGGCTAAAGCAGGAGGATCACTTGAGCCTGGGAGGTCAAGGCTGCAGTGAGCTATTATCACACCACTGCACTACTGCCTTGGTGACAGAGTGAGACCTTGTCTCAATAATAATAATACAATAATCAATTATAACAAATGTAGCACACCTATGTAAGATGTTAATAATAGGGAAAACTGAGGGGTGTGGGAAGAGGGATTATATGGGAACTCTACTTTCTGCTCAATGTTTTTGTAAACCTAAAATTGCCCTAAAAAATACTCTATTAGTTAAAAACAAACAACAATAATGAAAACCCAAGTGCGCAAGAAGTGACAACGGCTGGGCATTGATGAGGAACACGTGGCAGACAAGGGCAGGAGGTCTGGTTGGGGGACCTGCCTTTGTCTTCATGTCCTCTGTCATTCTACTCCTCAGTCCTGAAGATAAACTCAACCCCACTTTCCCTGTCCCCTCCCATGTTTATGCATTCAATTTCCCCTGTCATTCCCAAAGCGCCAGAGTTAGAAATTCAAAGAATTTCTGAGAAAAGGCAGTTTCATACTGAAATAGTTTGGATATTTGTCCCCTCGAAGTCTCATGCTGAAATTTGATCCCCAGTGTTGGAGCTGGGGCCTGGTGGGAGTTGTTTGGATTGTGGGGTGGATCCCTCGTGAATTGCTTGGTGCCATTCTCGAGGGAATGAGTGAGTTGTCTTAGTTCCTGCAAGAACTGATTATTAAGAAGAGCCTGACACTTCCCTCCCCTGTTGTTCCCTTCCACTCTTGCTGTGTGCTGCCTGCTCCCTTTTGCCTTCTACCATGAGTGGAAGCTTCTGAGGCCCAGAAGCAGATGCTGGCAGCATGCTTTTTTTTTTTTGAGATGGAGTTTCACTCTTTCACCCAGGCTGAAGTGAAGTGGCATGATCTCAGCTCACTGCAACCTCTGCCGCCTGGGTTCAAACAATTCTTCTGCCTCAGCCTCCTGAGTAGCTGGGATTATAGGCGCCTGCCACCACATCTGGCTAATTTTTGTATTTTTAGTAGAGATGGTGTTTTGCCATGTTGGCCAGGCTAGTCTCAAACTCTTGACCTCAGCCTGACTCACCCACCTTCACCTCCCAAAAAGCTAAGATTACAGGCATGAGCCACCACACCCAGCCACACCATGCTTCTTGTACAGTCTGCAGAATCATGAGCAAAATAAACCTCTTTTCTTTATAAATTACGCAGCCTCAGGTATTTCCTTTATAGCAGCACAAATAAACTAAGATACATACTGAGGATGAGGATGCCAGCTGAAGAACCAGAAGGCTAGAGGAGGAGATGGGTCCAGTTATGGTTGGTGAACTCAGGTCAGAAATGGGAGACTTAGACAAGATCCAAAAATCTCCCTGAGCTGTGCAGCAGCAGTAGAGGCTTGAGATTCGGGTGACAGGTTTGGATATCTCTACATCTAGTTCTCTCAGTTTTAGGTGTGTGTCCCAGTAGCTCCCTGTTTTAAAAGTTTTTTTTCTGATTTCTTCATTGTTAGGTGCCTTTTCTGGGGACTAAGAGAAGTGAGTGAACTGGACCTCTTTTTTTTTTTGGACGGAGTTTTGCTCTTGTCGCCTAGGCTGAAGTGCAATGGTGTGATCTTGGCTCACTGCAACCTCCACCTCCCGGCTCCAAGTGATTCTCTTACCTCAGCCTCCCATGTAGCTGGGGCTACAGGCACTGCCGCCATGCCTAGCTAATTTTTGTATTTTTTTGTAATGACAGGGTTTCACCATGTTGTCCAGGCTGGTCTCAAACTCCTGACCTCACGTAATACACCCACCTCAGCCTCCCAAAGTGTTGGGATTACAGGCAAGAGCCATTGCACCTGGCCTGGCCTGGACTTCTTCACTGGCCTGTTTCCTTTGGCTGTCTGCCAGAGGTTGGTCATAGCTCAGGGAGGAACCATTAGGTGCCTCCCATTAGTGTACAATTATGTGGGCCCTTTTACCAGTTGTAGGAGGAACTATATGCCATCTTTCCCTATTTTCCAAACTGTAGATACCCCTAGAAGAGAGATGAAGCCCAATTCATGTTGTTTTGATATAAGCTTAGAAAGTGGTTCTAGCATGGTAATGAATGTGTTCAATTTGGGTATTGCATTGGAATTAAATAGGTAAAGACTAAAAAGTTACTCTGATTTGGTCTGACTTGCTAATAGATTCTATTCTCCCAGTCATCTACCTGATAAGTCCATAGAGTAATAACTCTTTTTTTTTTTTTTGAGACAGAGTTTCCCTCTTGTTGCCCAGGCTGGAGTGCAATGGTGCCATCTCGGCTCACCGCAACCTCTGCCTCCCGGGTCCAAGTGATTCTCCTGCCTCAGCCTCCCAAGTAGCTGGGATTACAGGTGTGTGCCACCATGCCCGGCTAATTTTATATTTCTAGTAGAGACGGGGTTTCTCCATGTTAGCCAGGCTGTTCTCGAACTCCTGACCTCAGGTGATCTGCCCACCTTGGCCTCCCAAAGTGCTGGGATTACAGGCATAAGCCACCGTGCCCGGCCTGTAATAACTCTTTTAGAGTCTTTTCTTTGTTTTCTGTTGCTTAGAACACCTAAAACTGGGTAATTTATAAAGAAATTTATCTCTTACAATTCTGGTAGCTGGAAGGTCCAAGGCTATGGCTCAGCATCCAGTGAGGGCCTTCTTCATGGTGGGGACTCTAGAGTCCTAATGTGGCCTGGGCTGTGAGCATTACACAGCAAAGGGGTTCAGCATGCTAGCTCCAGTATTTCTCTTCTTATAAAGCCACCAGTAACACTCCCTTGATAATCTGTTAATCCATGAATTAATCATTCTGAAACGCATTTTAATCCATTCATGAAGGCAGACCCCTCATGACCAAATCACTTCTTCTTTTTTGTTTGTTTTTTTGAGACAGAGTCTTGCTCTGTCACCCAGGCTGGAGTGCAGTGGCACGATCTCGGCTCACTGCAACCTCCGCCTCCCGGGTTCAAGATATTCTCCTGCCTCAGCCTCCTGAGTAGCTGGGACTACAGGCGCATGCCACCACACCCGGCTAATTTTTGTATTTTTAGTAGAGATGACGTTTCACCATGTTGGCCAGGATGGTCTCAATCTCCTGACCTCGTGATCCACCTGCCTTGGCCTCCCAAAGTGCTGGGATGACAGGTGTGAGTCACCACGCCCAGCCGACTCAATCACCTCTTAAAGACAGTACCTTTCTTTTCAATTTTTTTTTTTTTTTTTTTTTGGAGACGGAGTCTTGCTCTGTCACCCAGACTGCAATGCAATGGCGTGATCTTGCCTCACTGCAACCTCCGCCTCCCGGGTTCAAGTGATTCTCCTACATCAGCCTCCCCAGTAGCTGGGATTACAGGCACCGGCCATCATGCCTGGCTAATTTTTTTTGTATTTTTGTAGAGACGGGATTTCACCATGTTGGTCAGGCTGATCTCAAACTCCTGGCCTCAGGTGATCCGCCCACCTTGGCCTCCCAAAGTGCTGGGATTACAGGTATAAGACTGTATCTTTCAATACTCCCATATTGGGGATTAAGTTTTAACAGGATTTTTGGAGGGTACAAACATTCAGGCCAGAGCAGTTCTCCTACCCAGAGGTGAAAGGCACCCCTGCCTTTCTCTCCTCCCTGTTTCCTCAGAAGGTACAGAGGAAACTTTTTAAATCTAAGTTTAGGTCTAGGGTAAATCCTTAGGGTGACAAGGATATGGGGCAGGAGAAGCAGAAGCCATGAAGGGAAAAATGTTTGTCGGCGTGGGACAAAGGTGAGAAGGACAAATTCTGGGCCAGGAAAAGGTAGATAAATATTTGTGAATGTTACATTCTTCACTGTTCTTAGAAGGCATCAGCTTTTTTGGCTGGGGTAAAGACGTCAGATCTAAAAAGTAGTCATTCAGATTAGGGAAACACTGAAGCAAAGAATGTGTCTTGGGCCAACTCCTGGCTTGTTTTTCTGGAGCAGGTGAGGATCACCTACATCCTTTAAGAGTGAGGGTGAGGTGTGTTCAGGGCAATTGAAATTTCCAAGAGCTAAGACACTTTCTAGCTCTGGCCAGTCTTGGTGTCTTTTTGTCCTGAGCCTTTCTCCACTTCCCAACCTGAGCACTGCTTCCTTCCAGCAGGGCTGCTCTGCTGTCCCCCCATGGTCCAGGCTGTGCTGCTCCTCTGCTGTGTCTTGCTGCCCCTGGTAGCTGCCTTTCCAAGAAATGCCCAAAGTGGGGCCCTAACCTTCCAGCTGTCTTTTCCAGAGACTGGGCATCCATCTCCCATTTCTGGGAGAGCCAGATTCCTCTCCCAGATCCCAGGACCAGCGAGGATCTCTTACACACAGCCCCATCCCTAGCCCCTCTGCCTGAGTACCTGTCCAAATTAGCTCTGAGGGTGGCCTTGGAGGAGGTGGGCTGCCCAACTGAGGCCCATGTTCTGTAGCTTCAGCTCATTAGGATGGGAGGAAAGGATACTACTGAAACCCTCATCCATGAGAGTCAAAAGCTCAAGGAGGAGGAAGTGATTGGCAATACTAATATCATCGTGAGGGATCTGGGGAGAACCCCAGGGGAGCTTATGCGGGTCCAGCACTCCCGTTACCCTTCCTGAGGCATATACCTATAGATATGGGCAGGTGCTGTATGAGACAGCAGTGCTGATGTTTGAATTTACTAAGAAGCTCCCTTCCCCTAAGCTGGTAACAGCTTCTGCTGTCAGTGTCACCCAGAAGTGCACGGATGAGTCTTGGGAGCATTTGGAAGAAGTAGGCAAACGGCTGATGAATAACTCTGAAGTTAAGAACTTCACAATGGCCAGGCGCAGTGGCTCACACCTGTCATACCAGCACTTTGGGAAGCTGAGGCGGGTGGATCACAAGATCAGGAGTTCAAGACCTGCCTGGCCAACATAGTGAAACCCTGTCTCTACTAAAGATACAAAAATTAGCCAGTGTGGTGGCATGTGCCTATAGTCCCAGCTACTCGGGAGGCTGAGGCAGGAGAATCACTTGAACCCGGGAGGCGGAGGTTGCAGTGACCGAGATCATGCCACTGCGCTCCAGCCTGGCAACAGAGCGAGACCCCGTCTTGAAAATAAATAAATAATATCTAGTTAATAATTTAAAAGAAAAAAAAAAGAACTTCACGAGGCCAGGGCGAGGGTCAGGCCCAGTCAGTGAAGGGATGCGGGGCGCCGTGGTGCTCACACGGAGAAGTGCGGCAGAGGGCACCTGCCTTAGCAGGTATGCAAAGACGCGTTTTCACCCAGGTGTCCTTAGAGATAACTTGGATGAGCCCAGAGTTATCCTCTGGGTGCAAGCAGAACCCTTTATAGTGGGTGCCTTGCAGGTCCCCCGCTCCATCCAAGTTTAGTCTTCACTATCTCAGGAAGATATTCAACTATGTGCGAATCCGGGCCACAGAAGGATCTTCCCCACGCCTCTACTGGTCTACATGGAGGCACATCGCTTGTGGGAAGCTGCAGTTGGCCAAGGACCTGATGTGGCTTTACTTTGAAATATCTGATAGTCTTTCAGTGAAGATAGCTGAGGAGTGCCTGGAATGGTCTGAGGTTTTGTCCAACTGCATGTCTGAGGAGGAAGTTGAAAAGCAGAGAAATCAGCTTTCAGTGGACACCCTGCAGTTTCTGCTCTTCTTATACATTCAACAATTGAACAAGGCCTCTACTAAGGACATCTTTGATTGGAGAAGAGTGGCCTAGTCCCAGAAACAGATCTCAGTCTCCTGACCTGACTGAAAAATCTAATTGTCATAATAAGAACTGGAATGATTACAGATATCAAGCTTTTGTCTATGATCATCTGTCTGATCTCCCGAGCTGCTTTTAGATCCAGGACAACTCACTGCATCATTTCGTTCAAACCATAGTAGTCTAGTGTCTCAAGAAGCTTCCTTATTGAAGGTAGAATAAGAAGCGCCAGGAAGATCTATCCACTTCATGAACTTGCACTGTGGTAACCACTGCATGCAGATAGTGGCTTCTCAAAGATCTCTAAGACTTTCTACAAGCTGGAACCCTGGTTGAGGTCCTGTTTGACTGGGAATCCATTTGGTACATCAACTTGCCTCAAGTCTGGAAAGAAATTGGCTTGGGCTCATCAAATTGAAGGGACAACCAAAAGAGCTAAGATTGCTTGTAATTCTTCTTCTTTTTTTTCCTTTTCTTTTTTTTCTTTTTTTTTTTTTTTTTGAGATGGAGTCTCACTCTTTCACCCAGTCTGGAGTGCAATGGCGTGATCTCTGCTCACTGCAGCCTCTGCTTCCTTGGCTCAAGCGATTCTCCTGCCTCAGCCTCCCAAGTAGCTGGGATTACAGGTGCCCACCACCACACCAGGCTTATTTTTTTATTTTTAATAGAGACAGGGTTTCACCATGTTGGCCAGGCTGATTTTAAACTCCTGACCTCAAATAATCCACTTGCCTCGGCCTCCCAAAGTGCCGGGATTATAGGCATGAGCCACCACACCTGTCCCAGATTACTTGTAATTCTAATGTGGCCCCTAGGATACACCACATGATGGTGATGAGCCAGGTTTACAAGCAGACATTGGCTAAGAGCTCAGATACTCTGGTGGGGACACATGTAAAGATTCATCATTGCAACGAATCTTTTATATATCTACTCTCTCCCTTATGATCTGTGACAATTGAGAAGTGCAGGACTAGCACCTTTGTCTTGGGCCCTGTAGCAACTATGATTTACCTCCACAGTTGTGACAACATTAAAGTCATTGCTGTTTGCCATCGTTTGTCCATCTCTTCTACGACAGGTTGCGTCTTTCACATTCTGACGCCTACGTGCCCACTCATTCTCTCTGGGAACAAGATAGTAACTTTTGCCCCTTTTCATACCCATTACCCAATGCTAGGTAATGGACCCAGCATTAATCCTGGTCAAAAGAGAACCATATGGCCAGGACTGGCCTTGCTACAGTGCCTAACTATTGGGATAATCTAATGGTTGTGTGCGGAAAGAACAGCGACACAGGTGTCTTCTGGCTTTTACCACCTTCTGAATTCTATATATTTACTACTCCCTTTGAAATGGAAGAGGGCACAACAGGGATTCCTGGGAGTCTTCCATCTGTATATCAGAAAGCACTGGGTCAAAGAGAACAGAAGGTACAGATCTGGCAGAAAACTGTGAAGGAGGCTCATTTGACATAGGATCAAAGGAAGCAGTTCCAGGTACTGATAGAGAACAAGTTTTTGTTTTTGTTTTTTCTTTTGAGACAGAGTCTCGCTCTGTCGCCCAGGCTGGAGTGCAGTGGTGTGATCTCAGCTCACTGCAAGCTCCGCCTCCCGGGTTCACACCATTCTCCTGCCTCAGCCTCCCGAGTAGCTGGGACTACAGGCGCCCGCCACCACACTGGCTAATTTTTTTTTTCTTCTGTATTTTTAGTAGAGACAGGGTTTCACCATGTTAGCCAGGATGGTCTCGATCTCCTGACCTCATGATCCACCCACCTTGGCCTCCCAAAGTGCTGGGATTACAGGCATGAGCCACCGCGCCCAGCCAGAACAAGTTTTATGAATGGTTGATTAATACAGGACATCGCCAACAGCTGGACAGCCTTGTACCCCCTGCAGCAGGCTCCAAACAAGCGGCTGGATAAGGATCTTCCATGGAAACACTGGGCCCTGGAAATACAAGGATAAATGGAGGATGGTGCTCATCTTGAAACTAAAGCGGGAAGGTGCTCTTGCTGCTTAAGAGACATTGGGACTTTTTCATCCTATTTAAGAACTTTATTTGATTTCCATTCCATATTCATTTATTACTGTGTAGGCTGAATTTTAGCTAAACTTCTGACTTTCGTATAAACATATTGTTTATAGAACATCAGAAGACTCATCTTTGTGATGCCCAACTGAAAAAGTTGATGAAGGTAGTAGCATTGTATATATGTTAATATTAACACAATTGAGTGTAGATTTGCAACTATACTGTGTATATTAATTTGTATGATGAAAGAATTTCATTCTTTCTAGAGTTAAATAAGAGTTTTATAGTTCTTTGTAACTACAAGGAAATTGCGACCGGGCACAGTGGCTCATGCCTGTCATTCCAACACTTTGAGAGGCTGAGGCAGGTGGATCACCTGAGGTCAGGAGTTTGAGACCAGCCTGGGGCCAATATGGTGAAACCCCATCTCTACTAAAAATGCAAAAATTAGCTGGGCTTGGTGGCATGCCCCTGTAATCCCAGCTACTCAGGAAGCTGAGGTGGGAGAATTGCTTGAACACGGGAGGCAGAGGCTGTAGTGAGCTGAGATCACGCCACTGCACTCCAGCCTGGGCAACAGAGCAAGACCCAATCTCAAAAATTATATGAATACATAAATAAATAAATGGAAATTGCTACACCTTTTAAAAAATAATTGGAGGCCAGGCACGGTGGCTCATGCCTGTAATCCCAGCACTTTGGGAGGCTGAGACAGGCGGATAATGAGGTCAGGAGATCGAGACCATCCTAGCTAACACGGTGAAACCCCGTCTCTACTAAAAATACAAAAAAATTAGCCGGGCGTGGTGGCAGGCACCTGTAGTCCCAGCTACTTGGGAGGCTGAGGCAGGAGAATGGCATGAACCCGGGAGGCAGAGCTTGTGGTGAGCCGAGATCGCACCACTGCACTCCAGCCTGGGCGACAGAGCGAGACTCTGTCTCAGAAAAAATAAATAAAAATAATTGGAAGGAAAGTATGATTTGTTGGTATATAGATATAGCAGAAATAGTTTTTATTATATTTTAGTCCTTAAAGTATGGAACTTAATGAAACTGTGTAAAAACTTTTTTTTTTTTTTTTAAGAGGGAGTCTCGCTTTGTTACCCAGGCTGGAGTGCAGTGGCATGATCTCAGCTCACTGCAACCTCTGGCTTCCAGGTTCAAGCAATTCTCCTGCCTCAGCCTCCCAAGTAGCTAGGATTACAGGCACCCGCCACCATGCCCAGCTAATTTTTGTATTTTTAGTAGAGATGGGGTTTCACCATGTTGCCAGGCTGGTCTCAAACTCCTGACCTCAGGTGATCTGCCTGCCTTGGCCTCCCAAAGTGCTGGGATTACAGGCGTGAGCCACCATGCCCGGCCTAAAAATATTTATTTTTCATTTTCTGCTTCAAATTTTCAATAAACAAACTCTAAAGAATAAAAAAAAAAAAAGAACTTTGCAATGCCTATATATAGAAGATCAGATGTACTTTTTCTTTCTTTTTTTTTTTTTTTTGAGACGGAGTCTCGCTCTGTCGCCCAGGCTGGAGTGCAGTGGCACAATCTCCGTTCACTGCAAGCCCCGCCTCCCAGGTGCACGCCATTCTCCTGCCTCAGCCTCCTGAGTAGCTGGGACTACAGGCGCCCGCCACCACGCCCGGCTAATTTTTTGTATTTTTAGTAGAGACAGGGTTTCACCGTGTTAGCCAGGATGGTCTCGATCTCCTGACCTCATGATCCACCCGCCTCGGCCTCCCAAAGTGCTGGGATTACAGGCGTGAGCCACTGCGCCCGGCCCAGATGTACTTTTTCATTCGTGCCACGAAAATTCTGAAACTCATTTTACTGGACTTGATAAAGAAATATTTTCAGGCTTATTTAGAAATATGTTCAGGCTGATTTAGCCTACCACTACATTTACTTTCTCAAATGTCTCTGATAGACCTGTGTACAGAGACTCAGCATAGCATAGCAGGTAGTTAGAAATGTTGAACAGAGGAGGAGAAAGAAGAGGAAAAAAGAATGATGGGAACAGCTTAGGACAGATGTATGTTCACTTGATTCCAGAGCTAAAAGACATGTGACTAGAATCAGTTTTGCCCCTCTCTTAGTAGTTCCTAGCTCCTATTTCTTCTCCCCAATTTATCTTTCTTTCAGTTGTCAAATACTGTGGATTTATTATGTACTAGATATGAAGGGTATTATCTTTCCCCATTCATCTTCTTTGTACTTTCTAACTCCCCACCCGAATGCTGTAGCTTGCTTATGTTAATTTGCAAACTGAAAAGAGAAATAAAAAGCTGCTTTTATATCAGAATCACAGTTTTCTTATTTCTCTTGACTCTGGGTCTCTGTGGCCTCTTTTGTGAACTGGAGGTGAAATGTGACAGGGACACGGAAATGCCAATGTCTTTTGAGGCTGAAGATTTTAACAAAAGGACAAATATTTGTAGAGATTATGTCCCTTAACTGAGTATCGGGGAAAACAATCACCTCCCCTCCTCATGGGACAGGGAACTGGGCAGAGTGTCTACACCTATCAGAGCAGTCCCACTTCTCACTGACGGGATTGTGTAGTAATTTGGGCCTCATAATTAGGAAGTGAAGCAGAGGAAGTCTGGTGATCTGGAATGGGGAGACCAAGAAGAATAATTGAGTCCCATTCTCTTTTCTTGGGGCCAACTTAAAAGGAACAGAAGCTGAAGGTTATTGCATGAGATGTCTTCTGAGCCCTGGGCTCCTTTCAGACCAGGAGAAACAGTTTGAGTATTGTCATTCATTCCAGCATAGTCTGACTCAGCAAGGCATCACCTAAGACCCAGGATGACTGCTCCTTTACTGCCTCCTGCTGCATCCTGTGAAACCTAGATAAACACCCTTGGTGCCATTTTTCTAATCTCTAGGGATTCAGATGCGCTCTGTAGGGTCTTAACTATGCCAGACCCTGCTCCCAAAGACCTTTCCTGGCCTCACCCACTTGGTCCTTCTACCAAGGATCCAGATAGACCTTGCACTGAGGATTGCCCTGGAGCACGCTGACCACCAGGCTAACTCCCAGACCCCAGAGCTTCATCTCTAGGCTGGAGGATGTGAAAACATGCGGTGTTTATTCAACCAGATACAAGGTGCCATAAGGACAGCAGCCCAGGTAGATGCTTCCCAGGGGATATCTTGATGTCTGTTCTGTAGCTGCTAGGCAGGGTTCAGCCTAATTCAGAGCAAGTGTACCTTTTCTACTGTAGACTGTGGGCATGAGCAGAAGCAGCATGTCTGTAATGCAGTCTAGCTGTCACCAGGAGTGGGAATCTGCTACAAACTCAGGCACAGCTTTGTACTCTGCTGCTCAGAACTACTCTGTCAAACCCAAGGAATGAGGCAGATATGGAGCCATAGATCTTGGCTGTGACCTCCTGATGATCATACTGAGGCTGTCAGGGGGATCCACAGGCTCTCTGTGTTAAACCTGCAGTGAAGGCTGGGATTCACAGCTAATCTAGTATCCCTATCAAAAAGAAGCAAACAGGCCGGGCGTGGTGGCTCACACCTGTAATCCCAGCACTTTGGGAGGCTGATGCGGGCAGATCATGAGGTCAGAAGTACGAGACCAGCCTGACCAACATGGTGAAACCCCGTCTATACCAAAAATACAAAAATTAGCTGGGCATGGTGGTGCGCACCAGTAGTCCCAGCTACAGGGGAGGCTGAGGTGGGAGAATGGCTTGAGCCTGGGAGGTGGAGGTTGCAGTGAGCCTGTAGTCCCAGCTACTCAGGACGCTGAGGCAGAAGAATTGCTTGAACCCGGGAGGCGGAGGTTGCAGTGAGCCAGAAGGAGCCACTGCACTCCAGCCTGGCGACAGAGCAAGACTCCAGCCTGAGCAACAGAATCAGACCTTGTCTCACAAAAAAAAAAAAAAAAAGGAAAAAGGAAGAGACACCCAGAGTGTATGGGGATAGAGGAATGGCCATGTGCCATGTGAGGACACAGTGAGAAAATGGCAATCTGCAAGCCGATTAGAGAGGCCTCAGGAGCAACTGAAACTGCTGACACCTTAATCCTGTACTTCCAGACTTCAGAACTGTCAGAAGTAAATTTATATTCCATAAGACATCCAGGCTGTAGTTTTGCGTTATGGCAGCCCTAGCCGACTAAGACACTAAGCATGGGTCTTTATTCATCTATTTTCTGTTACCCTGTGAGTTCACTCAACTGGAAAACTTATTTTCTTCATCTTAAAAAATCTCCTAGAAAAAAATCATTTTCTCACTTCCTTTTTTTTTTTTTTTAGTTTAGTTTTTGTACGGTAAAAAACACATAGCAAGCCAAGCACGGTGGCTCACGTCTGTAATACCCCAGCACCTTGGGAGGCCAAGACGGGCAGATTGCTTGAGCAACCTAGGCAACATGGCAAAAACCCGTCTCTACAGAAAATACAAAAAATTAGCAGGTGGTGATGCATGCCTGTAGTCCCAGCTATTCGGGAGGCTAGGGTGGGAGGATCACCTGAGTCTAGGATGTCGAGACTGCAGTGAACCATGATCACCCCACTGCACTCCAGCCTGGGTGACAAAGACCCTGTCTCAAAAGAAAAGAAAAAAAAAACACATAACAAAATTTATCATCATAACCATTTCTTTTTTTCTTTCTTTCTTTTTTTTTTTTTTTGACAGAGTCTTGCTGTCACCCAGGCTGGAGTGCAGTGGTACAATCTCAGCTCACTGCAACCTCCACCTCTCGGGCTCAAGCAATTCTCCCTGCCTCAGCCTCCGCAGTAGCTGAGATTACAGGTGCCTGCCATCACACCTGGCTAACTTTTGTATTTTTAGTAGAGGCGGGGTTTCACCATGTTGGCCAAGCTGGTCTCAAACTCATGATCTCAGGTGATCTGCCCACCTCGACCTCCCACAGTGCTGGGATTACAGGCATGAGCCACTGTGCCCAGCCCACAACCATTTCTAAGTGTACAGTTCAGTAGTGGTAAGTATATTTACATTGTTGTACAACCCACATTCAGAACTTTTTCTCTTGCAAAATGGAAACTGCATATTGGTTAAACAACAGCTGCCTATCTTCCCCTCCCTGAAGCCTGTGGCAACCACCCTTCCACTTTGTTTCTATGAATTTGAGTACTGTAAATACCTCACATAAGTGGAATTATACAGGATTTGTCTTTTTGTAATTGGCTGATTTCACTTATCATAATAGCCTCAAAGTTCATCCATGTTGTAGCTTGTGTCAGAATTTCCTTCCTTCCTTTTTTTTTTTTTAAGAGATGGGGCCTCACTCTGACACCCAGGATGGACATCGACCTCTGGGCCTCAAGCAATTCTCCCACTTCAGCCTCCTGAGTAGCTAGGACCACAGGCATGAATCTCCACACCCCATTAATTTTGTTTATTTATTTTTTTTAGAGACCGGACCTGACTAAGTTGCCCATCCTGTTCCTTCCTTTTTAAAGCTGAATAATTCTCCATTGCATGTATGCACTTTTTTTTTTTTTTTTTTTTTTTTTTTGAAACAGAGTCTCACTCTGTCGCCCAGGCTGGAGTGCAGAGGTGCAATCTCGGCTCACTGCAACTTCTGCCTCCTGGGTTCAAGTGATTCTCCTGCTTCAGCCTCCCTAGTAGCTGGGATTACAGGCACTTGCCACCATGCCTGGCTAATTTTTATATTATTTTTGTATAGACGGGTTTCACCATGTTGGCCAGGCTGGACTTGAACTCCCGACCTCAAGTGATCCACCTGCCTCAACCTACCAAAATGCTGGGATTACAGGCATGAACCGCTGTGGCCATCCACCACCAAGTGGATTTTTAAAATCCATTCGTTCATTGAGAGACATTTGGGTTGCTTCCATTTCTTGACTATTGGGAATAGTACTGCTATGAACACAGATGTGAAAATATCTTTTTGAAATCCTGCTTTCAATTCTCTGGGATATATATCCAGAAGTGGAATTGCTAGATTGTATGGCAATTCTATTTAAAAATTTTTAAGGGCCGGGCACGCTGGCTTTTGCCTGTAATCCCAGCACATTGGGAGGCTGAGGTGGCGGGCAGATCACTTGAGGCCAGGAGTTCGAGACCAGGCTAACCCACATGGTGAAACCCCATCTCTACTAAAAATACAAAAAATTAGCCAGGCATGGTGGTGCATGCTTGTAATCCCAGCTACTTGGGAGGCTGAGGCAGGAGAATCCTTGTACCCAGGAGGCAGAGGTTGCAGTGAGCCAAGATCACGACATTGCACTCCAGCCTGGGTGACAAAAGTGAAACTCTGTCTCAAAAAAAAAAACAAAACAAATTTAAGGACCTGCCATACTGTTTTCCACAGGGCCTGTACCATTTTGCATTCCCAACAACAAAGCACAAGGGTTCCATTTTCTCCACATCTTTGACAACACTTGTCGTTTTCTCTTTTTAAAAATAATAGCTATCCTAGTGGGTGTGAGATAGTATCTCATTGTAGTTTTAATTTGCATTTCCCTAATGATTAGAGATGTTGCACATCTTTTCATGTCCTTATTGGCCATCTGTATAGCTTCCTTAGAGAAATGCCTGTTCATGCCCTTTGCCCATTTTGAGTCAGGCCATTTTTGTTTTTGTTGAGTTTTAGGAGTTCTCTATTTATTCTGGATATAAATCTTTACTAGGTATATAATTGCAAATATTTCCTCCCATTCTGTGGATTGCCTTTTTACTCTGTTGATATTGTCTTTTGGTGTACAAAATTTTAAAATTTTCATGAGGTCCAATTTGCCCATTTTTTTCTTTTGCTGCCTGTGTCTTTGGTGTTATATCCAAGTAATCATTGCCAGATTCAATGTCATGAAGATTTTGCCCTGTGTTTTTTAGTTTGTTTGTTTGTTTGTTTTTTGATATGGAGTCTTGCTCTGTCGCCCAGGCTGGAGTGCAGTGGCGCAATCTTGGCTCACTGCAAGCTCTGCCTCCCGGGTTCATGCCATTCTCCTGCCTCAGCCTCCTGAGTAGCTGGGATTACAGGCACCCACCACCAAACCCGGCTAATTTTGTTTTTGTATTTTTAGTAGATACAGGGTTTCACTGTGTTAGCCAGGATGGTCTCGATCTCCTGACCTCATGATCTGCCCGCCTCGGCCTCCCAAAGTGCTGGGATTACAGGCATGAGCCACCGTGCCCGGCCTCTATGTTTTCTTCTAAGAGCTTCATAGTTTTAGCTCTTATATTTAGATTTTAGATCTATTTTGAGTTAATATTTGTATAGTGTTAAATCATGGTTCAACTTCATCTTTTTGCAGGTAGATACCAGTTTCCTATGGCAACATTTGTTAGAAAGGTTGTCTTTTCCCTCATCAAATAGTCTTGGCACTCTTGTCAAAAATCATTTGACCATATATGCAAGAGTTTATTTCTGGGCTCTCTATTCTATTCCATTGGTCTATATGTCTGCTGCTATGCCAATATCACACTGTTTTGATTTATAGTAGCTTTGCAGTAAGTTGTGATATCAGGAAGTTGTTCGTTTTCAATATTGTTTTGTCTATTTGGGGTCCCTTGAGATTTTATATGAATTTTAGGATGGGCTTTTCAATTTCTGCAAAAAAACATGATTGAGATTTTGATAGGGATTGCGTTGAATCTGTGGATCACTTTGGGTACTGTTGGCCTCTTAACAATAGTAAGTCTTCTAATCCATGGACATGGAATGCATTTTCATGTATTTATATCTCCTTTAATTTCTTTCAGCAATGTTTTATAGTTTTCATTGTATAAACCTTTTAACTCCTTGGATAAATTAATTCCTAAGTATTTTATTTTTATCCTATTGTAAATGGGATTGTTTTCAAAATTTTATTTTCAAATGGCTCATTGTTAATATGTAGAGATGCAAGTGGTTCTTGTTTCTTGACTTGTAATCCACTAATTTGCTGAATTCATTTATCAGTTCTAATAGTTTTTTGTGTGAAATCTTTAGGGTTTTCTACATATAAAATCATAAGAAGTAGCCGGGCGTGGTGGTGTGTGCCTGTAGTCCCAGCTACTCAGGACGCTGAGGCAGAAGAATCGCTTGAACCCGGGAGGCGGAGGTTGCAGTGAGCCCAGAAGGAGCCACTGCACTCCAGCCTGGCGACAGAGCAAGACTCCGTCACCAAAAAAAAAAAAAAAAAAATTCATAAGAACAAGAGATAATTGCACTTCTTCCTTTTCAACCTGGATGCCTTTAATTTCCTTTTCTTGCCTAATTGCTCTGGCTAGAACTTTTAGGGCTATGTTGAATGGAACTAGCAAAAGTGGGCATCCTTTTCTTGTTCCTGATATTAGCAGAATAGCCTTTAATCTTTCACCATTGAGTATGATATAATGTTTGTTATGACTTTCTCATACATGCCTTTTATTATATTGAGGTAGTTTCCTTTTATTCCTGGTTTGTTAAATGTTTTCATCATGAAAGGGTGTTGAATTTTGTCAAATGCTTTTTCTGCATCAATTAAGATGATTGTATGATTTTTCTCCTTCATTCTGTTAATGTGGTGAATTATATTGATTGTTTTTCGTACACTGTGCCACCTTTATATTCCAGGAATAAATCCCACAGTGTATAATCCTTTTAATACATTGCTAAATTTGGCTTGCTGGCATTTTGTTGAGGATTTTTGCATCAGTATTCATAGGAGATATTGGTGTATGTTTTCTTTTTTCCTAGTGTATGTCTGCCTTTGGTATCAGGGTAATGCTCACCCCTGGAATGAGTTAGGAAATGTTCCTTCTCTTTGATCTTTTGGCAAAGTTTGAGAAGCATTAGCATTAATTCTCCTTCAAATGTTTGGCAGAATTCACCAGTGAAGCCATCTGGTCCAGGGCTTTTCATTTTGGGGAGATTTTTGATTATTGATGCAATATCTTTAATTCAAATTTTCTATTACTTCATGATTTAGTCTTGGTAAGATATATGTTTCTAGGAATTTGTTCATTTCATCTAGATTATCCAATTTGTTGGCATGTAATTGTTTAATTACTCTTATAATTCTTTTAATTTTTGTAAAATGTAATGTTCCCACTTTCATTTTAACTTTAATAATTTGAGTCTTTTTATCTTTTTTTGTTGTTAGTGTAGCTAAAGGTTTGTCAATTTTGTTCATCTATTTGAAGAACCAACTTTTGGTTGCACTGATTTTCTCAATTGTTTTTCTCTTATCTGTATTATTATTTATTTATTTATTTATTATTATTTTGAGACAGAGTCTCCCTCTGTCACTCAGGCTGGAGTGCAGTGGTGTGAAGCCTCTGCCTCCCCTGTTCCAGTGATTCTCCTGCCTCAGCCTCTCAAGTAACGGGGGTTACAGGCATCTGCCACCATGCCTGGCTAATTTTTGTTTTTTTGTTTTATTTATTTATTTATTTAGAGACAGAGTCTAGCTCTGTTGCCCAGGCTGGAGTGCAGTGGCATGATCTTGGCTCACCGCAACCTCCACCTCCCAGGTTCAAGCAATTCTCTTGCCTTAGCCTCCCAAGTAGCTGGGATTACAGGTATGCACCACCACAGCTAATTTTTATATTTTTAGTAGAGACGGGATTTCACCATGTTGGCCAGGTTGGTCTTGAACTCCTGACCTCAGATGATCCACCTGCCTTGGCCTCCCAAAGTGCTGGGATTATAGGTGTGAGCCACTGCGCCCAGACAATTTTTTTTTTTTTTTTTTTTTTTTTTGAGACGGAGTCTTGCTCTGTCGCCCAGGCTGGAGTGAGTGCAGTGGTACGATCTCGGCTCACTGCAACCTCCACCTCCTGGGTTCAAGCAATTTCCTGCCTCAGCCTCCCGAGTAGCTGGGACTATAGGCGTGTGCCACCAAGCCCAGCTAATTTTTTGTATTTTTAGTAGAGATGAGGTTTCACAGTGTTAACAGAATGGTCTCGATCTCCTGACCTCGTGATCCACCCACCTTAGCCTCCCAAAGTGCTGGGATTACAGGCATGAGCCACCTTGCCGGGCCTATTTTTAATTTTTTCACAAGTATTTGTGCCTAAAGGTATTCTCTGTTTTATTTATCTCTTCTCTAATCTCTATTATTTCCTTCCTTATAATAGTTTTGGGTTTAACTCATTCTTTAATCTTCTTTAGTCTCCTTTAATCTCTTTTAGTAATGTTTTGTAGTTTTCTTTTCTTTTAAAAAAAAACCTTTTTATTATGGAAAATTTCAAATATATAAAAAAGTAGAGAAAATAGTCTATTAAACACCTATTTCTCATCACCTAATTCCAAGAATTATCAATTCATAGTCATATACTCCACATTTTCTCACCTCCACCATTTTCAAGCAAATAATATATTTTCATCCATAAGTATTTCAGTATGAATCTCTAAATGATGAGAGCTCTTTTTTTTCTTTGACTTTTTTTTTTTAATACTTTAAGTTTTAGGGTACATGTGCACAACGTGCAGGTTTTTTACATATGTATACATATGTCATCTTGGTGTGCTGCACCCATTAACTCATCATTTAACATTAGCTATATCTCCTAATGCTATCCCTCCCCCTCCCCCCACCCATGTAGTTTTCAATGTACAAGTTTTACACTTATAGCTGCTATTATAAATGCAATTTTCTTAACTTCATTTTCAAATTATTCATTGCACATATATAGAGATATCATCGATTTTCGTGTATTGATAGTGTATCCTGCAACTTAGCTGAACCCATTTATTAGTACTTATTTTGTGTGTGTGTGTCTATGTGTGTGTAAGTTTGAGTTTTTTTAATATGCAACATCATGCTACCCACTAATATAGGTTGTTTTACTTCATCCTTTCTAATCGGGTACATTTTATTTCATTGTCTTGCTTAATTACTCTGGCTGGAACCTCCAGTACAATGTTGAATAGAAGTAGCAAGAGTGAGCATCCTTGTCTTGTTTCTTCTTTTAGGAATTTTACTTGTTTATTTTAAACACTATTGTAATTGGAATTTTTTTTTTCATTTTATTTTTCTGTAGAAACAGGGTCTCACTATGTTGCCAAAGCTGGTCTCAAATTGCTACCCTCAAGCAATCGTCCCACCTCAGCCTCCCAAAGTCCAGGTGTTACAAGCTTGAGCCATGGTAACCAGCTGGAATTTTCTAAGTTAATTTTCTTTTTTTTTTTTTTGAGACAGAGTCTTGCTCTGTTGCCTAGGCTGAAGTGCAGTGGCGCGATCTTGGCTTACTGCAACCTCCGCCTCCCGGGTTCAAGCGATTCTCCTGCCTCAGCCTCCCGAGTAGCTGGGATTACAGGCGCCCACCACCACACTCAGCTAAATTTTTTTCTTTCTTTTCTTTGAGATGGAGTCTCACTCTATCACTCAGGCTGGAGTGCAGTGGCGCGATCTCGGCTCATTGCAACCTCTGCAGCCCAGGTTCAAGCGATTCTCCTGCCTTAGCCTCCTGAGTAGCTGGGATTACAGGCACACACCACCACGCCCAGCTAATTTTTGTATTTTTAGTAGAGATGGGGTTTCACCATGTTGGCCAGGGTGGTCTTGAACTCTTGACCTTGTGATCCACCCGACTCAGCATCTCAAAGTGCTGGGATTACAGGTGTGAGCCACCGCGCCTGGCCAATTTTTTGTATTTTTAGTAGAGACAGGGTTTCACTGTGTTAGCCAGGATGGTCTTGATCTCCTGACCTCGTGATCCACCCACCTTGGCCTCCCAAAGTGCTAGGATTACAGGTGTGAGCCACCGCACCCGGCCCTAAGTTAACATTCAATGTATGTTTTTAGACTACAGAAATAGAATTCATTTATATATTAATATTTTATCTTGTCACCTTGCTAAATTAACTTATTGGTCCTTTTAAAATTGTATTCTTTAGGATTTATGCATAAACAATCACATTGTTTCTTTTAATTTTTTATTTTTTAATTATTATTTTATTTATCTATCTATCTATCTATTTATTTATTTATTTATTTGAGACAGGGTCTCCCTCTGTCACCCAGACTGGAGTTCAGTGGTACGATCACAGCTTACTGAAGCCTCAACCTCCTGGGCACAAGTGATCCTCCTGAGAAACTGAGACTACAGGCGTGTGCCACCACAGCTGGACAGCTGAGCTGGCTAATTTTTTTTTTTTTTTTTTTTTTTTTTGCAGAAACAGGGTCTCCCCTATGCTGCCCAGGCTGGTCTTGAACTCCTGGACTTTGGCCTCCCAAAGTGTGTGAGCCACCATGCCTAGTCCATGTTGTTTTTATTTTGTATTACTTTTTTAAATTTTATTATTATTACTTTTTGAGACATGGTCTCACTCTGTCACCAAGGTTAGAGTGCAGTGGCAGAATCATAGCTCACTGTAACCTCCCCCTCTTGGGTTCAAGCAATTCTCCTGCCTCGGCCTCCCGAGTAGCTGGGGCTACAGATGCACACCACCACCCCTGGCTGTGTTTTTTATTTTTTGTAAAGATGGGGTTTCACCATGTTGGCCAGGCTGGTCTCGAACTCCTGGTCTCAAGCCCCGCCCCATGTCTTTTTTTTGTTTTTTTGTTGTTGCTGGTTTTTTTTTTTTTTTTTTTTTTTAGATAGACTCTCACTCTGTTGCCAGGCTGGAGTGCAGTGGCGAGATCTCGGCTCACTGCAATCTCTGCCTCCCGGGTTCAAGTGATTCTCCTGCCTCAGCCTCCCGAGTAGCTGGGATTACAGGTGCGCACCACCATGCCTGGCTAATTTTTTGTACTTTTAGTACAGACGGGATTTCACCATGCTGGCCATGGCTAGTCTTGAACTCCTGACCTCGTGATCTGCCCGTCTCAGCCTCCCAAAATGCTAGGATTACACGCGTGAGTCACTGCGCCCAGCCCCCATGTTGTTTTTAAGAGTCTCATGTTCTACCGACTGAGCCAGCCAGAGCTATGTTGTATTTAAATAAATATCGTTCTACATCTTCCTTTCTAGTTTTATGCCATTTATTTTTTATTCTTTCCACATTACACTGGTTAGAACTTCCAGTACAATGAGGAAAAACTGGTAAGAATGGATATTTCTGCTTTGTGATAGATCTTAGGAGACAAGGATTAAATCTTTCACTCCTTCTAGTGTTGCTACACAGAAACTATAGAGTCCTAGGAGGCTGGGTGCAGTGGCTCAGCACTCTGGGAGGCCTAGACAGGAGGATCCCTTGAGCCCAGGAGCTCGAGACCAGCCTGGCCAACATAGTGAGTTCCCTTCTCTACAAGAAAATTTTAAAAATTAGCCAGGTGTGGTGGTACGTGCCTGAAGTCCCAGATATATAGGAGTCCGAGGTGGGAGGATTGCTGGAGCTTGGGAGTTCAAGGCTGCAGTGAGCTGTGATTGTACCAACTGCACTCCAGCCTGGTATACGTGTATGTGTGTGTACGTATATTTTATCCATGTAGGTATATGTATATATATTGTCTTAGGGATTCCCCAGGGGTTTGGGGTCTAGTAATTTCAGACAGTGTTGGACTCCTTTCCACTTAGTTCTTGCTGTTTCTAAGTTGGCACTGTGTCCCTGGAGACTTACTCCTCTGCTTCTGTCTTTGCTCTTAGTTGTCAGGGGCCACTCCTGGGAACTGAAAGAACCGAAAAAAATAGAGGGAGGGACCCTGGACCCTGCCATTGGCCTAGTCCCTTTGGCCATGTGCCTGAGGTGAGTGACATCAGAGGAAACTTTAGGCCATAATGATATGTAGGAACTGGTACCATTTTTAGGAGGCATCAGATGTCTTATTTCCCTAATTTTTGGACTAATGTTACCCCTAAACCCAAGATAAAGCCTAATTCCTGGAGTTTTGGTTAGATTTGGAAAGTTACTGCTCAGCTGATGGACATGTTTTATTTGTGTTTTGCATTGGAATTAGAAAAGTGAAAAATAAACCAGGTGCAGTGGTTCATGCCTCTAATCACAGCACTTTGGGAGGCTGAGGTGGGAGGACTGCTTGAGACCAAGAGTTCAAGACCAGTCTGGGAAACATAGTGAAACCTCATCTCTACAAAAAAAAAAAAAAAAAATTTTAGCTAGGCATGGTGGTGCACACCAGTAGTCACAGCTACTTGAGAAGCTGAGGCAGGAGGATCTTTTGAACCCAGGAGTTAAACGCTGTGGTGAGCCATGATCAGGCCACTGTACTCCAGCCAGGGAGATAGAGCAATACCTGGACTGGACTCTAAAAAAGAAAAAAAAAGTTGCTCTGATTTTGTCTTATTTGTCAATCTGTCCAGTTTCCCTGGACTCCCATCCAGTATATTCTCTTTTTCAGACAAAGTCTCGCTCTGTCACCCAGTCTGGATGGTGCAGTGGTGTAATCATGGCTCACTGCAGCCTTGACCTCCCCAGGTTCAGGTGATCCTCCCACCTCAGCCTCCCCAGTAGCTGGGACTACAGGTGCATGCCACCACTCCTGGCTAATTTTTATAATTTTTGTAGAGACGGGGCTTTCGCCATGTTGCCTAGGCTGGTCTCAAACTTCTGGGCTCAAGCCATCTGCCTGCCTTGGCTTCCCAACCAATATATTCTTTTAATAAGAAAAATGGTGACCAGGCGCTGTGGCTGGCTCAAGCCTGTAATCCCAGCACTTTGGGAGGCCAAGGTGGGCAGATCACCTTAGGTCAGGGGTTCAAGATCAGCCTGGCCAACATGAAGAAACCCCGTCTCTACCAAAAATACAAAATTAGCCGGGAATGGTGGCACACGCCTGTAATCCCAGCTACTTGGGAGGCTGAGGCAGGAGAATCACTTGAACCTGGGAGGCGGAGGTTGCAGTGAGCTGAGATCGCGCCATTGCACTCCAGCCTGGTCAACAAGAGCGAAACTCCGTCTCAGAAAAAAAAAGAAAAGAAAAATGGTTTAGGGGTCCCAGAGATCACCAGCTATTCTGCCTTACCCTTTCTCCCCTCAAGAAGATACGGAGGACCTTTTCCTCAGCTCAAATATAGGTTTAGGGTAAAACCTTAGGATAGAAAAGATATGTCACTGGGTGCCGTGGCTCACGCCTGTAATCCCAACACTTTGGGAGGCCGAGGCAGGCAGATCATTCGAGGTCAGGAGTTTGAGACCAGCCTGACTGACATGGTGAAACTCCATCTCTACTAAAAATACAAAAACATTAGCTAGGCGTGGTGGCGCACACCTGTAGTCCCAGCTACTCGGGAGGCTGAGGCAAGAGAATCTCTTGAACCTGGGAAGTGGAGGTTGCAGTGAGCCAAGATCACGCCATTGCATTCCAGCCTGAGCAACAGAGTGAGACTGTCTCCAGAAAACAAAACAAAACAAAAATTTGCCAGGCATGGTGGTGCGTGCCTGTAATCCCAACTACTAGGGAGACTGAGACACAAGAATCGCTTGAACCCGGGATGTGGAGGTTGCAGTGAGCTGTGATCGTGCCACTGCACTCTACCCTGGGCAACAGAGTGAGACTGTGTCTCCAGAAAAAAAAAGGAAAAGAAAAAGAAAAAGAAAAAAAAAAAAAGATATGGGACAGGACTGCAGGGCCTAAAAGGGGAAAGGTCAGTTTGTCAGTATGGGTCAAAGGTGAGAAGGACAAAGTCTGGGCTGGGAAGAGATGCATAAATATTTGCAAATGTTTTGTCCTTCACTGTTTTGGAAGCCATCAACTTTCTGGTTTCCTTGTGATTCTGGGAAAGGGCAGATTAAAAACAGCAACAACAACAATAATAGTAATTCAGGTCATGAAGATACCAAAGCAAATGAGATGTTTGGACTGTTTTTTTCCTCTGACTTGTTTCTCCTCAAAATAGGAGGATCACCCACATCCTTTAAGAGTGAAGATGAGGTGTGCTCAGGGCAACCGAAGTTTCCAAGAGCTAAGACACTTTCTAGCTCTGGCCAGTCTTGGTGTCTCTTTGTCCTGAGCCTTTCTCCACTTCCCAACCTGAGCACTGCTTCCTTCCAGCAGGGCTGCTCTGCTGTCCCCCCATGGTCCAAGCTGTGCTGCTGCTTTGCTGTGTCCTGCTGTCCCTGGTGTCTGCCTTTCCAAGAAATGCTCAGAATGAGACTCTGACCCTCCAGCCATCTTTAACAGAGACTGGGCATCCATCAAACATGCTCTCCATTATTTGGAGAACATGGAGAGCCAGATTCCTCTCCCAGATCCCAGGATCTGCCAAGATCTCTTACACACAGCCCCCTCCCTAGCCCCTCTGCCTGAGTACCTGTCCAACTTAGCTCTGAGGGTGCCCTTGGAGGAGGTGGGCTGCCCAACTGAGGCCCATGTTCTGCAGTTTCAGATGCGAGGAAAGGATACCACTGAAACCCTCATCCGTGAGAGTCAAAAAGTTCAATGGGGAGGAAGGCAATACCAACATCATTGTGACGAATCTAGTAGTCCCTTAGGGAAGTGTGAATAAACCCAGCACCCAGCTGCCCATCCTGGGAAATGTATGGATGGTGGCAAATATACCCACTGGGGTAGCTGGCCTACCAGGTAGCTCAGATGGTGATTGAGTTTGCTGAGAAACCATCTCCCATGATGCTTGGTGTCACAGTTCAAAGTTTTGGGTGTCCACATCACCAAGAACTGCAGGTATGAGTCTTGGGAGCATATTGAAGAATTAGGCAAAAAGTTGAAGAAGCTCTCAAGATCATTTAAATTGTCCATGGACAGTGACAATATAATCTATCAAATGTTCCACAGCTATTCTGAAGTGCTTTGTGAGGAAAATGATCCAGGAATTGATCCCGGCTCATTTCAGCTATTCAATATCACATAAGTAATGAGTCTCCTTTCCCAGGACTGTATTCAAGGATGGCACACAGTAAGTAGTTAGAAATGTTGGAGACCACTTAGGACAGATGAATGCTCTTTATTTCACCTCTTCCCTTAAACACATATGTGACCAGTGTTAGCCTTGCCCCTCTCCACTTAGTAGGTGTCAGCTCCCCTCCTTTTTTTTTTTTAAGACGGAGTCTCACTCTGTCACCCAGGCTGGAGTGCAGTAGTGCGATCTTGGCTTACTGCAACCTCCACCTCCCGGGTTCAAGCAATTCTCCTGCCTCAGCCTCCTGAGTAGCTGGGACTACAGACGCCCACCACCACGCCTGGGTGTATATATATATATATATATATATATATTTTTTTTTTTTTAGTAGAGACAGGGTTTCACCATATTGGCCAGGCTGGTCTCGAACTCCTGACCTTGTGATCCGCCCGCCTTGGCCTCCCAAAGTGCTGGGATTACAGGCGTGAGCCACCATGCTCAGCCGCTAATTTAATTTTTAAAATGAAGAGAAATGAGAGTATCACAAACATCTCATCTTTCCTAATTCTGAATTTCCCTGGCTCCTATCATGAGCTTAGAGTGGGAATGTGGCAGGGACATACAGGAAATGCCAAAGAACAGGACTGTAGGCATAGAGGTTGAGTGTGTGACAAGGGGCACAAGGTTTGAGCAGCCAGTATAAATGGGCAAATATTTGCAGAGATTACATCCTTCACTGATCATAGGGGAAAGCAAATATCTCCTTTCCTCATGGGACACAGAACTAGGCAGAACAGGATCAGGAAGCGATCAAACCTACCAAGGCAGTCTCACTTCTCAATGACTGGACTGTGTGGTAATTTGGGGTCCCTATATATGGGTGGAAATAAAACAGAAGTCCCTGGTGACCTGTAAATGGGGGAGACCAAGTGGGAGCAACTGGGGTGCATTTCCTATTTCCTAGGCCTTTACCTAAAAAGAACAGAAGCTTGGGGCCAGGCGCGGTGGCTCACATCTGGAAGCCTATCACTTTGGGAGGCGGAGGTGGAAGGATCACTTGAGCCCAAAGTTCAGAACTAGGCTGGGCCAGATGGCAAAACCACGTCTCTACAAAAAATTTAAAAATTAGCTGGGCATGGTGTCACGCACCTGTAGTCCCAGCTGCTTGGGAGGCTGAGGCAGGAGGATCCCTCGAGCCCAGGAATTCAAGGCAGCAGTGATTTGTGATCCCATCACTGCACTCTAGTCTGGGCAACAGAGCAAGACCCTGTCTCTAAAAAGAAAGTACAAAAGCTTGGAAGCAGGTGATGTATGAGGTGTCCCCCTAACTGAGTCTTGGGCTCACCATCGCCCTTAGGGAAATGGTTTGTATGTTTCGGATTTCTCCCCTTTCTAGGGTACTCTGCTCCAGACATGCGTGGCCTCAGACTCATCATGATACCAGTTGAGCTGCTACTTTGCTACCTCCTGCTGCACCCTGTGGATGCCACTTCATATGGAAAGCAGACAAATGTCTTGATGCACTTTCCCTTGTCCTTGGAATCCCAGACACCCTCCTCAGACCCCTTGTCCTGCCAATTTCTGCACCCAAAGTCACTGCCTGGTTTCAGCCACATGGCCCCTCTACCCAAGTTCTTGGTAAGCCTGGCTCTAAGGAATGCCCTGGAGGAAGCTGGTTGTCAGGCTGATGTTTGGGCTCTACAGCTACAGCTCTACCGCCAGGGTGGTGTGAATGCTACACAGGTCCTCATCCAGCATCTTCGAGGGCTCCAGAAAGGCAGAAGCACAGAGAGGAACGTGTCAGTGGAAGCCCTGGCCTCTGCTCTGCAGCTGTTAGCCAGGGAGCAGCAAAGCACAGGAAGGGTCGGGCGCTCCCTCCCGACAGAGGACTGTGAGAATGAGAAGGAGCAAGCTGTGCACAATGTAGTCCAGCTGCTGCCAGGAGTGGGAACCTTCTACAACCTGGGCACAGCTTTGTATTATGCTACTCAAAACTGCCTGGGCAAGGCCAGGGAACGAGGCCGAGATGGGGCCATAGATCTGGGATATGACCTTCTGATGACCATGGCTGGGATGTCAGGGGGGCCTATGGGTCTAGCGATCAGTGCTGCACTTAAACCTGCATTAAGGTCTGGGGTTCAGCAGTTGATCCAGTATTACCAAGATCAGAAAGACGCAAACATCTCTCAGCCGGAGACCACCAAGGAGGGTTTGAGGGCCATCTCAGATGTGAGTGACTTGGAAGAAACAACTACTCTGGCTTCTTTCATATCAGAAGTAGTAAGTTCAGCTCCCTACTGGGGGTGGGCCATAATCAAGAGCTATGACTTAGATCCTGGGGCTGGGAGTCTTGAGATATAAAAGAATGTGGTAACCACAGAATTAATAACTGTACTACCCTGACAAGCTATATACATGTCTTCAAAATTTTAATCTGATTTATCCAGGAGGAAGGCTGTACAGTAAAACGTAAGAACGTAAATGTTTGGGTGTTGAAGTCACAGGGTTTGGTTTCGAATCTAGGCTCCACTTGTTAGAGCCTCGGTGATCACTGAATAGTAACTTCTTTCTTGAACTAAGATCAGTTTTGAAGTTTCTAAAGGAGATAGAATGATTTTAACCTCAATGAGTTGCCCTGTAAATTTAAAATGATACAATGAATCTAAAATGCTTATCACAGTACTTTCAATAAATAGCTATTAGCCAGGTGCGGTGGCTCACGCCTGTAATCCCAGCACTGTGAGAGGCTGAGGCGGGATGATCACCTGAGGTCAGGAGTTCAAGATCAGCCTGGGCAACATGGCGAAACCCCGTCTCTACAATAAATACAAAAAATTATCCTGGCGGAGTTATGCACGCTTGTAGTCCCAACTACCTGGGAGGCTGAGGCGGGAGAATCACCTGAGCCTGGGAGGTCGAGGCTGCAGCGAGCCGAGATCGCGCCGCTGCATTCCAGCCTGGGTGACAGAGCGAGACCATGTCTCAAAAAATAAAAATAAAAAAAAATTGTTTTCATTACCTCAGCCCTCCTCTTCCTATCCCAAGGCGTCGAAATTCCGGTCCCACCCCTTCCCATGGAGCCCTTGGCGTCTCCAGGCTCCTCAAGCTAGTTTCGGTTCCGGGGCTCACGCGCGGGTTCTCGAAAATCAGCTGTTTCAGTCTTGGGCTAGTCCACTAATTGGACTCCTCCCCTCGTAGAAAGTGCCTACTTGAACTTCTCCACCAATCGCTGAAGCTGCAGGTGTGGTTTCGGCTCAGCTTGTCCCGCCCTGCGGAGGGGCGGAGTTGCGGCGGCGCCAGTGAGCTCGCAGTCTGGGAAGGGCTTGACTGAATGGCAGCCAGTGTCGGGGTGGCGGCTGGGAATGGGGGCCGCTCCGGACTTCCGCTGCCAACTACAAGGGGGCGGGTCCGAGGGGGGTTAGCCGAAGTTGTAGGCGGGGCGCGAGGTTCTAGTACCCGAGCTCATACTAGGGACGGGAAGTCGCGACCAGAGCCATTGGAGGGCGCGGGGACTGCAACCCTAATCAGGTACGGGCCCTGAGAGGGTGTGCTGGGGTAGGGGTGGGGGTGAGAGTGAGAGTTCCTCCGAGGGAAGGGCGACTGGCCCCAGGGGTTACCCCCTGGAGAGGGTAGCTTCGGTCCCCAGATTGAAATAGGAGCTGTCGCCTGCTCGGTCCTCGATCTTCTTCTGTCCAGCCTATCTCCCTAACCCTAATGCCCCTCTCCCAAAACTGCCCTGCAGCTTCCGAGACCCGGAATCTGGCATTGTTATGTTGGTTCGGTATCTGACGTTTTTCCCTCTGCTCTGCATTATTTTTTATCTTCACCAAAAAACGATGTTCAAAGATAGATAAATCTAAAAACAAAGATAGATAAATCTATTATCCTTGTTTTGTTAAAAAGTATAAGCTACTGAAAGATGAAACGATTGCCTAAGGTCACACACAAAATTCAGTTCATTTCAGAAAAGCTTCTTGAGTGCAAAATATGTGCCTAAGAATGAGAGATAATGAGAAAAAATTGTTTCAGCCCTTAACCTCAGTGTTTGCAATCCATTTGGGGAGACCAGGTTTTTTGTTTTGTTTTCATATTTGAATCTTTGCTGACTTGCTCCTTTAATATCAGACACTTAAATCCTCAAGAATTGGGACCTCATCATTAATTTTTTTTTGGAGATGGAATCTCACTATGTTGCTCAAGCTTGGTCTCAAACTCCTGGGCTCAAGCCATCCTCTCGTCTTGTGGGCCTCACAAAGTGCTGGGATTACAGGCATGAGCCATCATGCCTGGCCACCTGATCATTTTTTTAACTTTTTTTTGGTATCATAAAAGCAATACAGATACATAGTTTTAAAAATCAAGCACTACTAAAAGAGTTAAAATGAAAATAGCCCCTGCCCAATCCCTCCCTTCCCTTGTTCCTGCTGGAGGTAGAAAGGCAGCTGATGTTATTCATGTTAGTAGAAGACTCTCCCACCCCAAGCATTTCTCTTTATTTTGTAATAAAATCATGTGACCTTTTTAGACCACAAATATGCATGAATTCTGTTCTGTTAGGCTCAGGCTGCAACAAGCATAAGTTTCAGTTTCCTAAATAGACACCAGCTGGCAGTGAGCAGGGAACAGTGGGGAGAAAGATGCATGGGACAGCCTGCTTGGTGACAGGCAAAAACCAATTTGTTGTTCTTTTGAGACAGAGTCTTGCTTTGTCACCCAGGCTGGAGTGTAGTGATGTGATCTCTGCTTACTGCAACCCCTGCCTCCTGGGTACAAGCCATTCTCCTGCCTCAGCCTCTTGAGTAGCTGGGATTACAGGCAACAATTTTAAGTGAAGTTTCAGGATCTCACAAAGTTGATAACCTATAATCATATTCAAGATTCACAGGTCATAAACGTGTCATATTCTTGGGATTGAGCCACCCATTGCACAGCATTTAGATGTCTTCTAGAATGGAGCTCCTCCTTCCTATATGGAGGGCAGTTTATATGGTGTACTTACCTGACCACCAAAAAGATTTGGCTCCTAAAAAAGCTTCAGGTGGCCGGGCATGGTGGTTCACCCCTGTAATCCCAGCACTTTGGGAGGCCAAGGTGGGCAGATCACCTGAGGTCAGAAGTTCCAGACCAGCCTGGACAATATGGTGAAACCCCATCTCTACTAAAAATACAAAAATTAGCTGGGCATGGTAGTGGGCGCCTGTAATCCCAGCTAGTCGGGAGGCTGAGGCAGGAGAATCCCTTCAACTCGGGAGGCAGAGTTTGCAGTGAGCCGAGATCGTGTCACTGCACTCCAGCCTGGGTGACAGAGCAAGACTCCATCTCAAAAAAAGAAAAAAAAAAAAAGAAAAAAAAAAGCTTCAGAGCCAGCAGGGATCATGCTGTAATAAATACTTAACATCAACACTGATCTTTAAATGCTTTAGCACAATCAAATATAAATAACAAACACACACATAAATGCAAAATAAATGAATTAGGGAGATAGATGAAATAAGATTGTGGAAATAGTAATGTTTGTTAAAGCTGGATGGTGATCCTTGTACTATTCACTCTACTCTAGTGTGTATTTGAAAATTACCATTAGGCTGGTTATGGTGGCTCATGCCTGTTAATCCCGGCATTTTGGAAGGCTGAGGCAGGCGGATTACTTGAGCTCAGGAGTTTGAGATCTGCCTGGGCAACATGGCAAAATCCCATCTCTACAAAAAATTAGCTGGCATGATGGCACACTCCTGTAGTCCCAGCTCCTTGAGGGGCTGAGGCAGAGAATGGCTTGAACCTGAGAGGTCAAAGCTGCAGTGAGCCAAGATCATGCCACTGCACTCCAGCCTGGGTGACCAAGTGAGACCCTGTCTCAAAAAAAAAAAAAAAAAAAGAAAGAAAATTCCCATTAAAGCACAAAGGCCCACTTATTGAAGCTATTAAAATACAGGTTGGGGCCGGCTGGGCACAGCGGCTCACGCCTGTAATCCCAGCACTTTGGAAGGCCGAGGTAGGCAGATCACGAGTTCAGGAGATCGAGACCATCCTGGCTAACACGGTGAAACCCCATCTCTACTAAAAATACAAAAAAAAAAATCAGCCGGGCATGGTGGCGGGAGCCTATAGTCCCAGCTACTCGGGAGGCTGAGGCAGGAGAATGGCATGAGCCCGGGAGGCGGAGCTTGCAGTGAGCCAAAATCACACCACTGCACTCCAGCCTGGGCAACAGATCGAGACTCCATCTGAAGAAAAAAAAAATACAGGTTGGGACCACAGTGGCTCATGCCTGTAATCCTAGTACTTTGGGAGTCCGAAGTAGGTGGATCACCTGAGGTCAGGAGTTTGAGACCAGCCTGGCCAACATGGCAAAACCCCATCTCTACTAAAAAATATACAAAAATTAGCTGGGCGTGGTGGTGGGTGCCTGTAATCCCAGCTACTCAGGAGGCTGAGGCAGAAGAATCACTTGAACCAGGGGGATGGTGGTTGCAATGAGCCAAGATCATGCCACTTCACTCCGGCCCAGGCAAAAGAGTGAGAGTCCATCTTAAAAAAAAAAAAAAAAAAAAAAAAAAAATACAGATTAGGCATTCCTAATCTGAAAAATTTGGCTCCAAAATGCTCCAGTGAGCATTTCCTTTGAGTGTCATGTGGGTGCTCAAAAAGTTAGATTTTGGACCATTTCAGATTTCAGAGTTTTGGATTAGGGATGCTCGACTGGTAAGTAATGCAGATATTCCAAAATCTGGACAAATCTGAAATCCAAAATGCTTGGAATAGCAGATACTCAACTGGTAGCACTCCCTGGAAGAATATGCACCAAACTGATAGCAGTGGTTACTTCTGGAGAGGAGGGGAAAGAACCAAGATTAGCAGTAGGATCAACATATATTTTAATGTTTTCTGTATTTTTATTACTTGTATAATTTAAACATTTTAAATTAGTAATAATGAACAATCATGAAACTATGGATGATTTAGTCCAGCAAAATATCCAATTGGGAACCCTCATCCTTCTGACGCAGAGCCCAAATGGCGCAGTGGGAAATGCTGCAGAATCTTGACAGCCCCTTTCAGGATCAGCTGCACCAGCTTTACTCGCACAGCCTCCTGCCTGTGGACATTCGACAGTACTTGGCTGTCTGGATTGAAGACCAGAACTGGTGAGGCCTTCAGGAAGTTGGGGGAATGAAAAAGGTGGTTCCTTACTTCTGGGCCCCCGGGATCCTGGAATCATTAATGGCAGGAAGGGGTTGGAAAGCCTCAGGACTACAGTAACACTGCAGAGACACTAATACTTCTTATTCCTGGTGCCCAGGCAGGAAGCTGCACTTGGGAGTGATGATTCCAAGGCTACCATGCTATTCTTCCACTTCTTGGATCAGCTGAACTATGAGTGTGGCCGTTGCAGCCAGGACCCAGAGTCCTTGTTGCTGCAGCACAATTTGCGGAAATTCTGCCGGGACATTCAGGTACTTGGAACGGTTGGGAGTGATGGGGTAGCACTGGGAGCTGAGCATAGAGGAGTAAGGTTTGGAGAATAGAATAGTACCTGGAGGTGGAAAGGGAGACGGGAACAAATGTGGGGAAAGGAGGACAGAGTCTGGACTTGGGGAATCACTAGCAGAGAGAAGGGTTGCATATACGTGACACTGTTGGGAGGATGCTATGGTGAAAAGACAAAGGGCTAAGAACCCCGAAGGAGGAGGAAATACTGTGGACATTGGTGGGGAGGGTCTAGGGCAATAGGTCATTGAGAGTGGTTGAATTGGATCAATCCTTTCTGTTTACCTATTCTAGCCCTTTTCCCAGGATCCTACCCAGTTGGCTGAGATGATCTTTAACCTCCTTCTGGAAGAAAAAAGAATTTTGATCCAGGCTCAGAGGGCCCAATTGGTGAGGACAATTCAGTGGTAATGTTGGAAACTCCTGAAGTAGAGAGGAACCATGGAAAGGACTCAGGGAGTTGTCTCAGAACAGGATCCCCCCGACATCCTGTGGTATAATTTCAGGCCTGAACTTAAGGCATGAAAGGCCAGAGTTAAAACGTGCTCAGAGCCTCTTTTTTCAGGAACAAGGAGAGCCAGTTCTCGAAACACCTGTGGAGAGCCAGCAACATGAGATTGAATCCCGGATCCTGGATTTAAGGGCTATGATGGAGGTTAGTAGATGTGGTAGGAGTTAGGGTTGACAGCGTTCAGCCTAACACCTCCCTGAGAAGCAGCCTCATCGGGGTCCTCTCCCCTCTGCAGAAGCTGGTAAAATCCATCAGCCAACTGAAAGACCAGCAGGATGTCTTCTGCTTCCGATATAAGATCCAGGCCAAAGGTAGGAAGCACATTGAGGGGCTGGAGAAAGATAAGTGCCTGCTGAGAAGCCGGAGCTGGAAGTGAACAGGAGAAAGCTCCGATGAGCAGTAGTCACTGTCAGACACACCCCACTGACTACAGTCCTGCTGCCGTGCAAAGCTGGAAGTGCTTTGTGGAGGCTGAGCTGGAGGTGCAGCTGAGAGACAGTAAATGTTGAGGAAATGCATGGAAAACTAACAGTGTTTTATTTGAGGGGGTGTCTGGTCCAAGCATGACCATTCAGAATTTGCCTGAGGGTCCCACAGGTGCCTGTGCTTTGCTTGGTTTCCCTTTCTTCCTCCACAAAATTCCTCCTTCCTGACTCTGACTGAGACCCCAGTCAGGAAGGAGAGGAAAGAACCCCTGGACTGACTCCTGTTCCCACCATCCAGGGAAGACACCCTCTCTGGACCCCCATCAGACCAAAGAGCAGAAGATTCTGCAGGAAACTCTCAATGAACTGGACAAAAGGAGAAAGGTGGGAGACAGAGGACAGAACATGTGGGCAACAAGGACCTGGAAAAATGAGGGATGTGGGGACCCTGGTCCTCTAGCGCTGGCTTCTTTGTTTCTTCATCCCCAGTTGGGTGGTGGAGGGTGAAAGGGAGAGATGCTCAACACTCACATTATCTCTTTCCCAGGAGGTGCTGGATGCCTCCAAAGCACTGCTAGGCCGATTAACTACCCTAATCGAGCTACTGCTGCCAAAGTTGGAGGAGTGGAAGGCCCAGCAGCAAAAAGCCTGCATCAGAGCTCCCATTGACCACGGGTTGGAACAGCTGGAGACATGGTGAGAGGTACCACCCCAACCCTCGTCCTCGCCATGCGCTGTGATTTGTAAGTTGCAGTGCCCTGCATATAGCAAGAGATACTGTTCTCTATTTGTCTCTGCTCCCCAGAATGAGCCCTGCTCCCTGCTGACTGCAGCTCTATTCTGCTCCTCATCCTCACCACGCAGGGAGCCCAGAGCCCAGTCTCCTTCAGGGAAAGGAATGAATTAACCCACAATCTGGTTTTTCCTTCTTTTTTAATCACCCAGAAATATATATATATGTATTTTTTTTTTTACTGCAACGAATACAATGACAAGAAAGGAAGGAAGGAAGGAGGAAGAGAAAATTACCTATTACCTAGCTTATTAAACAAAAATGGAATCATATTGTCCATACTATTTTGAAATCCATGGGGTTTTTTTTAAGCTTAACAGTATTTTTTATATATATATATATATATATATATTTTTTTTTTTTTTTTTTTTTTGAGACGGAGTCTCTCTCTGTTGCCCAGGCTGGAGCGCAGTGGCACGATCTCAGCTCACTGCAACTTCCAACTCCCAGGTTCAAGCAATTCTCCTGTCTCAGCCTCCCGAGTTGCTGGGATTACAGGCACACACCACCATGCCTGGCTAGTTTTTTTGTATTTTTAGTAGAGACGATGTTTCTCCATGTTGGCCAGGCTGGTCTCAAACTCCTGACTTCAGGTGATCCACCCAACTTGGGCTCCCAAAGTGCTGGGATTACAGGCGTGAGCCACCATGCCCGGCCAACAGTATATTATATTTATCCATGTTATTTCTTATGTCCACACAACAGTCCCCTATATGGTGGTAACATAATTTAATTAATGAACTCCTATTTTCAGCTATTTAGGTTATTTTCAATTTCTTGTTACCTTTTTCCAGGAAACGCTATATTTTATGGTAATTATATTGTGTTGTAGAAAAATCACTAGTGTGTCCTCCAACATACTTGAAAAATACCTACTGTTTTCAATATTTTCTCATTTAAAAATTTATTATAATTTAGTCTTTTAGAAATATACCAGGCCAGGCATGGCGTCTCATGCCTGTTATCCTAGTACTTTGGAAGGCTGAGGCAGGAGGATCACTTCAGTCTTGGGGTTTGAGACCAGCCCGGGAAACATAACAAGACCCCATCTCTACAAAAAAAAAAAATTTGTTTTTTAATTAGGCATGTCCGGACACAGTGGCTCACACATGTGGCCAGCACTGTGGGAGGCCAAGGTGGGTGGATCACTTGAGGTCAGGAGTTCAAGACCAGCCTGGCCAATGTGGTGAAACCCCATCTCTACTAAAAATACAAAAATTTGCCAGGTGTGGTGGCGCATGCCTGTATTCCCAGCTACTCAGGAGGCTAAGGCAGGAAAATCACTTGAACTCGGGAGGCAGAGGTTGCAGTGAGCTGTGATCATGCCACTGTACTCCAGCCTGGGTGACAGAGCGAGACTCCGTCTCAAAAAAAAAAAAAAAAGATTAGGCATGGTGGCACACGCCTGTAGTCCCTAGCTACTCAGGAGGCTGAGGTGGGAGGATTGCTTGAGCCCAGGTGTTGGAGGCTGCAGTGAGCCATGATTATACCACTGTAGTCCAGCCTGGACAACAGAACGAGACCCTGTCTCTAAAAGTATATATGTACACATACCATAATACCCAGCTACTGAGGAGGCTGAGGCAGAAAGAGTGCTTGAGTCCAGGAGTTTGATGTCAGCCTGAGCAATATAGCAAGACCCTCACCTCTTAAAAAAAAAAAAAGTAGATTAAAAAAATACCACAATTGCTCAGGTAGATTGAAAAACAGGCATATAGTACTTATGGTACAGGACCAGCATGCATGCATGCATGCATTGATTGATTGATTGATTGATTGATTGAGACAGGGTCTCTCTCTGTCTCCCAGGCTGGAGTGCCTGGCCTTAAGTGATCTGCCCACCTTTGCTTCCCAAAGTGCTGAGATTACAGGTGTGAGCCACCATGTCAGCTGGCGAGGCTTTTTAAAAGATAGTTCCAAGTGTTACAGCTCTTTTAGGATTTGTCTAGCAGGCTTTCAGGTTTTTGCCAGAAACCACCCCCACCCCCACCCCCACCAAAAAAAAAAAAAAAAAAAAAAGATAGTTACAAATGTTTCCCAGAATAGTTGTCCCAATCGAATCTATTTTCTCATGTGTAGTGTATGGTTGTTTTCCTGTCACCACATTGCTGATTATTATTATTTTTAATTATAGAGACAGTAAAGTACAGTAGTTAAAAATGTGAGTTGGGGCTGGGTGCAGTGGCTCACACCTGTAATCCCAGCACTTTGGGAGGCCAAGGTGGGCGGATCACCTGAGGTCAGGAGTTCAAGACCAGCTTGGCCAACATGGCAAAACCCCGTCTCTACTAAAAATATATATATATAAGTTAGCCGGGCGTGGTGGCACATACCTGTAATCCCAGCTACTCGGGAGGCCAAGGCAGGAGAATCTCTTGAATCCAGGAGGTGGAGGTTGCAGTGAGCCAAGATCACACCATTGCACTCCAGCCTGGATGACAAGAGAGTGAGACTGTCTAAAAAAAAAAAACAAAGTGTGAGTTGTACAATGAGACTGCCTGGGATCACATACAAGCTTCATCCCTTACTAGTTGTATGACCTTAAGCAAGTCACTTAACCTTTCTGTGCCTCAGTTTTATCATCTGTAATGTGGGGAAAATAATAGTACCTGCCTCAGAGGGTTGTTTTGAGGATTAAATGCATTAATATGTGGAAAGGGCTTAATATAAGTTGTACATAGCATATGAAAACTGTTATGTTAAATCTATTAGCAGTTTTATATGTGAAAATAGCTTTGATTTTCATTTCTTGGATTATGAATCATGTTGAATAATCCTTTATATGCTTCCTGGATTCTTTTTTTTTCTTCCCCCCAGTCAGTTTCTGACTCTTCACATATTTACAGAGAGATCTTGGAACCTGGATGGGGGAATCCAGGAAACTCATGGATTCCTTCTTCCTGAATTTTATCACCCAGGTTCACAGCTGGAGCAAAGCTGTTGTTTCACCTGAGGCAGCTGCTGAAGGAGCTGAAGGGACTGAGTTGCCTGGTTAGCTATCAGGATGACCCTCTGACCAAAGGGGTGGACCTACGCAACGCCCAGGTCACAGAGTTGCTACAGCGTCTGCTCCACAGGTCTAGAGGCCAGGCAGGAACCCTGGGGGAAAGAAGGAACAAGGGAAGCCATTCTTACAGATACTGAGCTATATATTCTCTCCACACCTCTCTCTCCTCAGAGCCTTTGTGGTAGAAACCCAGCCCTGCATGCCCCAAACTCCCCATCGACCCCTCATCCTCAAGACTGGCAGCAAGTTCACCGTCCGAACAAGGTTGGCATTCCAGAACTCATTCCCACTTCCTTTTTCCAACCCTGCCACTGTGTATTTTCTGGCTTTACAGCTCTTCCCACTCTTGGCTTTTTCTTCTCTTTCCCTGCAATCTCCCTACCTCTTATAATCCCTCTTCTCTTTTTCAAACATCTAGTCTATCCGGAAGGTTGAGGTTGACCACTTTCCCCTATCCCCCTTCCTTCCCCCAGGCTGCTGGTGAGACTCCAGGAAGGCAATGAGTCACTGACTGTGGAAGTCTCCATTGACAGGTAAATTGGAGCAGGTGAAGGGTGGCCAGGACACGGGCTGCTGGGGTGGAGGAGATACTCACTCTTCACAACAGGGCCCTAGGGCTATCTCCTTCCTCCTTCCAATCCTACCTCACAGAAATTATAATTCATTTCTTTTGTTGAACACTTACTTTGTGACATGCAGCATGTCAGCTACTCATTTAATTGTCACACCAACCCCATGAATAAACTATTACCAGTGCACTGTACAAACAAAGATACAGGCTTAGAGAGACTGATTACATCTCTTCTCAAGGCCACATAGCTAGTGAGCTCAAGTCGGGTTTGAACCGAGGTCTGTCTGATCCCAAAGACGAAACTCCTAACTTCCATACTCTTTTGCCCAATGATTTTTTTAAATTTATTTCTTTTCAGGAATCCTCCTCAATTACAAGGGTAGGTGCTTGACAAGGACACTGCAAACATCTGTACAGTGTATGACCTGCAGAACCACATTCGGCAGCCCTGGTGGCACAAACAAGGAAGAGGGGGATTTGGGATATGGACAAAGGGAGATGGCGAGATCTGAAATGAAGTGGAACTTCTGTTTTTTTTTTTCTGCTGAGTTTTTAGAATAATTCCATTCCTTGTCTCCATGTATCTTCCTCCTGGAACAGCTTCCGGAAGTTCAACATTCTGACTTCAAACCAGAAAACTTTGACCCCCGAGAAGGGGCAGAGTCAGGGTTTGATTTGGGACTTTGGTTACCTGGTAAGAATAGTTTGTGACCTATGCTTTTATTACTATTTTTATTTTTTTGAGACGGAGTCTCACTCTGTCCCCCAGGCTGGAGTGCAGTGGTGCCATCTTGGCTCACAGCAACCTCCGCCTCCCGGGTTCAAGCAATTCTTCTGTCTCAGCCTCCTGAGTAGCTGAGACTATAGGCACACACCACCATGCCCGGCTAATTTTTGTATTTTTAGTAGAGATAGGGTTTCACCATATTGGTCGGGCTGGTCTCGAACTCCTGACCTCAGGTGATCCACCCGCCTCAGCCTCCCAAAGTGCTGGGATCACAGGCATGAGCCACCATAGCTGGCCTGCTTTTAGTCCAAAGGAACAGGGGTTGGGGGAAGTTCCCAGGGCTTGAGAGGTCTTGAAGCCAAACAGGGGTTCCAGGGACACTAGGGTGCCCACTCTGGCATTTTCTCTCCTTCCCTTCAATTCACAGACTCTGGTGGAGCAACGTTCAGGTGGTTCAGGAAAGGGCAGCAATAAGGTGAGATCTGGACAGAGGACTCGAGGCAGGGGGAGCTTGCCAAAGAGCCTTCTGATGACTATGTCTTTGGCTGTCCCAGGGGCCACTAGGTGTGACAGAGGAACTGCACATCATCAGCTTCACGGTCAAATATACCTACCAGGGTCTGAAGCAGGAGCTGAAAGTGAGTGAAAATGGAGGGCAAGGAGAGAGAAAGCAGCTTTGGAAGAAGGCATAAGAAGGGGATAAACAGAAGCCTCTTGGGGTGGGTTAGCACTCCTTTCCTCTAACAAATACCTGCAGCTAGAAACATCACATCCCTCTCTGTGACTCCTGTCTTCTCCCCAGACGGACACCCTCCCTGTGGTGATTATTTCCAACATGAACCAGCTCTCAATTGCCTGGGCTTCAGTTCTCTGGTTCAATTTGCTCAGCCCAAACCTTCAGGTAGGGGAGTGGGGCCGACAGGTCAAGGCGCGAGAGGAGGGGTGTGGAAGCTTGGTGTGATAGGTTGCTTCTGAGCCAGCCTACACTGCTCCCACCCCTGCAGAACCAGCAGTTCTTCTCCAACCCCCCCAAGGCCCCCTGGAGCTTGCTGGGCCCTGCTCTCAGTTGGCAGTTCTCCTCCTATGTTGGCCGAGGCCTCAACTCAGACCAGCTGAGCATGCTGAGAAACAAGCTGTTCGGTACAGATTTCCTTTTCTCTCAGCCTTTCCCCAGCCTTAGTCTTTTCTGTCCCTCTGTCCTATCTATCCCAGGACCCCTGGCTTCCCTCATCATCTGTCTGTGGCTATCTGTCCCACAGGGCAGAACTGTAGGACTGAGGATCCATTATTGTCCTGGGCTGACTTCACTAAGGTAACTCCCTGAATCCTGTGGAGCTGCTGGATCTAGCCCACATTCCAAATACTGGCCTTCCCACGTCCCTCCTTCCCTACACCAGAGGCAACTCCTCAGCTTTTGCTACCTTTCCATTCCTCCTCCAGCGAGAGAGCCCTCCTGGCAAGTTACCATTCTGGACATGGCTGGACAAAATTCTGGAGTTGGTACATGACCACCTGAAGGATCTCTGGAATGATGGGTAAGGCCTTGGTCACCCTTCCCTCATGGGCTTGTGCTTTCCGGGCTTGAGAGTGGAGTCTCTGCACCCTCACGTGGCAAGCAGGGAGAGAGAGCAAAGACAGGTGCAGGCCACGTCTCCTCACATTTGTTAACAATAATAAGGCCGGGTGTGGTGGCTCACACCTGTAATCCCAGCACTTTGGGAGGCCGAGGCGGGCGGATCATGAGGTCAGGAGATCGAGACCATCCTGGCTAACACGGTGAAACCCCGTCTCTACTAAAAATACAAAAAATTAGCCGGGCGTGGTGGCAGACACCTGTAGTCCCAGCTACTCAGGAGGCTGAGGCAGGAAAATGGCGTGAACCTGGGAGATGGAGCTTGCAGTGAGCCGAGATTGCGTCACTGCCCTCCAGCCTGGGTGACGAGCAAGACTCCGTCTCAAAAAAAAAAAAAAAAAAACAACCAATAATAGCCATAAACAGTGTTTGTGAAGCATCTCCTACATTCCAGAGCTTGATGGGTGCTCTTCATTAATTCTCTCATCTCATCCTTACAACCATGCTGAGTGGTGGGTTTTGCCAGCTTCATTTCATGTGAGGAAACTGAGTTTCAGAGAAGTTAAAGAACTTACCCAAGGGACACAGTTGATATTCAAATCCAGGCCTATGTGACTCCAAGCCCATGCTCTTTCCACCACACTGCCTACCAACTTGTGTAGCATTTGGCTTTTAAAAGTGCTATTCATGACCAGGCACGATGGCTCACGCCTGTAATCCCAGCATTTTGGGAGGCCGAGGTGGGTGGATCACCTGAGGTCAGGAGTTTGAGACCAGCCTGGCCAACATGGCGAAACCCCATCTCTATTAAAAATACAAAAATTAGCCGGGTGTGGTGGTGGGCGCCTGTAATCCCAGCTACTCAGGAGGCTGAGGCAGGAGAATCGCTTGAACCCAGGAGAGAAGGTTACAGTGAGCCAAGATCGTGCCATTGCACTCCAGCCTGGGTGACAGAGCAAGACTCTGTCTCAAAACAAAACCAAAAAAAAGTGCTATTTGTGGCCAGGCGTGGTTGCTCATGCCTGTAATCCTAGCATTTTGGGAGGCTGAGGAGTACAGATCACTTGAGCCCAGGAGTTCAAAACTACCCTGGGCCACGTGGTGAAACCCCGTCTCTACGAAAAATACAAAAGTTAGCCAGGCATGGTGGTGTGCACCTGTGGTCCCAGCTACTCTGGAGGCTGAGAGGTGGGAAGATTGCTTGAGCCCGGGAGGTCGAGGTGGCAGTGAGCTGTGATCATGCCACTATTCTCCAGCCTGGGTGACAGAATGACACCCTGTCTCCCAGAAAAAAAAAAAAGTGCTGTTCATCTGTGTGATCTCACTGAATCTTCGTACTTCAAACCCTCGGAAGGTGGCTATTGTCAGCAAAGTGAAGTGACTTGTAAAAGATAAAAAAAAGCTAAGTGGCAGGGCTTGGTCCAAAGCCTGGATTCCAAACCTGGGCTGTTTCTCCATACAAGGGGAGCAGGGAGGCAGGGGCCTGGTGGGGCAGGGTGTTGGGCGGTGTCTCACAGCTGCTCTCTGTGCTCCAGACGCATCATGGGCTTTGTGAGTCGGAGCCAGGAGCGCCGGCTGCTGAAGAAGACCATGTCTGGCACCTTTCTACTGCGCTTCAGTGAATCGTCAGAAGGGGGCATTACCTGCTCCTGGGTGGAGCACCAGGATGATGGTCAGCTGCTCTGCCCTGCCATTCCCACAGCCTCTCCTTTCTGCCTGGCTCCCCTCTTGCCCCTCTGCCTGCCCTTGGCTTCCCTGGCTCTGAACTGAATCCCTCAGCTGGTTTGGGACTGGGCAGCCAGAGCAGAGAGCTCCAAGGCCCGGCCTCTTCCCTCAAGCCCGCCTGTTCCTGCATTCACTCTCCAGACAAGGTGCTCATCTACTCTGTGCAACCGTACACGAAGGAGGTGCTGCAGTCACTCCCGCTGACTGAAATCATCCGCCATTACCAGTTGCTCACTGAGGAGAATATACCTGAAAACCCACTGCGCTTCCTCTATCCCCGAATCCCCCGGGATGAAGCTTTTGGGTGCTACTACCAGGAGAAAGGTGGGAATCGTTGACATACTTCATTGCTAGATTGCAGAGATCTACCAGACATCCATAGATCCCACTCCTTCCTTTAAAGCATGGGAAAACTGATATCTAGAGGAATTAAGGGATTCGTCCATGGGATACTGCTGGTTACTATGGGGATGAGACTGCCAGGACCATCTGCACTAGGGGAACCTCAGGCTATATGTCTGGCCCACTGATCTTCTCTGCTTCTTGTATATGTTCCTCACAGTTAATCTCCAGGAACGGAGGAAATACCTGAAACACAGGCTCATTGTGGTCTCTAATAGGTGAGATATGAACTCTTCATTCATCCTCCCTAATCCTTTTTGGCTCTGCTTCAGTGAATCGTCAAAAGGGGGCATTACCTTCTCCTGGGTGGAGCACCAGGATGATGGTCAGCTGCTCTGCCCTGCCATTCCCACAGCCTCTCCTTTCTGCCTTCTCCTAAGCTGCCCTATTCCAGTCTCCCCAGCCTTCCCTCCCTCCTAGCCCACTCTAGTTTTTTCTGGTTCTAGTCTCTCCTATCTCATATTTTTCTGCTGCCATCCTTAGGTTGTCTCCACAGGGGTTTCTGGATAATAATGATCATAATCACTGGTGTTAATGGGTACCTACTTGATGCAAGCATGGAGCTTTTTTTTTTTCCAGACAGGGTTTTGTTCTGTCGCCCAGGCTGGAGTGCAGTGGTGTGATCCTGGCTCACTGCAGCCTCGACCTCCTGAGCTCAAGCAATACAGGCATGCATCACCAAACTCAGCTAATTTTTTTTGTATTTTTTGTAGAGATGGGGTCTTACCATGTTGCCCAGGCTGTTCTTGAACTCCTGGACTCAAGCAATCCACCCACCTTGGCCTCCCAAAATGCAGGGATTACAGGCGTGAGCCACCACACCCCGCATATATATATATTTTTTTTTTTTTTTTTTTTTTTTTTTTTTGAGACAGGGTCTCTGTTATCCAGGCTGGAGTGCAGTGGTATAATCATGACTCACTGCAGCCTTGACCTAGGGGTTGAAGCAATGCTCCTGCCTCAGCCTCCCAAGTAGCTGAGACTACAGGCACACGCCATCACACTCAATCACACTCAGCTAATTTTTTAAATTTTTTGTAGGGATGGGGTATCACTGTGTTGCCCAGGCTGGTCTTGAACTCCTGGCCTCAAGCAGTCTCCTGCCTTGGCCTCCCAAATTGCCGGGATTGTAGGAATGAGCCATGGCACTTGGCTGGGGATAGAATTTTTTTTTTTTTTTTTTTTTTTTTTGAGACAGTCTCACTCTCATTGCCCGGGCTGGAGTGCAGTGGTGCAATTTCAGCTCACTGCAACCTCTGCCTCCCAGGCTCAAGCAATTCTCCTGCCTCAGCCTACTGAGTAGCTGGGATTACAGGCGAGCGCCACCCATGCCTGGTTAATTTTTGTTTTTTTTTTGAGACAGAGTCTCGCCCTGTTGCCCAGGCTGGAGTGCAGTGGCACGATCTCAGCTCACTGCAACCTCTGCCTCCCAGGCTCAAGCAATTCTCCTGCCTCAGCCTCCTGAGTAGCTGGGACTACAAGCGCGCACAACCACCACACCTGGCTAATTTTTGTATTTTTAGTAGAGACAGGGTTTTACCATATTGGCCAGGCTGGTCTCAAACTCCTGACCTCATGATCCGCCCACCTTGGCCTCCCAAAGTGCTGGGATTACAGGCGTGAGCCTCTGCACCCGGCCTAACTTTTGTATTTTTAGTAGAAACAGGGTTTCACCATGTTGGCCAGGCTGGTCATGAGCTCCTGGCCTCAAGTGATCTGCCCGCCTCAGCCTCCCAAAGTGCTTGGATTACAGGTGTGAGCCACCATGCCTGGCCTGAGAGTTTATTATGCGCCAGGCACTAGGCTAAATGGTTTGCATTTATTTTCTCATTTTATTGAATCTACAAAATAGTCCTGTGAAGTAAACACTGTTACTGTTTTCAGCTAAGGAACTGGATTTAGAGTAGTCAAGTTTTGTACCTAAGGTACGTGGCTAATGATACAGGTCTGTTAGATTCCGTAGCCCTGATTTTAACCACCCTACTGCCTCTCAAGAATTACTAGGTATTGTTCTCATTTATAGATGATAAATCTGAGGCTCAGAAAAGTTAGGCCACTTGCCTAAGGTCCCCCAGCCAGGATTCAAACTCCAGGAGGCCTGATTCCAAACCCATGCTCTTTAGCCCTCCGCCCTACTGCCTTCTTAGACTAGCTTCTGCTTATTCTACCATTCCTGATTTCATTTGAACCACTGAGCCCTGCCCCTTTGTCTGTCTTTGGGTATCCAGACAGGTGGATGAACTGCAACAACCGCTGGAGCTTAAGCCAGAGCCAGAGCTGGAGTCATTAGAGCTGGAACTAGGGCTGGTGCCAGAGCCAGAGCTCAGCCTGGACTTAGAGCCACTGCTGAAGGCAGGGCTGGATCTGGGGCCAGAGCTAGAGTCTGTGCTGGAGTCCACTCTGGAGCCTGTGATAGAGCCCACACTATGCATGGTATCACAAACAGTGCCAGAGCCAGACCAAGGACCTGTATCACAGCCAGTGCCAGAGCCAGATTTGCCCTGTGATCTGAGACATTTGAACACTGAGCCAATGGAAAGTAAGTGATGAGATGGAGCTATGGAAGATGGCACACATTCCCTTTCCTACCTCTTCTCCCTCTCCCATTACAGAAAAAGCTGAACTCCAAGCTCCTCATTGGAGAGAGGTCCATTCTGTGATTCCTTTTTTTAGGAATTACACATGCCTTCCCCCACCTCCCTGCTCTTTCATCCCACAAGTTCCCACTCAGGCTCTTCCCAGGCCTTTCCTGCCATCCTCCCTCCCTTTCCCTGCTGGGTTGGGAACTCCTAACTAAGATCGGGGCCTCACTTTTCTCTCTGGATTACCTAGTCTTCAGAAACTGTGTAAAGATTGAAGAAATCATGCCGAATGGTGACCCACTGTTGGCTGGCCAGAACACCGTGGATGAGGTTTACGTCTCCCGCCCCAGCCACTTCTACACTGATGGACCCTTGATGCCTTCTGACTTCTAGGAACCACATTTCCTCTGTTCTTTTCATATCTCTTGCCCTTCCTACTCCTCATAGCATGATATTGTTCTCCAAGGATGGGAATCAGGCATGTGTCCCTTCCAAGCTGTGTTAACTGTTCAAACTCAGGCCTGTGTGACTCCATTGGGGTGAGAGGTGAAAGCATAACATGGGTACAGAGGGGACAACAATGAATCAGAACAGATGCTGAGCCATAGGTCTAAATAGGATCCTGGAGGCTGCCTGCTGTGCTGGGAGGTATAGGGGTCCTGGGGGCAGGCCAGGGCAGTTGACAGGTACTTGGAGGGCTCAGGGCAGTGGCTTCTTTCCAGTATGGAAGGATTTCAACATTTTAATAGTTGGTTAGGCTAAACTGGTGCATACTGGCATTGGCCCTTGGTGGGGAGCACAGACACAGGATAGGACTCCATTTCTTTCTTCCATTCCTTCATGTCTAGGATAACTTGCTTTCTTCTTTCCTTTACTCCTGGCTCAAGCCCTGAATTTCTTCTTTTCCTGCAGGGGTTGAGAGCTTTCTGCCTTAGCCTACCATGTGAAACTCTACCCTGAAGAAAGGGATGGATAGGAAGTAGACCTCTTTTTCTTACCAGTCTCCTCCCCTACTCTGCCCCTAAGCTGGCTGTACCTGTTCCTCCCCCATAAAATGATCCTGCCAATCTAATGTGAGTGTGAAGCTTTGCACACTAGTTTATGCTACCTAGTCTCCACTTTCTCAATGCTTAGGAGACAGATCACTCCTGGAGGCTGGGGATGGTAGGATTGCTGGGGATTTTTTTTTTTTTAAACAGGGTCTCACTCTGTTGCCCAGGCTAGAGTGCAATGGTGCAATCACAGCTCACTGCAGCCTCAACCTCCTGGGTTCAAGCAATCCTCCTACCTCAGCCTCCTGGGTAGCTAGCACCATGGCATGCGCCACCATGCCCTATTTTTTTTTTTTAAAGACAGGGTCTTGCTATATTGCCCAGGCTGGTCTTGAACTGGGCTCAAGTGATCCTCACGCCTTGGCCTCCCAAAGTGCTGGGATTATAGGCATGAGCCACTGTGCTTGGCCAGGATTTTTTTTTTTTTTTTTTTGAGATGGAGTTTCTCTCTTGTTGTCCAGGCTGGAGTGCAATGGTGTGATCTCGGCTCACTGCAACCTCCGCCTTCCGGGTTCAAGTGACTCTCCTGCCTCAGCCTCCCCAGTAGCTGGGATTACAGATCTGCACCACCATGCCCAGCTAATTTTGTATTTTTAGTAGAGACGGGGTTTCTCCATGTTGGTCAGGCTGGTCTCGAACTCCTGACCTCAAGTGATCTGTCCACCTCGGCCTCCCAGAGTGCTGGGATTACAGGCGTGAGCCACTGTTCCCAGCAGGAATTTCTTTTTTATAGTATTGGATAAAGTTTGGTGTTTTTACAGAGGAGAAGCAATGGGTCTTAGCTCTTTCTCTATTATGTTATCATCCTCCCTTTTTTGTACAATATGTTGTTTACCTGAAAGGAAGGTTTCTATTCGTTGGTTGTGGACCTGGACAAAGTCCAAGTCTGTGGAACTTAAAACCTTGAAGGTCTGTCATAGGACTCTGGACAATCTCACACCTTAGCTATTCCCAGGGAACCCCAGGGGGCAACTGACATTGCTCCAAGATGTTCTCCTGATGTAGCTTGAGATATAAAGGAAAGGCCCTGCACAGGTGGCTGTTTCTTGTCTGTTATGTCAGAGGAACAGTCCTGTTCAGAAAGGGGCTCTTCTGAGCAGAAATGGCTAATAAACTTTGTGCTGATCTGGAAATGTCTCATCTCTGATCCTCTTTATTTCCCTGCTCACAAAGGCTAATGTTCTTAGGGACACCAACAAGCTGCACAGGAATGAAGTCAGAAAATTGTGGCCTCTCTTCCATCCACCCCTCTACATTCCTCTTGTCATATTTCTTCTTCCCTTCCTGTTTGGAGTAGCCCCTCCTGTCCGTTAGACTCTTCTAGGGGTGCTGGGAGCTATATATGCATTGTGGGGGGAGGGATGAGTAGTTATATAACTGTCTCATTGTCACTCAGCTGATTGTTGGCAAAGCCAAAACACAAACCTGTCTGGATTTTTCTGACTTCAAACCCACACTTTTTGATGCTGTGACTATGGAAAAAAAAGGAAAGGAAATAATCACTAGCCACTTCCCCTCATCTTTTCTTTTTTTCAAAGAATTTCAGCTACCCTTGAGTTACCAAACTTCCAAAGGGACTCCAAGGCCGGGCATGGTGGCTCATGCCTGTAATCCCAGCACTTTGGGAGGCCGAGGCAGGTGGATCACCTGAGGTCAGGAGTTCAAGACCAGCCTGACCAACATGGTGAAACCCCATCTCTACTAAAAATACAAAAATTAGCCAGGCGTGGTGGTGCGTGCCTGTAGTCCCAGCTGCTTGGGAGGCTGAGGCAGGAGAATCGCTTCAACGTGGGAGGCGGAGGTTGCAGTGAGCAGAGATCACGCCACTGCACTCCAGCCTGGGCAACAGAATGAGACTCCATCTCAAAAAAAAAAAAAAAAAAAAAAAAAAAAAGGGATTCCAATTGTCCTTTGAGAGGAAAGTCCCATTATTCTAGGATATTTATCTTCATTTCCCTGGAATGCCCTTCCTGCTCAAAGCTGAACTCTGACTTTTGATCCTGCAATGATCAGGACTCCCGTCTTTGATCAGATATACTCTTGGCCAAGAAAGCAGGGAAGGAGACACTGGATCAGGGAGCAAGTGACCCTTAGGTATGATCCCACTTCCTAATCTGGTAATCCCATTCTGCTTGCTCAGCCATATAGGAATTAATACTAAAGAGATCCCAGTTATTCTATACACCAGGGGGTCATGAGAAAATATCATTCTCCACCATAGCCCTTCAGAATAGAAGAAAGGGATGCATATTGTAGTCTCTTGGCCTTATTTTTCCATCGATTTCTCTTTCCCAATTGAGCCTAGAAATTAGACTCATATAGCCACAAAAATAAGACTTTATTGAAAAAAGTACATAATTCAATATAAATACAATAAATAATCCTCCCCAAACTGTCCCCAGGAGGATAAATAATCCCCAAATTTCCCTTCCCATCTAATAAATACTCAACCTTATCATAGGTCAGCATCACATGTCAGTCAGTATTGGTAATTTTCAACATATGCAGGTCCCACTAAAATTAATGGACTAATTAACCTGTTGGCTCACAGGTGCCTGGGGTGGTAGATTTATCTTGGCCTTGCTGGGCCATGGAGATCTGAGTGCCATCCTTGAGCTGCTGCCTTTAGGGACTCAGGGTTGCTGCTCCATGGGCAAAGACCCGGGCGGCTACAGCCACAAAGGCCTGGAGGCTGCGAAGGATTTTGAAGCGGAGAAGGAGACGCTGCCATGGCTGGCTGGGACTGAGGCTTGGAATCTGCTGAGTCTCCCAGTGGTGACCCTCAGGCTGAAAGGACATAGGACACAGTCAGAGAAGACTCTAAACCCTTAACCCCCAACCCTCTGTCTCTGACACCTGCAAGCCCCCATCCTCCACGCCCCTACTTCATACCTGCAGGAGTTGGCTGAGGCCCAGTAGGGAGGCATGAAGCTGGCCCACAGGGCTATCAGGGAGCAGAGAAGGCTCCCCTGTGAAAATATCCGATCCTAGCAGCTTCTCATAAAAAATCAGACCCTGGTGGATCCTTTGCAAGCAGAACTAGGGAGAAAAGAAAGCAATGAAAGAGGACACCCTCTTCCTACTCCATTCACTGAAGACTCACCCAGTTTCTTACTATTTTCAGACACAACTTCTGGTTTACCATGGTACCCAGCCATGTTCTCAGTCCCCTCTCCTTCATTGCCCAGCCACATCCCAGTGGTACCTGACTGTTGTCCCTGAGTCCTTGGGGGTCACAGCCATCTCCACACTGGATATGGGGAACATCATTTGTAGTCTCTTCATCTCCCTCTTCTCTTAGATCCTGGAATGAAGGAAGAGGTGGAAAGAATGAAGAAGTAAGATAGTACTTCTGAAGCCAACCTGGACCCTCAGGCCCATGACTCTCCCAGGAACCCTACTCTCTTGTCCTCTCTTACTCCCTAATGGCCTTCAACCCTCCAGCTTCCACTCAAGGTCACGGTCTTCTGCCACAGCCTTGGAGAGCCTGGACTCCTGTTAGGCTCCAGGGGCTGCCACTCACCATGTGTCCCACTAGTGGATGTGCACTCCAGGCCAGTGTGCAGAGCTTCTGTGAAAGCTGCTGGCACTGAGTCCAGGCAGGGCTGCTGCCCCCAGGCACAGCTCTGCCCTGAGCTGTCCAGGGCAGCAGCAACAGCAGCATTACAGCTCTGCTCCCCAGCATCTTTTTGCCTTCTTCTCAAATCTGGCTGGCTCTGCGCCTTGCACCAGTCCTGGTGGAATCTCTGCCCACTTCCACTTGCTTTGAGCCTGATTCTCTCTGTTCAGCGCGTCTCTGGTTTGGTTCCCTCAGTTGTTCACCGAGTTTGTAAGCTGCTTCCTGTTGTTTTTCTCCCTTTGTCTCTGAGTCTTTTAAGGTCCCTGCATTGTAAGGCCCGCCCTTTATACCAGCAGGTGACTCACAGCAGGTGGGATTCCCCTCCCTGCATCATCCCCCTCTGTGGGGAGCCCAGGTATGCAGCCTCAGTTCCAGGGGAAATGAGTAGTGTGGTTGCTGTGGCTAGAGGCCTGGGATGGGACACATGTGTAATGCTCTCCAGGAATCGAAATAGCTATAGAAGGGGCGGGGATGGGGGGCACAGCGGGGATGGGGTGGGAGGGGTAAGGGAGAACAAATATTTAAATTAATCTGGTCTCAAGTTCCTTCCTGTTTGATCTTTCCCTGATCTTTTTGCCTCTCAAAGCTATACCCCTACCCCACCCCAAACCTAATTTCCTCACTTCCTCCTGCTTGAGGAAAAAGCAAAACAGAGAAACATCCATTCATCTCCCAATAGGATGGTGAGCTGTTTGCAATGAAGTTTGATTCCTACCTGATGCCCCCTATTAGGAATAAACGGGCTTCTTTTTCTCAGTTGGAAACAACATTATTTCAACTGGATGGTCCTGGTTTCATGGGAGAGAATGCGCATGAAGGAACTTGGAGAACTGGGAAGCCAGTATGAGGTCTTATTGCTCCCCATTTCAGGCCTCACAGTGGAGGTTAGAAAGGCTCTTGTGGGAAGAGGGTTATTGACTAAGAACCACCTGACTCCTCAACCCTAGTGGCCCAAGATTTCATAGGCTCTATAAGAGTTGGATGATGTTTTTTTCAGGACTAGTGCAAATAAGGCCTGGAAGTTCAACTTAGACATTCCAGCACCTAGTCCCATGGCCTCATTCTGACGTCATCCAAATTGTTCTGGGACCCTCCACTGGGGTCGGGGCAGTCCCAGCTTTGGACCCCATGGCTAGGAAGCCCAGGAGTTCTGGGTAGTCGAAGGTGCACTGTCAATGACTCTGGCTGGTCCTTCAGCTTGTTGCATCCATGGGTAAAATCCACTGACACCGATTTCATCACCCTCCATGATGCAACATCGAGTGAAACAGCTAAGAGTGTGAGGTTGGGCGTGGGAGTGGAAGGTGGTCCAAAGCCGGGACTGCCCCGACCCCAGTGGAGGGTCCCAGAACAATTTCGAAGACGTCAGAATGAGGCCATCGGTGACCACACAGCTGGCTCCCAAAGCCTCCCCCAAGAGGTTGACCCTTTTCTTCTGAGAAACTTGTCCTGAATGGAGGTCTCCCTTCCCTTAGAGCTATTCAAAACTGCCCAATGACACTTCTGGTTCAAATATTATGATTCTGTAGGTATGAGCTAAGAGAAGAAAAAAAAATATTACGATTCTAAGTTAAATCTACCAAGGGCCGGGTACAGTGGCTCACGCCTGTAATCCCAGTACTTTGGGAGGCCGAGGCAGGCGGATCATGAGGTCAGGAGTTCGAGACCAGCCTGGCCATCATGGTGAAATCCTGTCTCTACTAAAAATACAAAAATGAGCCAGCACGGTGGTGGGCGCCTATAGTCCCAGCTACTCGGGAGGCTGAGGCAAGAGAATCGCTTGAAGCCAGGAGGCAGAGGTTGCAGTGAGCCGAGATGGCGCCACTGCACTCCAGCCTGGGTGACAGAGCAAGACTCTGTCTCAAAAAAAAAAAAAAAAAAATGGAAATCTACCCTTTAGATTAAACATTTCCAGCATCAGAGAATTATCTGAGTTTGGGTGAGAACTGTTTTGCCTCTCTCCCTAATAAGGTGGACACCAATGGAATAAGGAAAGGGGAGGGGGCAGGATAGGGAGTTCACCTTACTTGTGTACAACGTCTCCTATGTTCTTCCCATCTCTGGTCCCCATTCTGGGAGCCCTAAAAGATAAGAGATGAAAGAAAGATGAAAAGGAGGAGGAAGTAGAGCCTGGGGGATGGGATGAGAGGGACAAGGGTGAGTTGGAGGCACAGGGCTCTGCCTCTTTGTTTCACTTCCTGGTGCTGCAGGAGTTGGGTAGGAAGAAGGGTTGGTGGGGAGATTGTGGGACTGTTGCGTGGCAGGAACTACATCCAGGGCTACAACTGACCTGGAGCTATAAGGAGCCCTTGACGTCAGCTGGGCCTAAACCGTTATGCAAATCGCATTCACAAGACACTCCTAGGCAGGTCTTTCCAGTTGTATGCCTAGACTCCAAATCAGTTGAAGTTCCCCCAGGTGGTTAATAATGATGGCTAATATATCCAACTCTCGCTTAATGCCAAATACTTTGTCTAAGCACTTTACATGTACTAAACTATTTAATTTTCACAACAACCCTTTAAGGTAGATACTATTACCCTATATTACAGAGGAGGAGGCTGAGGTGCAAAGATAAGCAATTTGCCCAAGATCACAGAGCTTCTAAGTGGCTAGAATTCCTTTTTTTTTTTTTTTTTTTTTGAGATGGAGTTTCGCTCTTGTTGCCCAGGCTGGAGTGCAATGGTGCCATCTCATCTCACCGTAACCTCTGCCTCCCGGGTTCAAGTGATTCTCCTGCCTCAGCCTCCCAAGTAGCTGGGATTACAGGCATGCACCACCATGCCCGGTGGCTAATTTTGTATTTTTAGTAGAAACAGGGTTTCTCCATGTTGGTCAGGCTGGTCTTGAACTCCCAATCTCAGGTGATCCACCCGCCTGCGGCCTCCAAAAGTGCTGGGATTACAGGCATGAGCCACCACACCCAGCTTAAGTGGCTAGAGTTCTAATGCAGACAATCTAGCATCAGATCCTGCATTCTTTTTTGTTCTTGGTTTTTGGGGGGTTTTGTTGAGACAGGGTCTCACTCTGTCACCCAGGCTGGAATGCAGTGGCACCATTTCCGTTCACTGCAACCTCCACCCCTGGGACTACAGGCACAAGCCACCATCCCGGTCTGGATCCTGAATTTTTAATCACTGCATTACACTGGATACTGTACGCCAGGTATGGTGGCTCATGCCTGTAATCCCAGAACTTTGGGGGGCCGAGGCAGGAGGATCGCTTGAGCTTAAGAGTTCAAGACCAGCCTGGGTAACGTGGCAAAACCCCACCTCTACAGGAAAAAAAAAATTATCTGGGTTTGGTGGCCAGTGCCTGTAGTTACAGCTAGTTGGGAGGCTGAAGTGGGAGGATCGCTTGAGCCCAGGAGGTTGAGGCTACAGTGAGTGAGAGGGCCAATGCGCTTAAGCATGGGCAACAGAGTGAGATCCTGTCTCAAAAAAAAAAAAAAAAAAAGGCTGGGCGCGGTGGCTCACACCTGTAATCCCAGAACTTTGGGAGGCCGAGGCAGGCAGATCACCATCTAATATTACTGTATTAGAAACAGTAATTACAGCTGAGCTAAATAATCTATGTCATGGATGCTCTTGTGTCTCCTCACAGTATCCTTTTTTCTTTTCTTTTTTTTTTTCTTTTTTTTGAGACGGAGTTTCGCTCTTACTGACCAGGCTGGAGTGCAATGGTGCCATCTCGGCTCACTGCAACCTCCGCCTCCCAGGTTCAAATGATTCTCCTGCCTCAGCCTCCCAAGTAGCTGGGATTACAGGCTCCCGTCACCAGGCCCGGCTAATTTTGTATTTTTAGTGGAGACGGGGTTTCTCCATATTGGTCAGGTTGGTCTCGAACTCCCGACCTCAGGTGATCCGCCCACCTCGGCCTCCCAAAGTGCTGGGATTACAGGCGTGAGCCACTGCGCCCGGCAGACATGGATTATTTAGCCCAGGTTATTAGGGATCTGTAACTCTCATGGGTCTGTTAAGTCTTTCTCAATTTGAGACCTCAAGATGGAGATTTCTTAAAGTGTAGGAACTGTCTATGTCTCTCAGCATCCACCTTTTTCGGAGATTCTATATCTAATGACCTGCGAAGTCAGATCAAATCAGTTTGAGAGACCATCTGTGTTTTTCTCTTGGTCTAGGCTCTAGGTAGGATCTCTGACTGGGTATAGGACCCCACCCCTCTGAGTCCTAGAAATTTAAATTCTTGGTTCCTTTAATGAAGGTCTATTTACCAGCCTTTATTGAGAGAAATGTTATAGAATTGAATCCTCCATGAGGAATGTCTCCCATCAGAGTCCCTTTATGTGGCCTTTAGAAACAGTAATAACAGCTGAGCTAAAGTGCTCTGAGACATCTCACAACCTAGACCCATTTCAAAGTAATTAGAGTTCACAGGACCCACGAATCCTTCAGAATAACAAGTCCCAATTTGCCATGCTCATCCCCCTCTGAGGGATAACGTCCAGCCAGCCTCAAGAGCTAGGGGAATTTGATAACCAGGGGCATCTTGTTACCCGGGAATGTTACCGGGGTCTCTGGGGAGGGAACAATCACGGATGGGAGTTTCAGATGGATGCCTGTAGAAGATGCAGCCACTTGGACTGTGTCAGGAGTCCGGCTCCCGCTTCCTTTTTTTTCTCTCCCATATCTGGAAATAATAGGAAATGCCAGCGAGTTTTGGGGGCAACAGGGTCAGAGGTGGCGGAGTGGCTCACTAGGGCACCGCAGGAAGAGGAGGTAGACTAAGCCCCGCTGGGAATACCCAACAGCGACTCCTAGTGCTTTGCCTTGTGTGTCCCTTATTTTAGAGTTCCTAAAGTTATAGAAAGCATAAAAGTTTGGTTTTCAAACCTAGACGTAATTTTGTTCAAGAAGACTAAAAACAGAGTTACTTTCTAACGCCACCCAACAAGTCCGGCGTCTGGCTGCGTTTGTCCCACCGGCGCCCCGTAACCTCTTTTTCCGGCGCGTGCGTCACACGCTCTCTCCTGGGGTCGCCGTACCTGGCTCCTTCTGATTGGCTTAGATGCGCCCGGAGCCCTTCTGATTGGCTAAAATATGCCCCGAGCCCTTCTTGATTGGAAGAAGCGCCTCGGACCCCGGTCCTTGGCGCCGTAGTGGTTAGGTTGAGCCCTAGGCGTGGGGGAGAACTGGGGAAACTGGAATTTCCCGCGGAGCTGACAGCGCTTGCGCTCCCCCTACTCGTTCTAATTCCACGCGCTCCAAAATATCCGCCATGGAGAAATCTTGGTAATGACCCATTCCCCGTAAGCATCCCAGGAACACATCTGACCCTTGCCCTATCCCCCTCCTCACCGCTGCCGTGGGAGAATTCTAGATAACCGATTTTTCTGGTTCCCCCAGAGAATTCTGGGTAACTAGCCGTTTCCGTCACCTTCCCCTGCCCCCGCCCCAATTGTGGGTAACTGGCCATTATTGTTTTCCTCTAGAGAATCCTGGGTAGCTATTGGAGAGGATTCTAGGAAACTGACTTCTCGTTCTCCCCACCGTCCAATCCACCCGTTTTCACCCCCAATTCTGGGAGAAAGCACCTTAAATCCCTCTACCTAACTCCAACCCCCGCAATTCTCGCTCCCTTCACCTGATGATTCAGGGCTGAACAAGGCAAGTGAGCAGTCCGAAGTGAGAAGAAAGGGAAGTCAAGGATTAGGTTAGATAATGGGGTGGTGGAGAGTACAGAGGGCCTAGCGGAGGAGGGATAGGGACAACAGTTCTACCACCTCCACCCCCACTGCCCATCCCTCCCCCGCCTGCTTCATCCTTTGGCTGGCAGTCTCATCCCTCATGCCTGCCTCATCTCCCTCCTGCCCCCATAACCTAGAAGACCCTAAGTACCAGTACCTGGGCCTACCCTTGACTCAGCTACCTCTTTCCCCTTACAGGCCAGGATGTCCATTCTAGGCCCATCGGTGCTGTCTTGCTGAAGGTTGGGTCAGGCATCTAAAGGGACTGTGGTAAGGGAGGGTGTGACACAGGTGTAAGCTGCCATCGTCATCATGAACTTTGAGGGTCTGGACCCTGGACTGGCAGAATATGCCCCAGCCATGCATTCTGCCCTGGACCCTGTCTTGGATGCCCACCTGAACCCAAGTCTGCTACAGAATGTGGAGCTGGACCCAGAGGGAGTGGCCTTGGAGGCTCTTCCCGTCCAGGAATCAGTGCACATAATGGAAGGTGTCTACTCTGAATTGCACAGCGTGGTGGCTGAAGTGGGTGTACCTGTTTCCGTCTCCCACTTTGACTTGCACGAGGAGATGCTGTGGGTGGGGAGCCACGGGGTAAGAACTGTACCCCTTTGTGAGGGTTGAAAGATGTTGAAGGTCTTTATCTGGTCTTAACCCAAGGAAGCTGCTTTGCAGATAGCCAGTACCGAGGAGTTGTAGTGATGAGACAGCTGGGTCTGGTTGGAGGGATAAAGGGAGAATCTAGGATCTAGGAGTAAATGACATATTCTTTCTCAGGAGGCATCCCTTTTTTTTTTTTTTTTTTTCGAGACAGGGTCTTGCTCTGTCGCCTAGGCCAGAGTGCAATGGCGTAATGTGATCATGGCTCACTGCAGCCTCAATCTCCTGGGCTCACACAATCCTCCCACTTTAGCATCTCAAGTAGCTGGGACTACAGGCATGCGCAACCAAGACCAGCTAATTTTTAAAAAATTTTTTAGTCTTACTATGTTGCCCAGGCTTGTCTCAAACTCCTGAGCTCAAATGGTCCTCCTGCATAGAGCTGCCAAAGTGCTGGGGTTACAGGTGTGAGCCACGGCACCTGGCCAGCATCCCACTTTTGTCACAATTGCCCATCCAGTGTTTTGATTTATCTTGATAGTTGTACCCATCACTTAGTCTGTAGCCATCCAAATCTAATCTCAATTGCTGTTGCCCCACCTGTGTTTTCTATTTTTATTATTATAGAATATTTAATGAATGATTCTGCATATCTTCCATTGAATCATTTTGTCTTCTCTGGCTGATTTTAATATCTCTCAGAGCAGTTATCAATCTTAATTTTTTAAAATCTGTACCCGTATTGCCAATATGCTATGGTGCCCAAAGACTTTGTAAGAAATACTGTGCTGTCCGGCCGGGACCGGTGGCTCACTCCTGTAATCCCAGCACTTTGGGAGGCTGAGGCAGGCGGATCACGAGGTCAGGAGATCGAGACCATCCTGGCTAACATGGTGAAACCCTGTCTCTACTAAAAATGCAAAAAATTAGCTGGGCATGGTGGCAGGCGCCTGTAGTCCCAGCTACTCGGAAGGCTGAGGCAGGAGAATCGCTTGAACCTGGGAGGCAGAGGTTGCAGTGAGCCGAGATCACGCCACTGCACTCCAGCCTGGGTGACAGAGCGAGACTCCGTCTCAAAAAAAAACAAAAAACAAAAAAAAAAAAAACGCTGTCCTTCATTTACTGATTGACTTCTTTGGTCATGAATTGTTTTTCCATTAGAAGGGATGAATTTTTGTGTGTGATTCATTCAGTTTAATAGGCAGTGTCTACTGCTATGCTAGGCACTGTGAATAAAGCTAAATAAAACATAATCCTTGCCCTCAAGGAGTTTACAGGACAGTGAGGTAAAAAACATATACAAAACCAGATAATTTCATGGTACTAAGCGCCAGTGTGAAAATCTGTACTGGATGCTGGACAGGATGGAGAATAGTCAGAAAGGGCATCGAGGAGGAAGTAACCCTTGAACTGAGTCTTGCAACATGAGTAGAAATCAGGTGAGAAAGATGGGAAAAGGCGTCTTAGCATAGGATAAACAAAGATTCCCAAGATACTACAAAGCTTGCTGAGTACAAAATTCAGGAACTACAAGCAATTAGGATTTACCGGACTGGAAGAGGTAGACATTTATTCATTCAACCAGTGTTTTTTTGAGCCACATGCTAGGTGTCAGACCTTGCCCTAAGGTCTAGGTTTGGAATAAGCAGTAAACAGAAAAACATTACAATACATCAGGTGTTGATTAGTACTGTTAAGAAAAATGCTGGCTGGGCATGGTGACTCACACCTGTAATCCCAGCACTTTGGGAGGCCGAAGCAGGCGGATCACCTGAGGTCAGGAATTCAAGACCAACCTGGCCAACATGGTGAAACCCCCGTCTCTACTGAAAATATAAAAATTAGCTGGGTGTGGTGGCAGGTTCCTATAATCCCAGCTACTTGGGAGGCTGAAGCAGGAGAATTGCTTGAACCTGGGAGGCAGAGGTTGCAGTGAGCTGAGATCACACCACTGCACTCCTGCCTGGGTGACAGGGCAAGACTCCGTCTCAAAAAAAAGAAAAAGAAAAATACAATGAGGCCAGGCACAGTGGCACCTGTAATCCCGGCACTTTGATAAGCCAAGGTGGGAGGGTTGCTTGAGCCTAAGAGTTCAATACCAGTCTGGGCAACATAGCAAGACCCCATCTCTATTAAAAGAAAAATACAGGCCGGGCGCGGTGGCTCACGCCTGTAATCCCAGCACTTTGGGAGGCCGAGGCGGGCGGATCACGAGGTCAGGAGATCGAGACCATCCCGGCTAAAACGGTGAAACCCCGTCTCTACTAAAAATACAAAAAATTAGCCGGGCGTAGTGGCGGGCGCCTGTAGTCCCAGCTACTTGGGAGGCTGAGGCAGGAGAATGGCGTGAACCCGGGAGGCGGAGCTTGCAGTGAGCCGAGATCCCGCCACTGCACTCCAGCCTGGGCGACAGAGCGAGACTCCGTCTCAAAAAAAAAAAAAAAAAAAAAAAAGAAAAATACAGTTGAGTAAGGGGGTTGAGGTAATGAAGGGTGGGAAATGTTGCTATTTTGTTTGGTTTTGTAGTGTTTTGTTTTAATTTTAATCTTTTTTCCTAATGGCTCTTTTAGAAACAATGTTGCTACTTTAAATAGTTGGTCAGGAGTTCTCTCTGATAAAGTAACATTTGAATAGAGACTTGGATGCAGCACCAAAAAGGGGAACAAAGAGGCAGAGCTCCATGCCTCTAACTTATCCTTGTGCCTCTCCTTTACTATTCTAGGCCCTCTAGAAGGGAGGGAAGGAGCCATGTAGATATCTGGGGAAGGAACATTCTAGAGAACTTCATATGCTGTGTTAAAAGAGCTTGGACCTTGGACTTGAACCTTCAGGCCACTGAAGGGCTTTTTTTTTTTTTTTTTTTTAGGTGGAATCTCACTCTGTTGCCCAGGTTGGAGTGAAGTGGTGCCATCTCAGCTCACTGCAACCTCTGCCTCCCAGGTTAAAGTAATCCTCCTGCCTCAGCCTCCTGAGTAGCTGGGACTACAGGTGTGTGCCACCATGCTCAGCTAATTTTTGTATTTTTAGTAGAGATGACGTTTCACCATGTTGGCCAGGCTGGTGTCAAACTCCTGGCCTCAAGTGATCCACCTGCCTTGGCCTCCCAAAGTGCTGGGATTACAGTGTGAGCCACAGCACCCAGCCTCAGATTTGGGAAATATTTAGGAAGCAAAATAGGCCAGGTGCGGTGACTGATGCCTGTAATCCTAGAATTTTGGGAGGCCGAGGCAGGTGGATCACCTGAGGTCAGGAGTTCGAAACCAGCCTGGCCAACATGGTGAAACCCCCTTTCTACTAAAAATACAAAAAATTAGCTAGGTGTGGTGGTGCATGCCTGTAATCCTGGCTACTTGGGAGGCAGGAGAATTGCTTGAACCTGGGAGGCAGAGGTTGCAGTGAGCTGAGATCGTGCCATTGCACTCCAGCCTGGGCAACAAGAGTGAAACTCCATCTCAAAAAATAAATACATAAATAAAAATTTTAAAAAATCCTTGGTTATCTAGTGGTTAGGAAAAAAATACATAGGACTTGACTGTCAGATATATGGCTTGGTCAACTAGGTAGATCTTGGTACCATAGAGAATACAGTAAGAAAAATAGAAATAAAAATGGTGAATTTAATTTAGGATGTCATGAGTTTGAGGTTATGATGGGATGTTTAAGGAGGTTTAGTAGTTACCATCATCTTCTTGGTATCCATGTGGGATTGGTTCCAAGATCTAAAGATACCAGATACCAAAATTCAAGGATGCCTAAATCCGTTATAGAAAATGATATAGTATTTGCATATAACCTTATGCACATCCTCCCAGATGTGAAACATAAGAAAGCCAGCTGGCCAGTAGAGAATTGGACCATGTCCCTGACCTTCTATATACTGTTCTAACCAAGTGAGCCATTACCTATTCAGCAGGGTCATTGTGAGGACAAAATGAGGTAGAGTTTACCAAAATGCTGTGTAACACATTAAACAAACATAAGACAGTATTATCAGTGTCTTTATCACTAAGATTGACTGGTTCCTAGCCTTTTGCCCCAGTTGCTCCTAGTCACAAAGGCCAAGCAAGAAAGGATCCAAGCTGAGCCATGTTCAGTCCCTGACCTGGCCGTAGGGTGGCCCTTGCCCCTCCACTCTAAGTGTCTCTGTTGTCTTTGTCCTCTATAGGGCCATGCCACTTCATTTTTTGGCCCAGCCTTGGAGCGCTACTCATCCTTTCAAGTCAATGGCAGTGATGATATTCGGCAGATCCAGAGCCTGGAGAATGGTATCCTTTTTCTCACCAAGAACAACCTCAAGTATATGGCCCGTGGGGGCCTCATTATATTTGATTACCTGTAAGTGGCTTCTCAGCTCTGGACTAGGAACGAGGATGCCTCATAGGGTGGGAAGGCTAAGGGATTGGCAGCTTGTAAGGCCTGGGCCCCTTAGCCTTTCCTCTCCCCACCAGGCTGGATGAGAATGAGGATATGCACAGTCTCCTACTGACTGACAGCAGCACTCTACTCGTTGGTGGGCTGCAGAATCACATAATAGAGATTGATCTTAACACTGTCCAGGAGACTCAGAAGGTACAAGCTTGGGGCAAGAAAGACCTATGTGGGGTCTGAGGTTGTTGCGGGGGCAGGGTATGCTTGGGCTGGTAATGTGCCTGAGATGTGGGTGTGACCTTTCTGTTCCCTTGGTCTGTGGGAAAAATCATTCTTCTCACTGGTTTTTCCTGCTTCCCTCTCCAGTATGCAGTAGAGACGCCTGGAGTCACCATCATGAGACAGACAAATCGCTTCTTCTTCTGCGGCCACACGTCTGGCAAGGTGGCCAAGTTCCATTTCTCCTCCCACTGCAGGGCCCTGTTTCACTAGATACCTGATTGCGATCTGCTTTCCCTTAACTCTGGGGTGTAGTTGGATTGGAGGTGAGGGATGAGTGGAGTGAATTCACTTCCTACTCAGTGATGTTCTACTATGAGATTATTTTGCAGCTTGATGTTTTCTATGATAATGAAGTCTCCCTGAAGCCCCTTCTGGCTCTGGGCTTCTCTGTTTGCCTTTTCTGTGCTTTAACTTTCCCTGTCCTAAAGCCCTAGTTCCTTTGGTAGGGACCCCACTGGGTTAGGTAGGTGGCAGGTATTTTTCCTGATAACAGAATTTGCAGATAACTGAATTTTTTTTTTCTAGGTTTCCCTGAGAGACCTCCGTACTTTTAAGGTGGAACATGAGTTTGATGCCTTCTCAGGAAGTCTGTCAGACTTTGATGTGCATGGCAACCTGCTAGCTGCCTGTGGCTTCTCCAGCCGCCTCACTGGCCTGGCCTGCGACCGTTTCCTCAAGGTGTATGATTTGCGCATGATGCGTGCCATCACACCACTTCAAGTACATGTGGATCCTGCCTTCTTGCGCTTCATTCCTACATATACTTCTCGTCTTGCTATCATCTCTCAGTCAGGTATGAAGGGCATATGGGATTGGGTAGGAGGGATCGATGAGCAAAGGAGAGCTAGAACCCGAAGGAGTACTCATCCTGAAACCTCTTTGTTGGGGAAAGAAGTAACCTTTCATCAGGGTCCCAAGGTTTTACTTGGGTTTGGCCAGAGATTAGAGCTTTTATTTTCTTGAATATGAGGAACATGGAAAAAGGTAAAGATAAAGTAGGCAAAATAACTGTAGAATTGCTCTTTGCTGAGTAGCGAACCATCTGTGGTTTATGGAAGGCACGAAGTGGCATTCTGTCTCTAGGCATGGATTTGGGGCCCATCTTGTCCTGAAATCAGGGGAAGAGGATAGGAAGGGCATAAGAATATGGCTCCCTTTCACTTTCTAGGGCTCAGTGGGTTTCTTCCTCCTTTGTAGGGCAGTGCCAATTCTGTGAACCCACAGGCCTGGCCAACCCAGCCGATATCTTTCATGTGAATCCTGTGGGGCCTCTGCTAATGACATTTGATGTGTCAGCCAGCAAGCAGGCTCTGGCCTTTGGGGATTCTGAGGGCTGTGTGCACCTCTGGACTGATTCCCCGGAGCCTTCCTTCAACCCCTACTCCCGTGAGACTGAGTTTGCTTTGCCGTGTCTCGTGGACTCACTGCCTCCTCTGGACTGGAGCCAGGACCTGCTGCCTCTTTCCCTCATCCCTGTCCCACTCACCACTGACACACTTCTCTCTGATTGGCCTGCTGCCAACTCTGCTCCAGCTCCCAGGTTGTACCCTACCTCTGGGCCAAAAGGCGGGAGGGACAGGGAAAGGGCCAAGATACCAGAATTCTCTGCTAGCCCTGTTGTTATTCTACTACTTTCCTGATTTTTGTCTACCTTCAGTATTTTCTTTTTCTCTGGACCCTTGGGGATTGGGGAGTGGACCAGTGTACACCACAACTCTTTAAGTCCTAGAACTATGCTGGATTGTAGGCGAGCACCACCCGTGGATGCAGAGATTCTGCGCACCATGAAGAAGGTGGGCTTCATTGGCTATGCGCCCAATCCCCGCACCAGGCTGCGCAATCAGGTGTGTTCAGAGTGGAGGGTCAGCCCCGACCCCGGCCCACTGAAGTTTCTCCTATCTTTTTCCTTTACTAGTCTTTCTTTTGTTTTTAGATCCTGTTGGTAACCAACCAAATTGATGGAACTATGCTAGGTGTTAGGGAGGATTCAAAGATAGAGAAGCTAGGGTCCTTGCTGTTAGGAAGTTTAGTATTTGGTTGGTGAAGAGAAGACATAGCCATATCAGAAATTACGTTCTGTTGTTAAATGCTGAAGGAATGTCATAAGCATTTAGTGCCAGAGCTGTTTGGAGGAAAAATGTTATTCCAGGCTAAAGTGACCAAGGAAGGTGTAATGAAAGAGCTGGGTATTAAGCTGGAAAGGTGGGATATCAGTTAAGTAGATAGTAACAGAGGAGAATATCCAAGATGAGAGAAGAGTGTTAGTAAAGATCTCAAGAGGCATAAATGCAAAACACATATCTGAGGGGGACTACATGAGTATACCAGTCTGGCCGGAGTAGCTGTTGGTATTGGGATGTAGTGAGCGATTAAAATTAGAAGTGGCCAGATTGCGAAGCTTTGAACACCAGTCTATAATAGAGGAAGTAATACACAGAAAGCAGCATTCTGCAAGGGTTAATTTGGTAGTGGTGTGCTGGACAGAGTGAACATAGGGAGACCAGTGTGGACGCCATCACAGTTGTCCATCTGTGCTGAAGCAGAGTGATGGCAGTGGAAATAGAAAGGAAGCAGCGGATGCTGAGAGTGCTATGAATATAGAAGGTTCAGGACTTGGTGGCTGTTTCAATGTTGGGATAAATGAGTGTGAAGCCAAAGATGACAAGACATCCAACAAGGTTACCTCTTCCTAAAATCCCTAGATACCCTACAGACTCAAGGAGTCAGACAGTGAATTTGACAGCTTCAGCCAGGTCACTGAGTCACCAGTAGGACGAGAAGAGGAACCACATCTCCACATGGTTTCTAAGAAATACCGCAAGGTGCTGGGGGACATCAGGGCCTGTGGGATGTGGGGAAAGGTACCCTGGGAAGGAAGTCATATGAGAAAGGATTGAAGGACTCAGTCAGGAGGCCTTCAACTACCACCCTGGACCCAGGAGGAAGGCTCTAGGAAAGGCTGTGGCTACTGGAAAGATTTGGGGACTCTGAGAATATCCTTGTCTTGCTCAGACAATTTCTACCTTAGGTGACCATCAAATATTCCAAGCTAGGGCTGGAGGACTTTGACTTCAAACACTACAATAAGACCTTGTTTGCTGGATTAGAGCCCCACATTCCCAACGCCTACTGTAACTGCATGATCCAGGTAAGGGTTGGGTATTCCTGTAACTTGAACGTGCCTGCTGCTTTTCTTCTTCCCTATGGCTCTCGACCCTGCTCTTTCCAGGTCTCCTCAGCCGTGTTCTCTTTACCATGGTCTCCTCTACAATTCTTTCTTGCCTCTACAACTTTCAAGTCTCCTCTGAGCTCCACCGGTTTGGTGGACTCACTGCTTCGGTGGACTCCTGCTTCTGGGACATTTTCTCCACCAGCTCACTTAACCTCCATATTTCTCCTCACCCCCAGGCCAGTTTCCTACATCAGTTCTTCTGCTTTTCCCTCCAGGTGCTCTATTTCCTGGAGCCTGTACGCTGTCTAATTCAAAACCACCTTTGCCAGAAGGAGTTCTGTCTGGCATGTGAGCTGGGCTTCCTGTTTCACATGTTGGACCTCTCTCGTGGTGACCCTTGCCAGGTCAGTACTTGGAGACACTTAAAATGGAAGGGGAAGGAAGGTGGACACAAAAGACAAAATAACCCCTTTCCACCAACACATTTCCAGGGCAATAATTTTCTTCGGGCATTCCGTACTATTCCTGAGGCCTCAGCCCTCGGTCTAATCCTGGCTGACTCAGATGAGGCCTCAGGCAAGGGCAATCTGGCCAGGCTCATTCAGAGGTGGAATCGCTTCATTCTCACTCAACTGCATCAAGATATGCAGGAGCTGGAAATACCACAGGCTTATCGAGGTGCTGGAGGCAGGTATGAAATCAGGATAGAAATAGTTAAAGCCATCATGACAGGCCCCTCTGTGATTTAAAAGGTCTCCTAACTTCCTCAATGTGCATATATCATCCTCTCCACTCTTAGCAGCTTTTGCTCATCGGGGGACTCTGTTATTGGGCAGCTCTTCAGCTGTGAGATGGAGAACTGCAGCCTCTGCCGCTGTGGCAGTGAGACCGTGCGAGCCTCATCCACTCTGCTTTTCACACTCTCCTACCCTGATGGTAGCAAAAGTGGTATACCCTTCAGCTCAGTTGGGAAGGCTCCCCAAAATGTCCTGTAATATCAGGGAGAGGGTGTTGGGGACTAACTGTGGGTAGAGGGGAGAACCAGGAGTATAGCATCTAATTTTCCCTCAGATAAAACTGGGAAGAACTATGACTTTGCTCAGGTGCTGAAGCGAAGCATCTGCCTGGACCAGAATACACAGGCCTGGTGTGACACCTGTGAAAAGTACCAGCCCACGGTGAGTGGACTGTTGGACTGGACTAGAGTCCTGGTCCTGCCATGGAGATTCAGCCACTATCCCATGTGGGGCTGGCTCTGTCAGCACTGCCATCCAGGGATCTCTGGTGGAGTGAGGAATCCCAGTTTGAAGACGCAGACCCAGGTCCCTGTCCAGACTCCTTTTCCTGTACATTCCCTGCCATTCCTTGTTTGTTTCTTCCTCTCAGATTCAGACCCGCAACATCCGCCATCTGCCAGATATTCTTGTCATCAATTGTGAGGTGAACAGCTCAAAAGAGGCTGATTTCTGGAGAATGCAGGCTGAGGTAAGGACTCAGACTAGAAACAAGGCTTCCGGAATAATTTTTCATTTTATCCCCCTTCTGACCTCCATATATGATTACATTCCTGAAGAACTGGATGTTTTTCTTCTGTGTTCAGGTTGCCTTCAAGATGGCAGTAAAGAAACACGGTGGGGAAATCTCCAAGAACAAGGAATTTGCTTTGGCTGATTGGTAGGTGCTGTCTTGGGAGTTGTCAAAGGATTGAATTGCCCAGTGGTTCCTCTTATCAAGACCTCTTTCGGAACAAATTTCCAATTCTTCTGACCTGATAGGAAGGAACTAGGGAGTCCAGAGGGTGTGCTGGTGTGTCCCTCCATTGAGGAGTTGAAGAACGTCTGGCTTCCTTTCTCCATTCGCATGAAGATGACCAAAAACAAAGGGCTGGATGTTTGCAATTGGACTGATGGGGATGAGATGCAGGTTGTTGAAAAACCGGGAAGAGGAAAGGGAATAAGGGAGAGAAGGTGGGGCAGAAGGTAAAGGAGGGCAGGGGAAGGTGAAACTTAGCAGAGGGAAAAGGAAGAGAATAAGGCCTAGTATTTACCTGTTAGGGGATTTTCCATAGTCACTCAGTTCAGTGTTGGGGTCCTAGATGGGCTAGGATGGAGATAACCCACCCTGGTCCCCCATCCCCCATACCCCCAACTCCCTGTCCTCTGTCCCCATTCCCCTCCCTTCCCCATCCTTAAACTTAGCTTAGCAGCCTGGGTACCCCCCTCACAGTGGGGCCCAGCCAGGGCAGAGGAGGAGCATGGTGTCTATGTGTATGACCTGATGGCTACTGTGGTACACATCCTGGACTCACGCACAGGGGGCAGCCTGGTGGCTCACATCAAAGTTGGAGAGACCTACCACCAGCGCAAGGAGGTGAGTGAGGTTGTAGAGGGCAGGAACACTCCTGGGATGGCCACAGTGAGTCCCAGATCTGTCCTTGAGTCTGAGACAGAGTGGTCCAGCCATCAATTTGTATCGCCACAGGCTTTCTTTGTATTTCCATAGGGCGTTACTCACCAGCAGTGGTATCTGTTCAATGACTTTCTTATTGAACCTATTGATAAGGTTAGTTGCAACATGTTCTGTTTCTTCTTTCATTTCCCCTTTTCCTAGCATCCTTATCTTTAGGGCTCTATAGAATGCCAGGCAGATTCAACAGGGAGGGAGGAAGGAATCCTCAGGAATAAAAACCATTAGCACTTAAAAATAGCACCTGAAAAAAAACAAAAACTAGCACCTGAGTCCTGGCCTCCGTCTGAAGTGGGGGAAAAGGAAAAGGGTGATATACATTAGCCATAAGTGCTTTTTCTCTTCTATAGCATGAAGCTGTGCAGTTTGACATGAATTGGAAAGTACCTGCAATCCTTTATTATGTCAAACGGAATCTCAATTCCAGATACAACCTGAACAGTAAGTGCTACATAGTAGACCCAAGTGTGTGGACAGTTTAGATTGGGCTTCAGGGTGAGATCTGGGACATTGCTTGCAAGTACTTAGGATTGGTAACCAGTGTTAATATTTCTGGAGATACTAAAGAGATTCCTGCTCATCAGACCTTAAATTTAGAAGTGCGAAATCCAGCCTGAGCAACATAGCAAGATCCCATCTCTTTGAAAAAAAATTTTTTTTTTTTTTTTGAGATGCAGTCTTGCTCTGTCACCCAGGCTGGAGTGCAATTGCGCAATCTCGGCTCACTGCAACCTCTGCCTCCTGGGTTCAAGCGATTCTCCTGCCTCAGCCTCCTGAGTAGCTGGGATTACAGACGCCCACCACCACACCCGGCTAATTTTTTTGTATTTTTAGTAGAGACAGGGTTTCACCATGTTGGTCAGGCTGGCCTCGAACTCCTGACCTCATGATCTGCCCGCCTCAGCCTCCCAAAGTGCTGGGATTACAGGCGTGAGCAACTACACCCAGCCTAAAAAAATTTTTTTTTTTTTTTTAATTAGCCTAGTATAGGCCAGGCACAGTGGCTTATGGCCTGTAATCCCAGCATTTTGGGAGGCTGAGGCGGGCAGATCACTTGAGCTCAAGAGTTCAAAACCAGTTTGGGCAACATGGTGAAACCCTGTCTCTACAAAAAATACAAAAAGTAGCTGGGTATGGTGATGTGCTCCTGTTGTCCCAGCTACTTGGGAGGCTGAGGCAGGAGAATCACTTCAGCCTGGGAGTCAGAGATTTCAGTGAGTCAAGATTGCATCATTGCACTCCAGCCTGGGTGACGAGAGTGAAACCCTGTCTCAAAAAAAAAAAAAAAAATTTAGCTGAGTGTGGTGGCATATACTTGTGGTCCCAGCTATTGGAGAAGCTGAGGCGGGAGGATCACTTGAGCCCAGGAGGTCAAGGCTGCAGTGAGTGAGCCATGATTGCACCAGTGTACTCCAGCCTGGGCAACAGGATGAGACTGCTTTTTTTTTTTTTTTTGGACAGAGTTTCACTCTTGTCACCCAGGCTGGAGTGCAATGGCACAATTTTGGCTCACTGCGACCTCCACCTCCCGGGTTCAAGCAGTTCTCCTGCCTCAGCCTCCCGAGTAGCTGGGACTACAGGCACCTGCCACCATGTCCGGCTAATTTTTTGTATTTTTAGTAGAGACAGGGTTTCACCATGTTGGCCAGGTTGGTCTTGAACTCCTGACCTCGTGATCCACCCTCCTTGGCCTTCCAAAGTGCTGGGTTTACAGGCGTGAGCCACAGTGCCCAGCCTGAGACCCTGTCTTAAAAAAAAAAAAAAAAAAAAAAAGCAGCTGTAAGTCTTGAGAGTGGAGTGGAAATGAGATGAGGGGGGGATGTTTGATCAGAATGGCTTAGGTTATGATGTTACATCTAATTATTCTTTTTTTTGAGACAGAGTTTCGCTCTTGTTGCCCAGGCTGGAGTGCAATGGCATGATCTCAGCTCACTGCGACCTCTGCCTCCCGGGTTCAAGCGATTCCCCTGCCTCAGCCTCCCAAGTAGCTGGGATTACAGGCATGTGCCACCACGCCCGGCTAATTTTTTTTTGTGTCTAATTAGTAGAGACGGGGTTTCACCATGTTGGGCAGGCTGGTCTCAAACTCCTGACCTCAGGTGATCCGCCCGCCTCGGCCTCCCAAAGTGCTGGGATTACAGGCATTAGCCACCGCGCCTGGCTATGAGCTCCTTATTAAGTACCTATTTGGTACCTTTAAACCATAGTTTCTCTGTAACCTTTTTCTGGATTCTGTAAACTAAGGTCCAAGTGAAAATCTTATTCTTTCTTCTCTGTGGTCTTTTCTGGTTTTTTCTCAGCATGTTTGTTGATAATTTTGTGATGTGACCTGCTCTGTCTACCTGTCCCATTTATCAGACATGATCTTTTTTCTCACGTGCTTTGATTATTGAGGGATCACAGTGAAGACCCAGAGTCGATGATCAGCCACACTGGGCTTCTCTCCCCTAGTCACTTCCCTATCCAAGCCCTGTGTCCTCTGCATTCTCCCTTCTAGTCAAGAACCCTATTGAGGCAAGTGTCTTGCTGGCTGAAGCCTCGCTGGCACGGAAGCAGCGGAAAACACATACTACCTTTATTCCACTGATGCTGAATGAGATGCCACAGATTGGGGACCTGGTGGGTCTGGATGCTGAGTTTGTCACCCTTAATGAGGTAACCAAGACCAAAGGGATGGGGCATTGGAAGAGAACGCTGAGGATATTAGGAGTTGTAAGCATTTCTCTGATTTCCTTATTAACTCTTCTCATGTAGGAGGAAGCAGAGTTACGCAGTGATGGTACCAAGTCTACCATTAAACCAAGCCAGATGTCAGTAGCCAGGATTACCTGTGTTCGGGGCCAGGGACCCAATGAGGGTATCCCCTTCATTGATGACTACATCTCTACCCAGGAGCAGGTATTAGGATATGGAGATGCAAGTGAGGCACACCCTGGTGCTTACTTACAGTGCTCAAGAACCCAGGGAAGAGTGATAGGGGAAGACTCCATCTCACTTCCTGAAAAAGGCTTGTCCTTTTCTCTATTCCTAGGTGGTGGATTACTTGACTCAATACTCGGGTATAAAGCCTGGTGACCTCGATGCCAAAATTTCCTCCAAGCACCTAACAACTCTCAAGTCTACCTACTTAAAGCTTCGTTTTCTCATTGACATTGGAGTCAAGTTTGTGGGTCATGGCCTGCAGAAGGACTTCCGGGTCATCAACCTGATGGTTTGGCAGGGCTCTTTTAAGAGTCTTCTTGTGAGAGTGGGCCCCTCAGGGTATACATTGTGCCTTTAGAGAATGGGGAATTATAGGTCCCCTACCTTAAGTCTCCCCCTCTTTTATCCTTGCCAGGTGCCCAAGGACCAAGTCCTTGACACTGTCTACCTGTTCCATATGCCCCGAAAACGAATGATTTCCCTGCGATTCCTTGCTTGGTACTTTCTGGGTGAGTTGCTCTGCCTTGTAGGCCCCTGCTACATTAATAGCAGAAGCAGCCATTTAAAAAAAAAGAAATCATGTTCTTTGCGGCAACATGGATGGAGCTGTGGGCCATCATACTAAGTGAACTAACTCAGAAACAGAAAATCAAATACCACATATTCTCACTTATAAGTTGGAACTAAACAATGAGTACATATGGACATAAGAATGACATTAGGGACTCTAAAAGTTGGGGTGGTGGGTGAGGGGTGAGGGTTGAAAATTACGTATTGGGTGCATAGTTCACTATTTGCATATTAGGGATACCAGAAGCCCAGTCCCCACCAGTACACGATACACCCATGTAACAAACATGCACATGTACCCCAAATCTAAAATAAAATTTAAATATAAAAAATAAAAGCATGGGGGGAAAAGAAAAAGTAGGAAAAGTGTTAGAGGACAAAATGGGAGTAGGGGAGACCCTCAGTTAGTGGTGACAGTTACTAATGGATTTAATTAACTTCAATATCCCTTCTGTGCACTGAGGAAGATGTCTGACAATTTTCCTTAAGGGCAGTCAGGCTTTTTAGTTTTCTGGAGTCAGGTAGGAGTGGGGAGACATGTTCCTACCTCCCTTTGCTGGGTCCCAAACTATTCCACCTTTACTTACCCCAGACCTGAAGATTCAAGGGGAAACCCATGACAGTATTGAGGATGCCCGCACAGCCCTTCAGCTGTACCGAAAGTATCTGGAGCTAAGCAAAAATGGCACTGAGCCTGAGTCTTTCCACAAGGTGCTCAAGGGTCTTTATGAGAAGGGCAGAAAGATGGACTGGAAGGTGCCTGAGCCTGAGGGCCAAACAAGTCCCAAGAGTAAGACCTGGGATGGGACAAGGGAAACTGGACTGGGTGGATTTTGTATTTTGTTTGTTTGTGACAGGGTCTCACTCTGTCACCCAGGCTGAAGTGCAGTAGCGTGATTACAGCTCACTGCAGCCTCGACTTCCTGGGCTCAAGTGATTCTCCCACCTCAGCCTCCCAAGTACCTGGGACAACAGGCACACACCACCACACCCAGCTAATTTTTGTACTTTTTGTAGAAACAGGATTTTGCCATGTTGCCCAGGCTGGTCTTAAACTCCTGGGCTCAAGCGATCCACCCACCTTGGGCTCACAAAGTGCTGGGATTACAGGCATGAGCCTGAGCGCCCCCAATTGGGTGGATTTTGATTGCACATATGGAGAATAGCACTTAACAGTTTACAAAGCACTTCATCCTCCTAACATTCAGTAAAATACATTTTATCGAAACTCTCCATTAACTATAACTTCCTCTTGCCCAAGTCTAAAATGTTCAGGGAAGGTCCATGCCCTTTTTTCTCTTGCATTTTTCCTTCATAGGAAGTATGAGAAGATGCTTTTTCTCCACTCAGCTTGAATCATGCTTTTGGTTTTGTCTCTGACAGATGCAGCTGTCTTCTCCTCAGTGCTGGCGCTCTGACTACCCTTCCCAAAGAACCACGGCCCTCTCCCTTTACTGTTCTATAGCCCCAGAACTGGGAGATGGCTTCCTAAGTTGGCTATACCTTGTCCACTTCCAGTACTGGACGTGCTCAGGGTCTAGGGTCACAGATGGTGCTATTAATTGAACTGGAACACAGCAGAATTGTTGCAAAGGTTCTAGGAGCCAGATTCATTCCTTCTTCATTCTTTGCAAAACAGTGGTACAGACATGGAGTCTAGAATTGACCCAGATGGAAAGTAATTGGTATTCTTAATATCCTGGGTGACTAATATCCAGGCAGAGAAGCTCCTGGAACCATAACTGTAAGTTCCTAGCTGGCTAGGGATTGAAGTCCTGGACAGTGACAGAGGATACCACAGTAGTTCAAGACTTAGCACAAGTCACCAACTGCTTCAGGGATACCTGGAGGGGCCAGCAAGTAGAGTGTTGGTGGCCCAAGCAAACCAGTGTTGCCAATACCATTGCCAAAAGGGCCTTTGGATCCTGGACAAAGCTTGGCTGCCGGCTTCATTTATTCCTGCTGATGGCTGAGAAGCATCTGTCTTCCATCCCACTTGCCTGTCCCAAGTTTTGTTCCATTTTTTAAAAATTTGTTGTAAACTGCATGTTTTATAAAATAAAAATAAAATATCGTTTGTTATTTATCTCATTAGAGAACTGCTAGTGTGGGTTCTCTGGCTTCAGTCTTCCTCTCCTTCCTTTGAAGGTAAAGGTCCGGAATCCAAAGTTATGGATATGAAAGGGTATAATTAGGCCGGGCGCGGTGGCTCACTTCTGTAATCCTAGCACTTTGGGAGGCAGAGGTGGGTGGAACACGAGGTCAGGAGTTAAAGACCAGCCTGACCAAGATGGTGAAACCCCGTCTCTACTAAAAATACAAAAATTAGCTGGGAGTGGTGGATGGCGACTGTAACCCTAGCTGAGGCAGAAAATTGCTTCAACCCGGGAGGCGGAGGTTGCAGTGAGCCGAGATCACGCCACTGTATGCCAGCCTGGGCGATAGGGCGAGACTCCGTCTCAAAAAAAGGGGAAAAAGGTATAATTTATGCCTTTTCTGGGCAATGCTGGGTCTTTGCTATAGCTGCCCAGTACCCTAAGTCAGACTGAAGATGTACAGTATGGTTTCCGTTAATTGTGTAAGCCGACAAACTACAGGTCCCAGGATAGCTTGAGACTTGTAGTTGCTCACAAAGATGGGTCCGGTGCTGCGGTGCTTCCTGGGAGATGTAGTTTCCTGTGTATTGAAACCTGGACTGCTCGCTGGCCGGCAGCGCACCGTTTTGAAGGTCCTAGCCCACCTGGGCTGGCTCACGCGCACGACTAGCCGCTCCCATACAGCACGCCCGGACTCTGTCGTCGCTTAAGGCCACTCCTATTCTACGGCTGACCCCTGGTGGTCACGTGGATCTGTTCGCCACGCAAGTCTGGGTCCTTCGGCGATTGACCGGGGTCCTTGCTGTTCGGGAGCCTCTCCTAAGCTGCCTGTTCGCGCGAGAGTTTGGAGGGGCGGGTTTGGGGTCGGTGTCTGATTGGGGCTCGCACCGCAGCACGCTGGAGTCCCGCTTAGGTACCAGTTAGCGTCAGGGGAGCTGGGTCAGGCGGTCGCCGGGACACCCCGTGTGTGGCAGGCGGCGAAGCGCTCTGGAGAATCCCGGACAGCCCTGCTCCCTGCAGCCAGGTGTAGTTTCGGGAGCCACTGGGGCCAAAGTGAGAGTCCAGCGGTCTTCCAGCGCTTGGGCCACGGCGGCGGCCCTGGGAGCAGAGGTGGGACGGATGCGGGCGGCGAGGCGCTGGGCGCTGAGGGTTGGGGATGGACTGAAGCGAAAGCAATGGCGGAGTCCTTAGAAAGGGGGCTGGTGTCCGTACGGGTAATCACTTACGGGCTGGAGGTGGGGACGCAGGAATCTTCGGTGCAGGATCCAAATGGGCCCTAGTTATTGCTCTCCTCGCTGGCCTCCTGGCCTGACTGAGGGCTCCCTGCCGGCAGTTCCCTAGTGCCTGTAGTCCTCACGTAATCGCCAACTTACCTCCTGTAGCTGCCACAAAGCCCCGTGAACCCTAGGCATGCAGTGCTAAAGTACCAACACTTAGGGCCTCACCTATCCACGTAGAGTCTGGGGCTGAGCCGCAAGTCCTGAGCTCGCGCTCCCACCCACCACCCTGGGGGAATCAGAGCCCTCAAGCGCTGGAACAGAGAAGCCCCTTTGTGTCCCGGCCATTTCCTGGAAAGTAGAGCCAGAGTCACAATGAGGCCTTTGAAAGCCTTGGGGTGAGGATTGGGGGGGTCAGGGAAAAATGGAGTCGGCTCCTCACACTTATGTTTTATTCCCACTCAAACCCAGGTGGAGCGACCCCATTACGCTAAAGATGAAAGGCTGGGGTTGGCTGGCCCTGCTTCTGGGGGCCCTGCTGGGAACCGCCTGGGCTCGGAGGAGCCAGGATCTCCACTGTGGAGGTAAAGGCACAACGGGAAAAAGAAGTGGAGGAAGCAGAGCCTTGGGAGGGCATGAGATCCAAGGCCTGGGAGAAGGATGAATGGAAATCCTGGGTTGATCCCATTCTCCTCACACCCTACCCCCTACCCTGTCCCCTGCTCTCATTCTCTCCTCTTCCACCAGCATGCAGGGCTCTGGTGGATGAACTAGAATGGGAAATTGCCCAGGTGGACCCCAAGAAGACCATTCAGATGGGATCTTTCCGGATCAATCCAGATGGCAGCCAGTCAGTGGTGGAGGTAACTGTTACTGTTCCCCCAAACAAAGTAGCTCACTCTGGCTTTGGATGAAATTCGACTGCTTAAAAAGGACCTTGGTTTAATAGAAATGAAGAAAACAGACTCAGAAAAAAGATTTGGCTCTGTCTCATTTGGAAGAAGCTGCAGGCTTATTCCCCATGCACTTGCTTCCTGGCTGCAAACCTTAATACTTTGTTTCTGCTGTAGAATTTGTTAGCAAACAGGGAGTCCTGATCAGCACCCTTCTCCACATCCACATGACTGGTTTTTAATGTAGCACTGTGGTATACATGCAAACATCCGTTCAAAATCTGAGTCGGAGCTAAAAATAAAAAATGAAAAAACAGAAATAAGAATAAAAGGTCTTATCCTCATAATTAGGAAATTTTAATCGAAAACAACACACATGTACACAAAGGTGTATCTAATAAGCAATATATAAGGCAGTGTTAAGATTACAGTGCTAGCCTGGGCATCATGGCAAAACACCAACTCTACAAAAAAATGCAAAAGTTAGCAGTGCATGGTGGCATGTGCCTGTAGTGACAGCTGCTTGGAAGGCTGAGGTGGGAGGATCACTTGAGCCCAGGAGGTCGAGGCTGCAGTAAGCCGTGATTGTGCCACTGCACTCCAGCCTGGGAAACACAGCAAGACCCTGTCTCAAAAAAAAACCAAAACCCAGCACTTTGGGAGGCCAAGGCAGGCGGATCACCTGAGGTTAGAAGTTCGAGACCAGCCTGGCCAACATGGTGAAACTCCGTCTCTACTAAAAATACAAAAAAGTAGCCAGGCGTGGTGGCTCATGCCTATAGTCCCAGCTACTCAGGAGGCTGAGGCAGGAGAATCACTTGAACCCAGGAGGCAGAGGTTGCAGTGAGCCAAGATCGCACCACTGCACTCCAGTCTGGTTGACAAGAACAAAACTCTGTCTTGAAAAAAAAAAAAGGCCGGGCGCGGTGGCTCACGCCCGTAATGCCAGCACTTTGGGAGGCTGAGGTGGGCAGATCACAAGGTCAGGAGATCGAAACCATCCTGGCTAACATGGTGAAACCCCGTCTCTACTAAAAATACAAAAAATTAGCCGGGCGTGGTGGTGGGTGCCTGTAGTCCCAGCTACTCAGGAGGCTGAGACGAAAAGAATGGCGTGAACTCGGGAGGCAGAGCTTGCAGTGAGCTGAGATGGTGCCACTGCACTCTAGCCTGGGCGACACAGCGAGACTCCTCTCAAAAAAAAAAAAAGAAAAGAAAAAAGATTATGGTACTTTAATAGCTGTTGTTCACAGAGCCTACACTACATCTTTAATACTGTGCTTACTGAGGATATTAGTCTCAATTTAAACAAAATTATTATTATTTTTTTGAGATGGAGTTTAGGGCTTGTTGCCCAGGCTGGAGTGCAATGACACGATCTCGGCTCACCGCAACCTCTGCCTCCCGGGTTCAAGCGATTCTCCTGCCTCAGCCTCCCGAGTAGCTGGGATTACAGGCATGCACCACCACACCTGGATAATTTTGTATTTTTAGTAGAGACAGGGTTTCTCCATGTTGGTCAGGATGGTCTCGAACTCCTGACCTCAAGTGAGCCACCCTCCTCGGCCTCTCAAAGTGCTGGGATTACAGGCGTGAGCCACCACGCCCGGCCAAAAATAAAATATTAATGAACACATGGACACAGGGAGGGGAACGTCACACATCAGGTCCTGTTGGGGTGTTGGGGGCTAGGGGAGGGATAGCATTAGGAGAAATACCTAATGTAGATGACAGGTTGATGGGTGTAGCAAACCACCATGGCACATGTATACCTATGCAACAAACCTGCACGTTCTGCACATGTATCTCAGAACTTAAACTATAATTTAAAAAAAAATTATCTTCATCTATAGAAATTAGAAGTATAAGTTGATCAGGTTAATCAAAAAATTCTGTTTATAACTTGGAGCTAATGTTAACTGTCTTGTTTCTTAGAATTGTACAATGAGGTGCCGGGCACGGTGGTTCATGCCTGTAGTCCCAGCACTTTGGGAGGCTGAGGCGGGTGGATTACCTGAAGTTGGGAGTTTGAGACCAGCCTGACCAACATGGAGAAACCCCGTCTCTACTAAAAATACAAAATTAGCTGGGCGTGGTGGCACATGCCTGTAATCCCAACTACTCGGGAAGCTGAGGCAGGAGAATCACTTGAACCCGGGAGGTGGAGCTTGCGGTGAGCCGAGATCGCGCCATTGCACTCCAGCCTGGGCAACAAGAGTGAAACTCCATCTCAAAAAAAAAAAGAAAAAAAAAAAGAATTGTACAATGAGGTAAAATAAAATCATATAGTTGAAACTACTGCCAAGTACAGTGGCTCATACCTGTAATCCCAGCACTCTTGGAGGCCAAGGCAGGCAGATCACTTGAGCACAGGAGTTCGAGACCAGCCTGGGCAACATGGCAAGACCCCGTCTCTACAAAAAAAATATAAAAAAGTAGCTGGGTGTGGTGGTGTGCATCTGTGTGAGGCTGAGATGGGAGGATCACCTAAGCCTGGGAGATCCAAGCTGTAGTGAGCCTCAGTCATCACACCACTGCACTCCAGCCTGGGCAACGGAGTGAGGCCTGTCTCAAAAAAAAAAAAAAAAAAAAAAAAAAGAAGTACTTTGAAACTATCAAGTAAACCATATTAATTTAAAACCAGGCCGGGCGCGGTGGCTCATGCCTGTAATCCCAGCACCTGGGGAGGCCAAGGTGGGCGGATCACTAGGTCAGGAGATCGAGACCATCCTGGCTAGCACGGTGAAACCCGTCTCTACTAAAAATACAAAAAATTAGCTGGGCGTGGTGGTGGGCGCCTGTAGTCCCAGCTACCCGGGAGGCTGAGGCAGGAGAATGGTGTGAACCCTGGAGGCGGAGCTTGCACTGAGCCAAGATAGTGCCACTGCGTCCGGCCTGGGCGAAAGAGTGAGACTCCGTCTCAAAAAAATAAATAAATAAATAAAATAAAATAAATGAAAACCACACTAGGCCAGGCACAGTGGCTCACGTCTGTAATCCCAGCACTTTGGGATGCCGAGGCAGGCAGATCACCTGAGGTCTGGAGTTTGAGACCAGCCCGACCAACACAGAGAAACCCCATCTCTACTAAAAATACAAAAGTTAGCTGGGTGTGGTGGTGCATGCCTGTAGTCCCAGCTACTCAGGAGGCTGAGGCAGGAGAATCACTTGAACCCAGGAGGCAGAGGTTGCAATAAGCCGAGATGGCGCCAATGCACTCCAGCCTGGGCAACAAGAGCAAAACCCCATCTCAAAAAACAAACAAACAAACAAAACTAATTAAAATCAATTAGGGAAAGCTTTTTAGAATAGGTTGTTGGAGCTAGATTTGGAAAGAAAAGTAAGGATATAAATTACTAATGTACAGAGGTAGAAGAGAGTGACCCAAGGCTGAGGACATTTCTAGGTGCCTTATGCCCGCTCAGAGGCCCACCTCACAGAGCTGCTGGAGGAGATATGTGACCGGATGAAGGAGTATGGGGAACAGATTGATCCTTCCACCCATCGCAAGAACTACGTACGTGTAGTGGGCCGGAATGGAGAATCCAGTGAACTGGACCTACAAGGCATCCGAATCGACTCAGATATTAGCGGCACCCTCAAGTTTGCGGTGAGCTATGGGAATCGGTAGCTGGTTCTTGGACATTAAGGGGTTGTTGGAGAACCAATTAGAAAGTTAGGCTGATATCCTTGTCCTCCTCTTTGGAAGTGAAGGCAAGAGGCCTCTTATTGCCCTGTGTCACCCATTTCTCCCTTGGGTTGGCAGTGTGAGAGCATTGTGGAGGAATACGAGGATGAACTCATTGAATTCTTTTCCCGAGAGGCTGACAATGTTAAAGACAAACTTTGCAGTAAGCGAACAGGTAAGCTGCCCCCACTTTATCTCCTGTTCTAGTAGCTCTGTGGAACCTGACATTCCCTAACTCACCCATACACCCCCATCCCAGAAACCTCTGGTATTAGGTCAAGAGCTGTCTTCCATTTCCCTTGGCTTAGGGACTTGGGGTGTTCCTCCACATTTTCTGTCAGCTTTCAGAATTTGTGTCCCCTTGACCCTGAGATACAGGTGAGAGGACAGTGGGGATGTTTTATCATTTATAAGCATATATTCTGCAGAATGGTGGTTGGTGTGTGTTTGTGTCAGCTTGGTCTGGGAAATTTTCTTGATACTGGCAGATATCAGTATGAGAATGGCATATTCCTTTAAATTGTTTGCCATTTGCAGATCTTTGTGACCATGCCCTGCACATATCGCATGATGAGCTATGAACCACTGGAGCAGCCCACACTGGCTTGATGGATCACCCCCAGGAGGGGAAAATGGTGGCAATGCCTTTTATATATTATGTTTTTACTGAAATTAACTGAAAAAATATGAAACCAAAAGTACAAACTGTGTTGTCTTTTCATGCCTGGAATTGCCCTTACATTAAGCTTGAAGATAAGGAGTTATATAGACAGGAAAGATAATGGAGGAGAAAGAAGAGTTTTGGGATTGATACAGGATAAAGGTAGGAGAGGCCTGAACCTTTAATTCTTCTACCTTCTGAGATTCCACTCCACTCATAAACTAGATAAGCTTTCAGTCAGTGCCCACTCAATACCACGTCTTTAGAGTCTAATTGTGGAGAATAGAGGAACCTCCATGAGGAAGCAGGGGAACATAGTGTATGGTAGTGTAGAATTCTAGAAATCCCTTGTGTTCATGGCTGTTGAAACATAAAGTAAGACAGGGCTTGGTCTTGAAGGAAATAACGGATATGCATTATTCTTCCTTCCCTGCCCATCCAGATGGAGGGACCAGCAAGAACAGAGACAGGAAGGGGAAAATGGATGTGACCAACTCAGCTGAAAAGTAAGGGCTTTATCGGATAGGGACAGACGAGGTAAGGAAGGTTGTTTAATGAGAGGCCTTGCTTGCCAGCCTAAGCTTTTAAATTTGATGCCAGTGGCAACAATAAAGTGTATCTATCACTAGCCATTGTCAATCTGGACTATAAGTCTGTCCACAATTCTGTGTGTAGAGATTCCAGACTGGGGCATAGGGATGAAAACCTAAAGGATACCTTCTTTTGGGAAATTCTTTTTTTCTTTTTTTTTCTGAGATGGAGTCCCGCTCTGTCGCCTAGGCTGGAGTACAGTGGCGCGATCTCGGCTCACTACAAGCTCTGCCTCCCAGGTTCACGCCATTATCCTGACTCAGCCTCCCGAGTAGCTGGGACTACAGGCGCCCGCCACCACACCGGCTAATTTTTTTTTTTTTTTTTTTGTGAGACAGAGTCTCGCTCTATCGCCCAGGCTGGAGTACAGTGGCGCGATCTCGGCTTACTGCAAGCTTCGCCTCCCGGGTTCACACCATTCTCCTGCCTCAGCCTCCCAAGTAGCTGGGACTATAGGCACCCGCCACCACGCCCGGCTAATTTTTTGTATTTTTAGTAGAGACGGGGTTTCACCATGTTAGCCAGGATGGTCTCGATCTCCTGACTTCGTGATCCGCCCGCCTTGGCCTCCCAAACTGCTGGGATTACAGGCGTGAGCCACCGCGCCCGGCCTGCACTGGCTAATTTTTTTGTATTTTTAGTAGAGGCAGGGTTTCACCGTGTTAGCCAGGATGGTCTCGATCTCCTGACCTCATGATCCGCCCGCCTTGGCCTCCCCAAATGCTGGGATTACTGGTGTGAGCCACCGCACCTGGCAGAAAATTCTTAAGCACTCTGAGCTTGAGGTATGGTTGTCTCAGGGTTTCAAATGGAATATCTCCGGTCCCAAGAACACCTCAAGGAGAGAAGACCTGAATAAACATTTCAAAGGTTTTAAAAATTACATCATTTTAGAATCTAAAGGAACCTTAGAGGTCGTCTGGTTCACCTCTGCCCATTTTATTGATGAAGAAGCTGAGGCCCAGAGAAGCCATAGAACTTTATGAAGTTCTGTATTTAATGGCAAAACTGGGTCTATAAGCTAACTTTCCCAAGTGCTGACCTGATCTAATATAGCTATAGAGTACCTTCTATTTTAAGTCTTTTTTCTCTAATAATACCTTGCACTAAGCCTGGCGCATAGAATGCATATATTCCACAAAGCTTTCTTGTACCAAAAATCCCTGTGAAATCTGACAAATTAACTAGAGCACAGAGCAAGCACTCTGATATTTGTTGTCAACTAATATCAGCCTGGTGTTAATTCCATCTTCTCCCATCATCCATAAGAAATGCTGTGTTCGCTCTAGTTTTCCAAACCAACTATTATAAAGCTTATTTTTTCTTCTATGATGCATATAAGTAATAATTACATTTTTTCATGTCCCTGAAAGTATACCCAAGGTGCTGTCCATTTCGTGCTTCGTGCCTAAAAATGCCTTTCTTTTCCATCAGAAAGCTTATCAGAAGTATAAATGAGAGTACTCTTCAAGCCAAATGCGGTGGCTCGTGCCCATAATCCCAACACTTTGGGAGGCCAAGGTGGAAGGATCATGATCACTCGAGTCCAGGAGTTTGAGACCAGCCTAGGCAATATAGTGAGACCCCATTGCTACAAAAAATACAAAAATTAGCCGGCATAATGGTGTGCACCTGTGGTTCCAGCGACTCTGGAGGCCAAGGTGGCAAGATCTCTCGAACCCAGGAGGCTGAGGCTGCACTGAGCTGTGATTGCACTACTGCACTCTAGCCTAGGCAACAGAGTGAGACCCTGTCTCAAATACAATAAAGAGAGTTCTCTTCTGGAAACTTAAAACTGTTTTAATTTAGAAAACAAATTATTCATAGTTTTAAATAAATAAATTTAATGTTAATCAGTAACAAGTTACTTGTGATGCACCTTTCTGGTTTGTCAAAGTACAGCTGTTAAGAACTCTCCAGCTGGAGAGACTTTGTCATTGGTACACAAAGGATATGTCCTATATAGGAAAGGGTGGATGTTACCTTCTAGGCTTGATTAAGGATACACTTTGTGGGGTTTTTTTGTTTTTTGTTTTTTTTTTCCTGAGGGAGAGTCTCGCTCTGTCGCCCAGGCTGAAGTGCAGTGGTGCAATCTCGGCTTACTGCAACCTCCACCTCCTGGTTCAAGTGATTTTCCTGACTCAGCCTCCCAAGTAGCTGGGATTACAAGCATGTGCCATCATGCCCAGCTAATTTTTGAGTTTTTTGTAGAGACAGTGTTTCACCATGTTGGCCAGGCTGGTCTCAAACTCCTGGCTTCAAGTAACCCGCCTGCCTCAGCCTCCCAAAGTGTTGGGATTACAGGCGTGAGCCACCGTGCCCAGCAGGAAGATACACTTTGTAAACCTCTTATTTTTTTTATTATTATCATTATTATTATTACTATCTTAGCGAGACAGGGGTCTTGCTCTGTTGCCCAGGCTGGAGTGAAATGGCATGATCATAACTCATTGCAGCCTCTAACTCCTGGCTTCAAGCAATCCTCCTGCCTTGGCCTCCTGAGTTTCTAGGATTACAGGCAAGCACCACCATGCCTGGCTTTGCACATGTTTTAATTCATATCACAAGGAATGCATGAATTTATCTGAACCCTCTGGAGGTTCATTATAATAAATTATAGCCCAGTATTTGGTAGAGCATATGCTCTTAACCTTGTAAATCTGATCAAGCTTCAGATGCCTTCTAACTTAGTTTATCAGTAAAATGTTAGAACTTAACAAACATTTCCGAAGACAGTGTTAAATGAGGTACAGATATAACAGGAAAGTTTATTATGTGAAAATTTAGTCCTTTAGAAATACGTTTTAGGGCTGGGCCCAGTGGATCATGCCTGTAATCCCAGCACTTGGGGATGCCGAGGTGGACAGATCAATTGAGGCCAGGAGTTCGAGACCAAGCCTGGGCAACATGCCAAAAACCCATCTCTACCAAAAATACAAAAATTAGCCAGGTGTAGTGGCATGCGCCTATAATCCCAGCTACTAGGGAGGCAGAGGTTACAGTGAAGATTGCGCCACTGCACTTCAGCCTGGGCAATAAAGTGCGACTCAAAAAAAGGTTTAGTCCAGATGCAGTGGCTCACACCTATAATCCCAACACTTTGGGAGGCTGAGGCAGGAGGATCTTTTGAGCCCAGGAGTTTGAGACCACCCTGGACAACATAGCAGGACCCTGTCTATGCAAAAAAATTAGCTGGGTATAGTGGCAGGCATCTGTAGTCCTAGCTACTCAGTAGGCTAAGGTGGGAGGACTGCTTGAGCCAGGGAGATCGAGATTGCAGTGAGTCATGATCTCGCCACTGCACTCCAGCCTGGGCAACAGAGCAAGACCCTGTCTCAAAAAAAAAAAAAAAAAAAGTGAAGTGGCATGATCTCGACTCACTGCAACCTCCACCTCCCAGGTTCAAGTGATTCTCCTGCCTCAGCCTCCCAAGTAGCTGGGACTACAGGTGCCTGCCACCATGCCCGGCTAATTTTTGTATTTTTAATAGAGGTGGGGTTTCACCATGTTGGCCAGACTGGTCTTGAACTCCTGATCTGAAATGATCCACCCACTTTGGCCTCCCGAAGTGCTGGGATTACAGGCATGAGCCACTGCCTGGCCGAAAAAAAAAAAAAAAAAACTTTTATAGGATTTTTTAACTTAAAAAGCATTCATAGGTACAATATTCCTTTAAATATAGGACAGGGGCCAGGTGCAGTGGTTCACGCCTGTAATCCCAGCAGTTTTGGGGGCTGAGGCAGCGGATCACTTGAGTTCAGAAATTCAAGACCAGTCTGGGCAACATGGAGAAACCCCATCTCTACAAAAAATACAAAAATTAACCAGGCAGGGCACACCTGTAGTCCCAGCCACCCAGGAGGCTGAGGTGGGAGGGTGGCTTGGGCCCAGGAGGTTGCCGTGAGCTGAGATCTTGCCACTGCACTCCAGCCTGGGTGACAGAGCCAGACCCTGTCATAAATAAATAGGAATAAATAGCATGGGGAAGGGAAATAATATATGCTGAATACTTGTATAACAAGCACATACACACTCATTTAATCTTTTTTTTCTTTTTTTTTTTTTTTTTTTTGAGACAGGGTTTTGCTGTGTTGTCCAGGCTGGAGTACAGTGGTGAGATTATGGCTCACTGCAACCTCCACCTCCCAGGCTCCAGCAATGCTCCCACCTCAGCCTCCTGAGTAGCTGGGACTACAGACGCGCATCACCAGGCCCAACTAACTTAAAAAATGTTTCGTAGAGATGGGATCTTGCTGTTTTGCCCAGGCTGGTCTCAAACTCCTGGGCTCCAGTGATCCTCTTGGCCTCCCAAAGTGCCAGGATTACAAATGTGAGCCACCTTGCCTGGCCTCATTTAATCTTTGCAACTCTAAGAAATAGATGTTATTCCTATTTTATAGATGAAGAAACTAAGCTCAGAGAGATTAAGTGTCTTGCTAGTCAGCGAGGAGCCAAGACTTCAACCCCAGTGATCCTCTAATCCGTAGTCCAGTCATCCTCTAATCCCTAGTCCAGTCATCTTTCTGTTATACCTCATTCTATGTAGTGGAGTCTCCAAGTGGCTGTATAAAGTAGCACTTTTTAAATATGGCTTGAAAAACTGTCTCCAAGTTTGAATGTATGCCCTCTGATTCTAGTAATCTGTAGTGGAAAAGCATTATATCCTCTGTTCAGCCATTTTTCCTGACTATTCCTTATAAGACACCCCTTTTACCTTTCTGGTCATTTTTTGTTTGTTTTTGCTGTTGTTGTTGTTTGAGACAGAGTCTCGCTCTTGCCCAGGCTGGAGCGCAGTGATGCAATCTCGGCTCACTGCAACCTCTGCTTCCCCTGCTCATGTGATTCTCCTACCTGAGCCTCCCAAGTAGCTGGGATTACAGACGTGCACCACCATGCCCGGCTAATTCTGTATTTTTAGTAAAGACAGGGTTTCTCCATGTTGGTCAGGCTGGTCTCAAACTCCCAACCTCAGGTGATCTGCCCGCCTCAGTCTCCCAAAGTGCTGGGATTACAGGCATGAGCCACTGCGCCCAGCCTAATTTTTGTATTTTTAGTAGAGACGGGGTTTCAACATGTTGGCCAGGCTGGTCTCAAACTCCTGACCTCAAGTAATCTGCCTGTCTTGGCCTCCCAAAATTCTGGGATTACAGGAGTGAGCCACAATGCCTGGGCTGTAGTATTTGAGACAAGCTTGCTCAGTCGCCCAGGCTGGAATGGAGTACATGGAGTGCAGTGGTATGATCATGGCTCACTGTAGCCTCAACCTCCTCAGCTCAACTGATCCTCCAACCTCAGCCGCCCCAGTAGCTGGGACTATAGGCGCACACCACCTGGACTGGCTAATTTTTACATTTTTTGTAGAGGTGGAATTTCATCATGTTGCCCAGGGTGGACTTGAATTCCTGGTCTCAGGTGATCCTCCTGCCTTGGCCTTCCAAAGTGCTGAGACTACCACGCCTGGATTATAGGCATGAGAAACCACACCCAGCCCCCTTTCTGGTCATTTCAAATGCTGAATGTTTGTCTCTCCTACCTTTATGTATTCTGGGAGTCACCATTTATTATCTAGTTCACATATGGATGTGAAAGTCTTTACAGATGAGTAAGACTATAGTTCCTTATCTTTTATTTTTATGTTTTTTTTAGAGAAAAGGTCTCACTATGTTGCCCAATCTGGAGTACAGTGGCTGTTCACAGGCATGATCATTAGGCACTATAGCCTCAAACTCCTGGGCTCAAGCAATCCTCCTGCCTCAGCCTCCCTAGCAACTGAAACTACAGGCACATTCCACCTTGCTTGGCTTAAATATCTTTTTATTTATTTATTTATTTTTGAGACGGAGTCTCGCTCTGTTGCCCAGGCTGGAGTGCAGTGGCACAATCTTGGCTCCCTGCAAGCTCCGCCTCCTGGGTTTGCGCCATTCTCCTGTCTCAGCCTCCCGAGTAGCTGGGACTACAGGCGCCCGCCACCACACCCGGCTAACTTTTTGTATTTTTAGTAGAGACAGGGTTTCACCGTGTTAACCAGGATGGTCTCAATCTCCTGACCTTGTGATCCACCCGCCTCGGCCTCCCAAAGTGCTGGGATTATAGGCGTGAGCCACCATGCCCGGCCGAAATATCTTTATAGCAACACAGTGAGTTGATGTCTCCAGGAGACAGTTGACAGTGACTCAAAAATCCCCTTACTGAGTTGCAGCTGATAGTTCACAATTGCCAGATGTGGTGGCTCATGCTTGTAATCCCAACACTTTGGGAGACCAAGGAAGGAGGATCACTTGAGCCCAGAAGTTCAAGACCAGCCTGGGCAACATGGCAAGACCCTGTCTCTAAAAAAAAAAAAAAGGAAAAATTAGCCAGGTGTGGTGGTGAGTACCTGTAGTCCCAGCTACTTGGGAGAGTGAGGTGGGAGGATCGCTTGAGGCCAGGAAGTTGGGCAGCAGTGAGCAACGATCATGCCACTGCGTTCCAGCCTGGGTTACAGAGCAAGACCTTCTCTCAAAAAAAAAAAAAAAATCATAATCATCATGTAAGACATACAGCTTAGGGCCAGGCGCAGTGGCCAACCTGGCCAACATAGTGAAACCTTGTCTCTACTAAAAATACAAAAATTAGCTGAGTGTGGTGGCATGCGCCCGTAATCCCAGCTACTTGGGAGGCGGAGGCAGAAGAATCGCTTGAACCAGGGAGGCAGAGGTTGCAGTGAGCTGAGATTGTGCCACTGCGCTCCAGCCTGGGCTACACAGTGAGACTCCATCTCAAAAAAAAAAAAAGAAAAAGAAATACAGCCTAGTAATGCTGACCTTGGTCTGAATTTATAGCCATGCCAATTACAAGCTATGACACTGGGTAGGATACTTCATCTAAGTCTTGGTTTTCTCTTCTTTTTATTTTTTAATACCTTGAAACTTAGAGTTGTTGCAAAGATTAAGATAATGCACATTCCAGGCCAGGCACAGTGGCTCATGCCTGTAATCCTAGCACTTTGGAGACCAGCCTGGGCAACATGGTGAAACCCCATCTCTACTAAAATAGAAAAAAAAAAAAAAATTAGCCAGGCGTGGCGGCGTGTGCCACCTAGGAGGTGGAGGTTGCAGTGAGCCGAGATCATACCACTGCACTCCAGGCTGGGCAACAGAACAAGACTCTATCTCCAAAAAAAAAAAAAAAAAAAAAAAGATAATGCATGTTCCACATTTAGATAGTATCTGCAAATAGTAAGGGATCCTCCAGTTTAAGTTTTAGCTATTATCTATTAAATAGAGGCGTTTGGTTTACCTTGTAGTTTAAGGGTTTAAATTTAGATTTTATTAGCCCACTTGTCCTTTGCCACTAGGGGGTGCTATTGCCTCCCTACACTTTAAAGAGGTCCTCCCAAGGTCACAACAACCTAAATTCTCAGCCTTCTCTCCCTTGCCCCTTCAAGTTCCCAAGCACTTAGTTATACCTGGACCTAGAGCTCACTTGGCTGCTTTATTCATGCCAATCTTTCTTCCTTAACATTCTCTCCAACCTCCCCAGGTCCCATCAGTGTTGAGAAGGAATCTAGGCCAGCTCCTGGGAGATGCCAGTTAGCCGCTTTGATCCTGTGCTTTCCAATTGCCCTTATAGCAGTCGATGTCAGGATTGGACAACTTCAAAACAAGTCCATAAAGTCCCCATGGCACTAGGGGCTCTGGGACCCAGTGTCGAGAGGCTTAGAGCATTGCTGTTCCCCACCCAATCACTAAAGCTCCAAGACAGATGATCCTGTGGCCTCTCAATAATTGTCCCTTTGGTAGTCTCATCCTGGGGCACTGAAGTTCAGTCCTGTGGTCTGCTGGTTAGTCTCTGTGGATAATTAACCAGAGAAAAGGAACCAGGTCAGACTATTCTAGGGTTATGTGGAAATCCTTTATGAGATGCTAAATGGGGAGCAAATATTGATCAGTGAAGCTTTGAAGTCACCGGGGTCTTCAAAGGTAGCTGAGGTCAGTGCTCCTCTGGAGCATTGCCTAAAGTTTTTTCCTGAGACCTAACTATCTGATCCCCAGGCCAGAAGAGCATTGGTTGTTAGGTGTGAAGCTGAGTATAAAGAAAATTAAGAAGAGAAAATAGGGGTTTTCTATCTCTTTTTCCAAGTCCAAGCTAGAAACTCGGTTCTTTGTAAAGGAGATCTATCTAAACCTGGCTTAGGTGGATACTGAGACCTGTGATCCTTGTTACTGCTATGTGGTGAGATAAAAGGGCTATTCACAGCTGGGCACGGTGGCTCACGCCTGTAATCCCAGTACTTTGGGAGCCCGAGGCGGGTGGATCACCTGAGGTCAGGATTTCGAGACCAGTCTGACCAACATGGCAAAACCCCATCTCTACTAAGAATACAAAAATTAGCTGGGCGTGGTGGCGGGCGCCTATAATCCCAGCTACTCAGGAGGCTGAGATCGCACCACTGCAATCCAGCCTCAGCTACAGAGCAAGATCTGTCTCCAAAAAAAAAAAAGGCTTTTCACTTGGGGCTGGAGGTTTGTAGATAAGATGCTCTTGTCCTTGGGGTCAATGACTACGACAGGCTTAGGGAGGCACAAAAGTCCTGAAGCCTCGTCTACCCAGAGGATTTAGAAAGTGGTGCGGAATATCACTTCAGGGTCGTGTCATGGTCTCTGGGGAGCACAAGATAAGAGAGCATAGAAGACTGCCAAGTAGGAGAAGTGGCCCAGAGGCCCTAGAGAATGTGACCAAAGGGGATCTTCGATGAGGGGCTAGTCTGCGGCTCCTAATCTGTGGCTAAAGTGGGGTGAGCTGCTGTGTGGGGTTACGTGACCAGAGTGGCAGTGAGACTAATGCCCATGACCCAGAAGCTGTGGCTGGCTCGGAAAGCCTTCATAGTAAGGGCGCAGTTAAGACTTGGATTTCCTGCCATTACACACAGAACTGACAGCTCACAAAGCACTGGATATTCAGGCTCCTGCTTTTGCTTTTCTCCCCATATCGGGGTCTGTTAGTATCTATAATATCGTGGCCTCTGCTGACCTCAAATGATCTCCACCGAGCAGCTAACTCTGGCATCCTAGCCTGTTGTCCACATGATGTCACCTCCATGGCCGTGAAGCCATTAACCAAAGACATTCCTCAAGAAAGCGCGCCAAGGCGGTAGAAGGATCAGGCAATGATCAGTTTCCATGATCATATTACGGAATTGGCTCCAAGGACCTTCAGAGGTCGAGTCCTGGAGCGTCTCCTTTAGCATTCGCCTCAGAGATAACCCCAAAAGTGTTAAGGTCAAAGGGAAAAGCCAAGAGGGAAGTTAACTGAGTTATCAGGCACCTATTTAGCCACCCGCACTTCCCCGCCCGCCACCCATCCACCCTTAATTAGCCCTAATCCGGGCGGTCCAATCCTCCCCGTCACAACTGCTGTCAAGGGCTAAGGTCCCGCCCCGCTTCCATACCGGACCAATGGCCGGGCCCGGGGAGAGTCCCTTGAGAGGGGCGGGCTCGGGTTCCGGCCAGTGGGCGGGGCCTCCTTGAGGACCCCGGGCTGGGCGCCGCCGCCGGTTCGTCTACTCTTTCCTTCAGCCGCCTCCTTTCAACCTTGTCAACCCGTCGGCGCGGCCTCTGGTGCAGCGGCGGCGGCTCCTGTTCCTGCCGCAGCTCTCTCCCTTTCTTACCTCCCCACCAGATCCCGGAGATCGCCCGCCATGGCTTTACTTACTGCGGCCGCCCGGCTCTTGGGAACCAAGGTGAGCAGCGAGGGGAGGGAGCACGCCGTCCCAGGGTGGGGCTGAGGCGACCGCAGGCCCTCCGGCGCCGGGGTCTCCCTCCCACACCCGTGCGCACCCTGCGCGCCTTAAAGGGCCCTGCGCTTGGCTGGCCGCCAGCCCTGCGTGAAGCTACAGGACCATGTGCCGCGCTTCCCTTCTGGCTCCTGGGGGTGAAGTGCACGCCGCCCGCCCTCGGCCCGCAGTCCAGAACGCGTGAGGAGGCCGACCCTGCTGTCACCCCGCATGTCTGAAATGAAAGGGGAAGGGATGCGTGGCCCTGAAATAGCAAGGAGCCGAGACAGGAACCTCTGGTAGAGACTAGAGATGTGGTGTTCCACTGGAGTTACAGTCAGTTTGGTGGAGGGAGCGGGAGTGAAGATATGTGCTCACTCTGGAGCAGTGGCTAATTTCGTCCTCTGCTTTGTAGGAAGGGCCTTGTCAGTTCCCGAACTGCCTGTTTCCATTTCTCCAAGCCTATTATTTAAGCCTTCGGTGACCACGCCGAGCACAAGAGTGGGTCCTTCAGGCCCTCCTCTTTGTCCTTGGGACTCTTGCACTTTTTATATAGGAGGAGCTTGGGTGGGGTGGAGCACTTCTGTACAACCTCCTGCATGACTATCATACATGATTGCAGAAAGAACCAGAAAGGTGTTTCCACCAAACTGCAAGCCAATAAATGAAGATCCTCGGCAAGAGATACTAATGCCAAGGTCACATGACCGTCATACTACTTGCTTACCCAGGTTATGCCGTTGATCTTAAGTCTACTTTATCCAGGAACTTTCTCTCCTTCTTTGGGGTCCTTTACTTGGTATTGATTGCCTTTTGGGACATAGAAATACTGTTGCAGGTAATGATGCCTTCAATTTCAAATTGCAGTACTTTTAGTTCTAAGTAACTTGGCCCTTTTAGACAGAAACTGCTGTGCTGAGGGAGTCCCAGCCCTCTAATCCAAGCAGGGGACAGTCCCACAAGTGACCTTGACTTCTGCAAAGAACTTAGTTTTTCCTGCGGATAATTTAAAGCTGACAGCATCTGAAGGAAAGGAAAGCCTTAGGATGGTTTTGGCTTGCTGTATGTAATTTTTTTTTTTTTTTGAGACAGGATATTGCTCTGTCACTCAAGCTGGAGTCTTGTGGTGTGACCAAGGCTCCCTGCAGCCTCCACCTCCTGGGCTCAAGCAATCCTCCCACTTCAGCTTCCCGAGTAGCTGGGACCACAGGTGTGCACCGCCACGCCTGGCTAATCTTTTTTGATTTTTAGTAGAGGCAGCGTCTCCTTATGTTGCCCAGGCTGGTCTTGAACTCCTGAGCTCAAGTAATCTTCCTGCCTCGGCCTCCCAAAGTGCTGGGATTACAGGTGTGAACCACTGCACCTGGCCTGCTGTGCGTTATTTTTCATGGTTGGCACAAAGTGAAATTTGTAAGATTTACCTTGGTTCTTCCAGGCACCCAGTGGCAAGTACTAGCTGAGCATTTGGGAGATGCTTGTCTTACTTGGCTGTTGCTTCTCCTGCTGCTGGGGAAAAGGGTAAGGAAACCTCTTGGGAAATGAAGCAAGTTCTAGATAGCGTTTTGGCAGAATGGGGGACACTATAATTAGCTCATTTCTGAGCTGCTAACCCAGACCAGATAGTCTAACCCTGCAGTGAATGTGAAAAAGCCTTGGGATTTACCTATTGAATTTATTTTCCTCCTTAAGCCCATAGGGAAGCTCAGAACACTTTTGGGATGACAGAGCTACATAATTATGGTACCATTATTTTCCTGTTAGAGATGGCCTGACGATCCTAGTCACCTATCAGTTGAAAGCCATTAGAAGGCTTTTGACCCTTAAAAGTAGGTCAGGTGCAGTGGCTCACACCTGTAATCTCAGCACTTTGGGAGGCAGAGGCGGGTGGATCACCTGAGGTCGGGAATTTGAGACCAGCCTGACCAACATGGAGAAACCTCATCTCTACGAAAAATACAAAATTAGCCAGACATGGTGGCACATGCCTGTAATCATAGCTACTTGGGAGGCTGAGGCAGGAGGATCGCTCAAACCCAGGAGGCGGATGTTGTGGTGAGCCCAGATCGCTCCATTGCACTCCAGCCTGGGCAACAAGAGCGAAACTCCGTTTCAAAGAGAAAAAAAAGGGCGGGGGGGGTAGCAAAGCCCAATAATGAGTTTATTGGACTGGAAATCTCCTGAGAAATAAGCAATATGACCAGGGTACCAAGAAGCTTGTTGGCTTGTCAGCATTGCTAGCACCTGCCTGTGCTTTCTAGATTAGCCTGTGGATAATGCTAGTCATAATTGGTAATTTTACTTTTGCTAGTAAGGTAGACTTTGGGAGGCAGTAATTTCCTACCAGGGAGAACTGACTCTTACCACTTTGAGTCTCAGCGTCAGGTGTAGTTTTACTTTTCTGAGAAGAAATTTTTTTTTGTTTTGAGACAGAGTCTTACTCTGTCACTCAGGCTGGAGTGCAGTGGCGTAATCTCCGCTCACTGTAACCTCTGCCTCCCAGGCTCAAGCGATTCTCGTGACTCAGCCTCCTGAGTAGCTGGGGTTAGCAGGTGTGCACCACCACGCCCAGCTAATTTTTTGTATTTTTGGTAGAGACGGGGTTTCACCATATTGGCCAGACTGGCGAATTTTTTTAACCTTACTAGGAGACAACATGTGAATTAGTCATTGTTCTATTGTTCTACTCTCACTGTCACATAATTTAAATGTCACATAATTTAAAACACCTGAGTTAGAAGCTAATTCAGAGAGCTTTGAGATTATTTGACTTCTTGTTTATCCAAATTCATTAATGCTAAGCAATGGCCTTAGTATTATCTGTGGGTGACTCAGTTTTGTGACATCAAAAATGTCTTTTCACAGATGATCTGGGTTTGGATTTGGGCTAGGAATTGAAGTAGGGCTGCAGTTCACTTCTGGACTTTTGAAGTCAACATGCTTAACCAACCCTAGCTAAAGGGAACTGTCTCTTGAGCCACTGAAAATTGCTTCTCCAAGCTAGTATGTTTGAAACTGAGTAAATCAATTCAAAGATGTTTCTAGATTACTTCTAGACTTTTTCAAGACACTTAAATGCAAAGGAACCAATGGTTTCTTTACATTGGACTTATACCACTGTACAACATCACCTGTATAAGTCCTACTCAGAAATTGGGTTCAACAAAACCGAGTTGGTTTTGTCCTGCAAAATATTTAGTTAGGTTTTAAAGCCCAAATTTTTTAAAGGTAAGGGCTCATATCTCTGTGCCCTCACTTTGACTATCAGCCTACCCAAAGTAACGGTGATTCCTTGATACTAGAATGGCAGGGGAAGCCTTATGGGGTGTTAGTGGTGAGATGACTGCATTTGGTCTTCCCAGTGGCCTTTAGGTTGGTAGCAGGTGAATGAATGCATGGGGAGGCAGCAAGAATAGTATGGTAGGTAGCAGCGATAGAGTTGGCATTCCTGACTTAAAATCCAAGGGGCAGCAGAAGGGAAACCAGACTTGGTGGATTTCAATAAAGCCACACAATGATTCTTTCTGCCCTGTGTCAATACTTTATGCAACAGAGTAGGATGTGAAATTTAAAACCGTAATGAGGCAACTGTAGCAATAGATCTTTCTTAGCATCTGATTATCTTTCAGTTCTGGCTTCAACTGTGCTTCAACTGCACAAGTTCCTTAGTTCTCTGTTTTGGGTTTTTTTTGGGGGGTGGGGCTGGAGTGCAGTGGTGCGAACATGGCTTGCTATTACTACAGCCTCAACCTCATGGGCCCAAGCAATCCCCCCGAGTAGCTGGGACCACAGGCACGCACAGCCACGCCTGGCTAATTTTTTTGTAGTTTTTTTGGAGACAGTGTTTTGCCATGTTGTCCAGGCTGGTTTCGAACTCCTGGGCTCAAGCAATCCACCAGTCTCAGCTTCCCAAAGTGCTGAGATTACAGGCGTGAGCCACTGCACCCAGCCCTCTGTATTTCTTTTAACATGATGCTATTTTAAAAGGTCTGTAAACTCACAGTGGGCATTGTCACCTGTAATGCTTGCTTATGTTGCAGTTTCCTGGATCCTACCTTCAGATTACAATTCTGCAAAGTAGGATGGGATCTGGAAAAGTTTCTTGTAAATCCCTAAAGTGTCAGGGAGTTAAAACTTGTAAGAACTTCTTTTTTTTTTTTTTTTTTTTTTTTTTTTTTGAGACAGTTTCGCTCTGTCGCCTAGGCTAGAGTGCGGTGGCTCGATCCCGGCTCACTGCAAGATCCGCCTCTGGGGTTCACGCCATTCTCCTGCCTCAGCCTCCTGAGTAGCTGGGACTGTAGGCGCCCACCACCTCGCCCCGCTAATTTTTTGTATTTTTAGTAGAGACAGGGTTTCACCGTGTTAGCCAGGATGGTCTCGATCTCCTGACCTCGTGATCCGCCCGCCTCCACCTCCCACAGTGCTGGGATTACAGGCGTGAGCTGCCGCGCCCAGCCATAAAACTTCTACGAACTTCTAGCAGAAGTAAGGGAATAGTTTCTAATTCCTGAGAAAGTATTATGATGACAGATCCTATATTCTTTATTCACTAGTATATACTTAGTGTACACATAATAAGTAGGTGTTCAAGAATTTTTTTTTTTTCCTTGAGATGGAGTCTCGCTCTGTCACCCAGGCTGGAGTGCAGTGGTGTGATCTCGGCTCACTGCAACCTCTGCCTCCCGGGTTCAAGCTATTCTCCTGCCTCAGCCTCCCTAGTAGCTGGGACTACAGGCACATGCCACCACGCCGGGCTAATTTTTGTATTTTTAGTAGAGATGGGGTTTCACCATGTTGGCCAGGATGGTCTTGAACTCCTGACCTCGTGATCCACCCGCCTCAGCCTCCCAAAATGCTGGGATTACAGGCATGAGCCACCGTGCCCGGCCAAGAAATATTTATTAGCTAGGCATGATGGCTTATGTCTATAATTCCAGCACTTTGGGAGGCTGAGGTAGGAGGATCACTTGAGCCCAGTAGTTTGAGATCAGCCTGGCAACATAGCAAGACCTTGTCTCTTAAAAAAAAAAAAAAAGTTCATTAAATTAAAGTACAATAAGTGTTGGCCAGGCACAGTGGCTCACGCCTGTAATCCCAGCCCTTTGGGAGACTGAGGTGGGCAGATCACTTGAGGTCAGGAGTTCGAGACCAGCCTGGCCAACATGGTGAAACCCTGTCTCTACTAAAAATACAAAAATCAGCCAATCGTGGCAGCTGCCTGTAATCCCAGCTACTAGGGAAGCTGAGGCACAAGAATCACTTGAATCCGGGTGGCAGAGGTTGCTGTGAGCTGAGATCATGCCACTGCACTCCAGCCTGGGCAATAGAGTGAGACTCGTCTCAACAAAAGAACAGTAAGTGTTCCTACTGAAAGGAAAGTTTAATACTTGTGATTCCTGGCTGGGCATGGTGGCAGGCACCTATAATCCCAGCTACTCGGGAGGCTGAGGCAGGAGAATCGCTTGAACCCAGGGGGTGGAGGTTTCAGTGAGCCGAGATCGCACCACTGCACTCCAGCCTGGGTGACAGAGACTCTGTCTCAAAAAACAAAAATAGACTTGTGATTCCTTTCTGAAGATGGAAGCTGGAGGAGTATCTTTTGCAGTCCTCCTTACTGAGTGATCAGTGCATCTTTTTTTTTTTTTTTTTTTTTTTTGAGACAGAGTCTTGCTCTGTCGCCCAGGCTGGAGTACAGTGGCATGATCTCGGCTCACTGCAACCTCTGCCTCCTGGGTTCAAGCAATTGTCCTTTCTCAGCTTCCCGGTTAGCTGAGATTACAGGTGTGCGCCACCGTGCCCGACTAATTTTTGCATTTTTAGTAGAGACAGGGTTTCACCATCTTGGCCAGACTGGTCTTGAACCCCTCACCTCAGGTGATCGGCCTACCTTGGCCTCCCAAAGTGCTGGGATTACAGGCATGAGCCACTGCACCCAGCAGTGATCGGTGACTATTCACGTGAAGAGACTGTTGGAAAATGACAGTTAGGTAGAATTATTAAGGAAATGTCTGTAAGTATGAAGGAGGTCAAAGTATGAAATCTGTAGATTGCTCAGGCTTTTAAGTGGCCTGACCATGTAGTGCCAAACCGACTTCCAGTATCACCGTTGTGAAACACACACATTAAATGGCTTTAGTTCTCTGACCTGGTTCTGGGGAGAGAGGAGCCTTTGTCCTATTTGTGTTCGTGTTCTCTGAATGCAAGTTGTTCCTTCTGCATTGGAAGTGTCTGTAGTACAGGATTTTTTCCTACTGGTTATTAGTGTATTGTGTTTGCTCCATCAGCTAAGCCAGTCCTGCTGGCTTGGCAAGCTCTGATCTTTTGTTGATGAAGGACGAAGTCCCTGTTAAAATCAGGAGCTTCTTCCGCAAGGTTTTTCTGTTTTGTTTTCTAATTTTTTTTAGTATTATTATTTTGAGACGGAGTCTTGCTCTGTCACCCAGGCTGGAGTGCAATGGCGCAATCTCAGCTCACTGCAACCTCCGTCTCCCAGGTCCAGGCGATTCTGCCTCAGCCTCCCGAGTAGCTGGGACTATAGGCATGTGCCACCACGCCTGGCTAATTTTTGTATTTTTAGTAGAGATGGGGTGTCACCATGTTGGCCAGGCTGGTCTTGAACTCCTGACATCAGGTGATCCACCCACCTTGGCCTCCCAAGGTGTTGGGATTACAGGCGTGAGCCACCGTGTCCAGCCTGTTTTCTAATTTTTTAAATTATTTTTTGTAGAGACAGAGTCTTGCTTTTTAATTCAGAAATGCTGGGATTATAGGCATGAGCCACTGCGCCCAGCCTCCCCCAAGGTTTTAATGTTGGTTATGTGGATATGTGGTAGGACATATCCTGGATATGCAGAAGGACAGAGAGAGTCTGGATGTACCTAGGATGGAGAATCAAAGAAAATTTGGCTTCTTGACTGTAGGGTGAGGGTGCTAGATGTGGAACAGTGATGGTAATAGGCTAAGGAGTAAGAGGAAAATAACCTATATTGAGTAAGTGGGCTTTTTTTGTTTTGTTTTGTTTTTTGAGACAGAGTCTCCTCTGTTGCCCAGGCTGGAGTGCAGTAGCACAATCTCAGCTCACTGCAGCTTCAGCCACCTGGGTTCAAGCGATTCTTCTGCCTCAGCCTCCTGTTTGAAATGCTTGTTCCCTGGTGCTGTAAAGAAATAGCACTTGAACATAAATTTAATTAATTTAATTTAATTTACTCAGCAAGGCCTTTTTTTTTGAGACAGAGTCTCACTCTGTCGCCCAGGCTGGAGTGCAGTGGTGCGAACTCGGCTCACTGCAAGCTCTGCCTCCCAGGTTCACGCCATTCTCCTGCCTCAGCCTCCTGAGTAGCTGGGACTACAGGCGCCCGCCATGACGCCCGGCTAATTTTTTTTTTTTTTTTTTTTTTTTGTATTTTTTTAGTAGAGATGGGGTTTCACCCTGTTAGCCAGGATGGTCTCGATCTCCTGACATCATGATCCGCCTGCCTTGGCCTCCCAAAGTGCTGGGATTACAGGCGTGAGCCACCGCGCCAGGCCATCAAGGCCATTTTTATACTTTCTGCAGAAAGGGTACACGCCAGCAGTTTTGCCACGAGAGTACACCGAGCAAAGGAGACAGGGTCATTTATACCCTGATGCATCCACCCTACTGCTGTGTCCAGTTCCAGTTTCCATTGGCTGGAATGGGACCTCACATTTTGTATTTGTCCTGATTGGCTAGCAACTTAGAACTTTTTTTTTTTTTTTTTTAGACCAAGTCTTGCTCTGTCAGCCAGGCTGGAGTGCAGTGGCACAATCTCGGCTCGCTGCAGGCTTTGCCTCCCGGAGCTTCTCCTGCCTCAGCCTCCCGAGTAGCTGGGACTACAGGCACCTGCCACCACACCTGGCTAATTTTTTGTATTTTTTAATAGAGACGGGGTTTCACCATGTTAGCCAGGATGGTCTTGATCTCCTGACCCCGTGATCTGCCTGCCTTGGCCTCCCAAAGTGCTGGGATTACAGGCTTGAGCCACAGTGCCCAGCTGCAACTTAGAACTTTTTTAAAGAGGCAAAGGCAGAGGAGAACAAAGGAAGGTGTGAGTCACCATACCTGGCCTCTTTTAATTTTTATATTTTTTCATCTTACCACATTTGAGGGCTACAGCCCACCTCTATCAATAATAGCTGACTCACTAGAGGAGTTCTTGTAAGGGGTGGCAACAAATGAGCTCTTAGTGATTGTGGGGGAAAAACCTCTTCGTGATTGTGATAACGCCACCTCCACCCTATAGAGAATACTGGCTGTCAGACATTGTGAGCCAGGCCCTTGTCTTTGGAAGTAGCCCTCTCCATCTCTCCCCATGAAGGAGCTGACCTATTGAGTGAGATGACTGCCTGATTCTCCTGAGAGCTGCTGTTCCAGTAAGGTGACTCTACAGGTGGCATGCATCCAGAAGCCAAAAGCCCAACTGTCACACCTCCAGGATTAGGGGAGAATCTGGGAGGTAGAAGTTCAGGGATGATTCAGAGGTTTGTAATCTACCTGTCTCATCAATGAACATAACCTGAATGTACTGTTCAGAGCCATTCAGCAGCTTTCTTTGGCAGCCACGGGGTAGAGGAAATGAAATGTAGCCTTTGATGTTACAGTCCTCAAGCACCTCCTGTCTAGAGTCATTTGCTCTGCTGGTGGCCATCAGGGTTAGTTAAATTTGTTTCCTCTCCCTGAGATGCCTCCCTTCTTGGTCAAGAAGCCCTTAAAAAGAAAACTGGTATCTTTTCCTTGATGCCTGTTAAAAAAAAAAAAGAAAGAAAGAAAGAAAGAAAATTGGGACTTTATTTTGTATTCCACAGCTGGAAGGAATTATCCATTCACCTCTGCCTCAGGCTTGACTGCCTCTTTCCTGGGATCCAACTCCCAGGAAGTTCTGACACTTGATGGTAGGTGATAGGCCAACACATTTGTAAGAAACAAATATTTACTGAATTCAGCTATGCACAAAGCACTGTTCTAGATGCTTTTATGAAAATTATTTTATTTAGTTTACTTAACTACTCTGAAATTGGCTTTTATTATTACCATTTTAGAAATGTAAAAACTGAGACTTAGAAATTAGGTTACATAGCCAAGATAACACAGTGGGAAGGTGGCAGAACGTTCATTTAGGACTTGGTCCTTGGTAACTCCATATCTAAACTGTTTGGATTCAGTAAGTCTGAGGCCCAAGAAATGTAAATACTTCTGGCGAGGAGGTCACATTTTAAGTAACAAGACTTGACTACTTTTGCATATACGTCCTTATTGGAACCTGAGAATCAGACTCTGAGTTAAGTAGTTTAAGTGTTATCTTAATTATGGAAATGGGAAGAGAAATAGTAGTTCATTGTTTTCCTTTGGTTGTCTTAATTAGTAATGGAGCTAGGACTAGAACCCAGACTTCCTTTCCTAACTCCAAATTAAGTGCTCTGTACTCTACATCATTAGATAAAGTTGTCCTAAGTTGAATTTTTTCTACTCTACCCTTTTGAGCAATCTTACCAATGAATTGCTGCCTTTAAAATTCCTCTGATAACTTTTTTTTTTTAAGCTTCAGGTTTAGCAAAAAACATGACTGAACCTGACACCGAACGGTGCTAGAAAGTGGCTATCAGGCTGAGCGCGGTGGCTCACGCCTGTAATCCCAGCACTTTGGGAGGCCGAGGTGGTGGATCACGAGGTCAGAAGTTCGAGACCAGTCTGGCCAACATAGTGAAACCCCATCTCTACTAAAAATACAAAAAATTAGCCGGGTGTGTTGGTGTGCACCTGTAATCTTAGCTACTCAGGAGGCTGAGGCAGGAGAATAGTGTGAACCTGGGAGAGGGAGGTTGCAATGAGCTAAGATTGTGCCATTGCACTCCAGCCTGGGTGACAGTGTGAGACTCCTTCTCAAAAACAAACAAACAAACAAAAAAACATAAAATCTTCCGGGCACTGTGGCTCATACCTGTAATCCCAGCACTTTGGGAGGCTGAGGCAAGTGGATCATTTGAGGTCAGGAGTTTGAGACCAGCCTGGCCAACGTGGTGAAACCCTGTCTCTACTAAAAAACTACAAAAATTAGCTGGGCATGGTGGCGGGTGCGTGTAGTCCTGGCTACTCGCGAGGCTGAGGCAGGAGAATCGCTTGAACCTGGGAGGCGGAGGTTGCAGTGAGCCAAGATCAAGCCACTGCACTCAGCCTGGGCAACAGAGCAAGACTCGGTCTCAAAACAAAACAAAACAGAAAGTCAGCTGGTTGCAGTGGCTCATGCCGGTAATCTCAGCACTGTGGGAGACTGAGGTAGGAAGATCGCTTGAGCCCAGGAGTTCAAAGCCAGCCGGGGCAACATAGCAAGACCCCCGTCTCTATAAGAAAAGTTTAAAAGATAAAATTAGCTGGCCGGGCGCGGTGGCTCACGCCTGTAATCCCAGCACTTTGGGAGGCCGAGGCGGGCAGATCACGAGGTCAGGAGATCGAGACCATCCTGGCTAACACAGTGAAACCCTGTCTCTACTAAAATACAAAAAATTAGCCAGGCGTGGTGGCGGGTGCCTGTAGTCCCAGCTACTTGGGAGCCTGAGGCAGGAGAATGGTGTTGAACCTTGGAGGTGGAGCTTGCAGTGAGCTGAGATCGCACCACTGCACTCCGGCCTGGGTAACATAGCGGGACTCCGTCTCAAAAAAAAAAATTAATTAAATTAAATTTAAAAAAAAATCACCACAGCAAACAACCACCCTCAATTAAAAGGTCTCCTGCTGGGCTGATGTAGTCTCTGGGACATGGGGCCTCTCTAGTAGGGAATCTGTGGGACTCTAAACCATGGAATAGCTTGAACAAGGTTAACTCTGTAGAACAATAGTTTGAACTTATTAACATGTTTTCTTTGCCCACTTTTTTTGTGAAAGAAAGGGCAAAGTTACATCTTCAGTGCTGGGTTCAGCTTCCTGTTTGCCCATGTAGGGTGCAAGGGCTATGAAGGGCTGTTTGTGCTGCCTATTTTCTTGCTCAAGTGATCCTCAGTAAGATAGAGGAGACTCTTGAGGAAGTTAAGAAAAGGAGTTAAGGACAGCCCTGGTAACAAGTTGAGGTGTTCCTCGTTTGCTTTAGGAACATACTGGCTTGGTCTATGCTCTCTGAATTTACCTTTGGATTGATTCTTTTAAAAGTAATCTTTTCTGTCTGGGTGCAGTGGTGCATACCTGTAATCCCAGCACTTTGGGAGGCTGAAAATGGAGGATCACTTGAGCCCAGGATCACTCGAGGCCAGCCTGGGCAACAGAGCAAGACCCCATCTCTACAAAAAAAAATTTTTTTTTTTTTAATTAGCTGGGCTTGGTGATGTGCGCCTGTAATCCTGGCTACTCAGGAGGCTGAGGTGGAAGTATCACTTGAGCCCAGGAATTGAAGGCTACAGTGAGCTATTAACATGCCACTATACTCCAGCCTGGGGGAAAGAGTGACCTTTCTGAAGGGCCTCTTTTCATTCCTCCTCTCCGTCCCAACAGAAATAGGGGAACTAAATTTTAAAAATTCTAAAAATCTGGGAGGCCGAGGTAGGCGTATCACCAGATGTCAGGAGTTTGAGACCAGCCTGGACAACATGATGAAACTCTGTCTCTACTGAAAATACAAAAATTAGCCAAGCATGGTGGCGTGTGCCTATAATCCCAGCTACTCAGGAGGCTGAGGCATGAGAATCACTTGAACACGGGAGCCAGAGATCACGCCACTGCACTTCAGCCTGGGCGACAGAATGAGACTCCATCTCAAAAAAAAAAAAAAAAAAAAAAATTCTAAAAAGCCTTCAGCCCTATAGAACTCTCACCCCAGGCAGGTAGCAATTTTTTGCACAGAGAGCAGTGCAGTAGTTACTAGAAAAGGTGCCTCTGGTCTTTTGACAAAAGGACAGGTGCAGCCTTGCTCCAGGATTAGTTTATTTCTGTGTGTAATCTTCTAAGTCTGCAAAGCACTTTTATATCCACTGTAATTTAGTTATCATGGGACTATTCTGTGAGGTGTGTGGTGAGTATTAGAGCCATTTTATAGAGCAGGAAACTTAGGCTTAATTTGATTATCTCAATTTGTTTTCAAAATCTAGTACAGAAAAATTAATTTCCTTGCCTCAGGCCGTATTCCTAGTTAGTAACCTGATTGGTCATCTTATTTCAAAGTTGGTGTATGGCCTGGCATGGTGGCTTACGCCTGTAATCCCAGTGCTTTGAGAGGCCGAGGCAGGCAGATCACCTGAGGTCAGGAGTTTGAGACCAGCGTGGCCAACATGGTGAAACCCCGTCTCTACTAAAAATACAAAAAAAATTAGCCAAGCATGGTGGTGCATGCCTGTAATCCCAGCTACTCAGGAGGCTAAGGCAGGAGAATCACTTGAATCCAGAAGGCTGAGGTTGCGGTGAGCTGAGATTGTGCCATTGCACTCCAGTCTGGGCAACAAGAGTGAAACTGTCTCAAAAAAAATAAAGAAAAGGAAAAAGAAAACTCACAAAGTTGGTGTGGAACTTTTATTGCAACTTAACAATCTTCTCACAGATGTATTTTTTATTTGAGGAAAAAAGAAACTACCTGTACACACAGAAAAGCATAAACTAGCTAAACTATTTTCTCTCTCTCTCTTTTTTTTTTTTTTTTTTTTTTTTTTTTTTTGACAGAGTCTTGCTCATTTGCCCAGGCTGGAGTGCAGTGGCACAATCTTGGCTCACTGCAACCTCTGCCTCCAAGGTTTAAGCCATTCTCCCACCTCAGTCTCCTGAGTAGCTGGGATTACAGCTGCCTGCCCATACCACGCCTGGCTAATTTTTGTATTTTTAGTAGAGAAGGGTTTCACCATGTTGGCCAGGCTGGTCTTGAACTCCTGACCTCAGGTGATCCACCGCCTCAGCTTCCCAAAGTGCTGGGATTACAGGCATGAGCCACCGCGCCCAGCCAAACTAATTATTTTCTTTTGACACTCTTAGAAACTTTGCAAGTTTCCATTTCTGCTAATGAGTAGTCTTCTGTCAGCTTCTTTGTAGATAATCTTTGTGCTTTTTCCAGGAGGGTCAGAAGTACCGTTATGAAAGGCTGCCCTCTGCCTGTGGTCTTTCCCAGATTAGAGAGGTTGAAGTGCTGTCGAAAGACCAGGTGCAGGAGAGATCTTACCAGCAGTGTTAAGTAATTGCTCAGTTTCCTCATTTGTTTTCCTTGGGGTCACTCAAAAATATTGATAACCGCCCTGCTCTGGAGCCCAGATGATGGGAAAGAGTCTGTCTTCAAGGAATGCTAGTGAAGCTATGGATGAAAAAAAGCAGTTAAACCTCCTGCTGTCTCCATAGTGGTAACTCCTTCCAAACTGTTTGGGGACTTTTACAGCTTTCTTATGTCAAACTGCCCTAAGAGACTGAGATGAAGAGAGAGAGGTTGAGTCACTGTAATTCCTTCTTGTTAATATAAAAGAGGGAGGGGTAACAGTTACATAAGGTTCTCTTTTTTGCTTTGCAGAATGCATCTTGTCTTGTTCTTGCAGCCCGGCATGCCAGTGCTTCCTCCACGGTAAGGTTTGGAAAAGAAGACTAAGAATAAGAATCATTGCGGCCAGCCTGACCTTGGGGCAGAGGATTTGGCAACCACCTGGCCTCTTATTATCCTGAGTATTTCCTGGAAGTGTTTGTTACTATTGTTATTGTTATAGCTGCTATTATTATTATATTACTATTTAACAAATAATTTACTCAGTGGTATAGTGAGATGGGAATATCAATACATTTGCCTAATTCTTTTAAATGTTTTAAGTAGTGTAAAATATACATAACATAAAATTTACCATTTTAATCATTTTTAAGTATATGGTTTAGTGGCAGTAGATATGTTTACATTATTGTGCAACCATCCATCTCCAGAACTTTTGTCTGCCCAAACCGAGAAACTGTTCCCATTAAACATTAACTCCTCATTCCTTCTTCCCCCTGCCTAATTCTTTTACCCTCATTTGTGCAGAGTAGTTGACCAGACTTCCCTGGCAGATAAAGCCAGCTTCTAAAAAGCAAATTCTTGACACACCTACTTTGCAGGAAATCTAATAAACTTTTAGACCATTGCTTAGTCCTTCTACTTTTCTTTTTAGAATTTGAAAGACATATTGGCTGACCTGATACCTAAGGAGCAGGCCAGAATTAAGACTTTCAGGCAGCAACATGGCAAGACGGTGGTGGGCCAAATCACTGTGGACATGGTAAGGGTTGTGTGGCTTTGGCTGGGAAAAGTAGCTCTGTAATGTGCTTCAACAAAAGTAACATTCTCTCCACTGACTATTCAAAAGCATTCTGTCCCATAGGCCCTGTAGGACAGCTTTAGGATGACTTTTCCCCATCCTTCAGATTCTGAGCAGCTCAGCTGATAGTTTCTCAACAGTTTTTAGCTTATTGGTCTCCATCCCCTTCTCCTAGACTAGAACTCATTCTGTTTGTTTTGATTGGTTGGAATTTGAGGGTAGGGTATGTTGGGGAGTGGTTGAGTGGGCAGGAGAAAAAAAGTGAAATACAATAAGAAAAGGAATCAAACAGAGGGCGCAATGGCTCATGCCTATTATCCCAACATTTTGGGAGGCTGCAGTTGGAGAATCACTTGAGGCCAGGAGTTAACAACCAGCTTGATCAACAAAGGAAGATACAATCTCTATGAAAGAAAAATTTAAAAAATTAGCCAGAGATGGTGGGATGCCCCTGTAGTCCCAGCTACTGGGGAGGCAAAGGCAGGAGGATTGCTTGAGCCCAGGAGTTCAGGGCTGCAGTGAGCCATGATTATGCCACTGTAGTATAGCCTGGGCAACAGAGGGAGACCCTATCTCCAAAACAAACAAAAAGAAAGATAGTGATTTCTCAACTTAAAAAATTTCATTTCCAGGCCTGTTGCAGTGGCTCATGCCTGTAATCCCAGCACTTTGGGAGGCTGAGGCGGGTGGCTCATCTGAGGTCAGGAGTTCGAGACCAGCCTGGCCAACATGGTAAAACTCCGTCTCTACTAAAAAATATAAAAATTAGCTGGGCATGGTGGCAGGCAACTGTAATCCCAGCTACTCAGGAGCCTGAGGCAGGAGAATCACTTAAACCCAGGAGGCAGAGGTTGCAGTGAGCTGAGATTGCACCATTGCACTCCAGCCTGGGCAAGAGTGAGACTCCATCTGGGGGGAAAAAAAAAAAGATCAGCCTTGGCAACATGGCTGGCAAAACCCTGTTTTTTTTTTTTTTTTTGGGACGGAGTCTCACTGAGTCACCAGGCTGGAGTACAGTGACGTGATCTCGGCTCACTACAACCTCCGCCTCCCGGGTTCAAGCGATTCTTCTGCCTCAGCCTCCTGAGTAGCTGGGATTACAGGCCCGCACCACCACGCCCAGCTGATTTTTGTATTTTTAGTAGAGACAGGGTTTCACCATGTTGGCCAGGATGTCTCGATATCCTGACGTCGTGATCTGCCCGCCTTGGCCTCCCAAAGTGCTGGGATTACAGGCGTGAGCCACTGCACCCGGCCTAAACCCCATTTCTTTAAAAAAAAAAAAAAGAAATACAAAAATTAGCCAGACATGGTGGCACGTGCCTATAATCCCAGCTACTCAGGAGGCTGAAGTGGGTGGATCACCTGAGCCTGCAAGTCAAGGCTGCAGTAAGCCGTGATTGTGCCACTGTGCTGCAGCCTGAGTGACAGACTCTGTGAGAGGCTTAGTGATCTTCCCTCCTCCTCAGCCTCCCAAAGTGCTGGGATTACAGGCATGAGCCCCACCGTACCTGGCCACAAAGTTTGTTTTTTTTTTTCTTTTTTTTTTTTTTTTTTGAGATGGAGTTTTGCTCTTGTCACCCAGGCTGAAGTGCAATGGTGTGATCTTGGCTCACTGCAATCTCTGCCTTCTGGGTTCAAGCGATTCTCCTGCCTCAGCCTCCCAAGTAGCTGGGATTACAGGCACATACACCATGCCCGCTAATTTTTTAATTTTTAGTAGAGACATGGTTTCACCCTGTTGGCCAGGCTGGTCTCAAACTCCTGACCTCAGGTGATCCACCTGCCTCGGCTTCCCAAAGTGCTGGGATTACAGGTGTCAGCCACTGTGCCTGGCCACAAAGTTTAATTCTTTAGTAAGCTGACTCCTCAGACATCTCTCACCAAATGAAGTCTTACAAGTCTGAGAATAAATTTTCTCTCCCAGATCCCATGAAGCTCTAACAAGTTCTAGTCTGAATCATTCTGATTACTGGCCACAGCCTCTTTTTTTTTTCCTTCTTTCTTCATCCTCTTTAGATGTATGGTGGCATGAGAGGCATGAAGGGATTGGTCTATGAAACATCAGTTCTTGATCCTGATGAGGTAAGACATCTTCATGTCAATTACTAATAATCATTGAGTTTGTGCAAATACGCAAACCGTGGATTAGACCAGTAAGGGTAAGCACAAAACAGAGCACCTAGCTTCATATATTGGAAGGTAGAGAAGACATATGTATGGAATAATTGAAGAACAAATTTACCTTTTAAATATATCAACTAGTAAAAATAAAAGTACAAAACCAGAGGTAAGTTATGTGAAGATTTAAGCTTAATTTAAAGTTCTGTTCTGGACTGGGCGCAGTGGCTCACACCTGTAATCCCAGCACTTTGGGAGGCTGAGGCGGGCAGATCATGCGGTCAGGAGGTTGAGACCGTCCTGGCTAACACGGCGAAACCCTGTCTGTACTAAAAACACACAAAATTAGCCGGGCATGGTGGCAGGCACCTGTAGTCCCAGCTACTCGGGAGGCTGAGGCAGGAGAATGGCGTGAACCCAGGAGGCGGAGTTTGCAGTGAGCCGAGATCGCACCACTGCACTCCAGCCTGGGCGACAGTGTGAGACTCCGTCTCAAAAAAAAAGAAAATTAAAAATTGTATTCTGGGCTAGGCATGATGGCTTGCCCCTGTAATCCTAGCACTTTTGGAGGCCAAGGTGGAGCATTGCGTGAGGCCAGAAGATCGGGACCAGTCTGAGCAACATAGCAAGACCCCACCTCTACAGAAATAATAATTAACATAAAAAGTTCTACTCTAACTTGTTGTAAGGTCTGATGAGTAAGACCAGTCGTGTGACTTCTAGGCTATAAACTTGAGTTGTAATTCTCTCTCTCCTCTCTCAAGGGCATCCGTTTCCGAGGCTTTAGTATCCCTGAATGCCAGAAACTGCTACCCAAGGCTAAGGGTGGGGAAGAACCCCTGCCTGAGGGCTTATTTTGGCTGCTGGTAACTGGACATATCCCAACAGAGGAACAGGTAAAGCAGAAGGATATTATTAGCTCTTCTCATTCCCCTTCTTCATTGCCTTTCTCTAATCTCAGACACTTAATGCTGATCCGGCATTTATAGAGATGCGTAGTGAAGGGAAGGAATCAGCAGAGTTCTGCTGTATAAATGGATTGGGTTGACCTCTCTTGGGTTTTCTTTACTCAGATGTTGCTGTCCTTTTTTATTTTTCTCCTTCCTTGTCCTTGCTGGTGTTCTGAGCACTGTCTCTTTTTCCACAGGTATCTTGGCTCTCAAAAGAGTGGGCAAAGAGGGCAGCTCTGCCTTCCCATGTGGTCACCATGCTGGACAACTTTCCCACCAATCTACACCCCATGTCTCAGCTCAGTGCAGCTGTTACAGCCCTCAACAGTGAAAGTAACTTTGCCCGAGCATATGCACAGGGTATCAGCCGAACCAAGTACTGGGAGGTAGGAAATTTGGGTGGGGTGATCGGTGTGTGATGGGGATTCAAAGGACTTGAGTGTGAAGGGAGGGAAAAAATACAGAATCTTTAGAAAAATTACCTCTGAGTTAATCAGAAACTAACTTAACAGATTTTCATTGGAGGCTTGTTTTTTGTCAGTTGTTGGAATTACAAAGCTAAGTAGAGCATGGTTTCTATCACCAGGACTGTTTGTTTGGTTAGGCTGACACACGTGCAGAAAAAAGAAATTATTAAAATTCCATAGTCGGCCGGGCACAGTGGCTCATGCCTATAATCCCAGCACTTGGGGAGGCCAAGGCGGGCAGATCACGAGGTCAGGAGTTCAAGACTAGTCTGGCCAATATGGTGAAACCCCATCTCTACTAAAAATACAAAAATTAGCCAGGCGTGATGCCGGGCGCCTGTAATCCCACCTACTCAGGAGGCTGAGGCAGAAGAATCACTTGAACCTGGGAGGTGGAGGTTTCAGTGAGCCGAGATCGCACCACTGCACTCCAGCCTGGGCAACAGAGTGAGACTCCATCTAAAAAAAAATTCCATAGTCTTGCTGTAACAGAGGTATGTACACATGGCTGTTGAAACGGAAAAGAGACCTAGGTAGGTGGCTCACACCTATAATCCCAGTGAGTCATGATGCTGAGGTGGGAGGATTGCTTAAGGCCAGGAGTTTGAGATCAGCCTGGGCAACATAGTGAGATCCTATCTGTACATAAAAAAGGAGAAAACAAGAAAAGAAAAGGATGTGACTTAACTGCAGGGTCCCTGAGGAAGGTTTCACAGAGCAGTCTCATGCTAGCACCAGAGGGTCACTTTCCCTCACTATCTTCTTCAAATACAGAAAACTTTGAGAAATCTTACAAGTTGGGAGAACAGCAATTGCAACTCTGGAGTCTAGGAGGACTAATGCCAGTCAGTCATGTTCTCGGCTAGCCAACCTAAGATACCCATCAGGAGTGGGAGAGTGGTTAGTATCCTTGGAGTAGGCTCCAGATCCAGAAACAAATGAGCTTTATTCTCTGAAAATGAAAAGTGTCCTTAATAGTTTACAACGCTGGTTGGGGTATGGAAAGATTGTTTCTTATCCCAATGCATAGTACATAATTCCTTCCATCCTCTTCTAGTACCCCACAAACTCAGAAACACTGGGTAAAAGTACAAATGATCTGGCTAGGTTTACAGGAGAATGTACCATTTTCTTTTGTTCCTTATTTGGAGATAGGTAGTATAGGAACAGAAAATTTTCTTTTTACAAAGCAGGTACATTAAATGATTTTTGGCCAGGAGGTGCCAGCCACCAGGAAGGCCCTAAAGAGTTCACTGTGGTGCAAGACACAGAAGAGCATGACCCACTGCTCTGATGCAACCACCTTGGGTCCTTGGCAAATCTAGATTGATTTAGTTGGTCAATATTAATTTGGCACCAACTGTGTGTAGAGAATTGTGTTTGCAGTTGAGGAAGACAGAGAGCATTTAAAATTGATATTAACTTGGTTGGCATTGGGGAGTTGGTATCAGAATGATGCAAAATATACACATTCACACCACATAAAGCATTTATTTATAAAGGCTTATTTATAAACACTTTAGGTGGTATGAATGTGTATATTTGTACCTGCACACATTAGCAGGTACAAAAGGTCATATAATCTTAATATTTTGTTTTTCATTTTATTTATTTATTTATTTTTTTGAGATGGAGTCTCGCTGTGTCACCCAGGCTGGAGTGAAATGGCATGTGAACCACCGTGCCCAGCCATTTTTATTTTTATTTTTTTAGAAATAGGTCTCTCTCTAATCACCCAGGCCAGGATGCAGTGGCATGATCATAGCTCACTGTAACCTTGAACTCCTGGACTCAAGTGATCCTCCTGCCTCAGCCTCCCAAGTAACAAGGACTACAGGCACATGCCACCATGTCTAGCTGGCATTACAGGCGCACACCACCACTCCTGGCTAATTTTTTTGTTTTTTTTTTTTGTTTTTTTTGGGAGACGGTGTCTTGCACTGTCACCCAGGTTGGAGTGCAATGGCACGATCTCAGCTCACTGCAACCTCCACCTCCTGGGTTCACACAATTCTCCTGCCTCAGCCTCCCGAGTAGTTAGGATTACAGGCGCACACCACCACACCCAGCTAACTTTTTGTATTTTTAGTAGAGACAGGGTTTCACTATGTTGGCCAGGCTGGTCTCGAACCTCTGACCTCGTGATCTGCCCACCTCGGCCTCCCAAAGTGCTGGGATTACAGGCTTAAGCCACCACGCCTGGCCTTGTCTTTTTAATAGAGTTTCACCATGTTGGCTAGGCTGGTCTAGAACGGCTGGTCCAGAACTCCTGACCTCAGGTGATTCGCCCACCTCTTCCCCAAAGTGCTGGGATTATAGGCGTGAGCCACCACCCTGGGCCTTTTTGTTTGTTTGTTTTGTTTTGTTTTTTGAGATGGAGTCTCGCTCTGTTGCCCAGGCTGGAGTGCAGTGACACAATCTCAGCTCACCACAACCTCTGCCTCCTGGGTTCAAGCGATTCTCCTGCCTCAGCCTCCCCGGTAGCTGGGACTACAGGTGCGCACCACCACGCCTGGCTAATTTTTGGTTTTTGCTTTTTTGCTTTTGTTTTGTTTTTTTTTGGTTTTTTTTTTGAGATGGAGTCTCGCTCTGTTGCCCAGGCTGGAGTGCAGTGGTGCGATCTCAGCTGATTGCAAGCTCCGCCTCCCTGGTTCAAGCAATTCTCCTGCCTCAGCCTCCCGAGTAGTTGGGACTACAGGCACCCGCCACCATGCCTGGCTAATTTTTTGTATTTTTAGTAGAGTCGGGGTTTCACCGTGTTAGCCAGGATTGTCTCGATCTCCTGACCTCGTGATCCACCCGCCTCAGCCTCCAAAAGTGCTGGGATTACAGGCGTGAGCCACCGCGCCTGGCCTTGTGTTTTTAATAGAGACGGGGTTTCACTGTGTTGGCCAGGCTGATCTTGAACTCCTGACCTTGTGATCTGCCTGCCTCGGCCTCACAAAGTGCTGGGGATTATAGGAGTGAGCCATGGTGCCCAGCCTTCTTGAGCTTTTAAGGAGTTGTTTTTACATATACCTTAAGAGGATGATCTTCTGCACAGAACATTTCTTCTATAATAATTTCCATTAACTCTAGATGAATAGTGTAATCTCTTGAGTTGAAAGAGTTTAACTAGCTTCTAGGCCTCTAATTGACTTAAGGTCACTCAGAACAAGGAGATTGATTGCTCTGATGCAACCAGCTGTTTAATTGTGAAGTAGCCTTAAGCTGTTGAATTTAGTCAAATTTGTGAAGTAGCTGACAGATCAAGTTTTGCTAGTAGGCCAGGCGTGGGGACTCATGCTTGTAATCCCAGCACTTTGGGAGGCCAAGGCAGGCAGATCACTTGAGGTCAGGAGTTCAAGACCAGTCTGGCCAACATGGCGAAACCCCATCTCTACAAAATAATACAAAAATTAGCTGAGCGTCCTGGTGCACACCTGTAATCCCAACTACTCAGGAGGCCGAGGTGGGAGAATCGCTTGAACCTAGGAGGCAGAGGTTGCAGTGAGCCAAGATAGCACCACTACACTCCAGCCTGGGTGACAGAGCGAGACTTTGTCTCAAAATAAAATAAACCAAAAATATATGCTTTTTATTTACCAACTTTTTTTTTTTTTTTCCGAGACAGAGTCTCTGTCGCTCAGGCTGCAGTGCAGTGGCACGACCTCGGCTCACTGCAACCTCCGCCTCCCAGGTTCAAGCAATTTTCCTGCCTTGGCCTCCCGAGTAGCTGGGACCACAGGTGCAAGCCACCACGCCCATCTAATTTTTGTATTTTTAGTAGAGATGGGGTTTTGCCTTGTTGGCCAGGATGGTCTTGATCTGTTGACCTCTTGATCCGCGCTCCTCAGCCTCCCAAAGTTCTGGGATTACAGGTGTGAGCCACCGTGCTTGGCCTGTTTATCAACTTTTTAAAAAGTGACATGGGCTGGGTGCAGTGGCTCACGCCTGTAATCTCAGCACTTTGGGAGGCCGAGGAAGGTGGATAACCTGAGGTCAGGAGTTTGAGACCGGCCTGGCCAATATGGTGAAACCCCATCTCTACTAAAGATACAAAAAATTAGGCATGGTGGCGCACGCCTGTAATCCCAGCTACTCAGAAGGCCAAGGCACAAGAATCGCTTGAACCCCGGAGGCGGAGGTTGCAGTGAGCTGAGATCGCACCATTGCACTCCAGCCTGGGCGACAGGGTGAGACTCCGTCTCAAAAAATAAAAGTGGCATGAGTTAATAATGTAAGCTAGGTAACGCTTCTTGGCTACATGGGTGACCTTGTGCAAGTTAACTTAGCTAAGCCCCAATTTCCTCATTTATAAAAAGAGGTATATGTTACCTTACAGGATTATTGTAAGAAAAGAAAAAGTAATACTGCAAATAGATAGCACAGTACCTGTTGCATAGTAAGTGCTTAAAGAATGGAAGCCTCGGCCGGGTGCGGTGGCTCACTCCTGTAATCCCAGAACTTTGAGGGGCCAAGGTGGGCAAATCACCTGAGGTCGGGAGTTCAAGACTAACCTGACCAACATGGTGAAACCCCCCTCTACTAAAAATACAAAATTAAGCCAGGCATGGTGGTGCATCCTGTAATCTCAGCTACTCAGGAGGCTGAGGCAGGAGAATGGCGTGAACCCGGGAGGCGGAGCTTGCAGTGAGCCGAGATCGCGCCACTGTACTCCAGCCTCGGCGACAGAGCGAGAATCCATCTCAAAAAAAAAAAAAAAAAAGAATGGAAGTCTTTGTTATTAAATAACAATTGCATATCACTGTTTGATCCTTGGCACATACAGTGAATTTTCTTTGAAAGATGGAACATAGAATTCATTATTAAAACCTAGTGTCTTTTTTTTTTATTTTTTGAGACGGAGTCTCACTCTGTCGCCCAGGCTGGAGTACAGTGGCACGATCTTGGCTCACTGCAAGCTCCACCTGCCAGATTCACGCCATTCTCCTGCCTCAGCCTCCCGAGTAGCTGGGACTACAGGCGCCCACCACCACGCCTGGCTAATTTTTTGTATTTTTAGTAGAGACGGGGTTTCACCGTGTTAGCCAGGATGGTCTCGATCTCCTGACCTCATGATCTGCCTGCCTCGGCCTCCGAAAGTGCTGGGATTACAGGCATGAGCCACTGTGCCCGACCCCTTTTTTTTTTTTTAGACAGAGTCTCGCTCTGTGGTCCAGGCTGGAGTGCAGTGGCACTATCTCGGCTCACTGCAACCTCCACCTCCCGGGTTCAAGCAATTCTCCTGCCTCAGCCTCCCGAGTAGCTGGGATTATAGGCGCCGGCCCACACCACGCCTGGCTGATTTTTTGTGTTTTTAGAAGAGACCAGGTTTCACCATGTTGGCCAGGCTGGTCTTGAACTCCTGACCTCAAATGATCTGCCAGCCTCAGCCTCCCAAAGTGCTGGCATTATAGGCATGAGCTGCCGTGTCTGGCTGTAAAACCTGCTGTCTTAACACATTGAACGTCAAGTCATGGTGTAGTGAAAAAGATCATGATTAAACATATCAGAGGGCCAGGCATGGTGGCTCACACCTATAATCCCAGCACTTTGGGAGGCCAAGGCAGGCAGATCACCTGAGGTCGGGAGTTTCTAGACTAGCCTAACCAACATGGAGAAACCCCGTCTCTACTAAAAATACAAAATTAGCCGGGTATGGTGGCACATGCCTGTAATCCCAGCTACTCAGGAGGCTGAGGCAGGAGAATCACTTGAACTTGGGAGGCGGAGGTTGCAGTGAGCTAAGATTGCGCCATTGCACTCCAGCCTGGGCAACAAGAGTGAAACTCTGTCTCAGAAAACCATATCAGAGTTCAAACTTGACTTTAGCATTTAACCTAATACTATGAGCCTTAGTTTACTCATCTTTAAAATGGCAGTCATTATATACTTTGTAGTAGTAAGCATTGGGAATAATGTTTTAGTGTACATTAGATAGTATTACAAATCACTTAGTGCCTGGGTCATAATAGTTATTCAGTGAAATGGTTATGATTGTTATTCTCTACTTTCAAACATACTCAATATATAACAACCCATCATATAACTAACCATCAACCCAAATAGCCCCAATTCATGGAGGACAGACGATATCCCTGCCTAATTCTTCTTTGCTGATAATTCCTTTTTTTTTCTCCATCTTGCTCCTCTTCTGTCAGTTGATTTATGAAGACTCTATGGATCTAATCGCAAAGCTACCTTGTGTTGCAGCAAAGATCTACCGAAATCTCTACAGAGAAGGCAGCGGTATTGGGGCCATTGACTCTAACCTGGACTGGTCTCACAATTTCACCAACATGTTAGGCTATACTGATCATCAGTTCACTGAGCTCACGCGCCTGTACCTCACCATCCACAGGTAAGCTAGACCCAGCAACCACAGCCACTAGGTGCCTCAATTGGTGGGAAATTTTTTTAAAAGCTCCTTTATGTTCTCATCTTCTGAGAACAGATGATAGGCAGCAAGAAGACAGAAACGTGGCATAAAGGATGATCCAAGGCAAGAAAGGGGTCTAGTAAGCAAGGTCAGGAGGCCTAAAGAAATTACTGTAACCATGCTAAGAACAAGATGGTGCTTCTGGCTGGGAAAAGGTACTAGCTGCTCACATTAGATGGTCCTTCAGCTTTCCAGGAGCTCGCTCTTTGGGGCCATTGCTATTAAAGCTAGGTTGGAGTCATGGAGCAGAGCATACAGGCATCATCAACCAGTAACCTCTCCAGCTCTGTGGATGAGTGAACAAAAGCTGGTAATGAGATTAGGATGCTTTTTTTTTTTTTTTTTTTTAGATGGAGTCTTGCTCTGTCGCCAGGTTGGAGTGCAATGGCGCAATCTTGGCTCACTGCAACCTGCACCTCCAGGTTCAAGTGATTCTGCTGCCTCAGCCTCCCAAGTAGCTAGGACTACAGATGTGTGCCACCATGCCCAGCTAATTTTTGTATTTTTAGCAGAGACGGGGTTTCACCATGTTGGCCAGGATGGTCTTGATCTCTTGACCTCATGATCCACCCGCCTTGGCCTCCCAAAGTGCTAGGATTATAGGCGTGAGCCACTGTGCCTGGCCAAGATTAGGATGTCTTTTACAAGAGTTTAGGTATAACTGACTGGCTATAGGCTGGCATGAGCCCATAACTAGGCTAGTAAGTGGCAAATAAGAGAACAGCAAAGTTTCCATAATCTGCCCCTTCTTTCTTCCCTTGGCTCTCCCTTCTTACTTCCCCACAGTGACCATGAGGGTGGCAATGTAAGTGCCCATACCAGCCATTTGGTGGGCAGTGCCCTTTCCGACCCTTACCTGTCCTTTGCAGCAGCCATGAACGGGCTGGCAGGGCCTCTCCATGGACTGGCAAATCAGGTAAGACTATTCTTTTTATTTTCCTGCTACATGTTTTCCTTACCCCATGCTTTGTTTCTGATCTTGGCATTCTCTTCTGGCATATGTATTAACATTCCCTTTTTCCCCAAACCTTACCCATAGGAAGTGCTTGTCTGGCTAACACAGCTGCAGAAGGAAGTTGGCAAAGATGTGTCAGATGAGAAGTTACGAGACTACATCTGGAACACACTCAACTCAGGACGGGTAAGCAGAGATGCTTAACGACTAGGAAAGAAACCAAGACACAAGTTCTGCAATTTGGAAGAATTAAGAAAAGAATGAAAGAGGTCCCTAAATTAGAGATTTTTTTTTCTTCATTTATCTACCTTGAAGAATTTAGAAAAGAATTTCTAGGTGGGCACAATGGCATGCACCTGTAGTCCCACCTACTTGGGAGGCTGAGGCAAGAGGATTGCTTGAGGCCAGGAGTTTAAGGCTGCAGTGTGCTAAGATCACTCCTGTGAATAGCCACTACACTCCAGCCAGGACAACACAGCAAGACCCCATTCTCTAAAAAACAGTTTTAAATAGGTTGAGTGTGGTGGCTCACGCTTATAATCTTAGCACTTTGGGAGTCCAGGGTGGATGGATCTCGTGAGCCCAGGAGTTTGAGACCAGCCTGAGCAACACAGACCCTATCTTTTTTTTTTTTTTTTTTTTAAAGACAGTCTTGCTCTTGTTGCCCAGGCTAGAATGCAGTGGCGCAACCTCAGTTCACTGCAACCTCCGCCTCTCGGGTTCAAGTGATTCTCCTGCCTCATCCTCTCGAGTAGCTGGGATTACAGGCATGCGCCACCATGCCCGGCTAATTTTGTATTTTTAGTAGAGACGGGGTTTCTCCGAGTTGGTCAGTTGGTCAGGCTAGTCTAGGACTCCCAACCTCAGGTGATCTGCCCACCTCAGCCTCCCAAAGTGCTGGGATTACAGGCATGAGCCACCGCACACGGCCAGACCCCATCTTTACCAAAAAAAAAAAAAAAAAAGCCAGATGTGTTGGTGTGCACCTGTGGTCCCAGCTACTCTGGAGGCTGAAGTGGGAGAATTGCCTGAGCCTGGGAGGTCGAGGCTGCCGTGAGATGTGATCATGCCACTGCACTCCAGCCTGGGTGACAGAGTGAGATCCTGTCTCGAAAAATAAAAGAATTTCTACTGAGAATACTATCTTTTTTCCTCACTCTTTACAGGTTGTTCCAGGCTATGGCCATGCAGTACTAAGGAAGACTGATCCGCGATATACCTGTCAGCGAGAGTTTGCTCTGAAACACCTGCCTAATGACCCCATGTTTAAGTTGGTTGCTCAGCTGTACAAGATTGTGCCCAATGTCCTCTTAGAGCAGGGTAAAGCCAAGAATCCTTGGCCCAATGTAGATGCTCACAGTGGGGTGCTGCTCCAGGTAAGTCCTCCTTTCCCTCTTTTCCCTCTAATTTGTACCAAACCCTATTGTTATCTGCCATGCACAAAGTCAATTAACTCCTAGTCAGAGCAGGGACTTCCCTCACAGAGCATTTTGATAAAGTTGACTATGAGAGGGTTGGGGGTTGGGGTTGCTCTGTTTTCAGAATCCCAATTGCTATACTTTTCTCAGTGTCATTTCTATTTAAGGTTGACTGGGCTAAGTCCTTGGAGAAAAATGGAAAATTTAGCTTTTAAGGTTTCTATCACCTAGGACTTGTACATGCCACTGCCTCTGCCTTAAATGAAATATTTTTCTCTTCTACCTTACAGTATTATGGCATGACGGAGATGAATTACTACACGGTCCTGTTTGGGGTGTCACGAGCATTGGGTGTACTGGCACAGCTCATCTGGAGCCGAGCCTTAGGCTTCCCTCTAGAAAGGCCCAAGTCCATGAGCACAGAGGGTCTGATGAAGTTTGTGGACTCTAAGTCAGGGTAAAACTGGAGACTGGGTGAAAGTGACTACCAGAAAGTGAGGAAGCCTAAATAAAAAGTATACTTTTGTTTCAGGGGGCCTTTAAAGACTTAAGATTAAATTATATCTGAGGCACTGATAATATGTTTGAGGTTAAAATATAAATTAAGACTTTAAAAGATGAAAAATGGTCCCTTCTTCCCTAATCAGCTCCCTTCCCCTGCCTGGTATGAGTTGCCCATCATACGCATGGTCCTGGAGGATGACCAGGACTAATGCATGTGGTATGAGTAGGTTTGGCCCCCTCACTATCTCTAGAGTGAGAATCTGGCTCCTGTTTCCATGGGTCAAAGCCGGTTGCAGAGAATCTGTAGTCACTTTGGAGCTTTAGCTTCTCTGCCAAGCCCTCAATAAGCCAGCAAACCAGGACTCTGCCCCTTCTGTTTCCATAGGAATCATGTTGGATAGTCAGCTGTACCAAGCCCCTTGGCCCTCTCCCATGCACACAAACACCTCCTAGCAAGACCTGTTGGTTAGCTGGACATGCTTTGGCAATTTTTTTATACTACCAAGTGACCATAAAGGCATGGCATTTGTTGTGACTGGCACCCAATGTTTGATTTTTTTTTTAAAACTATCCAATTAAAATTAAGGTCTGGGAGTGTTCTGTTTCCCATTACTTTAATACTCACCTCCTCCCAGACTTTCTACACCTGTTGCACCTCAGGCAGAGGATGTTCTGGACCTCCCCCTCTTGGTCCCTACTAGAGACCTCTCAACAGATCTGTGGGCCCAGTCATTGGGTTTTATCAGTGCTTAATGTGAACTAAGTTTTTTACTTCCACAGAATACAAGCCACTACCTTCTGACCTCCCCACCCCCCACCAACCCCCATCTTTTAATATGCTGTGGGGCATAGAACTCCGGAATGACCAGCATGATATTTTCAGAGTCTTGTCCCCGGGGTATTAGCACCTCTTTTTGAACAGGGAATTGATTCAAGATTGGACATGGTCTCCTCTGATTATCAGGTACTGGGGCTGAGGGCATTAAAAATAGTAAGCCTCCCTCCTCGTCCCCTGCCTCAAGAAATTGCCTCCTTATTTATCAACATCTTTTTCCTCCCTTTCCCTGAGAGCTCACAGTACAATGTTTCAGAAGCCCCATTTGCACAGGTTTTCAGCAACTCAGAATGCTCTACTTCTTTTTCTTTGAGAAAGGATTAAGATACACTCCTGCTGTGCCCCCATCTTTCCTCCAAACTCCTGCCTGTGTTTGTGTGGATACCCAGTCCCAGAACCACACTGTTGAGTTGGACACACTGTAAACCCCTGGGTAACTGTCAAGTCATGATGGAGACTTCAGGTTGTTCTGTATAAAATGCAAAATAAATGTTTTTATTAACAATGCTTGAGCCTATTATTAAATAAGGCCTGGAAGAACCTTTATTATGAGGTAAGGAATCTGGCTAGCAAGATCCTGAACTTAGTGGGTTATAAGTAATCTGTATCCATTTATCTTTAGGCAGGTTTGGCTTTCTTTTACCTTAACCAGAGGAAAGCCTCCCTGAGAAATTTCCAGAGGAGATTTCTGTCCTTCCTCAAGGTTAGGAAGTCCTTGATGTTTAGCCCCTAACCTTGCTAATTTTGTTGTAAGGTAACATACTCAAGGGCTATAGCTGAGATTCTCAATTGCTTATGTGACTAATCCAAGAACTGGTCTAGCCCACTGAGAGAAAGGAACAAACTACCAAGGACGAATGGGCTAGTACTGCTACCTCAGGACCAGAGCCACTAGAGGGCTCTGGTACTTCTTGGAGTGCCTGCTCTTTATAGCTTCCCTGAAGGAGGTCCCAAAAATAACAAGAGGTGGTCCTGAGGGCATCACATATATGGGAGGTCCAAGACCAGATGATTCTGTCCTGAGATCCCTGCTGCAACTGACCTTCTGAAAAAGTCTATAAATAGACAAGGGGGTGGGTACTAGGTCCTGGCTTGTAGAATGTGCTACTATAGTTAGCAGGGACACTGTGTCCAAGAGGCCTTCTTATACCTTCACTCCCCCAGGAAAAGAAGCCATAACTTCGTTCTACTCTACTATATCTACATTATTGCCCCAAGAAACAATATAATAAAGCCAAATTCACACTGTCACAATTTATTGAAATTTTATAAAAACTCAGGCCAAGTGGAAGAATAAGGTACAACTCAAGAGTACAAAGACAACTCCGTTTCCGTTCAGTACTTTTCTCCTCAGCACTGGTGGTAAGAAAGCCCCTTGCTCTCTAGTAGCCAGGCAGCATGGACTTACAGTCTTAAAATGAGGCTTTATGTATTTCAGGCTGGAGGCAGGTTGCCTTTTCTCCTGAGGAATCTCAGGCAGGGTAAAAGTTACTTACCACTCAGTACCTCTGTGCCAGAAGAAAAGCTCAATTTATTCAATCCTTAGAAAAGTTACTATCGTCCCCTGGTCAGACACTAAGGTGTCTTGATAAGGTCCAGAGACAACCACATAGTCCTTATTCTAATTCGTAGTGAAAAGGCTGCAGGCATATGGTGCTCCTACGATGGGCCTGACCCTTTCCTAAGCACATCTCATTTCCACATCCTTTGCCTTCTCTTTCCCCCAACATTTCCAGCCAGCATAGAACCCAATTTCTGGGAAATTGAGAGGAGAAACAGTATTATGAACACAGACTCCTTTCAAATTGGAACAGGAGCCAAACCAAATAAATAAGAGAATTGTGTAGGGAAGTGGGGTAGAAGGGAGGTCAGGGAGCAATCCCTTGCCTCAAGTCTGGTGCACCTCATGGAACATCAGTTCACGGGGGATGGCTGTTTCTGGACCAAACTTGGTGGCTGCCCGACGCTCAAAGGCAGCAACATTCTGTTTGACAACCTCATCAAAAAACATGGTGGCCAGCTGGGAGTGCAGCAGAGAACGAAATTCAAAGGAAATCTGGGAATGGGTAAGAGACAGTCAGAAACTTCCAGACCATGTTGGATAGTCCCTGGCCAAATGCAAGGAAACTGTTCCTCAGTGCCTTTTCTCCCCCTCCCCATCCAGTTCGTGGATCCCCGTAAGAGCCCTAACTTGGGACTGAGCACGGAGTACGAGTCTGACACAAGCTCAGACTAACTGACTTGGGAAATGCTAGCTATACTTAAAGAATAACCCTGTCAGGTCGGTGCGGTGGCTCACGCCTGTAATCCCAGCACTTTGGGAGGCCAAGGCGGACGGATCACCTGAGGCCAGGAGTTTGAGAGCAGCCTAGCCAAAATGGTGAAACCCCGTCTCTACTAAAAATAAAAAATCAGTCGGGCTTGGTAGCAGGCTCCTGTAATCCCAGCTACTTGGGAGGCTGAGGCAGGAAAATCGCTTGAACCCAGAAGGTGGAGGTTGCAGTGAGCCAAGATCGTGCCATTGCACTCCAGCCTGGGTGACGGAGCAAGACTCCATCTCAAATAAATTAATAACCCTGTCACAGTACCCCAGCCCTTCCTCATACCCAGTCCTCGTCCTCTGCTACACAACCTCCTGACTCACCGAAAAGTCCACAGTGCAGGTTCGAGGATAGGCAGGAATACCAGGGCTGAATCGCCAAATAGTCTCTAAGTGGTTGAAGAGCTTGCCATCAGTACAAACAGCCTAGAATAGGGTAATCAGGTAGTTAAATAACATTACTAAGTATAGGATACAATATAAAGGAATTGAAAGCCATTTTCCTTCTTTTCTGATATGAGGGAAATACTTGACACATGGACATAAAGTACTTACAAGGAAGGCCAAAATAGCACTTTCATATGAAACTGCTAAAAACAAAAAATCTTGTCAATCCCTCCCATACAGGCCTCACCTTGACCATGTGAGGTTTGACCATGGAAACTGCAGAGGTGTAACGTTCCATGACAGGTGGAAAGCCAACCTCCAGCTGGGCTTTCAAATGACCCTTACGGCTGGATACCACCAGAGACTTCTTACACCAGGGCACAAACTCACGATACTCCTGGACGTTGGACACCACCTCATACATCTCCTGCATTGAGTACCTAGGAGAAGAAGAATCACAGGCCAAGGAGCTGCCAGCTGGGTCAGGTTCCTCCTTGCTATAGGCCCCTAATTCATACCTTTGCCCACTAACCACGCACCTTCAGGAACTACAGATCCCAAATAAGCCTGGATGAATAACTTCCCAAAAGCAAACGTGTAAATCCTTATGATACTGTTACCTTATATTTTGCAGTTTACAGAATGCTTTTGCATTCATTGTTTATTTTGATTTTAAGAGGGACCATCTAGGGAGAACAGAGGCTGTCAGTTTTACTGGTGATCACACAAGGATCAGATCCCAGCTCTTAACAATTTTTTAACAATGTGGCCTTAGGTAAATTACCTGTGTCTCCATTTTCTCACCTGATTTATAGGTTTGTTGTGAGAATTAAATGAGAAATATCTATGTAAAACATCTAAGTCAAGCTGCTAGCATGTAGCAAGTGCTCGATAATTTAGCTATTATGCTCAAAATATACTAAAAAGGTTACGCTGCTAATTTACACATACTAGGTACCCATAAAAATTATTTTTAAATGGTCACCAGAAAAATACACCCTGTTTTTTGTTTTGTTTTTTGAGACAGTCTTGCTCTGTCGCCCAGGCTGGAGTGCAGTGGGGCAATCTCAGCTCACTGCAACCTCTGCCTCCCAGGTTCCAGCGATTATCCTGCCTCAGCCTCCCAAATAGCTGGGATTAAAGGCGCCCGCCACCGTGCCAGGCTGATTCTTGTGTGTGTGTTTTTTTTTAGTGGAGACAGGGTTTCACCATGTTGGCCAGGCTGGTCTCGAACTCCTGACCTAAAACGATCGGCCCGCCTCAGCCTCCCAAAGTCCTGGGATTACAGGCGTGAGCCACCGCACCCAGCTACGCCCTGTTGTCTTAAAGTATAGTCCAACCCTAGTCTCATTTCACTTAAGCACATGCACAGCAACCAAGAAGGGAGAAATTAAGGTCGGAAGAGTGGCAGGGGAGGACTGAGGATCAGTATTGTAGCTGGGGAGGGGGATGGCTAGGGATGAATCTTGCCCACCGATGATACCCTGACATTCTTGCCTGGACAGGGTTATTTGGAGGGAAAAGGGAGGTGCAAGGATGCAAGGCAGAGAATGCTTACCCCATGATTCTACGCTCCGAGTAAGCCTTTCGCTTGTTGGTGAAGGGAGCAGCAAATCCCATGAAGGAACGGCTCGAAGGTAAGCCAGCCTCAGCCGCCAAGATCTGGGCAGCCCGAGGCAAGAGGAGGCTGCAGGAGGTCAGAAACCTAAGGCCAAAGGAAAGAGGAGCCAACCGTATAGTTCTTCGTAATCCTCTATCATTTGTAGGTGAAGGAGAAGAAGAGTGCATCCCAGACGAAGGTCGTCCAAACAAGCTTTCCCCCCAGCACCTGCTGCAGCCCGCTAGGCTCTCTCTGGCCAGGGAGTCACGAGTGCAAAAGGTCGAGGGCAGCTAAGGACAGGGCTGGGGGCGGGGTGAGGGGGATGAGAAAAAGGGGTGTGTGGGAAGCGCCAGTTGCCTTTGACTGGGCCTACACTACTGCTGAAAGCTAAGACTTTAAGGAAGCATCACTGTCCCCGGGGACCCCAGGGCGCCCGCGAGGGCCAAGAAGAGGTTGGACACTCACCCCGAGAACTTCCCTTCTCGTACAACTTGCAAAAGCATTATCCAAAGCTCTACGTTAGCTCCCAGGGCATGATTGCTGCCAGTCCCCGCCGCGCCTGCATCCCAGTATAGCACCCCTCCACCGCGGAACCCCGGGGTTCGCAGCGACCCCCTGCCCTCAGCCGCGGTCACCTCCCTCTCACCTCATTGGTCGCGGCGGTGGCAGAGGGCCTGGGGGCGGGGCCGGTTGCGCGCCCGGGCTGAGCGAGAGCCGGCAGCAGCGCTCGGCTGCCGCGCGCGTCCCAGCTGGGACCCGCCGCGAGCCCGCCCAGGCCATGCGCGCGACCCTGCCTGGCCCTCTAAGTTCTGACGCGGGCTGCGCCCTCCTCACTCCAAAGGCGGAGCGGCAAGAGGCAGCGGCTGGGCTGGTTCGGGACCTCTGAGCGCAGGGGCGACGGGAGGCGGCAGCACCTCTCGCCTTGCTCCCGTCCAGGCTGCCGGGTAGGCTAGAACTGAAGCCGGGACCGCTGCTCCCGCAGATCTCGGTACCCCCACGTCACGCTGTTGCCATGGCTCGGGCCTGGGAGAGGAAGGAAGGAAGGAAGGGGACAACGCCGCCTGTCGGGAGATGTAGTTTCACACCTGTGGCGAGAAAGGGCACTGGGGTGTGCGTTTGAGAAGCTGCAAAGATGGTTCGGGGACTGAGGTCGCCTGTGGTCACAGGACCCGATAGGTAGGCACAGAGGCGACTTCGTGGGCGTGTCTACCGCAGATATCTGTAGATCCTCTGAACGTCGCTGTTAGAGCCTTAGGTTCTCTAGAGGGACATAGTGAATAGGATAAATGTATATATGAAAGGGAGTTTATTAAGAATTGCCTCACAGGATCACAAGGTAAAGTCTCACATTAGGCCGTCTGCAAGTTGAGGAGCAAGGAGGCCAGTGGTGGATCAGTCCAAGGCCCAAAACCTCAAAAGTAGGGAAGCCGGCAGTGCAGCCTTCAGTCTGTGGCCAAAGCCCCGAGAGCCCTTGGCAAACCACTGGTGTAAGTCCAAGAGTCCAAAAGCTGAAGAACTTGGAGTCTGATGTTCGAGGGCAGGAAGCATCCAGCATGAGAGAAAGACGAAGGCCGGAAGACTTCAGCAAGTCAGCTTCTTCCACCTACTTTTACTTTTATTTATTTATTTATTTATTTATTTATTTATTTATTTATTTGAGACGGAGTCTCGCTCTGTTGCCCAGACTGGAGTGCAGTGGCACGATCTCAGCTCACTGCAACCTTGGCCTCCCAGGTTCAAGCGATCCTCCTGCCTCACCACCCCCGCCCCGCCCCCCTCCCCAGTACCTGGGATTACAGGCATGCGCCACCATGCCCAGCTAATTTTTGTATTTTTAGTAGAGATGGGGTTTCGCCATGTTGGCCAGGCTGGTCTCGAACTCCTGACCTCAGGTGATCCACCCGTCTCGGCTTCCCAAAGTGCTGGGATTACAGGTGTTAGCCACCATGCCTAGCCCTGCCTACTTTTTCTAGCGTCGCTGGCAGCGGATTGGATGGTGCCCACCATTGAGACTGGGTCACTTCCTTCCAGTCCACTGACTTAAATGTTAATCTCCTTTGGCAACACCCTCACAGACACTCAGGAACAACACTTTGCCTCCTTCAATCCAATCAAGTTGACACTCAATCATCACAGAGCCTTTATCATATTCGGCCTTGTTTATAGTTAGAAGCACTGTTCATCTTTGTAGCTTCCACAAGTGGTTAGTGCTGTGTTCTACATTTTTGGGAAAGGAGATTAACATTCCAAGCTCTGGGCTAAGACTGCATAGTTTTTACCTTTAATATTTATAGAAAGAAGTCGAGGTAGGAAGAACCAGATATTCTTAGGACAGAGAACCATCTTTGTTTGAAAAGTGTGCGCTTGATGAAGAGTGAGACCTCATGGACAGAAACCCACGCAATTAAATACCACTATACTACTTTTCATGATTCAAGGAGAAAAAAAAAATGCTCTTGGCTAGGCATGGTGGCTCACGTCTGTAATCCCAGCACTTTGGGAGGCTGAGGCGGGCAGATCACTTGAGGTCAGGAGTTCAAGACCAGCCTGGCCAACATAGTGAGACCTTATCTCTACTAAAAATACAAAAATTAGCCAGGTATGGTGGCGGGCGCCTCTAATCCCAGCTACTCGGGAGGCTGAGGCAGGAGAATCGCTTGAACCCAGGAGGCGGAAGTTGGAGTGAGCTGAGATTGTGCCACTGCACTCCAGCCTGAGCAACAGAGCAAGACTCCATCTCAAAAAAAAAAAAAAAAAAAAAAGGAAAGAAAGAAAAGAAAAGAAAGCAAGCGAGCAAGAAAGAGAAAAAATGCTCTTGATAAAAGTCAGGTGGGCCAGGTGCGGTGGCTCATGCCTGTAATCTCAGCACTTTGGGAGGCCGAGGTGGGTGGATCACGAGGTCAGGAGATCGAGACCATCCTGGCTAACAGGGTGAAACTGCATCTCTACTAAAAATACAAAAAATTAGCCGGGCGTGGTGGTGGGTACCTGTAGTCCCAGCTACTCAGGAGGCCGAGGCAGGAGAATGGCATGAACCCGGGGAGCGGAGCTTGCAGTGAGCCAAGATCGCACCACTGCACTCCAGCCTGGGCAGCAGTGCAAGACTCCATCTCAAAAAAAAAAAAAAAAAAAAGTCAGGCAAACAAAAGAAAAAAAGGAAGGGAAGAAAGAAATCAACAATTAGAAAGAGATTGGGCTAAGTGCAGTGGCTCATGCCTGTAATCCCAGCACTTTGGGAGGCTGAGGTGGGAGGATCACTTGAGGCCAGGAGTTCAAGACCAGCCTGGGCAACATAGTGAGAACTTGTCTCTCCAAAAATAAAAAAGAAAAAAAAAAGAGAGACTAGAACTAGGTGGGTGCAAGAGAATGGTGGTGCCTGCTGTTGAGTTTTAAGAAATTCATGCTATTACAGTACAAGCCTTTCCTCTGCTTGCTTTCTAAATCTTCAGTCAAGCTCTCCACTTTCAGGAAATCTTTCCCTGAGAAGTGTTGTGTGTGGTGGTTATGCAGAGGGGCAGGGGATAAAGTAAATAAAGACTGTGTTGTAGCCAGGCATGGTGGCTCATATCTGTAATTGCAGCACTTTGGGAGGTGAAGGTTGGTGGATCACCCGAGCCCGGGAGTTTGAGACCAGCCTGGGCAATATGGTGAAACCTTGTCTCTACAAAAAATACAAAAAAATTTAGCCAGGCATGGTGGCACATGCCTGTAATCCCAGCTACTTGGGAGTCTGAGTTGGATCACCTGGGCCCAGGAGGTTGAGGCTGCAGTGAGCCGTGATTGCACCACTGCACTCCAGTCTGTGTGACGGGAGTGAGACCCTGTCTCAGAAAAACAAAAACAAAAACAAAAAAAGACTGTGTTGCAATTCTTGTCCAACTAATCTGGAAGAGACATCTGGTCTAGAAACAGGGTAGCTCTTGGGCCGGGCACGGTGGCTCACACCTGTAATCCCAGCACTTTGGGAGGCCAAGGCAGGCGGATCATGAGGTCAGGAGATCAAAACCATCCTGGCCAACGTGGCAAAAACCCATTTCTACAAAAAATACAAAACATGTCCGGGCGCAGTGGCTCACTGCCTGTAATCCCAGCACTTTGGGAGGCCAAGGCGGGTGGATCACGAGGTCAGGAGATGGAGACCATCCTGGCTAACATGGTGAAACCCTGTCTCTACTAAAAATACAAAAAATTAGCTGGGCATGGTGGCGGGCGCCTGTAGTCCTGGCTACTCAGGAGGCTGAGGTTGAGGCAGGAGAATGGCCTGAACCTGGGAGGCGGAGGTTGCAGTAGGCCGAGATCACGCCACTGCAGTCTAGCCTGGGCGACACAGCGAGACTCCGTTTCAAAAACAAAACAAAACAAAACAAAAAGCCAGATGTGGTGGTACGCACCTATAGTCCCAGCTACTCGGGAGGCTGTGGCAGAGAATCACTTGAGCCCGGGAGGCAGAGGTTGCAGTGAGTGGATATTGTGCCACTGCACTCCAGCCTGGGGGACAGACGGAGACTCTGTCTCAAAAAAAAAAAAAAAAAAAATGCGGGGCGAGATGGTTCGCACCTGTAATCCCAGCACTTTGGGAGGCCAAGCAGGTGGATCACCTGAGGTTGGGAGTTCAAGACCAGCCTGACCAACAAGGAGAGACCTCATCTCTACTAAAAATACAAAATTAGCCGGGCGTGGTGGTGCATGCCTGTAATCCCAGCTACTCGGGAGGCTGAGGTAGGAGAATCACTTGAACCCCAGAGGTAGAGGTTGCGGTGAGCCTAGATGGCGCCATTGCACTCCAGCCTGGGCAACAAGAGCAAAACTCCGTCTCAAAAAAAAAGTTTGAGCCCATCTTCTCTGGATTTCAAGTAAGCAAGAGCCATTGGGTGATCATCAAAACCCATTTTTAATAAGCTGTTCTACCTCTATAGCAGTTAGTACTACCAATTCAAAATAATTATTGACCAAATGAATATGTTTTATTATTTATCTATTTAATTTTTGAGACGGGGGTCTCACTCTGTCACCCAGATTGGAGTGCATTGGTGTAATCTCGGCTCACTGCAACCTCTGCCTTCCAGGTTCAAGTGATATTCCCACCTCAGCCTCCCAAATAGCTGCGACCACAGGGGCACACTACCACATTTTTGGTAGAGACAGGGTTTCATCTTCTTGCCCAGGTTGGTCTCAAACTCCTGAACTCAAGCAATATGTCCACGTTGGCCTTCCAAAGTGCTGGGATTACAGGCATGAGCCACCATGCCTGGACTATAAATGTGTTTTGTCAACTTTTCTTTTTTTTTTTAATTTTTTTTTTTTTTAATTTTGAGACAGAGTTTCACTCTTGTTGCCCATGCCGGAGTGCAATGGCGCGATCTCGGCTCACTGCAACCTCAGCCTCCTAGGTTCAAGCGATTCTCCTACCTCAGCCTCCCAAGTAGTTGGGATTACAGGCATGCACCACCACACCCGGCTAATTTTGTATTTTTAGTAGAGACGGGGTTTCTCCATGTTGATCAGGCTGGTCTTGAACTCCCAACCTCAGGTGATCCACCTGCTTGGCCTCCCAAAGTGCTGGGATTACAGGCATGAGCCACCGTGCCCGGCCGCCACCTTTCCGTTTATCCTCTTCCGTGATACCCCAAGTTGGGTGATGATCTCACTTATTTTCTTTCCTAACATCTCTTCTTTTCGCCTCTGCACTCCAGAGAGAGTCTGTTAAAATGTCCACATCCCCCAGTCCTCCTTTCCACTACTGTAGTACAGTGCCTCCTTCCAGTTCACAAATGGTAATCTGGAGCCACCTTCAGATGGGCACATGACCTTAAAGGACAGATTTACTCTTTCGAATTCCACTGTCTTGTCCAGCCCCACCCGCCTCTGACTAAGGGCTTATACATGTGAGACAGCTGCTTTGAATGAGGAGTAAGGATCTGGTTGGTTAAAAGACAGAAATTAACAGGGATACATAACTGAACTGTGACCTCATTATCACTCTGCCTTAACCAAGTTGACTGCTACAGAATCCCCAAGGTCCAACAGGCCTACCAAGCCAATTTGCTTACTGTCCCCTACTAATTGGTTTAACTAATTACTGCCATTTAAACTTTCCTAGTTTAGTCCCTATACTTGAAACAACCGATTTCTTCCCATGTCTCCACCATTCTACATCAATAACTTCCTTCAAGTACTGACTCAAAACACACCTCCTCCAGGAAGACCCTCTTGACTGAACCCTTCCTTCAACATTACTCTGAACACATAATGCCATGTAATCTAGCATGTATCCTATATTCTGTAGTTGTTTCACATGTATATGTATGTTCATCTACTAAGTTATAAGCTCCTCATAAAGAGACACCATTACTTCTAATTTTTGACCTCCCGACCAATTAGTACAGGGCTGTACATCGGGTGAGTCCTCACATTTAGTCAGAAGAAGGAAAACTGAGGCTTAAAAATAGGCAGCCATCTGTCTAGAGTTACCCAAATATGAATGCTTGTAGTTCAATCCAGAAGGACTGTCCATATAAGAAGGTTTTATCACCACTTCTGGCCTCCTCCTCCCATACCCTGTGTGTCTCCCTGAGCCCTGAAAGTATCAGTGTTCCCTACATCAAATCCCTTTTTTTCCTACTGGGAAATCCTCTTTTGATGCTCTAAATAATATTAAAAATAACTCTTCTAGCCCGTCCTCCTCCCTCCAATTGCCCAGAGAACCAGGCTGGCAACCTCTCTTGTTCACCTCCATCCCCTAGCCAGAACCGGGCACGTGACCCCAGCTGAACCCCTGACTCCAATTCCTCAGGTTACCTAGAGTTATTTTGGGCAATGGATACCATGTATGCCCCTCCTCCTTATCCTCTGGGCCATATCCTAGTTTAGCCCTTCCTGGAAGGCCCATCATACCCAATAGCCAAGTCCCAACACCCATATCCATTTGATCCTTTGCTACCTTTGGTTTCTGCTGCTGCTTCATCATCATCATCAGTCATCAAATATTAAATGCCTGTTTCTCTATACTGATATTCTGGAGCTTAAAAAAAACTATACCTGGCTGGGCACGGTGGCTCACGCCTGTAATCCCAGCACTTTGGGAGGCCGAGGCGGGCGGATCACGAGGTCAGGAGATTGAAACCTCCTGGCTAACATGGTGAAACCCCATCTCTACTCAAAGTTAGCCGGGCATGGTGGCAGCACCTGTAGTCCCAGCTACTGGGGAGGCTGAGGCAGGAGAATGGCATGAACCCCAGAGGCGGAGCTTGCAGTGAGCCGAGATCCCGCCACAGCACTCCAGCCTGGGCGGCGACAGAGCGACACTGGTCTCCAAAAAAAAAGGTGAAATGAGAAACAAAGGTGTACAATTTAACCAGATTGTGGCAGTATAAACTAAGTATGTAAGTGTTAAGGAGAACTAACAAAAGGAAAAGAGCCTATTAGCCAGAGGAGACTTCCTGGAAGAGGTAAGTTTAAATTTCTTCATAATTTTTGTGTGTGCATGGAATCACGGAGTGATTGCTCCTAAGCAATATTTTAACTTTTATTTTCAATATGGTAAAAATTTAAAAAATTCCAAAAGGTATATAGTGATAGGTAAATTTCTCTCTCATTCCTTATTTCCTGTACCCCAGTTTTTCTTTCTGGGAAAAAAGGACTGTTACTAGTGTCTTAAGTATCTTTCTAGCAGGAAAGCAAGGGAAGGCTTTTTTTTTTTTTTTTTTTTTTTGACATGGAGTCTGGCTCTGTCACCCAGGCTGGAGAGCAGTGGCTCCATCTCGGCTCACTGCAACCTCCGCCTCCTTGGTTCAAGTGATTCTCCTGCCTCAGCCTCTCCAGTAGCTGGGATTACAGGCGTGCACCACCACACCAGGCTACTTTTTTATATTTTTGGTAGAGATGGGGTTTCACCATGTTGGGAATGGGAAGGCTTTTTTTTTTTTTTTTTTTTTTTTTTTTTGAGACGGAGTCTCGCTCTGTCGCCCAGGCTGGAGTGCAGTGGCGCAATCTCGGCTCACTGCAAGCTCCACCTCCCGGGTTCACGCCATTCTCCTGCCTCAGCCTCCCAAGCAGCTGGGACTACAGGCGCCCGCCACCCTGCCCGGCTGATTTTTGTATTTTAGTAGAGACGGGGTTTCGCTGTGTTAGCCAGGATGGTCTCGATCTCCTGACCTCGTGATCCACCCGCCTCGGACTCCCAAAGTGCTGGGATTACAGGCGTGAGCCACCGCGCCCGGCCGGGAAGGCTTTTTTGAAATGTATTTTCGCCGGGTGCGGTGGCTCACGCCGGTAATCCCAGCTCTTTGGGATGCCGTGGCAGGTGGATCACCTGAGGTCAGGAGTTCGAGACCAGCCTGACCAACATGGTGAAACCCCCGTCTCTACTAAAATAAAAAATTAGCCGGGCAGGGTGGCGGGCGCCTGTAGTCTCAGCTACTTGGTAGTCTGAGACAGGATAATCACTGAACCCGGGAGGCGGAGGTTGCAGTGAGCCGAGATCGTGCCACTGCACTCCAGCCTGGGGGACGAGAGTGAAACTCCATCTCAAAAAATAAAATAAAATGTATTTTTATTTTTTAATTTTTTTCCTCTCCCCTCAAGGGAGGATTTTTATATATAAAGCCTTGACAGGACGCCAGCATGCTGCACTTCGTCCATTTCGTGTTCTCTTCAATGTGTATTGAGTTGTGAAACTCTGAACAGGACCCTGGATCACCTTTTATAAATTGTATCAATTTTTCAATCTCCACTTTTCGTCTTCCTCCTTTTTCCGTTTCTGGGTTGAGATGACCTCCATTCATTTCTTCTCTAATTGACGGCTCTCTGGCCTCTCCATTGGAGGAGGGGAAGCGCCACAGGCTGTTCTGGGGAGAAATTGTTGAGTGTTTTCCACTTTAACCTTGCAATGGAATCAGTAAGGAGTTGGAAAATGCCCCTTCTGTTGGTCTTGGCGGCCTTTTCCAGCTGCCAGTTGTCATGGCCTCTTTGTGGGTGTTTTCTGCAGTAGAATCCTCCTTGGGGTTTCTCTGCAGTTTGAGCACTTTTGCTATTTCTTCTCTACCGAACTCACGCCTCCGCCAGTGGAGATACACGCTTTCCCTCCCTCTGGGGCTATTGCCATACATAATTCCCAGTTCTCCACCCGCCAGTTCCTCCTAGTCTGTGGGGGATTTCGGGGTGTGGAATCGCTGACGGGAGGAGTTAGCTCGGGCGGGAGCATTGTGGGCTGGGTAAGATCTGGCCAGCCGTTCGGTCCTCAGTTTGGGAAGCACCGCGGGACTAAGGCCCAGGTTTCCGCTAGGGTCTTGTGGGGAACCCCTTGGGCCGCCAGACTGGAGCGGAGAGCACAGCGCGGCCAGCTGCGTGAGCCGGGGAGCCGGCGCGCGAGTTCGGGGGTGCAGGGGCTGCTGGGGCCGCCAGGGTGGGGCGGAGGGCGCTGCGGCCGGGGTCCGTTTGCGCGGGGAGCGCCGGGACCAGGACGGCCGCCAGGGAGCGCTGCGGCCTCCAACTCGCCCGCCCCCCGGTAGGCGGGGCCGCGCTCTCCCTGCAGCCGCCACCGCAGCCGCCGCCTGGGCCGCTCCGTGTCCCCGGTGGAGCCGCCGCCGCCGCCGCCGGGAGCTCGATGCGGACGGAGCCCGGGCCGAGCCATGGGGATCCTCAGCATCACGGACCAGGTCAGCCCTCCTGCCCTTTCCCGCTTCCTCCTTCCAGGGCTCGGCGCTGCCGTCACGCGAGCCCGGGGATGTGCGGCCTAGGCTGGGCCTGAGCCCGGGGCTCCCGCAGCTCCCGCCCCGCCCCATGCCGCGCTCCCCTCAACCGAGCCGGTGTCCTTGGGGACCTGGCAACCGGCGGAGGCACCGCGGGAGCTCGCTCCAGCCAGAATCCCTAGAGTGGAGCCCCTCCACGGACGCCCCCCACTCAAACCTAGGTGCTCCCCCACCCCCACCCCCACACCGGTTCCGCTCCGGCTCCAGCCCGCTCTCAGAATGCCGGTTCTCTCTGCAGCCGCCCCTGGTCCAGGCCATCTTTAGCCGAGATGTGGAGGAAGTGCGTTCCCTACTCTCGCAGAAGGAGAACATCAATGTGCTGGTGAGTTGGGAGCAGGGAGGATGGCGAGACCGGAATCCTGGCTCCCGTGTTCTGGACCCCTCCCCACCGGTGGGGCGGCTCCGTGTCTCCTCTGCTCAGATGAGGCCGCAGTTCTTTCCATCCTGGAGTGAAAGCCTACTCTGCATTTGGGGATGGAGAGCAGGTCAGGCTTGAAGCCCAGATCACTTGGGCTGGGAATGCCCAGGAACGTTGTTCTCTTCTCAACCTCCGGAGTCTGCAGCGCCCCCACCCCTCCTGGAAAAAGGAGCCGGCTTCTCAGCCCATTGGCCCTGACTCCACCCTCCCTAGGTGCTTGCCTTTGACTCCCAATACCGGGACTTAGGACGCTGCAGAAACTATGGGAAGAGGTTGTGGGGAAGGGCCTGGAGCTCTGAGACTTGGGCTGGGGTCCTTGATAGCCCCCTTACCCCGCGCCCATACTCCCTGCTCTTTTTTGCCTTCCCAGGACCAAGAGAGGCGAACTCCATTGCATGCTGCTGCCTACGTAGGCGATGTCCCCATCCTCCAGTTGCTACTGATGTCAGGTGAAAGTGGGGAGCTGGAAGGTGTGGCACATAGGGAGCGAAGGGAGGGGAGGAGTCTTTTTTGATATTCAAGGATTGCTCTCCCCGGCTTGGTCCAGGCGAGGCTCCAGCTCCATTCAGATTTCCTGGCCTGATTACTGGCTTCCTTCATACCTCCTCCCCACCTTCCATCAAAATAGGAAATTATATCCCCACAGGTGCTAATGTCAATGCTAAGGACACACTGTGGCTGACCCCTCTTCATCGTGCTGCTGCCTCCCGAAACGAGGTATGCACCCCCACCTTCTATTACCCTTTCAAAAAGGATAAGTTGCTTAAAGGTGGGGGTTAAGGGTTAAGGAGCCTCAGTCCTCAGCCCTACAAGCTGTTCTACCCCAGGTAGTGAGGAGATCAAATCTTGGCCCCTTCCTCCTACCCCTAGAACTGGCCAGTAAGGGGGTTGAGTGCTGCCAGCTGATGTGACTCAGGAAGAGCTTAACACTGGGCTGGCAGACTGCGGGGGCCCTGCTGCCAGGCCTGAGTGACTCATCCCTCCCTGGGGGGCCACCTTGAGTCTGATCCCCCTCTGGGCACTGAGATTTCTTTTCCTTGTGATGGAGGATGGGTATAGTAATCTGTTGCATCCTTGGCCCTCAAGCAGCTTGAAAGTTGACAGCACAGGGGCCAAACATATTTCATCAGTTGGGTCCTTTATCCTATTCCCATCAGCCCTGAAGACAGGGAAAGGGGGACCTCCTCCTCAGTTCATCACTTCCCTGGCTCCAGCCACCAGGGGGAGGGGCCGAGGCCAGTGGGAATGAGGTGGGTGGTGGTTAGGAGGGGCATTTTAGCTCGGGTTTTGCAAACGAACCAGTATCTGTTTGCTTACTGAGATACTGAAAATAATTTTGGTGCCTATGAGAAGGCTAAAGAGGGTGTTCAGGGCAAGATGTAGCAAGAGCATTTAGTTTTCCTAGAAGTAGTAGGGGGTTGGGATGTGTGGATCTCCACATGTGGATTTGTTTGGGAATGGATGTATGTGTGAGTGAAGATTTTCAGGGTCTAAGTTGGCGAGTCAGGTGGCTTGAAGAAGAGCAAAGGGTCCTTGTTTTAATCAGCAAGGTAAGGAAGAGCTTAAGTTCTAAGAAGATCCAGAAGATGGAAAGTAGGTATTCAGAGGCTAGGTATGTTGGAAAAATGAGAAGAGATTCTGTGCTGGGGAAGGGGCTGTAGATGCTATGCTGACCTATTCCTCCTTCCATTTCCTGTTGTTTTACCTCCTGCTCCCACTCTCTCTTTTGTCCCCTGCCCCTCAACAGAAGGTGCTGGGGCTGCTGCTGGCACATTCAGCAGATGTGAATGCCCGGGACAAGCTGTGGCAGACACCACTGCATGTGGCTGCTGCCAACCGGGCCACCAAGTGTGCTGAGGCTCTGGCACCCCTGTTGAGCAGCCTCAACGTGGCTGACAGGAGCGGGCGCAGTGCTCTGCACCATGCAGTGCATAGTGGGCATCTTGAGGTGAGGACTGTTCCCATCCAGGCCCAGCTGGGGCTTTCCCTTTTCTTACCTTCCTACTCACGTTTCCCTGCTTCTGGGCCCTCAAGCCTGAAGGAGAAGCAGCCCGGATGGTTATATAAACACTTAAGCTGAAGCACTAAATGAATGGTCAGACTAGATTAAAATTCTTAACTTGGACTTCAGGAGGTTGATAAAACCTTGGATTTTGCGTGGAAAATATTTGCATACACGCCTTTCTGAAGAGAGTCCATGTCTTTCAGCACATTTGCAAAGACTTACAAGAGTTTAAGAACCGGCCGGGCACGGCGGCTCACGCCTGTAATCCCAGCACTTTGGGAGGCGAAGGCGGGTGGATCATGAGATCAGGAGATCGAGATCATCCTGGCTAACATGGTGAAACCCTGTCTCTACTAAAAATACAAAAAATTAGCCGGGTGTGGTGGCGGCCGCCTGTAGTCCCAGCTACTCGGGAGACTGAGGCAGGAGAATGGCGTGAACCCGGGAGGCGGAGCTTGCAATGAGCCGAAATCATGCCACTGAACTCCAGCCTGGGTAACAGAGCGAGACTGTCTCAAAAAAAAAAAAAAAAAGAGTTTAAGAACCACCAGATCACCTGAAGAGACTCTCTTGTTTCCCTTAAAGTTCCAAATCTCTCCAGTATCTCCTCCTTAGTGCCTGCTTCTGCTGTTCCCTCGAGTCCTCCAGGTTGTTTTGCTCATGGAAAAAGGCATTAGGCTGCCTCAGCCTTTTCAGGAGATGAGGCCTCTGCTCTTAGGTAGGTTGAGGGCACGAATCTAGCTCTGAACAGGTGTCTTTCATATCCTGATGCAGACGGTGAACCTGCTCCTCAACAAGGGAGCCAGCCTGAATGTCTGTGACAAAAAGGAGCGGCAGCCTCTGCATTGGGCAGCTTTTCTAGGTGAGAGAGAATACACGGGAAAATCAGAAATTTGACATTTAGGATTCCTAGGGCAGGGATGTGGGGTTGCAGCCTTTGAAGAGAGGAGTGTAGGGTCTTAGAGTTTACCTTCTACTTCCTTTAGAGTGTCTTCTCTTTTCTCAGGGCACTTGGAGGTCCTAAAACTGCTGGTGGCACGGGGAGCAGACCTCGGCTGCAAGGACCGCAAGGGCTATGGGCTGCTCCATACAGCTGCTGCCAGTGGCCAGATTGAAGTGGTGAAGTACCTGCTTCGGATGGGAGCGGAGGTCAGGGCTTTGAGCTCTGGGGTTGGGAACTATGGGCAGCAAGTAGGAGATTATAGTCTGTTACGGAGATATGAGGTATTGGGATGTTGGTATAGTTTTGGGAAGTTGGAAGGACGTGGTAGAGAGGGTCTGAATAATGCTTACCTTAGCCATAGTGCCCTTAGTACCTTAGTACCTTGGGTCATAAACCCGAGAGGAAATGAGGCAGTCGTTGGATTTCTGGGATCTGGAGGCTACATGTGCTGGCTTCTACTTTGTTTAAACTGATACCACCTTACTCTCACCCCTGAATATCCAGATCGATGAACCCAATGCTTTTGGAAACACAGCTTTGCACATCGCCTGCTACCTGGGCCAGGATGCTGTGGCTATTGAGCTGGTGAATGCCGGAGCCAATGTCAACCAGCCGAATGACAAGGGCTTCACGCCACTGCATGTGGCTGCAGTCTCCACCAATGGCGCTCTCTGCTTGGAGCTACTGGTTAATAATGGGGCTGACGTCAACTACCAGGTGCCTGAAGGGATAAGGCTTAGACCAGTGGGGAGCGAAACTTGGATCTAGGGGTCCTGACTGTATCTGGATAGCTCTCTTGGGGAATTATCCACTTGCTTCCTAGGGTAATCAGACCTTGCCAGGGACTCAGGAAAGAGTGGGCTAAGAAGGTGCCATATGACCCTTTTGTCCTTAGAGATATGTCCTTGGAAGGGAGGTAGGGCATTCTCTGTGCTTTGCACTGGAAAAAAAAACAAAAACAAAAACCCACCATGTTTCCACAGAGCAAAGAAGGGAAAAGTCCTCTGCACATGGCTGCAATCCATGGCCGTTTCACACGCTCCCAGATCCTCATCCAGAATGGTATGGACCTGGGAGACTTTGTGCTCTCATCCCCTCCTCCCCCAAGGAACTCATTTCTAGAATCTAGGGAGGTTCCTAACTTCCTTCTCCTGCCCTCTTCCAGTAGGATAGGCCCTTGGAACTCTGACCAAGGGACCTGTGGAAATGGCCCTGCTCTGCCCTGCCCAGTCTCCTAAGGCCTAGAAACAGGATAAAATATGTAGAATCCTGGGCCTGGCACCTGATGCATACATAGTAGGCACTCAAATCATGGCTAGCTCGCGAAAGTGGTCTTAAGCCTGAGGTCTGCCTGAGCTTGTGTGTGTGCATCCCCTCACAGGCAGCGAGATTGATTGTGCCGACAAATTTGGGAACACGCCACTGCATGTGGCTGCTCGATATGGACACGAGCTGCTCATCAGCACCCTCATGACCAATGGCGCAGATACCGCCCGGTGAGTCAGGGCCCCGACTCCACTTCTGGGCTGCCCAGATCTGCACAGACTGCTCACATCAACCATGGAGGCACAGATAAGCTTGCCAAAGGGCACCTTGGAGAACCTCCTACCCTGACTCTAGGGTGGTGGTAGGTCACAGAAGAGGTCTTACTTGGTCCCTCCTTGACCCAAGGACTGAGTCCCTCAACTTCTCTCTAGGCGTGGCATCCATGACATGTTCCCCCTGCACTTAGCTGTTCTCTTTGGATTCTCTGACTGTTGTCGTAAGCTTCTTTCCTCAGGTATGTGCTGATGGGCTGGGGATTGGCAGGTGTATAGGAGAGCAAAGGCCTTTCCCTCCCTGCTGAACACTCTCAGATGTGACCTGTGGCTGTTCTGTGCCTCCAGGTCAGTTGTACAGCATTGTGTCTTCACTCAGCAATGAGCATGTGCTTTCAGCTGGGTTTGACATCAATACACCTGACAACCTTGGCCGTACCTGTCTTCATGCTGCTGCTTCCGGAGGGTGAGTTCTCTTTCTCTCTCCCATGCTTTGAGCAGGGAGCTGGGCAAAGGTCTGGGCCCCTCATTCTTGCCTGCCCAGATCTATTCCCCCTCTCACAATGAAAGCAGTCACAGCAGAAAGGGCTTGCTAGTCCCATCCTTCCTTAGCCCCACCCTGGGCCTGTGGCTTCCCTTTGAGGCTGTAACTCTCTTAACACATCTTTCTTTTAGGAATGTTGAATGTCTTAATTTGCTGTTGAGCAGTGGAGCTGACTTGAGGAGGAGGGACAAATTTGGCAGGTATGCTAATATGCAGGGGTAAACATAGGGAATATCTGATTAGAGAAACAAATGGTAGAGGGAGGAAGGGTTTAGATTGGAGACTTAAATAAGGAGAATGTTACAAAGCAGCATTTGGCTGCACATCTGATTGCATTCGTATCTGTCTCTGATTCTCTTCCCCACCCTCCTTCACTTCTTCCCCAGGACCCCACTGCACTATGCAGCTGCTAACGGTAGCTACCAGTGTGCAGTAACATTGGTGACTGCTGGGGCAGGTGTCAACGAGGCCGACTGTAAAGGCTGCTCTCCCCTCCACTACGCTGCCGCTTCTGACACTTACAGGAGGTGAGGCTACCAGTCTGGTCCTTCTCAGCCCCATTCACCTCCCTGAGCCTGGCCCTAACTTTCTCTCTCTCTTCCCCAGAGCGGAACCCCATACACCTTCCAGCCATGATGCCGAAGAGGACGAGCCACTGAAGGAGTCCCGCAGGAAGGAGGCCTTCTTGTGAGTAGCAGAGAGGGCCCCTGGGATGTGCTTTCCCCAACCCATGCAAGCTCTGGCCCTACTGTCCTCCTACCTAATCTGAACCTCTACCCTATACTGCTGCTGTCCTGCCGGTCAGCCAGCAGTGTGTCTTGAGCCCTCTGGGTGTAGTCCATAGTGGGCAAAGACAAAAGTATGAGATTGAAGCTCAGGAGCTTCAGGGGGAAAAAAAAACCCAAAAGTATGAGACATAGTTCCTTCCCTAAAGGAATGGATTTTTTTTTTTTTTTTTTTTTTGGAGACAGAGTCTCACTCTGTTGCCCAGGCTGGAATGCAGTGGTGTGATCTCAGCTCACCGCGCCCGGCTGGTCTTCTTGAGAGGATTAGAAAAGCTAAATGTACAAAATAATTTGTTTATTCCACAAGCATTAATTAAATATTTACTTACTAGGTTCCAAGTACTGTGCTAGATACTAAGGATAAAAGATGAGGCTGGGCGTAGTGGCTCAAGCTTGTAATCCTAGCACTTAGGGAGGCTGAGGTAGGCAGATCACCTGAGGTTAGGAGTTCAAGACCAGCTTGACCAACATGGTGAAACCCCGTCTCTACTAAAAATACAAAAAATTAACCAGGTGTGGTGGCACACGCCTATAATCCCAGCTACTCAGGAGGCCGAGGCAGGAGAATTGCTTGAACCAGGGAGGTGGAGGTTGTAGTGAGCCGAGATCACGCCACTGCACTCCAGCCTGGGCAACCGAACAAGACTCTGTCTCAAAAAAATTAAAATTAAAAATAGGCCGGGTGTGGTGGTTCACGCCTATAATCCCAGCACTTTGGGAGGCCGAGGCAGGCAGATCATCTGAGGTCAGGAGTTCGAGACCAGCCTGGCCAACGTGGTGAAACCCCGTCTCTACTAAAAATATAAAAATTAGCTGGTCATGTTGGCAGGCACCTGTAATCCCAGCTACTCGGGTGGCTAAGGCAGGAGAATCACTTGAACCAGGGAGGTGGAGGTTGCAGTGAGTCAAGATCACACTAATCCACTCCAACCTGGGCGACAGAGTGAGACTCTGTCTCCAAAAAAACAAATAAATAAATAAAATTAAATAAAAATTTAAAAAGGATGAATTGTCCCAAATTTCTGTCTTTCGAAAGCTAATAATCTATTGGGAAAGATAAATAAAAGGACACTTATGCATACTAATGTAAGATGTTAATGACGGGAAACTAGGTATAGGTTATGTGAGAACTCCCTGTACTATCTTCACAATTTTTCTTTTTCTTTCTTTTTTTTTTTTTTTAATTAATTTATTTTGTAGGTCAGGGATCTCTCTGTGTTGCCCACACTGGTCTCGAACTCCTGGGCTCAAGCAATCCTCCTGCCTCAGACTCCCAAAGTGCTGGGATTACAGATATGAGCCACCACACCTAGCCCACAATTTTTCTATAAATCTAATAATATTCTAAAACAAAAAGTTTATTTTTTGCTGGGCACGGTGGCACATGCATATATTCCCAGTTATTCAGGAGGCAGGTGCAGGTAAGGCAAGAGGATCATGCAAACCCAGGAGTTTGAGGCTGTAGTGCACTATGATCATGCCTATGAATAGCCACTGCACCCCAGCCTGGGCAGCCTAGTGAGACCCCGTCTCTAAAAAAAAAAAAAACCCACAAAAATCAGGTAGGCACAGTGACTCATGCCTGTAATTCCAGCACTGAGGTGGGAGGATTGCTTGAGCCCAGGAGTATGAGACCAGCCTGGCTAACACATAATGAGAACTCATCTCTATTTTATTTAATTAAATAAATAAATAAATTAATTAATTTATTTATTTATTTGAGATGGAGTCTTGCTCTGTCACCCAGGCTCTAGTGCAGTTGCGCGATCTCAGCTCACTGCAACCTCTACCTCCGGGGTTCAAGCGATTCTCCTGCCTCTTCCTCCTGAGTAGCTGGGATTACAGGTGCCTATCACCACGCCCAGCTAATTGTTTTTTTGAAGACCGAGTCTCACTCTGTTGCCCAGGCTGGAGTGCAGTGGCATGAACTTGGCTCACTGCAACCTCCACCTCCTGGGTTCAAGCAATTCTGCCTCAGCCTCCTGAGTAGCTGGGACTACAGGAGCACGCTGCCACGCCTGGCTAATTTTTTGTATTTTAGTACAGACGGGGTTTCACCATGTTGCCCAGGCTGGTCTTGAACTCCCGAGCTCAGGCGATCCACCTGCCTTGGCCTCCCAAAGTGCTAGGATTGCAGGCGTGAGCCACCACGCCCAGCCTAATTTTTGTATTTTTAGTAGAAACAGGGTTTCGCCATGTTGGCGAGGCTGGCCACGAACTCCTGACCGCGGGTGATCTGCCCACCTCAGCCTCCTAAAGTGCTGGAATTAAAGATGTGAGCAACCGAGCCAGGCCCCTGTCTCCATTTAAAATAAGTAAATTAAATAATTTTTTTTTAAGATTTATTTTTTTAAAAAGGACACTAAAATCCAAGAGGCTCAGCTATTACCTTCAGCAAGTTACTTCTCTATGCCTCAATTTCATCACCCACAGTAAGGATAAAAATAGTATCTACTTCATGGGATCTTTATGAGGATTAAATTATTTAATATACATGAAGTACTTAGAACTGTGCTTGACAGTAAGTGCTACTTTATTATTATTACTACTACTACAACTACTACTAAGGTATGAGAAGACTGCCAAGGGAGCACAGAGGAAGAGGCATCTTCCCCAGGGAAGGCTGGGAAAGGCCTCACAGAGGAGAGAAGCTGGGACTGAGTTTGAGATGAACAGGACTTATTCGGGTGGGCTGGGAGGAGAAAGCATCCTAGGGCAGGGGTTGGCGTGCCTGGAGGTGGGGAAAGCATGTTGGTCAGCAGAAGGCTGATAACTGAACATCATGCTCTAGGTTCTCTAGGAGAGCATTCAGAGGATAAAGGAGGGCATTGAAGCCAGAGGGGTTCAGGGCAGACCTTGAGAAGGTAAAGTGGGTCTGGAGCTGCCATTGAAGAATGGGTAGGATTTAGAGAACCTACCTAGAGCTGAGGACGGGTGGCGGCCAGGTAGGCCTGGAGGGCCTTGGTCCTCTCCTCTGGCCCTCCCAGAACTGTGCCCTCCTGGGCTGGGCCTGTCCCTGCCTCACAGTCTACCCCCGGCTCCCCAGCTGTCTGGAGTTCTTACTGGATAACGGTGCAGACCCCTCCCTGCGGGACAGGCAGGGCTACACAGCTGTGCACTATGCAGCCGCCTATGGCAACAGACAGAACCTCGAACTGGTATGTGTTGGGGCCCGGCCTGCAGGAGGGGAGGCAGGGGCAGGGCACAGGGTTTGTGGATTCCAAAACTAAGGGTTCAATCAAATGTGGTCTTTGGATCCAGAGGCTTAGTGGGGATTACTGCGAGTCGGGGACTGGGGTACTATCTTGGGAGTTCCAGAGTCTCAGCACCTACTTTCCTGTCCTTTGCAGCTCTTAGAAATGTCCTTTAACTGCCTGGAGGATGTGGAGAGCACCATTCCAGTCAGCCCTTTGCACTTAGCTGTGAGTCCCACGTCTTTTTTCTGTTGCCTTCCTTGTCCTACCTGTTCCCAGGCCCTAACAAAGGTGCCAGCACTTGTGAAGTTATCCTTCCTTCTGCCTTTTTGTGGGAGAGGGGATAAGCACAGTGCAGGGTAGGAAGCCTTAAGGGGCCCAAGGAGCTTGTCAAGGACTAAGACCTTGAGCTTCCCAGGGACCCCAAGAGCAGAGAAGGGGAAGGGAGGAGCAGGGAAGGTCCCGAGCTGTGTGCACTGGTTGCCTGCACCTTGCCAGGCCTACAACGGTCACTGTGAAGCCTTGAAGACGCTGGCGGAGACGCTGGTGAATCTGGACGTAAGGGACCACAAGGGCCGGACCGCACTCTTCCTGGCCACGGAGCGCGGCTCTACTGAGTGTGTGGAGGTGCTTACAGCCCACGGCGCCTCTGCCCTCATCAAGGAGCGCAAGCGCAAGTGGACACCCCTGCACGCTGCTGGTTAGTGCCCACTTTAGGCTGCTGCCCTACCCTTGCCATGCCAGATCCCTCCTGGATGGGAATGGGGCTGGAAAGTGGAGTAGGGTGAGGAGAATGGAGACTTCAAGCCCTGATTCATAGCTTCCTATCCTCAGAGATTTCTCCCTGGCCCAGGTCTTTCTGTAACATTGACCCCAAGTCCTTTAGGCTTGACCTTGCCTCCCTTCTTCCTCCTGGCCCTGCCCTGACACGGGGTCCCTTTCCCCTAGCTGCCTCTGGCCACACTGACTCCCTGCACTTGCTGATCGACAGTGGGGAACGAGCTGACATCACAGATGTCATGGATGCCTATGGACAGTGAGTGTGGGCCAGGGTGGGGTGCAGGTTTTCCAGTCCTTGCGGGATCCTCACTCCTCCTCCTGCCCTTCTGTAGGACCCCACTGATGCTGGCCATCATGAATGGCCATGTGGACTGTGTACATCTGCTGCTAGAGAAAGGATCCACAGCTGATGCTGCTGACCTCCGGGGCCGCACTGCCCTCCACCGCGGGGTGAGTGAGCTTCTAGGGGGGATTGTTTGCACATGGGCCTCAGTGTGGGAGCATGGGACTCACCAGCAGTAGGGAATCCAATTGTCTAGGAGGCAAGCCAGGATTTTGTGCCGTCTTTTTTCTTTTTCTTTTTTTTTTTTTTTTTTGAGACAGGGTCTCACTCCCATTGCCCAGGTTGGAGTGCAGTGACACTATCACAGCTCACTGCAGCCTTGACTTCCTGGGCTCAGGTGATTCTCGCACCTCAGCCTCCTAAGTAGCTGAAACTGTAGGCACATGCCATCATGCCCAGCTAATTTTTGTATTTTTTGTAGATATGGGGGTCTTACCATCTTGCCCAAGCTGGTCTTGAACTCCTGGGTTCAAGTGATCCCCCCACCTTGGCCTCCCGAAGTGCTGGGATTACAGGCATGAGCCACCAGACCCACGCTGTGCCCAGGATTTTATTGAGCTTTGTGCTTGCTCCAGGATGAGTTCCTGACGTCCCCAGCTGATTTCCCTGATATCTGTGCTTTGTTTATTATTATTATTATTATTATTATTATTATTATTATTATTATTATTATTATTATTGAGATAGAGTCTCGCTCTGTCACCCAGGCTGGAGTGCAGTGGCGTGATCTCGGCTCACTGCAACCTCCGCCTCCTGGGTTCAAGCAATTCTCCTGCCTCAGCCTCCCGAGTAGCTGGGATTACAGGCGCCTGCCACCACGCCTGGCTAATTTTTGTATTTTTAGTAGAGACAGGGTTTCACCGTGTTAGCCAGGGTAGTCTCAATCTCCTGATGATGAGATCCACCCGCCTTGGCCTCCCAAAGGGTTGGGATTACAGGCGTGAGCCACTGTGCCTGGCCAATATCTGTGCTTTGTAATCACGTACAACTGAGTGCTCACCACCCAGACTCTACCTGGGATACCCTGCTGGCCCCAACCCATCGCATAATGTCGCCACAACCTAGATCCTCTTCCGTGACCACCTGTCCTAAGCTGCCTCCTCCTCCCATAAGATTTTTTGATCCCTTAGTCTCCTTCTCTCCATTTAGTCTTTCCAGTATTAACTCCAGAGCTCCAGTATTAACTCTTAGTATCCTGATTGTCTGCTGGCATAGAGAGAGTCAAGGAGGGAGATGTGGGTCCCTAATACTTAGAATTGTTGTTGTAAAGGGCCGGGCATGGTGGCTCACGTCTGTAATCCCAGCACTTTGGAAGGCCAAGGCGGGCAGATCACCTGAAGTCAGGAGTTTGAGACCAGCCTGGCCAACATGGTGAAACTTCGCCTCTACTAAAAATACAAAAATTAATTGGGCATGGTGGTGCATGCCTATAATCCCAGCTACTTGGGAGGCTGAGACAGGAGAATTGCTGGAACCTGGGAGGCAGAGGTTGCAGTGAGCCAAGATCGCACCATTGCACTCCAGCCTGGGTGACAGAGTGAGACTCCGTCTCAAAAAAAGAAAGAATTATTGTTGTAAAGACAAGGATTGAGGCCAGTGGCTCATGCCTGTAATCCCAGCACTTTGGGAGGCCGAGGCAGGCGGATCACGAGGTGAGGAGATCAAGACCATCCTGGCTAACGTGGTGAAACCCTGTCTCTACTAAAAATACAAAAAAATTGGCCGGGCATGGTGGCACCTGCCTGTAATCCCAGCTACTTGGGAGGCTGAGGCAGGAGAATCGCTTGAACCGGGGAGGCAGAGGTTGCAGTGAGCCGAGATTATGCCACTGCACTCCAGCCTGGGCGACAGAGCAAGACTCCGACTCCAAAAAAAAAAAAAAAAAAAAAAAGACAAGGATTGGAGCCCTGGAAGTGGTTCTTACTCCTGAGCCAGACTCCAGCAACAGGCCAGTGGAAAAGGAGGAGCTTTTCATCCCCCTCACACCCCCATGTTACTCACAGGCAGTGACTGGCTGTGAGGACTGCCTGGCTGCCCTGCTGGACCACGACGCATTTGTGCTGTGCCGAGACTTTAAGGGCCGCACGCCCATTCACCTGGCCTCAGCCTGTGGCCACACTGCAGTACTGCGGACCCTGCTGCAGGCTGCCCTTTCCACAGATCCCCTGGATGCCGGGGTGGATTACAGCGGATACTCGCCCATGCACTGGGCCTCCTACACTGGTACTAGACTGGGGCCTCCACAGGCACAGGAGCATGTGTTGGAGTGTGTGTAGAGGGGGACAGGTGGGTTGTTGGGGGGGACCTGGGTTGATCTGAATCTGGAAGTGGAATGGAGTGTCAAGACACAGGACAGACAGGGAACCTTGCCGTTTTTCTCCATCACTACTCTTCCTTCCTCGTGCCCAGGACATGAAGATTGTCTGGAGTTGTTACTTGAACACAGCCCGTTTTCGTACCTGGAAGGAAACCCCTTCACTCCTTTGCACTGTGCAGTGTAAGTCCCTTCTGCTGCATCAGCCCTTCTCGCGAGGGCCCATGACTTGAGCTTAGGACAGGTAGTCTACTTCCCTTGTCCTTCCTGATGACCCCTCCTCCCTCTTCCTCTAGGATTAATAACCAAGACAGCACCACAGAGATGCTACTGGGAGCTCTGGGTGCCAAGATTGTGAACAGCCGAGATGCCAAAGGACGGTGAGTGATGGAAGACTTGGGAAGAATCCCAGTTGCCTCTGGCTTCCCCTTTCTGCTTGGGCAGTATACTCTTCCCTATTTTAATCTACCCTGATCCCTGCCTTACAGGACCCCCCTTCACGCCGCTGCCTTCGCGGACAATGTCTCTGGGCTCCGGATGCTGCTGCAGCATCAAGCTGAGGTGAACGCCACTGACCACACTGGCCGCACTGCGCTCATGACGGCGGCTGAGAACGGGCAGACCGCTGCTGTGGGTGTGTAGGGGCCACTTGTGGAAGGGAGGAGCTCCCCTGGGGCATTTGCAGGATGGGTCAGCCCTGCCTGTGGAGGCTGGCTGGGGCTGGGGTTCAGAAAGCAAGAGGGTTGTCTTTGGATGTCTCGCCATCTGCAGACGGGATGCAAAGTGGAGAGCCAGGATGGCTACTGCTCTGGAGGGAGGGGTCAGTCCCTCTATCACATTTCTCTCGTAGAATTTCTGCTGTATCGAGGGAAGGCAGACCTTACTGTGTTGGATGAGAACAAGAACACGGCCCTCCACTTGGCTTGTAGCAAGGTACTTACCTGAAGTGATTGGGGGACTGCATAAGGGGCAGAGCTTGATGAAGAGAGGTAAGTCTCGGTTGCAGAGGGGACTGGGGCAGAAGTGAGGATTGTCCAGCCTATCCGACTGGTTGGGCAGCTGTTTGTCCTCCTGTTACTCTCCCCAACTCCTGCCCTGCACCCTGCCACATTTCTACTTCACAAGTCTCCACTCTCTGTTCCCCTCCCTCAGGGCCATGAGAAATGTGCCCTCATGATCCTGGCAGAAACCCAAGACCTTGGCCTTATCAATGCTACCAACAGTGCGCTGCAGATGTGAGTGCCTGGGGAAGGGGGCTCCTGGCTGGGGGAGGCCAGTGGGTGATGAAAGAGTGGCCGCTGTTCAGAGGCTCTCTGGAGCCCATTGTATTTGTTCAGCACCCTTGCCACCCTGTCTGGAGGTGGAAGGGCAGCTTAGCATCAAGCTCCTTCTTTTTCCTTTTTTCCAAGGCCACTCCACATTGCTGCCCGGAATGGTCTAGCTTCTGTGGTACAGGCCCTGCTGAGTCATGGGGCCACAGTGCTGGCTGTGGATGAAGAAGGTGGGTGGGGTCTGGGGCCCCATGCCTCTCTTGGGTTTGGGGTCAGGGACATTCTTCAGGAGGTGACTTCTTAATCTTGCTATACATGGGATTTTCTTCCCAAGGGAACTCTTCAGAGCAGGGAGCCCACACCAGTACTCTGGAGTCTCAGAGGGGAGCCTGCAGGGTCAGGAGGACTCCACACCCTAGGCTTTGACTCCCATGCCCGCCCTTTAACCCGTACTTAGAGAATCTGCCTGTCAGCCTTCCTGGGCCCTCGTCACCCTTGGATTCTGCCGCTGCTGGGTACCTGCCTGCCTTGGCTCCCTCCACAGAGAAGAGACTTCAGGGCTTGGGGGAGGCTGGCTAGGATACAGGACTCTATGCCTCAGTTCTCCCCCTTGGCCCTGCAGGTCACACCCCAGCACTGGCCTGTGCCCCCAACAAAGATGTGGCAGACTGCCTGGCCTTGATCCTTTCCACCATGAAGCCTTTCCCACCCAAGGACGCCGTCAGTCCTTTCAGCTTCAGCCTGCTCAAGAACTGCAGCATTGCAGCCGCCAAGACGGTGGGTGGCTGCGGCGCCCTGCCCCATGGGGCCTCCTGCCCCTACAGCCAGGAGCGGCCCGGCGCCATTGGGTTAGATGGCTGCTACTCTGAGTAGCCCCCTCCAGTGTCCCTCCCCCGCCGGTGGCTTGATATCTAATTCTATTTATTTAGAAAAAGTCTAAACATTTAGGGCACTTTAAAGGAGAACACGACTGGGTGGAGGGGGCGGAGGGGAAGGAAGCCCTGGGGAGCAGCTGCTCACCCCTTTGCCACACCATCTTGGCCTGGCAGGGGTCTGGGACTGACAGGGAGCACCCCAGGCCCTTGGTACCCCCAGGGCGACCCCTTCTGCCAAGTGTCCCAAAATGATTGCTAAATGCCTGGCTCCCCCACTCTTTGACTCCATCTCTTGGTTCCCTCTTTCTGCTGCCAGCTCCCCCGACTCTTCCCTGGGGACTCCTCTCTGTGTCCCCCTTCTCCCCTGCCCCTACTGCCAGGCAGATCCCCTCTTCTTCCATACCCATCACTGCCTCCCTGCTCGGCCGGTCCCTCCATCCCCGCAGCAGTGAGAAGCCTTAATTTCTGGTACTGTGTGAGCACTCTGGGGGTGTCCCCCTCCCCCCTTCAGGGGCAGCTAGAGGATGAGGGGGGAGGATATTTAGCACTGGGGCCTGGAGCTTTTTCCCCACTTCTGTACCCTATCACCCCTAAAGTTCAAATGCAAAACACTTGAAGCAGCAACTACTGTACCTGGGCCCCAATCCTGCACTCTCCCCTGGCTCCTCATATGCAAATCAAGGGCTGGTTCTGCCCCCACAGCCTGCCCCCTCCCCATTCCCTCCCACTCCTAGCCTGGCCCCTAACCACGCACTTTAACCTTGCTTCTTTCTTTTATCTTCTTTTGGGAGGGCAGAGCCTGTGGTCATTCCTGCCCTGGCTCTCCTTCCCTTGAACTTTGAGGCTTGTCATGAATTTTTAAGTAAGCGTTTTATCCTTTAGGGGAAGAAACAAATTAATTTCCTGCCCATTTCAAAACCACAGCCCTAGTATGTCCACTGTGTTTCAGGCATGTGTTTGCATGTATATGGAGGGAGGGACCATGTTCTTCCTCCTGTGCCGCCAAGCCCATAGTTTATCTGTGCTCCCTATCTGCCTCCACCTTCCGTTATGTCCAAGAGTACCCACTGCCCCAGTCACTCCTGATCTGAAGCCAAAGATGGTAGGAGGGGCAGGGCCGACAAGGGACCGTGGCTACTCGGGACCCAGGCTTCCCCTCCAGTGTGAGGAAGAAGCTCTGACCTAGAGAGAGATGAATAGGTACTGGGGCTTGGTCCCTGCCTTCCCAGCAGGGAGGAAAGATGGGATTGAGCTGGGGGCTGCACTGATAAGATTTCTAAAGTCGCACCCCAAAAGCCAAACTGGGCTGGAGTGAAGAGGGGGCAGTTTTCTCTCTAAATGTAGCATTGAATTTGGCCCTGGTCCCTTTAAGTGCTCTGTCCACCCATCTCCTAGTGCAGCCTCCTGGACAGTTGGACCCACTCCTGCAGCCCAGTGTTCCCTTCCTCACACTCAATACCTCAGCCAGGGGCCAAGACACAGAACTTGAATAGAGGTCATGCCCCCTCCGCCCCCACACTGCATCCTTGCCCAGTTTGGCTGCCATCAGTATTGTCCCCTGAGAACTGGACAGGCTTCGTTTACACAGTACAGGGTCTCCCCTGAGGGGGGATCCTTCAGCCTCCCTCCCCTACTCAAGTTTGCTTTATTCACAGTCTTACCCATCTTTTAGTTGTATACCCTGAATGTCTTGCCACCCTTGTCAAGGGTGGGCTGAGGGGAGGGGGGCGTCCCAGGGACCCCCTCCCTCCCCAACGGATACCTTTAACCATACCTCATGCTGGTTTCCAGAAGCCTGGGGTGTTGTCCAAGTCCTTATCTTTTCATGGTCCCTTTTGATCCCCTGTCTCTCTGTGTTTTGCTTCTCCCAACCCTCAGTTCCTAAATCATTTCAAGGCTTCCAAATGACCATTATTGATGAGAAGGATTGTGCAGCTTTTAGTTTTTATTTTTATTTTCAAAGCCAAAGGGCCTTGTGACGCCCCTCTTGCCCACCTCCCTCCACACCGTGTCCTCCCCTATATGACAATCAATGTGACCTCTCTTAAGGGCTGCAGCCCCCATCCCCAACCCTGCTGGCTCTGCAAAGCTTGCCTTCCCTTCAATTCTCTCTCCTGAAATCTTCCCATTCCACCCCCTCCCTCTCATCTTGGTGCTGGGAATTAGGTGGTGGGGGGCAAGGGGAGTGAGAAGATGGGTCCTCCAGAGAGAACTTGCCGGGTGTGAGTCGTGTTCTCCTTTCGTGATGTTTGGTGATGGCGGGAAGCGTCTGAGTGTCAGAGCCCCGTTGTCTTGCTAGATGAGATTTCTGGGGGCTGTCTGCGCCCTGCTGCCCTCAGCGCACTGTCAGCAGTGCTGGGAGGTGGTGGGGAGTCCTCTGTCCCTCCATATGTGGCTGTGAGGAAGCCTGGGGGACAAGCAGCCTCCTCTCCTTATGCCAAAGGAAACCCCACGCCCCACCCTGGGCTCCCCAGCCCTAGTGTTTTTTGAAGCATTTTGACCATTCTCATGGCCACTGCATATTTATTTTAATGTTAAGATTTTTTTTAAACCTCTTTGACTTAAACGGGTGTGGAGAAGTAAAACAGGCAGAATGCCCCCCAGTCTTCATGGGGGAGGGCGGGGAGGGAACAGCGCCTTCCCTTTGCCCTCCCCCTCCCCCCTCTCCCCACCGCAGCCCTAAAGCACTTGCTTCAAGTAATAAGCACTTTTGTGAAAAGGCCTATTTTAAGCGAGGACCCTGGGAGCAGCCCCAGGTCCCAGCAAAGGAAACAGAGCGAGGGCGACATAGGAGACAGGGAAACAGACGTGTGAATCAGAGGGTGAGATGGAAAGAGCCAGTTTTTAGTTTCTGATTTTGGGGGAGCTATTTCTGATTGGGCGGTGGCTCTGGTAGGGTCATATACTATCCTTCAGAAAAACGAATGGCACAAACCGTGGGTCCCAGGAAGGACCAGCAGACCCGGGTCACTGCCACTGTCCACTGAGACTGACGGGCCACCTCCCCTGCCCCGTGGCCCCCTGAGCCATAGGACTGCTGAAAACCACTGAATGTACAGCCCAGGTTGGGGTGGGGAGCAGCCCCTGGGGGAGGGGGCTTCTCCTTTTGTTTGGTGCTGTGGGGCGTGGGAGAGAAAAGACTGAGGGACTGCCACCCCACGTAGATGTGTTTCTTGGGGTGGAGGGGCTGAGGAGGGCCTACCTCCCTCTCCAACCCCAGCCATGGCCCCTCTTCCTTCCTCACCCCTATCCGTTTTGACTGTAAGTCCAGCTCACCTTTGCCTTCAATATGTAACCAAAGGAAAACTCAATACTGTTTCCACCACTGTCTGCCCACCCGAGCACCTTCTTACTCCCTGGACCTAGAAGGGGAGAAGAGGCTGGAGGTGGGGTGGATGGGGCCAGAGTGAACGGTTCTACAGCTGTATCCCCAGAACCTCCTCCAGGGTCTTGGAAGGAGTCCTGAGAGGTGGGATTGGGGCCGGGCTGGCAGGGCTGAGTTTGCGCACTGTGTATCTTATGCACATGAGTGTTTTTGTCTAAATGACTCCAGTGACTGCTCCAGCGGGGAGGCCCCTTCCTCCTTCCCTCTCAGCCATTTCTCACCCACTTCCCATACCCAGTGTTCATCCCCTACCTCCCCTTCCCACCGCAAAGGAAAATAGCCTTACAGACCCTAGCCCAGAAACCCTACTCCTGGGGCAAACCAGTATGGGCCCCCATCCCGCCTAGTTTGAACCCTACCTTTTAAGAAGGAGGGATAAGGAACAAAGCAGCCCCTTCCCCTCTAATTGTGGTGGCTCCAGCCTTCTGCAGCCTTGACCCAGGTTGGGCAAGGGCGGAGGTGAGGAATCTTTGAGGACCAAGCCCAGTGGTCTGGGAATCGGGAGGTAGAGAGGGAAGGGTCTGCCTTGGGGGCTCCCTCCTCCCAACCCAACCCCTAGAGAAGCGACCAAATCCCAGAGATGGGGTGAAGCTGGGGTGGGGAGGGTCTGCTCTTTGAATTACTTGAAGGTACTGACTCCAAGGCTGCTGTTGCCCACTTAGGTGTGAGGGGGACACTGTCACTGCATTTGGGAGGGCAGAGGGTGGCGGGTAACCAGAGGATCCACCTTGGCCCTCACCCACTCCTGCTAGGCCCTTTCCCTGGGGAATCTGGAAGCCTGACTTTGCCCCCAGGGAAGTTGGGGACCGCCTTCCCTCCCTTCTCCACCTCTCACTCTGGGCACCCTCTCCAATTGCACTAAAGTAGCTGTTGTGCCAGTCTGCCCCCCACAAGGGGGGAGGTCTCTGCTTCCAGTCTTCTTCCCCCGCTGCCTCCGCTCCCACCCTGGACAATCTCCTTGTTTCCCTTGTGTTCCTGGATAGCTCAGCTTTGTATGTGTGTTTGGGGGGTGGGGGTGGGTTCTGGCTTGAGTGGGTTTGGCAGGGGTTTGGGAAGGGTTAGGGGAGGATGGAGGATGAAGTCTCCTACCCCCTTCTCCAGCTCCAGGCCACAGAAGCCTGGGAAGGGAGGGTGCCTACTCTCGCTGCTGTGTGTCTTGCAGATGTGCCAAAATGGGGGTGGGTGGGAGGGGAGGGTGCCTGGCAGAGCAGCCCCTGGGGTGGCTCTCTCAAAGCAATATAGTTCCCCTGCGGGGGACAGCAAGACAGGGGAGAGGGTTGGGGTGGGGACCTGGGGGTTCCCCATGTACAGCTATGTATATTCAGGGGTGTTCTCCGTCTGGTACCCGCTGTGGGCATCTATGTGTGTGTGAACCTCCCCTTCCCCATGCCCTGCATGACCTGTGATGCTGCAGACACCACCATCCTGTGTGCAGGTGTGTGTTGGGGGGCACGGAGGGGCATGTTCCATGTCCTGTTGCACCCTCCACCCTGTGACCCATGTACTCGGTTGTAGGAAGTAAAGAGAACTGAGCACAATTCACTGGATTCTAGTGGAATCTTTCTCTAAGCAATTTTCCCATTCCTGCCTCTCCCTGCCCCGGAACCACCTGTGGTGCTAGTGTTGGGATCGGGGGCGTTTAACGCTGGTGGGCAGCAATAAGGGGCAGATGTGCCCAGATGCCTGCATCCCCAGGGTGCCGAGGGCAGCAGGAAAAAGTGGGGACCTCGGTGCATTTGCCCCACCCCTCCCCTCCCTGGGCTAAAGCACAATGTTCTCCCCGCAGATTAATGACCCTGCACCCTCCAGGCCCCTACTCACATCCTCCCCCAACCGGCTTCGGGTCCTCCCACCACACTCTGGTTTTCTATGCTGTTTTGGTGCAAGTACAACTGTCGTAGTCATGGCTTTGGGATGGGTTCTGTTTATTAAAATCCTATTGCTCCTACTGGCCCTGTGTCCCGCCTCCATTCCTGTGGTTGGGGGGAAGGAAGGGCAACCCGACCCCTTTCCACTGGCCCCATCAGCCCTCAGTGGTCACGGGCAGTAGCCGCTCCTCCAGCAGGGTTATGGCAAGCATGAGGCCGCCCCCCAGCAGCAGCCCCAGCCCCTGCAGGAGCACATGGGGCGTAGGCAGGGGCTCCGGAGGACGAAGCAGGGCTGGTAGCTGAAAGAAAAAGAGGATGTCAGGATTCTGGCCTTGCCCCTGACCTCTCAACTCCAGAGGAATGGTGTCAGAAAGCATCAGCAGCCCCCACCCAAACACCTTAGTCCCTTGTTTCTCAGACTTTTGCGGGCCTATGGTCTGACGCCCTTCCAGGAGCTAATGGTAGAGGCGGAGGGACTGCTACCTCCCTCTCCACTCCCGCCTCCCCACTGCCCTTGATTTCTCTGCTCTACCCGACATCTCTCACCATGTCCACAAGGGCCACATAGAGGAAGACCCCAGCAGTGACCCCAAACACCCAGGGAGTGAGGGGGACAGGGCCCAGGCTGAGCCCCACCCCCAGGACTGCACCCCCCAATCCCAGGGCTCCAGACACGAGGCTCAGCAGCAGCAGCCGCCGAAAGGACAGCCCTGACTGGAGCAGCATGGCAAAGTCACCTATTGGAGACAGAGGACAGGATGGGAGGGAGTAAGCTGGGGTGCCCCTCATCCATGCCACCCACCAGCCTCCAAGCTCTACCCCTTGGAGCTATCTCCTTTCTGGAGTCCACCCCACCCTGCTCCTGCCATTCCTACCCAGTTCGTGGGGCAGCTCATGGCAGAAGACCGCTAAGGTGGTACTGAGGCCGCTGGAGAAGCCATCAGAGAAGGCAGCACCTGGGGCCAGCAGGGTCGGAAGTTGTCAGTCCAGAAGAAAAGTCTCCTCAGAAGCAGGTTCCTGTGTTCCGTGGTCCTCCCGTCCTCTCCCCATCTTCCTGACGGCCCTCTCCTAGCCCCAGCTGATAACTAGGAGCCCTGGCCTCCCCTCGGACCTGCTTCCCTCCGTTCCCACCCCTCACACCTATGGCCAGCCCATCAGTGAGGTTGTGTAGACCATCTCCCAGGAGGACCATCCACGTGATATCAGTGCCACCCTGGTGCCCATGACTGTGGCCTTGGTGCCCAGGAGGGGCCAGAGCTGGTGGGTGCTGGCTGTTCTTCTCCCTCTGGCCCTGAGCCCCTGGCTCTGCGGGAAGAAGCACAGGACAGTGTTGGTGGCTGCAAGTAAGGACTGTGAGCTTGGAACCTACTCTTCAAATTTTCTCCTCTAGTCACCTGGAGCTGCCTGTAGGGGCTGAAGGGCCATCCCACTGCCATTCTCCGGATCCAAGTTGCGTGTTTCGAGATTCCTTCGTTTTCGCCTGCAGCATCTCTGAAATAGGAGGGCATCCCTCCTGGTGGAGGAGGCAGCAGAGCCAGGGACTAAGGGGAAGCCAGGCCACAAGCTGGGAAGATGAACACCTGGTTCCACCTCTGGCACCTGGGATGTTCTTTGGCCTCTACCTTCTTCCCAAGTTGGCACCTCCCCTCTGTTTCTTGTTGACTTGAGCTCAGAATAGGATGCCATTTGGCCAGAAGTCCTGGGTCTGTGCTTAAGGAGCCCCTACCCACTCCCTGTTAGCCGATAGGTCCTGCACACCAGGCAAATGTCAGAGATCCAGGAGCACACACTGCTCCTCATCTCTTGGCTTTTTGGCCCAGTTTTGTTGTTGTTGTTGTTGTTTTTGAGATGGAGTCTCGCTCTGTCACCTGGGCTGGAGTGCAGTGGTGCCATCTTAGCTCGCTGCAACCTCCACCTCCCAAGTCAAGCGATTCTCCTGCCTCAGCCTCCTGAGTAGCTGGGATTACAGACACGCACCACCACGCCCAGCTAATTTTTGTATTTTTAGTAGAGACAGGGTTTCACCATGTTGGTCAGGCTGGACTCGAACTCCTAACCTTGTGATCTGCCCGCCTTGGGCTCCCAAAGTGCTGGGATTACAGGCGTGAGCCACCGCGCCCGGCCTGGCCCAGTTCTTGACTGGGACTCTGGTCTCAGCAGAAGGAGGAGAAAAGGGTATCACTCACTGGCCTGAGCCCTCGGTGCCGCAAAAGCCCCAGCATGTTCTCCAGCACAAAGAGCAGGAAGAGGCCTCCGAGCACTGACAGCCCCGGGCCCAGGTCCTTCTCTGGTAGTCCGCCAGGTCCTGCGTGCCGCCCTTCTTGTGCCTGACAGAGAGAAGGTCAGGGCAGACTCTGGAAGCCCCTATACCCAACAACATCCCCTTGCATGGATTGTGGCAAGCCTTCGCTCATATGCTCTACTAGAAGGCAGCTGTGGGCTGAAGCCAGGATCTGGGAGTAGGATATGGGAGCTGATGGAAAGGCGGAGGGGATGTCCTATGGCTGGGGACACCTTAGATCCATGGAGGCCAGGGGTACAAGGAAGGGGCTTCACATACATGCGGTAGCAGATGTAGCAGTGCATCCCCACAAAGAGTGCCCACCGCCAGGGCCCCCAGGAAGCCCAGCAAGGGCCGTAGTAGACGAGGTCCCAGGAGCCGCAGCAGCAGCAGGGATAGGGGAGAAGGGAGGCTGAGCAACAGGACTGCCAGGGCACTCTGAAGCAGGGCTGGGGAGAATCAGGGGCTGAAGTTAGGTCAGGGCAAGAGGAGGGTCCCACACGTAAGGTGGAGCAGAGAGAACACTACAAGGAGAGGCAGGACCCCAGTGAGCCTCCTTTTTGGCATGGGCCCCACTTCCAGGATTCAGGGTGTCCCCCACCCACTCCTACTTGCTGACCAGATAGTAGATCCCCTGGGGGTGCAGGGGCCGGAGCGCCGATGCAGACGCGGCTGTCGATCTGATAAAGCAGGGCTGGGCACAGCAGAGCAAACTGACGAGGGGTCAGAGGAGCAGCGGGGCTCAAGCCAAAATTGACCAGCAGCTGGGAGCCGTTCAGACACTGGAGAATTGAGGGTCATACATTGGAGAATCACCAGGAACTATGACTCAGATCTTTAACACCTGGCCAGGTGTAGTGGCTCACACCTATAATCCCAGCCCTTGAGAGGCCCAGGCGGGTGTATCATCTGAGGTCAGGAGTTTGAGACCAACCTGGCCAACATAGTGAAACCCTGTCTCTACTAAAAATACAAAAATTAGCTGGGGATGAGCCGGGTGCGGTGGCTCACGCCTGTAATCCCAGCACTTTGGGAGGCTGAGGTGGGTAGATTGCCTGAGCTCAGGAGTTCGAGACCAGCCTGGGCAACATGGTGAAACCCTGTCTCTACTAAAATACAAAAAATTAGCTGGGCATGGTGGCGTGCACCTGTGATCCCAGCTACTCAGGAGGCTGAGACAGGAGAATCGCTTGAACCCAGGAGGCAGAGGTTGCAGTGAGCCGAGATTGCACCAGTGCACTCCAGCCTGGGCGACAGAGTGAGACTCCATCTCAAAAAAAAAAAAAAAAAATTAGCTGGGGATAGTAGTGAACACCTATAATCCCAGCTACTCGGGAGGCTGAGGCAGGAGAATTGCTTTAACCCAGGAGGTGGAGGTTGCAGTGAGCCAAGATCACGCCATTGCACTCCAGCCTGGGTGACAGAGTCAGACTCTACCTCAAAAAAATATATATATATATATTTAACACCTGTCCTTCCATTGCATAGACTCCTGGGTCTCTCCCAGGGTCCCCTTTGCTCCTACTGGCAGGTACCTTGGGGACTAGGGCCAAGGGTACTTATAATCAATGTGTATTATTAGTGAATATTCAGTCCAATGCAGGTATTCAATTTGATGCAAACTGGGTGCTAGTGAGCATTGTCATCATCTTCCCTGCAAACTCTGATCATTTCAATCATTTTGTTGATTTGATAAATGAAGCTGGTTGGAAAACTAGAGCTCTCCATGCCAGAATCTTAAAAGGGAAAAGACCCTGAAATGCCATCTAATCTCCCTCTCAACAGCCCTGTCGATGTTCATCCAGCCTCAGCTTGAATGCTTCCTGCAATGGGCACTCACTGGACCTCCATCAGGGTTAGGCAGCTTTGTCTGCCCTCTGGTGTAAGTGGAATATATTCTCTGTCTTTCTGGATGAAGACAGCCATCCATTCCCTGCAGGTCTCCTCTCCAGGTGACCATCCAGATCCTACCCTGGGCTGCTTCTCTAGATTCTCTGCTTTGCCATCTATTCCCCTAAACTGAGTCTTGGAGCTCTGGATATGGGCTCACCTGCTCTGATCCCAGAGGGAACATAGTTCACTATTGAAATAACATCCCCTAAGACCACAGTGAGATATTTTTTTTTTATTTTTTTATTTTTTTTATTTTCATTTTTGAGACAGAGTCTCGCTGTGTTACCCAGGCTGGAGTGCAGTGGTGCAATCTCGGCTGACTGCAATCTCCGCCTCCTGGGTTCAAGTGATTTTCCTGCCTCAGCCTTCCGAGTAACTGGGATTATAGGCATGTGCCACCACGCCCAGCTATTTTTTTTTTTTTTTTTTTTTTTTTTTTTTTTTTTTTGAGACAGAGTCTCCCTCTTGTTGCCCAGGCTGGAGTGCAAATGGTGCCATCTTGGCTCACTGCAACCTCTGCCTCCCAAGTTCAAGCAATTTTCTCACCTCAGCCTCCTGAGTAGCTAGGATTACACACACCTGTTACCACACCCGGCTAATTTTTGTATTTTTTAGTAGAGATGGGGTTTCACCATGTTGGCCAGGCTGGTCTCGAACTCCTGACCTCAGGTGATCCACCCACCTCGGCCTCCCAAAGTGTTGGGATTACAGGCGTGAGCCACCACGCTTGGTCCACGTTGGGATTTAAAAACAAAACAAAACAAAAAACTACTGATTATTTAAACATTTCAGGCCATCTAATCCCATGGCTCCTTCCCCTCTAGAGACCGTCAGACTCACATCCTCATTCAGGTGGTCAGCCAATGAGTGGTCCAGCAACAGAAGCCTGTGAAGGAGGTCCAGGCCCGAGGGGGCTGGCCCACGGGGTAGGTGAGGGGCCTTTGACTCTTCCAGGTCACCCCACCCTGAGGGACCCAGAGGCATCCCTGCCCAGACATCCACACTCAGCTCAGGGTTCTGTGGCCTGGAATGGATGAGACAGCAAGTCAGCCTCCCTTGTGTTCTCTATCAACCCGCTTTGAGAGGCTCCCAGGGATTTTAGGGGGAATGGGGGGACTAGCCACTGACTGGAGATCCTGGGACCCAGAAACCATGGAATGTCATTCTTAGGAAGATCTGTGAGTTGTCCATTTTCTGCCACTGGGGGGGACAGAAAAAAAAGGACGACAACCAAAAGGGCTACGAATGGCTGGGCACGGTGGCTCACGCCTGTAATCCCAGCACTTTGGGAGGCTGAGGTGGGTGGATCACCTGAGGTTGGAAGTTCGAGACCAGCCTGACCAAAATGGTGAAACCCCGTCTCTACTAAAATTGCAAAAATTAGCCCGGCGTGGTGGTGTGTGCCTGTAATCCCAGCTACTCAGGAGGCCGAGGCAGGAGAATCGCTTGAACCGGGGAGGCAGAGGTTACAGTGAGCCAAGATCACACCACTGCACTCCAGCCTGGGCGACAGAGCGAGACTCTGTCTCAAAAAAAAAAAAAAAAAAAAAAGAAAAGAAAAGAAAAAAGAAGTCTACGAATTTGGAGCCAAATCAGCCCAGAGACACTGAACAGTGATACTAAGAGCAAGAAATTTAAGGGCTTAGAGATTTGGAGGAGGAGAGAATTAGAAGGCAACGGAGGGCTAGGGTGGTAGTTCACATCTGTAGTCCCAGCACTTTGGGAAGCTGAGGCAGGCAGATCGCTGAGCTGAGCCCAGGAGTTTGAGACCAGCCTGGGCAACACAGCGAAACCCTTGTCTCTGTAAAAAATTTTTAAAATTAGCCGGCTGTGGTGGTGTGTGCCTATGGTCCCAGCTGCTCAGGAGGCTGAGGTGGGAGGATGGCTTCAGCCTGGGAAGCAGAGGTTGCAGTGAGCCGTGAATGTGTCACTGCACTTTAGCCTGGGTGACAAAGCGAGACCCCCAGTCTCAAGAAAAGAGAGAGAAGGCAATAGAAGCATGAGAGGTTTTGAAGAGATACCAAGGAGCTCGGTTCTGAAGAATTTGTAACTCCAGGGATCTCGTGAGGAAGCCAGAACGAGGCAACTGGGGGCAAGCACTGAGAGGACCTGGGAGATGTGGCCCTGTGGAGTGGAGGAAGGGGTCAGTACCTGTGTGTGGAATTGTCTGCAGCTGGGGATGCAGCCCGTCCAGTCAGAGGCCCATGCTGTCCCAGGCGAAGCCCCTGAACTCGGCCTAGCCCCAGGCTGTGGAGAAGCCGCGCCAAGCCCCCTGCAGTCAGCGTCCCATTCTCGCCGTACAGGCCAAACAGCTGGGCCAGGTAATGGTTCTGCTCCTGCTCAGCAGGGCCCAGGTTGGGGACTGAGCCCCCTACCCAGCCCAAGACGACCCACACACAGAAGCCGGCCAGCAGATGACTCACTGGGGACCCCATCATTGGTGAGGGGAATAGCTTAGGGGCTCAGGTTCTGGCTCCTATTCTCCCCGAAACATCCTGAGGACTGTGCCCTGGAAGAATGAGGAATGGGCTGGAGCTGCGCTCTGCTCTCCAGCTCAGGTCCATGGGGGAGCCAGAGCTCCTTGCACCTGCTCCCCACCGAGTCCAGCAGCAGCCCCTACTGCAGCCTTCTTTCTCCCTTCACACTGCCTCCTGCGGGAGCAGCCTCTTGTTTGCTGGTTCCTGGAGCACCTCCCTGAGTCAGAGCTCTCCTCATACTTCATCCAGAGCTGACCGTCCATTCCTTGTCCCCTAAACCCCACCCCTCAACTTTGCCCCACCTCTTTATCCCCCCTCAATCCCCAGGGCCTCACCCCTACTGGCAACATAAGAGCTGTCACCTCAGGTCCCCTATTAGGCCTTGCTGTAGACGTTAAGCAGTTCCTGAGTCAGGGAAGGGGGAATCCAGGCTTAGCCTCCAGGTGTCCAGGTGGATCGGAGGCCACGTCACATAGAAGGCTGAGATGGACATGCACCCCCTCCTAGCCCACCTGCCTTGGGGCGGGGTCAGGGGTGGGGCCAGTGTGTGAAGGCTCACATAAGAGAGGAGTTAATGGTTCACTGGTCTCTGGGGTAGGGATCAAAAGTCAGTCTCTGCTGGGCCCCTGGGTAGGGAGGGGCCACCCTCTGCCCTGGGAAAGCCACATGGCTAAGGAGAACCTGGGCCTAGTCTTTTTCCTCTTAAATAATTCACCCTATCCTTAACACCATTAGTACCATTTTAGCCCTTTCCCTCATGTACTTCCACCCCACCTACCTTACAGTCTAGCACTAAACTTCATCTCCAACCCCCATCCCCATATTCCTTGGGAAGGTTGGACCCAGGTGTCCCTAACCTGGGGAGGAGGGGGGAAAAGGCAGATCAGTGGCAAGCCCAGATGCATGCATGGGAAATAAACTGTTCTTAGCAGTTTCTCACCCCAAGAAGAGAAAGAGCCAGAGCTCTAGGGATCGATGACCAAGAAAGGGGAAGCCCTGCGGGGGGAGAGGAAACAAGGATCTGGGCTCTCCTCTGATGTCTGACCTGGCCTAAAATCAGGCAAGCAAAGTCTGATCGGGGTGACTGGTCCAGGGGGTTGAGGTTGGCATTACCTGATAGCAGGAGACAAGGACACCCAGAGGAAGGGGGACACAACCTTCTTGGTTCCAGCTGGGGGGGCAGGCAGGCAGGCGGGCAAGGGTCACCTGCAGGGAGGGGGTAGGGGAGGGACACTACCTTAAAGGGGCAGGTCTGCTTTGCCTGGGCCTCCTTACCTGTAACCTATTTTCCTTCCACCTTCTAGGGACACCCCACCTTCCCAAATGCCTAGTTGCTAACCTCTTCCTTTTCCCACAGAAAGCAAAGGAGTCCAACACAGAGTAGAGTGGTAACATTTATTAGGAAGGAGAGACTTCAGTTAGACTCCCATGTCTCACACAGAAGAAACAGATGGTAACTGCCATTTCTTTCTTTCTTTCTTTCTTTCTTTCTTTTTTTTTTGAGATGGAGTTTCGCTCTTATTGCCCAGGCTGGAGTGCAATGGTGCAATTTCGGCTCACCTCAACCTCCGCCTCCCGGTTTCAAGAGATTCTCCTGCCTCAGCCTCCTAAGTAGCTGGGATTACAGGCATACGCCACCATGCCTGGCTAATTCTGTATTTTTAGTAGACACGGGGTTTCTCCATGTTGGTCAGGCTGGTCTTGAACTCCCGACCTCAGGTGATCCGCCCACCTCGGCTTCCCAAAGTGCTGGGATTACAAGCGTGAGCCACTGCGCCCAGCCAGTAACTGCCATTTCTAAAGAGGAAAGAGAGCAGGCAGAGGGTCCTGACTCCCAGGGGACAGGTAGTTCAGCTGGACAATGAGGGAGTATGAGATTAGGGTGGATAAGGACACTGCTCACCACCCTCCACTGAAGTTCAGTGGCTAAAATACTGCTACACCAGCCAATCAGTGGAAGGCTATCTTGCTCTCCAGGGGACACTTGGGATGTGGTTGGTGGCAGGAAGAAAGAATGTCATGCTATCTCTTGCTGCTCCTCCGGGTTTCTTTGCCGTTACTAACAGGGTTGCTGGAAGGGCCAGGCGGGCCTGCAGGTGTGTGGTTGGGCTGGCTTCGAGTGATTCGGGTGCTGGGTGGGTGGGAGGGAGTATGAGGGGGATGTGGGCCACCACCGGGACCTGGTGGGGCACTCAGTCCATTCCCATTCTGGTTCTCAGAGGCTAATTGTGGGAGGAGAAGAAACAAAGGAATTAGTTAACATAGGAGAGGGGTCCATCCCAAGGCCTGTCTCCATGCCCCAAAGAGTGGCACAGTCTTCACCATGCACAACTGCATCTTAATGCCAACTGGACCAAATGCAAAAGACTGTGGGCTGCGAGTATGAATGGAGCTCCAGAGAAGACTTACACGATCATTTAGGAAGTTGCTACATGAACCTCGGTACGGTATTTTTCTCTTGTAGTTATCTCACTATTATTGGGAATCAGACCTAGAATTAGCTGTTTAGTTCTAGGCTCAGGGACCTCTGACAAAAATGCCCCTTTACTGGGCCAGGCGTGGTGGCTCACACCTGTAATCTCAGTACGGTGGGAGGCTGACGCGGGTGGATCACGAGGTCAGGCATTCGAGACCAGCCTGGCCAACATAGTGAAACCCCGTCTCTACTAAAAATACAAAAAATTAGCTAGGTGTGGTGGCAGGCGCCTGTAATCCCAGATACTCAGGAGGCTGAGGCAGGAGGGTCGCCTAAACCTGGGAGGCAGAGGTTGCAGTGAGCCGAGATTGCACCATTGCACTCCAGCCCGGGTGACAGTGTGAGACTCCTTCTCAATTAAAAAAAAAAAAAAGGCCCCTTCACCAAAAGTGATTATAAAACTGGAGAAGCATGGCAAGGGGAAGGGCCTGAAGTCTCTGCGTTAAAATATGAGGCACTTAAAAAAAAGGTGTGTATGAGTGTACGATAATGATAATGTTCATTTTAGAAAATATAGATAACCATCAGTGAAAAGATTATTATTATTTTTTATTTATTTATTTTTTTGAGTTGGAGTTTCGCTCTTGTTGCCCAGGCTGGAGTGCAATGGAGCGATCCCAGCTCACTACAACCTCCGCCTCCCAGGTTCAAGCAATTCTTCTGCCTCAGCCTCCTGAGTAGCTGGGATTATAGGCATGAGCCACCACGCCTGGCTAATTTTGTATTTTTAGTAGAGATGGGGTTTCTCCATGTTGGTCAGGCTGGTCTTGAACTCCCAGCCTCAGGTGATCCACCCACCTCGGCCTCCCAAAGTGCTGGGATTACAGGCGCGAGCCACTGCGCCCAGCTAGTGAAAAGATTATTACACGTAATCTTACCCACCAAAGCTAATAACAAGTCACATTTTTGTGTATATAAATATTTATTTTTTAATTTTTACTGTTTTAGAGATGAGGTCTCACTTTGTCACTCAGGCTGGAGTGTAGTGGTGTGATCATAGCTCACTGCAGCCTCAAACTCCTTGCTCAAGCAATGCTCCTGCCTCAGCCTCCCAAGTAGCTAGGATGATGGGTGTGCACCGCTGCGTCTGGCTTATATTTTCAATGTTTGAAGCCAGGTGTGTGGGATGATTTGTTTGAGCTCTCACAACTCTGGACATACCACTGTCATTGAACTTAACCATGGCGTATTATAATCATTATCTCTCTCCTGTATAAACCACAAGCCCCTAAAGGCAGGTAGTGTGTTTTATTCCACGGCAAATAGTAGGTGCTCTAGAAACATTTGTTATATGAAGGCAGAGGTTTGCTTCTTGCATACAGTAGGGACTATGAACCCTAAATGGCATGGAAGTTATAGCCTAGTGGTTCTTTTTTTTTTTTTTTTGAGAAAGAGTCTCACTGTCGCGCAAGCTGGAGTGCAGTGGCATGATCTCAGCTCACTGCAACCTCCACTTCCCAGGTTCAAGCCATTCGCCTGCCTCGGCCTCCCAAGTAGCTGGGATTACAGGCTCCTGCCACCACATCTGGCTAATTTTTGTATTTTTAATAGAGATGGGGTTTCGCCACGTTGGCCATGGCTGGTCTTGAACTCCTGACCTCAGGTGATCTGCCAGCCTTGGCCTCCCAAAGTGCTGAGATTATAGGCATGAGCCACTGCGCCCAGCCAGTCTAGTTCTTAAACCATATCTCTACTGAACCCTGCTGCTCCACTGGACTAAGATATCTGCAGCCCATGGCTGGGCGCGGTGGCTCACGCCTGTAATCCCAGCACTTTGGGAGGCTGAGGTGGGTAGATCGCCTGAGCTCAGGAGTTCGAGACCAGCCTGGGCAACATGGTGAAACCCCGTCTCTACTAAAATACAAAAAATTAGCAGGGCATGGTGGCGTGCACCTGTGATCCCAGCTACTCAGGAGGCCGAGACAGGAGAATCACTTGAACCCAGGAGGCAGAGGTTGAAGTGAGCCGAGGTCACACCATTGCACTCCAGCCTGGGTGACAGAGACTCCATCTCAAAAAAAAAAAAATTAGCCGGGCATGGTGGCAGGTGCCTGTAATCCTAGTTACTTGGGAGGCTGAGGCAGGAGAATCACTTGAACCTGGGAGGCGGAGGTTGCAGTGAGCCGAGATCACGCCATTGCACTCCAGCCTGGTTGACAAGAGCGAGACTTCGTCTCAAAAAAAAAAAAAAAAAAAAAAAAAGGGGTCTGGGAGAATTGGGTGAAGGAGGATACACTGAGAAAAGAGAGATTTGGAAAAGGAATGAGGGAAATGCATCTTTCTAGGCTGAGGAGAGTGGGAGAGCTAGGAGGACCAGTGGATAGAAGGGAACAGATTTACCTGGAGAGGCAGCAGAGGGTCCAGTGGTAGGCTGGGAAGCTGAAGGGTTGCTGTCGTTCTGCACCTGAAGGCACAGATTACATATTCAGATCCTGCTCCCTCCCATGCTTCTTGTCTTGATCTGCCCTCCTTTCCCACCATTGTGGCCACAGGACTCACCGCCTTGTTGGGTGCCTGCTGGGTGCTGTACTCTGGGTTTGGCTCACTGAAGTTAGGAACCTCAGAATAAACCATACAGAATCTGCAAGGGAAGAAAGTAGCTAAAGCCTTGAATTCATCCTCTGGGCCACTGCTGGAGGCCTCAGAAAAGTCCAGATAGGTTCGGTGTGGTCACTCACACCTGTAATCCTAGCACTTTGGGAGGCAGAAGCGGGAGGATCACTTCAGCCCAGGAGTTTGGGACCAGCCTGGGCAACATGGCGAAACCCCATCCCTATAAAAAATACAAAAAAATTAGCTGGGTGTGGTGAAGCACGCCTGTAGTCTCAGCTACTTGGGAGGCTGATGTGGGAGGATCACCTGACCCCGGGAGGTCAAGGCTACAGTGAGCCCAGATCATGCCACTGTACTCCAGCCTGAGCGACAGAGACTGTTTCTCAAAACAAACAAACAAACAAACAGAAAAAGTCCAGAAATGAGGCTTGGACTGCACACCCTATGCTGCCTCCTTGCAAACCCCTTTGCCCTGGTGCTTCTTCATCCCAATCCCCAAGACAGCACTTACTCTCCAATCTTCTGCAGATCACCCCCACGGCCAGTATATAGTGTCAGACAACCTTTGAAAACTGAAGCGTACCTATGGGAGGCAAAAAAAGCAAAATTCAGTACTCAGAAGTGTTATAGGGACTGTTAACCCCACTCTTGATTGTTGTTGCCTTTGGAAGGCCAGAAGTCACCAGCTGACTTACCCTTTGGTGAGCCGGATAATGTCCCCAGGCTGGATCAGATTGCCAACATCGTCCCAGACAGAGATATTGATGCTGCCTGTTTTGTCCGCCACTTTGCAGGTCCGAACCTCATGCCCGTCCTTTGTCTTGGTCACTCGGCCTGAACGGAACAGATAAATCGAGGTGGGAGGATGGTCAAATAAATGGAGTGGTATCTCTCAGAAGGATGAGATGTGGATATTGGTGGAATGAGGGAAAAGGTGTACAAACAGGGGAAAGCCCAAATCCCTGGGGCATAAAGGGTTGGGATTGTGGAAGGGGTGGTGGAGGGTGGAGGTGGGAGTTCAGGGGCCAGCACCATGGAGAGGGCCCTGAGTGGAAAGAGGCCCGCGTCGCACAGGAGGTCTAGATCTGGCAAGAGTTCTATCTACCCTATACCTGACTGCAACTTTCTGTCCCAGGGTCGAAGAGATTGGGAGTGAGGAGTGTCTTGCAGCTTGCCTTGCCATCCCCATAGCAAGTTAAGAACGCAGACAGCGTTCTTCCCCTCCTGCCCCCGACCCCCATCCCGCGAACCCGCCACCCCAGTATAGACACCTGTCTCCAGCACAATGAAGATAAGGTTCAGATTCTTGAGCCCAGGCTTGATATCCTTCACAAAGGTCTCCGTCGTCATGCTGCCTGAGCCTCGGCACCCCACTGGATGGGGAATAGAGGATGAAGGCTCAATGCTTGGATCCTTTGCCCCCATGCTCCACTTCCCAAGGCCTACCTACCCCATTAGGCTGGGGTCAGGCAGCCTCAACCCCTCTAACCCTTCTAAAAGATTAAAAAAGAACATCCCCGGAGGCCTCCAACTTCAGGATCAGAATTTGGGGGTCTCTGGACAGGCTGCTTTGGGGCTGGAAGGCCCCCTGCCGGGATGCTCTTTTAGTCTCAAGCCGCGAAGTGGCGGAGCCGACGTAGACAGGGGTAGGGAACCCGGTGCACAGCCAGGGAGTAGAATCTTACTGGCCAGATCTTCCGGAACCCTCATCCCGACAAGCCGGGACTCGGTCCATCCCCTCCCCTACCCGCAGCCCACCACCCACCCAAGCCAGCCGGCAGGACTGTGCACGCCGCTGAGCAGCCCGCAGGGGGAGCCACAGGCTCCGCTGCCGCCGGATGCTGCCCCGTGGAACGCGGGAGTGCGGACATTCCCGGAAGTTTCCCCCGGCTGGCCTCCTCCGGCCAATCAGCACCGCCCGGGCGCGCCCTGCGTCCCGCCGCCTGCCCTGCCCAGCCAATCGGGATCAGAGACTCGTGCGCCGCGAAGGGGGCGAATTTCAGGTATTAAAGGAACCTTGGAGATAGTTGGCTCTGTAGGGGGAAAAATCCACCACTAGAAGGCGCACAGGGCCCCCAGTTTTCCTTAACTTGGCTAGGGAGAATGCACTTAGGTTCTAAGACGTTTCTTTCCAAAGAGTGACACAATGGGAAAAGGAGCAAGGGCTTCGGAATCTGGCGGACAAAAGTTTGAATCCTGGCTCAATGCTTCACTTCATTTCTCGACTATTTAAACATATGTAATTCCAATTCCGCAAGGCGCGGTGGCTCACGCCTGTAATCCCAGCACGTAGGGAGGCATAGGCTGGAGGATAGCATGAGTCCAGGAGTTCCAGACCTGCCTGGGCAATATAACGAGACCCCATTCTCCACAAAAAGGGAAAAAAAGACAAAAAATATGTAATTCCATCTTACGAGAAAACGGAAGTTATATTTAAAAAAGTGCCTTGCACACAGTAGGCACACACGGTTTCCTCCCTTTTTATTGCTCTAACCGTTATCTTTGTTCCTGATTTGGGGTTCTCATCTTTAATGCACTACCCAGCTTGGTCAAGGTCTCTGGGAAAAGTGGCATTTACACCAGAGACAAAAGGCAGGCTCACCCTTCTTGGAAGAAATGGAACCTGCGACAAAGAGAGAAACATTGTTAGTCCCTTTTTTTTTTTTTTTTGAAACAGGGTCTCGCTGTGTAACCCAGGCTGGAGTGTAGTGGTGCAATCTTGGCTTACTGCAACCTCCCACCACAGCCTCCGTAGTAGCTGGTACTACAGGTTCGCACTACCACCCTCGGCTAATTTCTGTATTTTTTTTGTAGAGACAGTTTCGCCATGTTTCCCAGGCTGGTCTCGGACTCATGACCTCAAGGGATCCGCCCACCTCGTCCTCCCAAAGTGCTAGGATTACAGGCGTGAGCCGCTGCACCTGGCCATACTACTCTTCCCCGCCCCGCCCCACCGCTCCACCCCGGCAAAGGAGTCTTGCTCTGTCGCCCAGGTTGGAGTGCAGTGGCGCGATCTCGGCTCACTGCAATGCAACCTCTGCCTCCCGGGTTCAAGCGATTCTCCTGTCTCAGCCTCCCGAGTAGCTGGGATTACAGGCGCCCGCCACCACGCCCGGCTACTTTTTTTGTATTTTTAGTAGAGACGGGGTTTCACCACGTTGGCCAGCCTGGGCTCAAACTCCTGACCTCGTGATCCACCAGCCTCGGTCTCCCAAAGTGTTGGGATTAAAGGCATGAACCACCGCGCCCGGCCATACTACTCTTATCTTACTTATCTCAGAGTCCCGCTAGAAGACAGCAGAAAGGAGGCCTGAAACTTTAGTTCCTTTTGGGACCTGTCAAATTGTCCACAAAAGGTAGCTAGCTCTGTATTGTTGTGTATAAACAAATTACATAAAGATATGTGTGTATGTGTGTATTAATGTGCATTAGCATTTGCTTAGCCAATGTCCACAATAAATACCATACTATTTAATACCAGATTAGTCTAGGAAGTCATGTGATTGTAATGCCTTGGTTTGCTTAATTAATCCCTTATCTGCTCACGGAGCTCTTTAGGCTCCACATTGACTTCCCTTGGATCCCACGTTCTCTACCGCCCACATCCCCAACACCACGGTGTTGTAAGCTAAGGAAATCAAACCCCAACTCAGGAAGAGGGAAATTTTTTCTCCCTTCCTTCCTCTTAGGTGTTTCAGGGAACTCCACAAGTGTTCGGGGAGCCATCGTGGATACGGCAGGAGAGCGCCTGGGAGAGAGGCAGACAACCCGTTGAGCACCCCAGATCTAAGCTTTGCGGTCAGACTCCCTCACTCCCCACCCCGCGGCCGCCTTGTTAACTGCAATATCCATTCCCATGACAGGAGTCAAGGGGTTACGAAGCTCTGGGATGCTGACCAGGGCTCTGGAAAAGGGAGAGGGGCCGGACCCGCAGCAGGTCACGCTGCAGGCCTGCCTCTCCGCAATGATCTCGCAACAATCTGCGTCAGCTCTAAGACACAAGTCACCTGCACCCCTCCAAAGCGAAGCGTGGCCGGCCAGGCCCACACGTTTTTGCCGGGAAGAACATAGAGTTCTCCCTCCTAAATGGCTACATAGTCCTGGCTGGGACCATATAGACTCTAGACTAGACTTCCTGTCTAGAGTGGAGGCCTGGCCAGCCTTCGTCCCTCCTCGTAGGCAGCTCCTGGCTGCTGGTGTAGGGGCTGAGTTAAACAAAGAGGCGGGGTTTGGTGACGAGCTTCCGCCGGGTTGCGTAGCAGCGGTGGGCGGGGCAAAGGATCCGTCTGAGGCGGCGACGAGTGGTAGGAGTCTTCTTTCCCCTCCTTCCCCTTTCCCTTCCCTTCCCGGGAGAGGCTGGGACCCGGCACCAGGGCAGTACTGTGGCCGCTGCGGCCTCAGCTCCGACTGGGTCAGGTTGCGGAGACTCCAGGCCGCTTCCAGGGCGGTGCGTACTGCGCCTGCGCGATCTTCCACCTAAAAGAGGGTGTGGGAGGGGAGGAGGTGATGTCCCAGGGGTATTGGGGCGGGGGGTTGAAATAACTGGGGTTCAGGAGGAGGGATGGTGGTAGAGATAAAAATGTGAGAAGGGAGCAGCACTGGCGAGGAGTCGGGAGGTGAGAAGGGGGCTCTGGAGAACGGGTTGTTGGGGAAGGTCCATTGGAATAGGGGAGCTTTGAGAAGTGCGGGAGGGGGCCGGGGCTAGCTGGAGGACCGGCACCTGCAGAACTGGGGGAACAGCGTGGTGTTTAAATGGGCAATGATTGACGGGCCAGAAGGGGAGGAAGGGAGCATTCCGGGGGCCAGCCTGGGCAGGGGCGGTGGAACCTAAACCCCCGCCCTCGAAGCGCCATAGCTTGGCTCCTCTCCCATGCCTTGTCGTTGGCAGCCTTGTCCTCTCATTCCTTCCCCGCTCCTCACCCCCTCCCAGCCCTCCATGAAGGAATCTCACATTCTTCACATCCCTGCGCTTGGTTTGCAGCCTGGCTCTCTGGCAGGGTTCACACACCACACACTGGAAGGCCTTCCCTAACTCAGGACTTTGGGAAATTGGGTAGTGGGGAGGAGGGGGCTAGAGGAAGAGCAGAAAGCCAGGAGGGGTGAAGGCGTTTTGCTTGAGGGATTGACAGACTGCTTCCCCGTTCAGAAACTTCATTTCATTTAATAGCAAGTGGGGCTGTTATTGAGGCCACTGTTCTTGGGGACTGGCCCGTGATAGTGTTATCCCTTTCTATACAGGGGTTTTAGAGTCTGACAATAGGGCAAGAGACTGATAGTGTTGTTGGCTGATAGTTTTGCCCCAAATAAGAATGTAGTGGACTAGTGGTAGGGAATGTGAGTGATGCAATGTTAAGCCGACCGACCTGTGGCTAGCCCTGCCTTCTAGTAAAAAGAAGGAACAAGCTTTTGTCAAGCATTTCCTCTCCGACTCTCAGTACTCTAAATTTATTTTGCATTCTTGTTTTTTTTTTTTTTTGAAACGGAGTCTCACTCTGTCACCCACGCTGGAGTGCAGTGGCACAATCTCGGCTCAGTGCCACCTCTTTCTGGGTTCAAGCGATTCTCCTGCCTCAGCCTCTTGAATAGCTGGGATTACAGGTACCTGCCACCATGCCTGGCTAATTTTTTGTATTTTTAGTTGAGATGGGGTTTCACCATGTTGGCCAGGCTGGTCTCAAACCTCTGACTGTAGCCGGGCGCGGTGGCTCACGCCTGTAATCCTAGCACTTTGGGAGGACGAGGCGGGCGGATTGCCTGAGCTCAAAAGTTCGAGACCAGCCTGGGCAACACAGTGAAACCCCGTCTCTACTAAAAATATAAAAAATTAGCCGGGGCATGGCTGCATGCACCTGTAGTCCCAGCTACTTGGGAAGCTGAGGCAGGAGAATTGCTTGAACCCAGGAGGCAGAGGTTGCAGTGAGCTGAGATTCCACCACTGAACTCCAACCTGGGCAACAGAGTGAGACTCTGTCTCCCCACACCCCCCGCCAAAAAAAACAAAACAAAACCCTGACCTCAGGTGATTGGTCCATCTCGGCTTCCCAAAGTGCTAGGATTACAGGCATGAGCCACTGCACCCAGCCTTATTTTGTATTCTGTTGCTACAAATAATCTTACTTGAGGATAACAGTATTCAGTATCCTTTCATATTTATTTATTTATTTATTTATTTATTTATTTATTTATTTTTGAGACAGGGTCTCACTCTGTCACCCAGGCCGGAGTGCGGTGCTGCGATCTCTGCTCACTGCAACCTCTGCCTCCTCGGCTCAGTTGACCTTCCCCCTTCAGCCTCCTCAGTAGCCGGGACTACAGGCACTCACGCCATCATGCCCGGCTAATTTTTGTATTTTTTGTAGAGACAAGGTTTCACTATGTTGCCCAGGCTGGTCTCAAACTCTTGGACTCAGGTGATCCACTCACTTCGGCCTCCCAAAGTGCTGGGATTACGGGTGTGAGCCACTGCGTCCAGCCTCCTTTCGTATTTATTATTTCATTTGATTTGCAGACAGTATGTATAAGGGGTGCGCGCGTGTATATACACATATATACACACACACACATATATACACCTTATATTACGCCGGGCGCAGTGGCTCACGCCTGTAATCCCAGCACTTTGGGAGGCCAAAGGTGGTGGATCATATGAGGCCAGTTTGAGACCAGCCTGGCCAACATGTTGAAACCCTGTCTCTACTAAAATATAAAAATTGGCTGGGCGCGGTGGCTCACGCCTGTAATCCCAGCACTTTGGGAGGCCGAGGCAGGCAGATCACGAGGTCAGGAGATCAAGATCATCCTGGCTAACGTGGTGAAACCCTGTCTCTACTAAAAATAAAAAAAAAAAATTAGCTGGGCGTCCTGGCGGGCGCCTGTAGTCCCAGCTACTTGGGAGGCTGGGGCAGGAGAATGGTGTGAACCTGGGAGGCGGAACTTGTAGTGAGCCGAGATCGCATCACTGCACTCCAGCCTGGGTGACAGAGCCAGACTCCGTCTCAAAAAAAAAATAAATAAATAAATAAATAAAATAAAAATTAGCCTGGCATGGTGACACATGCCTGTGATCCCAGCTACTCAGGAGGCTGAGGCAGGAGAATTGTTTGAACCTGGGAAGTGGAGGTTGGAGTGAGCTGAGGAGATTGCATCACTGCACTCCATCCTGAGCGACAGAGGAAGACTCCATCTCAAAAAAAAAAAGAAAAATAGGCCAAGCATGGTGGCTCACGCCTATAATCCCAGCACTTTGGGAGGCCGAGGCGGGCGGATCACAAGGTCAGGAGATTGAGACCATCCTGGCCAACATGGTGAAACCCCGTCTCTACTAAAAATACAAAAATTAGCTCAGCATGGTGGCACATGCCTGTAGTCCCAGCTACTTGGGAGGATGAGGCAGGAGAATCGCTTGAACCCGGGAGGCAGAGGTTGCAGTGAGCCAAGATCGTGCCACTGTACTCCAGCCTGGCGACAGAGCAACACTTTGTCTCAAAAAAAAAATAACATATATATATATAATAAATATGTATATATTATATATACCTTATATTAATATATAAGGCAGGTATCATTTTCCCTACTTGACAGTTGAAGCAACAGAAAAACTACAGCAGGGTTACTTGACTTGTTTAAATGTGTAGATTTGGGGGTGGGCGCAGTGGCTGGTGCCTGTAATCCCAGCACTTCGGGAGGCTGAGGTGGGAGGATTGCTGGAGCCTGCCCAGGAGTTCAAGACCAGCCTGGGCAACATGGCAAAACCCCATCTCTACCAAAAATACAAAAATTAGCCAGGCATGGTGGTGTGTGCCTGTGGTCCCAGCTATTTGGGAGACTGAGGTGGGAGGATTGCTGGAGCCTGCTGGGAAGGCGAGGCTGTAGTGAGCTATGATCATGCCACTGTACTCCAGCCTGGGCAATAGAGCAAGACCCTATCTCAAAAAAATAATAATAATTTATGTGGGCCAGGCGCGGTGGCTCACACTTGTAATCCCAGCATTTTGGGAGGCTGAGGCGGGTGGATCACCTGAGGTCAGGAGTTCGAGACCAGCCTGGCCAACATGGTGAAACCCCGTCTCTACTAAAAATACAAAAATTAGCCGGGCATGGTGGTGGGTGCCTGTAATCCTAGCTACTCTGGAGGCTGAGGTAGGAGAATCACTTGAACTCGGGAGGCCAAGGCTTCAGTGAGCCAAGATCGCGCCATTGCACTCTAGCCTAGGTGACAGAGCGAGACTCTATCTCGAAATAATAATAATAATTTATGTGAAAGCACTTTGGAAACATTAAAGCAGCATCCCCAGCCTTTTTGTGGAAGATAGTTTTTCCACAGATGGTGGGCGAGGGGATGGTTTTGTGATGGAACTCTACCACCTCAGATCATCAGGCATTAGATTCTCATAGGGAGTGGGCAACCTAGATCCCTCGCATGGGCAGTTCACAATAGGGTTCATGCTCCAATGAGAATCAAATGCCGCTGCTGATCTGACAGGACATGGAGCACAGGCCTTAATGCTCGCTTGTTTCCTGCTCACCTCCTGCTGTACGACCCGGTTCCTGATAGGCCACAGTCTGGTACTGGTCCATCTGGGGATTTGGGGACCTCTGCATTAAAGCATCATCCTGTACACATAATGTATTATGGATCTATGCATTTTGCTTTTTTTTTGAGTCAGAGTCTTGCTCTGTCGCCTAGGCTGGAGTGCAGTGGCGCGATCTTGGCTCACTGCAACCTCCGCCTCCTGGGTTCAAGCAATTCTCCCTGCCTCAGCCTCCTGAGTAGCTGGGATTACAGGCATCTGCCACCATACCCGGCTAATTTTTATATTTTTAGTAGAGATGGGGTTTCGCCATGTTGGCCAGGCTCATCTCCGACTCCTGACCTCAGGTGATCCACCCGCCTCGGCCTCCCAAAGTGCTGGGATCACAGGCGTGAGCCATCGCAACCTGGATCTATGCATTTTGTAGTCACAGATTTGGAATCATTATTACTGGTAGTTATGTGCACTGAATAAAAGAATCTTAAATCTCCAACAACTCCTCTACTTTTCCTCTTGTCTTTTTTTTTTTTTTTTTTAAGACGGAGTCTTGCTGTGTCGCCCAGGCTGGAGTGCGGTGGCGCGGTCTCGGCTCACTGCAAGCTGCAGCTCCTAGGTTCACGCCATTCTCCTGCCTCAGCCTCCCGAGTAGCTGGGACTACAGGCGCCTGCCACCTCGCCCAGCTAATTTTTTGTATTTTTAGTAGAGACGGGGTTTCACCGTGTTAGCCAGGACGGTCTTGATCTCCTGACCTCGTGATCCACCCGCCTTGGCCTCCCTAAGAGCTGGGATTACAGGCGTGAGCCACCACGCCCGGCCTCTCTTGTCCTTTTCTTTCCCCCTCCCAGCTATGTTCAAATCTACTGGACCCCGTGTGTGTGCTTCCTTAGCTGGTGAGCTCCCTCCTTAGAAGGTAGTCTTATTTGCCTAGCACTGAAAACTGTAGTGCTTAATGGAGTTGTCTCATCCTCCCCAACCAACTGCCAGATCCATCTGTCCAGTCTCCTTGCCAAGTGGAGGTAGTTCTCCTGACTCTCCTTTCTCTTCCTTGTTCCTATTACTAGAGTACTCCTGATTGTGACATCACATTCATCCCCTGGGCGATGGAGCTTGTCACTGGGAAGGAATACTCAGTCGGAGAATAGCCAACAAGATGGGTTACTGGGAGAATCTCTTCAGTGGCACTGAGTGGAGGCATCAGGGGGTTGGAGCCTTGTGAACAGGGAACCTGCCCCCCAACACTTGGAAGGTAAAGAGCTTTGATTCAGAATCCCATTCCAGGCCTCAACCCTCTTCTCTGTCGCTCGGGATTCCTTCTGCCCTTGAAAGTCCAGTTCTTAAAACTTCTTTCTGCAGAAAGCTTTCTGTGATTAATCTGTACCATTTGTTCTTTTTTGTATATTTACAACTTACATAAATTATTGACTTTTACTTGTTAATAATTTGCTTAATACGTTTATGTGTTTTTATGTGTTTTTTTTCCTATGTACTCATTGGGCTCAAGCCTACACCTTAGTTTGAGGACAAGGATTATGTGTTTCTTCTTTTTTTTTTTTGAGACAGAGTCTTGCTCTGTCGCCTAGGCTGGAGTGCAGTGGCATGATCTCAGCTCACTGCAACCTTCACCTCCTGGGTTCAAGCAGTTCTCCTGCCTCACCCTCCCAAGTAGCTAGGATTACAGGTGCCCACCACCATGCCCAGCTAATTTTTGTATTTTTAGTAGAGATGGGGTTTCACCATGTTGGCCAGGCTGGTCTTGAACTCCTGACCTCAGGTGATCCACCCACCTCGGCCTCCCAAAGTGCTAGGATTACAGGCGTGAGCCACTGCGCCCAGCCAGTTGTTTACTGACCTCTTCTTTGGGTTTGACCTTTGGGAGCCCAAAGAAGGGGCATGGCGCCATTGCCGCTGTTTGAGTCCTTGCTCTTTTGGACCTCTCTTTTTTTTTTTTTTTTTTTTTGAGACAGAGTCGTGCTCTGTCACTGGGCTAGAATACAGTGGTGCAATCTCGGCTCACTGCAACCTCCGCCTCCTGGGTTCAAGCGATTCTCCTGCCTCAGCCTCCCGAGTAGCTGGGACTACAGGTGCGCACCACCACGCCTGGCTAATTTTTGTATTTTTAGTAGAGACGGGGTTTCGCCATGTTGGCCAGGATGGTGTTGATCTCTTGACCTCATGATCCGTCTGCCTCAGCCTCCCAAAGTGCTGGGATTACAGGCATGAGCCACCATGCCCGGCCCTCTCTTCTCTTCTTTATCCCCATCACCACCACCACCTAAGTTCAGACTCTTACCGTCACTCTCCTGACTTAGATGTTCTTCCGGTCTCCAGTTTCTCCCCTGTTAACATACTGATTCTAAAATGGAACTATTATCACATTGTTTTTTAAGTCCTTCAGTGGCTCTCTCATACCCTTCAGAATAAAGTCCAAAATCCTCACAGACTTTTCACAGCATGGCCCTTGCTTGCCTCTCCAGCCTTGTCTCTTGACAGGCCCTCCCTCCCACCTCTCAGGTCAGCCTTTTCTTGAATCACTTGAAATTCTCTGAACCTATCATATGCCCTCTTCTGGGCATTTGGATGTGCTATTTTATGTGCATAACACCCTAATGCCCTGCTCCCCCAACATTTAGCTGACTCTTGCCCTACAGGACACGTTTCTGGTGACGCCCAGTCCTGGAAAACTTGTCAAAACCACCCTCTGCTTTCAGCCTGGGTTAGGTATTCATGTCTCTTGTCCTCATAAGGTCCTGTCTCTACTCTGAGTATTTATCACTTTATATTTTAAATGTGTGCTTATATAATGTCTTCCCCCATTAGAATTACATTTCTTTTTTTCTTTTTTTTTTAAGGCAGAGTCTTACTCTGTTGCCTAGGCTAGAGAGCTGTGGTGCAATCTCGGCTCACTGCAGCCTCTGCCTCCTGGGTTCAAGTGATTCTTGTGCCTCAGCCTTCCAAGTAGCTGGGATTACAGATGTGCATCACCACGCCCAGCTAATTTTTGTATTTTTAGTAGAGCTGGGTTTTCATCATGTTGGCCAGGCTGGTCTTGAACTCCTGACCTCAGCTCATCTGCCTGTCCCGGCCTCCCAAAGTGCTGGGATTACAGGCGTGAGCCACTGTGCCAGGCCTTAGAATTAATTTTTTTTTTTTTTTTAGAGACTGAGGCTCGCTGTGTTCCCCAGGCTGGAGTGCAGTGGCGCGATCTCGGCTCACTGCAACCTCTGCCTCCTGGGTTCAAATGCTTCTCCTGCCTCAGCCTCCCGAGTAGCTGGGATTACAGATGCGCATACCACACCCAGCTAATTTTTGTATTTTTAGTAGAGACAGGGTTTCACCATGTTGGCCAGGCTGGTCTTGAACTCCTGACCTCAGGTGATCCGCCTGCCTCGGCCTCCCAAAGTGTTGGGATTACAGGCGTGATCCACTGCACCTGGCCAGAATTAAATTTCTTGAGTCAGCTTCCACCGAGCCAAATGACTGCTGCATAGTAGACTCCCAGTAAATATTTGTTGGATAAATGAATGGATCTTGGCAATGAGTGTATGTTTGTCACATATTTGTAGGCTTCTTCTGAACTGGCCTCTTTTTCCTGTTGTCCTTTCAGGACCTGGGTTTCAGTGATGAGACATGGGGTATGATGTAACCCGTTTCCAGGGGGATGTTGACGAAGATCTTATCTGCCCTATTTGCAGTGGAGTCTTGGAGGAGCCAGTACAGGTGAGTTGGTCTGATGGCAGGTTTGGTGGGGCAACAGGTAGCAGTGGAACTAGTAGAAAATATTCATGGGCAGCGGGACCCATGGTGAAGTCACTGTGTTCTTCTCTCCACCCTCACCCAATAGAGATTTAGGTCAAAGGAGTAATGGTGACTACAAGAATAAGGCCTTCCAGAATCAATCTAGAGGTGGATGCCACAGAGATCCAGTGGTTCAGATTTTTTTCTGAGGTCACTCTGAAAGATTTCTCCTGTAAAACAGTCAGCTGCTTGTTTCTGTCTTGTGATAGTAGCTGGGTAGCTTCCTTTCCTCTACAGGAACTCTTACTAGGTTCCATCTTCCTGTCCGTGATTGAACTTCTGGACTCTCCTAATAAGTTCTCTCTGCATTTTTATGATGTAGTGCTTCAGGTAATCAGCCAGGCTCCCTGCAGGCCTCTTCTACCTGCCTACTGTCTAACAAATAGGAAGGCTGGGCACAGTGGCTCACACCTGTAATCCCAGCACTTTGGGAGGCCAAGGTGGGTGGATCACGAGTTCAAGAGCCATCCTGGCCAACATGGTGAAACCCCGTCTCTACTAAAAATACAAAAATTAGCTGGGCGTGGTGGCACACACCTGTAGTCCCAGCTACTCAGGAGGCTAGACAGGAGAATTGCTTGAACCCGGGAGTAGGAGGTTGCAGTGAGCCGAGATTGTGCCACTGCACTCCAGCCTGGGTGACAGAGTGAGACTCCATCTCAAAAAAAAAAAAACAAAAACAAATAGGAAGTGGGGAACTGTATGTACTGACCTATTTTTTTCCTGGGATCTACTGAAAAGACCAGCTTTTGATACAGCCATGCACTCTGCATTTTGATGTGAAAGCTGCCACCTTCAATAGGTCATTTCTCTGCCAGCCTTGCCAGACCAGAGTCAGTTGTATCATCCTGGGGCAAGTATGAGGAGAAGCTCACGATTACCAGGCAAGTACAATGAGTGAGGTGAATCCTTAAGAGTTGTATTCATGGGACAGCATCCTCCAGGATCCTTATTGCCCTCATTCTGTAAATACCAATTAATCCTTTCTCTTTCCTGGCTATCTAGAGATTATCACATTTTCCAAACCAGGACACTAGGCAATGAGGTTTCATGGCCCTTCCCCCATTCACTGCTCACCTAACTCCCAGGGGCTCCCCTTGAGCCTTTATTTTTTCTCCCAGTACTACTCCAAAAGGAGTACTGATGCCTTGAGCTGAATAAAATTCAGACTGCATTCCAATGGCAACCAACTCTGGACCTGTCTTCTTTCTAGGCCTTTGCAGTCTGCTGCCATTAGAGGCATATTAGATGGGTGTGGAGCAAGTCATCAAGTAGTAGTGTCAAGAGGTCACAGGGTGTGTCAGGTTCCCTCCTCACCCTGGCAGGGCCTTGTCTGTTTTCTGGCACTATCATTTTAGGCAAGTCACTTATGGAAAGGTGAGTCGTAGTTGGTGACAGTCTAGTCAGAAGCCACCCATCTACCTCCAGGCTTTATCTTCTGAGGAGCAGAGCAGGCAACCCTCATGATGCCAGGTTCCCAGACACATTTCTAAGGTTAGAAGGCTCCTGCTAGGGATGCTGATTTCCCCACATCATAATTATTTATTTTTTGAATAGGTGAAAAATGAACATAGTTCAGAAATCAAAAGGTATACAGTGAGAATTCTCACTTCTGTCTTTATTACTGTGCACCTAATTCCCCCACAGATAACTATTTTTATTAGTTTATTTGGTATCCTTCCAGTGTGTCTTAAGGCAGATATAAGCAAATATGAATAGATGTCTGCATATATATGTATTTGTGTATACATATGTATATATGAATATATCTGTGTTTCACCATGTTGGCCAGTCTGGTCTTGAACTGATCTCAAGTGATCTGCCTGCCTTGGCCTCCCAAAGTGCTGGGATTACAGGCATGAGCCACCATGCCCGGCCTTATTTAGCTTTGTTTTGTTTTGTTTTTTTGAGATGGAGTCTCACACTTTAGCCTAGGCTGGAGTGCAGTGGCATGATCTTGGCTCACTGCAAGCTCTGCCTCCCAGGTTCACGCCATTCTTCTGCCTCAGCCTCCTAAATAGCTGAGACTACAGGCACCCGCCACCACGCCCGGCTAATTTTTTGTATTTTTAGTAGAGACAGGGTTTCGCTATGTTAGCCAGGATGGTCTCAATCTCCTGACCTCATTATCCGCCCACCTCAGCCTCCCAAAGTGCTGGGATTACAGGCGCCATCCACCATGCCTGGCCTAGCTTTCTTACATTGAATTTTTGCCAGTAAATATGTCCTCCTCCTCTCTAAATCTATCATCTGAATTATCCTTCAAGACCCATATCAAATTCTGTCCTCTTCATAAATACCTGCCGTGATTGAGCTAGCCTGAAAAGACCTCACCCTCCTCTGGACATTTTTGGCAATTATTGTGTATGCAATCCAGATGGCAATTAATAATTGGCTGCCTTGTGTCATCTGTCCTATTGTCCTAGAATATCATTTGTATCTCTTATTGTTATATAACTTTTTACTTGTTTGTCTTGTTTCACAACTCATTTTTAATCTTGAGCACAGGGAATATATATATATATATTTATTTATTTATTTTGAAACAGGTTCTGGCTCTGTCACCCAGGCTGGAGTGCAGTGGTGCAGTCTTGGTTCACTGCAACCTCCGCCTTATGGGCTCAAGCCATCCTCCATCCTCCCACCTCAGCCTCCTGGCTAGCTGGGACTATAGGCACGTGCCACCAGGCCCAGCTTTTTTTTTTCGAGATGTATTGCCCAGGCTAGAGTGCAGTGGTGTGATCTTGGCTCACTGCAACCTCCACCTCCTGGGTTCAAGCTATTCTCCTGCCTTAGCCTCCTGAGTAGCTGTGATTACAGGCATGCGCCACCACCCCTGGCTAATTTTTTTATTTTTAGTAGAGACAGGGTTTCACCATGTCGGTCAGGCTGGTCTTGAACTCCTGACCTCATGATCCGCCTGCCTCGGCCTCCCAAAGTGCTGAGATTACAGGCGTGAGCCACTGCGCCCGGCCTATGCCCGGCTAATTTTTGTAATTTTTGTAGAGATGGGGTTTTGTCATGTTGTCTGGGATGGTCTCAAACTCCTGAGGTCAAGCAGTGTGCCTGCCTTAGCCTCCCAAAGTGCTGGGATTACAGGCATGAGCCACCGTGCCCAGCAGGAAACGTATCTTAAGCCTGTCCCCTACAATGCCTTGCCCGTAGTAGATCTATACTTTGCTGTGACCCAGTGGACCTCTTGTCGTAGAGGCTGCTCAAAGGCTTGATTGGCTTTGTAGAGTTATATCATATCCAGGCTCTTAGGTCCTGCTAATTCCCTTGCGCCCCTTTTGCCTTGTTCTCTCTTCTAGGCACCTCATTGTGAACATGCTTTCTGCAACGCCTGCATCACCCAGTGGTTCTCTCAGCAACAGACATGTCCAGTGGACCGTAGTGTTGTGACGGTCGCCCATCTGCGCCCAGTACCTCGGATCATGCGGAACATGTTGTCAAAGCTGCAGATTGCCTGTGACAACGCTGTGTTCGGCTGTAGTGCCGTTGTCCGGCTTGACAACCTCATGTCTCACCTCAGCGACTGTGAGCACAACCCGAAGCGGCCTGTGACCTGTGAACAGGGCTGTGGGTGAGATTTGTTCCCTTCTGCCCCACATGGATAAGGGCCATCTCATTTATGCCCCTGTCTCTGGCTGCCCTCCTCACTAGCTGAGGAGGTCTCTTTGGCATGTTGGCAAGGAGTATTCTTAGCCTCCTTGGCTTCCTGCTCTAAGATCTTACTTTCTTGCTGCTTTTC